>NC_000013.11:27158106-28408106 GCF_000001405.40 Homo sapiens
GGTCTTTACAGAAGTAATCAAGTTACAATGAAGTCATTAGGGTGGACCCTAATCCAGTGTGACTGGTGTCTGTGTAGAAAGGGAAAATTCGGACACAGGCATAGAAGGAAGACAAAATGGAGACAGAGACACAGGGAGAATGCCATGTGAAAAGATTGGAATGATGCATCCACTGCCAGAAAACCACCAGTAGCTAGGGTAGAAAATGGAAGAGAGTCTCCTCATAGCCCTCAGAGGGAACCAACCCTGTCGACATCCTGATTCTGGACTTCTAGCCTACAGAATTGTTAGGACGATAAATTTCTGTTACAGGCATGCACCACTTAATGACAGGGATACATTCTGAGAAATTGACTGTTAAGCAATTTCATCATGGTGCGTATGTCATAGAGTGTACTCACGCAAACCTAGATGGTACAGCCCACTACACACTTAGGCTATGTGGTCTAGCCTCTTGCTCCTAGGCCACAAACCTGTACAGCATATGACTGTACTGGATCCTGTAGGTAACTGTAACACAATGGTAAGTATTCATGTCTCTAAACACATCTAAACGTAGAAAAGGTACAGTAACAATACAGTATTATAATCCACACACAGTTTCTGGCACTTTGTTATGGCAGCCCTAGGAAACTAATAAAATTATTGTTTAATAAAATGAAAATGTGCAAACAGTATTATATAACCAAACCTTTCAATATGATAGACATTGAAGATCATGGGAAATTAAAATGCACACAAGAGTTTTGACATGGAATGAAACATGATGACAACCAAAAATATACACTGTTAGGTGAAAAAGCAAATAAACCTGCAGTTTTAAATTTTGGGGGGAGTGGGGGTGACACACACACAATACCTCATGTTTGTATATGCACAGGTAATGTCTGGCAATAAACACACACATATCCCAACTCTTTCTAGCAATTACTTCTTGGGAAAGGGCGGCCCCTCTTCCTTGTAAGAAATGAATTTTTTAAACTCACACAATTTTGCAGTTTTAAAAATAGTAAGTGGTTTGGTTTTTCTTAAACTTCTAAAATTGCAAAATTAAAAGAAACTACCATTTCTAAGGTAATCAGATATCACATTTTTCTTTAAGAGTATATACAGTTAAACCTGAATAATTTAATTCTTTTAAAATCCTCACTCTGGTAGTTCAAAAAACAATGTATCAATTACTAAATTACAAGGGCGTATCTACCACCCCATTTCTAAAAGTTACCATGACATTATATTTCAAAGTCCATATTAAACACAGGCTGTTCCTAAAAATGTCAGGAAGAAAATAAGATTTTTCAAACACCATTCCATTTGCATCAGGCATATAATTCTGGTGTTTTACAAGTGTTCTATCATTAAATTTCATTTCTCAACTAGGCCACACCTATTCAATCCAGCCTTCTCTATCAATATCCAGTAACATTTGCAGAGGGCCTTGTTAACTTGGATGTCAACCAAAAATGTACCCAAATATCCTAACTCTCTTTAACAGTCTGTTCTAGATTTATCATCTATACATTTATCTAAACTCAAACTTTCCTACACCTTTATTTTTTATCATTGTGAGATCTGAATCTGTGAAATGCCTAGCAATAGCATCACCAAGTAGCCACTCAATAAATGTCAGACTCCTATATAAGTTCCTTGGGAAAGCTAAAATTACAGATGTCACATTCAACTTTACAAGTCAGGGAAGATGACCTAAGTCATCATTAACATAAAATGGCAAGAACATCACGGTAGGCTATTAGCACTGAAATGGTATAATAACTACAACCCAGTTTCAGAGATGAAAAGGAAAGAAAGTAGACTATTAAAGCAACTAACATCTGGGATGAAAATGTGTAACAGAAGAGAAGCTTTAAGGACACAAGGAAGTAAAAACCTGAAAGAGCGGAATTGCGAACACTTGGCAGGAGGAGTAACCTGAGCAAAGGCAACTGTGCAGTCTTTAAAGAACGAAAATACCACCTTAAATACATACCATGTGTCAATTATACCTCAGTAAAGCTGGAAAAACTCAATAAAGAAAGAAACTAAACAGAGAACAAAAAAAGGTGACAGATTTCACTTGTATCTTTTTAGTTAAAAAGGGCAACATAATGTCTCCAACTAAGACAATGATACAAATATCCAAGCATTTTTATCTGGCTAAGGCTTGATGTGTATAGTGAGAAAACAACCAGAAGTAAAAGTTGCTTCCTTTTAGTTTTTCATTTGCCAAGTTAAGTGAAGGCCTCTGCTTTAACCAGTCACATGACAATGGCAGGTCCTTGTTCAGCAGGGTCCCCCGTGGAGGAGATATAAGCCTCCTCAAATTGAAAAAAAAAATGCAATAAAAACAAATGAAACTAACCAGTAAACTTTAAAAAAGTGAACTGTCTTTAAAAAAAAAAAAATGCAACACCAGACAATGAAAAGATTCTAATTTGCCTAGCAGAACCAAAAGCACAATATTTTTGGTTTTGTTTTTGGTCCGTTGTATCTAGTTTTTGAGCCTTTGATGTTTCAAATTTGTTCCAAATTTTGTCCACCTTTACATAAAAACCCTGAGCACATCAGTCTGAAGAAATTATCAGCTTTAAACCTCTAGGTCCATCAAACAACAAACAGTGAAACCACTTGATTCCTATTCCTCACCTGTTCTTAAAAGAACCAAAGCATCATGTTTCTTTTTTTTTTTTTTCCCCCTTCAACCTTAAGTTACAGGGTACATGTGCAGGATGTGCAGGTTTGTGACACAGGTAAACGTATCATGGTGGTTTGCTGCACAGCTCAACCCATCTCCCCGGGTTAAGCCCAGCATCCATCAGCTCTTCTTCCTGATGCTCTCCCTCCCGCCATCCTCCCCACAGGCCCCAGTGTGTAGCGTTCCCCTCCACAAAGCGTCATCTTTCAAGGCCGTTAAGTCTGAAACCTTCTAAACATTATATCCCGTTTTGTGGAAAAGAGAATCCCCCTGCTCTATTAAGATATACCTCCTAACGCAAACTTCAAAGTCCCAGCTACTACCCCCAAGGTACCACCTTAACCATCCTGCATATGAGTCTCTTCATTAAGCAAATTAAACAAACAGGGAACCTTTGCAACATCAGCAAAGAAAAATTGTGAAACAATATGCCAGAGAAACAGCAGAAATAATTTCTTCAAAGTTATAACGGCTAGATTTTTGGACTAAGATAATCACATACAAAGCAGAATAAATGTTCATCTACAGAATCTCAAATTATAAATGCATTTTCCATTCCAAAGAACAAAAGCCTTGTATTTTATTGTCTCCTTACCCCTACAACTTAAGTACTTTATGACTTATTTTACTTGTGCCCAGATGGGCTCTAATTTTGAAAGTCTCTTTTCAGGGATCCCTGAAAAACCCAGGTAGACCAATACTGTAGAAATAAAGGCAATTTACTCACTATAATTTTATACCTTTAAAAAAAAATGTTACTAATAGGGAATTGCAGTGTTTACTGCCATCAGAAGTTAACTACAGGCCAGGTGCAGTGGTTCACACGTGTAATTGCAGCATTTTGGGAGGCCAGCTACATCACTTGAGTTTGAGACCAGCCTGGGCAACATGGTGAAACCCTGTCTCTACAAAAAAAATTAATTAAAAAGAAAAAATAGCTGGGCATGGTAGTGTGTGCCTGTAGTCCCAGATACTTGGGAGGCTCAGGCAGGAGGATAGCTTGAGCCCGGGGGGCAGAGGTTTCAATGAGGCGAGACTGCACCACTGCACTCCAGCCTGGGCAACAGAGCAAGGCTCTGTCTCAAAAAATAAAAAAAAATAAAAAAAAATTAAAAAGCCACTCATTAACTGTACATTTTTAACATAGTAAAGATTTTAAGGGTAATCTAAAACTTTGCTTCATGGATCATTAAAATACTCATTTTCAAACTTTGAAATGACTACGCTTTGTCAAAGGTAACTTGTGAGCTCCGTTACAACTCCTACAGTCCACAGTATCTTAATGTGCTTTCCATCCTTTCCTTAAGAGGGCATGGAGTCTTACCAACAATGACCATGTAAGGGTGATGTTGATATGTATTTATAGTACAAAGGACGTTCACATGTGTCATCTCATCTGATCTAATGGGGAAATTATTATTCCATTTCATAACTGAAACCAGTTAAACGGCCTACCCAAGTGAAAATAATTAGTGAGGACTCAAAGTCACACACACACAGATATGCAGCCGAAAAGTCAGGAATAAAAATTCCCCAATCTCTTGTTTGAAAAGGAGTAATTTTGTCTCAACCATCAAACCTGCAACACATTGCCCTGTAGATGTCATAACGAGTTTGCATGTCTAGAAATTTGGACCCCATCCCTAGCTGCTGCAGGGCTGACTTTAAGCTTCCTTTTCCATTTTGTGAAAATGGGGCTAATACTACCTAACCTTTCCTAATTCTGAATGGATCTTCAAGATGACAGATAGAGAAAGACTAATAACAACAACAAAATAAAATTAATGCTTTTGAAATACCTCAAAAAAAATCTATTGTTAATTTTCTTAGTTGTGACAATACTATCGTGTTACTGTTAAAGAGATTGCCCTTTCATTTTAGGTAGGTTTCTTATTGAGCAATATTTTGTTTTTTATCCATTCTGATAGTTCCTTTAATACAATGAAAGTAAGTTTGAACCATTTGGATTATTATGATTAATGAACTAGAAGAGCTTATTTCTTCCACCTGTGTTTTCTGTCATTCTTTTTCATTTTGTTTTTCCTATTTTCCTTCCCTCAGAGTTTGAATGGTAACGTTTAAATGTCTGCTGCTACGGAAGCAAGAAAATTCACTCCCTGTGTGGGTGTGTATTTATCCTTAATTTTTTAACATGTATATACAATCCAAAATTTTCCAATAGTGGTTGTTTAGTTGGCTCTTAAACAAGGAGGCCCTTAACAAGTTTTAACAACCCACTGAACTGTCCTTGTACCCCATCCATCTTGTTTTGTTGTCATTTTCTCTTCTTAAAAAAAATACAAGCAAATTTTGAAAAATCAATGTAATTCAATTTACCAGCATATTTTTACCAACTCCATTGTTTCTTATATCCTCATGACTGTCCTCTGGACTTACATTTCCTCAGGCTAAACACACACTTTAATAATCATTTTAATGTGAATCAATACTTGGTAAACTCCTGGTACTTCTTTAAATATGCCCCCTTCCTACTCTCCAGCCTTACTGTTCACAAGACCCGCTTTCACGCCAAACCACCTACAGAGCCTAAGAGTAACACATTATCTATTTACATCTGGTATCCCATCCCTCCATGTCCACATAATAAAGGCCATTCATTTTGCAAAGTTCAACTCTCTTCTAAGAAGCTTTTTCCTGAAGCCCTCTTCTCTCTCCCAAAACCACCTTCTCTTTCACATATAATTACCATTACTTATACCAATAAGAAAAACATCTCATTGCATGCATTTGTTTTATACGTCCATCCTCTTCTACAATACTGTAAGTAGAGCTGGTTTTCAATCTTCTCATCAGGACACACAGAGAAAATAGTATATGTAAAGCCCACAAGAATACAGACATAGCCAGGTGCAGTGGCTCACACCTGTCATCCCAGCACCTTGGGAGGCCAAGGCAGGAGGATGGTTTAAATGTAGGAGACAGCCTGAGCAATAGAGCAAGACCTGTCTTAAAAAAAAAAAAAAAAAGAAAAAAAAAAAAGAAAAGAAGCTACAGGTAAGACAGGTATGTCTGCTCTCACCAGAAAGGGACTGGCTAAGGGTCTCCTATCAACCCAGATACCTCCAGGCTTCCCAGGGGTCAAGAGGACTACTTCCTCAGCACAACTATAACCCACTCAAGACACACTGAATGGGAAGTTCCATAAGACCAGAGTTTATCACAGTCGTCTTCATGTTCTCAGAACCTACATGCAGCACGATATAATGTAGGTCTCCATGAATCCTTCCTCAAAATACTTTAGAAAAAGCACTCTTTATCCCTACAAAAAGGAAAAAAAAAAAAATCACTAGCATCAGGTAGAGGCTTAGTAGGTCACTAAAATAAAAAGCACTAAAATAAAATCAAAGGCAACAGTACTCTAACTCTACTGAAAGATATTATGATTTAAACCACCCTTTACAAGTAGAGAATGTGTGGATGCTTCCTCTACCCATGAAGCATTTCAGTTAAGAACATCTGTCCATTATCACTGAAATAAACATCTACTTCTTGTTTTCAGTTGGAAATAAATTTTTATTGGTACGTAGCTTTGGACATGTGGCTCACTACAGATAAATAAAGCAAGCTTACACATCTCTTCTTTAGACATAACATACTGTTTAGAAGAAGCTAATGGTCCTTCTGAAAGAGAAGCAGCAGCAAAGCATAAGCCAAGGAACAGAGAGGGCTATACCACCTCACACAGTGGTGCTCTACATTAAATTTCTTATAGTTTACACTATCACAAAAGTCTTCGAGTTTTGCTGTGAGAAAGCAAAGACTTACTAGTTTTTCTTCCTAAATAAATGTATATAAACTGCCACTCTAACCTCCTAAAGCAAATTCTGCACATAAGATAGCAAATGGTCAAATGTTATATGTAAGTTTTTCAACAATACTGGGACTCCAATAGAGAGTTTTCAGTTCAGCAAGTGTAACTCTTCATAATACAACTCTTCACTTACTACTTTCTCCCAACACCTTTAAAGTATGGTGTAGATATGTAAATATCCCTCTTCTAGACTAGGAGATTGGGACTGTAGGTTTTAGACAAGATATCTAAGAGCAAGGTGGGTAAGTTCAATGTAAGCCAACAAGAGATGTTATTCCCTTGTTATGCTCCCTAAAGGATAGAGCATAAGGAAATTAAATATAATAATATGGCCTCAGTAAACAGAAAAATCTGAAAGAAAATAAGTCCTGAAGCTAACTTGAATGCACACACCTTGTTCTAGTAATGACAAAAAGCTGGTGTGCTTTTTTTTTTTTTTAGTATAAAATAAGGTAAGATAGATTTTTCTTCTAAAAGTATTAGATTGTTGCAAAAGTAATTGTGGTTTTTGCCATTCTCAACTTATCTAAACTTGTAAAATATGTTTGAGAATGTCACAAATTAGACCAGTTATTTTTGTTCCCAGATAAAAGAAATAAATTATTCTATGAACTATTCAAAATAGAGAAAGAAGACAATCTACATTCTCAGCTTTCATATTATGAATTAATCCACTCAATTTCAAAATAAATTAGTGCTTTCTCAGGGGTATATACTACTAATAAACTAACGTTTCTTATAATGAAAAGGAACTGACAATTGTATTTCACAAAACAAATTTCCATTTTGGTTAGTATATGTTGAGCTAACAGATTAATTAGTAGTGCCAATGAATACTTTTTACCACAGGGAGGGGAGCAAATCATGTTAAAGGGCAGTAACAGCCAACATGACACAGTGATTACCATGGGCCAGGTACTAGTCAACAACCCTATGAACTAGATGTTATTTTACTCTCACTTTACAGGTACAGAGAAGTAACTTGTCCAAGGTCATACTCATAACTAAAGAAATAAACATGGAACCTCAAAAAAATTCAAATCCCTTAATGGTACTGGCAAAGAAAAAAGTGTCAAAAATTAGCAAATAGCTTTGTGAATTATTAGGCTGTTGGTGACGAAAATGGTGGTATCAGTAACCTCCAGTTTTAAAGAAAGAAAAATGTATTTAGACTGTAAAAACTAGGGAACTAAGTGAAATTCTTGCTTAATTATGTCTGATTCTATGCTTTTTATGTTATCTAAAACATAATTAGAACTCCCAAGATGTTCTAGAAATGGGCTACAGAGCAAAAAAAATAATAATAATTTTTTAAAAAAGAGCTCCTAAAATGATGAAAATGATACCAATAATCATTTATAAACTACTAAAGGATCAGAATTTTAGACCTAGAAGGAGACAAGCATATAAGGAATATCTATTAAAGAGTATCTAGTCCAATCCCTTTATTTCACAGATGAGAAAAATTAACTCGAAGTTTTAAGAAACTTTCCCATATATACACATCTAAATGTCAAAATCTGGACTAGAATTTACCTTCTGGTCCAACTGCTCTTTTCATTATACCATGCTGTCAAATACATAACAAAATACCATATTAAGTTTCTGGAATAGAGCTGCTAAAAGAGAAACCAAAACAAAATTAGATTATTTAAATCTAAAAAGGTTTCTGGAAAGGAATTATACAAAGTATACAAATGCTTAAAAGATACTTCCTGAGACAATAAAAGTTTCAGAAGAGCTAGAATAAATATGAGTTTAAAGGCAGGAAGAAAGGAATTTGGTAAATGACAAAAAGGAGGCAGACTCAGTTTGGGGGGACTTGGTCAAAAGTCTAGAATCAAATAAGGCAACAAGAAATGTGACATCATCTCGCTGCAACTGGCCAACATGGATCATGGTAGGGCAGATAATTAACCTACTTTGAGACCTATTAGCCACTTATTAGCAAAAGGTGGAAAGAGAAAGTCACCAGAAGGTAAGCAAAGCCATATGATATAAAATAAGACCATAATATTTATACACATGCCACATAATTGAATATGGTATTTAAAACTAGAGTTTTCAAGCATATTAAAAATTTCAGATCATAACAAGTCTTATCTTTGTGATAACTAAGTGCCTAAGATTAGAATAAACCACCTCTTATAAAATTCCATTTCTGCTAACTATATCACTTTACCCTCTAATAATCATTAAACATATAACCTGTCAACGCCCTAGTACCCTACCACTATGCTTTATTGGGCTCATCTCACCACCTCATCATTTTATAACATTAAACTCATGTTCATCCTAAAATTGGGCAAATTTTAGGATGGGCATGAATGATGATAATGATAACATGATAATCATTCGTGGGTAAACAGTGTAAAACTATATCTAGGGAATACAACTCAAGTTTTTTAAAAAGTTAAATAAAATATGCTCTGGCCAGCCTGACCAACATGGAGAAACCCCATCTCTACTAAAAATACAAAAATTAGCTGGGCGTGGTGGCACATGCCTGTAATCCCAGCTACTCGGGAGGCTGAGGCAGGGGAATCACTTGAACCTGGGAGGTGGAGGTTGCGGTGAGCCAAGATTGCAGCATTGCACTCCAGCCTGGGCAACAAGAGTGAAACTCCGTCTCAAAAAAAAAATAAAATAAATAAATAAATAACATATCCTCTGGGAGGTAAAAATTGACCTTCCTTTTGCTTTCTTGGAGTTTTTATATTTTCCAGATTTTCTATGAGAATGTATCATTTTTAATGTCCAAAATGTATTTTAGACAAATTCAAAAGATGAGTGGGCTTAAATAAAACTTCTATTAATACTTCTTCTAAATGTTCTCTCTCCACCAAGCTCAAACATTCCTTTGACCAAACATTTATGTAATAGAAGATTCCTTATTTTTGAGGTTTTCTTATTTTTTTTAAAGGCTTAAGAAGCTTAAGTTTTGTTCCCTTCTTAAATTAACACAGCAAAATTAGATAAGTAAAACAATGGCAACTCACATTTGAATGCTCCTATCATAGAAGTACTATTTTACTAATAAAATATTAATTTACAAATAAATATTTTATTAATAAAAGAACTACATCCACCCTATTTCTTGAGAAGGAAAAAGAAATTTCATTATTTAATATAATATTCTTGTTATATGAAGAGGAGACTTTCACACACACACATTCCCAACAACGCATGGGCTCTGAGGTTTGCCCCAGCTTTCCTTTTTTTCAGTAGTAAGGATAAATTGCACTGACCACACATACCCTTACCTGGATCCCAGTGAGACTGAGCAGTAAGAAAAGGCAAACATTTTCCATGTATGTCCTTTCTAATTTATGTTTTTAAAAATCGTGTTATTAAAACAGAGCAAACAAAAAAGAAAAGACAGCCAGTTTCACCTGTGCCTTTCTTCAGCAAGTAAAGTTTACCATGCTCAGGGTGCTGTGCTAGGCACAGGCTTTCTCAGAAGAAAAGCCCGTGGGACTCTCCTAGCACCTACCTTTACCAGCTTTGGCCTCATTACCACCATGTTCTAATGGATCTAATCTCATGCCCTTGTAACCGAGGGTGGGCAAGCAGCCAGGCCAGTGCCACCCCATGATCTAACTCTACCCACCTCCTGCACCAACAACTTCTCCGTTGTCTGGTCCCCCTCCCAACAACGCCTTCCTAACCATGACTCCTACAACCCAAACAGGAAGAGACAATAATGATCAGAGGCAGAGCTAACATTTATGGAGCTAACAGTAAGTAGTGCCAGCTCCAAAGCAGGGGCTGTCCTGACCACTACTGCATGCCCATGACGGACCACCCGGATTAGCCACCTCAACTGCAAAACACAGCCTCTCTACATGTATTCTGTCACTTTTCCCGTTATTTCACACTTATTAAGTATAATATTAAATATCAGGTAGGCAGGTACTCCGTGCCAGGCCCTGAAGTCTGAAACTACTTCAAAGGCAAAATAAACACTATGTGATACTGAAAATGTATTATTTCATAGACAAATTAAAAACAGGTATTTCAAGAGGTACCCTTGAAAATGTACTCACTGCAATCTAAACATAATCACTCATTTGGTTCAGGCTATAATACTAACTTATGAAAAACAAGTTTTACTAATTTTCACATGTAAGCACAACACTAGTGATCTAAAATAAGACACAGCTGAAGAGAATTGTTTTTAACAGTTACTTAACCCAATTAAGGTATTGCAGATTTGCCCAGGTACGTTATTTTGACAAATGAAAAAATTATGTACACTTCAGTACTTATAGAATAAAATTTCAACTCATCCTAAATGTTTTCACAGCTGCTGATTCTGAGAAGTGTTCTGTTTAAGTCCAGCCCATCTTCTCTCCACCATTCCACACACACACAGCCACATCATCCCTGCTTCACCCGGCATACCAGGAGGAGGCAGGAAGGACTTTGGAAAACTTTTATACTGAATGCAGAACTTGGTACTCCAGATCAAACTGCAGAAGTAAATGATAATCCTTCCCCTTCAAGGCCCTCACAATTGAGTAAGAGTTCAAAGAAAAATTTACTGCACAGTAAGTATGATAAGTGCTACTGAGATTACAAAAATGCCATGAAACTGTATGAAGGGGATGGAGGGTCGGGTTGGACAGGGGTAGGATTATTCAAGTAAGGCTCCCTGCTTAAGAGACAGGCACACACACTCGCCAGACAAGAAGGATACGGGGTGTGGCAGGGAGGAGCGTTCCAAGCCTAGCAAAACAGCACCTACAAAGCCAAAGAGGTATCTTTGCTTTTCAATTTTGTGATTCTCAGAGGACAAATGGCAATTTTCTTTAAAGAATAAGACTGCAAATTACTTTGAGATATTCAGCACTATTTGGGGGTACATTCGAATGTATTCAAATATGAATACAGACACACCCAATTTTAATAGTACCTTTGGAACGATCTCATTTGGCCAGGCATTTTCTGTATTTGCCAACAATACACACGCCCCACATGTAATTAATGTATCTGGATGGAAGCCCTAGAAAGAGCTTCTGATTTGACATCCTTGGGATCAGAATCCCACTTACTAAGTGTGTGACCCTGGCAAATCCCTGTGTCTCACTGTCCTAATCTGATTACAGCATACATTTATTGTTTACCTGAATACTGTTTGTGTCCATGAGCAAGAATGTAAACACCAAGAAAACAGGGGCTGCCCTGACCAATACTGCATCCCCAGTACTCAGCGTCGCCTCTAGCACTTAGTGGCTGCTAAGTGTATACTTGATATACAGTACTTGAGTGAATGAACAGTCGGTAAAGAGTATCACACCACTCCTGAAATCTAGTCTTTGACAATGAACTATGACCCATACAATGTGTGTAGCTCAGCCATGTGGCAAAATTGTCACTGTAAAAGACCTAATTATCGCATTCCTTTTGAAATTGACTAAGATAATAATTGGCGTATCTAAAAATAATTAGCCCAAACAATTCTCCAAAATCATTTTAATATAGTCCATTTAATACAAATGCTTTCCTAAAATGTAAACTGTGAGAAAGAACAATCATCCAGTTGGGAAATGGAGTCTTCAATGATTCATCCTTCAATATGATTTCTTTAATACTGTCGATTTTATGTCCACCTGATTTCAGTCATTTTTTGTACTGTTCCTCAGCGTGTAGTAGAGAATCTGCTTTTTAAGGCATCTTTCAGATCTGATTCACCACTCCTTAAAGAAAAATATATACAATGTACCACCCTTAGATGGAAAATTTCTTGGGGATCTCCTATATGAAATCAGTTGCATAAATAGGGCCAGTGAGGCATGAAACACAAGATTTCAGAAGTCTCTAATAACAACCACTAGGCCCACGTTGCAAAGAACAACTTTTTTCGGTGATGACTCATAAATTATGATCCCTACATATAAGCTCATGAGGAACTAATGAAACGAATTTGTCTCATCATGTGGAAAACTGTGGTCCTTCTGGCCACGCACAAAACACCAAGTTTTAAACGCGCCCACGTTTTGCTTAATTCGGGACTTCCAGCGGGCATTAGCACTTTTCCCTTACAGTCTATTTAAACGCCCTAGGAAAACAAATACCATCGCCTTGGCAGGCGGTCCCCGCACAGACAGACCTAGCTCCAGCCACATACAGATGTGTCTGGTGGGCTGAAGTAAACAAATGACAGGAAAGCTAATGCTGCTTTTCAAGATTAACGTGCATTCCCAGAGACAAGACTGCCACCTGGACACACGGCTGGAAACGGGAGAGCTCGTGCCTCTCAGAGGAGAAAATGGAGAGAATTTCAACAGTACTTATTTAAAGTTTCCACCTTCACACACGCCCCTTTCCCCCAGCGCGGGGTCGGGGACTCGGCCCAGCCAGCGGCGCGAGGAAATCTGCACTTGACTTCCGTCCTCTCCCAGGCGGGAATGAGCGCTGCCCGCCCCGGCCGAGACCCTTCCTTCCTGCCCGCCGACCCCCACCCCTCCCGGGGACCCCTCCCGCTCGGCGCGCGACCAGAAGGAAATGGAGCCCGCGCGGCTCCGCGCCCCCTCCCCGACGACCCCGGCCCGGGGCCGCGCTCTGGCTCGCGCGCGCCCACCCCTCACCCCGGCACAGGCCGGGCGCGCCTCGGCCCTCGTCCCCGCGTCCCGAGCGGACCCCAGCAGTTCAGCCGGGGACTCCCGGAGGCCGGTGCCCGCCCGACGCCGCGTCTGGCACGGTCGCCCACTCACCGCTACCCTCGCGCCGCCCTGGCCCACCAGGCGGCGCCCCCTCCCCAGCCGCCTGGGCCGCTCACCCCCGCGCTCCCCGCCTGCGCGCCGTCCAACCGCCCCCGCCCGGGCCGCCCGGGCCGCCCAGCCCGCCCGCCCGCCCCGGCGCTAGGCCCCGCGAGCGGCCACTGGGAGAGGCGGGTCCAGCGCCGCCCGCCCGCCCGAGAGGTCCCGGCAGCCCCGGCCGCCCGCTCGCCGCCACCTACCATGGTACAGATGGAGGCGAATTTGGAGACTGTCATTAGGATTTCCATCCGGCCAGCGCCATCTTCCACCCAATCACAGCGGCGGCGGCGGGCGGGGGAGGAGGGGAGCCGGGCCGCCCGCTCGCACCGCAGCCCGCGGGCGGACCCCGAGCCGCCGCGGACCCAACCACCGAGCCCGCTGGGCCGCCGCTGCCGTCGTCGCCGCCGGCGCTCAGGCACTCCCGGCCTCGGGCCCCAGCCCCCGCCTGCCGGCCGCCGGCCCGCCCCCGGCTCCGCCCCGGCGCAGGGCGCAGCCGCTGCCTCCGGGCCCGCGCCTGCACGCGAAGCCGCCCTCCGCCCACCCCGCCCAGCGCACAGGGGAGCGGGCTCCGCCGAGGCCCTAATGCCCGGCCTGCCAGGCAGCGGCGCGGCCAGGCGGCGCAGCCCCGCCCACCCCTCGGCAACCCCTCCGCGGCCCTTGTGCGCGAGCCGGGGAACTCCGGTCCGTCCCCACCCCGCGCGCGGCAGAGGGCAGGACCGAAGGCGGGCGCCACCTCCTGCCCGCGTCCCTGCGGTCCTAGAGCCGGGGACCCAGAGACCCCCGCGTAGGAAGGGGTGCGGCGGGGAGGCGCGGGGGTGGCGGCGGCGATCTGGGAGAACCCTGGAGGGGACCAGCTGCGACACCCACCGCGGGCGAGGGGACGGCGAGCCCCCGCTGCCTAAACAGAAAACGGAGGCGATGATCTGGGTAACTACGGGCGGAGTGGGAGGAAACCTGCTCTGCACAGTTAAGATAACCCGGGTATGCGTCCCAAGCACTTGGTTTGTTTCTTTTTACGTATATTGGATGAATCACCGGAGTCAAACACAACTTAGAAAAAGACAAAATAATTAAACAAAAATGAAGAGGCAAAGAACAAATTACACATGTTTAACTCTTTGAATTAAGAAGAAAGATAAGTAATGGGGGAAGGAGAGGAGCGAAACCTGTTGGCCTGTTGGCGATAAATTTATAATAGGCTTCTAAATATCTGCACATTGAGCTGCAAAATAGGGAGGATCTCAAGCCAGCAGTGATGATGATATTACCAGAGACAGGAAGCCCGCAAGCAAGAAAAATGCCCTGTGAGAAATCCTTAGGCAGTGCTGGCTACTGGCATGGGTAGTTCCTCTTTCTCCTTTTATAAAATTCATATTTGCACCCTGTTCTTCATGCCTGGCAGCTCAGCTTTATTTTTTCCTATTTGAGAAAGTAGTTCAAGTGAGTAGAATAACTTCATAAATTATTATGTTAGAAAGCTTGTGATATTTTCTGATTGAACTCGTGATGGGGTACTTTTCTGGGTTCCCCTAATTCAGTGGGGTTGAGGATCTGAATTCAGGCAGAGCTGTAAAATCAGAAATGCCTCACCTCAAGGGTTCAAAGCACTCAAAAACAAAAAGCATTCAAACAAAATTTAAGTGAAAAATAGACTTCTGGTACATGAATACTGTTTCCATAGTGATTCCATTATAAGCTTGCTTGGGGGGGGAATGCAGATTGAATATAGCCAAGCCCCATGGTAGCCGGACTGGATCTCCAAGCGCCTGCCTCCATGGAAGCCAAGAGCCCTGATACCCCAGCCAGGGGCTTTCCTCTCTATACTTGCAAGCATCACCCACCTGAATTCTTTCTTGCTCTTTTCTACCCCCTGTTTGGACAAGGGTTTCTACATCTTAGACCTCTAGGGCCTACCTGGGCCTTGTCCGAGTGTCACCATGCCCATCTGTGTGCCCGTCCTGATAAATAGCTGTGGTCATCCTGTCCTTCCCACTTGCTGTTCTATTCCAGCAAACAGGTCTGATGTGCCAGAATTTTAGACCTGCCTCCATCCCGCTAACCACCCATATGCCTCCTTGTCCATTAATCCGAACATGTCACAGGAACAAAAGCCACTGGCTTTACATATAAGTTTATATAAGAACAAGGCCTTTCTAAAATGAATTTCTAGGCTGAGTATGGTGGCTCACACCTGTAATTCCAGCACTTTGGGAGGCCGAGGCAGGTGGATCACTTGAGGTCAGGAGTTGGAGACCAGCCTGGCCAACGTGGTGAAATCCCGTCTCTACTAAAATACAAAAATTAGCCAGGCGTAGCAGTGTACGCCTGTAATCCCAGCTACTCAGGAGGCTGAGGCATAAGAATAGATTGGATCCTGGAGGTGGAGATTGCAGTGAACTGGGATTGTGCCATTGCACCCCAGCCTGGGTGACAGAGTGAGACTCTCTCAAAAATAAATAAATAAATAAATTTCTAGGCTGGGCACAGTGGATCAGGCCTGTAATCCCAGCACTTTGGGAGGCTGAGGCAGGAGGATGGCTTCCAACTTCCTTGAGACCAGGGAGTTCAAGACCAGCCTGGGCAACATAGTGAGACCTTGTCTCTACTAAAAATAAAAATAAATACGTGGTGCATGGTGGCGCATACCTATAGTCCCAGCTACTTGTGAGGCGAAGTAAGAGGATAACTTAAGCCCGAGATATCCAGGTTGCAGTGAGCCATGATTGAACCACTGCACTGTAGCCTGAGCGACAGACTGAAACAGTATCTCAAAAATACAGCACAGTGGCTCTCGCCTGTTGTAATCCCAGCACTTTGGGAGGCCAAGGCGGGCGGATCACTTGAGGTCAGGAGTTTGAGACCAACCTGGCCAACATGGAGAAAGCCCATCTCTACTAAAACTACAAAAATTAGTTGGGCATGGTGGCGAGCACCTGTAATCCAAGCTACTAGGGAGGCTGAGGCAGGAGAGTCGCATGAACCTGGGAAAAACCAGTGAGCCGAGATCATGCTACTGCACTCCAGCTTGGGCGACAGAGTAAGATTCCGTCTCAAAAATTAAATTAAATTAAATTTTAAAAAGTAAAATGGATTTCTGATAGAATTATCTGGAGTCATGTCTAGTTGATGTTGGAGCCATCTAAATTCACAGGTAAAGTCATGAAACCTAATCACAGAGCCTCACAATGCCTTGTCTCCACAGCCTATGGTCGATTGGAGAGACACAAACATAAAAGAGACATTCTTGAATCTATGTGCTAGGTGTTGTACTGAGTGTTCTTTACCATATGTAATGCAGTTGGAGAATAAGTTTGGCTGAAACTCCACACTTTTGCACCCTGAGCTTGGAAAGGGTAATCTGGCTTTAGAACACAGCTTTACACAGCTGTGTAATCAGCTTTACAAAGAGCTTCCCTGTGCCTAGCAAAAGATGAGTTTGTGTACAACTGACTCCTTTTCGGCCTTCTTGAATATGCAAACTACAAAATATGCCCAGATGCCTCAGGGACCAGGCAAGTAAATGAACTATGTCCAACCTTAATCCATTTAGTCAGCACAGCATTTTATAATGTTTTCATTTGCATACTGTTACACAATCCTACACTCTCCAGTTCCTTACAGTCTGCCTCAAATTTTCCTTTACTCATTCTGTTCAACAGTTTAACACAAGTCACTTTATTATATAGTTCTGCTACCTCTTTTCTCCCTGAAGGCATGTGGGTTTATACCAGCTCACATAAATGATTCGTGAAGCTTTGCTTGTGATGGGTTGGGAAAGAAAGTGATGGGGAGTGGTCCAAGAAGGGGTGTAAACATTTTATCTAATCCTTGCAACAACCTAATGAAGCAGGTGTTACGATTATCCCCACGTTTAGATAAGGAAACCAAGGCACAGAGATAACTTTTCCAGGGTTGCACAACTAACTAGTAAGCAATGGAACCAAGGTTTGAACCTAGCTCCAGGAGCCACACCTGTGTCCACTCCACTACACTAGCTTTGTAAAAGTATTTTATTTTGATTCTGACAGGATGAGGTTGAGAGGCACGACTCCTTTCGGACTTGCATGAAGGTTTAAGCTACAAAAAAAAAATACTCAAATCGATATTTCTTTGTTTCACTTTCCTCATCTGGAAAATAAGGGTAATAATTATGTTACAACGATAAAACATGTTTCAAATAGTGCCTGGCGCTCAACACAAAATGGAAAGTTTAGAATGGACATTCAAAGTCAACATTTTAAAAGTTGGGGGGCCGTGCGCAGTGGCTCATGCCTGTAATCCCAGCACTTTGGGAGGCCGAGGCAGGCAGATCACGAGGTCAGGACATCAAGACCATCCTGGCTAACCCGGTGAAACCCCTTCTCTACTAAAAAATACAAAAAATTAGCCGGGCATGGTGGCGGGCGCCTGTAGTCCCAGCTACTCGGGAGGCTGAGGCAGGAGAATGGCGTGAACCTGGATGGCAGAGCTTGCAGTGAGCCAAGGTCGCGCCACTGCACTCCAGCCTGGGCAACCGAGCGAGACTCCGTCTCAAAAAAAAAAAAATTTAAAAAAAAAAAAAGTTGGGGTGGGCAAATACAGCCCTCGGGCTGCCAGCTTGCTCCTCCAGATTTAATGAGCCTCTGCTATGTGCCAGCCACCTGCTTAGTACTTCAGATACATATTCCAATGTAACCCTTACGATGACCTTACAGATCCATCATTTCATACTTATTTTACACACAGGGGAATATGACATTCATCATTGCACTAACCAGCACATACAGGGCCAGGATCCACACAAAGGCTCTGACTCTAAAACCTGTGGTCTCTCCGCTTCTTTACCCAACCTCTTAATAGTTGAAGGAATCAGTCGTCTTAGTGGCATTCATTAATATCACCCAGTCATCAAGCAGTAGATGTCAATCAAAACAGTAAATTTTTTATTGGCTTGAATCAACAAATCAGCGACTTTTCAGGCCTTTCCTTTCTTTTCTTTTTCTTTTTTTCTTTTCTTTCTTTTTTTTTTTGAGACGGATTAATTTTGGGATTACAGGCATGAGCCACCACACCCGGCTAATTTTGTATTTTTAGTAGAGACAGGGTTTCACCATGTTGGCCAGGCTGGTCTCGAACAGTGCTGACCTCCAAGCAACACGATACATTTCAAGGCTCCTCAAGCACTAACAGATATTCTGCCTGCTTCTCTGAATCTCTTCTTTGGGTTGGAGTTTCCCATTTTCTTTTCAGCATTTGCTCAGCTCTAATGAGAAAGTTTATCAGGGGAAAAAAAATAGCACAAGAAAAGGAAACATCCTCTGGACTCCGAGAAGCCTCCGGCATCTAGGTCTAACTTCCCCATTCCCAACTCTGATTTTCTTGATTTGTGCCCTTAGAGTTTTTCCTTTGGATACATCTTCCTTCATCTTGCCTTCTCTCTACTACCTACTTCTCAAATTTTTCAGAGTAGTTTTTCTATATGTTTTACCAGGGTTTAACCATTTGTTGGAGTTTGTATGGGAAACCTTTGGCTCTACCTTGTCATTTTGCTGTCACTTTCACATTCAGATTTGCATTTTAGCACCCACGGGGCCTCCTTGCCACTTGACCTTCATCAGCCTACCTAGGGTACCTAGGGAGAGGTAATGTGCCACGTTGGGGTTTCCTGAAATGTTCAAGCTGAATCCTCAGCTGATGAAATACACACAGTTTCTACTTCTTCTTTAAAAAAAAAAAAAAAAACTCTATTAAAATAGCTAAGCACAGCAATGTTAAACCAAATAAAAAATTCCAAAATATATTTAGCATGAAGAAACTCCTGTCATATACACAAGAAACTGTTAACGGTGATTTCCTGGAATGAGGAAGTAGGAACTAGGGGAGAAGGTGGAGGAGGGAATTTTTACTGTATACTTTTTTAGTTACACATGCGAATATACAACTATTTCAAAATTTCAGTAAATGGAGTATTTTTAAGACTTAAAAGACATATTTATGTGACATTATTTTTAAATTACTAGGGCACAGTTAACATTTTTTTTTCTTTTTAAAAGTAATGTATTGGCCAGGCCCACTGGTTCACACCTGTAATCCCAGCACTTTGGGAGGCCGAGGCTGGCAGATCACGAGGTCAGGAGTTCGAGACCAGCATGACCAATATGGTGAAACCCCATCTCTACTAAAAAATACAAAAATTAGCCGGGCATGGTGGCACGCGCCTGTAATCCCAGCTACTCAGAAGGCTGAGGCAGGAGAATCACTTGAACCCGGAAGGCAGAGGTTGCAGTGAGCCAAGATCACACCATTGCACTCCAGCCTGAGCAACAGAGCAAGGCTGTCTCAAAATAAAAATGTATTTTGAGCCTAGTTTAACTCTGATTCCTCTCTGCCTAAGTAGACCATACACTTGAACCCCCATGCTCCCTCCTTAGGGCTCTCTCGAGGTACTTATCTTCCACTTTCATTGGCTCTGACTGTCTTAGTAAAGAAAGAAAACAATCTCTTTATACATGAAGTAAAGGACAAGCATCTATTTGCCTGCTTCAAGAGGGCTGGCCTTGGGTTGTTCTTCCAGCACTATCAAAAGGAAGAGGTTATGGGGGAAGTGAGAGGTGGAAGAAGGGAAGTGAACCTCAAAATTTCTCACTGTTTTCATGTTCCTGCCTCTCCATCCTCAAGACCCAAAGAGAAAAGAGATGCAGTGGGCCCCAGTCTATCACGTGATCAGTGCCCTCACCTGCCCACTAGGCGGTTCTGTCGCTGCCTTTTTCCCAGCATGGGAAGAGCACTTGCTCCTCTAAGCTCCTCTCCATCTTAACCTTTTCTGGTTTGCTTGCTTATTTTTTAGAATAATTTACTTTGGCCTTTCCCAATTCCCTCTGGTCAAGTCTGCTAGGTATGTTGTGCACTTTTATTTCCTTTTTGTGTTTTTTAACAACAATTACACACAGGAGCAGATATATCTGCTTTCTGCCACAAACCTTGAGGATACACAAATGACAGATTTACGAGAATTTTTTTTAAAAGGTCTTCCAGGTAACAAGTAAATGCACATGTGTCTCTCCAAAGCTCCAACCAGGGCTGCTTCTCCAGCCAACCTGCCGCAGACTGGCACGCAATTCCCCCAGAGCCACTTCTTCCTCTCTTCTGTTGCTGGTAAACAGCAAGGAGTTTTGCATCTTAAGGATTCTATTGTTAATTGTTCCTGGGAAACAGGAAATAGACAATAAAATAATGAATATGGGAAAGTCAAAGTTTATAAAGCTCTGTAGTAGGGATAGTTGACCCTGAAATACTACAGGGTTTCAAGTTAAGACTTAGGGTGTCCGAAGGCTTGATTGACTCCCCCTGTACACACACACAAACACACATGCAAGATGTTCAGTTTGTGATTCTTTTTTCTTCTTTTCTTTCTTTCTTTCTTTTTTTTTTTTTTTTTGAGACTTAGTCTCACTCTGTCACCCAGGCTGGAGTGCACTGGTGCGATCTTGGCTAACTGCAACCTTCACCTCCCGGGTTCAAGCAATTCTCCTGCCTTAGCCTCCCAAGTAGCTGGGATTACAGGAGTGTACCACCACAGCCAGCTAATTTTTGTGTTTTTAGTAGAGATGGGGTTTCACCATGTTGGCCAGGCTGGTCTCGAACTCCAGACCTCAGGTGATCTGCCCGCCTCGGCCTCCCAAAGTACTGGGATTACAGGCATGAGCCACCATGCCCAGCCAGTTTGTGATTCTGAACAAGCTCTTAACTTTCTCAACTCCAGTTTCCTCATTATACAATGGTGAAGACCCCTACTTCATCATGTTGTTGAAAGGATTAAATATGATATTGTACATAAGTTCTCAGCACCAGACCAAGCCCACAAGGAGATAAAAGGAATGCACGGTTGTTCACCTGGAATCTTCACCTGTTCTTAACAGGACACTTCAGTCAAAATAGCTTGTGATTCCTTGACTCAAGAGGTAATGAATTTCCAACAGCCAAAAGGTGGAAACAACCCGCATGTCCATTGACAGAAGAATAGATAAACAAAATGTAATATAAACGTACAATGGATTATTATTCAGCCTTAACAATAAATGGTATTTCAACACATGCTACAACACGAATAAACCTTGAGGATGTTACGCTAAGTGAAATAAACCAGTCACAAAATGACAAATATTATATGATTCCATACAGTATTCCATGTGTATGAGGTACCTAGAGTAGTCAAATTCATAGAGCCAGAAAGGACAATGGCAGTTGCCAGGGACTTGGGAAGAAGGGCAGGGAGAGTTATGGTTTAATGGGCACAGTTTCAGTTTTCCAAGATGAAAAGAATTCTGGAGATGGATGGATGGTTGCACAACAGTGTAACTGTCCTTAATGCGGCTGGGCATGATGGCTCACTCTTGTAATCCCAGCACTTTGGGAGGACAAGGCAGGCAGATCACCTGAGGTCGGGAGTTCAAGACCAGCCTGACCAACATGAAGAAACCCCATCTCTACTAAAAACACAAAATTAGCTGGGTGTGGTGGCACATGCCTGTAATCCCAGCTACTCGGGAGGCTGAGGCAGGAGACTCACTTGAACCCAAGAGGTGGAGGTTGCAGTGATCCGAGATCACGCCACTGCACTCCAGCCTGGGCAACAAGAGCGAAACTCCGTCTCAAAAAAAAAAAAAAAATTCCTTAACGCTACTTAACTGTGCACTTAAAATGGTTACATAATAATAAAGCCTATTATATGAGTCTTCAGAGGAAGATAAGAGGCAGTTTGGTACAGGGGTTAGAAAGTTAAACTTGGGAAAGACCCTGACCCTTTCAGTTTGTCAGTTACTTCTTAAATCAGAGGTCAGTGTCTTGTAACAGTGTTGCATAAACACCAAAGCACAGTCAAAATTCAGGCTGACTATCCCTTATCCGAAATGCTTGGGACCAGGAGTGTCCTGGGTTTACGATTTTTTCCGGATTTGGGAATATTTGCATTATACTCACCGGTTGAGCATCCTAAACCTGAAAATCCCAAACCTGACATGCTCTGTGATCATTTCCTTTCAATGTCATGTCAACACTCAAAAAGTTTTGGATTTTGGAGCATTTTAATTTTCAGATTTTCTGATTAGGGACACTCAACCTGCAGTAGGCATCTTTAATAGATTTTTTGCAGAGTGTTTCCTAAATCACATTGCTAAGTGTTGTTATTCTTTTAAAATCTAAGCCTATCACACAAAAGCATGAAGTTAATATGTCCAAGCATGCTCCCTGGAAGCACTGATTGTCATAGTGAATGGTTAAATAAATGTCGATGCATCCACACAACTGAATATTATTCAAGCCTTCAAAAGATTAAGACAGGGCCAGGCTCGGTGGCTCACACCTATAATCCTAACACTTTGGGAGGCCTAGGCAGGAGGATCACTTGAGCCCAGGAGTTCCAGACCAGCTGGGTAACATAGTGAGAAACCCATCTCTAAGAAAAATAAAAATTACCCAGTCGTGGTGGCACACGCCTGTAGTCCCAGCTACTTGGGAAGCTGAGGAAGGAGGTTCACTTGAGCCCAGAAGGTCAAGTGAACAGTGATCACACCACTGCACTCTAGGTGGGGTGACTGGCAAGTCTCTATCTCAAAAAAAAAAAAAAAAAAAAATTAAGACAAGGGTGTATGTGTCCTTGCCCAAAAACATATCCACAATCTATTATTAAGTTAAAAAGAAAGAGCAAATTTCAAGATAAGATGTAAGAGAACAGGTATAATTTTATACCTAATATTTAGAAGATTATAAATTTAACTTGTGATTAATTCTGGGAAGTAGAGTTATAGAGGCTTTCCCTTTCTTCTTTGTGTACTTCATTTTTGTTTAACATTTCATATTGAAAATGTATTACTTTCATAATAAAAATAAAATAAAAAGAGTGTTTCAAGGTTATAAGCCCGGTAGCTTCTTGCTCTCTTTTCACATTGATAGAGTTGCCATTGATCTGATGGGAACTGGATGACATGGAAGCATTGTGAGGTTCTGTCTTTGCTCTTTAAGCCATCCACTGTGTTACAGGCATAACCAGGCCTTTGGAAATCATGTTGGCACCTCCCTGAGGTCCATTCATAACATTGCCATGAGCCCCCTCGCAAAATGATGAAGTATGGTCTAAATGAAGTGTCTCTTTGGAGGAATCTAGTCTTGGTTCTCTCACTTACCATCACTAGTGCCCTACTTAAAAATTTTCCAAGATATAGTGTGTAAAGAGTGTTATAAGACTGTTACATAAATTAGTGAAAACTCCCACATAAATTTCTTTGCTGGTGTATGTACCCAAAGCCTTAGAGAAAGGACAGCTGAGATAGGACAGCACAGAGTGGGTCCAGAGACAAGTCCTCAGTCATCAGACCTGAAGCTCAATTTTTCTATCAAGGAACACATTTGGTGCAAGGGAGACAGACTTACTCAAACAAAAACAAACAAAACAACAACAACAAAAACCTCACAAGGACCTATTAGGATGTCTATATATATATATATATATATGAAACTAACAAGCATTAGGAAAGATGTAGATAAATGTAGAGAAATTGCAACCATTTTCTCTACAATGTGGGGAAATTGCTGGTAGGAATATACAATGGTGCAGCCAATGGTAAAAAAAAAACAGTATGGCAGTTCTTAAGAAAGCATAAAATTACCATATGATTCTGCAATTCCACGTCTGGGTATATATCCAAAAGCAGTGAATCCAGGCAATCCAACAGATATTTGCACACTCATGTTCATAGTAGCATTATTCACAATAGTCAAAAGGTGGAAGCACCCAAGTGTCCAATGATGCATGAATGAATAAACCTAAAATGTGGTACACACATATATATGGAATATTACTCAGCCATAAAAAGGAATGAAGGCTGGGTGCAGTGGCCTATGCCTGTAGTCCTAGCTACTCAGGAGGCTGCTTGAGGTCAGGAAGTTGAGGCCAGCCTGGGCAACATAACAAGACCTATCTTTGAAAAAAAACAAAAGATGAAAAAAAAAGAAGTAAAATTGTGATACATGCTATGACGTGGATGAACATGGAGAACATTTTGTTAAGTGAAATAAACCAGACACAAAAGGACTAATGTATGATTTCACTTATATTAATATGAGATAGCTGGAATCGTCAAATTCATAAAAATAAAAAGTAATATAGAGATTATCAGAGAGGGAATAAGGGGGGGATAAGGGGAAGTTACTGTTTAATGGGTACAGCGTTTCTGTTGGGGATGATGAAAAAGTTGGGGTATAAATAATGGTGATAGATGCACCGCCTTGTGGATGTATTTAAAGCCACTGAATTATATGTTGACAGATGGCTAAAATGATAAATATGTGATTTTATCACAATCAAAAACTAAGAATCTAAAAAAAAAAAAAAACCCCTCACAAGGGACTTGAGGACAAAACAGAATGCCAATTTGTTAATTTACACTGATTTCCTTCCTCCTCCAGGTCCCCAGAGCACCATCACTTCTAAGACTGTGACCTGCTTACAGATCCACTCCTCTGCCCCCACAGTCCACATGTCCACCCTGGGGGCCATGGCTTATTGATTCTTCCATGTATCAGCCCAAGAATCCCCTGCTGCCTTCTGAATAAAGGGTGCAAATACACGAAGCCTGCTCACGAATCAACATAAAACTTGGCTTCCGATCCCGCTTCCCTGCCTGTCTGCTTCCACACTTTTCACTCACGGACTTTCCTGCTCCCCCGGGCACCTTGTCTCCTTTTCCATCTGTGCTGACCCTTTGGCTTAGTGACTCAGCTTTTGGATTGGCCACTTGGCTGGGCCCTTGGTCCCTGCAAAACTGAGTTTCCTGTATCTGTGCTCTGTCAACTCTGAGTCAGCCAAACAGCTGAGGTCATTCTCTACTTGTCACCACCGATGAGGACGGAGAGCCAACACCACCAGTCAGTCACCCAAGCTGGAAATTTAAGCATCATCATTTCTTCTTTTCCTTCCCAGCCCTCCCATCGCTGCTTGCAGGCCAGTGAGTTCCACCCCAGGAATGTTCCACCCCAGTGTATATATTTCCTTCTGAAGTCCCATCCCCATACTGCTTGAGATCGGGGCTCATAATTCCCCCAATAAACCACTGTCCAGCCTCCTGCCTCACCTCTATCTAGCCTCTAGTCTGTGCCTCCAGTTCTTTACACCCTGCCACAGTGACTGCAAGTCTGGTCCCAGTGCTGCCCTGCGGAGAAACCTCCACAGGTTCCCACTGCCAGGGGACCAAGTTGAAGCTCTTTGCGAGAACTGCGCCCTCTCGCTATGGCCAGCCCACCACTCCAGCTCAGCCCTCCTCCCACAGGCCACACTTGTTCAACACGCTGAACCTTTGCCTTTCCCAAGGGCTTCCACCATCCTTTAAATCTGCCCACATTGTTCCTTCTGCCAAGAGTGACCATGTGGTCTGGTTTGCCCAGAACAACCTGTTTACGCCTATTTTCTGGTGTAATTATTAATTAACCACCCTCCCCCTCCACCCGCCCAAGTGTCCTGGTTTGAACAAGTTACATGGTCAGATTACATTTGCCTTAATTCTTCACCTGGCAAATCTCTGCTCATCCTCCAAGATCCGCTTCAATGTCAGAAGCTCTGGGAAGCTTGGCCCAAGTGCTGACCTCTACTTCAGGACTACCTCAGACTGTTATGTATGACTTCATGATGGTGTTTACCAGCATGCACTGTTATGCAATCGTTTACATGTCTAGTCATCCCTACTAGACTTTTGGAGTCTTACATATGCTCAATTAATGTTTGCTGAGGAGGAATGAAAAACGAATCCATTAAGTAGTTACTAAGTAAGGGCCAGGTGCAGTGGCTCACGCCTATAATCCCAGAATTTTGGGAGGCTGAGGCAGGCAGGTCACTTGAGCTCAGGAGTTCGAGACCAGCGTGGCCAACATGGCAAAACTTCACCTCTACTAAAAATAAAAACATTAGCTGGGTGTGGTGGCTTGTGCCCGTAGTCCCAGCTACTAGGGAGGCTGAGTCAGGAGAATCACTTGAGCCCAGGAAGCAGAGGTTGCAGTGAGCCAAGCTCGTGCCACTGCACTCCAGCCTGCGTGACAGAGCAAAACTGTCTCCAAAAAAAAAAAAAAAAATTACTAAGTAAAAACTATGGCTAGGCATGGTAGCTCACACCTGCAATCCCAGCACTTTGGGAGGCTGAGGTGGGCAGATCGCCTGAGATCAGGAATTCAAGACCAGCCTGACCAGTATGGTGAAACCCTATCTCTACTAAAAATACAAAAATTAGCCAGGTGTGGTGGCTTGTGCCTGTAGTCCCAGTTACTTGGGAGGCTGAGACAAGAGAATCGCTTGAACACGGGAGATGGAGGTTGCAGTGAGCCGAGATTGTGCCACTACACTCCAGCCTGAGCAACAGAACAAGACTCCATCTCAACAAAAAAAAAAAAAAAAAAAAAAAAAAAAAAGGACTACGTGCCAGGCACTGTTCTAGGTTCTTGGCAAAACAGATAGACATCCACTCCCTCTTGGAGTTTCCATTTAAGTAGGGGAAAGAGACAGAAGTTAATTTCTGAACGATTCACTGTTGAGGGTACAGGTCGAGGATTTCCTTTGATTAAGCAGTCTTGCTCCTGGAGCTGGGGCTAGGACTCAGCTCCCCATAAGCCACAAGGCTATGTGAGGGAAGAGGGCCCCATCCTGGCCAAACAAGCATTCTGAGAGTAGGGAAGAAGCATGGGGCCAGGCAAGGTGGCTCGTGCCTGTAATCCCACAGCTTTGGGAGGCAAAGCTGGAGGATCCCTGGAGTCCAGGAGTTCGAGACCGGCCTGGGCAATGTAGCAAGACTCCATCCCTAGAAGGAATTTTAAAAATTAGCCAGGTGTGGTGGCGTGCCTGGAGTCCCAGCTACTCCAGAGGCTGAGGCAATAGGATCACTTGTTTACAGTTGTATATGCTCAACACCAGTGAACCTTGTCATGAAAACCCCTCCACCATTGCTGCTACCTAACTTTTGCTTTAAGCAACACAGATTTTTAGCTATCATGAAATCAAATCAGTAGAAAGTATACCCAGAGAGATTGCTATCCTTTAAATATTAAAAATTAAAACAAAAATCAGGCCAGGCATTGTGACTCACGCCTGTAATCCCAGCAGTTTGGGACACCAAGGTGGGCAGATCACCTGAGGTCAGGAGTTTGAGACTAGACTGGCCAACACGGCAAAACCCCATCTCTACTAAAAATACAAAAAAAAAAAAAAAAAATCAGCTGGGGCTGGGCGCGGTGGTTCATGCCTGGCCTGTAATCCCAGCACTTTGGGAGGTCAAGGTAGATGGATATAGTGAAACCCCATCTCTACTAAAAATACAAAAATTAGCTGGGCGTGGTGGTGCACGCCTGCAATCCCAGCTCCTTGGGAGGCTGAGGCAGAGAATCGCTTGAACCTGGGAGGCAGAGGTTGCAGTGAGCTGAGATCACGTCACTGGACTCCAGCCTGGGCAACAGAGCGAGACTCCATCTCAAAAAAAAATTAGCTGGGCGTGGTGGTGCACGCCTGTAATCCCTGCTACTCGGGGGGCTGAGGCAGGAGAATTGCTTGAACCTGGGAGGCAGAGGTTGCAGTGAGCCAAGATTGTGCCACTGCACTCCAGCCTGGGCAACAGAATGAGACTATGCCTCAAAAGAATTAAAAAAATAAAAAATAAAAACAGAAATCTAGAGAAAGGAGAATGGCAGTAGGGTCTGTTCTTTGGAGATAGTTTTGACAGAAACAAGACATCCAGGAACACTAATCTCATTGCTAGATTGCTTTAGGATTAAACCCTGCCCTGGAAAGCCCTAAATACCTTCCTCCTGGGTATATTATTAAGTCATCTGAGAAAGTCTCAATCCTATAACCAAAAGCACATCAAAGAAAATTTCTTCCTCTCACCATTTTTACCTTGAGAAATGATAGAGTAGCAAGTTTATGGATGAGAATATCAACTGGGCATTTTAATGGAAACTGGGCCAGAAAAAGATGGAATAATTCTTTTGTGCTCTTTCCTTTTAATGCTTGAGTCAAAGTAACCCATCTGGTTTTCTTCAATACTGGGTTCTGCGTTAGTGCTCCAGGGAGGCAGAACCCGTTCCATGGAAGTGATTCATTACCTGTGTTAACTTGAAGGGTGTCGCTCTTCATCTGCCTTCTCTTGTTCCATGGCACCACCGTAATTTAAATAATCTGCCTGCTTCCAGTACTGCAGCAGAGTTCTTCCTTCTGCTTCTTTCCTTTTTTCTTTCTCTTCTTTTCGTTTTTTTAACCTTTTATTATGGAAATTATCAAACATAAAAAAAATTCGAATTGTAAAATGAACCTAATCTATACATCATCCAGCTTTTCTACATAAAACTTATATATAGTAAAATGCATGCAAATAAATAAATAAATAGGCTGGGTGCAGTGACTCACACGTGTAATCCCAGCACTTTGGAAGGCCAAAGCAGGTAGATCACTTGAGGTCAGGAGTTTGAGACCAGCCTGGCCAATATGGTGAAACCCTGTCTTTACTAAAAACATAAAAATTAGCCAGTGTGGTGGTGTGCACCTGTAGTCCCTGCTACTTGGGAGGCTGAGACAGGAGAACCGCTTGAACCAGGGAGGCGGAGGTTGCAGTGAGCCGAAATTGCACCACTGCACTCCAGCCTGGGCGACAGAGCGAGATTATGTCTCAAAAGAATTAAATAATAAAATAAATAAAAAGGTTGGGCATGGTGGCTCACGCCTATAATCCCAGCACTTTGGGAGGCCACGGTGGGCAGATCACTTGAGGCCAGGAGTTCGAGACCAGCCTGGCCAACATAGAAACCCCATCTCTACTAAAAGTACAAAAATTAGCCAGGTGTGCTAGCAAGCGCCTGTAGTCCTAGCTACTCAGGAAGCTGAGGCAGAAGAATTGCTTGAACCCTGGAGGCAGAGGCCGCAGTGAGCCAAGATTGTGCCACTGTACTCCAGCCTGAGTAACAAAGCAAGACTTTGCCTCAAAAAAAAAAAAAAAGCAAAAAGCATGGATTTTTTGATAAATCTATATACCTGTTTAACTGTCACCCCCAATCAACACACAGAACATTTCCATCACCCCAGAAAGTTTCTTTGCCATCCCCCAGGTTTATCAGTTTTCAATACCTAGTCATGCTTGTTTCATCTAGACCAATACCCCACAATCCCCAGAATGATTTAGAAGCAAATTTACACATCAGATCATTTTCTCTGTAAATATTTTATTATGTTTCTCTGAAAGATAACCAAAATATTTTTATCACACTGAAATGAACAATATTTTTTCCACATTATTAAATATCCAGTCCCTGTGCACATTTCCCCAATTCTCTTTTAATAGATTTGTAATTGATTTATTCACCTTTGATCTATCTATTGATTTTGAAATCATTCCAGATTAACATTTCCATCCACCAACATGATCATGATTATCTTTTTTCTTTCTTTCGTTTTTTTAGATGGTGTCTTTTTTTTTTTTTTTTTTTTTTTGAGATGGAGTCTCACTTTGTCACCCAGGCTGGAGTGCAGTGGTGTGATTTCAGCTCACTACAATCTCTGCCTCCCGGGTTCAAGCAATTCGCATGCCTCAGCCTCCTCAGTAGGTGGGATTATAGGTGTGTGCCACCATGCCTAGCTAATTTTTTTTGTATTTTTAGTAGAGATGGGGTTTCACCACATTGGCCAGGGTGGTCTCAAACTCCTGAGCTCAGGTGATCCACCCGCCTTAGCCTCCCAAAGTGCTAGGATTACAGGCGTGAGCCACCGCGCCCAGCCACCACCATCATGATTATCTATTAATTGAGTACTTTTTAGTCTAACCCAACCATAATTCAATATAGCTGTCCAGTTTAAATTTCCGATATTGCTATTCATATGGCTTATCCTTCCACAAGAGTTAACTAGCTTTTGTATGAATAAACCTTGTTTCTCTGCCCCTGAGAATTTGATTATGCTGTCTCTTATCTCTACCCCGCCCTCAAACATTCATTAAATAAATATTTGTGCAACACCTACTAGGTTTCAGGGCCAACGCTAGTTTCTGGGCAATCAGTAGTGAACAAGATACACATAGTTCTTGCCCCGGGAAGGTTATGATACCCTCCCCTCTCTACCTGGTGGAATCCATTTACTTTAAGGTAAAGTTCAAATGTCACCTCCTCTGCCAAGTCAGCCTGATCTCTTCAGGCAGAAATCAGGCTTCTATAATATTCTCTCATTCTTTTAAGATTCCTGCTTCACTTCATTTGCACTACTCCTAGAAAACATACCACATGGCCAGGCACAGTGGCTCATACCTATAATCCCAGCACTTTTGGAGGCCAAGGCGTGTGGATTGCTTGAGCCCAGGAGTTAAAAACCAGCCCTGGCAGCATAGTGAGACCCTTCTCTACAAACAGACAGAAAAAAAAAAAGAAAGAAAGAAAACATACCTCAGAAAGAATTTGAACATAAGATCTGTAAAGAGACTTACTTCAACTTTGTGGTACCCTCAACAGCTAATGGAAACAGTGAATGAATGAATGAATATATAAGAGCAGTTATTAAAGAAAAAAACTACCCATCAGCTGCCAAACTTGACACAACAGTTTGAAAAAACATGTATTTGAAAATTCTCCAGTTGGTATAGGTGATTGCAATGCCCTGAGGAGATCGGGGGAGAAAAGCCCATTTATAAAGCAATTGGGAATTGGACTGTAGATTAAAAAGGACATACCTTGAGGTAGTTTTCTTCTTTTAGTTATCTTGTTCCATTATGGCATATTTCTGAACTTGGCACAGGGAATTAAAAAACCAATTTTTTGTAGTCAGAAATTCTTAAAAGTATTTCTGTGCTCTTATAAAAATTTGGAAATATAAAAAGAACAAAGAATCAGCCATAATTCACCACTCAGACAAAATCACTGTGACTATTTTGGCATATTTCCTTCCTGTCTTTTTTCTCTGCATATAGAAAACTGGAGAGCTGGATTTTTCAGTGGCACTGAGCATGAGTGGACCTACACAAGAATGTTTTGTTTTCCATATTAAGGTCATGTGGTCTCTGCCTGCTCTCTGGCCTACCTTTCCCCACTAATGACCTCTCTTTTTTCTCTTTTTCCTATTTTGTTCTAGCCCTTCCCTCACTAAACCTAGAGTTCTGGTCTTGTTACCATAATGTGAGTCTTCACTCAGATCTCTGGTTCCAATGTCATGTCCCTGACTGGGATACTGACCCTGTCACCTTAAATCCCTTCACCTCACCTACTTGGCTCTGAAACCAAGTTCATAGACCAGGCCAGACCTGACCTGTAATCTTTATTATATTTTTTCTTTGTTCCCCATAGCATTAAAAAGCTTTTGTAAATACAATTATTATTATTATTATTATTATTATTATTTTGAGATGGAACCTTGCTCTGTCACCCAGGCTGGAGTGCAGTGGCGTGATCTCAGCTCACTGCAAGCTTCATCTCCTGGGTTGACGCCATTCTCCTGCCTCAGCCTCCGGAGTAGCTGGGACTACATGTGCCCACCACCACGCCCAGCTAATTTTTTTGTATTTTTAGTAGAGATGGGGTTTCACCGTGTTAGCTAGGACGGTCTTGATCTCCTGACCTCGTGATCCGCCCGCCTCGGCCTCCCAAAGTGCTGGGATTACAGGCATAAGCCACCGCGCCCGGCCTTTTTTTTTTTTTTTAAACGGAGTCTCCCTCTGTCGCCAAGGCTGGAGTGCAGTGGTATGATCAAGATCACTGAAACCTCTGCCTCCCAGGTTCAAGTGATTCTCCTACCTGAGCTTCCCGAGTAGTTAGGATTAAAGGCATGCGCCACCAAGCCCAGCTAATTTTTGTATTTTTAGTAGAGATGGAGTTTCACCATGTTGGCCAGGCTGGTCTCAAACTCCTGACCTCAGGTGATCTACCCGCCTCAGCCTCCCAAAGTGCTGGGATGATAGGTGTGAGCCACCACACCCAGCCTGTAAATAGAAATTGAATGGCTGCATTTTATTCTTTTATGTTTGACCATAATTATCTTACCCATTCTAATATTGACCTTATGTTACTTTTAATTTGTCATTATTATAAATAGCATTGTGATGAATATGTTTGCAATTAATTCTTTAACTGTATATCAGATTATTTTCTTAAGTCAGATAACTACAAATAAAAGCATTGACATAAAATATGGCATTAAAATATTTAATACATATTGTTAAATTGACTTCTGGAGAGAGCATACAAACTTACACTCCCGCTGGAGAGTAGAGTGTGTCCATTTTGTTGCATTGTTGCCAATATTGTGTATTACTGTAAAAAAAGGGAACAAAAGGGAATTTAGGAATAGAAAGGAGCTTTCTCAATGTGATCAACAGTATCTATGAAAAATGTACAACTAGCAACATACTTCATGGTGACAGACCAATGCTCTTCCCCAAGATCAAGAGCAAAGAAGGATGTCCACTAATATCACTTCTATCAGACGGTGTATTATTTTTAAATATTTGCTCATATGAGCTATTTAAAACCACTCTGCATTTCAAATTGTATTTCTTTGCTTGGTTGCAACAGGAACCTTTCTTATGTTTATTAGCAATTGCCTTTCCTTTTTTGTGAATTATGTATCTGTCATCTTTGCCCAGGCTTCTGTTTTGCTTTTTTGTTTTGTTTTTTTTCCGAAATGGAGTCTTGCTCTGTCGCCAGGCTGGAGTGCAGTGGTGCTATCTCGTCTCACTGCAAACTCCACCTCCTGGGTTCAAGCGATTCTCCTGCCTCAGCCTCCCGAGTAGCTGGGACTACAGGCACCTGCCACCACACCCAGCTAATTTTTGTATTTTTCATAGAGATGGGGTTTCACCATGTTGGCCAGGATGGTCTTGATCTCTTGACCTCATGATCTGCCTGCCTCGGCCTCCCAAAGTGCTGGGATTGCAGGCGTAGCCACTGCACCTGGCCCAGGCTTCTGTTTTTGTCCTAGGGCTTTTTAAGTTATTTCTGTTGAGTTCTCTATATTTTCATCTTAAATATTTCCATGAATTTGTAGTATGTTTTTTTCTTTTTTGGATGCCATATTTTTGTCATAGAGTTTTTTGTGTGTATGTGATCAAAATCAGTTTGTTTCTTTTTAAGTTGTTTTTATGCTTAACTATGTCTTCTTATAGTGCTTCAAAGTACTGCAGAAACTATACTGCTTCCATATTCAAGAACTAGTTGAGTAGTTCATAGCCTATTATTTGGATAACCAATTTTTCTAGGAAAAGCAGTTCTTATATCCTGCAACTGGTGTTGTTTGTATTATTATAATGCATCAACAAGAAAAAAAAGCATCAGAGAATCTAATTTAGAATACTGGTTCAAAATCGTAACATGTAGGATTCATTCTAGGTTCTGAGTCATGTTTTCATCGCAAGACTCAGAAGAAAGGTAAGGTTGATATTCAAGAATTATACAGAGGCAACCTACAGAATGGCCTTTGTCCGATTTATGACAGAATTTTACAGGAAAGGGTAGCCTAATTTGCATCAGATGTTCACCATGCTTTCATAATTTTTTGATATGGAAATGGAAACTTGTCTTCTCCCATTCAAGAATAGCTAAAAAGTAGGGAGGACAAATAAGAACTGCTGTTTTCATGTGTCATTAATCAACTGATTATTAAATATATGTTGTTTTTTGTATTTTTAGTAGAGACGGGGTTTCTCCATGTTATCCAGGCTGGTCTCCAACCCCTGAGCTCAGGCAATCTGCCCACGTTGGCCTCCCAAAGTGCTAGGATTACAGTCATGAGCCACTGTGCCCAGTCCTGTTTATTAATTATATTGAGTATTGAATTTTCTAAAGGCTTTAGTCTAGAAAGGAATATATATATATATATATATATATATATATATTTTTTTTTTTTTTTTTGAGACAGGGTCTCTCTCTGTCACCCACGCTAGAATGCAGTGGCACAGCCTCAACTCACTGCAGCTTCAACCTCTGGGGCTGGAACAGTCCTCCTATCTCAGCCTTTCAAGTAGCTGGGACCACTAGCATGTGCCACCATGCTCAGCTAATTTTTGTTTATTTTTGTAGAGAGGGAGTCTGATATGGTTTGGCTGTGTCCCCACCCAACTCTCATCTTGAATTCCCTCATGTTGTGGGAGGGACCCTGTGGGAGGTAATTGAATCATGGGAGCAGGTCTTTCCCATGCTGTTCTTGTGACAGTGAATAAGTCCCATGAGATCTGATGGTTTTATAAAGGGGAGTTTCCCTGCACAAGCCGTCTCTTTGCCTGCCACATAAGATGTGACTTCCTCCTCCTTGCCTTCAGCCATGATTGTGAGGCTTCCCCAGCCACATGGAACTGTGAGTTCTCCATTAAACCACTTTCCTTGGTAAATTTCCAGTCTCCAGTATGTCTTTATCAGCAGCATGAAAACAGACTAATACAGGGTCTCACTCACTATGCTGCCCAAGCTGGTCTCAAACTCCTGGGCTCAAGAGATGTGCCCGCCTCGGCCTCCCAAAGTGCTTGGATTACAGGTGTGAGCCACTTCACCTGGCCTGTGATACATTTTAAACAAATTTTAGTCTGTTAGTTTATAAAAGTAACAGTTAAAAAAATCTTTTAATTATTTGACTTTACTTGTAGCTTAGCTCATCTCTAATTATTTCCAGGTACTAGCCTGGAGCTGAGAGATGACCTTATTTTTATACCTCATATTCTTTTGTCTCATAATGAGTTTGAATATGAGTCAATAAGACAAGATGTACCTCAGTGTCACCACTTTACAGAAGTAGTATCATTTATATACAATGAGTAAGATTTTTATGATACCAAAAAATTCTCAACATAAAACAACAGGAAAGTCCATATGAAACAATTTAGGAAAAATATTTAGACAAAAGTACAAAAAAGAGTCCTGGATTACTGAATTTCAAAAGGAAGTCATCTGGCCTGGCATGGTGGCTCATGCCTGTAACACCAGCACTTCGGGAGGCCAAGGTGGGTGGATCACTTGAGGTCAGGAGTTTGAGACCAGCCTGACCAACATGATGAAACCCCATCTCTACTAAAAATACAAAAATTAGCCAGGTGTGGTGGCATGTGCCTGTAATCCAGGTACTTGGGAGGCTGAGGCAGGAGAGTTGTTTGAACCTGGGAGGCGGAGGTTGAGCCCGGGAGCTGAAGGCAGGAGGGAACCCAGGAGGCGGTGAGCCGAGATCACACCACTGCACTCCAGCCTGGGCAAAAGAGTGAGACTGTCAAAAAAAAAAAAAAAAAAAAAAATAGAAGTCCCCTATCAATCACCATTTCAAAATCAGTGAAGAGAAAAGGGAACTGCAGAAGCCAGCAGCACTGAAAGGTGCCCGGGACAAGGCAAGGCTGCAGCACGATTCAAGCCCTTCGCCACTTCACCGACGTCACTCTCCCTACACTCAGGACTGGGCAGCCTTTCTAGAATCTGCTTTCTGTACAATGCAGTACCTGCACATAGCAGGGACTCAAGAGAGGTTCTATTATTAACACCTTCTCGGTAGGTTCTTGGGGAATAGAGTCAGTTTTCAAAGAGTTCCACAGTGTGGCACTCAAGACAGGGGGCTCTGGAGCCAGGCCGCCCAGATGCAAATCCTGGGTCTGCTATTTACCATCTCTGTGACCTCGAACATGTTACTTAACCTCTGAGTGTTGGTATACGCTCATTTAAAATGGAAATAATAATAGTTTCATAGGTTTATGTCAAGATTGAATGAGACAAGACATAAAAAGTACCGGGTATAGAATAAGCATCTGGTATACCTGAGCTAGTCACACACAGAGGAAAGTAAATTACCACCAGCTAGACATTTTCAATCTATAATAGCCTGTGCAAGTAAAACAAAGCAAAAAATAGAAACACTCTCTAAGGGCCATTGAATCAGTTAGGATTAGGTTTAGCTACGTGAAATAAACAAATAACCATCCCACCCCATGCCCACACACTCAGACACATACACACAAAAACCCCAGCAGTTTAGAAATACAGAAATTAGTTTCTCTCACACATAAAATAAGCCGGAAAGTAGGCAGCCCAAGATTGCACAATCACCTGGATTCAGGCTCCTTTCTCCCTCCTGCTCTGTCGGCTTCCTGGTCCTGGAAGTCTGCTTGGCTCCTACCATCTCATCTCCTTTTTCCAAGCAGTGAGGAGGAGGAAGGTGCAAAAATGAACCTACACCTTACCATTTAAAAACACTTCACAGACTGGCCTTTGTGGCTCACCCCTATAATTCCAGCACTTTGGGAAGCTGAGGCAGGAGAACTGATTGAGCCCGGGAGTTACTGAGACCAGGATGGGCAATGTAGGGAGACTCTGTGTCTACGAAAATTTTAAAAATTAGTTGGGCATGATGGCTGACAACTGTGGTCCCAGCTACTCAGGAGGCTGAGGCGGGAGGATCACTTGATCCCAGGAGGTTGAGGCTGCAGTGAGCTTTGATGGCACCACTGCACTCCAGCTTGAGCAGTAAAAGCAAGATTCTGTCTCCAAAATAAAGAAATAAATAAAAATATTTATCAGCTATTACATCCAACATTTCCATTAACATCCCATTGGCCAAAATTTGGTCTCATAGTCTTGTCTAGCAATCAGGAGGCTAGGAAATAGTCTTTATTCTGGGTGGGCGTGTGCCTAGCTAATAACTGGGGGTTCTAGCACAAACAAAGGAGAGAATGGATATTAGAGAGGAAAGGAGCATTCCATTCCCCAGCTGGGTGGATAACAAACTGCCTCTGAGCAAGAAACATAATGAAAATATTCAAACACAGGGAAGGCTGCCCCAAGATTGACTTATTTGTTTATTTATTTGTTAGGGTATAATTGTCAATGGTTTACTTATTGTGTCTTATAGAATCATAAGCTAGATTATGTCCTCAGCCCTCCTGGAAATGCTTGGCAGAGTGTGCGTCCCATTCAACCTCCACAGCGTAAAGGAAAGGGAAGGCACTTGGGGAGATTTCAAAGAAAAGCCACCAGGATGACTAATAGCTCAAAACAATAAGACCTAGGACGCACTGTTAAGGAATGAGTCAGCCAGGGAAAGAGATGGCTAGAGGGTGACTAAATAATGATCCCTTGCTATACAAAGGTCTCTGCACAGAGGAGGAGGGAGTAGGAGCAGGAGAAGAAGGAGGAAGATGACCAGGAGTATGGTCATCTCCACTAGGGGTTGAACGGAAGGAAACGGGAGCAGGAGTGACTTAAAGATACCTGAAAGGACAAATGTGCTGAAGGGGATGCTTGTCAAAATACAGGAGATGGTATAAACATATAGCACGTGGGGATTATACATTGGCATCTCTGACCACCGTGGTATTTGAATGTGCTCTTCACTAAAGCAAAGCTTGAGAGTTTGCGGGGAGGGAGGGGCATTCACAGGTGGAGGGAGGGTGAACGACCAGAACTCCTATGATTTCCTTCTCTGTGCCTCAGTTTCCCTCATGGAATAACCATGTGTTGGAGTTCAGAAAAGAGATCCTATATTGATTTGAAAGATACACTCTGGTTTTGCAGATGTACAGAAAATAATAACTAAACAATATCAGTATGTGGCAGAAGAGATCCTACCAGTAGAAAGGAATGCCCTTTCTGCATTTTAAGATCTCATTTTTTAAATTATAAAAGGAATATAATGGCTTTCCAGTCAAGGTGGCCCCATAAGATGCATGCCATCTGCTGCACACATTCAACAATGTCAAACTAATACACAAAGAGAAAACCAAAAAAGATATAGCATGGCTCAGAAACAAGACAATTATTTACATGGACCAGAAACAAGAGAGAGCTGAATGAGGCAGAAACTAGGACCAGGGGCCGTGGGTCTCAAACAGGCAGTGGTAGTTGAGAATCTGGCTTCTCTAGAGACCAAAGCCAGGAGCCTGTAGAAGCCAGGGGCTGCAGTAGAGCTCTCCTTCCTCCTCTCCCCCAGCGCCTGCTCCTCTCCCACTCCCCAGGGGTAACCACTCTCCCTTTTCAGCCCTCCTGAGAGCCACTCTGTAAGATGAGGACATGTGGCATCTACAGGGCTTCCCACCTCGCTTCTCCTTCCCTGATTTCTATTCAATTCTGCCACTGTCCTTACCTCTTCATTCTGTTAACTATGATTCTTTTGTGTTTTGTATATAGGTGCACTGCAGAAACGAGTAATATGACTAAACCCATAGAAAAGGGAACATATTCTATGTTATTAAATCTGCCATGATTTAATGGAATATTTTTCCAAATTCAATACATAGCTCAAAATCATGTCATATTTTAGTTAGCTTCGGTTTTTTCATTTGTTTTTTGGTTTTTGGGTTTTTTTTAAAAGACAGAGTCTCACTCTGTCACCCAAGCTGGAGTGCACTGGTGTGATCATGGCTTACTGCAGCCTCATCCTCCCGTGCTCAGGTGATCCTCTCACCTCAGCTTCCCGAGTAGCTGGGACTACAGGCATGCACCGCCATGCCCAGCTAGTTTTTGTATTTTCAGTAGAGACGGGGTTTCACCATGTTGCTCAGGCTGGTGTCAAATTCCTGAGCTCAAGCTATCTGCCCACCTCTGTAATCCCAGAACTTTTGGAGGCCGAGGTGAGCAGATGCCTTGAGACCAGGAGTTTGAGACCAGCCTGGGCAACACAGTGAGACCCCATCTCTACAAAAATTAAAATTAAAAAATTAGCTGAGCATGGTGGCACATGCCTGTAGTCCTAGCTACTCAGGAGGGTGAGGTAAGAGGATCACTTGAGCCCAGGACATCAAGGCTACCTTGAGCTATGATGGCACCAGAGCACTCCAGCCTGGGTGACAGAGCAAGACCCTGTCTCAAAAAAAAAAAAAAAAGATATTATTATTGCAGGCCCTTGACTTCCTGCTATAATATGAACTGATGACTTTCTTTCTTTCTTTTTTTTCTTTTTTTGAGATGGAGTCTTGTGCTGTTGCCCAGGCTAGAGTGCAGTGGTGTCTCAACCTCCGCCTCCAGGGTTCAAGTGATCCTCCTGCCTCAGCCTTGCGAGTAGCTAGGAATACAGATGCCTGCCACCACCACATGCAGCTAATTTTTTTGTACTTTTAGTAGAGACAGGGTTTTGCCATGTTGGCCAGGCTGGTCTTGAACTCCTGACCTCAGGTGATCCACCCACCTCAGCCTCCCAAAGTGCTGGGATGACACGTGTGAGCCACCGCATCTGGCCTTGAACTGATGACTTTCTAAGCCTGTTACACAAATTACAACTGAGCTTCCTTCTCAATGATTTCCTAGGTGACTGCCCTTGTTCTTGGGCTTCATGTCTCCCTCTTGGATTCCTGTTCTGATTGGAAGGAGCACATCCTCAGTTAATTTTTTCAGAAAAGGTATATGTAGAGATAAACTTTGTGAGTGCTTTTTATTTTATTCTCACAGCTGCCTATTTGACTGGATGTCAGTTTCTAGGTTAAAATCAGTTTTCCTTATGAATTTGGGGTCACTGTTTCGTTGTCTTTTAGCCATGTTGCTTTACATATATCTGATGCCAATTTGTTCTTCATTTCCACCTAAGAAACTTTGATTTCTTCTCTGCAAAACTTTAGGGTTTTCTTTTTTAAACTTGACATTCTGAAATCTCACCATAATATGTCTAAGTGTGATCCTCTTTTTTTCATTCATTGTATTTGGTACTATTGTCTTTTTCAATATGAACACTTGAATTTTTCTTCAGTTCAGGGAAATTATCTTTCATTTCTCTAAATGCTTTCTCTTCATTCACCATTCTCTCCTCCAGGAACTTCTATTAGATTGATAGTGAGTTCTCTCTGTTTTTTCACTTTCCCTCATTATGGCTCTGTATTTTGGGATATCTCTTTGTCCATATCTTTTAGATCACTACACAATCTTCTACTTCATTCAGTCCTTCTATTTTAAGTTTTCGTTTTGGCAATCATGATTCTAATTTTTGAGAATTTTTTTCATATTTTTTGAGTGTTCTTTTTTCGTGGCCATCTGTTTCTGTTCTTTTTTTCAGTAGATAAATCGCATGTCTTCTGGGGCTTAGCTTAGGAAGGTCTTTTTTTTTTAGTTCTATTTCTTGCATTATATGTCTCCCATTCTCTGAAGTAATGTATTCTATTGGCTCAAATTGGTCTTTCACAACATCAGCTTTTTAAAAAATGTCTTAAAGGCTGGGCATGATGGCTCACACCTGGTAATCCCAGCACTATGGAAGGCCAGGACGGGTAGATAGCTTTGAGCCCAGGAGTTCAAGACTAGACTGGGCAACATGGTAAAACCCTGTCTCTATAAAAAATACAAAAGAATTAGCTGGGTGTGGTGTTACGTGCCTGTAGTCCCAGCAACTTGGGAGGCTGGGGTGGGAGAATCTCTCGGGCCTGCTGCATTCCAGCCAGGGTGACAGAGAGAGACCCTGTCTCAAAAAAAAAAAAAAAGAAAAGAAAAAAAAAAAAGAATCTTTTTAAAGGTATCGACTTGACTGGATTAAAGAATATCTAGAGGACAGGTGCAGTGGCTCACACCTGTAATCCCAGCACTTTGGGAGGCCGAGGTGGGCGGATCACTGAGGTCGGGGGTTTGAGACCAGCCTGGCCAACATGGCAAAACACCATCTCTACTAAAAATACAAAAAAATTAGCTGGCGTGGTGGTGCACACCTGTAATCCCACCTACTCGGGAGGCTGAGGCAGGAGAATCACTTGAACACAGGAGGCAGAGGTTGTAGTGAGCCAAGATCACGCCACTGTACCCCAGCCTGGGTGACAGAGGGAGACTCAGTCTCGAAAAGAAAAAAAAAATAATAAAGGAATTGTGAAGGTGTTTCCAGAAGAGATTAGCATGTGAGTCTGAGTGGACTCAGTGGGCAAGACCAGCCTCAATAATGCAGGTGGGCACCATCCAATCAGCTGAGGTCCCAGATAGAATACAAACAGAAAAGCTGTATCGGTCTCTTTCTTTGGGAGCTGGGATATACTCTTCTTTTCCTGCCTTGAGCATCAGAACCCCAGGCCCTCTGGCCTTTGGACTCCAGGATGTACACCGATGGCCATCCAGGTTCTCAGGTTTACAGCCTCAGACTGGGAGTTACACTATCTGCTTCCCTGATTCTGAGGCTTTTGGACTTGGACTGAGCCATGCTACTGGAATCCCAGGGTGTCCAGCTTGCACATGGCCTGTTTTGGGACCTCTCAGCCTCCATAAATCAAGTGGGCCGATTCTTCTAGTAAATCTCCTCTCATGTATCTATTTAATACATATATATTATATGTACATATAGATATATTAGATACATATATATCTATTGGTTCTGTCTCTCTGGAGAACCCTAATACAGGAGCCAAGTGAGGTTGACATATTTATCACCCTGCCTTCTCTCGGCAGGGTTGCTGTGGGTTGGCTGCTCCAAAGGCAACACTTTCCAGCACCTCATTTACAGCTAATGACCTAGAAAATTCTTTCACTACCCCCCTTCTATATCAGGAAAAATAACTAAAAGCAGTTTGCCTTCGTGTGTCAAGGACAGCAATATATCTTAACTGTCCTGCCTCAGGGCTAAGTCAACCCCTGCTGTCATAATATAATATAGAGGAACCCTGTTTGTCTTGCTGTTCTACAGAAAGTCACATGGGTTCATTACATGGATGATATTATGCTAATTGGATCTAGTGAGCAGAAAGGAGCTTAGATCCACTGGTAAAACACATGCTTGCCAACAAGCTGGGAAATAATTCCCTGGGAAGTTCAGGGTCCTGATATACTGATGAAGTTCCTGAGAGTCCAGTGGTTTCTTGGAATATCTCCTTCTAAAGGGGAAGATTGGCCAGGCACAGTGGCTCATGCCTGTAATCCCAGCACTTTGGGAGGCCGAGGCAGGAGGATCGCTTGAGCCCAGGAGTTTTGAGACCAGCCTGGGCAACATAGTGAGACTCTATCTCTATGAAAAAAAAAAAAAAAATCCAGGCACAGTGGCATGCACCTGTAGTCCCAGCTACTCCTCAGGAGTCTGAGGTGAGAGGATTGCTTGAGCCTGGGGGCAAGGCTGCAGTGAGCTGTGATTGTGCCACTGCACTCCAACCTGGGTGACAGAGAGAGATCCCTGACTCAAAAAGAAAAAAAACAAACAAACATTAAAAGAAAAAGGGAGAGATCATGAGATCATGCTTACCCCTTGCCCCACCTGTCATGTAGGAGGCACAATGCTTAGTGGGTTTCTTTGGATTTTAAAGACAACATGAATCATACTTTGGTGTGTTCCTCTAATCTCATTACTGGATTATTCACCTGATAAGACTGACAGTTTTGAGTGGGCACAGAGTAGAAAGAGGTTCTGACAAGTCCAGGCTGCATCACAAGCAGACCCAATGGAGTGGAAGAATCTGTGGCAGACAGAGCTGCTATATGGGGACCCTAGCAAGACCCAGTGCAACCCGAGTAAAGCTGTGACCTCTTCTACTGACAACTGTTTTTCACCTGAAAAGCAGTTCCTGGACTTACAGGGCCCAGATACAGACTAGGCATCTGACTCTGGGTCACAAATGACTGTGTGATGTGAACTGCACCTGATGACCTGGGCCCACTCAGCAGTGTTCATTGTAAAATGTAAATGTACTCTAGTATCTTTTCCTCCCCCAGGACAAAGCTCATGACTGAGATCCTATAACAGAAGACAGATTAACAAGAGAAAAGCATACACATTTGTTTAACATATATTTTACATGACATGGGAATCTTCAGAAATGAAGATCAAAAAAAGCAAACAAAAGAAAAAACGGGAAAATGTGTATTTTCAGGAACACAGAAGTATAATTGGAGGACAAAAGGTCTAATCTAATGTCAATAAACTGGGGGGAACTTAGCAAGGGCTGTTTGTTCAGATTCTTCAAGGCATCTCTGTGTCTTCATTCTTTTCCTCCAGGCACAGGGCAGGACCCCTCTGGAATAAGGATCTTATAACTTATTTTCAGAAGAAACTCGGCCCAGGTTTTATGGCTCCTTTGGGGGACAAAGAGCAAGGAGGAATTCTTTCTAGTTTCTATGACCTCCTTCTACTGTTTCCTCAAATGCCAAGGTACCATATTTTCAGGTGGCATTTCCTGTACCACATCAGTGTGTATGAGATCAGGCTCTGGCAGATCTGGAAATGACACAGAAACTTCAGGAACACATGGTGGTCCAGGCTCCCGTGGTACCTTTCCCACTGTCTTATTGTTCCTCTCTCAACACATACCCATGGCCTTATGGGGAGTTCCCTGCCCCCACTAAATAGAGGAGGGAAAGGTGTGGGTCAGCTTTATTAATGGATCTTCATGGTAAGATGGAACCAGCCAGAAATGATGAGGTGTTGAACTATACCCCACCCAGGAATGGCCAGAAAGAGAGGGGTGAAAGACAATCTTTCCAGTGGGCTTCGGGCATTAGGTCTGGTTTATTTGCATGAAAGGGAAGATAGTCTGAGCAATGACCCTCTAATCCATGGTTAGTCATTGACAGATTCATCAGATTAGTCAGCAACTTGGGAAAGAGTAAACTGCATATTTGGTGACATGGAGGGCTGGGGGAGAGGTGTGTGGACTATGCACAGAATGTGAGGATGTTTTTATACCATGTAAATGTCCCCCACAGCATCCACTGTGAAGGAGCCTCTCATTAATCCTTTTGGTCATTGGGCTGCCCTAACAAAGTGCCACAGCCTGGATGGCATAAACAATAGACATGTATTTTCTTACAGATCCAGAGGCTGGAAGTCCAAGATCAGATGCCATCAGTGCTGGTTTCTTCTGAAGTCTCTCTTCCAGATTTGTAGACAGTTGCCCTCTCTTGTCCCCATGTGGCCTTTCCTCTGTGTGTGTGGAGAGGGAGAGCTCTCTGATGTTTCTTCCACTTCTTATAAGGACAGCGATCCTATGAGATTAGGCCTCAACCCTTATGATCTCAATTATCTCCTGTCTCCAAATACAGTCACATGGGGGAATTAGGGCTTCACTATATGAATTTGGGGGCCACAATTCTGTTTCTAACAATAATCATGTGGTCAAGATGATCCAATCTGTGGATATCTATCAGTCTCTTTCCCTCACTTCCCACGTACTTGCTTAATTGGCCCATGAACAAAGCACACATATGGCAGGGATGGACGCTATGCATGGGCTCAGTAGCACACTCTCACCAAGACTGATCTGGCCTCTGCCAGAACTCAATGTCCAATCGGCCACAGCAGATCAACACTAAGACCCTAAAATGGCACCGTTCCTTAAAGAGACCCAGCAAAGACATCTGATTGCAGGTAGATAACTTTGGATCCCTTTCATCAGGTAGGAGGCAGAATTAGCCTCACAGAGACAAATATTTGCTCCAAGTATGGATTTGCCTTTCCTGTCCCCAGTATGTCTGCCAGCACCAAAGTTCATGGACTTAAAGAATGTCTTGTCTATCCCAAATGGTGTCAAAACTCAAACATCTCCCTGCAAGGGATACACTTTTCAGAGGTGGCAATGTGACAGCGGGCTCATAACCATGGAATTCACTGGTTTTATCACGATTCATTCCCTAGAAAAATATGGATTAATTGGGCCAGGCGCGGTGGCTCATGCCTGTAATCCCAGCACTTTGGGAGGCCGAGGCGGGCAGATCACAAGGTCAGGAGTTTGAGACCAGCCTGGCCAATATGGTGAAACCCCATCTCTACTAAAAATACAAAAATTAGCTAGGCATGGTGGCATGCACCTGTAGTCCCAGCTACCTGAGAGGCTGAGGCAGAAGAATCGCTTGAACCTGGGAGACAGAGGTTGCAGTGAAACAAGATCGAGCCACTGCACTCCAGCCTGGGTGACAGAGTGAGACGCCATCTAAATAAATAAATAAATAAATGGATTAATTGGATGGTGGAATGGCCTGCTGAAGACACAGACACAGTGACAGCTGAGGGGCAATGCCTGGCAGGGTGGGGTGCTTTCCTATAAGATGCAGTAACTGCCTCAAACCAGCAGCAGCCCAGGATGCCACCTCCCCCGTAATCAGATTGCATCAGCCTGGGAACCGAGGGGTGGAGGCAGGAGTGGTTCTTCGCACTATTACACTAATTCACCATGGAAAGAATTCTTGCTTTTTGTTTGACCTTGGGCTCAGTGGCTGACCTAGAAGAAATACTTCCATCAAGGAACACAAAGTAACATCCAATTGGAAGTTGAAACTGAGTGTGACCCTAAGCCATCTGAGCCTCCTCATGCTGCTAAACCAAAAGGCAGAGAAAGCAGTCACTGTATTGGCTGTCTCCATTGACTAGAAGGAAATTCCTTTGCAGCTACCCGACAGGAGAGACTCATCCAAGAGATTCACTGAGGCATCTCTTATTCTAGCAGTCGGTGGAAAGTGGTGCAACCCAGAGAGGCAGGTTCACCGAGGACTCAGATCACAGATGAAGGTATGGATCACCCTGCCAAGTAACAAACCCCACTCAGCCCGAAGGAGGTAATGGGTGGTGGAAGAAGGAAGCTATGATTATCAGCGTGGCCTCCATGACTTGTTCCAGAAATGTGCTCAGTCAGAGTTACATTTCATTGTAATTATTTTAATTGCCCCCTCACTCCAGTCTCCTTGAATCTCCCCCTCCTTCATACCTTCAATGATGGGCACTGGCAATGGCTACCATTTTAGACTCGAGGTTAGACTATGACTGAATTGAAGTCATCATGCAATGGTACAGCAGTTAATAGGAATTTTGTGGGTGCCCTCTGCTGGGAACATAAGTATTTCACCTGGCAAAAGGATAAGGGTGAATGCTTGAGGGGATCCCATACTGGATAACTTCCATTTGCCCCATCTAGCTGTCTTCAGACCAGGGAGGCAGACCTGTATGGACCGCAGCAATGGGCTCTCTTGCCCTCTGCATTCTGGTTAGATTCAGCCAATAGAAAACATGGGCAGGAGATCAAAGGATGGAGAAAAACGAAGTTGAGGTCACTATTTCCAATTCCTCCCTTGCTGGGTCACTACGGATTGACTGTGTCCTCTACTAAAAGCTTTTCCCTGGGTTTTGGTGACCATTCTCTCCATTTGCCCCTCCACCATTCCGTTATTAACTTGGGTATACCACACCATTCCCTGTTACTTTCACAGAACCCTGCCTACACTTTTGTAATAGTACCTTTGGGGTTTTCTGTTTTTCTTTTTTTTGAGACAAGGTCTCACTCTGTCACCCAGGCTGGAGTGCAGTGGCATGATCACAGCTCACTGCAGCCTGGAACTCCTGGGCTCAAGTGATCCTCCTGCCTCAGCCTCCGAAAGTGCCGGGATTACAGGCGTAAGCAATGCACATGGCCTATAATATTGTTAAACTGCCCTTGATTACCCAGTTTGAAGGCATCATCTGCTTCCTGCCAGGAACGTGCCAGATACAACCAGGGCCTGTGCATGGCCCTGGGGTTAAAAAAATAAAGAAGACCTGGTTCTCAACCTCAAGGAATTTGTGCATCTTATAGTTGAAACAATTACGTAGAGAGATACATAATTCAAATGACATGTAACAAAATGCATAACAGGGGTATATGTGAGGCATGCTGTTCTACCAAGGAGAAAGTGATCAGCTGTGCTTCCAGATGGGGGTGGGCACGGGGGAACAGGATCACTGTCCCCCGCTCCAAGATGAAAGATTTCAACTGGGTCTTAACAGATAAGTGGAAAGTTAGGAATGCCTCCTCTACACATCCTCACAAATTAGTTGGTTCTTTGATTCACCCAGGTGGCAGAAATGCCTCCAGCAATGTCTTCAGTGTGACAGGACTAAAGGAGAGGGAGTTCAGAGAAGAGACATGTTCCACACCACTCTAAGAGAGAGGCAGATGTCAAGAACAGAGGCTGTGAGGAGGTGAGGCAAAGAGCAGCTTCCCTGCCATTTTCTACACTATCCTGCCCCACAATGATGATCTCAACTCCCATTGTATATCCTAGTTGCACTCAGACCTGGGCAACCTCAACATGCAGACCCCTTCCTGAAGGCAGCATAATTCTTAACCCCTACTAAGGAGGAATGACACAATGGGCTAACATTTAATAAGTTTATTATATCCTTACCAGACGAACAATCTATGCGGAATAGAGGGGACAAAGGAACATGTTAAATAACACCATAAAGTTATAATCAGCAAAATCTAAACTGTGGGAAGCCCTACAGTATCAACTGGTTTATCCCAAAAATAAATTGCAAGGGAAGCAAATGGTTTTGAAGAAACCCAAAGATTAAAAGAGGTCTAAAAGGGCCATGTGCAGTGGCTCATGCCTGTAATCTCTGCCCTTTGGGAGGCAGAGGCAGGCGGATCACTTGAGCTCAGGAGTTCGAGACCAGCCTGTGCAACAACATGGTGAAACCTCATCTCTACAACAAATACAAAAATTAGCCAGGTACGGTGGCATGCGCCTGTAACCCCAGCTACTCGGGAGGCTGAGGCAGAAGAATCACTTAAACCTGGGAGGTGGAGGTTGCAGTGAACTGAGATCGCACCATTGCACTCAAGCCTGGGCAACAAGAGTGAAACTCCATCTCAGAAAAAAAAAAAATAATAATAATAATGGCTAAGCCCTTCCTCCAGAGATTCTGATTCAATTAAACTGGGCTTTGGGTATCACTTTTTAAAGTTTTCCAGATAATGCTAATGATTTCTTAGAGGAATATTTTTAGGACCAAGTGACACAGTCAATTATTTCCAATTAATTAATGATGCATTTGAATCAACCATTCAATCATGTATTCATTTATTCAGTTTTCAACTCTATTGACTGAATGTTCTATTTCAGAAAAATTATGTCTATGAACTTTCCATTTTTTAAATAGTTTTTACCATCTCCTAAAAATGTTTACCTTTTTTTTCCGCTGGATTTTCATTGGTTAACTACATAATGAAATTAAACTCTGAACAGCATCTTTCCCACAAATTTCACACTAAGCGCTTTTTCTAGAACTAGACAATAGCAAAGAAGAACAAAATTAAATAGTCTAGACAAGGAAGAAAAAAATCTATTTTCAGTTTATATTTTATTAGCAGTAGCTTGTCAGTCAGATGATATGTTAAAATTACCCAGAATAAAAAAGGAATGAGGCCAGGTGCGGTGGCTCTCGCCTTTGGGAGGCCAAGGTGGGAGGATCACTTGAGGTCAGGAGTTCAAGACTAGCCTGGCCAACATGGTGAAACCCCGTCTCTACTAAAGATACAAAAATTAGCCAGGCGTGGTGGCAGACACCTGTAATCCCAGCTACTCAGGAGGCTGAGGCAGGAAAATCACTTGAACCCGGAAAGTGGAGGTTGCAGTGAGCCAAGATCGTGCCACTGCACTCTAGCCTGGGTGACAGAGCAAGATTTCTCTTAAAAAAAAAAATCAGTAGTTTTTTGAAACCCTTTTTTATTTCTCCTTAAGCACTCTGCCAAATAATTATCCATATAATTAAAATTCTAGGTGACTTCAGCAGTGGGCCAGAGACGTAGACCTTTGTATCCAATGCTTTCAGAAAAGAAGGTAGAATACAAAGTTTCAATCTTGCTATGAATGCCTTTATGAATTTCTTTTATGCACATGTGCAAAAGTTGTTGTAGGATATATATTAGTGAAATTTCTGGGTTACAGAGTATGTGAATGTTTAATTATCCTAGACTCCCAGCCAAATCTAATGGGATCTGGCCTAGAGGCTGCACTTTTATGGAGTGATATAAGATCCATCTCTCCCACTCTCTCCTTTGGACAGATATCAGTGAAAATCGCAGAGTAGAGAGCTCCAAAACATTATGTCTCCACAAAAGCAATGAAAAGCTTGCAAAAATTATCACAATGAACTTTTTCAGAACTTTAGAATCCAATAAAAAAGTTACAACAACCAGGGGAAAGCTTAATGATAAAAAAAAAAAAAGCTGAGTGTCAGTAACAGAGCTTTGTGAATTTTAACTTACCTGGTTACTGTCCGCAACTTCCCAACTCAGCTGCAGACTTGAAAACTGAAGCCCATTTTCCTGCTGCAGGTTGCTGGTAACAGAGGGAACAATACAGACCTTATTCTCAAAGAATTAAAGAATTGTGGTTCTGTGTTTTGACCCATATGGTAGCTTCCTGAAGGATCTGCTCAAGGGCTTACCTGTATTTTACCTGTCTTGGAGCTTCCCCAGAGTTGAGGCTACTTCCAGGGTGGTGTTTGTCAAACAAATTTAAAGGCAAATGTATTAGCTATTGCCACCTGTAGCAAAGGATAACAGCTGCACAAGCAATAGAAAAAACAAAAAGCCTGGGAAAAAAGAGGCTGGAGAAGGACATACTTCAACAAAGAAGGGCTTTGAAAAGCTCTCATGTTACTATGGATTGAATGTTTGTCCCTTTCAAAACTCATGTTGAAACTGAGTCCCCAGTATGGCAATATTGACAGGTCAGGCCTTTAAGAGGTGATTGGGTCCTGAGGGCAGAGGCCTCATGGGTTAATCTATTCATGGATTAATGGGTTGATGGATTAAAGAGTTACTAGCACAGGAGTGGGACTGGTGGCTTTATAAGAAGAGGAAGAGACACCTGAGCTAGCACGCTCATTTCCTTCGCCATGTGATGCCGTGCACCACCTTGGAACTCTGAAGAAAATCTTACCAGCATGAAGGCTGTCATCGGAATGAAGGCTCTCACCAGATGTGGTGCCTTGAAGTTGGACTTCTCAACCTCCATCACTGTAAGAAATAAATTTCTTTTCCTTATAAATTACCCAGTTTCAGGTATTCTGTTACTAGCAACAGAAAATGAATTAAAACACATGTATCCCAGGGAACTGGGCCAGGTGCAATGGCTCACGCCTATAATCCCAGCACTTTGGAAGGTCAAGGAGGGCTGGTCAGGAGTTTGAGACCAGCCTGGCCAACATGGCAAAACCCTGTGTCTACAAAAAATACAAAAATTAGCCTGGCATGGTGGCATATGCCTATAATCCCAGCTACTTGGGAGGCTGAGAGAATTGCTTGAACCTGGGAGGCAGAGGTTGCAGTGAGCCAAGATTGTGCCACTGTACTCCAGCCTAGGCAACAGAATGAGACTTCATCTCAAAATAAATAAATAAATATATAAACAAAATTTAAAAAAATACAAAATACAAAAATTAGGTGGGTATGGTGGCACACGCCTGTAATCCCAGCTACTCAGAAGGCTGAGGCATGAGAATCACTTGAACCTGGGAGGCAGAGGTTGCAGTGAGCTGAGATCACACCACTGCACTCCAGCCTGGGTGACAGAGTGACACTTTGTATCAAAAACAAAAACAAAAAAAAAAAAAGAGAGAGAGTTTTAAAAGAGGAGGAGAAAGAGAAAGGGGCAGAGACAATATTTGAAGAATTAATGGCCAAAACTTCTCAAATGTAATGAAAGACATGACTCTTCACACCCAAGAAGCTCAACAAATTTCAAGTATAGAGAACCAGACAGAGACGCATTATAACCAAGCTGTCAAAAGCCAAAGAGAGCATCTTGAAAGCAGCAAGAGAGAGGCAACTCATTATTTACAAGAAATTCTAAATAAAATTAACAATTGATTCCTCATTAGAAACTATGAAAGCCACAGTTAGTGGATGACACATTTAAAGTACTGAAAGAGAAAAAATGTCAACCAAAAAAAAAAATTCTTTCTTTTGAGACAGGGGAGTATAGACTGGAGTGCAGTGGCATGATTTCAACTCACTGCAACCTCCGCTTCCAAGGCTCAAGTGACTCTCCAGCCTCAGCCTCGTGAGTAGCAGGGACTACAGGCACAAGCCACCAATGCCGGGCTAATTTTTGTATTTTTTGTAGAGTTGGGATTTTGTCATGTTGCCCAGGTTGGTCTTGAACTCCTGAGCTCAAAACAATCCTCCCCCCTCAGCCTCCCAAAGTGCTGGGATTACAAGCATGAGCCAGCAAGCCTGGCCAAAAAATTTTATCTGGCAAAACTATATTCAGTAATGAAGTAGAAATTAAGACACTCCCAGATTAACAAAAACTGGAGAAATTTGTCACTAGTAGACCAGCCCTACAGGAAATGCTAAAAGGAGTCCTTCAGGCTGACATGAAAGGCAATATACAGTAACTTGCGGCCATGTGAAGAAAGAACTTCAGTAAAGGTATTACAACTACATAGGTAAAGGTATTATAACTACAAAAAACAGTATTACTATATTTTTGCTTTATAACTCCTTGTTTTTTATATGATTTAAAAGACAAGTGCATAAACAATAGTTATAAATATATGTTAATCAGCACACGATGCATGAAGATGTAGTTTGCAGCAATAGCAACATAAAGGAGGGATGGAGCTATGTAAGAGCAAAGTTCTGTATGCTATTTAAACTAACCTGGTATAAATTCAAACTTGATTGTTATAAATTATAATGTTAACTGTAATCCTCAGGGTAATCACTAAGAAAATAACTAAAAAATATAAAGTAGAGTCAGGCAGCAGTGCCTGTAGTCCCAGTTACTTGGGAGGCTGAGGCGGGAGGATCCTTTGAGGCCAGGATTTGAGCAGTTAGCTTTGATCACACCTGTGAATAGCCACTTCACTCTGGCTGGGCAAGAAAGTGAACCCCCACCTCTAAAACATAGAGATAAAGCTACATGACCTTGGATCTGGCAACAGTTTTTTAGTTTGACATAAAAACCTCAAGCAACAAAAGAAAAAATAGATAAAATTGTCTGGGAATGGTGGCTCATGCCTGTAATCCCAGCAATTTAGGAGGCCAACTTAGGGCGATCACTTGAGGTCAGGTGTTCTAGACCAGCCTGGCCAACACGGTGAAACCCCGTCTCTACTAAAAATACAAAAATTAGCCAGGAGTGGTGGTGCACGCTTGTATCCCAGCTACTCAGGAGGCTGAGGCAGGAGAATTGCTTGAACTTGGGAGGCGGAGGTTGCAGTGAGCCAAGCTTGTGCCGCTGCACTCCAGCCTGGGTGATAGAGCAAAACTTCGTCTCAAAATAAAAAAAAAAAAAAGGAAGGAAGAAAAAGTAGATAAATTGAGCTTCATCAAAATAAAAACTTTTGTGCATCTAAAGACCCTATCAAGAAAGTGAAAAGACAACCTACGGAATAGGAGAAATTATTGGCAAATCATGTATCTGCTAAGTCTAGTATCTATAATACATGAAGAACCCTTATAATTCAACAAGAAAAAAGACAAGCAAGCCAAATAAAAAATAGGCAAGGGATATGAATAGTTCTTCAAATAAGATATTCTAATGGCCAATAAACACATAAAAATATGCTCATCATTCATCACAAGGGAGATGCAAATCAAAATCACAAGATATCATTTTATACCTATTAGGATGGTTATAATTTTCTGCTGTTGTTTTTTGTGTTTTTGTTTTTGATGATGGTTTTATTTTATTTTATTTTTTTTGAGACAGAATCTTGCTCTATCGCCCAGGCTGGAGTGCAGTGGCGTGATCTCAGTTCACTGCAACCTCTGCCTCCCGGGTTCTAGAGATTCTCCTGCCTCAGTCTCCCGAGTAGTTGGGACTACAGGCATGTGTCACCATGCCCAGCTAATTTTTTGAATTTTTAGTAGAGACAGGGTGTTAGCCAAGATGGTTTCGGTCTCCTGACCTCATGATCCACCTGCCTCTGCCTCCCAAAGTGCTGGGATTATAGGCATGAACTACCATGCCCAGTCAAAAACATTTTTTTTTGAGACAGGGTCTTGCTCTGTTGCCCAGGCTGGAGTGCAGTGCCATGATCACAGCTCACTGCAGCCTTGACCTCCTGGGCTCAGGAGGGTGATCCTGCCATCTCAGACACCCAGGTATCTGGAACTACAGGTATGCACTGCGATGCCTAGATATTTTGGATTTTTTGTACAGATGGGGTTTCTCCATATTGCCCGGGCTGGTCTTGAACTCCTAGGTTCAAGTGATCCACCTGCCTCAGCCTCCCAAAGCTCTGGGATTACAGGCATAAGCCATGAGCCATTGTGCCCAGACTAAAACATTTTTTAAACCAGAAAATAAGTGTTGGCAAGGATGGAGAAAACTGCAACTCTTGTACATTGCTGATGAGAATGTAAAATGGTGCAGCTGCTGTGGAAAACAGTTTGGTGGTTCCTCAAAAAGTTAAACAAAGAATTACACACAAGAGTTAGCAATTCCGCTCCTAGGTGTTTACCCAAAAGAATTGAAAATAGGAACTCAAACTCAAAAATACTAAGAATATTGTCATATTCTGTCATAATACTAAGAATATTGTCATATTCTTAGCAGTATTATTCACAATAGCCAAAATGTAGAAATAACCCAAATGCCCATTAACTGATAAGTGGATAAATAAAAGTAGTATGTCCATATAATGGAATATTATTCAGCCATAACAAGAGTTAAAATTCAGCTGGGTGCAGTGTCTCATGTCTGTAATCCTGGAAGGCTGAGGCAGGTAGATCACTTGAGCCCAGGAGTTCGAGACCAGCCTGGGCAACATGGCGAAACCCTGTCTCTACAAAAATATACAAAAATTAGCCAGGCCTGGTGGTGCATATCTGTAGTCCCAGCTACTCGGGAAGCTGATGTGGAAGGATTGCTTGAACCTGGGAGGCAGAGGCTGCAGTGAGTCAGAAGCTGCAGTGAGTCAGAAGCTGCAGTGAGCTGAGATTGCACTGAGAGGTGACAACGTGCTGGCAGCCCTTGCTCACTCTTGGCACCTCCTTGGCCTCGGCGTCCGCTCTGGCCACGCTTGAGGAGCCCATCAGCCCACCGCTGCACTGTGAGGGCCCCCCTTGGAGTCTGGCCAAAGCCAGAGCTGGCTCCCTCTGCTCCTGGGGAGATTTCAGGGAGAGGCGTGGGTGGGAGCCAGGGCTGCAGGCGCAGGTTCTGGGTGGGCATGGGCTTGGCGGGCCCTGCACTCCTAGTGGCCGGCACCTACTGGGCTTCATCTGGGACGAGCTCCCTCTGGGCTGCCGGAATGCCTGGGCTAGGTGCCGCAAAGTCCCATGGGAAGTGCCACTGAGAGGTGAACCCGGCTGGGCTTCTGGGTTGGGTGGGGACCTGGAGAACTTTTCTGTCTAGCTAAAGGTTTGTAAAAACACACCAATCAGCACTGTGTCTAGCTAAAGGTTTGTAAATGCACCACTCAGCACTCTGCGTCTAGCTAATTGGGTAGGGGACTTGGAGAACTTTTGTGTCTAGCTAAAGGTTTGTAAATGCAGCAATCAGCCTTCTGTCAAAACGGACCAATCAGCTCTCTGTAAAACAGACCAATCAGCTCTCTGTAAAATGGACCAGTCAGCTCTCTGTAAAATGAACCAATCAGTAGGATGTGGGTGGGACCAGATAAGGGAATAAAAAGCAGGCTACCCAAGCCAGCAGCGGCAAGCCGCTTGGGTCCCCTTCCATGTTGTGGAAGCTTTGTTCTTTCACTCTTCACAATAAATCTTGCTGCTGCTCACTCTTTGGCTCTGCACCACCTTTATGAGCTATAACACTCACCACGAAGGTCTGCAGCTTCACTCCTGAGGCCAGCAAGACCACAAACTCACCGGAAGGAACAAACAACCCCAAACGCACCGCCTTTAAGAGCTGTAACACTCACCGCAAAGGTCTGCAGCTTAATTCCTGAAGTCAGCGAGACCACGAACCCACCAGAAGGAAGAAACTCTGGACACATCTGAACATATGAAGGAACAAACTCTGGACACACCATCTTTAAGAACTGTAACACTCACTGCGAGGGTCCACGGCTTCATTCTTGAAGTCAGCGAGACCAAGAACCCAGTAATTCCGGACACATTTTGGTGACCACGAAGGGACTATCGCCTATCACCAAGCAGTAAGACTATCACCAAGCAGTGAGACCACTGCCTATCGCCAAGCGGTGAGTACTATTGAACCCCTTTCACTTGCTATTCTGTCCTATTATTCCTTAGAATTTGGGGGCTAAATAACGGGCACCTGTTGGCTAGTTAATAGCGACTAGCGCGGCTGCCGGACTAAAGACACGGGTGTCAGGCTTTCTGGGAAAGGGCTCTCTAACAACCCCTGACTCTTCGGAGTTGGGAGCATTGGTTTGCCTGGAACCAGCTTCCACTTTTCCTGTACTTCTGGGCTGAGCTGAGGGTTGACAGAGAGGAAAGCCATTCAGCTCTGGGGTCCCAACAGCAAGCTGGTTGACCCTGTAGCCATGAGCGGAACTCTCAAGTCATGTCACCCAAGCGAGACTCGCCCATCTATTCTATCTACCCTGACCCTTGCCTCCTGGGTCCTAATGCCTGCTAGACAAACTTCCTCTTGCCTCTCTTCTCCGAAGCTAGTCCCGCTTCTAAAAGTCACTCCCTGTCTCTGGTGCTTTTCTAGTTTCTCTTATAAGAATGATTTCTAGTATAAACTCCAGGACTCTGTTACCTTCTTTCAGCACCTGGGGTCACCAATCAGAAAGACATAATTTTTGCCCAAAGCCCCATCATGGGGGGACTACCTGGAATTTTAGGATCCCTCCTCAGACTAGCAGGCCTAACAAAAGCTATTCCTGAAGCTAGGATATGGGAAGCCTCAGAAATTGTATCCTTCCTATTCATATAAGTGAGGACAAAAGGTGTCACTCTTCCAACTCTGGAGATCCCTTCCCTCCCTCAGGGTATGGGCCTCCACTTCATTTTTGGGGCATGACATCTCTATAGGACATGGGTAAGGTCCCAATACTAACATGAGAATGCTTAGGACTCTAAAAAGTTTTGAAGAATGCATCAGTCAGGGCCATTAAATCCGATTTTTCTCAGTCCTCCTTGTGGTCTAGGAGGACAGGCAAGGGTACAGGTTTTTGAGAATGCATCAGTAAGGGCCACTAAATCCGACCTTTCTCAGTCCTCCTTGTGGTCTGGGAGGAAAACTAGTGTTTCTGCTGCTGCGTTGGTGAGCACAACTATTCTGATCAGCAGGGTCCAGGGACTGTTGTGGGTTCTTGGGCAGGGGTTGTTTTTGCTGCTGCATTGGTGAGCGCAACTATTCCAGTCAGCAGGGTCCAAAGACCATTGCGGGTTCTTGGGCAGGGGGAGAAACAGAACAGAACAGAACAAAACAAAACAAAACAAAACAAAACCATGGGCAGTTTTGTCTTTCAGATGAGAAACACTCAGGTATCAACAGGCTCACCCTTGAAATGCATCCTAAATCATTGGGACCAATTTGACCCACAAACCCTGAAAAAGAGGTGGCTAATTTTTTCTGCACTATGGCCTGGCCCCAATATTCTCTCTCTGATGGGGAAAAATGGCCACCTGAGGGAAGTATAAATTACAATACTATCCTGCAGCTTGACCTTTTCTCTAAAAGGGAAGGCAAATGGAGTGAAATGCCTATGTCCAAGCTTTCTTTTCACTGAAGGAGAATACACAACTATGCAAAGCCTGCAATTTACATCCCACAGGAGGACCTCTCAGCTTACCCCCATATCCTAGCCTCCCTATAGCTCCCCTTCCCATTAATGATAATCCTCCTCTAATCTCCCCTACCAAGAAGGAAATAAGCAAAGAAATCTCCAAAGGACCACAAAAACCCCTAGGCTATTGGTTATGTCCCCTTCAAGCTGTAGGGGGAGGGGAATTTGGCCCAACCTAGGTACATGTCCCCTTCTCCCTCTATGATTTAAAGCAGATCAAGGCAGACCTTGGGAAGTTTTCAGAAGATCCTGATAGGTACATAGATGTCCTACAGGGTCTAGGGCAAACCTTCAACCTTGCTTGGAGAGATGTCATGCTACTATTAGATCAAACCCTGGCCTTTAATGAAAAGAATGTGGCTTTAGCTGCAGCCCGAGAGTTTGGAGATACCTGGTATCTTAGTCAAGTAAATGATAGAATGATAGCCAAAGAGAGGGATAAATTCCCTACCGGTCAGCAAGCCGTCCCCCGTATGTATTCCCACTGGGGCCTTGACTCAGATCATGGGGACTGGAGTCATAAACATCTGTTGACCTGTGTTCTAGAAGGACTAAGGAGAATTAGGAAAAAGGCCCATGAATTATTCAATGATGTCCACCATAACTCAGGGAAAGGAAGAAAATCCTTCTGCCTTCCTCGAGCAGCTACGGGAGGCCTTAAGGAAATATACTCCCTGTCACTTGAATCACTCGAGGGTCAATTGATTCTAAAAGATAAGTTTATTACCCAATCAGCCACAGATATGAGGAGAAAGCTCCAAAAGCAAGCCCTGGGCCCTGAGCAAAATTTGGAGGCATTATTAAACCTGGCAACCTCAGTGTTCTATAATAGGGACAAAGAGGAACAGGCCCAAAAGGAAAAGCAAGATCAGGGAAAGGCCACAGCCTTAGTCATGGCCCTCAGACAGACAAACCTTGGTAGTTCAGAGAGGACAGAAAATGGAGCAGGCCAATCACCCTGTAGGGCCTGTTACCAGTGTGGTTTGCAAGGACACTTTGAAAAAGATTGTCCAATGAGAAACAAGCTGCCCCCTCGTCCATGTCCACTATGCCCAGGCAATCGCTGGAAGGTGCACTGCCCCAGAGGACAAAGATTCTCTGAGTCAGAAGCCCCCAACCAAATGATCCAACAACAGGACTGAGGGTGCCTGGGGCAAGCGCCAGCTCATGTCATCAACCTCATTGAGCCCTGGGTATGTTTAACCATTGAGGGTCAGGAAATTGACTTCCTCCCGGATACTGGTGCGACCTTCTCAGTGTTAATCTCCTGTCCTGGACGACTGTCCTCAAGGTCCATTACCATCCAAGGAATCCTGGGACAGCCTGTAACCAGGTATTTCTTCCACCTCCTCAGTTGTAATTGGGAGACTTTGCTCTTTTCACATGACTTTCTTGTTATGCCTGAAAGTCCCACACCCTTATTAGGGAGGGATATATTAGCCAAGGCTGGAGCTATTATCTACATGAATATGGGGAAGAAGTTACCCATTTGTTGTCCCCTACTTGAGGAGGGAATCAACCCTGAAGTCTGGGCATTGGAAGGACAATTTGGAAAGGCAAAAAATGCCCACCCAGTCCAAATCAGGCTAAAAGACCCCACCACTTTCCTTATCAAAGGCAATATCCCTTAAGGCCTGAAGTTCATAAAGGATTACAGGATATTGTTAAACATTTAAAAGCTCAAGGCTTAGTAAGGAAATGCAGCAGTCCCTGCAACACCCCAATTCTAGGAGCACAAAAACTGAACGGTCAGTGGAGACTAATGCAAGATCTTAGACTCATCAATGAGGCAGTAATTCCTCTATATCCAGTTGTACCCAACCCCTATACATTGCTCTCTCAAATACCAGAGGAAGCAGAATGGTTCACTGTTTTGGACCTCAAGGATGCCTTCTTCTGTATTCCCCTGCACTCTGACTCCCAGTTTCTCTTTGCCTTTGAGGATCCCACAGACCACACGTCCAACTTACGTGGATGGTCTTGCCCCAACGGTTTAGGGATAGCCCTCACCTGTTTGGTCAGGCCCTGGCCCAAGATCTTGGTCACTTCTCAAGTCCAGGCACTCTGGTCCTTCAGTATGTGGATGACTTACTTTTGGCTACCAGTTCGGAAGCCTTGTGCCAGCAGGCTACTGTAGATCTCTTGAACTTTTTAGCTGATCAAGGGTACAAGGTGTCTAGGTCAAAGGCCAAGCTTTGCCTACATCAGATCAAATATCTAGGCCTAATCTTTGCCAAAGGGACCAGGGCCCTCAGCAAGGAACGAATACAGCCTATACTGGCTTATCCTCACCCTAAGACATTAAAACAGTTGCGGGGGTTCCTTGGAATCACTGGCTTTTGCCGACTATGGATCCCCAGATACAGCAAGATAGCCAGGCCCCTCTATCCTCTAATCAAGGAGACCCAGAGAGCAAATACTCATCTAGTAGAATGGGAACCAGAGGCAGAAACAGCCTTCAAAACCTTAAAGCAGGCCCTAATACATGCTCCAGGTTTAAGCTTTCCCACAGGACAAAACTTCTCTTTATACATCACAGAGAGAGCAGGGATAGCTCTTGGAGTCCTTACTCAGACTCGTGGGACAACCTCACAACCAATGGCATACCTAAGTAAGGAAACTGATGTAGTAGCAAAAGGCTGGCCTCACTGTTTACAGACAGTTGCGGCAGTGGCGGTCTTAGTGTCGAGGCTATCAAAATAATACAAGGAAAGGATCTCACTGTCTGGACTACTCATGATGTAAATGGCACACTAGGTGCCAAAAGAAGTTTATGGCTATCAGACATCACTTACTTAGATATCAGGCGCTACTCCTTGAGGGACTGGTGCTTCAAATATGTACATGCATGGCCCTCAACCCTGCCACTTTTCTCCCAGAGGATGGGGAACCAATCGAGCATGACTGCCAACAAATTACAGTCGAGACTTATGCCACCCGAGATGATCTCTGAGACATCCCCTTAGCTAATCCTGACCTTAACCTATATACCGATGGAAGTTCATTTGTGGAGAATGGGATATGAAGGGAAGGTTATGCCATAGTTAGTGATGTAACTGTACTTGAAAGTAAGCCTCTTCCCCCAGGGACCAGCACCGAGTTAGCAGAACTAGTGGCACTTACCCGAGCCTTAGAACTGGGAAAGGGAAAAAGAAAAAATGTGTATACAGATAGCAAGTATGCTTATCTAATCCTACATGCCCATGCTGCAATATGGAAAGAAAGGGAGTTCCTAACCTCTGGGGGAACCCCTGTTAAATACCACAAGGAAATTATGGAGTTATTGCACACAGTGCAAAAACCCAAGGAGGTGGCAGTCTTACACTGCTGAAGCCATCAAAAAGGGGAAGGAGAGGGGAGAACAGTAGCATAAGCAGCTAGCAGAGACAGGGAAAGACCAGCAGAAAGGAAAGAGAGAAAGAGATAGGAAGTCAGAGAAAAAGAAAGAGAGGAAGAAACAGACAAAAAGAAGGAGACAGAGAGGAAGAGACAGAGAGACAGAAACAGAGAGACAAAAGTCAAAGAAGGAGAAAGAGAGGAAGAGACAGACAAAGAGGGAGTCAGAAAGAGAGAGACAAAGGAGTCAAAGAGAAAGAGAGATGGAAGTAGTAAAGAAAAAACAGTGTACCCTATTCCTTTAAAAGCCAGGATAAATTTAAAACCTATAATTGATAATTGAAGGTCTTCTCCATGACCCTATAACACTCCAATACCACTTTGTTGTCAGCGCAAACAAGGGCATAGCCAAAAAGCACTGAGGCCACTGACAACCCGTAGCCTTCCTATCAAATATCCTTAACCCAGCAGGTTTCCTAACAGGGGATCTAAATTTGAAGGTCTGACCAGACCTAGTAGGAACTCCCTTCAGGAGAGGATGATAGATGGTTCCTCCTGAGCGATTATGGAAAAAGACACAATGGGCATTCAGTAAGTGATAAGGAAATTCTTATAGAAGCAGAGTTAGGAAAATTGCCTAATAATTGGTCTGCTCAAATGTGCGAGTTGTTTGCACTCAGCCAAATCTTAAAGTACTTACAGAATCAGGAGGGAGACATCTATACCAATTCTAAGTTAATATGGACTGAACAAGGTTTTATTAATAGCAAAGAAAAATTAAAATCCCAAACTTACAAGGTTTTCAACTAAAGTAAAGTTTGCTAAAAGTTAACAGTGTAACATGCATTATCTTACTGCCACACACTCTCAAAGAATTTCTCAGACAGTTTGCAGGAAGTGACGAAATCTATCCTTACTCTACAATCCCAAATAGACTCTTTAGCAGCAGTGACTCTCCAAAACCACTGAGGCCTAGACCTCCTCACTGCTGAGAAAGGAGAACTCTGCAGCTTCTTAGGGGAAGAGTGTTGTTTTTACACTAGCCAGTCAGGGATAGTATGAGATGCCATCCAGTGTTTACAGAAAAAGGCTTCTGAAATCAGACAATGCCTTTCAAACTCTTATAACAACCTCTGGAGTTGAGCAACATGGCTTCTCCCCTTTCTAGGTCCCGTGGCAGCCATCTTGCTGTTACTCACCTTTGGACTCTGTATTTTTAACCTACTTGTCAAATTTGTTTCCTCTAGAATCGAGGCCATCAAGCTACAGATGGTCTTACAAATGGAACCCCAAATGAGCTCAATTAACAGCTTCTACCAAGGACCCCTGGACTGACCTGCTGGGCCCTTCCACTAGCCTAAAGAGTTCCCTTCTGGAGGAGACTACAACTGCAGGGCCGCTTCTTCGCCCCTATCCAGCAGGAAGTAGCTACAGTGGTCATCAGCCAAATTCCCAACAGCAGTTGGGGTGTCCTGTTTAGAGGGGGGATTGAGAGGTGACAACGTGCTAGCAGCCCTTGCTCGCTCTCGGTGCCTCCTCGGCCTCAGCATCTGCTCTGGCCACGCTTGAGGAACCCTTCAACCTGCCGCTGTGCTGTGGGGGCCCCTCTCTGGGGCTGGCTGAGGCCGGAGCCAGCTCTCTCTGCTTGTGGGGAGGTGTGGAGGGAGAGGTGCGGGCAAGAGCCGGGGCTGCATGCAGCACTCGCAGGTGGCATGGGTTCCAGGTGGGCGCAGGCTCGGAGGGCCCCGCACTCTGCACGGCCGGCCGGCACTTGCTGGGCTTGATTGGGGTATGAGCTCCCTCTGGGCTGCCGGAGTGCCTGGGCTAGGTGCTGCAAAGTCCCGTGGCAAGTGCCATTGAGAGGTGAAGCCGGCTGGGCTTCTGGGTCGGGTGGGGACCTGGAGAATTTTTCTGTCAAGCTAAAGGTTTGTAAACACACTGATCAGTACTCTTTGTCTAGCTAAAGGTTTGTAAATGCACCAATCAGCATTCTGTGTCTAGCTAAAGGTTTGTAAATGCACCACTCAGTGCACTGTGTCTAGCTAATCGGGTAGGGGACTTGGAGAACTTTTGTGTCTAGCTAAAGGATTGTAAATGCACCAATCAGTGCTCTGTGTCTAGCTAAAGGTTTGTAAATGCACCAATCAGCACTCTGTCATAACGGACCAATCAGCTCTCTGTAAAACGGGCCAATCACCTCTCTGTAAAATGAACCAATCAGTAGGATGTGGGTGGGGCCAGATAAGGGAATAAAAGCAGGCCACCCGAGCCAGCAGTGGCAACCCGCTTGGGTGCCCTTCCATGCTATGGAAGCTTTGTTCTGTCGCTCTTTGCAATAAATCTTGCTGCTGCTCACTCTTTGGGTCCATGCCACCTTTATGAGCTGTAACACTCACTGTGAAGGTCTGCAGCTTCACTCCTGAAGCCAGTGAGACCATAAACCCACCAGGGGGGACGAACAACTCTGGATGGGAGGAACGAACAACTCTGGACCGCCACCTTTATGAACTGTAACACTCACCGCGAAGGTCTGCAGCTTCACTCCTGAAGTCAGCAAGACCACGAACCCACCAGAAGGAAAAAACTCCAGACACATCTGAACATCTGAAGGAACAAACTCCAGACACACCATCTTTAAGAACAGTAACACTCATGGCAAGGGTCCGTGGCTTCATTCTTGAAGTCAGTGAGACCAAGAACCCACCAATTCCGGACACAGCACCACTGCACTCCAGCCTGGGTGACAGAGCCAGATCCTGTCTCAAAAAAAAAAAAAAAAAAGAAAAGGATTAAAATTCAAAAATACCTAGATACCTAGGAATACAGCTAACCAGGGAGGTGAAAGATCTCTACAATGAGAATTACAAAACACTGCTCAACAAAATCAGAAATGACATGAACAAATGGAAAAATATTCCATGCTCATGGATAGTATAGCATGAAAATGGCTATACTATCCAAAGCAACTTACAGATTCAATGCTATTCCTATCAAACTACTAATGACATTCTTCACAGAATTAGAAAAAAAAACTATTTTAAAATTCATATGGAACCAAAAAAGAGCCCACGTAGCCAAGACAATCTTAAGCAAAAAGAACAAAGCCAGAGGCATCACACTACCCAACTTCAGACTATACTACAAGGCTACAGTAACCAAAACAGCATGGTACTAGTACAAAAACAGACACATAAACCAATGGAACAGAAGAGAGCCCAGAAATAATGCCATACACCTACAACAATTGACCTTTGACAAAGCTGACAAAACAAACAATAGTGAACAGACTTTCATTCAATAAATGGTGCTGGGATAACCGCCTAGTTATACGCAGAGGATTGAAACTGGACCCCTACCTTACACCACATAAAAAAATCAACTCAAGAGGAATTAAAGTCTTAAATGTAAAACCTAAAACTATAAAAACCCTGGAAGATAATTTAGGAAGTACCATTCTGGACATAGGACTTGGCAAAGATTTCACAACAAAAATGCCAAAAGCAATTGCAACAAAAACAAAAAATGACAAATGGGACCTATTAATAATTAAACTAGGCCAGGTGCGGTGGCTCATGCCTGTAATCCCAGCAATTTGGGAGGCCGAGGCAGGTGGATCACCTGATGTCAGGAATTCTAGATCAGCCTGGCCAACGTGGTGAAACCCCATCTCTACTAAAAATTAAAAAAAAAAACAAATTAGCTGGGCATGGTGGGCGCTTGTAATCCCAGCTACTTGGGAGGCTGAGGCAGAAGAATTGCTTGAACTCGGGAGGCGGAGGTTTTGATGAGCCGAGATCATGCCATTGCACTCCAGCCTGGGCAACAAGAGCGAAACTCTGTCTCAAAAATAAACTAACTAACTAAATAACTAACTAACGAACTAACTAACTAACTAAAGAGCTTCTGCACAACAAAAGAAACTATCAAAAGAGTAGACAGACAACCTATAGAATGGAAAAAAAACATTTGCAAACTATGCATCCAACAAAGGTCTAATACACAGAATCTATAAGGGACTTAAACAAATGTACAAGCAAAAAAAAACCAACCCCACTAAAAAGTCAGCAAAGGACATGAACAGACACTTTTTAAAGGAAGACATACATGTGGCCAACAAGTATATAAAGAAATGTTCCATGTCACTAATCATTAGAGAAATGCAAATCAAAACCACAATGAGAGACCATCTCACACCAGTCAGAATGGCTATCATTAAAAAGCAAAAAAAGCCAGACGCAGTGCTCATGCCTGTAATCCCAGCACTGTGGGAGGTCAAGGTGGGTGGATTGCTTGAGGTCAGGAGTTCGAGAACAGCCTGACCAACATGGTGAAACCCTGTCTCTGCTAAAAATACAAAAATTAGCTAGGCAAAGTGACACACACCTGTAATATCAGCTACTCAGCAGGCTGAGGCATGAGAATCGCTTGAACCCAGGAGGCAGAGGTTGCAGTGAGCTGCGATCACACTATTGCACTCCAGCCTGGGCAACAGAGGCAGACTCTGTCTCAAAAAAAAAAGAAAAAGGAAAAGAAAAGAAAAGAAAAAGAAAGTCTAAAAATAACAGATGCTGGCAAGGTTGCAGAGAAAAGGGAACACTTATACACTGCTGGTGGGAGTGTAAATTAGTTCAGACATTGTGGAAAGCAGTGTAGATTGCTTGAAAAATATAAAACAGAATTACCATTTGATGCAGCAATCCCATTATTAGGTATATACACAAAGGAATATGCATTGCTCTCCCATAAAGATACATGCACGTGCATTTCACTGCAGCACTATTCACAATAGCAAAGACATGGAATCAACCTACATGCCCATCAATGATAGACTGGATTTTTAAAATGTAGTACATATACACCATAGAATACTATGCAGCAATAAAAAAGAATGAGATCATGTCCTTTGCAGCAACATGGATACAGCTGGAGGTCATTATCCTAAGCTAAGTAACACAGGAACAGAAAGCCAAATACTGCAAGTTCTCATTTCTAAGTGGGAGCTAAACAACGAGCACACAGATACTAGAAGGGGAACAACAGACATTGGGGCCTTTTTGAGGGTGAAGGGTAAAAGGAGGGAAAGGATCAGAAGATATACCTATCGGGTAGCTATGTTTATTACCTGGGTGATTAAATTATCTGTACACCAAGCCCCTGTGAAACACAGTGTACCTATATAGCAAACCTGCACATATACCCCTGAACCTAAAGTTAAAACAAAGAACTGAAATTCTGAGAGACACAGGTAGCCCTGAAAACATTATGCTAAGTCAAATAAGCCTGAAACAAAAGGACAAAAATTCTGTTGTTCCACTTACATAAAGTACCTAGAGTAGTTAAATGCATAGAGACGAGAAATAGAATGGTGGTTGCCAGGGGCTGGCAGGAGGGGAGTAATGGGGAAGTTAATTGCTTAAAAGTTATAATTTCAGTTTGGGAAAATGAAAAAGTTCTGGAGATGCATGGTGGTGATGGTTGCATAACAATATGAATGTACTTAATGCCATTGAGCTGTACACTAAAAAATGGTTAACATGGTAAATTTTATGTTATATAAATTTTGCCATAATTAAAAAAAATCTTTTAAATTTTCCCCCAAAAAATTAGAATTCTTTTGGAAAAAACCTCAAAAACATTTCAAGAAATGGCAATGTTATTAGAATAAGTGTATAACTTTAGAAAACAACAACTTGTAAGAATAAAATGCTTATTTAGATATTTGACTTTTTGTAAGCTTATTAAAAATGAATGTGTCTGGAAATAAGGTAAATTTACAAAGGTAAATATGCTCTTTAACTAAAAACAACCCCAAAACCCTGAAGTACTGATACATGCTATAACATGGATGAAGTTTTAAAATTTATGCTGCATGAAAGACAGACACAACAGGCTATATAAATTTCATTTATATGAAACATCCGGAATAAGCAAATCCCCTATTAGTGGTTTCCAGGGTCTGGGTCATGGGAACAATATAGAATGACTGCTTATTGGGTAAAAGATTTCCTTTTGTGGTGATGCAAATGTTCTGGAACTAGATAGTGATGGTTGCACAACATTGCAAATGGACTAAAACCCACTGAATTGTACACTTAAAATGGGTTTTGTTGTGGTTGTTTTAGAGATAGGGTCTTGCTCTGTTGCCCAGACTGGAGTGCACTGCTGGGTCTGGCCCAGCGATGGATGAAAGGAGTACTCAGGTGTAGGTATCCAGTGAAAGAGCGGGCTAGGGGACCAGGCCGCTCACAGACCCCGAGGAGGGTGTCCTAAAGGGTTGTAGCAGCCGCAGCCCTGACAAGCCTGCGCTGCAGGCATTTATTCAGTACAGATTTAATAACAAAGGCCTTGAGTCAACACACTTTGTGGGTAATTAATATGGTCACCACCCCATCCCACCCCCACCCCGCCCCAAAAAGCAATCCTGCGGATTAAAGGCCAGGTCCCGAAGCAAACTAATTTACCTAGATTAATTTCTTTACATCCCCTTGTTATCTAACCTTTGCTCTCAGGCTCTGGATAAGATAATTTGCCTGCCTTCAGCCAAATCCTCTTTCGAAGCTTTTGCAAAACCTCCTGGCCTTCCAAGAAGGCTTGCATCTTTTCCTATAATTTCTCCCACCACCCTGACGAATCTCCCACAGTGCACCGTAACTTTTAACTCTGGGCTCTGAAGTAGCTGAGACTACATGCAAGGGCCGCCATACCTGGCTAGATTTCTACACTAAATTTTAAGTTATGTTAATTTTACCTCAATTAAAAATGAAAAAACAAGGCAGGGAATTCACCAACTTATGTAGGACTCCAAGATTAGTACTTTTGTAAGATATACATTTATTCAACCATCACACAAAATTCTAGTTGGTACCTACTTTGTGTAGAAAGTGCCTAAGGAAGTATAGTGTGCTCTATGTTGAACAGGAAAATACATTTCCTTTAATTTGCAGTCCTGTATTTCACTCTAAACATAAACATACACACACACAATAAGAATAGGCCCACACTTAAAATTTTGTTAAACATACCAAAAATAAGGATAAAAAATGATTAACAAATTAGAAAATATTTTTATTACTAAAACTGAAAAGTCAACTTTTATTGTTTATACAGAAAATTCTGACCAGCCCGGGCAACAGGGTGAAACCCCGTCTCTACTAAAAATACAAAAATTAGCCAGGCATGGTGGCGGTCACCTGTAATGCCACTTAGGAGGCTGAGGCAGGAGAATCGCTTGATCCCAGGAGGTGGAGGTTGCAGTGAGCGGAGATCGCACCACTGCCCTTCAGCCTGGGTGGCAGAGCGAGGCTCCCTCTCAAGAAAAAAAAATTCTTTTTAAAAATCTGCCAGTGCATTATAGAAATTTGTACATCTTTTTCCTACACCATATATCATTGGTCTGTATAAATAACTTGTTCACAATTTTGTATCTTCTGATAAAACGAGTACTTTCCAAGGGTATGTAGTCATAATTCAGGTAATGATTCAAAATGTGTTGAATCTTATGCCCCTGTGCTGTTCTCTCACTCACTCCTATGGTTTTATGCCTCCTACCCTGGATAATTTGTCCTGATCTTTCAGATTAAAGATCATGTTGTTGATGTTCTGGTAGCCTCAGCTGGTCCTTCATACCACATATGAAATTCTTTTAAAATAATCTTCTTAGTTTAGCGTCTGTCTCCCTAGAGATTATATAATTTCCCCAAAGGCATGGACTTGTTCCCATCTTAAGAGCAGGTCCCAGTATCATAGAGGCACACAATGAATCACTTAATAAGAAATGGATGAATGAATATGTTACACACAGAACTTTTTTTATATAAGAAAAGGACCTTACAATTTTTTTTTTTTTTGAGACGGAGTTTCACTCTTGTGGCCCAGGCTGGAGTGCAGTGGCATGATCTCAGCTCACTGCAACCTCTGCCTCCCAGGTTCAAGCGATTCTCCTGCCTCAGCCTCCTGAGCAGCTGGGATTACAGGCATGCGCTACCACGCCCAGCTAATTTTTGTATTTTTAGTAGAGACAGGGTTTCACCATGTTGGCCAGGCTGGTCTCAAACTCCTGACCTCAGGCAATCCACCCACCTTGGCCTCCCAAACTGCTGGGATCATAGGCATAAGCCAATGTGCTCGGCCCTTTTTTCTTTTTTTTGAGACAGAGACTCGCTCTGTTGCCCAAGCTGGAGTGCAGTGGTGTGATCTCAGCTCACTGCAACCTCCACCTCCCAGGTTCAAGCAATTCTCCTGCCTCAGCTTCCCAAGTAGCTGGAATTACAGGTGCCTGCCACCATGTGTGGCTACTTTTTGTATTTTTAGTAGAGACGTGGTTTCACCATGTTGGTCAGGCTGGTCTCGAACTCCTGACCTTAGGTGATCCGCCCGCCTGAAAGTGTTGGGATTACAGGCATGAGCCACCACACTTCACCAGGACCTCACAATTTTTAAAAAAATTGTCTTATTTCTTGTTTGAATGGTGAATGATGACGGAGAAGAGGGTGCATACTACTGAGGAAGGCATGAAGGAACCTGAGGTTCTTGAACTTGAGAGCTTAATTTTCTCCCAGAAACTTGTCAACCCGAATAGCTCCTTTCTCATTCAATTAGAACAGGGTTTACCTCTCCTTTTGTAGTTAGTAGTTTCTCATTTTTGTGTCCTGGGTTCCAAGAGCATTAGTTAAAGCTTTCCTACTTTCATAAGGGTAATGCTGATAAAATAGCCCCAAAGTGTAAACAATCAAAATGTCTTTCAATGTGTAAATGGTTAAACTGGCACATCCAAACCATGGAATACTACCAAGCAATGAAAGGAAACCAAACTGTTGATAAACACAACTTAGGTGGATCTCAAGGGCATCATATGAGTAAAAAAAAAAAAAAAAAAAAAAGGAAAAAAAAGCTGATGTACTCTACAGTTCCACTTATTTAACATTCTCACTATCACACATTACAGAGATGAAAGATTAGTAGTTGCCAGGTATGGTGAAAGAAAGGGGTGGTGTAACTGAAAAGGGTAACACAAGGGAGCTGTCAGGTGTTGGAATAGTTCTGTGTCATGAAGTAGTGGTGTGCACTCGTGCAGGAACCTCCGCATGTGATACAATGGCATAGAACTATCCACATATGTTGTACCAAAGTCAGTTTTCTGATTTTGATATTGTGCTGTAGGTAGGTAAAAAGTAACCACAGGGGGAAACTGGTTGAAGGGCACAAAATACCTCTTTGTTCTATTTTTGCAGCTTCCTGTGAATCTATAATTATCTCAAAATAAAAAGTCAACAGAAATTTTTAAAAATTTTAAAAGGAAGATTGCTAAGTTTCACAGAGGAAAGCCCCAAACCTTGAAAGGTTGGAGCATTTTTCCAGATGCACCCTAGGAGGGTGGATGCACCCAGGAAGGAAGAGCACCCGGAGGAAGGTTGCATGCAGGACCCCACTCCCACCAGAAATTTACACTGGCTCTAACCTCCTTCTAGAATTAATAGCTACCTCAGCTGTTGAGAACAGAAACAATGCTACCTATTGCATATAAGTGTAGATGATAAAGGAACCTTGGTGAGCCAAATCCACAAAGCTCCCCTAAAAAGGCTGGAGCATAGTGGAGAAATGCAGATTTGCCCACAGCCAGCCACTTGGCTGATGACAGTCTCCAGACCTGTAAGCCAAAGTCCTTTCCCCAACACCTTGTGACCCCTTGTAACAAAATCCTGAAATTCTGCCAACAGAGGTTAAAGACAAATTCTTTGGTCATTAACATAAAATGCCACCCATTCAAAATTCTAGAATAGGACTTTTTTTTGAAATGTGGATGAGAGGTACTGCTAAAAAATTTGTAATACCTCTTCCATGCTTTTCACAAAAATGAATTAAAACATTTGAGGGAAAATAAAAAACGGCAATGCTGAAATCCACTACCCTACTATCATAACACTCTGCTTCCAAGGTCCCAGTGGGCATATTGTTACCTCACTGCTATGTCCTGCTGTCATTCAGAGCACAGCCCTCCCAGGACAAGAGCCAGTGTTTATCTGTTTTAAATAGATTTATTGAGACATAATTTACATGCCATAAAATTAACCCATTTCAATGGTTTTTGCTATGTTCACAAAGTTGTGTATCCATCACAACAATCTAATTTTAGACCATTTCCATCATCCCCACAATAAACTTTGTGCCCAGTAGCTGTCAGTCCTTACTCCCCCCTCACCTCACATTTAGGCAACCATACTTCCTGTCCTTATATGGTTACCTATTCTAGATATGTCATATAAATAGAATTATACAGTACATTTTGTTTTGTGTCTGGCTTCTTTCACCAAGCATAATGTTTTTGAGGTTCATTCATGCAGTAAGTCTCAGTATTTCACTTCTTTTTACTGTCAAATAGTATTCTATTGTATAGATATATCACATTTTGTTTATCCATTCACCAACTGATGGACATGTGAGTTGTTTCCACTTTTTTACTTTTGTGAATATTGCTGCTCTGCATATTCACATAAAAATCTTTGTGTGAAAATGTTTTCATTTATATTTGATGGATACCTATGAGTAGAACAGCTGGGTCACACGGTAACTCTTATGTTTAACCTTCTGAGAAACTCTCAAACTATTTTCCAAACTGGCTGCACCATTTTACATTCTTACCAGCAACATGAGGGTTCTAGTTTCTCCACATCCTTGCTGACACTTGTTATTATATCTTTTTTATTACAGCCACTACAGTGAGTATAAAGTGGTATCTCATTGTGGTTTTGATTTGTATATCCTTGGCAACTAAGAACATTAGTCATCTTTTCATGTGCTTATTGGCGATTTACGTATCTTCTTTTTAGAAATATCTATTCAAGTCCTCTGCCCATTAAAACAATTAAGTTGTTAAGAGTTCTTTATATATTCTGGATATAAGTCTCTTAGTGGATATATGATTTATAAATATTTCTCTCATTCTGTGGGTTATCTTTCACTTTCTTGTGGTTTTTGAAATTCAAAAGTCCAATTTATTATTTTTTTTTACCAATGTGCTTTTGTTATCATTTATAAGAAATCATTGCCTAACTTAAGACCACAGATTTACACGCCATGTCTTATTCTAATGTTTACAGTTGTATCTCTTAAATTTAGGTGTGCGATGCATTTTGAGTTGATTTTTGTGTATGGTATGAGGCTGAAGGCCAATTTCACGTTTTTTTTTTTTTTTGCATATGGATGTCTAACTGTCCCAGCACCATTTTTGAAAAGACTCTCTCCGATTGAATTTTGACATCTTTGTCAAAAATCAATCGACTGTAATGAAAGGGTTTATTTCTGGGTTCTCAATTTTATTTCACTGGTCTATAGTTTATCCTTATGCCAATACTACACTGTATTGATTACCATAGGTTTGCATTACATTTTGAAGTGAGGGTGTGTCTAAGTTCTCAAACTATAGTCAATTTTTCAAGATTATTTTGGGCTATTCTGGGATCTTTTCATTTCCTAAGAATTTTAGTTTATCAATTTATGCCCAGCCAGGTGTGGTGGCTCTGTAGTCCCAGCACTTTGGGAGGCTGAGGCAGGTGGATCGCTTGAGCTTGGGAGTTTGACACCACCCTGTCCAACATGGCAAAACCCCATCTCTACAAAAAATACAAAAATGAGCCAGGTGTGGTGGCGCATGCCTATAGCCCCAGCTACTTGTGGGGACTGAGGCAGGAGGATCACTTAAGCCTTGGAGGCAGAGATTGCAGTGAGCCAAGACTGGGGCACTGCACTCCAGCCTGGGTAACAAAGCCAGGTGCTGTCTCAAAAAAAAAAAAAAAAAGTCCCCAAAAAAGTCAGCAGAGATTTTGATAGGATTTGCATTAAATACGCAAACCAATTTGGGGGATTTTTGCCATCTTACCAATATTAAGTCTTTCACTCTACAAATATACTATGTTCTTTCATTTATTTAGGTCTTCTTTAATTTCTTTCAGCAATGTTTCTTAAGAGTAGAAGCATTGCGCTTTTGCTAAATTTGTTCCTAAGTATTGCATACTTTTTTGATGCTACTGTGAATGGAATGTTTTTCTTATTGTTAGGGTTTTTTTTGTTTTTGTTTTTTTTGTTTTAGATGGAAACTTGCTCTGCCGCCCAGGATGGAGTGCAGTAGTGTGATCTCGGTTCACTGCAACCTCCACCTCCCGGATTCAAGCAGTTCTCCTGCCTCAGCCTTCTGAGCGGCTGGGATTACAGGCGCATGCCACCACGCCTGGCTAATTTTTTTTTTGTATTTTTAGTAGAGATTGGGTTTCACCAAGTTGGCCAGGCTGGACCTGACTTCCTGACCTCATGATCTGCCTGCTTTGGCCTCCCAAAGTGCTGAGATTACAGGTGTGAGCAATTGTGCCCGACCAAGTTTCAAAGTATTAAATGCTGGTATACAGAAATACATTTGACTTTCGTATATTGATTTTGTATCCTGTGACTTGGACGAACTTATTAGTTCTTGTAGTTTTATAGTAAACTGTGCATAATTTTTTTTTCTTTTTCTTTTTTGCTGAGATGGAGTCTCACTCTGTTGCCCAGGCTGGAGTGCAGTGGCACAATCTCCGCTCACTGCAAGCTCTGCCTCCTGGATTCATGCCATTCTCCTGCCTCAGCCTCCTGAGTAGCTGGGACTACAGGCGCCCATCACCACGACTGGCTAATTTTTTTCTTTTTTTTGTATTTTTAGTAGAGACAGGGTTTCACGGTGTTAGCCAGGATTGTCTTGATCTCCTGACCTCGTGATCCACCCGCCTCAGCCTCCCAAAGTGCTGGGATTACAGGCGTGAGCCACTGCACCCAGCCGAACTGTGCATAATTTTCTACATACAAAGTCACGTCATCTGGAAATGAAGAATTTTGTAACTGCCTCCACCCAATGGGTTATTCCTGCCTGCTGCACAATAAAGACCACAGCAGTGCAGTAAAGAAAGAGTTTAACTGACACAAGGCCAGCCATACCTTGTGGGTATGAGTTATTACTCAAATCAATCTCCCCCAAAATTTGGAGATTGGGGTTTTTAAGGATAATTTGGTGGGTAGGGGGTCAGAAAGTAGGAAGTGCTGATTGGGTCGAAGATGAAATCACAGGGAGTCAAAGCTGTCTTCTTGTGCTGAATCAGTTCCTGGGTGGGGACAAGACCAGGCAAACTAATTTACCAATCTGGGTGATGCACTGGAATGCAGGGTCTGCAAAATACCTCAAGCACTGATCTCAGGTTTTACAACAGTGACTCCTAAATCATAATTTCTAATCTTGTGGCTAATTTGTTAGTCCTGCAAAGGCAGTCTACTCTCCAGGCAAGAAGGGGGTTTGTTTTGGGAAGGGGCTGTTATTGTCTTTATTTCAAAGTTAAACTATAAACTAAGTTCCTTCTAAAGTTAGTTCAGCCTACAGGAATGAGCAAGGACAGCTCTTGCAGGTTAGAAGCAAGATGGAGTCGGTTAAGTCAGATCTCTTTCACTGTAATAATTTTCTCAGTTACAATTTTTGCAAAGGTGGATTTCGGTTTTACTTCCTACTTTTCTAGATGCCTTTATGTTTTCTTGCCTCAACAACCTGGATAGAACCTCCAGGATAATGTCGAATAGATGCGGTAAGAGTAAGCATCTTATTTCTGATTTTAAGAGACAATCATTTAGTCTTTCACTATTAAGTAGGATGTTAGCTATAAAATTTTTCTAGATGCTCTTTATCATGTTGAAGAAATTCTTTTCTATTCCTAGTTTGTTGAGGTTTTTAAAAAATCAATAGGCATTGAATTTTTGAAATGCTTTTTTGAAAATGAGCATGTCTAATGAGGATGTGTTTGTCTTTCATTAATAAAATGTATTATAGTAACTGATTTTCAGATATTAAACCAGCCTTGCATTCTCAAGATAAGTCTTATTTAGTCAAACTGTATAATCGTATTTATACGTTGCTGGATTTGGTTTGCTAGTATTTTCTTAAGGGTTTCTTGGCATCTTAACATATGGGGAATATTGGTATGTAGTTTTTTTGTAATGTCTTTGTCCAGTTTTGGCATCAGGTAATACTGCCTCATAGAATCAAGTGGGAAGCTTTCTTTCCTCTATATTCTGGAAGAGTTTGTGAAAGATTTGTAAGCAATTTTTGTTAAATGTTGGGTAGAATCCTCCAGTGAAATTTTCTGGGCCTAGGTTTTGCTTTTGGGGAAGATTTTAAATTGTTGATTCAATCTCTTGCTTTAAATTTACTTAGATTTCTATTTCTTCTTTTCAGACAGGGTCTCACTCTATTTCTCAGACTGGAATGCAGTGGTGTGATCACTGCAGCCTTGACCTCCTGGGCTCAAGCAGTCCTCCCACCTCAGCCTTCCAAGTAGCTGGGACAACTAGCTAGCCACCACACCTGGCTAATTTTTGTACTTTTTTCTGTAGAGACAGGTTTTCACCGTGTTGCCCAGGCTGCTCTTGAACTCCTGAGCTCAAGTGATCTGCTTGCCTCAGCCTCCCAAAATGCTGAGATTACAGATGTAAGCCACCGTGTTCACCCTCTATTTCTTCTTGTGTCAGTTTCATTTTATCTTTCTTGGAATTTGCTCATTTCACATGACTAATTTGTTGGCATGCAGTTATTCATAGTATTCTTTTACAATATTTGTAACTTCTGTAAAATTGGTAGTGATGTTCATGCTTTCATTCCTCATTTTAATAATTTAAGTCTTCACTTTTTTCTTGGTCAGTGTCATTAATGTCTGTCAATTTCTTGATCTTTTCAAAAAACTAACTTTTGGTTTTATTGATTTCTATTTTATTTATTTCCTTTCTATTCATTATTTCCTTCTTTATGATTGCTTTGGGTTTGTTCTTCTTTTTCTACTTTCCAAAAGTACAAAGTCAAATTATTGATTTGAGATCTTCTTTTCTAATATAGGAGCTTACAGCTATTCCCTGTACATTGCTTCCACTGTATCCCAGAAATTTCGATACCTTTTTTTCCCTTTTCTTTCTTGAGACAGTTATCACTCTGTTGCCCAGGCTGGAGTGCAGTGGCATGACCATGGCTCACTGCAATCTTGCCCTTTCAGGCTCAAGTGAACTGCCCACCTCAGCCTCCCAAGTAGCTAGGACAATGGGCATGTGCTACCATGCTAGACTAATTTTTTTTTAGATGGGGTCTATGTTTCTAGGTTGGCCTTGAACTCTTGGGCTCAAGTGGTCCTACTGTCTCAGCTTCCCAAAGTGCTGGGATTACAGGTATGAGTCACCATACCAGGCTCTTGTATTTAATTTTCATTCATCTCAAATAATTTTCTAATTTCTATTATTTCTTCTTTTTTAATCAATTGGTAACACAGTGCATCATTTAATTCTCATATATTTGTATTTTCCAAAATATTTCTTATGTTTGTTTGTGGCCTGATAAAATACTTTGTATGGTTTTAAGTCTTTTAAATTTTTTGAGACTTGTTTTATGGCCAAGTATATGGTCTATCCTGGAGAATGTACCATATGCACTTAAGAAGATGTCTAGTCTGCTATTGTTAAAATGTTCTATAGGCGTTAGTTGGGCCAGTTATTTGATAATACAGTTCAAGTGTTCTACATTCTTAATTTTTTGTCTGGGTTTTATCTATTATAGAGAGTGGAATGGCCTACACGGTGGCTCACGCCTATAATCCTAGCACTTTGGGAGGCCGGGGCAAGTGGATCACCTGAGGTCAGGAGTTCAAGATCAGCCTAGCCAACATGGTGAAGCACCATCTCTATTCAAAATACAAAAATTATCCGAGCATGGTGGTGCCCACCTGTAATCCCAGCTACTCTGGAGGTTGAGGCAGTAGACTCTCTTGAACCTGGGAGGCAGAAGTTGCAGGGAGCCGAGATCATGCCACTGAACTCCAGCCTGGGTGACAGAGTGAGACTCTGACTCAAAAAAAAAAAAAAAAAAAAAAAGAGAGAGAGAGAGAAAGCAGAGTATTGAAGTCTTCATTTATTATTGTTGAATTTTCTGTTTCTCCCTTCAACTACCTTCTCTTCGTTCTTAACAGCTACTCCAGAGTCATCTTTTACAAAAATAAGGATTGCGTCACTCCTCTTCAAAACCCTCTACTGCCTTCATATCTCACTCAGAATAAAATCCAAAGTACCTGCAATACCTAAACGTCTCATAAAATGTGCTTACCTCTCCCTGCATTCCGCACTACCCTCCCTCTCCTGTTACCCAGCCATTAACCCCCCCAGGCCCCTTGCTTAAATGTATCGAACACTTTGTCCACAGGATCTTTGTGTTTGTTCTGTTGTAATGCTCTTCTCTCGGATACCTGCATGGCACCCTTCCTCACTTTCTTCAGATCTTTGTTCAAATGTCCTGAGAGGTCTTCTCTGCTCACTCTATGTTAAATTGTAATGTCTTTCTTCATTTTTTTCTCCATAACACTTTTCTCCATCTGTCATAATGTATATATTGTAATCATGTAAATAATTTTTTATTAACTGTCTTTTTTCACTAGAATGTAAACTTCAAGTGCATAGGGATGCCTGTTTTATTCTCATGTATCTTCAGCACAGTGCCTGTCACAGAGGTGACCAATAAATGCATGCTTCATGAACAAATGAATGCCCTGAGCACTGCTTGAGGAAACCAGTCAGCTGGGAAGTAAACTAAGTCAGATTCATTGGTTAATCTCAAATGAACCCTAAACACTAATTCCTTCTGTAAGACTCTGCAACTGTGAACGATCATTTTCTTAGAATTCTGTCACTGATATTAAAATTATCTGTAGTAATGCTGATTTGGTTGAGCTAGCTCACTGCTCCCTTCCATTTTCATCTTTTCCCAAATATTTATTGAGCATTTGCTGTATGCCAAGCACTGGATACGAAGTGGTAAACCTATAGTGACAAAGCCCATGCCCTTATGAACTCTGAAGTATAATTATCTGAAACTCACCATGCCAAAGTTAATCAGACCACTGCCCCTAGACATTCCTTATACAGTTTACTTTCCAGTTTCAATAATCTTCTCCCAGATAGACCAAAATTAAATCGAATTCTAGCAAACAATTTACATTGAACCTTGCCAAATTCATGCACATAAGTCAGCTTTCAAACACAGTCAGCCCTCCATATCCATGGGTTCCACATCTGTGGATTCAAACAAACTCTTATGGAAAATATTTGGAAAAAAAACTTAGGCCTGGCACGGTGGCTCACACCTGTAATCCCTGCACTTTGGGAGGCCGAGGTGGGTGGATCACCTGAGGTCAGCAGTTTGAGACCAGTCTGGGCAACATGGTGAAACCCCATCTCTACTAAAAATACAAAAATTAGCTGGGCGCAGTGGCGCGTGCCTGTAATCCCAGCTACTTGGAAGGCTGAGGTAAGAGAATCACTTGAGCCCCGGAGGCAGAGGTTGCAGTAAGCTGAGACTGCATTGCACCATTGCACTCCAGCCTGGGCGACAGAGCAAGACTCCATCTCAAAAAAAAAAAAAAAAAAGAGAAAAATTTTAAAAGGCAATATAATTAAAAAACCAGAAATAATATGGTACAATTATTTATATAACATTACATTGTATTAGGTATCATATTAATAAATAATGTAGAGATTATTTAAACTGTTAGGAGGATGTGTGTAGGTTATATGCAAATACTATGCCATTTTGTATCAGGGACTTGAGCATTCATGAATTTTGGTATCTGAGTAGTTCTGGAAGCAATTCCCCCAGATATAGAGAGAGGACTGTACTACAGAAGTGAAAATTTAAGCATCATAGGTATTTTAAAAATAGTTTGAAGAAAATAATTGGTAGTAAAATTGCATCTATAGATTTTGAAATCTAAGTACAAATTAATAGCATTAAACTAATGTCTGAGAAATGTTCTTCACATTGCATTTTATGCTTCCGCTACAAATCCCAGTACTAAAACTTTTAAAGGCATTTCATATTAACTATTATGCAGAAATATTTTTATGGCATTGTGGTTCATTATAGTGGTTATATTGTCAGTTTTCAAAAAAATAAGGTCTATTTCAAATATTCCTGGCATATATGAAACTTTAGCCAGAGTAATTTTTCTAATTGTTAAAAGGGTTTTTGCCTTTTGTCAGCAAGTACTATAGTCAAAATATTTCAACCACAGATTCTTCTTATTCCATCAGAGGACAGCCAAGTATCTGAATGATACCTCAGAGGTACAGAAAGGACACAATAGCAGTCAGCAGAAATATTTTAATCTACTCACCAGACAGAAGTCTAATTGCTCCCCTATTTCATTTGACAACCAGAAACACTGTTTTGAGAAAAAATTTTGTGGGTTTCTTTTTATACAAACATAACCAAGTGCTAGTTCCCCACCTAACTTTCCCATAAAATTTTACCTGGTTGATTTCTGAGCAGTTTCATTAGAAATCTAAGGACATGACAGAATATCAGTGAAGCAAAATCAGCATAATCACAGGATAAATTAAAGTAAAAATCCAATACTTCAGTTCAAGGCAATTCAGCAAAGTTGTACCATGACCTGCCCAGAAACAAAGCAAAATGAAAATAATCCCATGAGCCTGTGTTCCTGGAAAACTTAGCAGAAGCAAGATCACCATGAGAACGTGCATATTTTGGTCTGGGACTCACCCAAATAGTGTAATAATGAAAAGTTTGCTAAAAAAGGAGATTACTTCAGGAACTTCCAGTGACAACCCCGGTTTTCCTCTGGGAGAGTCAAAGCAAAACCAGCAGCAGAACAGTGGAATGGGGCAGTGCTCCTAAGCTTTTTGGTCTTGGGAAATCTTTACCTGTCAAAAAATTACTGAGGATCAGTGACAACTTTTGCTTGTGTGATTTTTATCTATCAATATTTACCATATATCAGAAGTTAAAATGAAGAATTTGTATACTCATTAACTTACATAAAAATAATTTTTAAAACCCTACATGTTAACATAAATAACATTTTATAACAATACTTCCCAGAAAAAATACGTTAAGAAGTGTGGCGTTGTTTTTAATGTTTAGTGTTTTCCAATGTCTTTACTTAATGTCTAGCTTAATCAAAGATAACGAGATATTCGTGTCTGCTTTTGCATCAAATCTATTGCCATATGCCGTTTGGCTGAAGTACAGGAATATGAAGAAAATGCAGCCTCACACAGATGTTATAAAAAGGAGAATAACCTTTTTACAATCTTTTTTTTAATAACCAAAGGTATTTGAATAACCTTTCCAGAAAACTGCATCTATCCTTATTTGATCCTATTCCAGTGCTCAAGTGTCAGGTTTTTTTTTTTTTTTTTTTTTGGAGATGGAGTTTCACTCTTGTTGCCCAGGCTGGAGTGCAGCAGCATCATCTCAGCTCACTGCAACCTCCACCTCCCAGCTTCAAGCAATTCTCCTGCCTCAGCCTCCCGAGTAGCTGGGATTACAGGCATGTGCCACCACACCCAGCTAATTTTGTATTTTTAGTAGAGCCGGGGTTTCTCCATGTTGGTCAGGCTGGTCTCAAACTCCCGACCTCAGGTGATCCGCCCGCCTCGGCTTCCCAAAGTGCTGGGATTACAGGCGTGAGCCACCGCACCAGGCCTTAAGTGTCATATTTTTTAAAAAGATTAGTGTGAAATCTGAAACCCTAGCAATGAAGTTTTCCTACTGTGTTACATTAAAACCTATTGATCTATTTTACTCTTCAAATGGATGTTTTCTCATTTATTATTTTGTAACATTACGTATCAGTCATTTGGAAAATAGGGTTCACTCAGTTATGCAGATCATCCAAATACTGACACATTTTTTATACAAAGTAAAACAAAACATATTTGTTAATATCATCACTGATCTCATCAGAAAAGTATCTAAGTTTTGGGGAGCCCTAAAGCTCACAGTTGTGGATACAAGTTTTCCAAAATACGAATTTTCACTTAAAAGCTCAAATTTTCATTGGCAACAAACATCATCAGTTGTTTTCACTGAAGTGGCAATCTGGTTTAGTTCATTTTTCAAAAATGTCTGCCAAATATCCAAGTCTGAAGCACCATAGTTTGTCAATCTATCACGTAAAAACTGTTCAATGGAATAAAGTGGTGGCTAAGTTCAGCTGTCAAGTCAAACAATAGCCAAGTACTTTTCCTCCAGCCAACCATCATACTGATCGGAAAGCACAATGTTACAGCGCTGTATGCATACTTCCTGCTTTGTCACATAAAATACATTAACAAGATATGGATGCTGGGCTCTATGACTCTTGCCTGTAGTTCCAGCTACTAGAGAGGCTGAGACGGGAGGGTCACATGAGCCCAAGAGTTTGAGGTCAGCCTGGTCGGCATAGCGAGACCCTGGCTCTAAAAAGGAAAAAGAAAAAAAAAAATTTTGACTCAAGGGTAAAAAAGTAAAAGTATATCATGCCTTAGCATTATTATGAAAACAGTTTTGACTCACAGATCCCTTGCAAGTCTGTGACACTCAGGACTGCACAGACCAGACTTCTGAGTTTGGCTGGGCTAGGAGGAGAGAAATGGCCAAGGACAGCAGGATACACTTTGTATCCACCAGCTGCCAGGTACCGGACAAAATAGAAACGATGTTCTACATTCATTGTCTCATGTGGTAGTATAAATCCAAACCCCTTCTAAACAATTATTTGTGCCTCCATTTTAAAGGCAAAGAAATAGGCTTACAGAAAGCTGTAGAACAGAGCTGGAAACTAGTCTGTTGGCTCCAAAACTCTTGCTTTTTTCCCACCATGGAAAAAGATATCTTCTTTCTTACTAGCTTTGGTATAGGGACCCCTCTCTTCCAGAGTACCCCCTTACAAGCCATGTCCCCCATCCAATCTCCTGGACTGTTCCCATTCCTGTGCAGGCCCTTGCCTCTTTGAGTAAAATTATTTCTACTACTAGTTATCTAAATCAGAGGTGACAAAAATACAGAATATACAGGTGCTTTTCTTCCCAGGGAGCACATCAGGTATTCATAATCTTTAATTTTCAATGAGCCTGAAATTAACCTTAGAAGCTTCTCAACTGAGGTCCAGGTAGCCATAATCAACCAATCAATCAAGGCTAACAACAGAAGTGAAATTTGTTTGTCTGCCTTCACCTAAAATCATTAAGAAGCAATTGTGTGGGATCAGAGGGTGAACCTCTTCCTTCCTTCTTTACAAATACAAAAAGTAACTTTGCCAGGAAAATATGTGCATAGCTCCAGGTGGCGTTAGCTAGAAAAACTAATATAATTATTAGGAGTGAACATTGTTGACTTCAACTGACCAGCTGGTCTCTCTGAATTCATTACAAGTCCTAACAGTCTACTAAATACTTCCCATCTACGTCAAAAGTCTAATATTGACAGTGAAGCAGTTTCCACATTCCAAATTGTGCTTTATTCTTGAAATATAACTGGGCCTCTATAAACCACTGCAATGACTTCCCCAACTGCTTCACCACTTCAACACATTTCCCATCTGAATACTTCTAGTATTTGATTCGGTTCTGCCTCATGTTGTACTGGCCTTAGAGTCTAGAGCAGCTGAAGACATTTTTGAAGTCTGGAACAAAAATCAGGATTGAGACAGAAAAATCTGGCTGCGGACAATGAGGACGTGTACTAGGGGGTTAGGATTCAATTTGAATGTCCAATTACATGGTTACAAGCCTGTTTATGCCTTATGCTTTTCAGATAAGAATCAGATTTTGGAAGGAAGAACACAATCTTTGCCTTGCTCAATTAAAAAAACAGATTTTTAGAACTTCAGGATAAGTAGCAAAAAATAAAAATAAAATAAAAAATAGATTTTTGTCTTGTTCATTCTGCTGTTTTTCAGGATCTCAAATAAAAAGTTTGATGGGGCCGGGCACGGTGGCACATGCCTGTAATCCCAGCCCTTTGGGAGGCCGAGGCAGGTGGATCACTTGAGGTTAGGGGTTTGAGACCAGCCTGGCCAACATGGCAAAACCCTGTCTCTATTAAAAATACAAAAACTAACTGGGCATGGTGGTGGGTGCCACCAGCTACTCAGGAGGGCAAGGCAGGAGAATCGCTTGAACCCAACAGGCAGAGGTTGCAGTGAGCCGAGATGGCGCCATTGCACCCTAGCCTGGGTGACGGAGCAAGACTCTGTCTCAAAAAAAAAAAAAAAAAAAAAAAAAAGTTTGATGGAAAAGATTATTTTACACAATTATTCTTCATGATATGTTTTTCAATTATTCACAGTATTTCTAACCCTCATTACTTTAGCTGTCATTGCAGTGACATTTTTCTTGAGACAAGAATTCTCATTATATACTTTCTACATTAGAAACTCCTAATCAGTTCTTACTTGAAATTGTTCTCCTGTCAATCTACCAGGACAAAGGACAAATAATAAGTGAGTGGTGAGATACTCAAAAGAGGTGACCAACTGGGCCTCTCACATAAAGGACAGAACTTTTTTTCTCCTAGCTTGGAAAATTTGTCCTCCTGGAATTAATCAGCCAATGTCTTCTGAAAACCAAAATAAAATATCTACTTTGTTAAAATCCCTTCACAAGGGAAAACACAAAAATAGAAATACATAGACGTAAATTCAGCTTAATGACCAAAAGTTGTGTTTTGTGTAGTGTTTTACTCAAGCCTAGCAGAAAATTATAAGTTTCCCTTATTTTAATAAGCCACATCCCTGTTCATTTGTTGCTCTTATTTTCTAAGACTATTGGACAACTTTCACTACTCCAACATCCTAAAGTTGTTATCCATCTCTATGCCTTTACATAAGCTGTTCCCTCTACTTTAAATGCCCTTACTATTCGTTCTCTGATTAAAGTGCTACTCTTATCAAGTCAAACCTCTGTGAAGCTCCCTTTTTCGTTCAGGGGTTCTACTCTCTTCCCATCCCCTTCCTCCAATCTAGGTGCAGTAACTTCCTCCACAGAACTCCCATGTCACTCATTTTCAGTGTCCTCTATTAAATCACTTAGAATATTGTAATGAACTTGCTTTTTTCTTCTACCAGACTCTTTGTGGGTTCCTTGACGGCAAGGATCATGTTTTATTCATTTTCATGGTCTCATCACTTAGTACAGTATCTGATTTAATCTAGAAGCTCATAAATATTGAATGAATTTTGATATTTCCTATTTTCTACATGTAATTTACTTCATATTTCTTTTAAAGCTTCAATTCTTTTCTTATTCTCTTTATATTAACGGTCTCAAACTAGAGACACATTGACCATTAGTGAATCAGGAAGCCACTTTGTTTTTCAGATCTGTACATTGGAGCTAATGACACAAACCTATTTTAAAAGGCTATAGTAAAAATAAATTCCTTATCCTCTTGAGAGAAAAATGCTAATAAAATTGGGATTTACTTTGGGAAGCCATTTTGCAATATTTTATGAAGTTAGACATACACCTACTGATATGGTTTGCCTCCGCGTTCCCCACCCAAATCTCATCCTGAACTGTACTCCCATAATTCCCACATGTTGTGGGAGGGACCCGGTGGGAGATAATTTGAATCATGGAGGTGGTTTACTCCATACTGTTCTCATGGTAGTGAATAAGTCGCATGAGATCTGATGTTTTTATCAGGAGTTTCCACTTTTGCATCTTTCTCATTCTCTCTTGCCTGCTGTGATGTAAGACGTGCCTTTACCTCCCACCATAATTGTGGGGCCTCCCCAGCCACATGGAACTATAAGTCAAAGTAAACCTCTTTCTTTTGTAAATTACCCAGTCTCAGGTATGTCTTTATCAGCAGCGTGAAAACAGACTAATACACCTACCTTACGATCAAGGAATGTAACTCCTAAGCTGGGCTCAGTAGCGCACATCCATTGTCCCAGCTACTCTGGAGGCTGAGATAGGGGGATTGTTTGTGCTCAGGAGTTTGGGGCTGTAGTGAGCTATGATCACACCACTGAACTCCAGCATGAGCAACACAGCGAGACCCACAAAAATTATGTACAACTCAAACTGCCATCAAGAGGAGAACAGAAAAATAAATTGTGATATATTCTACAGTGGAATACTACTTTCACAATAAAAAGAATTGAACTACTAGTACATGCAATATGATTGATTCTCAACGACATTCAGCTAAACAAAAAGAGCCACAGGAAAAAAAAGTACAAACTGTATGGTACCATTCATAGGAAATCCAAGATTAGGCAAAACTAACTTATGGTTATAGAAATCAGAATATTGGCCAGGCAGGCTGGCTCATGCCTGTAACCCCAGCACTTTGGGAGGTCAAGGTGGGAGGATCATTAGAGGCCAGGAGTTCAAGACCTGCCTATATAACATAGCAAGATCCCATCTCAATCAATGAATCAAACAGAAATCAGAATATTGTTTTTAGTCAGGGAGGGGGTTGACTGGAAGGGATGTCTACCCTATGTTTATTGGAGCAGGGAGAGTGCAATTCTGGTCCCCTTAGTTTTGATGTGGGTAGGGAGTACCTTCCTAAGAATATGCACATGGGACAGGAGTTAAGGCCCCCAAGTAAATGGAGGTCTAGTAGGAAGAAGGAATGAGTTTGAGTAGCTAAAAAACAATGTCCCAATGTCCACTCCGTAACCCAACTCCTCATTTAGTATTGGAATGCCTTCAACATCCAATTCAGCTAAAACAATATGAGTTAAACTAATTATTAGGTATCCTGCATCTAAATAATTCATCCCTAGGGGCTCCAGATTAAAATGATGGATTAAATACCCTCATCTAATTTTGTTACCTCCGAGAATCCCATTGGGTGTGTGTGCGTGTGTGTGTGTGTGTGTGGGTGTGTGTGTGTGTCTAACGACCTAAACCATATGCATGGGGAAGATAAAAAATAACAGCAACATTTTGAAAGCTGAAAAACAGATGGACAAATGCCAGCTGACGTAGGTGACTTGAGAAAGCTCAATCCCAAAACAGCAATGGAAAAACCTGAAGAGCGACTTTTTGTACACTGTAGAATCTTCTAAATGCATAGGAATAGGTACCACCCATTACCTCCTAGGAGTTTCATAAGAATTAAGTAAGATAATATTTGTAAGTGCTTACTGGCACATAGAATGAGCCCTCAGGAAATATCAGCTATCACTACCACTGTCATGCCTTTGGTTAAAACGAGTCAGATTCTCAACTGTCTATAGAAAAAGATTAAGCATTCTTTTTTTCTTTTTTTGTAATGGGCACAGAGGATATTTATTTAAGATGGTGGTTTTCAAACTTTTAAAAAAGTAGCAGACCGCTTGTTTTGTAAATGAACCTTACTATAGGAAGCAGATAAATGTGGCACTCCTCGGGGAGCAGCAAGGGTGAGGGGCCTGGGCTCTACCCTCTCACTTTCCACCTTGTCCTTTAAAGGAGACTCTGACATCCCTGAGGAACACAATTGGTTTAGAGGGAAAGGGAAAAGAGGTTAACATTTAGACATGTAAATGAACGAATAAAATAAATGAATAGGGAAAAAAGGAAACCCTTTCCTTAATGTGGAAGTAGAAGTGGAGCTGGAAAATCACCGCTTTGTAACCATCACAGTAAAAATTGCAAGAATCACGATGAATACTTAATCCAGGAGGGAAAGTTTGTTTAGAAGCAAGATATTTGCGTGATCTTCGTGCAAACAGATGGCACATAAGGGAGAAAACGCTGCTTATACCAGGGCAAATATTACTGACCTGCAGACTAGAGAAACATGAATGTCACCTAAGGCAAGAAAAGGCTGAAGTGCTTCAGATTAAAAGCTAAGAGAGACACAGCGACTATTAATAAATACAACATATGATTTCTGACTGGATCATGTAAAAAAAAAATGCCATAAAGGACATTATTGGGACAACTGACATTTGAAATGTGGATTGTAAATGTGATACCAGCCAGGAGCCTGCAATCCCAACACTTTAGGAGGCTGTGGCAGACAGATCACTTGAGCTCAGAAGTTCAAGACCAGCCTGGGCCACATGGTGAAACCCCCTCGCTATAAGAAATTAAAAAATTAGCTGGGTGTGGTGGCACCTGTGGTCCTAGTTACTTGGGAGGCTGAGGTGGGAGGATGGCTTGAGCCTAGGAGGTGGAGACTGTAGTGAGCTAGGATCATGCCACTGCACTCCAGCCTGGGCCATAAAGCAAGACTCTGTCCAAAAAAAAAAAAAAAAAAAAAAATTGATATAAGCATTGTATCAGTTTTGTTTCCTGAATTTGATAAATGTACTGTGGTTATATGAGAGAATGTCCTCATTCTTAGGAGACACAAATCAGTACAGTATATGGCCTAAAGAGGAAAAGATATGTGTGACCCACTCTCAAACAATTTAGAAAAAAACATATACAGTGTGTTTACATAGATGGAGAAAACAGTGGTTCTCAAAGTGGGATCCCTGGAGGAGCAGCAGTGTCACCTGGGAACTTGTTAGCAATACGAATTCTTGGGCTCAACTCAAACCTACTAAATCACCTGTCTGGGGTGGGGGCCAGGAGTCTGTGTTTTAACCTTAGCCTTCCTGGTCGTTCAGATACATGCTAAACTTTGAAAACCACTGATACAGAGAGAATGAGAAAACAAATGTGGTGAAATGTTACAATCAGTGAATGCAGAGAAAGGGCATACAGGGGTCTTCTGTAATATTCTTGAAACTTTTCTGTAAGTTTGAAATTGTTTCAAGATAAATATTAAAAACAAAATTACCCTGGTACAATAAGTGTAGACATGTGGAAAGGAGACCTGGGAGGTAGGAAAGCAAATCACAGAGTTAACACAGGAACCATGCATGAGGTGATGTAATTTACAACTAAGACTGCTGCCACTCCAGTGCTGAGTGAGGACAGGCTATCTGCAGAGTCTTCAAATAACAAATCTCCTCCTTGCAGAACATTTGGGCACCAATCATACTAATCTAAATAGGACAGTCCGGCAATCTCTGTAGAGAGGTTTCCTTCAGAAAAGCTTTCAGGGAGCATGAGGAAAACAGTGGTCACAGCACTCCAGAATTCTATCGAGGGCTGATCTGTGAGAGTGACATTCTCATTCATTGCTGTAATTTTCACCAGTTTTTGGAGTCCTCCAGTAATGTGTAAGTTATTCCAATTGGGGAGATCTTCAATCAGAATACTAGTGCTAAGAACTCCATATTTGATAAACTTGTGAAAACACACATCTTCACCAAAACCTTTGAGAGGTTTAGTGTCCAAGACTGATTTTACCCCTAAGGTATGTGACATGAGGTTGAAACCACCTTTACAAAGATTATGAAAGTGACAGAAGTCAGGCCAGGGGTGATGGCTCATGCTTGTAGTCCCAGCACTTTGGGAGGCCGAGGCGGGTGGATCATGAGGTCAGGATGTCAAGACTATCCTGGCCAACATGGTGAAACCCTGTCTCTACTAAAAATACATAAAGATTAGAAGGACGTGACGGTGCACGCCTGTAGTTCCAGCTACTCGGGAAGCTGAGGCAGGAGAACTGCTTGAACCCAGGAGGCAGAGGCTGCAGTGAGCCAAGATTGTGCCACTGCACTCCAGCCTAGGCAACAAAGTGAGACTCCATCTCAAAAAAAAAAAAAAAAAAAAAAAGAAAGTGAGAGAAGTCTAGCATAGCTGACTCCATTTTGCTTCCAGCCTCACAGGCTCGATTCAGCATTCTTTGGCACCTTGGTAAGAACCTTCACCATCTGCCTTTTGGCTTTATTTCCCATCACTCTTGTCTTGCATGGGCAACACCACACTGCTTGTACTCACCGTCACATGCTACATTGTCTTCTACGATGGAATGCTCTTTTGTCTTCATCTAACGCCCATTCATGTTTTAATGTCTTGGGCATCACTTCTCTTAGGAAGCCTCTTTCGGGAATCAAGAAGATGAGAAAGATCAAGCTACTGAAGAACAAAGGGAACAGCATGCATAACGATCCCAAGACTAGAAAAAACTTGAAGTATTTACGGAATTGAAGAAGGCAGAGAGAGACACAAGAAAGTGAGGGAGACAGGAATCTGAAAAGATAAGCACGATCTAGTTTATACAGGACTTTGTAAGACAAGGTAAGGAATTTAGATTTTATTCTAAGAGCAACAGAAAGCCTGTGGAGGGCTGTAAGCAAGGGTGTGATATAATCAGGTTTATATTTTTAAAAGATCACCCTGGCCACTATATAGGAAATGGATAGAACAGGGGCAAGAGAGGAAAAAAAAGTGACCATAAAGATGCCATTGCTGTAGTTCAGAATAAGACGTATTAGTGGCGTGGCCACAGAGATGGGAAGAGGTAGGTCAGCTGGAGATACATTAATATATTAATATTTTACAATCAGAACTGGAACAAAACTTTCCAATGGATTCCATACGGAAGGGATAAAGGGAAACTTAAAGGCAAAACCAAGGTTTCTTGATTATGCTATGTACTGAATGGAAAATATTGGAGCAGAAACAGGCTTCAGGGTAAAAATCAAGTTTTTTTGTTGTTGTTTTCTTGTTTGAGACAAAGTTTCACTTTGTCGCTCCAGCTGGAGTGCAGTGGCATGAACACAGCTCACTGTAGCCTCAACCTCTGGGCCCAAGTGATTCTCCTGCTTCAGCCCCGCAAGCAGCTGGGACTATGGGCGCATACCATCACACCCTGCTAATTTTTGTATTTTTGTAGAGACAGGGTTTCACCATCTTGCCCAGACTGGTCTCGAACTCCTGTGCTCAAGCACTCTGCCTGCCCCGGCCTCCCAAACTGCTGGGATTACAGGTGTGAGCCACTGCATCTGGCAGAAAATAAAAAGTTTTATGAGCTAGGCATAGGGGTTCACGCCTGCAATCCCAGCTCTTTGGGATGCCAATGTGGGAGGATTGCCTGAGCTCAGGAGTTCAAGGCCAGCCTGGGCAACAAAAGGAGACTCCATATCTACAAAAGAATTTTTACAAATTAGCCAGGTGTGGTGGTGCATGCCTGTGATGCCAGCTACATCAGTGGCTGAGGCAGGAGGATGGCTTGAGCCCAGGAGGTTGAGGCTGCAGTGAGCCATGATCATGTTCCTGCACTCCAGCCTGGGCAAGAGAGCAAGACCCTGTCTCCAAAAGAAAAAAAAAAAAAGTATATCTAAAACTTAAAAACATCCCATAAAAACTTACAACACATCCCATAAGGTTATACCAAGGGTATAAACGTTGGTCTATAGTCCTCAGTGAGACTTCTAAATAAAACTAATTATGTAAAAGCTTGATTTTTTTTTTAAGTTGACAGAAGGTAAGCAAATTAACTGGGGAACTGTAGTGGGGATGTTAAACAGTAGAGTACCCACATACAATTAATTTTGGCTACTCTAGGCACGCTGCCTATGGGATAGCCCTGCTCCACAAGGAGCAGTTAAAAAAAAAGAAAAGAAAAATAAAAGATTTGGACATGTTGAGATGCTAAAGAGTATCCAAGAATAGATATCAAGTTGAATAGCAATCTTGAGGAAAGGCTGGAATCACATAAATCAATCTGGTAGTAAGCAACACAGAGATGAAATTTAAAATTATAGGAGTAAATGGAATTAACCAGGAAGGCAGTACAGAAAGAGAAGAGCAGGGGCCTAGCTCCAAGACCCAGGGAAATGTAGTCTTTATAGGACAGGGAGAGGAGGGAAAATCAGCAAATCAGACTGTGGAGTGGTGAGGAAGGGTAGTGTTTCATGGAGGAAGAGCTGGCCAACAGAGTCCAGTGCTTTGCGGAGATCAAGAAAGGAAAGAACAGGGAATGTCTTTTGGCTTTGGCAACATATAAGCAGTTGATGCCCTGACAAGAGCAGCTTTAATGACATGACTAGAACAGAAGTCAAATGAAACTGAAGCTGAATGAAAGATGAGGAAGAGATAATAGTGTTTATGTATTAAACTGTATGACACTGCTGAACTTTCACAATTTTTGATGTACAAAACCAAAAATTTCATGACTCCTTTTTTTTTACATTTGACAGAAGAAAAATGAACATATGGGGCAGTAGTTATAAAGGAATATGAGATCAAGCAGAATCAGAAAGAAGAGAGTTGCGGGTTTTAGTGGGGAACACCAGAGCCTGTTTGTACATGGATAAAAATGATGGAGTTGGCTGGGAGCATGTTTGTACACTGATAAAAATGAGGCAGTTGGCTGGGCGTGGTGGCTCACACCTGTAATCCCAGCACTTTGAGAGGCTGAGACAGGTGGATCACTTGAGGTCAGGAGTCCAAGACCAGCCTGGCCAACATGGCGAAACCCTGTTTCTACCAAAAATAATAAAATTAGCCGGGTGTGGTGGCACACGCCTATAATCCCAGCTACTTGGGAGGCTGAGGCATGAGAATTGCTTGAACCCAGGAGGTGGAGGTTGCAGTGAGCCGAGATCATGCCACTGCACTCCAGCCTGGGGACTAAGAGAGTCTCAAAAAAAGAGGCAGTCATCAGCTGAAAGAAAGGTGGGAGAAAGGAAGGTTTGATAATCAAAGAAATGACATGAAATAATCTTTAAATAGAATAATGTGAGACAAAATAGAAAATGTTAAGCCAGGTTTGCTTATTTCTGCTTGAACCCCTGACTGTGATGAAATGCAGCTCCTCAGGAAGAATCTTAAAACAGGATAGAGCACACGGCCCCCCGTGTCACTCGCCTGAGTTACAACGTTCCTGAAACAGTAAATGAACTTGACCTTGCCTTTTCCTACATGAAGATGTCTGACAGGGTTAGTGATTATGCTTCTACAATCTATAACCAAATTACTTTAGTAATCTATAAACTGATGTACTCTTACACCCAAACTTTAATGAGATTTCACACATACAGAACCCCCACAACCTACATAGAAGCAATGGGCTGAGGGACCACTTTGGAGCCCTGTGAAAGAACTGCCCTCAGGGTATAAACCTTGGTCTACAGTCCTCAGTGAGACTTCTGAATAAAACTAACTTTAATTATGTAAAAGCTTAATTTTTTTTTTGACAGCAGGTAAGCAAATTAACTGGGGAACTGTAGTGGGGATGCTAAACAGTACAGTACCCATTTGTTAAGGGTTGGTCGTGAATTTATGGGAGAGGCTAAAAACACAAATGCCAACAGGAGCCAGGCAGGTAAATGACTGAAGCAGGCTGAGTGATGAAGGAACTCAAGAATGAATGCCCCATCTAAAGGGGAAGCCAGTGGAGTGGCCATCAAGACTATCAGCTCTATGCTGCCAGATCTCCTGATTTCTCAAGGGAAGCCAGAAATCTTTTTTTTTTGATATGTTAATTTTTAAAACACTCTATGGGCTCAAAAAAATATTTCCAAGTGCAAAAAAATATAGTGCATGGATGACTAGTTTCTGATTTGTCATCACACCAGATTACAAGATTTTCTTCAACGGTGCTCAGCTGTGGAGGTACTGTCACGGTTGCATTTATCCAAGGTTCGGTATGTGCTAAGAAAGTGATGGGGGCCAGGCGCGGTGGCTCACGCCTATAATCCCAGCACTTTGGGAGGTGGAGGCGGGTGGATCACCTGAGGTCAGGAGTTGGAGACCAGCCTGGCCAACATGGTGAAACCTCGTCGCTACTAAAAACAAAAAAATCAGCCAGGTGTGGTGGCGGGCGCCTGTAATCCCAGCTACTCCTCGTGAGCCTGAGGCAAGAGAATCGCTTGAACCCGGGAGGCAGAGGTTGTGGTGAGTCGATGTCGCGCCACTGCACTCCAGCCTGGGCAACAAGAACAAAATTCCCTCTCAAAGAAAGAAAGAAAGTAATGGGAAAGGAAAAGTGACCTGAGGAAGTGAGTGCTAACAGAGTGACTGTAATAATGAACTACAGAAAATTAAGTTAAAGACAATCTAGAAGCCAAGGGCTAATGGTTACAGTGAAAGTCTGGAGGAGTCAACGTATTGAAGGAATCAATACCAAATCCTATTCCTCCTCAAGTTCTTCAGCAAATGATGTTAAGTGCTGATGACGATGGTCACAGAATGTACACATTTAAAAAATGGTGCTGACGCAGTTCTTAGAAATTACAACTTTCAGGTGCATCAGGAGAGTGAGTCGAAGACATGCAAATTTCAAAAGCGACTGGACGATATTATTTATATTCAGTCTGATAAGGGATTTTGTTAACTTAGCTGACTTTTTAAAAATGCATCCTAAAAATACATACAATCATGAGAAAAACATGAGACAAATTCCATGATTAGGACATCCTACAAAATACATGACCAGTACTCCTCAAAACTCTCAAGGTCACCAAAAGTAAGGAAAGTTTGAGAAACTGCCACAGCCACAAGAGGCATATAAGGAGACATCATAACTAAATGTAATGTGGTATTCTGGATGGAATCCTGGAACAGAAAAAGGGTATTAGGTAAAACCGAAGGAAATCTGAATAAAATGTGAACCTTAGTTAATAACAGTGTAAAATATTGGTTCATTAATTGCAACAAATGTACCATATTAGCATGAGATGTTAATAATAGGGGAAACTGGATGCTGGGTATATGGCATTATCTCAATTTAAATAAACTACATTAAGAAAATAATATCTATTTTTAAAGGTGTAGTGAATAAAACAATGGCCACCCATATATTTAACACCCGGTTTAATAATGGTCAATACAGTTAAAGCCTCCCTTTATTGTCCCCTCCTTACCAGATATGACTGCTTTTCTCAACTTGATTTTCATTCTCTTGTATTTCTTGACTTCTTTAACTACATATGTATGCATAACTAAGCAATATATAGCATTGTTTTACAAGTTTTAGAGTTGAATGTATATGAATTGTCATACTATTTATTTTTCTACATCTTTCTCTTTTTGCCTCATCACATTTCTGAGTTCAGTCTTCTTTTATTGGCGTATAATACTACATCCTAACATCCCATAAGGTATTTATTCTGTTATTGATGGACGTTTCTAATTTTTTGCTTCTACCCACAGCGCTGTTACGTACATCCTTGTTCACTTACCAAAGTTTCTACAAGACATATAGGTAGGAGCAGAGTGCTGGGGTTTAGTAATTGAAAACTTTTACTAGATTTTGCCACATTGCTTTCCCAAAGAGGTTTTAACATTTGCGCACCTACTAGCAGGTGCGTATGTTTAGACGTGTGGAGGAGAAACTATTTAAAGACATACAAACTAGATAATATACTTGCTTCATTCTCGTTTGACCTTCGTACCCAAGCAATTATTTCTGCAAACAAACAAATAAACAACTACTAATAGCACTTCCCGCACCGCCAGCCGCAGTTTTCCCTGCGGAGACGCGGATACAAGGCAGCTTCCGGCGAAGGCGGTGACGCAAAGGATGGCGTAAGCACGCTCGGGACGACGGCGTCCTCTTGATCGCCCTTGAAGGCCCCTTTCCGGGCTGTCTGACACGATGCAAGTGTCAGCTTGTGTTGGCCGGTTGCCTTTCTTTCGCAAGAGGGGAAAATATCCTCACAGACTTTCTGTGTTCTCAGAGACGATCTTCTTCCCTAGAAAGAAGTCGCTTACGGTTGGCGTTTCCCTCAGGCAGCGCCGTGGGCAGCCCACAGGCCCTTGTAAGGCGCGCGCCGCGGCCCCGCCTCTTTCCTTTCGGCCGGAACCGCCATCTTCCAGGTAGGGCCTACGCGTGGCTCCCGGGCGCTAGGTGTTCGACAGACTTGAACCGCGACCTTGTGGCCTCAGAGGTCGTTCATTGGGACCGTGGGGAGACTCTCTAACCTGTTTGAGGTCCATTGGCATGGGCGGGTTAAACCATGTTCTGCCAGACGGGGAGCAGCGTGCGCCGGGTCGGGTCTGGGCCGTGGGCTGAGAACCGGACTGCGATGTTGCGGCCCTGCGGGGGGACATTTGCGAGAAAGACGAGACTGAGTCGCTTGGGGTGAGGCGACTCGAGTTAATCTTTAAAAGACTTCGTTTTATGTTCCCGTGGCTGCATCTCCGGTACTGTGGGTGGCCCCTCTCACATAGGCTGTGTGGGGGCCGCGTGGCCTGATGCCTTTCTAACTCCTTTCAGTGTGGCTTTTTTATTCCAAATCTTGCGATGATGTTGGGTGAGGACTTAAGGGGTAGTAGGAATGGGTTTAAAGTCAGGCGTCGGCTTTAATCTTCTGTGAAGCCTACAGGTGTGAAAACCCGGGCTCTCGGTCGGAGAGTGGGTCCCGGAGTCGTCCTGGGTGATGAACCCTCACTGCCCTTAGTTAATGCATAAGACGATTTCCGACTGTTTTTAAAATTTTGACCCCACATGGTGATCGGACGAAGGGAAAGTGTTTTGAGGTTGCAACACCAATATTTGCACCAAGAGGAGATACTGTTTTGCGAATTCTAGGGCAGCATGCTTTGAGTGAAGGGAAACATTTAGCCATAGTTCATCATTTTGTCTAGTTTGTGGACGTCAACAGAGTCGAGCAAACTGCAGGTTGCTCTTTATGGTGGATCCTAGTTGCCATGATTTTAATACTCTTACAAACTGTAAAGCATCGTTTTGAAAAGTGCCTTCAGTTTTAAGTGTATGGGGTCCATGCTTAAAATGGATTCCAAACTCAGAAAGATGGATCTAGTGGAGGATTATGGGCTCTGGAATCAGGAATGAGTTAACTGATTATGCCACTTGGTGATTCCACAAAGTGACTTGAATCTACACAGTATCACCCTTTGTGTACTAACTTAGCACAAGTTTTTGGAACTTTATACACATCTAAAGGCTTTGGGGATTGGAACAGAGTACCTGGCATTTAAAGGGTTCATCCATTGTAACAATGGTTTGACTTTGGTGAGTTAGGTGAAACATGTCTTCTTGCTATACAATTTTTATAAAAATGGTACTTTGGGAGCCATTCTTAAAGGATTGTTGGTAAACTTAGAAACCAAATTGTGTTAGAATATTGTCAACACGTCAAGCCTGACTGCTGTATTTTACCTTATGGTAGGAGTAATGGCCAGGAATGGCATTTCTGCCCTATAATGACTAAAGAGCTATCAAAACTATTGTTTTGGCCTTTTTGGGAAACAAAGGAAAGGTTAATTTCTAAATGCCTGTAGGTGAATTCTTAGATAATGATAAATTAGCTGCCGGTTACTACTGAGCACTTTACACGGGCCAAGCATTGCTGAGTTCTTTGTAGACATTACCTCAGCTACGAAAGTGTTCACCCCTATTTTACAAATGAAGATGAGAGATGAAATGTGGGTGTCCCAGCTAGTAAGTGGCAGAGCCTATGTCAAATTTAGGTCAATGATTATAAAGCCTGGGTTCCCCTCTCTTCTACCCTATATACGTTCGTAGTAAATAATCAGAAATGTGAAGTGGCTTGAGATTTCTGATAGTTAAATAGATGATGTTTGAGATACACCATCACGGAAAATTTGGTTGACAAGAAAGGTTTAATTCACATAAAAATGTAAGGCTGTTTTATTGTGTTCTCCACTAAATTATCTTCTAGTTAGTAATTACATGCCCTTGGCATTCTAAATTGGGTTCTACAGATAGAGTGTGGTAGAAGTCCTGTTGTGTTTTTATATTCTCATAGAGAAAGGGTACTAGTTTGGATTCTCGTATCAAGTTCTGCTCCTTAAGAGTTTTGATGTTATAGAACTTGGGCAGTTTTGCCAAAAGACCTTACTTGCTAAAATAATGATTTTTTAACCTTTCAACAGAACTAACTGCTTGGTGATCCAGCTTTCAGTTTGCAGTTCTCACTTCGCTACTGAAATGTGAACATTTGAAATTACAGGGGTTTGGGGCAAATGCCAGTTTTCAGTCGTATTTGACTGTTCTGCTTTCTGGTTTCAGTAATTCGCCAAAATGACGAACACAAAGGGAAAGAGGAGAGGCACCCGATATATGTTCTCTAGGCCTTTTAGAAAACATGGTAAGTAGGTTTACCTTCCTTGAGAGAAGCATGGCACACATTTGTGTTCTGTTGTGTTCAACATGTGTTGTAGTTCATAGAATGTGTATCAATAGAATTAAATAACTAGCGTCTACCCAGCTTATTTCGTGATAAGGTAAATAAATTACCAAAATTATATGGTGATTTTGTGACTAAGTATTGATGCAAGATTAAACTTTGGAGAGAGGTTGTGATTTAGTAGGCTGATTGTGCTGTCAGGAGAAATTGTCCATTGGGAAGATAATAAGCATGTAACCATCAAAAATGATATATGTGTTAAAAGCTAGTAAAATTGCATTTCTTTTACTCTAGATTTTTAGCCTTAATACTCACTATACCAAATTTATTTTTGTAGGAGTTGTTCCTTTGGCCACATATATGCGAATCTATAAGAAAGGTGATATTGTAGACATCAAGGTAAACATAAAATTGGGAAAATAACACTACAGAAGATAGAAAAGTTGGATTTAATCTAGTGTAGGAATTCAAATACTAGTGTATGTTGCATCTGTAAGAGTATAGAATGGATTTTTTTTTTTTTTTTTTTGGAGACGGAGTTTCACTCTTGTTGCTCAGGCTGGAGTGCAATGGCATGATCTCACCTCAACCTCCGCCTCCCTCCCGGATTCAAGCAGTTCTCCTGCCTCAGCCTCCCAAATAGCTGGGATTACAGGCGTGCACCATGATACCTGGCTAATTTTGTATTTTTAGTAGAGAAGTGGTTTCTCCATGTTGGTCAGGCTGGTCTTGAACACCTCGGGTGATCTGCTGGACTCAGCCTCCCAATGTGCTGGGATTACAGGCATGCACCATGATTCCTGGCTAATTTTGTATTTTTAGTAGAGAAGGGGTTTCTCCATGTTGGTCAGGCTGGTCTTGAACACCTCGGGTGATCCGCCGGACTCAGCCTCCCAATGTGCTGGGATTATTACAGGTGTGAACCACCGTGCCCGGCCTAGAATGGATTTTTTAAAGTGCTATTCTTAGCAGAATTTAAATTTTCCTCATTACCCGCTTGGAGTTAACAGCTAGTGGAAATTGGGTGGTAGGGTGGGAAATTATGAGTTTATCAAGTTGGAAAGGAACGCCTTAGTGCAAAGTTTAATTATTGATGAAGATTACTATTACTATGATTAAAAACCCTCCTAGTGAAAGCTGTGTTCTTCTGTGACCTGGATTTAAATGTATCTTGGCACTCGAGCTTAATGATGACTGTTTTTTTTGATTGCTTGAAGCAATGTGAAAAACACATTTCACCGGCTCTGAAAGCTCTTGAGTTGCCATTTGAAAGAAATCTTAGAATACTTTGCAGTTACTTAAAGTCAGAATTTTAAAGGAAGGGGAAATGCTGGTATATAACATTGGTTTCTTTAATAGGGAATGGGTACTGTTCAAAAAGGAATGCCCCACAAGTGTTACCATGGCAAAACTGGAAGAGTCTACAATGTTACCCAGCATGCTGTTGGCATTGTTGTAAACAAACAAGTTAAGTAAGTAGTGTTGTAGTTCTTTGTGGCTAACCAGTATTCCCTCATATACCCCCTTTTCACTTTGCCAGTTGGACTTATGTCTTTATTGGTCATTCAAGTGGGGCAAAGGAAATATCCTTTTAAAACTCAGGCAAACTGGGTGTTTGTCTGTATCCTGTCAGAGGAAACAAATTGAAATAGATTTACTGGAAAGTCTTACACAGTTAGTTACTAAGCGGTTTGTTTGTTTTGTTTCGAGACGGAGTCTTGCTCTGTCGCCCTGGCTGGAGTGCAGTGGTGGGATCTCTGCTCTCTGCAAGCTCCACCTCCTGGGTTCACGCCATTCTCCTGCCTCAGCCTCTGGGGTAGCTAGGACTACAGGCGCCCACCACCATGCCCAGCTAAATTTTTTGTATTCTTAGTAGAGACAGGGTTTCACTGTGTCAGCCAGGATGGTCTCAATCTCCTGACCTCGTGATCTGCCTGCCTCGGCCTCCCAAAGTGCTGGGATTACAGGCATGAGCCACCGCGCCTGGCCCAGCAGTTTTTATAGAATAAAAAGAGAAGTTTAGTAAACTTTTAAATTTTATTAGCAGTCTGGTTTTAGATTACTAGAGTTTAAGAGACCATCATCTCATCAAAGAGAGTTAAAAGTAGGGATGTTCTCTGCAAGGCCTCTTCTGATATGATTAATTGATTGTAAATTAAGTAATCAAGGCATACTTTGTTGATTTGTCATATCTGGGTAAAAGGTTTATGGTTTATTTAATAAATGAAACTGCAAAATCAGTTTTCTACATTTCTGTTATATTTTTGTTAAAGCACTTAAAAGAATTTCTGCTCTGTCCAGGGGCAAGATTCTTGCCAAGAGAATTAATGTGCGTATTGAGCACATTAAGCACTCTAAGAGCCGAGATAGCTTCCTGAAACGTGTGAAGGAAAATGATCAGAAAAAGAAAGAAGCCAAAGAGAAAGGTACCTGGGTTCAACTAAAGCGCCAGGTAAGAATTTGGTGTATATTTCATTGGTTCTGAGAGCACTTTAAGGTTGAGATTTAACACATCACATAATTATTTTATTCCCTTTTTTTTTCCTTTAATAGCCTGCTCCACCCAGAGAAGCACACTTTGTGAGAACCAATGGGAAGGAGCCTGAGCTGCTGGAACCTATTCCCTATGAATTCATGGCATAATAGGTGTTAAAAAAAAAAATAAAGGACCTCTGGGCTACAAAAATGTTTCTCTTCATTGAGTAGAAGTGTGGTGTCCTCTCCCCCAAAGAAATATTTAAAGCAAATTTTGGTTGTGTCCTAATTCATTATGTAATGTCCTTGCTATTCAAATTTAATGTATTTCTTGCTGAAGGACATGAGGTAGCTTATTGTGCAACAAATTACTCAGAAAATGGCGAGGTATTATATATGAAATACTTGTACTGGTTTGAAGATAGTCCTTCTAAATCATCAAGGAAGAAATAAAATATTTTTTTTTTGAGACAGTCTTGCTCTGTCAACCTGGCTGGAGTGCAATGGTGTGATCTCGGCTCACTGCAACATCTGCCTCCTGGGTTCAAGCAATTCTGCCTCAGCCTGCTGAGTAGCTGGGATTATAGGCGCGTGCCACCACGCCTGGCTAATTTTTGTATCTTTAGTAGAGACAGGGTTTCACCATGTTTATAAGTCTGGTCTCAAACTCCTGACCTCGTGATCCACCTGCCTTGGCCTCCCAAAGTGCTGGGATTACAGGTGTGAGCTACTGTGCCAGGACAAATAAAACATACAAAAATAAGTGGGATGTCATCTATTGCGTAACAGTTAAGCTCAGGATCCAGAGTTTGCTTTTGAATCCTTAAAAAAAAAAAAAAGATTGTTTAAAGCATCCATTCTTTGTGTGTTATATACTAGCTTGGAATTGCTTTGACCATGCATGGAACAGGACTCAAAATAATAGTGGTAATAGCATTTGTCTTAGGCCGTTGTCTTGCTGTAACAATATACCACAGACCTGGGTAAGCAGTAGAAGCTTATGTGGTGGTTCTGGAGGCTCTGATGTCCCAAGGTAAAGGTGCTGGCAGGTTCGGTGTCTTGTGAAGGTTTGGCCTTAACTTACCTCTTGATAACTGCCACAATGGGAGTTCCTTTTTTTTTTTAATTGAATGTTTTATTTTGAGATAATTGCAGATTTACATGGAGTTACAAATAATAGAGATCCCTTGTACACTGTATACTGTTTGTCGATGATAACATCTTACAAAGCTGTAGTGCAGTTTCACAATCAAGATATTGATAATAGGCGGCCATGGTGGCTCATGCCTGTAATCCCAGCACTTTGCGAGGCCGAGGTGGGTGGATCACTTGAGGTCAGGAGTTTGAGACCAGCCTGGCCAACATGGTGAAACCCGTCTGTATTTAAATACAAAAATGAGCCTGCCATCGTGAGCACCTGTAATCCCAGCTGCTCTGGAGGCTGAGGCAAGAGAATCATTTGAACCTGGGAGGCAGATATTGCAGTGAGCCGAGATTATGCCACTGCACTCCAGCTTGGGGAACAGAGTGACTCCATCTTAAGAAAAAAGTGATAAGCATAAAGTCAATATGTAGAACAGTTCTAACGCCACAAGATACCTCATGTTGCCTTACGTAGTCAGACCACCTCTATCTCCCCTCATCCCCACTGATCCCTAGCAAGCACCAAGCTAGCCTTCATTTCTTTGTCATTTCAAGAATGGGAATGACCAGGAATCATGTAAGTTAGATGTGACCCTTTGCCTTTTTTGACTTTTTTGCCTTTTTCGGATGCATCTTTCTCTGAAGGTGCATCCAAGTTGTTTCGTGTATTGTGTGTATTTCTATTGCTCAGTACAATTCACGGTATGAACGTATCACAGTTTGTTTAGTCATTGACCTGCTAAAAGACATTTGGGTTATTACCAGTTGTTAGCTGTTGTTTTTAAGGCTGTTAGGAGAATTCATGTACAGGTTTTTGTGTGAATGTAAGTTTTCGTTTCTCTGGGATAAATGTCCAAGAGTGCAGTTGCTGGGTCTTAACGGTAGTTCCATGTTTAGGTTTCTGAGAAACTGCTAAACTGTTTTCCAGAGAGTTTTCTACCATTTTACGTTTCTACCAGCAGTGCATGACTGATGGCAATTTCTTTGCAACAATGGGGATTAAGTTTCATCATGAATTTTGGAGAGGACATATTAAAACAGTACCATTCAATTGGAAACCTTTACTTAGCAAACATGGGTCCTTGAAATGTATCCTCACTAATCTTACTGACTGTAAGTCCATTTCATCCCCTAATTGATTTTATCTAACCTTTGAGATTCTACACAGTCAGTCTTGTTGCTACCTACTTGGGGTGTATTTGCTGTGTAAGGCAAAGACCTAGTAATATTTACTAAATGCTATGAAAGATCAGGCACAGTGGCTCACACCTGTAATCCCAACACTTTGGGAGGCTGAGGTGGGAGGATCACGAGTCCAGGAGGTCAAGGCTACAGTCTGCTGTGATTGTGTCACCGCACTACAGCCTGGGTGACAGAGCAAGACCCTGTCTCAAAAAAAACCATTTTTTAGTGTGAATGGAGAAAAGTCTAGTTGGTGGTCTTGAGTTTTTTCTAATGAAGCGAGATGGGTGGTATGTACAGCTTTGGGATCCCTCACACCTGGATATGAATCTCTGAATAACTGCCCCTAAGGATTCACATTCTAGTAGTGGAGAGTTGCATGTAAACATAATTATCACATTAGTCCTGTGTATTTTCCAATCATAGTTCATGGCTCAACAATGCATCTAGTTGAAGTCCTCACAGCCTGTCCCTTTAGTCACACTTGCCTTCTTCCCTTCATTAAAGCAGCTTCCAGAGTCCACACTTACTCATTCTGTTAATACATAGCAAATTGACCAATATGACTAAGTTTTCTTACGTGGAAGGAGATAATAAAAGTGCCCCTAAAAGGGTGATTTTTGAGAATTAGATGGGAATACTTACAAAGCACATCATGATGTTACAGTGAATATTCAGTTACGACCAACTTTTGTTTCATATTCTGTTGCTAATTGAGAATTTTGCGTTGTTTCTTTACAAATGCGTGCCAGGAGTATTTTGGATGTCCAAAATTAAGTCATTGCCTTCCAGTGAATCTAGAATTTACTAATATTTAGGTTTTAAGAGTATATGTGGCCTCCTTTTGTTGGGGGAGGGGGTGTGGTATGTTTCCCTGTTTACCATTTATCTGCTTCAGAGAGCATCCATAAAATTGAGCTCTATTAATGAATTGGTATTATATGCCTAACAACATTTGTTGACCACTTGATCTGTTTCATCTTCCTGGCTGCTTTGAGATGTGGGGACTACCATGTTTTATGAATAAGATAAAAGACTCAAGAAGGGAGAATAACTCACCAGTGGTTACACTGCCAGAAAGTGGCAGAGTTGGGACTTGAACCCATGATCCTCTTATGCCAAAGAGTTACTCTGTTTGCTGTGCTGTTTGACTACCAAGTGGATCCCAGAAGACTCCAATAAGTTAGTGTGTGGGTGGGTGGGTGGTGGGTACCAGATAGTGTCTGGAAGACCACATTATTTTTTGTAACAGCTTTGTTGAGGTATGATTGATAACAAAGAACTGCACCTTCAGTGTGTACAGTTTGATGAGTTTAGACAATTGGATGAGTGTGCAAACACGTGATACCGTCATGTATGTGACCCTTTGTAATCTGGTTTCTGCTTGTTTTCCCTTTCACTTCCTGTTACTGCCTTCCTACTTTATGCTTTAGATATTAGGGAAATAGGTTTTTTCAAGTTCTTTGCACATGCACTTGCCTTTGCCTGAAACATTTAGGCTTTCCTTTGGTCACTTGATGAGTTCCTGCTTGTCCTTTAGCACTCACCCTGTATTATCTCATAGATGATACCTTCCCTGATGGAAGTATTTTAAGGAGAGGAATGAAGAAAGCTCTTGGAATCGGAGAAGAGAGATACTTCTGGTTGTAATAAAATCCCCCACATCTTTGTTCCCATGACAGATGTGTTTGCTTCTGTTACAGTGTTTTTAACTTGTAAGGTTCTGTCTTCCCCACTACACCTGAGTTTAGGGACTGTCTCTTACTAAATTTTGCACTCTTCATGCCTGGAAAATAGTAAGCATTCAATAAATGCCCTTCAAATTAACGAGAGGATAATGAGAAAAAGACTGCTCTTTAAAAAAAAAAAAGGATAGATATGTCTGTGTTCAATCTTTACAAAACTATAGTGTTTTCTGAATTTTGAGGACTTGTAACCATTTTGCATATGAATATGTAGGATTGTTAAACCTCCCATGTAACGTGCAAAGATCAGGAGACCTTAAACATTCTTTTGTTCATTCTCCAACAAGTCATGTTACCTTCACTTTTTGTTGCCTCATCAGTAAAGTGGTATCACCTACCTGAGTATAAGGGGTTGGATAAAATGATTCCTATAGGCCCTTGGTGCATTTAGGTCTATGATTTCATATTTTAACACAACCAGATGAAATAAGTAAATTGTGACTTGTCAACAAGGAAATGAGGATATGAGGTGTCAATTCAGAGGGGCTGATGAAGTTGGGCATGAGAGAAAACGATGACATGCCGAATTGACTTAGGGGAACTACTATCCTTAGCACAGATATTCAGAAAATGAACTCTTCCTATTTGATGTACAGCATAGCAATTTTTAAAACAATCAGTGGCAATACTATGAATATACATAAAATTTTAGTATTTTGGATTAATCTTCAAAAATAGATTTTCTCGCACAATACTGGGTTGAAGAATATGTGTTTTTCAAATTATTGATTCACTGATGAATTGATTTACCAAAGGGTTATACCAGTTTGCACTCCACCTTCCAGGGAACATGCTTGTCTCACAGCATTCTCATCAGCATTGATTATTTTAATTTAATCTTTGCTACTTTGGTGAGAGAAAATACTTATTATTGAGTTTGGCTTCAGTTAGCTTCTGGAACCCTCTCCTGGTTTCCTTTTACCTGATCTGCAGTCTTTGCTGGTTCTGTCTTTCTGACCTCCAAATATTGAAGTACCTTTATACTTCAGGTGAGATTTAGCCTCATGGCTTTGAATACCATTTATATTCTGATGATTATCATGGCCTACAAAACCCTACATTATCTGTACTATAGCTACCTTTGCGACCTAGTCTTGTACCACTTCCTGCCCCAAAGTCAGATCCAATTTCATGAGCCTTCTCGCTGTGCCTTTAATATGCCAAGTGCATTCGTGCCTGAGGGCTTTTGTAAGTAAGTTGAAGTACAAAATATGAAGGAATGCTTTTGAAGGAGCGTGTTATGCTATGAAGGAATGCATTTCCTTCATCCTTCCCCATGATTTGTCCCCTTTAGTCAGCCTCTGCTCGAATTTTATCAAGATCTCAATATCCTATACAGACTTTATTCATTTTCTATATTATAAGTTATAGTACTTATCATTACACAATATATGTTTTGTTTAGTCGTCTGAGTTTTTATCAACTTGTATCTATAGATCTTTATCAAGGGGAATTTTTTTTCTTTCACAGTGTCTCCCTCGTCACCCAGGCTGGAGTGCAGTGACACGATCAAGGCTCACTGCAGCCTCGAATACCTGGGCTCGAGTGATCCTCTTGCTTCAGCCTCCTGAGTAGCTGGGACTATAGGAGCATGCCACCACGCCCGGCTAATTTTTGTGTTTTAGTGGAGATGGGGTTTCGCCATATTGCCCAGACTTAATCTTGAACACCTGGGCTCAAGTGATCTGCCCACCTCGGCCTTCCAAAGTGTTGGGATTTATAGGCGTGAGCCAGCGCACCTGGCCAGTAAGGGGATGTTTACTGGTACCTACTCTACTGTGGAATGAAGGGAAAAAAGACACATCATAAAGCCTTATTAAGGAGGTGACAGTATAGGAGGAACAGTAAGACCTAAATCCCTTCATAAAACAAGGTATCAAGGAGGGTAAAAGAGGAAAGAGTTGGTATTGACAGGGCTCTTGCCTCTGCCCTCTTGTTTCACTGATTATCCTGGTCTATGCAGTGGCGTGATCTTGGCTCACTGCAACCTCCGCCTCCTGGGTTCAAGAAATTCTGCCTCAGCCTCCCGAGTAGCTGGGATTACAGGTGCCCTCCATCACACCCAGCTAATTTTTTTGTATTTTTAGTAGAGATGGGGTTTTGCCATGTTGGCCAGACTGGTCTCGAACTCCTGACCTCAGGTGATCTGCTCGCCTCGGCCTCCCAGAGTTTTGGAATTACAGGCGTGAGCCACCACGCCCAGCCCAACTTGCTGCTTTTTTGACTTCAGCCTGCAGGCTTGCAAAAACCAGCAAATAAACCAAGCAGCCCTTCCTGTTGTGCCTTCCTCCTCCCTTTCATAGCTAAATTTCCTGGTCGCCCACTGCAAATCTGGCTTCCGCCTCCACCACTGATGAAACTGTACTCTTAAAGGTTACGAAAAGCTTGCTAATTAACAAATGTAGATACTTTTTTCCAATTTAATTTTATCCACATAATAATTGACACAGCCAACAAATGCTTTCTCTTGCAGAGGGTTCTGCCATCATACTTTACTGTTTCTTCTCCCTATCTGACCCCCTTCTAGCCTCATTCTGGCCCCTCCTAGATGTTCCACATTTGTCTCTCTCTCCTTTATAAATTATTCCTGGGTTATCTAAGCCAGAGGTTCTTAAAGTATGATCTCCCAGCTGGCAGCATCAGCATCATCTGAGATCTTGTTAAAAATGCAGACCTGGCCAGGGCGCGGTGGCTTACGCCTGTAATCCAGCACTTTGGGAGGCTGAGGTGGGCGGATCACGAGGTCGGGAGATCGAGACCATCCTGGCTAACACAGTGAAACCCCGTCTCTACTAAAAAATACAAAAAATTAGCCGGGTGTGGTGGCAGGCGCCTGTAGTCCCAGCTACTCGGGAGGCTGAGGCAGGAGAATGGCGTGAACCCGGGAGGCGGAGCTTGCAGCGAGCCAAGATTGTGCCACTGCACTCCAGCCTGGGCGACAGAGCGAGACTCCGTCTCAAAAAAAAAAAAAAAAAAAAAATGCAGACTTGCCCAAGACCCTCCAAATCTGAAATACTGGGGATGGGGCCCAGCACTCTATTTAACAAGCTCTCTGAGTGAATAAGATGCATGCTCAATTTTGAGAACCACTGGTCTACGTCTTTAGCCTTCTCTGATACTTGAGGCTCAGTTGCAGAGCTCACATTCTCTGAAGCCCCATATCTGTAGTTCCATCTTCCTCTTGGGCAGCTCCATCTGGATGTCCTGCAGATTAGGTTTTATAAGTGGGGAGATAATTAAATTGGAACCTCCGAACTTTGAGTAATGTGTGTGTGTGCTGATTACATGTCTGCCTTGAAATGCAGGTCCTGAGCAACCACCACAGATTGTGAATTTATAAATTAACCTCTTACTGTCCAATTTCCCTTCTTACACTTGTCAGTGAAAATGAAGAAAAATATCCTAACTATAAATTTTTTCACCCTATTTTTAAGTAATAGCCATGATTGTAAGTGAGGCTGTGTGGTTCCTTGAACTTTGAACTGAAGTCTGTTCTGATCTAGCCAGGTATTTTCTAAGGCCTTCTATTTTTATTCAGTTGAAACCAGTCCCAAAGGGTTAGATAAAATATATCACACTGTTTTTTGAAGTTTTCTTCTGAATGTTGTGGCAGAAACACACACTCAGGTTCTTGTCTCTTCCATATTCCCACTCCTGTAGTAGCATTTTCTCTGTACTAGGATGGAAAATTTGCTAAAATATAAAGAATTGCTAAAATATGAACAAGGTAGGTTTATCTTACTCTTTTTTTGTGCACAAGACAAAGGATTTAAAACTGGGTTGGATTTATTTGGAATGAGTGTTTATAGCATGTTTCTTCACCCCAGCTCCACTTAGAAAAAAATTGATAGCAAAAATCCTTCTCCACAGAATCTGTTCGACCAGTTGCTAGGTTATGAATAATAACAGTGAGGCAGCAGCTGCAGCTGCTGTTGCTGAGGTGGAAAATGTGCACAGAGGAGTGAATAAGCAGCCGAGGCTCTGCACTGTGATTCTTTTCAAACAGCCGTGTGTGGCGAGGAGCTGCTGACAGGCCACCACACAAAGCCACTAATGGAAGAGGCACACAAATGCTGTCGTACACACTTCTCCAGCAAGACTTGGATTTATGGAAATCATTTGGGTTGGAAAATAAATGGGGTACTCTTTACTGTCTCTGTAAAATGAGATGATGGCTTAGCTCAAGTGAAGATGATTGGATTTTTTTGGTTCCACCTAAGAAGGAAGAGAGGTTCAGATTAAATTAATTGCTCATGGGAGATGAGTAAGTAAACAGTTTTAAGATCTTTGAGGTCAGAGACCATATCATTTTGTTTTGTTTTTATTTTTTGAGACAGGGTCACCCAGGCTGGAGTGCAGTGGCACAATCACAGTTCACTGCAGCCTTGAACTCCTGGGCTCAAGGGTTCCTCTCACCTCGGTCTCCCAAAATGCTGGGATTACAGGCATGAGTCACCACACCAGGCCCATATCCTATTATTTGTAAGCTCCTAGTACTCATACTGTTGTATGTACAGTCTGCTCTTTGTGTCTGTATCTGTGAGTTCTGCATCCATGAACTCAACCAAGCTGGGATGGAAAATATTGGGACAAAAAATTGCATCTGTTCTGAACATGTACAAACTTTTTGCTTGTCATTCCCTAAGCAATACAGTATAACTATTTACATAGCATTTACATTGTATTAGGTATTATAAGTAATCTAGAGATGATTTAAAGTAGGAAGGAAGGGCCGGGCGCAGTGGCTCACGCCCATCGTCCCAGCACTTTGGGAGGCCAAGGTGGGTGGATCATTTGAGGTCAGGAGTTCGAGAGCAGCCTGGCCAACATGGTGAGACCCAGTCTCTACTAAAAATACAAAAATTAGCCGGGTATGGTGGCACACGCCTATAATCCCAGCTACCCAGGAGGCTGAGGCGGGAGAATTGCTCGAACCCGGGAGGTGGAGGTTGCAGTGAGCCGAGATCACACCACTGCAGTCCAGTCTGAGCAACAGAGTGAGACTCCATCTCAAAAAATAAAGTAGGAAGGATGTGCATAGGTTATATGAAAATACAACACTCTTTTTATATCAGGGACTTAAGCATCCCTGGATTTTGGTATTCTCAGTGTGTCCTGGAACTAAAGCCCTACAGATAACCCGAGAAACAACTGTAGAAGGAGCTCTTCTCCTCAAGAAATGATTAATGGCTTTCCATAGCCTCTGGATAAACTTTTTAGCATGCCATTCACAGTCTGGCCCCCAGCCTTTTGGGTCACTTACCACACCCTTCTCACTGTTGAGACTACTCAGAATTCCTCACACTTGTCATGTACCTCCATGATTTTGCGCATGCTGTTCCCTCAATTTGACAGGCCTTCGCCCTCCCCTGGTTTCCACCGATCACACCTGACTCACCTGCAGCCCAGCTCATGCTGAAGCTTTCCCTGATACTTGGATCAGACCTAACTCTCCCTGTGGCAGCTCTGTTGGAGTTTGCATCCTGACCTGCTCTGGCCTTCCATTACCAACACAGTGTTCTACAACCTGCTTTCTTTATTTTGTATTTTTTTTTTGAATTTTGAATTTTTTGAGGCAGGGTCTTGTTCTGGCCCACGCTGGAGTGCAGTGGTATGATCACAGCTCACTGCATCCTTGATTTGGGCTCAAGCAATTTTCCCACCACATCATCTTGAGTACCTGGGACAACAGGCATGCACCACCATGCCTGGCGAATTTTTCTTTCCCCTCTGCTCCCCTCCCCTCCCCTCCCTTCCCCTTTCCTTCCTCCCTCCCTCCCTCCCTTCCTTCCTCCCCTCCCCTCCCTCCCTCCTTCTTTTCTTTTATTTCCTTCTTTTTTCTTTTTTTGTAGAGACAGGGTTGAACACTGGCTTCAAGCAATCCTCCTGCCTTGGCCTCCCAAAGTGCTGGATTACAGGTGGGAGCCACAGTGCCCGGCTCTGCACCCTGCCCTCCATACCCGTGGAATGTGCCAAGATTAAAACTCAGAGGGCTTGAGGCCTGCACCACTATATGGCTCTGTGACTGGATAAGTTACTCAATTTGTCTAAACCACAATTTAGAGGATATTCTTTACCTGTTTCACAGGATTAATTAAAAATTAAGATAATATTTGAGAATTTTCTTGGTAAACTCAACAGTAATTTATAAATGATAGTGAATTTGATAAATTTCTTCACTACAGGGATGTCTGTGAAGGCAGGCAGGAGTGTGTTATACTTTGCTGTCTTAGTAAATGTTCGCTGCTCTTTATGTTCTGCGCAAGCACTTATCACAGAGCCTCACAGAGTCAATTTTCAGTAATTGTGCCTGCTGAGTTGAAGTAAAATAGGGAGCTGGTAGAGGGCAGAGCCATGATTCCTGTTTAGGGAGAGCACCTCAAAGGCAGGGGCTCTGAGGCTCCGGTAAACTCAATAGTCAAGGACTTAGGATATACAGGAGAGGGAGTTGATGTTGGGTTATGGCTGGGGTGGGGGAGTTGTTTGTGAACAAGAGGAGGACCCTTGGCAAAATTTTGCCTGATGACTAGAATTCAAGCTTTTATTTGACTGGGAAAGAGTTAATAACTTCCCAAGTGTGCTATTATTTGCATATTACCAAACTCTGGCCTTTATGCTCATTCTAAACACCCACAGATTTGTATATCTGTATCCATGCCTACGCATTTCTATTATCTTTTTAAAACCACTTCAGCACGCCTGTTATATTGGTTGCACCATAGTTTTACATAACTCTGGACACAAATTTAAAAGGAAATGGCAGAACACAAGCAGCAACAATTTAGGCAAGGCTATTTATAATTCTACAGTTCAGTCACTTACTGTCTTCACTAGAAGGTCATGGATTATTTTGTATATTTATAAATGCAAAGAGCTTTTCCAAGGAGAATGAAATAACATGTTGAGCTCTTCTGAGCAAAGGTGCAATGTAAATGCAAAGTGGAACATAATTATCACTGGGCAGAGAACAGTCTTAGGAATCTTCCTTATTGGCTGACCTTAAGCTACAATGGTCTTATTCCAGACTGGGAATGTAAAACAGAGAAGGAGGTGAGGAGAGACAGAGATACTCAGCATTCCACCAAGAAAGGACTCTTTTCCCTTGAAAGTGCTGGATTTTCACTCCAGGAAGGTGAATAGGGTTTATGGCAGATCTCCTTGGCAGTCATTCTCTCTGTGAGTTCTTGATTTTGGATGGGGGTGGTGGTATGTCCAGCTAGAGGGAGGAATCATGATTGTCTAAACTAGTCATGGCCATCCCAGTCTTCTTTGCTAGATACTTGAGTAATCTCTTTCCCAGTTTCTCTGTTCTGGCCAGTGAGATGTAAGAGAGAGTCTGCTGAGTTCTTGTGAGAACTGCTTTATTTCATAAAGAGAACAACTAAGAGAGTACTTCCTTCCCTTCCTGTTTGGGTAAGGACTTGATGCTGCAGGAGCCACCCTGCATCCATAAAGGAGAAGTCAAAAGGAATCAGAGACAACAGCCCAGACCCCCATCACGGAGCTGCACGTGACCCTGGAACTTAACAGCTTCCAGTTGTTCCCTAGACAGTCATTGTCTTTATGGTGCCTTTTCCCCCATCAGGGAGGAAGGTGCCTTGCTTCAAGTCTTTTCAATTAAACTGCAGTTTAACAGAGAAAATTGCCTTATGAACAGTCAAAAGTCAGTACAACTTAAATATGGCAGTTTATCTCAGGACATCTCCCAGCACACGTCTTCCTGAGAGCAAGCTGCTCTCAAAACCAAGGCAATGGGAAAATGGTCAGAAACATGACTTCTGTATTTTCCAGTTCATACACTGAAGACAGCATTCATTCATTCATTTGGAAAGTCAGCCAGTGAACAAACATTTATTAAGGACCTTGCCAGTCCCAGGTGCCACTATGTGCTGGGTACTAGAGTCACAAGCTAGAGTCCCTGTCCTCCTGGAGACAGACATGAAACAAATATTCCACCAGAAAGTAATGATAGTTGAGATCAGTGCCCTGAGAGTGAGTAACTGCAAGATAGGGGTGGGGACAGTGGCAGTGATCAGAGACGGCTTCTCCAAGGGAGGAACATGTAAACTGAAGTCACCATCTAGTCTAGATTAGTTTACTTCAGGATTATTCAGAATTCTGCAGATAAGAAATGAGGCCGGGCGCGGTGGCTCACGCCTGTAATCCCAGCACTTTGGGAGGCCGAGGCGGGCGGATCACGAGGTCAGGAGATCGAGACCATCCCGGCTAAAACGGTGAAACCCCGTCTCTACTAAAAATACAAAAAATTAGCCGGGCGTAGTGGCGGGCGCCTGTAGTCCCAGCTACTTGGGAGGCTGAGGCAGGAGAATGGCGTGAACCCGGGAGGCGGAGCTTGCAGTGAGCCGAGATTGCGCCACTGCACTCCAGCCTGGGCGACAGAGCGAGACTCCGTCTCAAAAAAAAAAAAAAAAAAAGAAATGAGAGCAGTAGGGATACAGAGGGAGACACCAAGAAATATAGGAGGAGAAATGATGGAACTTGGCGATTAATCAATGTGGAAGTGAGAGAGTGGGTAGAGTCAAGGATGTCTCCCAGGCTTGGGCCACTGGGTGGATGGAGACACATTCATTAGCATGGTCAATTACAAAAATGGACCCCATTCTCCATCACTCTCTGCTTCCTTGCCCTTTCACACGTGACTTTTCTGCTGTTTCCACAAAGGGGCGGAGTGTATTTCCCTACTCCTTGAATATGGGCTGGCCCCATGACTTGCTTTGGCCAACAGAATGCAGCAGAAGGGATGGGTTCCTTCTCAAGGCCTAGGTCTCAAGAGGCCTTATCCATTTCCACCCACTCTCTTGGAACTCTGCTCAGCTACCATGAAGGCAGGCCCTGGCCAACGTGCTGAATGAGAAGAGACATGTAACTCAGTCACTACCCTCCCTCATCACAGCCAACAGCTGCCAGACATGAGTAAGGCTATCCAAGGGCAGCCAGCCCCCACTTCCAGAACCTGGAAGCTCCCTGCAGATGCATCAAAGGGCTCAACAACTGTAAGTGATTGTTGTTCTAAGCCATCTAGTTTGGTGTGGCTTGTCATGCAGCAAAAACTGGTACAACCAGGGTAGAGAAAGGTATGAATTAGGGTGGGGCTGTCTAATAGGCGATTAGGCAAGTGAGGCTGGAACACAGGAGGTCAGAGGCATGAAGGTCTTCTAACTGTTCAAGGTTAAAGTCCTGAGGCTTCTGCTGTGCTATTTCTGGTGGGCTCCAGAAATCCAAGAACCAGTCTATAGCTCTGTGTCCTGTTCCTCACACTGCCCCCCACCCCACCCTAGACCCCACCATGCACCTAGAAGTAAATATTTGGATACTGAAGCAAATGCATGACTCAAGCACATAGGATAGTATTAATGATGGACACTTAGTGCAGGGCCAGGGCCCCCAGCCAGTGGAGTGCTCATGAGTGTTCAGGAATGAGCCAGTGCAACCCCTGCCTGCAGAGGAGGGGCTGGGCATGGATACTGAGATGCTAACCATCACTGCCCCTAAGGGGACTTCATCTATCCCTAGCAAGGTCACAGTGACTGCAGTTGCCTCCACTGATACTAATTCAGAGCTCTTGCCCCCCGCCCCCCGCCCTTTTCCCATATTAATGTTACCCCTTAGCATCTTTTCTTTTCTTTCTTTTTTTTTTTTTTTTGAGACGGAGTTTCGCTCTTGTGGTCCAGGCTGGAGTGCAGTGGTGCCATCTCGGCTCACTGCAACCTCCGCCTCCCTAGTTCAAGCGATTCTGCTGCCTCAGCCTCCCGAGTAGTTGGGATTACAGGCGCCCACCACCACGCCCCGCTAATTTTTGTATTTTTAGTAGAGACAGCGTTTCGCCATGTTGGCCAGGCTGGTCTTGAACTCCTGACCGCAGATGATCTTGCCCACCTGGGCCTCCCAAAGTGCTGGGATTACAGGCGTAAGCCACCGCGCCCAGCCCCTTAGCACCTTTTAAAAATAAAAAGGGCAGCGTTTTACAGCAATCTGTCCCATTGTTGCAGAAACATCCAACTGATTGCACTTTTTCTTCTTCTCTCGTCAACTCGTAACTCCTATCTCAAGTTCACCCACAGGTCTAGTGACTCCGGCTGGCTGCTGCGGGGCGAGGAGACTCGCAGAATGCCTGACTAGAGGCCACTCGCGCGCTCTGGACGGTGGCCGTATCTCCAGGGTCTGAGCCCCGGAGCCGCAGTCCTGCCGCAGAGCGCCTGGAGCCGCGAGCAGCTAGCAGCCCGGCGAAGCGCACAGCCTCGGCGATAGTCAGCTCCGCGGCCTCTGCTCCCGCCCCTCCCGGCCGCTCCGGGAAGGGGCGGAGACGAGGAGGAGCTGGGACGGCCGCCGCGCTCCCGGGCGCACCAAGCCCTTTAAAAGCCGCGGGCCTTGACAGTTCTGCAGGCAGCCGCCGCGGTCCCGGACCTCTAGTCCCGCACTCCCAGCTGGCGAGCCGGCTCCGGGTGCGGCGAGGCCCAGCCCTCTCGGATTGCGCGCCGGACCCCGGGACGCGCTCCATGCGGCCGCTCAGCATGTCCGGGCACTTTCTGCTCGCACCCATCCCCGAGTCCTCCTCGGACTACCTACTGCCCAAGGACATCAAACTGGCGGTGCTGGGCGCCGGCCGCGTGGGCAAGAGCGGTGAGTGCGGCGGGGACCCCCGGGCGGCTTCGCTCCCCGGCTCCGGCCGCGACCACTGGGGGCGCTGCGGAGAGAGGGCGCCTCGGCCGAAGCAGAGGGCGCGGGTGCAGGTAGAATCGGGCTGCTTTCGCGCTGGGTGGGTCCCGGTCCGTCCCGGCCTGCTTCCCTGGCGTTTCCTGGTGCATCTACTCCTGGGATCTCGGCGGGATTGGCGCCTGTTCGGGGATGGGGTGCGGGAGAGGTGTCCCGCCAGTCGTACTCGCGGCCAAGCCCGCGGCACCACGGCTTTGCGGAGCCTCTGGAAGCGAGCAGTGCCCACGGTTCTGCACCCTTCACTCCCCCCAGTTTGTCCGAGGTGCCTGGGTTTGACAGGCTTGTTCTACTCCTTCGGTTGATTTTCCTATTTCCTTTTCAGCAATGATCGTGCGCTTCCTGACCAAGAGATTCATTGGAGACTATGAACCGAATACAGGTGAGAATACTTTCACGCTCCCTGCTTTTATGCTTGCGTGTTTCTTTTTACGGATGGGAGTTTGAGAATTAAAAAGCAAACTCTACTTCATTCTCCAGGCAAGCTGTATTCACGGCTGGTCTATGTCGAGGGGGACCAGCTCTCCCTGCAGATCCAGGATACTCCCGGGGGCGTCCAGGTAAGAACCGCCAGGGGCAAACAGCTCACCCCCACCCGTGAGACCACCCCAGTGGGCACAGCACGTAGGGCGCCCATGCTGGGCGCAGGGGTCTGAGCAAGGCATCTAAACCGACCTGTGCGTTTAGAGGGAGGAATGGGCTGTCCACAGGTGGGGCCAGTGGTTGGGGTGTTAGAAACTCTCTAAGGGGGAGGCATGGTTAGAAGCAGCCTCCTCTTGTTAAGCACCTGACTTAACTTCACTTTGCAACCCTGGTGGGCCATCACTACTTAAGCAGGTCTCACCATTTCTTCCGGAGGTAGCCATGGAACCATTAACAAAGAAAAAAACGTTTAAAACAAAACAAAACAAAACAAAAAAAGAGGTAGGATTCTGATGGGAGAGACTCTTCTCCCCTGGCAAGCTCTGCTTTTTTTGAGACGGAGTTTCACTCTTGCCCAGGCTGGAGTGCAGTGGCTGGATCTCAGCTCACTGCAACTTCCGCCTCCTAGGTTCCAGCGATTCTCCTCGATTCTCCTGCTTCAGTCTCCCGAGTAGCTGGGACTACAGGCACCCGCCGGAACTCCCAGCTATTTATCTATTTATTTATTTATTAGTAGAGATGGGGTTTCACTATGTTGGCCAGGCTGGTCTCGAACTCCTGACCTCAAGTGATCCGCCCACCTCGGCCTCCCAAAGTGGTGGGATTATAGGCATGAGCCACAGCGCCCGGCCCAAGCACTGCTGAACTGCTGCTGTTAATGGCTGTTCCCTCAAGTCAGTAATTGCAATCAGATAACCCCTTGGCAGAGGGTCTAGAATGTAACTTGTTTATTAACCAGTTACTAATTGCTACTCCGTTCTCCAGAGGAAAGGTCTTGTGGAAGAACCCTAAGAAAGGAATTTCTTTCTGTAACATTCTTAAGAAGTGCATGTTAAAAATGTTTTTATGAGTTTGGGAATAGATATTTATCTTGGCTTATTTTCAAAGTTTTGTTTATTATGAGTTAGTGTTTCCTAAAACTTGAGCCATTCTGGTTTGAGGTCATTCTTCAGTCAGCCATGGTTCACCAGAGACTGCCTGACAAGCAAGGGGTTTAAAAATAATGCAGGGATAACAGCTAATAAAGTAACTCAGGCAGGGAGTTTGCCTGGGAATCTGTTCTTTCCATATCAAAAGCCTGCTTCTGCAGAAGCTGGGTGGAAACTGAAAACTGTATTTAGAGATTTCTTTTTCAAGTGTTTCTTCAAGGGTTGCCTTGATGTTGTTTTGAGTTTATCTCCCACTGAGGGTTTCCTTGACTGGATCTCATTTTGATGTTTTCTCAGATCCAAGACAGCCTCCCCCAGGTCGTCGATTCCCTGTCCAAATGCGTGCAGTGGGCCGAGGGTTTTCTGCTGGTCTATTCCATCACAGACTATGACAGCTACTTGTCCATCCGACCCCTTTATCAGCACATCCGGAAGGTCCACCCTGACTCTAAAGCCCCTGTCATCATCGTGGGCAACAAGGGGGACCTTTTGCATGCCCGGCAGGTGCAGACACAGGACGGTATTCAGCTAGCCAATGAGCTGGGCAGCCTGTTCCTTGAAATTTCCACTAGCGAAAACTACGAAGATGTCTGTGATGTGTTTCAGCATCTCTGCAAAGAAGTGAGCAAGATGCACGGCCTCAGTGGGGAAAGAAGAAGAGCCTCCATCATCCCTCGGCCCCGCTCTCCCAACATGCAGGACCTGAAGAGACGCTTCAAGCAGGCTCTGTCTCCCAAAGTCAAAGCCCCCTCTGCACTGGGGTGAACTATCTCAGACAGATGCCTCTCCTTTTTAATACGCATTTGTGCAGCTAAAAGACTGGGCTTCTCGCTTTTTAATCACACATTCAGAGTTTATTTTTATAAAAAAATTGATTTTCAAGTACATGTGTATTTCTGAAAATTCAAACAGTGATTGCCTAGAAGCTGGATAAAATTTTGTTTTGTTTTATTAAAAGAACTTTTTTTTTTTTTTTTTTTTTTTTTTTTTTACTGTAACTGCTGGCCACTTTTCCATTAAAGGCAAAATGGCAACATTGCTCATTGTTTTCTCAATGTCTTTTTATAGAAATTGTACTTGCACCAGCGCCCAGTGCTGCTCCATGCTTGCCCTCAGTCTGAACTCTGATTGGTGTCTCGCAGTGGGGAGGAGTTCATGTAGAGGGAGTCTGTTGTGGGAGAAAGGAAAGTATGTGGAGGAGGAGAGGGATTTTAATAACGGCAGGAGGTCTTTAAATGGGACACTGCCACCAGTCATGAAATTGACACTGTGTGATTTTCAAGGGAAGGGGTACAATGCTAAAACGTTACAAGCCATGAGTAACATTTATTGGTGCAAATGCAAGTTTATACTCTACCCATATTAAAAAACAACCCCTTTTCTAGTATTCCTTATGTCAGTAAGTGGACCCTACCACCCAAAAGTTGCCTCAAAATTCTCCTTCCCTTCCAATAGGGCACCAGATATGTCCATCCTCACTCCTGTTTTTCTCTAAAGCCTCACTGTCCCTTAATCTAGACCTCCCTTTGACTGGCAGGCAAGAATCTAGGCAAGACTCATGTTTCTTGCCTTCTAGAATGACATCTCCTAATTGTCTCTTCACATCAGAACAATGCTACTAAAACTAACCCTAATCATTTTATTTCTATAAAAAACCCAGCTGGTTTCCCCTTAGCTACTGGTTAAGATAGACATGAGACATGGCATCAAGATTCTTTACCACCTCTCCAGGCTTATCAACCCCTCCTTCCAAAACACACACCAGCAGTCAGTCCATTCCAACAGATTGTCTTTCTCAGCTGCTCCAGGCTCTTTCATGTCTTCCTGCCTTGGCACAAACTATCCCTTTGCCTCAAATATTTTTTCTGATTCTACACATAATGGCTTGCTAACTCATCTTTAAAAACCCAAGTCACATGCTATATTCAGCTCTGAAATGCCTTCTCTGGTCTTCCTCTATTCCTGGAGCATTTGTGTTATAACCCAACCCTGTCAGGTAGCTATTTGTTACTCCATTAGAAGGAGTCCCCCTCGAGGGCAGTAGCTGCATTTTATGATCCTGTCTTCCAATCTTCTAGTTCAGTGCTTCCCCATAGAGTGGTAAGTTTTAAGTAAACATATAATGAATAAATGAATGAATGCACCACTTATGGTGCCAAGGGTCAATGATGGGAGATTACCATGAAACAAATTGTTACTTCTGCAGGGCAAGGACAGGTGTTCTGAGTAATTAAAGATAGCTGTGGTGGAAAGGGACTGACATATGCAGCTTCTGGCAATCACAGACCATTACCCTTCCAAAAGGACAGCTCTGTCCAGACCTGTGATGTCAGCACCACTTTTCCCTGTAGTTGAAGGGAGTCTACCTATACAAAATGGCATGAAGGGTTAAGAAAATTAGATGATGCATGTCTAAAAGAGTGTCCAAATAAAATATTAATTTGGATTCCATCTTTTAAAAAATGCCTCACATTCTCCTTGTTTGCGTGCTCTCAAAACAAAAGCTCTGTCATCTGTTCTGCTTCCTGCCGTGCATCTTAACATTGTAGGTGTAGACCCAAGAACAACTGATTCTCCTAGTCCCTGCCATGCCTACAACATGTCCAGACTGCCACCTGTCACCAGGGGCTTCTCTGCCTTCAAGGAACTGAGATCAAACATCCCATGGGAAAAAGTTAAATCATAATCTAAAAGCTAAAGAATAAGACAAGAGATGTCCCCAGGCCACCTATGATCAAGTTTCAAATGAGTGAATGGTAAGAACAGAAAGTCATCTTGAGCTCTTTAGGGGAGCAGGCTGTGGATCAGAAGGGTCAAAAGATGAGTCCCAAGGCCATTTCAAAGGGACTCACAGCCTTGTGGGCTCAGGCAGGCTGATGGGCCAAGCAGAAATCACCCTACCCTGTCTTCTTTCTCTCCCAGCATCATAAATAATTGGCCTCCAGGGCTTCACGGCCAGCTTTATTCTCTGGTCCCTGGAACTGGCCCAGCACAGGAGCTGGCTTGCTGGTCATGGAGAAACTTCGTTGCCTGTGACCGCTCTTTCCCAGGCCTCCTGCTGATCAGCAGTGGGGTCTCTTGGGGATCATGGCATGGTGCTTAGGGAGCATCTGGAAGGCTCCTGGGATGGTAGCCCCGGAGATGGAAGAGGTGAGCATGGAGTTTTTGGAAAGCGGTTAGATGGGGAATTTGTGTAGGGAAGAGAGCTGAGGATATGGGCTTGGCTGAGTGCTAAGGAAGCCCTAACAGGGGAAGCTGAGCTCTAAGCCAACATCCCCTTCCCTCACCAATGGGGAGGGCATAGTTGAGAGAGCCATGGGTGTCATTATTTTGCAGGCGGGGTCAGAAGTCCTGAAACACTGGACAGAACATTGGGTAGAACATTAAAAAAAACTTGGTGGATGTGGAGAGAACAGTATCTGTGCATTTTATCCAATAGTTTTGCCTTACCTCTGAGGTGTCACGGCCGGTGCAAGAATTTACCTCTATCCTCATGAGAGAGGTGGGACTGCGGCTTCCCCCACCCACTTCACCTCCCTCCTCCATCCCTGCCTCTGTGGGAAGCATCCCTGTCTCAGTGGGAAAATCTGTCTCTGAAACCCCCAGGCCTCCACTGCTGGCACTCGTTCTCCTTCTGGTCAAGGCTCAGTCACTGATTCTGCTTTAAAACTCTGCAGAATGATTTAATTAATGTTGCAATCAGTGTCGTTCTGGAGAAATGGATGCAATCCAAAATGGCTAAATTGTACATCCTGCAAACATTCCGTACTTCACATGCAACTCATGAGAAGCAAACTCGAATAATGGAAAAATAAGTCAATTATAATAGAAGAAAATAAATTTGTTTTGCTTGTGTTTAGGCGAAGGGCACAATGGAAGTTCTAAAGTTTATTAATATCTGTTTAGAGAAATGGATTAAAATAAATACTGAGGAAGGCAGTGGTAAACAATAGAGCAAATAAAAAAGACAAGATGACTGTTTAGTCATAAATTGGGGCTCAAATTGCTTTTTTGTTCCTTGTATATGTTGCGATTTCAACTTCTCATTATGCAAAGTTACCAATTCAGATTTACAATGCAAATATATTTTCTGTGATTAATAAACTATTATTACCATTTACTCTCTCTCCAAAAGGTGGAATATTTTGAAAGACTTTGTTAAAATTAGTTTCAAGCTACTGTGGCACTTAGGAAGAAAGATGTGATATGGAAAAAAAAAAAGATTATTTTCCAAACACCATTAATTGAGCTAGGGCCCTAGAAAAAAATTAATCTATGGAAGTGATGATTTGGTTGCAATGGCAAAGCAGTTTTCAGCATAACAGAGTAGAAATGTGCCTATCTTAGATGAAATGTCCAGAAGCCTCCCATGTCTGGATCTTCTTGTGTACTTCTCCTCTAGTAGAAAATCAGCTCTGTTAGGATTTGACTGAGTCCTCATTTATCTTCAGCTCCACAGCACCTGTTCAAGTGTCCAGTACACAGCAGGATCCTCAAAAATATTGGCTAAGCTGAACTGTTAAAAATATTGGGGTCCCTAAAGTTATTTTTTTATTGTTCACGAGAACAGAGGTGTATTAGTCAGGGTTCTCTAGAGGGACAGAACTAAAGAACAGATATATGTATGTAATGGGGAGTTTATTAAGTATTAATTCTCACAATCACAAGGTCCCACAATAGGCCATCTGCAGGCTTAGGAGCAGGGAGAGCCAGTCTGAATTCCGAAACTGAAGAACTTGGAGTCTGATGTTCTAGGGCAGGAAGCATCCAGCATGGGAGAAAGGTGTAGGCTGGGAGGCTAGGCCAGTTTCTCTTTTCACATTTTTCTGCCTGCTTATATTCTAACCGCAATAGCAGCTGATTAGACGGTGCCCACCCAGATTAAGGGTGGGTCTGCCTTTCCCAGCCCACTAACTCAAATGTTAATCTCCTTTGGCAACACCCTCTCAGGCACACCCAGGATCAATATTTTGTATCCTTCAATCCAATCAAGTTGACACTCAGTATTAACCATAACAAGGGGTATATATCTATATCCTGAGTTTTCTTCGTCAAACTGTCAGAGACAGCTCCTTTCCCAACCATCTCCCTGGCCTCTTTTTTTTTTTTTTTTTTTTTTTTTTGAGACAAGGTCTCACTCTGTCACCCAGGCTGGAGTGCAATAGTGCCATCTCGGCTCACCGCAACCTCTGCTACCCAGGCTCAGGCAATCCTTCCATATCAGTCTCCCAAGTAGCTGAGATTACAGGCACGCACCACCACACCCAGCTAATTTTTATATTTTTGGTAGAGACAGGGTTTCAACAACCATGTTGCCCAGGATGGTCCCGAACTCCTGAGCTCAAGGGATCCCCCTGCCTCAGTCTCCCAAAGTGCTGGGATTACAGGTGTGAGCCACTGTACCTGGCCTCCTTTCCCCTTCTTTAACTCAGAGAACATTCTCCAGAGAAAGGCTACTTGAACAAAATAGATGCCTTCAGTTTTCCTCATATCTTTAGAAAAACCATGACAACAGTGATTTGCATTATTTTAAATCACATCCATTGAGAATCCACTTTGTGCAAAAAGCCCTGTGCTACATGTTGTTGTGACCAAGACAGCCTCCTTTCCCAGGAACTGAGTTCAGTGGGAGTTCTGGGTCACACCTCCGAAGGTGTGACTTTTTTCCGAGAGATGTAAATTTAAACTCTGACCCTACCTGAGGGTGTTGACAAAATCAATGGAGGATGCAGATCACAGAGCTGAGGGCGGATGGAAGCAAAAACTCCGAAGAGTGTGAAAGTATCCTTACTAAGAAAGGATGTTTCTTACTTTACAAATTGTAAAGCATCATTTCCTTAGAGGCATGAGTTCAGTTCAAGATTAATGAGTTAAAATTGTAAAATATTTACTGCCATTTCTTACTGGCATTCTTTGCTTATATTGGAAAAACACTATTAACTGCAGGGCTTACTTATATAACCCAATTTCGCCGAGCAATACTAATGTGGATTTATAACTGGGAAAACAAGGATGCTTCAGAAGCTCCTGCCAATGAATAGGCTGTTACTAACCAGCTTTGTGGAGACAGAATAGCACACGTTCCAGAATGAGGTCTGTGTTCAAATCCCAACTTTGCCATTGGTGATATAAGCTTCCTTATCTTAAAATGGAAATAATACTACCCATCAGACAGAATTGTTTGTGGAATCTGACACAAATAAGTTGGTCAGTAAGTTGTAGTTGTTTATTCATTTATTTTTAAATATTTTAGGCCTGTAGTCCTGGCTACTTGAGAGAATAAGGTGGGAGGATCTCTTGTGCACAGGAGTTCAAGGTCAGCCTGGGCGACATAGTGAGACCCCAGCTTTAAAAATAAATAAATAAAAGTAAAATACCTTGGTACATTATGAAGCTGCTTTTGCAAAAGAGTGTTTCTTGGGCTTGCTTGTATACTCTAAAAGATACAGTAGTTGCTTTGAAGTACATGATTTTTCCCATTTCACTTCTGGGAAAAAGAAGGTTTGCAAGGGAATAGTTGTTTCTTCAATAATAACACCTAACAATTATTGATCTTTTATGTATGCTGGGTTAATTTTCTAAGTAGTCCATTGAGATAGAACTATTATCGCTCCCATTGATATGAGAGTGCTGGGATGGGAAGAGTGTGGTCCCTTTAAATGATACAGAAGAGGGGAAGGGAAATGCTGGGTAGAGGAGGGTGTGGTCCCTGGTAGGGCTCCACCCCCACAGACCTGGGTGAGGACAGGCATTTTTGCTTTTCTGTCAAAAGTTGCATTTCCCAAGACCACCCTGGCCTGCCACGCCCCCATCCTGTGCCTGTAAAAACCCTGACACCCCAGCAAGCAGACACACACATAGCTGGATATACAGAGGAGCGCATCAGTTAAGGAACATGCAGGTGGCTGGATGTCCAGAGCAACACACCCATAGGCACCTGCTCTCCGGCAGGCCAGCAGAATAACACTGAGTTTGGCTGGGGTAGTTGGAGGAGAGCCCGGGCCAGCTTGACTGCAGGGAAAAGCCATCTCCCTTCTGGCTCCCCCATTTGCTGGGAGCTACTTCCACTCAATAAAACCTTGCACTCATTCTCCAAGCCCACCTGTGATCCGATTCTTCCAGTACACCAAGGCAGGAAACCCCGGCATACAGAAAGCCCTCTGTCCTTGCGATAAGGCAGGGGTCTAATTGAGCTAACAGAAGCCGCCTATAGACGGCAAACTAAAAAAGCACCCTGTAACACACGCCCATTGGGCCTTTAGCTGTAAACGTTCGCATCTAGACACTGTCGTGGGGTCAGAGCCCCACAGCCTGCCTGTCTGTATGCTCCCCTAGAGGTTTGAGCAGTGGGGCACTGAAGAAGTGAGCCACTCCCCCGTCACATGCCCTGTGAGGGGGACAAGGGAAGTTTCCCTGTTTCAGCATATTTTGTTTTTTCACATATGCCCCAAAAAAGTGTCTCCCATATTTCAGATTAGGAAACTGAGGCCCAGAGAAGTCAAGCAATGAATGGCCTAAAGTCATATGAGCCCAGAAACCAGGATTTCTGGCTCCAGGAAGGGAAGATAATCCCCCGCAGCTCAGGCTGTTTCCTCTGCCCAGGTCTTTGTGCCTGCTGACATATTTGTGGGGAACTTGTAAAAAATGCAGCTTCAGGGTCTAGCCCCAGGGGTTCTGTTGCTATGTTTTTGAGCTGTGGTTGGTGGGGAACTTGCAATTCAGCAAACTTCCTGGTTGGCATTGATACCTGACGTCCAGCTTTGAAGCCTGTGAGCAAGACCCTGGTCTGGACTTGTTCCAGGCTTCTTGTTTATCCAAGGGGCAGTCAGACTTGGACAGCAAAAGCCTTGATGGGAAGAAGACAGGAATTGCTGGGTGTCCTGCCATGAGGCTGGGTGCTGGGTGAGTTGATCCAGCCAAGCTGCGTCCAGACTGCCTCAGTACCACTTGGCAGAGCTGAGTCCTTCTCCATGGCCAGGTGACCTTGAGTCACCCCTTTGAAAGCCATTCTAGGATGGGCATAGTGGGCTGGAGATGGGGGTAGTGGGTATTATCTACATCAACGGGCCCCAGGGACACCCTCCCACTGGCCACATTCTCTCTTCTCTTACCAGAGCCCTGAGAGGCAGCCTCTACGGCAGCCCTTGGTGGTTCATGTGCTTTCTTTTGTCTAGGAGGCAGCAGGTTAGCATCTTGTGAAGAGGAGGAGGTGACCGAATGTCATCCCCGTGTCCCAGGGCTGTGGGAGTGAATGGTTACTATGCCAGAGCAGAAATTTGCAATGCACCTTTGAGAGCTCAAAGCATTCCCCCTCCCACTCCTGCCCCCTCCATTGATCTTATCCAGCACTGTCTCCAGGAATTGCATGCCGTATGTGTGCACATGCACCTGTCTATGTGCTGGGAGAGGCAAGAGAGAGGTAACAGGTTCAGAGTTTAAAAAGAAAGGCCATTGATTTTCCCCACACTTGGGGAAAATATGAGGATGCTGCCACAGTGTTTGAGGGGCTGTGGCTGGGGCCCTGTATGCTGGCCACATTGTAGCATCATAATAAAATTAACAACCACAATTAGCTGCCATAGTTACTAAGTATACACTATTGTTCCATGTGTCACAGTGTGTTAGCCTTCTTCAGAGAAACAAACAATAGGAGATATCTATATCTGTATCTATATCTAATCTATATCCATATCTATCTGTCTATGTCTATATCTATAGCTATGCCTATATGGACGTCAATATTGGTAACAGGTATAGGTAAAGACATAGATATAGAAAGAAATTTATCATAATAAATTGACTCATGCAATTATGGAGGCTGACAAGTTCCAAGATCTGCATTCAGCAAGCTGGAGAACCAGAGCTGATGGTATAATTCAAGTCCAAAGGCCATCTGCTGGCAGAATTCCCTCTTGCTTAGGGGAGGTTAACCTTTTTGTTCTATTCAGGCCTTCAAATGATTGGAAGAAGCCTACACACATGAGAGAGGGCCATCTGCTTTACTCAGCCTGCTGAATTGAGGTGTTAATGTCACCCAAAAACACCCTCACAGACACACCCAGAATAATGTTTGACAAAATATCTGGGCACTCCATGGCTCAGTCAAGTTGACACATAAAATGAATAATCATATGCAGTATGGGTTTTAGCTGCATTATCTCGTTGAATTCCCCCAACAATTCTATTAAGTAGTTTACTATAATCACCATTTCACAGAGGAGGAAAATGAGGCTCAAAGAGGCTAGTTCACTTTCTCATGGTTTCTCAGCTAGTAAGTGGCACAGCTGAGATTTGAATCTGAGTCTTCCTGACTCGAAAGCCACTATACTGTGTGGCTTCCAAGCCAATTGTCTTACTGTATGCATCCTCATGGATCATCTGGAAGCTGCTACCACTCTCCTAATCAACTATTTGGACGTTGAATATTATATGGTATCTGTCAAGGCTGTCACTTGCAAGCAATAGAACAGACTGGCTGATTTAGTGAAAAGGGGTTATATTAAAAGGCTGTTGAGTAACTCACAGAGTCACTGACTGAGATAGCTGGAGGACCACAGTGGAGGCTGTGCAGCTCTAAGGGAGGCTGAGATCCTAAATATCTGGCATTTGTATCATCTTTGTGGTAGAGGGGCCCTGCCGGTCACCCAGGATCATAAGGCAAAGGGGGTCTGGAGACCGAGAGTAGCCAGAAAAAACAGCAAAGGCCACCACACATATTTAGTGGTGATTGGCTGATGGGAGGTGGCACCTACTTTCAAGTGTAAACATGACAACTGCAGTGACCAGCTCCAAGGTGTGTGCTGGGGGCTTCTACTGGGGAAACTGAGATTTTTAACTGGGGTGTTAACAACCAAAGTCTGTTAGTGCAGAGAGTTATTATGGTGGATTGAGTTGTGTTATCCCAAAATAGATATGCACAGCCCCCAAGACCTCGGAGTACAGCCGTATTTGGAGTTAGGGTCTTTACAGAGATAGTTAAATTACAACAAGGTCATTAGGGTGGGTCCTAATCCAATGTGGCTGGTGTCCTTATAAAAAAGGAAGATTTGGACACAGAGACAGAGGGAAGCCTACATGAGGAGACTGGGGGAGAATGCCACGTGAAGATTAAGGCAGAGATGAAGGGGTGATGTGTACACAAGCCAAGGAAACCACAGAAGGCAGGAGTGAGGCCGGGAGCAGATCCTTTCCTAGCTCCTCCAGAAGGCGCACAGCCCTACCAATCCTTGATTCTGGACTTCGGCCTCTGGAACCAGGAGACAATGTCTGTTGTTTAAGCCCCCAAGTTTGTGGTACTTGATTACTGCAACACTAGCAAACTGGTACAGGTAGTAAATGTCAGAGCCCACATTAACGCCTGAATCTCTCTGAATCTAAAGCCAGTGCTCTTTCAGAATCCAAATCCATGCCTCGCTGCCAGGCTCGGGCAGCCCAGAGCAGAAGAAAATGGGACTCTGTACTGGATTCCTGAATTCTAGACTAGAGTGTGGTTTAGCTGATATGAAATCCAAATGGCTCCCATAAGAGACAAGTGTCTTTCTCCCACACATGCAGGTAAGCTGGGCACTGATGCTCCGCTCTGGGGATTCTTGGGGGCCCTGGCACCCCCTCTCTGTCTCTCTGCCTTTCCCAGGTGCCACCCTCACGATGGCTCTCAGCCACGTCCACATTCCTGGTAGCAGAAAGGGGGCTGGAAAGGGCAGGGCAAGAGCAGGCTCCCTTCCTGTTTTTTGGAGACAGAGTCTCGCTCTGTTGCCCAGGCTGGAGTGCAGTGGTGCAATCTTGGCTCACTGCAACTTCTGCCTCCCGGGTTCAAGAGATTCTCCTGCCTCAGCCTCCCGAGTAGCTGGGATTACAGGTGCTGCCACAACGCCCGGCTAATTTTTTGTATTTTTAGTAGAGATGGGGTTTCACCATGTTTGCCAGGCTGCTCTCGAACTCCTGACCTCAGGTGATCCACCCGCCTCAGCCTCCCAAAGTGCTGGGATTATAGGCGTGAGCCACCGTGCCTGAGCCAGACTTTCTTCCTTTAAGGCAAGGGCGCTGAACTTAACCATATCCCTTCATTCACTTCCACCATGTGACAGAGAAATGCACTCCTTAGCATGGCGGCTCTTGTCTGACCGAAAATTACAATTTATTTAAGGAGCTGAGAATATTGTAAGATAGAGTTTCTTGGGTTTTTGCAGGTTTGTATGGGACGAAAAAGAGAAGGGGTGATTTTCTTTCAAGTCTGGCTAGAAAAGGAAGTGGATGTTTGCTCCCCAATGGCATTGTCCTGTGTCTTCTCAGTGGCTTCTCTGTTTCTGGGCCCGAGAAGCCTGGAGACTCCAGGGCGCCTGTCTCAGCATCTCCTGAGTCACCCACACCAATCACAGCAAGGTCCCCAGCCTCAGCTGGGTGTGGTCAGACTGGAGAACACATCTGATGGTCAATGTCATCCTCATTTATGAATGTGGGGAGCTTGGGATGGAGGAAATGAGAGAAGTGGTAATTCATGGGCTCTGGTTCTCTATCTGGAGATGTAAAAGGAGTTGGGTGTAGTGGCCAAAGCTGGGCTTCCTTTCTGTGCCAGTTCCATGGGCTCTGGTGCCCTCTAGCCTGGCCCTGAGATCAAAGCACCCCTGGGTGGGGTGGGAAAGGCATCTGAAAATCAAACTTGATTGGTGCTGCTGGAGCTGTTCAAACCTGTGAAAGGTAGACTAGATAGTGGATTATGCAAGTCCTTTTGGAACTTGGGTAAGTTATTTCGCCTACCTGGCCCTTAAATTCTTCATTTATAAAATGAAAGGTTGAGGTTACATTAATGCTCCACAGAATCTAGCATGTAGTAGAATCACACTTGTCTAAATGCACTGTCAGAGATCCTGACACAGGCTGGGTGCAGTGGCTCACGCCTGTAATCCCAGCACTTTGGGAGGCCGAGGCAGGCAGATAACCTGAGGTCAGGAGTTCGAGACCAGCCTGGCCAACATGGGGAAACCCATCTCTACTAAAAATACAAAAATTAGCAGAGCAGAGCGTGGTGGCACATGCCTGTAATCCCAGCTACGCGGGAGGCTGAGGGTGCAGAATCACTTGAACCCAGGAGGCAGAGGTTGCAGTGAGCCTAGATCGCACCATTGCACTCTAGCCTGGGTGATGAGAGCGAAACTCCGTTTCAAAAAAAAAAAATAAGAGAGAGATCCTGACACAGCAATTCCAGCTGGGGCCCAAGAATAATAATACCCAAAACCTACTGAGCACTTGACATGTGTCAGACACTGTTCTGAAGAGTTTTATTTCTGGATTAACTCATTTTATCCTACAACAGACCTGTGAGGTATGTATTTATCATCCTGATGTTACAGATATGCAAATTGAGGCACATGGCAGCTGACAGACTTTCCCCAGGTCATACAATTAGGGAGCCGCAGAGCTGAGACCCAAGGCCTGTGACGTTGCCTGCCAATCTTGCATTCTTTGGTACTGCTTTTTTTTTTTTTTTTTGTTACAGAGTCTCGCTCTGTTGCCCAGGCTCACTGCAACCTTTGTCTCCCAGATTCAAGTGATTCTCCTGCCTCAGCCTCCTGAATAGCTGGGATTACAGGCACCTGCCACCACACCTGGCTAATTTTTGTATTTTCAGTAGAGACGGGGTTTCACCATGTTGGCCAGGCTGGTCTCGAACTCCTGACCTCAGGTGATCCACTCGCCTCGGCCTCCCAAAGTGCTGCGATTACGGACGTAAGCCACCGTGCCTGGCCTTCTTTGCTACTGCTTTAACAAGACGCTGTCATAAACCACAAGCCAGCCTTTCTGCTGGATCTGTAAATAAACATTGCCCCAAGGGAGCTTGAACTTTAGTAAAGAAGCTAAGATTGATGCTCAAATCACGGAATACAAGGCTGACCCACAAAGAAGCCCAAGAAAGGAAGAGCAATGTGCCCTGGGAGCAGAGTGGGTGGTCCACAAGGGGGCTCCAGTCTTTCTGACAGGAGGGGTTAAAGTGAGCATCTGAGAGAAGGAGGCACTGAATGTGGCTCCCAAATTGAGGAACATGTCAGGGGTCGGGTAGGCGGGGAGCTTCCAGCCAGAGACAGTGGCCTGTGCTCAGAGTACCAGGTACTGATGTGACTGGGCATTCTCCAAGGTGCAGGTCCTTTGGTTTGGTGCGGACACATATAAGAGAGACTCAGTGGGAGGGAAGGCAAGTCTGCGTCCAGATTGTGAAGAGCATTGATGTCCTTCCAAGACAGGAAAGAGGCAGTGGAAGCCCCAGGGGCAGCCAATACAGCAGAATGTGTTAGAGAGAAGAGGAAACTGTGGCCATCTCAAAAGTACCCTGAAGGCTGGGCACAGTGGCTCATGCCTGTAATCCCAGCACTTTGGGAGGCTGAGGTGGGTGGATCACCTGAGGTCAGGAATTTGAGACAAGCCTGGCCAACATGGCAAAAAACCTGTCTCTACTAAAAATACAAAAATTAGCCAGGCGTGGTGGCAGATGCCTGTAATCCCAGCTACTGGGGAGGCTGAGGCAGGAGTATCACTTGAACCCAGGAGGTGGAGGTTGCAGTGAGCTGAGATCCCGCCACTGCACTCCAGCCTGGGCGACATTGTGAGAATCCATCTCAAAAATAAATAAATAAATAGCTGGGCATGGTGGCTCACGCCTGTAATCCCAGCACTTTGGGAGGCCAAGGCAGGCGGATCACGAGGTCAGGAGATCGAGGCCATTCTGGCTAACACGGTGAAACCCCATCTCTACTAAAAATACAAAAAATTAGCCGGACATGGTAGTGGGCTCCTGTAGTCCCAGCTACTCGGGAGACTGAGGCAGGAGAATGGCGTGAACCCGGGGGGCGGAGCTTGCAGAGAGCAGAGATCATGCCACTGCACTCCAGCCTGGGCGACAGAGCAAGACTCCGTCTCAAAAAATAAAATAAAATAAATAAATAAATAAATAAATAAATAAAATAAAAAGTCCCCTGGACTACGGCCGTGGCAGAGAGAACAGACGGGATGAGGCAGATGCAGGAGTGACAGTTTAAAAGGAGAGTCCGCAGGAGAGAGGTGTCTATAACCTAGAGGTTGGAGCAAAGGAGACAGAGGTCTTGAAGATGACCCAAACTTCCGAGTGCAGAACTGGATGGAAAGAAACATTCTGTTCCAGTGGAAGGTACCCCAGCAGAGGGGCTGGGTGGAAGAGGAAGTTGAATTGAAGAGATTCGAAGATGCCCTCAGCTCAGAAGATAAGTCAGGGCGAGAGATTTGGGAGGTGGGAGGGGCGCGATGCCGACTGAGTCCTTTTGAAAGCCCTGGGGTAGAAGTAATCATGGAGTGTGTGATATTCCTCATGCTGAAGGGCAGGCTGGGTGATGCAAATAGCTTAGAATTTAATGTTAATGCTTTTTTATCTTGGTAATGTTGCTTGGTAACATTGGTACCAAGCAAGATTAGTAAGATTTACCAAGATTAATAAATCTTGGTAAAATTGCTTAATTTCTTAATAATCATAATATGACTTTTTGTTGTTGTTGTTGTTGTTTTGAGACAGGATCTCACTCCGTTGTCCAGGCTGGAGTGCAGTGGCACAGTCATGGCTTACCGCAGCCTCAAACTCCTGGACTCAAGTGATCCTCCCACCTCAGCTTCCCAAGTAGCTGGGACTACAGGAACCCACCACCATGCCCAACTAATTTTAGTATTTTTTGTAGAGACAAGTTTTGCCATGTTGCTCAGGCTGGTATCAGACTCCTGGACTCAAGCCATCTGCTCACCTTGGCCTCCCAAAGTGCTGGGATTATAGGCGCGAGTCACTGTCCCCGGCAATAATATAACTTTTAAAATGGAAAATCTAGTTTGTTAAGACTCTACTTTTCTCAATCCAAGGAATAGTTACACATACACACACACACGCACACAATATATGTACATATATGTATATATATCACATATATGATATATGTATATACGTATATATATCACATATATGATATATGTATATACGTATATATATCACATATATGATATATGTATATACGTATATATATCACATATATGATATATGTATATACGTATATATATCACATATATGATATATGTATATACGTATATATATCACATATATGATATATGTATATACGTATATATATCACATATATGATATATGTATATACGTATATATATCACATATATGATATATGTATATACGTATATATATCACATATATGATATATGTATATACGTATATATATCACATATATGATATATGTATATACGTATATATATCACATATATGATATATGTATATACGTATATATATCATATATATGATATATGTATATACGTATATATATCATATATATGATATATGTATATATATCATATATGTGTATATATATTATATATATACATACATATATATGTCTAGAAACCATTGCTATGCTTACTAAATGACACTACATAGGGCTGGCAGAGCATCATCATTGTCCATAACCAGTATCTGTTGATCTTGTGCCAGATGTTTAGCACATTTTCTACTTCATTACTGCTCAAACTCTAATCTTTGAATAATGACTCAATTTCTCTCTTGCAAGGGGCACGCAGTCCCTGCTGCAAAGGAGTTGCCTCTTCTTTAAAACTGGCGCATCATCAGTTGGTTAGGTTCCCTTTGGGTAGTCCCTTCAGGAAACTCTTGGTTTTCTTTCTGGTTTCTGTGTCAGGGCTCCTTGTCATAAGGAGGTGGGATAGAATTGGGAGGGGAAAGTCTCCATTGCCTGCTGCTTGGGACCCAGGCCATGAGTCTTGTAATTGCATCCGACCAATCTGACTCCACATTTATGTAACAAAGTTGTGAGTTGTTTTTCCAGGTTGAAGGTCATGTAACCTGAGCGTGCCCAGATAAACCAAGTGCGCAACCACAGGCAGGACCTAATTGCTCAGACCAAGGAACAGGGAATGAATTAAGAAGCAGAAACCTGGCCAGGTATGGTGGCTCATGCCTGTAATCCCAGCATTTTCGAAGGCTGAGGCAGGTGGATCACCTGAGGTCAGGAGTTCAAGACCAGCCTGGCCTGAACATAGTGAAACCCTGTCTCTACTAAAAATACAAAAATTAGCTGGGTGTGGTGGCATGCGCCTGTAATCCCAGCACTTTCAGAGGCTGAGGCAGGCGGATCGCCTGAGGTCAGGAGTTCAAGACCAGCCTGGCTTGAACATAGTGAAACCCTGTCTCTACTAAAAATACAAAAATTAGCTGGTCTTGGTGGCACGTGCCTGTAATCCCAGCTACTTGGGAGGCTGAGGCATGAGAATCGCTTGAACTCAGGAGGCAGAGACTGCAATGAGCTGAGATTGTGCCACTGCACTCCAGCATGGGTGACACAGTGAGACTCTGTCTCACTCTAAAAAAAAAAAAAAAGGAAGCAGAAACCAGACAGCAGGATCCAGGATCCAGTCAGATCATGCCTCATTACCCTCTAACTATCAGACCTGCCCCAACTCCCAGACTGGGGAGACAGACTTGAGGCTGACTCCTGTCTCCCTGTTTGGCAGCCTTGCAATAAACTACTCTTTCTACAGAAACTCGGTTCAGTGTTTGGCTTTCCAAAGTGTGTGGGCAAATGGGGCCAGTTCAGTTCAGTAACAGCCTTACCTGCTTATTTTTGGCAAATCCTAGCCTCTTTAAAAGAACACTTTAATTTTAAAATAAGTTTAGATTACAGAAGCATTCCCAAGATAGCACAGAGGCTTCTTGTGTGGTCTTCACTGAGCTTCTATTGTTATTATCTTATATAACCATGGTGCATTTAGTGAAACAATGCTATTGTGTTTGTTTTCTATGGCTGCTATAACAAATTACCACAGACATGGTGGCTTTGAATAACACAGATGTATTATCTCACACATCTGGAGGTCACAAGTCCAAAATGGGTCTCACTGGGCTTAAAGCAAGACGTCGGCCAGGTGCAGTGGCTCACACCTGTAATCCCAGCAATTTGGGAGGCTGAGGCAGGTGGATCACTTGAGCTCAGGAGTTCAAGACCAGCCTGGGCAACATGGCAAAACCCTGTCTCTACAAAAAATACAAAAATTAGCTGGGTGTGGTAGTGTGTGCCTGTGGTCCCAGCTACTTGGGAGTCTGAGGCAGGAAGATTGCTTGAGCCCAGGAGGTTGAGGCTACAGTGAGCCGTGATGGCGCTACTGCACTCCAGCCTGGGTGACAGAGTGAGACTCTGTCTCAAGAAAAAAATAAAAAATAAAAAATAAATAAAGATATCCCTATGGCTGTGTTCCCTCTGGTGCTCTAGGGGAGAATGTTTCCTTGTCATCTCCAGCTTCTAGAGGCTGCTTGTGTTCCTTGGCCTGGGGCCTCCTTCCACTTTTGTTTTCTTTTTCTTTTTTTTTTAGCTGCATTTATTTTACTTATGTAGTGAGGAAGAGCTTGCTGTGTTGCACAGGCTGCCCTCAAATTCCCCGGCTCAAATGATCCTCTCGCCTCAGCTTCCCAAGTAGGTGGGACTAAAGGCACATGCCACCTCACCTGGCTTACTAAACTCTATTTTTAAGAACAGTTTCAGGTTCACAGTAAAATTGAGTAGCAAGTACAGAGAGTTCCCATATATCCTCTGCCCCCACACATACATACACTCCCCCACTAGCAACATCCAGCAAGATTTGTGCAGGATGGTACATTTGTTACAATTGAGGAACCTACGCTGAGACATCATTATTAACCAAAGTTGACAGTTGACCTTAGGGTTCTGTCTTTTGTTTTGACAAATGTGTAAGGACCTGAATCCACAATTACAGTATCATACAGAATGATTTCACTGCCCTAAAAATCCTCTGTGCTCTACCTACACCTTGAACCCTTGGAAACCACTGATCTTCTTACTGTCTCTATAGTCTTGTTACCCACAGTGGGTGAGTTTGGCAGCTTAGTACTTGGCAGATTATCAACCCAATGACCATAACCAAGGAGGATTTAGCCAGGGAATTTTATTTCTTGTAACAAGTAAGGAGAATACCAGGAATAGTTCCCAAATCATTGTCTCCCCGGGGGGCTGGGTCAGATTTTGTAATCATAGGATAATGAGGTGTGACCTGATTGGATCTTGCAATGAGGTGATGCCAGGAGGCATAATATAATTGGGTCCTGCCATGGGGTAATGCCAGAGCTTGATCTGATTGGATCCTGGATCCTGCCAGGTGCTGTCCGCTTCTTAATTTGGTCCCCTCCCCTTGGTCCAAGCACTTAGGTTCCCCTTGTGGTTACACACTTGGTTCATCTGGGCATGCTCAGGTTACATGAGGGTCGATGGCAACTGAAAAGCAACTCACAACTTTATTACTTAAAAGTTGACCCAGGTGGGGCCAGTCCCAGTGGCTCACGCCTGTAATCCCAGCAGTTTGGGAGGCCGAGGCGGGTGGATCATCTGAGGTCAGGAGTTCAAGACCAGCCTGGCCAATATAGTGAAACCCTGTCTCTACTAAAAATACAAAAAAGTTAACTGGGCATGGTGGTGTGTGCCTGTAATCCCAGCTACTTGGGAGGCTGAGGCAGGAGAATCACTTGAACCCGGGAGACGGAGGTTGTAGTGAGCTGAGATTGTGCCATTGCACTCCAGCCTGGGCAACAAAGAGTGAAACTCCATTAAAAAAAAAAAAAAAAAGTTGACCCAGGTGGATCTGAAGCAGTTACGATTTTGCCTTTTCTGGAGTGTCATATAGTTGGAATCATAGGGTATGTAGCCTTTTCAGATTGGCTTCTTTCATTTGGCAATATGCATTTAAGGTTCCTCTGTGTCTTTTCATGGCTTAGTAGCTCATTTCTTTTTATTGCTGAGTAATATTCCATTGTCTGGATGTACCACAGTTTATCCATTTGTCAGTTCATGTACATTTGGGTTGTTTCTACTTGTTGGCTATTATGAATAATGCAGACAAATATGTACAAGTTTTTGTCTGGACATATGTGTTCTTACCTAGCAGTGTAATTGCTGGGTTATATAATAACTCTATTTTATAATAAACTGTAATGCTGGACTGCTTTCCAAAGCCGCTGCACTATTTTATTTTTTTATTTTATTATTATTATTATTTTTTGAGATGGAGTCTAGCTCTGTTGCTCAGGCTGGAGTGCAGTGGCACAGTCTCGGCTCACTACAAGCTCCGCCTCCCAGGTTCATGCCATTCTCCTGCCTCAGCCTCCCGAGTAACTGGGACTACAGGCGCCCGCCACCACGCCCGGCTAATTTTTTGTATTTTTAGTAGAGACGGGGTTTCATCGTGTTAGCCAGGATGGTCTCAATCTCCTGACTTCGTGATCCACCCACCTTGGCCTCCCAAAGTGCTGGGATTACAGGCGTGAGTCACCATGCCCGGCCGCCGCTGCACTATTTTATATTCCCACCAGCAATGTGTGAAGTCTCCAGTTTCTCCACATCCTTGTCAACACTTGTTATTATCTGTCTTTGGTTGTAGCGATCCTAGTGAGTGTGAAGTGATGTCTCATTGTGGTTTTGATAAGGGTCTAGTATCCAGAATGCTCTTTATAGCACTTTTTTGCTCTGTAGTGAAAGATCCAGTCACATACTGTATTCAATTGTCATGTCTTTTTAGTCATTTTTAATCTAGCTCTAATATTTTTAGATTCCTTTCCTCAAAGCCCAACATTTATTGGCAAAGGCATTTTTAGAAAATAATATACTTTAAGTAGCATTTTGAATTCTCAAAACAACCTACACGAACAGTATCCTTGGTCTTTCTGAGGTAGCACCTCACTCATTTTCTTGGCACAAACCACTCCTTTTGTTTTTCTTCATACTACAGAAGGGACACAGCATTTTACAAGCTTCCCTTTACAGTTCTTGAGTGCCTTGAAAGTGCCGAATCCTGCAAACAAACAAGAAGGAGGTGCCTGACCGACAGGATTAAACAAGAAGCCCCCTCTTTCTTCAAAAATCCAGCTGCCCCTGGCCGGGCACAATGGCTCACACCTGCAATTGCAGCACTTTGGAAGGCCAAGGCAGGAAGATTGCCTGAGCCCAGGGGTTGAAGACATCCTAGGCAATGTAGTGAGACTCCATCTCTACAAAAAAAAAAAAAAAGAAAGAAAAAAATTAGCCAGGAGTGGTGGTGTACACTTGTGGTCCCAGTTACTTAGGAGGCTGAGGTGGGAGGATTGCTTGAGCTGGGGAGGTTGAAGCTGCAGTGAGCAGTGATGGTGCCACTGCACTCCAGCCTGGGTGACAGAGCAAAAAAAAAAAAATCCAGCTGCCCTGGAAAACTGTTCAGTCCTCTCAGGGTATAGTTGGGCAGCCACAGTCCCCTCTTCATTGCCCCTCACCCTAGCATACTTTAGGCAGTCAATGATATTCCCTTGTGATTCTATTTTAGGGAGTCTTTCCATAGGCACTAATTCCCATGTTAGAGGCCATAGTGGAGTACACCATACATTTCCCTTGGTTTCCACCCATTGATGCTGGCAAGGCAGTATCAGCATGAGCAATCCTCTTCATCCTGTGAGTGGCATGAAACAAAATCACTCAACCAGTGACAGATTTAAATGTTCAAAAATAGGCAGTCATGTCACTTTCCCCCACACAAATGCAGACGCCCACTTAGAATGGCCAGAACAAGAGCTACCGAGATTCCAACTAGAAGACTACTTGTGCTGTTTATAGTCAAACAGCTTGTAATCGTCACTGCTTCCTTCCTCCCTCCATCCTTTCATCGGAAGGAAGAACCATCTGCCTCCCTCCTCATTCTTCCCCGCCTCTCCTTGATCTCTGCAGGTTGACTTTAAGCCTGTCGGAAGTGAAGAACAGAAGGCGAGGTGGAGAGTCTTCTCTCTTAGGCACATCAGCTTCTTGCCTACACATCTGGATGGTTGGCCCACTCTTTCCTGACGCAATGGTCTTTCTCTACATATCAGAACTTACCTACTCATTGATTGTAACTAGGTTTTGTCTTTCCTATTTCCTGGCTTTTATTCATCCTTCCACTTGGAATTTCATCTGCTCACCAAAGTCTTAGCCTGCGTGCAAAAGCAAACTCAAATGCCACTTCCTACAGGCAGCCTCCTCTGAAATCTTTGCTCCTCCCCCAGGACACCTAGCACATAGGAGTTGCTTGAGTATTACTTGTTGAATGAGTGAATGAAGGAAGGAAGAATGAAACTTTCATTGCCTCTGTTGCTTTATGTAACTCTTGTTAAAGTCACAGAGTATTAGAGTACAAGTGGTCCTGGGACATCCAGTCCACAGGAGGTGAGTTATTTTGTAAGTCAGGGTATGACAGCTGAAGGCTGTCACAGGTTGGTGGACTAAATTAATTTGAATTTTACATCTTCCTATTCTGTCTGTGCTGGGAAACTGGAGACAGAGATATGTATGCTTCGCAGGGCCCCTTGGCCCCGACTCTTCTATTTTATGCAGACAAGGATGTGGTCTTGCTGATGCTGAGTTTGTTCAGGAAACAGAAGTCTGATGTTTGCAAATATTTCTTTAAATGGAAGCATTAAGTGTAGAGGTTGTTTGTGTAAGTTCTTCCTGAGAAGTGTTGAGAGTTCAGGTATAACATGCCCATGGCAGATGACAAGATCAAGCTGCTCAGACTCAGCTAGACTCTACCTTGCACGCTCAGGGGCACAGGAAGCTGTACCCTCCTCCTGCCTCTCACCCTCAGTCCCTGTCCCCAGTCACCACACTGCTCTGCAGTGCTCAAGAAGCTATGCCGGATCATGCCCATGATTGTGCTAAGCTTCTGTAGCTGTGGATAATTATATTGGGCTTATAGCATGATGTGGAATAGATGCCAGAAATAAAGCCCTTGCCTTCTGTTATAGACTGAATTGTGTCCCCCTCCAGAATCACATTTTGGAGTCCTAACCCCCAGCACCTCAGAATGTGACTGTGTTTGGAGACTGGGTCTTTAAAGAGGTACATGAATTAAAATGAGGTCATTAAGGCAGACCCTTATCCAATACCACTAGTGTCCTTATAAGAAGAGGAGGTTTAGACACAGAGATATGCAGAGGGAAGATGGTGTGAAGACACAGGGAAAAGGGGGATATCTACAAGCCAAAGAGAGAGGCCTTGGGAGAAGAAACTCTGCCGGCATGTTCATCTTGGACTTCCAGCCCCCAGAGCTGTGAGAAAATAAATGTCTGTTGTTTAAGCCTCCCAGGCTATGGTACTTTGTAATGGCAGCCCCAGCCAGTTGATACTCCTTTGATGAGGTTTGTTGTGGAGAAATACATACATGGCTCATCCCCTCTCTAATGCTGGAAGGCATCGTGCACAAACCCATGCCTCCAGATCATAATCTGCACTCCAAGGAGGACCTGGGGCTGTTCTCTTTCCTTATGGAAGGGATGCAAATGTCCATCTCGAAGTGACTCTTTCCACTTTGAAACAAAGAGGAGCTGGAAGAATTTTGCCATTAAACTTTTAATAATAGTCATGTGTCTTCCTTAGGTATTTTTATATTTGCTTGTACCTTTGTTCAATAGAAAATGACAAATGCATGACTCTCCAGGCCCACCCACTCAACTCCCACGTTCCCAGCTGATTCAGTGTTCTCTGATCCACTGTCTCCGCTGGCTTGTCTCATCACTCCAACATAGGTGCTCACGTGCACACGCTTTGCCACTTCCAAGGGCATGGGAAGAGGTGAGGAATGAATTGCCAGTGTTGGGGTCTGGGCTCATCCACCCGCTGATGGCACGGCCATCCCTAGAGGCAAAAGGAGTCTCAGGCTGGTCATCACACTTGGCATTCTGGAGTGTTCAAACATTTTTCATGAATGCTAACTCATTTAGTCATCAAAGAACCCTGCGATTTAGGCAGAGTGAAGCTATTATTTTCATTTTCAGGAGGAAACTGGGGCTCAGAAAGATGAGGTGCCACGTGCAGGGTCTCATAGTAAGGATGAGGGAGCACAGAGATGAGAGCCTTCTTTCAGTCACCACTCCTACGCTCTCCCAAGCCTTGGGCAAACATTAAGAACTCTGTGCCCTTGGTTGTCCCGTCACCAGCATTAAACTGGCTTATCTGGTGACATAGTAAGATTTTGACAGCAACCACTTATGCAGTGCTGATGATGATCCAGGCACCTTTCTATGTAAATGCTGTACATGGATTCACATCTAACACCCTTATGACGTTAAGTCCTGTTATTGTCACCTGCACTTTACAGATGCAGAGACTGAGGTGTGGAGAAGTTATATCGCTGGCCCAAGATTACACAGCTGTCAAGAGGCAGACTCAACCTTCACACCCAGGCAGTCTGGCTGCAGGCTCTGCTCTCTTTGCTACTATGCCATAACTGCCCCTCACTGAGAGGCCTCTGTCTGTGGTCAGGATGGTCAAGACCACATGGAGGCCAGGAAGGTTGTTACCTGCCACAGGGACAGAACCATTGTGTCCTTCCAAAATTCATAATTCAAAACCTTCCCCACTAATGTGATGGTATTGGGAGGTGGGGCCTTTAGAGGTGATTAGAATTAGATGGGGTCCTGAGGGTGGGGCCCTCATAGCGGGATTGGTGTCCTTATAGGAAGGGACACCAGAGAGCTGGCTTCCTCTCTTTGCCCCGTGAGGACACGGTGAGGAGGTATAATCCAGGAAACAGGAGGAAGACCCTCCCCAGACATCGAATCTGCCAGAGCCTTGAGCTTGGATGTCCCAGTAACCAGAATGGCAAGAAACTACTGTTATGTAAGCCGCCTGGTCTGTTGTGTTTTGTTATAGCAGCCGGGCTGACTAAGACGACTGCCATCCCCCCCCACCAAGTGAGCACTCTGTGCCCCAAATCAAGCCCTGGAATGCCCCGAAGTCTGAGCTCCCTGGAGCCCGAGCTCCTATCCCTCCAGCTAGCATCAGCGGTTCCTGGTGTCCCTCCATCTGGTTTGGCTTCACATTCCCAGCAAAGCGGTCCAAACTAGGTCAGTAACAGCAGGAGCGGGTGGCCTGTGCTTCCTGCATCCTCCTGCTCCCTGAGCAATCTGGTCCAGTGGCTGAGAACAGTATCTCCTCAGGCTGCCGCAAAGCCCTGCTGAGGAGGACAGTGATTCAGGCTGAGTGTGTCTTAATGGTTCTGTCTGCTCCTTCTTTGCATGTATCAGAGCCTGCTGCTCCGAAGAGGTTTTCAAGCTCACGGAAACAATGGGGCTGGCAGTTTTCAGTACAGAACTTGTGCTCACCAGAGGGGAAAGGGCTCTTAGGGCAGTGAGAACCCAGGGTATGCCAGGGGAGCTTCCAACAGCAGAGAGAAAGACCTTGGATATTTGTAGCCTCAGCTCCTCACCGGCTGTATGACCCTGGAGAGTATAGTCATCACAGTAGCACTTATGGGCCACTTGTTATGAATCAGGCCCTTTGCTAAGCATTTTACATATATGGTCTCATTCAATCCTCACAACGACCTGGGGAGAGCGCCTCATTTTATGGATAAGGATATTGAGGTCCAGGGACAAGGAGGCTGAGTTATTTGCTCAAGGTCATACATTTAGTAAACAGCTAGGATTTGATCAAGATTGTTCCTTGTTCTCTCTCTCCTTTCCTCCCTCCCATCCTCCCTATCTCTCTCTCCTTTCTTTCCTCTTTCTCTTCCTTCCACTCAACAAATATTTGTAGCATCTGTCTGACGCTATGCCAACGGGGAGGTACAGTAGTGAACACGACATTTTGGTCCCCACCTGAGGCTAACTACGCTCTGTTGTCTCCCAAGCCATTTAAGCCTTTTCCTGCCAAGCCCCACATGGAGAAAGCGACCCCTGTGAGGCCCCCACTGGGGTTCAGAAAGCAATACCCCAAAGTCTGGCACTTTGATATGCGGAGAGGACTTAGAAGCTGCCCAAGAATCAAGGTCCCTGTAACCTTACCTTGTCCTCTTCCCCCTACCTACATCAAGTGCAGAGAAGAGCTCTCTGAAATTTCCTTATCTGGCCAATAAAGCTTCTTTCCAAAGGATATGAAATTGTTTTAAGACCTCCTGCCTAGGGATCCCATCAAGTAACCAGGAAAAATAAACTGAAAGAGAAGAGGCTGGGTGTTATCAACACACCCAGACAGATTTTTCATCTATTCCTTTGAGGCCAGCTCCAAGAGATGACTTGGGAGATTTTGTCTGCATAAGACACCTTTTGTTCCTGTGCAGCCCCATCCCTCACCTTCCCTAATGCCTGCCTCCCACCTCCCAGGTCCTTAAGTCTCTTCCCTATGAAGAGAGTACTTAGGCCTCAACCATCCGGCCCTCTTTGAGTTCATATTGTGTATGACTCCTGTGGGCACACATGCATGTAAATACATTTTACATGCCTGTTTCCTGTTAATCACCTTTTGTCAGTTGATTTTTCAGCAAACCTTCAGAGAACAAAGGAAAATTTTCCCTTTGCTCCCACAACCCAATGGTCTTCCCTTGGCTTTTAGGTGCATTCAGAAGTGGGAATATTGAGACTGAGAAGCATTAAGTATCTGGGCACTTGGGTACACCTGTTTGAAGCTTGGGGCAAAGTTGGGGAATCAACCTTTGGGAGTGAATGAGTTTGTCCAAAATGAAGTGTGTAGTGGGAGGACAAGAAGGGGGATGAACCAAGGGTAGAACCAGGATGGGTGGCAAGGCTGTGGGAATTAATGGATGGGTGAAGAAGAGAAAGCCTATGACAGGGCTATGAAGGAACATCAGAGAGGTGAGGGAAGAACCAGAAGAGAGCATTGTCCTAGAAGTCAGGGAAGGCGTGAGTGCCAAGTTATGGGGTGTGGTCAACAGGATTACGTGGCAGCCCGATAGTTTAGCCTTCTTCAGCGACATTTGTTTTTTTCTAATACACAGAATTCCTCCTCCTATTTCTTTTGAATTCCTTTTCCTTTTTAATAAAGTGGAAGGGAAAGCTCTGACTCCAGTCACCTGGACTCACTCCCTCAATGCCAACTCACTTTTGCCGGGTCCTTGTATATCCTTCCTGTGGTAGTCTCTCCAGTTAATGTTTGTGAAAGTAAAATTGTCAACTTATTTACCAGTTCAACTGCTAGATGGAATTGTGTTCAAGTTCCATTTATACAAAAATACCCCAAATTCTGTTTTTTGTAAGTTTTGCATCATTCTTAATGTAATGTTGCAAATACAATAAGTTTTACATTATTTTCCACTTAGAGTAGGGTTGGTGGTTTGAAACAGAATGTTCCCTTCCCTCCTGAGAATTGCCACAAATTTCCTATTCCCGGCCAGAGGGACAGCCCATTTGCAGAATGAGAAGTTTGACACACGTGAAAACCAGTGAGCAATCTAGTTAATAGCTCTGCCAGCTTCCTGGTGTTCAGAAAGATCACTCACTTGGATTCGTTCCCCAGTTAAGTGTCCTTTGCACCATGGCAGCTTTCAACATTTGAGCAAAGCTTTATCAGACAGGATTGCCATCCAGGAGAGCAGGGCATGGTTTTGTCATCAAGGTAGATACCGGGCTCTGCCATTTCCACCTCAAGGACATCCTTCCAGGTCCTCACCACGAGCTTTGGGCTCTCATTCTTCCTTCCTCACCTGGGCCCTTCACAGAACTTTCTCCGTGGGGGACGACAGCCAATATGTCTGGTGTAGCTCAAACTTCAAGTTTTGTTTTTTGAAATGTGTATGTTTTCATATGGTTAGAAATTTTTAAAAATGTAAAAAGGTATAAAGTGAAAATCTTCACTTCTCTTCCTGTATTCATCCACCCAATTTGTGCTCCTCCCCATGTACCCAAAGGTAACCGCTTGTATTAGTTTCCAGCTCAAACATTGTGCTCTCCATAGACCAGTGTCTAATCCTCCCACTGGGTCCCATTGCTCCTTTCTCTGACTTCCTAAGTTTGCTGGCACCTGTGTGAGAGAGTACCCCATGTTATAATGAGCTGTTTGCCTGTATGTTAGGGGTCAGCAAACTTTTCCTGTAAAGGGTCAGATAGTAAATATTTAGGCTTAGGGGAAAAGAGGCAAAATTGAGGCAATTATATATGTCTTTAGGACAAAAGAGAATAGATTTCCACAACATTGTTACTGATGAAATTCAAAATACAAGAATAACTGAGTATAATGTTTCAGGTCTACTAATGAAAAGAATGTTATTAGTTTATGGACATTGTATCTGGGCATGGTGGCTCATATCTGTAATCCTAGCACTTTGGGAGACCAAGGCGGGAGGATTGCTTGAGACCAGGAGTTTGAGACCAGCCTGAACAATAAAGCAAGACCCCATTTCTACAAAATAAATGAACAAATAAGTAAACAAAATTAAAAAAAAAATTAGCTGGGCATGATGGCATGTGCCTGTGGTCCCAGCTACTTGGGAGGCTGAGGCAGGAGGATCCCTTAAACCCAGGAGTCTGAGGCTATAGTGAGCTATAATGGCTCCACTGTACTGCAGCCTGGGTGACAGAGCATGACCTTGTTTCCAAAAAACAAATAAAAATAAATAAAATTTATGGACATTGAAATTAGAATTCCATATAATTTTACATTACAAAAATATTCTTCTTTTGATCTTTAAAAAAATATATTTTAAAATGTAAAAATCTTTCTCAGCTTGTGGTCTATACAAAAACAAGGAGCAGCCAGATTTGGCCTGCAAACCGTACTGACTCCTGCCCTCTAGGATGTTATCATCTTCTTGAAAGCAAGGCCTCTGGCTTATCTTAGTGTTCCCTGTGACACCTTGCAAAATCTCAATACATATTCATTCACCACAAGGGTCTTGTCCAGCAAGTAATGACAGCTTTCCCGCAGATATTAAACTGAGAACTCCACATTTGCTATCTTAAGGTTCACAGCAGCCTGACGAGGCACTATCATTATCCTCTATTACTGATGAAGCAATGCAGGATTAAGGAGCGAGTTTGTCCTCCTCTGCCATGAAGCTATTATGCAGTAGAGTTATGAAGCTGTTTAGTTTGCCAGCCCAGCCACACGCAGTGGCTCACGCCTGTAATCCCAGTACTTTGGGAGGCTGAGGCGGGCGGATCACTTGAGGTCAGGAGTTGGAGACCAGCCTGGCCAACATGCTGAAACCCCCATCTCTACTAAAAATACTAAAATTAGCTGGGCATGGTGGCATGTGCCTGTAATCCCAGTTACACGGGACGCTGAGGCAGGAGAATCACTTGAACCCAGGAGGCAGAGGTTGCATTGAGCAGAAATCGCACCACTACACTCCAGCCTGGGTGATAGAGCGAGACTCCATCTCAAACAAACAAACAAACAAACAAACAAGAACAAAAAAAGTCTGCTGGCCCCTACAACCCGCAGACCAAATAGCACCCAGACCTCTTTCAGTGGGAGCAAGAGCAGAGACCCAGACTTGAGAGCACTTTCTCAGCGCTCCAGACTCACGGCCTGGAGACAGCTGGTCTCTAGAAAGAAGGAGTTGTCTGAGTACAAGCAGAAAAGGCAAGCCTCAACAGTCACCAGCAGCTTCTGGAAGCTCAGGACTAGGCATTGATCCTAGAACCAGTTTCTTACACCCCACATTTCAACAGGGGCAAGAGGAACCCAATAGCTTTATTTTAATTAAAAACATTGTTTTTTTTAAGAGACAGGGTTTCACTCTGTCACCTAGGCTGGAGTGTACTGGCAAGATCACAGCTCACTGTAACCTGGAACTTCTGGGCTCAAGTAATCCTCTTGCCTCAGCCTCCTAAGTAGCTGGGACTACAGACATGAGTCATGGCACCTAGCTAATAAAAAAAATTTTTTTTTGTAGACGGCCGGGTGCAGTGGCTCACTCCTGTAATCCCAACACTTTGGGAGGCTGAGGTGGGTGGATCACCTGAGGCTAGGAGTTCGAGACCAGCCTGGCCAACATGGCAAAACCTTGTTTCTACTAAAAATATAAAAATTAGCTGGGTGTGGTGGCACTCACCTGTAATCCCAGCTACTCGGGAGGCTGAGGCAGGAGAACTGCTTGAACCCAGGAGGCAGAGGTTGCAGTGAGCCAAGATCGCGCCACTGCATTCCAGCCTGGGTGACAGAGTGAGACTCTGTCTCAAAAAAAAAAATTTTTTTTTTTTAGAGATGGGATCTCACTATGTTGCCCAGGTTGGTCTCAAACATCTGGCCTCAAGCGGTCCTCCCACTTCCACCTCCCAAAATGCTGGGATTACAAGCATGAGTCACCACGCCTGGTCAATCCAGTAGTTTTGACTGATTTAACATTGAATCAGGTTGGTGTTTTTCCTTTATGTAACAAAATTTTATTTCCTAATAGAGCTAGGCATGCTGTTACACATATACAAAAAAATGTAGTACTGAAGCTTTTAAGATGTTGGTATACAAGACTATTTTGTAATGTAGGAAAATGTTTCCGATCTGTGGTTAACTAGAAAAAGCAGGTTAGAAACAGTATGGAGGCCATGTATCTGTTTAAATAATCAATGTGCAGAACAGGAGAGAAAGAGGACGCACCTGAACACACCCACAGTGTGCATCCCTGGGTGGGAAGATTATGGTGTTTCTTCCTTGTGCTTATGTGCATTTCTATGGCTTTTCTTCCAAAAACTGATTACTTTTGTAAAATGTTAATTAAAAAAAAAGCTACTGCCAAGGGTTAGACAGGCTGCAATGACCACGCTATGGCGTAAATAATTGGAAACTGGATGTGCTCACTCCTGTGTGTGTGCCTGGTGGTTATGTCAAATGTATTACATTCAGTGCTTGATTTGAGTCCCTTTTTTCGGGAATGTGTGTTCATTTGACAATGTCAAATAGTTTGGTGAGAAAAATGTACCTGTTGAGGCTAAAATTTGACTTTGAATTGTGCCTTGAATTCAAATCGAAGGCATTATTATAAACTCTGTAAGTAGTATTTTTTGTTGGGGGGGATACAGGATTGGGTTCCTCTTTTTACTCTGTTAGGAAACTAGTTCCAAACTGTTAAAATGTTCATAATGTTCAAACAGCATCGTGAACAAACTAAATTTGTGGAAGGAAAAGTCATACCTCTTGAATCAGCATCTTGAAAACATTCATTCAATAGATCATCTTCCCATTGGAGTAGTACCATTTGCCTTTTGCCAAAGGGCTTTCAGTGTGTGGTTTGGATTTAATAAAGGGCAGAATGAAATTGTGTGTATGCAGTTTCCCACTGGTTTGAGTCAGTGTGTCACTGCTCTGGTGCAAAACGAAAATCACAAGACACAATGTATTAAGAGCTGGTGGGCAAAACAGCTTCCTCGGCCCCAGATTAATGCCTGTGCAGGAGCTCCTTAAATAGTTTAATTTCGGCAATATAGTTTGACATGAAGATCTTCTTAAGTTACTGGTTTTCTTTTCTTATGCAAACACTTCAAGACTTCTATATCTGAGTGAGTTTTGTTCTTCAAAGTACTTCCTGTGAAGTAATCCACTTTTCTCAAAGCTGATAGTACTCTTCAAAGTGTTTTTGAAACTCTTCTTTCATAATTGTTCTCTGAACCAGCTTACAAACTGTGTAATAAAATCAGTCTTTTTACTTTATAGTTATGCCAGATGTACAAATCAAAATGGCATTTCCCTATCTGGGAGAAAATAAAGTTATATTCTTAATCACATGTTATGCCAAAATAAAAAACAAATGGATAAAACATTAAACAATAAAAAAAGAAAACATGAAAATGTGAAAGGAAATTGTGAGAGAAAATTGTTTTACTAATCTCAGAATGGTGAAGATCTTTTTATTTTTTTACTTTTATTTTTATTTTTTTTGAGACGGAGTCTCACTCCGTCTCCAGGCTGGAGTGCAGTGGCGCAATCTTGGTTCACTGCAACCTCCGCCTCCGGGGTTCAAGTGATTCTCCTGCCTCAGCCTCCCAAGTAGCTAGGACTACAGGCACCCGCCACCATGCCCAGCTAATATTTTTTTGTATTTTTAGTAGAGACGGGCTTTCACCACGTTGGCCAGGATGGTCTCGATCTCTTGACCTCATGATCCACCTGCCTTGGCCTCCCAAAGTGCTGGGATTACAGGTGTGAGCCACTGCGCCCGGCCGTGAAGATCTTTTTAAATATGATGCAAACATATATATCAGTCAGGGTTCTCCAAGGAGACAGAACCAATAAGAGATCTATCAATCTATTTTCAATCCATAGATATATTGAGAGTGAGATAAAAAGATGGAGATTCAGGTAAGAGTTGATGATGCTGCAATCTTGAGATAGAAAGCTGAAAATTTAGACATGTTTCCATGTTGCAGTCTTTTTTTCTTCTTTTTTTTCTTGAGATGGAGTCTCACTCTGTCACCCAAGCTGGAGTGCAGTGGCATGATCTCTGCTCACTGCTACCTCCACCTCCCAGGTTTAAGAGATTCTCCTGCCTCAGCCTCCTGAGTAGCTAGGATTACAGGCATGTACCACCACACCCAACTAATTTTTGTATTTTTATTAGAGATAAGGTTTCACCACATTGGCCAGGCTGGTCTTGAACTACTGACCTCAAGTAATCCTCCCTCCCCGGCCTCCCAAAGTGCTGTGATTACAGGTGTGAGCCACCCCACCCAGCCTTCCATGTTGCAGTCTTGAAGAGAATTCCTTCTCCTTTCAGGAACCTCAGTTTTGCTCTTAAGGCCTTCAACTGATTGGATGAGGCCCACCCATATTACTGAAGTCATCTGCTTTACTCAAAGTCCGCTGACTTAAATGTTGTTGCTGTTGTTTTTGAGACAGAGTCTTGCTCTGTCACCCAGGTTGGAGTGCAGTGGCTGAATTTCAGCTCACTGCAACCTCCGCCTCCCAGCTCAAGTGATTATTACAGGGCGCCCCACCACACCCAGCTAATTTTTGTATTTTTTGTAGAGATGGGGTTTTGCCGTGTTGTTTAAGCTGGTCTCGAACTCCTGACCTCAAGTGATCCTCCTGCCTTGGTCTCCCAAAGTGCTGGGATTACAGGCATGAGCCACTGTGCCAGGCTGTCTGCTGACTTAAAATGTTAATCACACCTAAAAAAATACCTCCACAGCCACCTCTAGATTAGCATTTGACCAAATGCCAAGTTGACACAAAAAATTAATCATCACAACACAGAAACAGTAAAACAGGAGGCTGACAATCTGACTACAGACAGACACAAAAAGTGGACCACAGGCCTGCGCCCAGGGGGAGTGCATTCCAGCAGCCTTGCTGTCGGTGCATGGCTAACTCAACCTGTCTTTATCCTTCTAATCAGCAGTTTGAAATGAAACATGGACTTGAGAAACAGCCCCTTTTTTCCCCTAAAGGCTTTTTAAAAGATGTATTTAAAATAAGAATTATTAGATTGAGAATAAAACCTGAGCAATTCTTCAGAAGCAACATGATTGATGTGTCTGGCATGTGGAGATACTTGCTATACCTTTCTCTTGGGTTGTTTCTTGTTTGGGGAACATTTTCTGAATGAGAAACTTCCATGTGTTAGTCCAGATGTTACTCTGTATTCAATATTAATTTTTCACGCCACTTAACACTGATTTTTTAAATTATAAACTGTTTTTTTCTTTCATGAATTGTCTCTATGTAATTGAATTTTTAAAAGTTTTAAACTGAGAAAAAAGTTCTGCTGTGTGTGGCTTTCTTTTGTAATATAGAAGTATTTGGGAGTTTCCATTGGATTTATCGCTATGTATGTTAAAAGAACGTAGGGTGGCAAATCATAGTGAATATGGGAATAATCATCACAGTGGTTTTGATTCACTAAACTTCTGCAGGGGTGGTCGATAAGGTTTAGCTTTAGGAGGTTGGTTTGCATAAGCTTTCTCCAAAAGTCTAGACACTTATAATTATGGACCTAAGACTATGCTTATCTTTTTTTTTTTTTTTTTTTTTTTTTTGAGATGGAGTCTCGCTGTGTCACTCAGGCTGGAGTGTGCAGTGGTGTAATCTCTACTCATTGCAACCTCCACCTCCCTGGTTCAAGGGATTCTCCTGCCTCAGCCTCCTGAGTAGCTGGGATTACAGGCGCCTGCCACCACGCCCAGCTAATGTTTTGTTTTGTTTTGTATTTTTAGAAGAGACAGGGTTTCACCAGGTTGGCCAGGTTCGTCTTGAACTCCTGACCTCAAGTGATCCACCCGCCTAGGCCTCCCAGATTGCTGGGATTACAGGCGTGAGCCACCGTGCCCAGCTGAATGATGCATTCTTTAAAAGAACCTCCAATATAAAGCTTTTACAAATATTAATCTCTGAGGGAAAAAATAGCAGCAGTTTTTTTTTTTAAGAAGAAAACTAGGTGGAAATTTCTTATATAGCTGTCTTTCTTCCTGAGAGGAACATCACATGCCTTAGTTCTATTTGTGAAGTATAATTTCCTCTTTTGGCTATTTAGTCTCACAAAAGAAGAATTTCAATGGTGTTAGTAATAACTGGGAAAAAAATAGCAAAAAACAGGTAAGAAAAAGCACACAAAATGTACCATAAACATAGCGGAAAACAAAAATGGATTGTAATTAGTGCTGAGGACTCCTCCTTGCTAAGTCACGTCTGCCTGCAGTGAAGCCTGTGAATTTTAGAAGAGAAAAGATTTTTGCTTGTAGAGTTGAAAGTCATCTTGAAGGGCAATACAGACAGCTCACCAATACTAAGGCCATCAGCATGCCACAGAAGTGGGAGCCCTAAAGGCACAATTGAGTGAGTGTACGTGTGTGTGTGTGTACACATGTGGGCTCTCCTACCTTCCTCATCTCCTGGCACCTCCCACCCATATTGGGAGAAGGCTATGAATATATCAATATATGCGATATACTGCATTGATATTGACAGATTCCCGTTCCACCCTTCCTCATCCTGTCAGTTATTGAACTGAACCCTATATAGGGTGGCCTGTGAGCAGATCGGGGGAAAGAATATTTTGTCTGTGTCATTTTGGTTTGTATGAAAGCCTCCCCCTCTCTCTGTTTCTATCTCTCTCTCTGTGTCATCACAGTGATTAAAAAGGATTTGACTGAGTCTTTCATCGGCCTCCAGTCTATAATTATGTACAAACAAGCCCTTTGAAATGCCCTCCTCTTGGTTTACTCTAGGCATCAGTATTAGCAGGGATTGGGGTGTCCTTCACAAAGCGAGAACAAACTTATTAGATAAGCGACTCTCAGAAGGTAGGGCAGATATGAGTTATATTCAGAAAAGTCAGTGAGAAGGAAGTTGCCCTGGATGAAAAGATGAGGAACGGAAATTGTAAGGGACAGGAAATAGTTGTTCTTTTTTAGCCATATGAGCCAGGTGTGGCCAAACGTGTTCAGCTGATAGAGGGACCACTGAAGTTGGGGGGCTAGGGAGCCATCGATGCTCAAAGCATTATTTGGATGGTTTGACTCTCAAGTCATGAAGCTGGTTGCCTCTACATTTTCATTAATGTCTGGAAGAAAAAATTATTTGGCGTTTTCAGCACTGGCAGCTTCTAGAAATTCTCAGTCTGTATCCATGGGCTCCAACCCCAACATTCTAAAGCACTAGCTGAGCTTTAAAGCAGCCACTCCAGGAGGTTTTGATGCAGACCATCTCCAGAACAGGCTTCGAGGAACATTGCCGCAGGCGCACTCCATCAGTCAGAGTGAGAGAACCAGCAGCGTTTCCACCTCTCCGGGGGCCTTTTTGCTGGTTCCAGTCTGCTGGGGACTCACTCACATTGAGACTGGGAATGCAGGCTTCGGGCAAACATGACTTAGCAAGGAGGCGTCCTCAGCATTAAAGCACTCAGTACTTTTCGCTCCCTTATTTCGTAAACATAAAACTGCTAAAAAAAACAGTAAGTCTATTGATTAAAAAAAAAAATCCGGCCAGGCGCGGTGGCTCACGCCTGTAATCCCAGCACTTTGGGAGGCCGAGGCGGGCGGATCACGAGGTCAGGAGATCGAGACCATCCTGGCTAACACAGTGAAACCCCGTCTCTACTAAAAAACACAAAAAAAATTAGCCGGGCGTGGTGGCGGGCGCCTGTAGTCCCAGCTACGCGGGAGGCTGAGGCAGGAGAATGGCGTGAACCCGGGAGGCGGAGCTTGCAGTGAGCCGAGATCGCGCCACTGCACTCCAGCCTGGGCGACAGAGCGAGACTCCGTCTCAAAAAAAAAAAAAAAAAAAAATCCAGGTAGGCTACTAGGGCTGGAATAGCGGCTGTTGCCTGAGACCCAGGAACGTGTTCTTTTCCTGCCCTGCTAGCTATACTGTGTGGCCCCCACCATCGTGGTCCAGGATGGCCGCTGGAGTACCAGGAAGTTCCAGAAAGCAGGCAGGAGTAGCCCCAATGACCTATCTTTCATTAACCTTTACAGAAGTCCTACCCAACACTTGCACTTCTATCTCATTAGGCACAAGGCCAAATGTACCTGCAAGAGAAGCTGGGGAATGCAGTTTTCTCTCTGGACATATTGCCGCCCTTGAAATATTGGGGTCTGTCACTAACAAAACATAGGAGAACGGGCATTGGGCAACAACTAGCTTTCTCTAACCAGAAAGGCGCTACCATTCTTGAAAGCTTAGGATTTGCCTCTGAAGAAGCCCTGCAATTTCTCAGTGAACCTGCTTGGTCTTCCACAGCCCAGAGCCCTTCCAGAAGGAATTCCTGACTGCTAGGGAGGTGTGTGTTGACTGCTTGGCTGGGCAGAGCGCTGAAGACGACCACTAGGACCACTGCCAACACTTTTCACCCTCAAGTGAAGGCTTGCTAGGCTGCCTGCTGCCATCTCTCTCCTACCGTGGGATAGACAAGCTGTGACTAGATCCACCATGTGAATGGTCTGAAGTGAGGCACAGGGAGAGGAACTTGCCTAGGTGCCAGGTGGTGTTTGGAGCCGGGGCAACAGGATCTAACCCACGTGTTTTCTGCCCAGTGGGAAGCAGAGTTCTCTTAAGAACAAAGAACACTAATAATGACTCCACGACAAACATCTACAACAGAAATGGGAAAAGTTCCCTTGTCCCCCTCGCAAGCCGGGTGACAGGGGAGTGGTCCCTTCTCCAGTGCCCCGCTACTCAGACCTCTAAGGAAAGCATACAGAGGGGCAGGCTGGCGGGTGGGGGGGGGGCTCCAACCTCACAGCGGTGTCTGGGGTGAATGTTTACCGCTCCTGAAGCCCCAGCGGGCGTGTGTTACGCAGTGCTCTTTTAGTTTTGCTGTCTAGAGGCAGTTTGTGCTAACCAATTCAATTATATCCTCTACGTTGTTACAAAGAGCGCTTTCTGTAGCCCAGGTCCTACCGTTGGTGTACTGAAAAATGGGATCACACCCGGGCTTGGAGAACGAGTGCAAGGTTTCGAGTGGAAGTAACTCGGGGTAAGTCAGAAGGGAGTAGAGTGGAGAGATCTTCCCATGGAGTCAGGCCGCTCAAAGGCCTGGGCTTTCTCCTCTGACTGCCCCAGCCAAACTTCTCATCCTTCCGCTTCTGCCGGTCCTGTCTCCTAGTACCTGTGGGTCCATTCCCGTCAACATCCAGCCGCCTGCGTGTTCCAGCCGCCTCGGTTCCTCCGGTGATGCGCCCGTCTCCACTTGCTGAGCCTGCAATGTCGGCCTGTTACGGTCTTGAGGGTTTTTATAGGCCCAGGATGCGGGCGTGGCAGGCCAAGGTGGTCTTGGGAAATGCAACATTTGGGCAGGAAATGCCTGTCCTCACCTAGGTCCGTGGGTGTGGAGCCCTAGCCAGGGACCACGCCCTCCTTTACCCAGCACTTCCTTTCCCTACTTCCATGCCACATTCTTCTCTTACCAGCACTCCTGTATCAGTACCAAGCCCCAGTTCCTTAAGCCAGACTGGGACCTTTGTGTAAGGGAATGAATCCCAAGCCCTCCAAGCGCAGACAGGGAACAAACACATGGGCAGAGCTGATGGGGTTTCTTTCTGACAACACCAGCAGCAATCTGGGTGTGGCAGGTGCCCTACTAATGGCTTTAGATGACTACACAGCCCTGGAGGACAGAGAAGCAGGCAAGGCTGTGACAAGGAAAGAAGAGTGGATGGAAGTCACTGGGACACTGGGTCAGAGCCAATTCATGACGTGCCTCTTTCCCCCTTCAACTTGTTAATGGTACTATAACCTTCCATAACCACCTACTAACAGCTCCTCAGCCCTGGAGCTGGCAGGACCTCTGAGGCATCAGCCGCAGGGCCCTGAGAGCAGGCTTGGGCTGTTTGCGGGTAGCTCAAGCTGAACTTTCCTATAAATGAGCGGCCTGCTTCTCGGCCCCACTTTCCTTTCCTGGCTAGATAACTAGAAGCTCATTTGACTTTATGAACCAGAGCTCAGAGAATTAAGGTCGAATACATTTTTCTCTTTGAGTGGGAAGAAAATACTTTTTTCACTTTGTTTTAAAACCGTATCTGCCTGCTTATATATAACATCAGTTATCAGGGGACGGGTCAGAGTCTCTTAGAAGATCACTTCTGCGAAAGTCCAAGATTTGAAAACGAGTAAGTGGACCACTTTGTATTTATTAGGATATATTTATTTATTTAGACAAGGTTTCACTCTGTCATGCAGGCTGGAATGCAGTGTCATGATCTTGGCTCACCACAACCTCCATCTCCGGGGCTCAAGCCATCCTCCCAACTCAGCCTCCCAAGTAGCTGGGACTGCAGGAGCTTGCCACCATGCCTGGCTAATTTTTGTATTTTTTTTGTGGAGACGGGGTTTCGCCATGTTGCCCAGGCTGGTCTTGAATTCATGAGCTCAAGCGACCCACTTGCCTTGGCCTCCCAAAGTGCAGAGATTATAGGCATGAGTCAGCTGGGATTACAGGTGTGAGTCACTGTGCCCTGCCCTATTAGGAGATATTTTGTGTTTATGTACCAAATGAGAGAAAGAAGCTTAAGGTTCTCTAGTAGAAAAGTGTCCATTATAAAAAGTCACACAATGTTACACAATGTTTCTTTTCTTCATTCACTCAAAAACTTTTTCAATGAATGTCTACCACGTGCCAGGCACCGTGTTGTTTTGCCAAGTGAGGGGAGATAAAAGTTGAGGGGTGGGGTCCTCTGGTCACCAATGACGGGCCCACGGCGATCACTGTTGAGACGGCCGTCATTGTGGGCAGCCTGGTCCGACAGGCCTCTGAGCTTCTGGCCAGACTGGGGAATGCCATCTTCCTGAAGAACTGCCTGAGCCATCTCCCACCTCTCCTCCAGTCCAGTCCAGTACGGTCCAGCCATCTCCCCTCAGGCATGGCCTGTGGCACCCCTCCCCACTTCTACCCAGCGTAGGATCTCCTGCCCTTGCCTAGGGAGGAAGGATAACCCATTCTTACCACGTATCAACTTCTCTGAAAGGCCTTTTGTATTCCCCAAATCTCCTCTCCATTGTAAATATGCAACATGCGTGATTCTGTCACAATTTATCTATAAACAGAATCTGCTAGAAGCTTTTAAGGGCCCAGGCTTCAGCAGCACTAAGCTGAGACACTCTGGGCTGCCTCTGTTTTCTGTGGGTTCCTCTTTGGAGCTCGTTGAGCCTGGGCTTTGTCCTTGAACCATGCTTGTCTTTCCTGAGGCAGTGAAGACAAATGGAAATGACAATGGGATGAAGTCTCAAAGTGGCTCAAGTGGCATTCCATTTCAAATAGGTAAAGAACTCTTTGTCACCATTGGAACACTTTTAAATATCCTGCAGAGAAGAAAACAAAAAACACAAAATGGAAGGAAATGTTGAAATGAATGAGAACTGAATTGCAAGATCACGTAGCAATACTTCTAGTTGTCAAATCAGCCATTGCACCCAAGATTTTCCTTGACAAAATTATCTCCCTCTTTTTCACTCCCAGTTGTTGTTTTTATCATTTATTGTTAATTGTTAACACAAGCTGGACAACAGGTTCTGTCTTTTCCCATTTATCACCCACAGAAAGCTGCATTTTATAGTGTAGTTTTGGAGGTTTACATGAGAATAACACTAAGTTAGGGTGACTCTCCAAGTTAATCTTGCCATAAAGATACTGTCTATCCTTGGTGATAAAACAAATAAATCTTTACAGTCTCATCTACTCACACCTTTTTAAAATTTTTTATTTTAAATAATTATTTTATTTTATTTTATTTTTTATTTTATAAAATTTTTTTATTTGTTATTATTATTATTATTTTTTAGAGACAGGGTCTGCTCTGTCACCCAGGCTGAAATGCAGTGGCACAATCATAGCTCACTGTAACCTCAAACTCCTGGCCTCAAATTATCCTTCTGCCTCAGCCTCCCAAAGTGTTAGGATTACAGACATCTGGCCAAAAATTTTTTTTTAATAGACATTTTTTTCAGAGCAGTTTTAGGTTTACAGCAAAATTGAGCAGAAAATACAGAGTTCCCATGTGCTCCCTGCCCTCACGCTAGCACAGCCTCCCCCACTAGCAGCATCCTGCACAGGGTGGCGTATGTGTTGCAATTGACGAGCCTACATTTGCATGTGATTATCACTCGAAGTCCATAGTTGACATTATAATTCAGTCTTGGCATTGTACATTCTATGGGTTTTGACAAACGTGGTGACGTGTATCTTCTATTATAGAATCATACAGAATTGTTTCATTGCCTTAAAAATCTTTTGTGTTCTGCCTATTCATCCCTTCCTCTTCCCATAACTCCTGGCAACTACTAATCTTTTTACTGTTTCCATAGTTTTCCCTTTTCCAGAACATCATATAGTTGGAAGCATACAGTATGTAGCCTTTTCAGACTGGCTTCTACTAATATACATTTAAGGTTCCTTGATGTCTTTTTGTAGCTTGATAGTTCATTTATTTTGATTGCTGAATATTTTATTGTCTGAATATACCAGAGTTTGTTTATTCATCCACTGACTGAAGGACATTTTGGTTGCTTCCAGGTTTTGGAAATTACAAATAAAGCTGCTGCTGTAAATATCTGTGCATAGTTTTTTGGTTTTGTTTGTTTGTTTTGAGACAGAGTCTCGCTGTATCGCCCAGGCTGGAGTGCAGTGGTGCCATCTCGGCTCACTGAAACCTCTGCCTCCCAGGTTCAAGTGATTTTCATGCCTCAGCCTCCCTTCCAAGTAGCTGGGATCACAGGCACGCATCATCAGGCCCAGTTAATTTTTTTTTTTTTTTTTTTGTAGAGACAGAGTCTCGCTCTGTCGCCCAGGCTGGAGTACAGTGGCGCAATCTCAGCTCACTGCAGCCTCTGCCTTCCTGGTTCAAGCAATTCTCCTGCTTCAGCCTCCCGAGTAGCTGGGACTACAGGTGCACACTGCCACGCCTGGCTAATTTCTTTTGTATTTTAGTAGAGACGGGGTTTCACCGTGTTGCCCTGGCTAGTCTTGAACTCCTGAGCTCAGGCAATCTGCCCGCCTCAGCCTCCCAAATTGCTAGGATTACAGGAATGAACCACTGCGCCCGACCTTAAATTTTGTATTTTTAGTAGAGTCAGGGTTTCGCCATGTTGGCCAGGCTGGTCTCAAACTCCTGGACTCAAGTGATCCGCCTGCCTCGGTTTTCCCAAAGTGCTGAGATTACAGGCATGAGCCACTGCGCCTGTCCCCGTTTGTCTTCTTGTTGAGTTTTAAAGTATATTTTGGATGCCAATCCTTAATCAGAAATGTGTTTTGTAGTTATTTTCTCTCAGTCTGTGGCTTGTCTTCTCATTCTTCTGATGTTGTCTTTCACAGAGCAGAAGTTTTTAATTTTAATGAAGTTGGGCTTATCAATTATTTCCTTTATAGGTTTTGCCTTTGGTGTTACATCTAAAAAGTCATCGCCAAACCCAAGGTCATCTAGATTTTCTTCTATATTATCTTCTAGGATATTTATATCCTAGAAGTTTTATAGCTTTGTGCTTTACATTTTAGGTCTATGATCTATTTTGAGTTAATTTTTGTGAGTGGCATAAGGTCTGTGTCTAGATTCATTTTTCTGCATGTGGATGTCCAGTTGTTCCAGCACTGTTTGTTGAAAAGACTATCTTTGCTGTGTTGTCTTTCCTTTATTTCTTTGTCAAAGATCAGTTCGCTGTATTTATGTGAGCATATTTCTAGGCTCTCTATTCTGTTCCATTGATCTATGCCTGTTCTTCCCCCAATACCACACTATCCTGATTACTGTAGCTTTATTAAATCTTGAAGTCAAGTAGTGTCAGACCTCTGGCTTTGTTTTTCTCCTTCAATATCATGTTGGCTATTCTGGGGCTTTTGCCTCTCCATATAAACTTTGGAATCAGTTTGTTGATATTTATAAAATAACTCTCTGGAATTTTGACTGTTATTGCACTGAGTGTAATAAGTATGCATTTTTGTTGAGTCTTTACCTAGTGATGGAATTTCTGGACTGCAGAGTATGCATATGTTCAGCTTCAATTCAGTTTATATTCAGTTTTTCAAAATGGTTTTGCAAATGTACACCCTGCCAGAAGCATTGTGAGTGTTCTTGTAGCTCTGCGTCCTCACAATATTTGGTGTTTTTCCTTTTGGCTGCTTTGGCATGATATGATCATTATAGTTTGCATTTCCTTGGTGACTAATAAAGTTGAGCAATTAATCATATATGTGTATATGTGTATATATATATGTGTACATCTATGTATATGTGTATATATATATCTGTATGTGTATATGTATATACATATATGCATATATTTTAAAGTTGAATCTCACTCTGTCACCCAAGTTAAAGTGTAGTGGTGGTATCATGGCATACTGCAGCCTTGACCTCCTGGGCTCAAGGGATCCTCCCACCTCAGCCTCCCAGGTACCTGGGACCACAGGTGCATGCCACCACGCCTGGCTAATTTAAAAAAATTTTTTTTTGTAGAAACTGAATCATTCTCCCTATGTTGCCCAGGCTGGTCTTGAACTCCTGGCCTCAAGCAATCCTCCCACCTTGGCCTCCCAAAATGTTGGGATTACAGGTGTGAGTCACTACATCTGGCCAAAGTTGAGCAATTGTTATGTTTATGTTTATGTTTTTGAGACATGGTCTCACTCTGTCATCCAGGCTACAGTGCAGTGGTGTGATCATGGCTCACTGCAGCCTTGACCTCCTGGGCTGAAGCAATGCTCCCACCTCAGCCTTCCAAGTAGCTGGGAATACAGGCACATGCCACCATGCTGGGATACTTTTGTTCATATTTTTTTGTACAGATAGGGTCTTGATATCATGCCCACGCTAATTTTTATATGTTTATTGGCCATTTGGATGTCCTCTTTTGTGAAGTTTCTGTTCAAGTCTTTTGTTATTCTTTTGAATATTCTTTTTCTTGTCAATTTGGAGTTCCTTTTATATTCAGAACATAAATATTTGTTGATCATATGTTGCAAAATCTTCTTCCAATATATAGGTTCTCTTTTTACTCTGTTAATAGTGCCTTTTGGTGAACAGAATTATTTATTTCAGTGTAGTCTAATTCATTATTTTTCTTTATTATTAGTGTTTTTTTGTTCCCTGTTTAAGAAATCTTTGCCTCTTTCAAGATCATGAAGAGGCTTCCCTCTAAGAGGTTTATTGTATTGCCTTTCACAGTTAGATCTGTTATCCAGTTGGATTTTTTAAATCTAGTGTGAAAAAGGAGACAAGACACCTTTTCCATATGACTTAGCATCTTTTTTTTTTTTTTTTTTTTTTTTTTGACAGAGTCTTACTCTGTCACCCAGGCTGGAGTGCAGTGGCATGATCTCAGCTCACTGCAACCTTCACCTCCCGGGTTCAAGTGATTCTCCTGCCTTAACCTCCCGAGTAGCTGGGATTATAGGCTCACACCACCATGGACGCCCAGCTAATTTTTTGTATTTTTAGTAGAGACGGGGTTTCACTGTGTTGGTCAGGCTGGTCTTGAACTCCTGACCTCAGGTGATCCACCCACTTCGGCCTCCCAAAGTGCTAGGATTACAGGCGTGAGCCACCATGCCCAGTTGATTTAGCATCATTTGGCTAAAAAGGGCTTCCTTATTATAACTTTTTAATAGATCTTTATATTTGAAAATGTTCCTTTTCTTCAAGATTGTCTGAATATGTTTATAACAAGAATATAAATTAATTGAGCTGCTCTTTAATGTCAGGTGGTTCTTCAGTTGATCATTTGACCTTGTCAAGGGTCCCAAATGTTTAATTAATTTTCAGTGTGCCTAGTTAGATCTGAGAACACTGCTCCTAGTCTAAAATATTTCCTTTCCCTTTAATGATATCTATGTCCGAATGACACACGTGGCTAGCTCTGGAGATGAAGTGTGCTTTTAGAGCTACTATATTTTATTATGATCAAACTAATGCAGTAGGGATTTAAATAACGGTTAGCTGCTGTTATTAGCAACTAGTGGTAAATGGGGTGACAGATTTCATAGTCAGATTGCCCTCACATTGAAACACTAAAATATTTTTTATCAATGTTAATAGACACTTTTCTCACTCACAGGGTATATGGGGCTGTACTAAGGAGAAAAACATTGAATATTTGGTTAATTACAGCCCCAATCTATTATGAACCTGCAATTCTGGTGGGGAAATGAGATGGACACATTGATAAACAGAAATCAATAAATGAATCAATTATTTTATGCAAATTTACCTAGAACAAGAAACCTGAACTTCGTCATAGCTACTCAGCATAGAACCCTTGTGATTTTTTAAATGTCTGTTCCTTCCTCATATATGTATATATATGCCCAGGATAGGATGCTTAAAGTGTGGTTGTAGAGTGGTTACTTGATGTCTAATGTTTCTTGCATGTGTTCACATGTAACACATTCTACCACACCAAGAAGCACCAAGACAACAATACAGAATATTCATGCTGAAAGTAGTGAGACACCATTGGGGCAGGAAATCATTGTCTGAGATTATTTCATACATCATGTTGACAAACAGAAGGGACATCAGAGGATAGTGGCCAGTCTACAAAAAGAACCTAGACATCATATTAAACAAGAGATGATACAAGGAATTGAGAATGGTCAACTTTGAAAAAAGAAGAACCTGTGGTGAGGGTGTAGAGGGTGGGTGATAAGTGGGGCAAAGGGAACCAGCAAATGCTTTGCAGGCACTGGTGGGGAGGATGGGGAAAGGGAGCTAGGTTTCTTGTTTGTCTCTCCAGAATGCAGAACAACGATCCATGGGTGAGAGTTACAGGGAATGAGTTTCAGCTCAAGAGAAAGAAGAACTTTGAAAGTTACAATGGCCAGTGGAATGGGTGTTCTCATGAAGCAGTGGGTTCCTCCACACTAGATGTGCTCACACACCTGGCTGTCCACTTGCCAGAGGACATCATAGTAGATCGGCATCCAGTTACATGCCCTTTAAAGTCTTTTTTGCCTCCAAAAGTAATTGACTGGTTGATTGATTAACCGCAGAAGATGTCCCGAAGAAGGGTAACTTAGATTTAGAATGAAATAAACCCCAGGATTTAGTACAGTGGAGAGGGGCAGGGCCAGCCCTCAGCTGAAGAACAGTGTTGGGATGTGATGGAGAAGATGTGTTAGGGGCAACGACTGGAAGAGAGCAAATGTTTATGTCCAGAGCAAAATTCTGTTGTCAGAAATGGGGCTTTGTATGATGATGGATGTGTTCACTTATCCATTCACTCCACAAATATTAATTTTCTGGTATATTTATATAATGGAGTACTATACAACAGCAAAAAATAAATTAAGTACAGGCTGGGCACAGTGGCTGATGCCTGTAATCTCAGCACTTTAGGAGGCCAAGGCAGGAGGATTGTTTGAGCTTAGAAGTTTGAAACCAGCCTGGGCAACATAGCAAGACCACATCTCTACTAAAAATTAAAAAAAAAAAAAAATGCCAAGCATGGTGGTGTGTGCCGATAGTCCCAGCTACTTAGCCTGGGGTGGGAGGATTGCTTGAGTCCAGGAGTTTGAGGCTGCAGTAAGCTATGACTGCATCACTGAATGCCAGCCTGTGCAACAGAGTGAGACACTGTCTAAAAAAAGTAAATATATAAAAATAAATAAACTACAGTTGCTTGTATCAACATGGATGTATCTCAAAGTCATAATGTTGAATGAAAAAAGTAAGTCACAAAAATATAGAGCAATGTATGATTCTAGGAGTATACAGTAGAAAAAAAAAGCAAAATTAAACAACATGTTGTGTAGAAATGCATACAATTGTGAAATACTCTTCAAAAAACGCAAAAAATGATTGATATAAAGTTCAGTATGCAGGTACCTCTTGGAGGAGGACAGGGCTGTGCTCAGGGGAGAACACACATGGGCTTCTAAGATGCTGGTAAAGGTCTGTTTCTTAAGCTGGTTGGTGAATACACATGTGCTTATTTTATTACCCTTAAATCTACATATATACACTTCATGCAGTCTTTTGAATGTAGGACATGGCCATGGTAATAAAAAGAAAAACAAAGAATAGATGAGCATTTAAATTGAGAGGGCACACCAAGTCTTAAGCCAAAGAGTTATAAGTAAATCCACACAGACGCAGCGGAGTACAATAGCAGAACATCAAAAGCATAGAGAAAATCTTCCACACCGCTAGAAAGATAGTAATCTAAAAACCAATAATACTGGGCCGGGTGCGGTGGCTCACGCCTATAATCCCAGCACTTTGGGAGCCCAAGGCAGGTGGATCACCTGAGGTCAGGAGTTCGAGACCAGCTTGACCAACATGGTGAAACCCCGATTCTGCTAAAAATACAAAATCAGCTGGGTGTGGTGGTGCATGCCTGTAATCCCAGCTACCCTGGAGGCTGAGGCAGGAGAATCGCTTGAACCCAGGAGGTGGCGGTTGCAGTGAGCCGAGATCACAGCATTGCACTCCAGCTTGGGCAACAAGAGCGAAACTCCATCTCAAAACAAAACAAACGAACAAACAAAAACCAATAATACTTCAACTTACAGCAGACTTACCTGCAATAATAGATGCCTTCAGTGACCTAAATGGTATCTTCAAACTGCTGAGAGAAAATAACCACAAACCAGAATTCCTTACCTGTGAATTCTACCCAAGGTATAAGGTGTAATAAAAACATCTTTAGACGTAGACACCAAGAGAGGTCACCCCTCACAAAACCTCACTGGAAGAACTACTGATGGAAGTTTCTTTTTTTTTTTTTTTTTTGAGGCAGAGTCTCACTCTGTCGCCCAGGCTGGAGTGCAGTGGCATGATCTCAGCTCACTACAATCTCTGCCTCCCAAGCTCAAGCCATCCTCCCACCTTAGCCTCCTGAGTAGCTGGGACTACAGGTGTGTGCTACCACACTCAACTAATTCCTGTATTTTTTTTTTAGAGGTGGGGTTTCACCATGTTGCCCAGGCTGGTCTCAAACTCCTGGGCTCAAGTGATCTGCCTGCCTTGGCCTTCCAAAATGCTGGGATCACAGGCAGTTAGTGAACTGTTGAAACAGTGGTACAAGAAATTGATCATGAAGAGTCTTGAAAGCCGTAGAAGGATATTGCGTTTTATTTTCAGTGCAATGAGAGTTCTTAGCAAGCAAGTCAAAGACATGATCTGTCTTTCTTTATTTTTATTTTTATTTTTGAGATAAGGTTTGGCTCTGCCACCCAGGCTGGAGTGCAGTGGTGCTATCACAGCTCATTGCAGCTTTGTTCTCCCAGGCTCAAGCAACCTTCCCACCTTAGTCTCCCAAGTAGCTGGGACTATAGGTGTGTGCCGCCACCACACCCAGCTAGGTTTTTAAAAATTTTTTTGTAGAGATGAGGTCTTGCTATGTTGCCCAGGCTGGTCTTGAACTCCTGAGCTCAAGCGACCCTCCTGCGTCAGCCTCTCAAAGTGCTAGGATTGCAGGCATGAGCCACCAGATCTGTCTTTAAAAAGACCATTCTGGCTTCTGTGTGCAGAATGCATTATAGAGAGTTATTGGGAAGCAAGAAGGAAGTAGAAAAGCTACTTGGTGGTCAGTACAGTTACTCTAGTGAGAGAAGAGTATGGCTTGTCCTAGGGAAGTTGTAGTAGACATACAGAGACATGACCCAGTTGGAAATATGACCTGGTAGTTGAGTCAATAGGATTTGTTGATTTACTGGATACAGAGTCCACAAAAGGGAAGAATCAAGACTGAGTCTTACCTTAGGGGCTTAAGCAACTAGGTAGATATTAGTGTGCTTCACTGAGGTGGGAGTGACTGAGGAGCTGCAGATTAGGTGGGCAGTGGGAGGTGGTTTGCAAATCAACAACTCTGTTTAGGTTTGAGATGACTGTGAACTATAAAAGAATTATCAAGTAGGTAGTTAGATGTTCCGTGTGGAGGTTAGTGCAGATTTCCAGGTTGGAGATACAAATTTGAGAGTTATCAAGATATAGATTGGATGATCTCACCCAAGATATAGACTGGATAAGCTCACCCAAGGATTGAGTGTAGATAAAAAAGTCTAGAGTGGAAGTTAGAGTTGCTTGCGTTACCACATAAAAATAGAAGACACTCGGTTGAATTTGAACTTCAGATAAACAATAAATTTTTTTAGAATGAGTATGTTCCATGCAATATTTGGGACATGCTTATACTAAAAAATTTTTGTTGTTTATGTGAAAGTCAGGTTTAGTTGGGCATCCTGTAATTTATTTGGTAACCCTAACTGAGACACTCCTATATTTAGATGACAAGTAGGGAAGGATGAGAAGCAAAGGAAATGCTGAGTGTGGCTGTGTACCAAATTTCCCCAGAATGTGGTGCCATAAAACAGTCTTTAATTATGCCTGCAGATTCTGTAGTTCAGGAATTTAGATAGGGATTCGTGGTCCTGACTTGCTCTGCTCCATGATGTCTGGGGCCTCAGCTAGAAGACTCAAGGGCTGGGAGTTGAAATCATCTAAAGGTTCATTGACTCATTGAACTCACTGACCCATTGACATGTCTGGCGGTTGATGCTGGCTATTCGCTGACTCTTTAGCCAGGGTCATCTGCTGGAACCTCTTCATGTGGCCTCTCTATGTGGCCTGGGCTTCCTCCCAACATGGTGGCTGGATTCTAAGAGCTGGTAAGCAGAGGGAAAAGGGGAAGAGAAAGGAGGAGGAAGAGAAGGAAGAAGAGAAAGAAAAGGGAGAGAAGAGTGAACCAGGTGGAAACTATATCTTTTTTATGACTAGCCTCCAAAACCCATAGCATTATTTCTGCCAGGCTCTATTGGTCAGAGCAGCCACAAGCCCAACCAGGTTCAAGGGGAGAGGAAATCATTACATCCTTGATAGGAAGCAGTAAACTTCCGTAAGAGCATATGAGACCATACATATGACCATACATATGGCTGTGGTCATTTTTGGACAATACAAGCTGCCTCAGGAGAGGTTAGTGAAGTAGGAGAAAAATCAGGAGAAAGAAAGCTAGGAGAAGACCTTGTTTCAAGGAGGAGGGAATGATGAGCCAAGTGGAAGGATGCTGGTGTGGAAGTGCACCCAGGGTGCTCAGTGCGGAGTGCAGGGCTGAGAGCAGGAGGCTGGGAGAGGGCGGCTGTGGATGGGGTGCATATGTGTGCTAGACTTGACAAGAGAAAGAGAAGTCTCGTGATGGAGGAATTCAGTGGTAAGAGTGAAGAGCATGTAAGGCAGTGGGTCGGGAGAGCCAAGCCTGGCATGGTAAATGGGTAAACCTTGCATGGGCAGGTGACCGGGAAGGAGAAGGAGTGAGGAAGAAGAGAAAATGCGAGTGCAGATCTTATTGAGGAGCTAGTTTAATCTCTTTTAAATACATTTTGTGGAGACTTAAGATAATTTTTGTGATTTGCAAGAATGAATAAAATTAACATTTTACGGCACTGAGAAAAAGGTGCTCTGCATGTTCCATAAATTTTCCATTTAAAAAAAAAAAGTTCCCAAGCCTATCAAGTAATGCTACGCAGCATGTTTTCCTTTCCACAGTCCTTGAGAAGTAATTTTCAGTGCTTCTGTGTTGATCATTTTTTGCTGAGTGAGTAACTGACCCACACATGCAGCTGCAGCCTTTGTATTCAAGGTTTCTTCTGAGGAATACAGTCTAAAGAAGGGAGCCAAGATCTGTGAACCCTGCCTGATGTGCGGAGTGGGGACCAGGTGCCAGCGCCCCATGGCTGGGCTGTGGGATGGGGATGTGGTCCCTCAGGTCACCATGGCAACCAGCCTGCAAACCCCAATGCACTCGTGGTGATCAGCATGCTTCAGGGAAGCTGAACTGTGCCAGCCTAGAGTCTAACAAACTGTTTCCCTTCTAGGATACCCTCTATGCCTGATAAAATGCAGCACCTACTATTTCTAACCCACATGTGGGTTTTCAGGGTAAGTAGAAACGCTACCAGGAAATGTCTTGATGGGCTCTCTCTCCTCCCTGAGCGCCAGCCTATTGGAAAATATTTCTAATCTATCAAACATGGTTTTGAAGTAAAAAAAAAAAGAGAATCTGCTAGTTAATTTTTTTTTTTCAGTGACTTCACCCGATGAGAAAGTGGAAAACAGGTTGCACTGTGTACATGCAGACCAGGTCACAGAAGATAAAGGGCCTTATCTGACATGACAGACAATTCAGGAGACTTTATCGCTCCAGTCTCCTGATGCCACCTCACTTGATCCATTGCAACAAGGAAATTTTAATGGAGAACCTCCCCTGGGTCTTGATTTATGCTCTGAACCACAGGAGGGCTAGGAAGAAAGCAATTATTCACTTGTCAAACCTTTATAGGCTAGGCCCTGTGCAGGGGACTGGGGATACAGAGGTGCTTAGCCATGGCCTCTGGCCTTGAGCACTTACTGTGTGGAGGATGCAGGCAGAAGCAGGCAGGGGAGCCAGGAGTCAGGGCTCGGTGGGGTATACCAACCAAACTCTGTCCTGGCTTTGGAGGAAAAAGAGGAAAAATGGAAGCAATTTAAATAAACTAGTAGGTGATTGTATTAGTCCATTTTTGTACTGCTATGAAGAAATACCCAATACGGGGTAATTTATAAAGAAAAAGAGGTTTAATGGACTCACAGTTCCACATGGCTGGGGAGGCCTCACAATCATCGCAGAAGGCAAAGGAGGAGCAAAGTCATGTCTTACGTAGCAGCAGGCAAGAGAGCGTGTGCAGGGGAGCTGCCCTTTATAAAACCGTCAGGTCTCATGAGACTTATTCACTGTCATGAGAACAGCATGGGGAAAACCTGCCTCCATGATTCAGTTACTTTCCACTGGGTCCTCCCATGACACGTGGGGATTATGAGAGCTACAATTCAAGATGAGATTTGGATGGGGACAAAGCCAAACCATATCAATGATTAAGACCCAGACAGGGTGAGACAGATGACAAGAACAAGTGGAGTCTGGGAATGGAAGGATCCCCATGGGTTGAATTAATTTGGGATGACTCTGTGCCAGAGAAGCAATTTGAGCTGGACCTTCTGACAGAGAAGAATTTGAATGGGGATCACCTCCCTTAGCAAAAGTAACATCACAGCCATCACCATGTTAAACAGAACCCTCACCTTCCTTCCATATTTAGAATCCTAGTAATAACAGCAGTTTCTTTGATGTTTCAAGAACTTATACCTTCACATACATATTACCTATGTTTTCATTCAGCTTTGTCAAATAAGTGCTAAAACCTTCTTAGTATATGTTTTTCTGTCTTCCCCATTCTAATGAAGAAATTCCAGGAGTAAATTTGTCTTTTCTTTTAGTCTTATTGAGATATTTACTCAAGGAGCAACATAACCATTTACTCATATTTTTCTCAACACCATCGTGGCCCAGTAGGAGTGAAGGATCTTGGGAGGAGCCCCAAGTCCTCCAGGTCACAGAGTACTATGGAAAAGGCTCCCTTGGGCTCTGCTAGAGTGCCTTCGCCTGCAAAAGTGATGCTAGAGTTCCTGAAGACTAACTCCAAACCATAGGGGCCATCATCACAAGAATGGCATTCCCAAGTTTCCACATTTTCTTTTTTCTGGGACAGAGTCTCTGCCACCTGGGCTGGAGTGCAATGGCACGATCTCGGCTCACTGCAACCTCTGCCTCCCGGGTTCAAGTGATTCTCCTGCCTCAGCCTTCCGATTAGCTTGGATTACAGGCATGCACCACCACGCCCAGCTAATTTTTATATTTTTAGTAGAGACGGGGTTTCACCATGTTGAGCAGGCTGGTCTCAAACCTCTGACCTCAAGTGACCCGCCCACCTTGGCCTCCCAAAGTGCTGGGATTACAGGCATGAGCCACTGCACCTGGCCCCACATTTTCATTATTAAACATTTCAAAAGTGCAAGAGAATAAAAAGACAAACCACAAACTTGGAATAAACATACAAAACAAAACATACATCTGATAAAAGGACTGGTATTCAAAACATACAGAGACTCTTAAAACTCAACAGTAAGAAAACAAAAAACTTGATTAAAAACGAGCCAAAGACCTCACCAGAAACCTCACCAAAGGATATATACGGCTGGCAAATAAGCATATGAAAAGATGCTCCACATCATATGTCATCAGGGAAATGTATGTTAGAACAACAATGACCTCCCACTATGCACCTATTGGAATGGCCAAAATCCAAACACTGACAACACCAAATGATGGTGAGGATGTGGAGCAACAGGAACTCTCACTTGCTGGTGGGAATGCAAAATGGCACAGCCACTTTGGAAGGCAGTTTGGCAGTTTCTCACAAAATGAAACATACTCTTACTGTATGATCCAGCAATTATGTTCCTTGGTATTTACTCAAGAGAGTTGAAAACTTAGGTCCACATAAAAACCCATCCATGTGTGCTTATAGCAGCTTTATAATTGCCAAAACTTTGAAGCAATCAAGATGCTATAATGTGAAGACATGTCAGTATACATTTGTCCAAACCCACAGAATGTACAATACCAAGAGTGAACCCTGATGTCAGCTATGGACTTTGGGGGATAATGATGTGCCATTGTAGGTTTGTCAGTTGTAATACATATACCACTCTGGTTCAGGATGTTGATAGTCGGGGAGGCTGTGATGCCTGGGGCCTGGGGGTATAAGGGATATCTTTGTACCTTCATTTTGCTGTGAACTTAAAAACTGTTCTAAAAATAGTCTTAAAAGAAAACTTCAAAAGAACAGAACTGTTGAAAGACTAATAGTACAATGAATACCTGCCCTCCCTCTTCCTTCAATAATTATTAACTTTATGCTCTATCACCATGCATCGCTTAAAGATGAGGATATGTTCTGAGAAATGCATGAGGCGATTTTGTTACTGTGTGGATGTAATAGACTGTACTTAAACAAACCTAGATGGTGAAGCCGACTACACTCCTAGACTATATGCTATAGGCTGGTTAACTTAAAAAAAACCCCACACAATCTATACATTTGGAAAAGGAGACTTTATTCCTTATAAGGAATATAGCCTATAAGATGGCCATCCTGCAGGCTGGGAAAAATGGAAAAAGCCAGGGACAGGCACTTTGAAGGAGGAGGGGTTGGGGCAGGAGCTTTATACTGAATGGCTCGGCTAAACACACATATTCTACAGGTTATAGAAGGAGCTAAGAATAATCATGAAGGTGGTCCTGACGCATGCGCATTCAATAAACACGCATGCAACATGTGACCCATGTTCACCCTGGGGTTGGGCCTTAACATTTCAATGTACTAAAATTAGACCCTATATGTCAACAAGTGTTTTCAGGGCCCAAAAGCACTCAAGTGTGCAGCCTCTATAAACTGGCCAGAACCAGACCATGGTCAGGGGTCTTATCAGGAGAAAGTTACTGAAATTAGTCTTTCGTCCAGTCAAAGCTGTAGTTATGGCTGGTGGAAGGGGGGTCAGTTAGTCAGACTCTGGGGGTGAGCAGATTGTTTTAATACTGCTTTTCTCGAGGCCAGTGCTTGTTTATTTTTAGAGAAAAAGAAAAACCTTGGGGCAGCTGGAGCATAGTTTATTCCTTAGGTGTAGGGGTGTGTGACTTTACCCTTGCCTCGCATGGCCTTAGGTCCTGTTTAGAATTCATCTTACTGCCACAAATTCTGTTCTGTCAGTCTTGTGATCTCTATTTTAACACTAATCCTGGTCAGTTGTTGTGTCTAAATCATAAAAGCGAGGGTGGTATAGCGAGGTGTGTCTGACTTCCCATCCCATCATGACCAGGAACTCAGTTTTAACATTTTTCTGGGGTCCCCTTGGCCACAGGGAGTCTGTTATGTCGGTGGTGGCACTTAGGATTTTATTTTTATTTTAACTATTTTTATTTACACAATAGTCACACCCAGGGCAAGGATTTTATTTTTAGTTTAAGCACTCAAGTGTGCAGGAGCGATAGGCTCCTAGACTACACACCTACACAGCTTGTTACTGTACTGGATACTGTAGGCAGTTGTAACACAATGGCATTTATGAGTGAATGTGAAGGCCTAAGACATGACTGTACACTACTGTAGACTTTATAAACCCTGTAGACTTAAGCTACGCTGAATTTTTTTTTTAAAGTTTTTTCTTTCTTTGATAATAAATTAACCTTAAGTTACCATAACATTTTTACTTTATACACTTTTCGGGTTTTTTTAAAAAACTCTTTGACTCTTTTGTAATAACACTCAGCTTAAAACACAAATGTAGTGTACAGTTGTTGAAAAAGATTTTCTTTCTTTATATTCTTATCCTGTAATATTTTTTCTATTTTTTAATTTTTTATTTCTTCCTTACCTTTTAAAGTTCTTTGTTAAAAACTAAGACTCAAACATACACATTAGCCTAGGTCTCCACAGGGTCAGGACCACCAATATCACCATCTTCTTCCTCCGCGTCTTGTCCCACTGGAAGACCTTCAGGGCAATAACACACGTGGGGCTGTCATCTCCTGTGATAACAGTGCCTTCTGGAACGCTTCCCAAAGGATCTGCCTGAGGCTGTTTTTACAGTTAAAAAAAATAAATAGGAGTACACTCTAATAATAAAAAATAATAATAAATGCATAAATAATAATAATTTAAAAATAATAAAAATACTAGGCAGTAGGACTTTTTCTGCTTCATTATAATCTTCTGAGATCACTGTCATATATGCAGCTAATTGTTGAATGAAATGTCATTATGCATCCCATAACTGTATTTGCTTTATCTTTCTGCATATTTATATGTCTTTTGGTATAAAAATTAAGTCGCATGTGGAAGACAACATGGTGATTCCTCAAAGATCTAGAAGCAGAAATGCCATTTGACCCAGCAATCTCATTACTGTGTATACACCCAAAGGAATAGAAATCATTTTATTATGAAGACACATGCACGTGTATGTTCATTGCAGCACTATTCACAATAGCAAAGACAGGGAATCAACACAAACGCCCATCAATGATAGACTGGAAAAGAAAATGTGGTACATATACACCATGGAATACTATGGAGCCATAGAAAGGAGTGAGATCCTGTCCTCTGCAGGGACATGGATGGAGCTGGAAGCCATTATCCTCAGCAAACCTACGCAGGAACAGAGAACCAAACATTGCATGTTCTTACTTATAAGTGGGAGCTGAACAGTGAGAACACATGGACACAGGGAGGGGAACAACACACACTGGGGCCTGTTGGGCGGTTGGGGGAAGGACAGCATCAGAATAAATAGCTAATGCCTGTGGGGCTTAATACCTAGATGATGGATTGATAGGTGCAGCAAACCTCCGTGGCACATGTTTACCAATGTAACAAACCTGCATGTCCTGCACATGTATCCCAGAACTTAAGGGAAAATTAAAAACAAATTAAGTTGCAGACATCTTGGCACTTTTCTCCTAAACATTTCAATAATTGTCTTCTAACAATAAGAACATAGTCCTACATAACATACATTTAAGAAATTCCTCATTGTGACCTAGTATCCAGTTCATGTTTAAATCCCCCCAGTTACCCCCCAAATGTTTTTCTTAGTTGTTCTTTTTTTTTTTTTTTTTTGAGCCCAGATCTAAGCAAGTTTCTCCCATTATAACTGGTTACTATGGCTCTTTAGTCTTTTAAAATGTGTAATGAGGCTCGGCACGGTGGCTCATGCCTGTGATCCCAGCAGTTTGGGAGGCTGAGGCAGGAGGATCACTTGAGCCAAGGAATTCAAGACTAGCCTGGGCAACATGGTGAGACCCCATCTCGACAAAATATAAAAAATTTAGGCAGGCATGGTGGCGCATGCCTCCAGCTACTCGAGAGGCTGTGGCAGGAGGATTATTTGAGCCCAGGAGGTTGAGGCTGCAGTGAGCTGTGATTGTGCCACTGCACTGCAGCCTGGGCAACAGAGTAAGACCCTATCTCAAAAATAAATAAATAAATAAATAAATAAATAAATAAAACAGTTGCCTTACTTTTTTTGTCGGTGACATTAACATTTTGTTTTTATTTTTAAAATCCACCGTGTTAAGGTATCATTTAAACAGAATAAAATGGTCATTTTAAGTGTACTCTTCATAAGTTTTGACAAATGTATACACTAATGTAACTGTCCCACCAATCAAGATATAGATTTCTATCACCCTGAAAATCTCATTTATGCCCCTCTGCAATCATTCCCCCTCTGCTCTTTGTCCCAGGCAACCATTGATCTTCTTTCCATTATCATATTGATTTTCTGAAGCAACTGGCCAGTTTGTCTTGTAGAATATCCCAGATGTCTAATTGTTTCCTTGTAGTGTCATTAACTTGATACTCTAGCTATTGTGTTTCCCGTGCACTGAAAGTTAGGTCTAAAGGCTTGGCTAAATGCAGGTTAAACGTATATGGACAAAACACTTCATGGGTGATACCAGACACTTCCTGTTTCCTCACACCAGCAGGCACACAGTAACAGGCTGTGCATTGATGAAGATGTTCAGTTTGCTCCCTTGTTTGAGCTATTGACCACTAGGACTTTTTTTTTTTTTTTTTTTTAGAAATACATTGTTACCTTGAAAGGATTAAGTCATTACTTTGGTAATGAGCAAAGATTCTGCCTCCTCACAACCATGCACCCAGTGATCGTAACTTTCATTGATTTAAACATGAACTGGATACTAGGTCACAATGAGGAATTTCTTAAATACATGTTATGTAAGACAATATTCTTATTGTTAGAAGACAATTATTGAAATGTTTAGAAGTGCCATGATGTCTGCAACTTAATTGTTTTTAATGCCTAAATCAGTTATTTCACAGGAGGCTGCAAAATAGTGGTTTGCTAATTCTATCATTCCTTCTTTCTTTACTGGCTGACATTCTTCAGTAAAAAGTAGCTTTCTTTCATGTACTGGGGTGGATCCGTAGCTCCTAAGAAGATGGTAAATGCTGATTTCTTTCCCCTTACTTAAAATTAGGAACAATTTGAGCATTAAAAAACCAAACTGTAGGCCGGGTGCGGTGGTTCATGCCTGTAATCCCAGGACTTTGGGAAGCCGAGGTGGGAGGATCACAAGGTCAGGAGTTCAAGACCAGCCTGGCCAACCTGGTGAAACCCTGTCTCTACTAAAAATACAAAAATTAGCCGGGCGTGGTGGCAGGTGCCTGTAATCCCAGCTACTTGGGAGGCTGAGGCAGGAGAATTGCTTCAACCTGGGAGGCAGAGGTTGCAGTGAGCCGAGATCGCACCACTGCATTCCAGCCTGGGCGACAGAGCAAGACTCCGTCTGGGAAAAACAAGACAAAACAAAACAAGAACAAAAACAAACTAACTGAATGTAATATATTGAACAAATAAAAAACTCTCTGATTTAATTTAATTTCATTTTTGGGTATGTAAGAAAAGCATTAAAAGGGGTTAAATGCAAAGTTTTATAAACTGCACTGGTAACTATTTCTCAGGCTGCTGACTGTGTAAAACCTTCATTTAATGTTTGTGCTAAAGTCTGCCACGCACTGGATAAATTCCTGCCTTTAGTGACCTTGGACTTTGGAATCAGATGGATCTGGGTTGAATCCCGCCTAGCTCTGCCACTTACTTGCTGGATAATTTTCGGAAAAGTATTTAACTTCTCAGAGCCTTAGTTCTTCCCTCTGAAGATAGTCGTGATGAGAAAGAATCCAGGTGCCCTATGTGCAATGTTCAGCCCAGGATGAGTTAGCGCTCAGCATCCTAGATCCTTCTGCTTCCCTTGAAGAAGGTGAAGGTCCCAGGAAGAGGAGCTGCCTGAGCTGAATTTCAAAACCAGTAAAGAATTGGGGCTCTTCAGACACCTATGATCATGTCCAAGAAGACCAAGTCACGATTCATACTGGCTTATTGTTCCTTCATTTATCTATCTGGTGGTTACTGAGTGGTGTCTCTATGGAAGGTAGCATGCCGTGGACTGCAGAGTGAAGGGGGCTAGCCCTCATTTGTGTTGCTGTTGGTGGTCCTAACCCATCATTCTGCACAGGGCTTTCTCCTATCCTGGGACACTGATGCTGGTTCCCATTCAGCCTCTCCCCAGATTTCTGAAGCCAGGAAGGATGAGTAGTGAATGGACAGAAGGGAGGAGTGGGATGGACTCAAACGGACAGAGGCTAGTGGAAAAGCAGAGCCTCTGGGAGAACTAGAGAGGGGAGAGATAACTTTGTTTTAGCACAGACTTCGATAAACAGTTACTATGAAAGAAACCACACTAACCATGAATGAAATGTCAAAGGAATGAACAAAGCAAGAAATCTGTGCAAGAGTTGACATGAACAAAGCCACGTGTGTTGCAGGTGAGCAGACGCCAGTCCAGTAATAATGGGCTCTGAAAATGCCATCCAAAGAGAACACATGCCAAAGGGACCAAATTTCTTTTCCTTCCTTCCCTCCTTCCTTCCCTTTCTTTCTTTCTCTCTCTTTCTTTCTCTTTCTTTCTTTCTTTCTTTCTTTCTTTCTTTCTTTCCTTTCTTTCTTTCCTTCCTTCCTTCTTTCTTTCTTTCCTTCTTTCCTTCTTTTTTCTTTCCTTCTTTCTTTCTTTCCTTCTGTCTGTCTTTCTTTCTTTCCTTCTTTCCTTCTTTTTTCTTTCCTTCTTTCTTTCTTTCCTTCTGTCTTTCTTTCTTTCTTTCCTTCTTTCTTTCTTTCGAGACGGACTCTTGCTCTGTTGCCCAGGCTGGAGTGCAGTGGCAAGATCTTGGCTCACTGCAACCTCCGCCTCCCTGGTTCAAGAGATTCTCCTGCCTCAGCCTCCTGAGTAGCTGGGATTACAGGCACCCGCCAGGACTCCTGGCTAATTTTTGTATTTTTAGTAGAGATGGGGTTTCACCATGTTGGTCAGGCTGGTCTTGAACTCCTGACCTCAGATGATCTGCCCCCACTTGGCCTTGCAAAGTGCTGGGATTACAGGCGTAAGCCACCGCGGCAGGCCAGTTTTTTCTTAATTTCAGTTTCTGTCTCTATGAAAAGCTTGCAATTTTTATACTGTTACAGAGGAAAGAATCGACTTGCATATGTAAATCACATCTATAAAATATAACTGATTTAATGTATTTTTTCTCCAAAATACTAGAATTTAATACCATTATTTCTCTGTGTTTGGAATTGTAAGCTCATAAATACATGTACTCCTAAATGATATAAAAGGCAGATACTATTCCAAATAATTAGGGAGTATCTTGATTTTAAAAATACATGGGATTACTCATTTTAGAGGTTTAGTAAGTGATACAGTTTTATAAAATCTTTTTTTGGTGCTATGGCCTGCAGGATTGAAAAACAACAGCAACAGCATCCTATGAATATTTGAAAATGGAACAATATTCTAAGCATCTTATAACAATTAAAGAAGGAACGAGGTAAATTCACTGTTGCATGGATTATTTTAGAAATTACAGCATCAATCTATTACAGATTTTGAATGGAACTATAATCCACTCATATGCCAGACATTCTGCCCTTGAAATCTTGTCATCCAGAGATTGACAGCTAGACAATTAATATAGCCACTTGGGTTGGTCAGAGGGCCATGTCAAGCATGGACAATTCCAAGTGTCTGCCCGATAAAAAGAGACCCTGTGCCCTCAGCATTGACCCTTTTAAAACAAGCTTGGTAGGGCCAGGGATCAATAATATTTAAAGCTATCAAGTTTTAGATAAGACCATTGAAGCCAGAAACATTAGCTGTGCAGGTGGAAAGAAGTAGCCTCTGGCATCATCCTTACAAAAAAACTCAGAATACACTTGGCCATGGGTATCCATGGGTTCCATATCTGTGCATTCAACCAGCTCTGGATCAAAAATATTTGAAAAAAATTGCACCTGTGCTGAACATGTATAGACTTCTTTTTCTTGTCATTTGTTCCCTAAAAAATACAGTACAGCAACAGTTTACATAGTATTTACATTATATTAGATATAAGTAATCTAGAGATGATTTAAAGTATTTGGGGAGATGTGTGTAAGTCATATTCAAATATGATGCTGTTTTCTATCAGGGACTTGAGCATCCTTGGATTTTGGTGGCCCAGGGAAGTCCTAGAACCCATCCTCCATGGATACTGAGGGATGACTATATATCTGAAGAACTTCAATTTTTCAGCATTCTCTTTTCATGAGGTCTTTTTAACGAGTCCCAAGGAAAGGCCAGTTACAGTTTGAAACTATCTCCAAAATCATGTCATCAACTGTGGGACACAGGAATGAGGAGGAAGAGGGATTCCTGACAGGTGGCCTTCTGCTCAGTGATGATTCAGAGATTAATTTTATGATCTTCTCGTTGACATCAATTAATGGAACAGCTGGCTGAGGGCTTCTGTTTTTCTTTACTGGGTTATCGCCTGACCCAAGAAAGCCAACACCAAATTCTTAGGGACAGAGGAAGAACTCAGCGTGTGTGTGTGTGTGTGTGTGTGTGTGTGTGTGTGTGTGTGTGTGTTTGCAAAAAATATGCATGTCCAAGAGGTCCATTGGCCCACTGGAGACACCAGCAGGAGTGTAGGAGTGTGACTGCTGTCTGTTGGGTGCCGTGTTCTTGATAGTTCTAACATGTTACTCAATTCCTGGTTGTCTCTTTGGGAATATAGGAAAGTCTAGATCTCTTCATTATATTATATATTAATATGCATCACTAACTTAGGAGCTTTGAAGCCAAAAAGACCAACCAGACATAGATCCTGCTCTTGAGTTTACAGAATAAAGCAGTGTTTCTCAACATTGATTACCCATTGAAATCACACAGGGAGTTTCAAACAATGCTGCTGCCAGTTTCACCCACTGAGATCCTGAATGAAATTGGTCCAGGATGTGGCCTGAGGCATTGAGATTTGAAACTTCTTGGGTGATTCTAATGTGCATCCAAAGTTGAGAACAATTGCAGTAAAGGAAAGACAAAGTCCCCAGAAGTCTGTAAGCTAAAGAGTAGTAATGGCTGGGCATGGTGGCTCATGCCTGTAATCCCAGCACTTTGGGAGGCTGAGACAGGAGGATCTCTTGATGCCAGAAGTTTGAGATCAGCTTGGGTGACATAGTGAGACCCCATCTGTGTTTAAAAAAAGAAGAAGATGAAGATGAAGACGAAGACGAAGATGAAGAAGAAGAGGAAGAGGAGGAGGAAGAGGAAGAAGAAGAAGAAGAGGAAGAAGAAGAAGAAGAAGGCTGGATGCAGTGGCTCATGCCTGTAATCCCAGCACTTTGGGAGGCTGAGGCAGGAGGATCACCTTAAGTCAGGAGTTCGAGACGAGGCTGACCAACATGGTAAAACCCCATCTCTACTAAAAATACAAAAATGACTGGGGTATGGTGGCATGTGCCTAAAATCCCAGCTACACGGGAGGCTGAGGCATGAGAATCGCTCAAACCCAGGAGGTGGAGGTCGCGCCACTGCACTCCAGCCTGGGCATCAGAGTGAGATTCTGTCTCAAAAAAAAAAAAAAAGAAAAAAAAAAGGGTAATAACAATTATCAGTCTCTAGGAGTGATAATACGACTATATAAATAGTGGAAGTATAACCTATAAGCATTGTGGAACTGTAATACAATTATACAATTTGAAGTTGCTGTTCTCTCTTGCATGCATATGCATGTATGTATGTATACATATATACACACATATATTACATAAGTAATACATTCTTCTAGTAATAGATCCAATGATATACAAATGTTTCTGTTCCCACAGACTGCTCAATGTGCAATTCTCCAGTCCCCTTTCTATGCATTTTAAGCACATTTATATATATATATATATATATACACATACATATATATATATCTAGTCACATATCAACAAAACTGAGATCAGGTTATCTAATCTGACTTTTAAAAATGTTGGCTGGGCGCGGTGGCTCACGCCTGTAATCCCAGCACTTTGGGAGTGGGAGGTGGAGGCAGGCATATCACAAAGTCAGGAGATGGAGATCATCCTGGCTAACATGGTGAAACCCCGTCTCTACTAAAAACACAAAAACAAAATTAGCCGGGCGTGGTGGTGGGTGCCTGTAGTCCCAGCTACTTGGGAGGCTGAGGCAGGAGAATGGCGTAAACCCGGGAGGCGGAGCTTGCAGTGAGCCAAGATTGCACCACTGCACTCCAGCCTGGGCGACAGAGCAAGACTCTGTGTCCAAAAAAAAAAAAAAAATGTTTAACAACTTTCACATCCACACTTTTTAATGGCTATTTAGTGTCATTGGCTCTTTGGTATACTTATACTCTGCTTTACTAAGCCACTCTCCAATAGCTTAGTAAACTTAGCTGTTTCTAGTTACTTGTGTTTCAACTGCTATAAAAACTCTTTATAGCAGCAACAAAACAACACAAATAGTTAAACAAGTAACTCTAAAACAAGAACTCAGAATTTTCTTAAGATTTAGGGGCCGAGTGAAATGGCTCACACCTGTAATCTCAGCACTTTGGGAGGCCAAGGTGGGAGGATTCCTTGAGGCCAGGAGTTCGAGACTAGCCTGGCCAACATGGCAAGACACTGTCTCTACAAAAAATTTAAAAAAATATTAACCAGGCATAGTGGCATGCACCTTTGGTCCCAGCTACTGGGGAGGCTGAGGCAAGAGGATCACCCGAGCCCACAAGGCAGAGGTTGCAGTGAGCCATGACCGTGACACTGCACGTGCCTGGGTGACAGAGAGACCCTGTCTCAAAAAAAAAAAAAAAAAAGTGAACAACTTAGTCTCTGATTGAAACCCAGAAACCTTTCATTTTTAATCCTGGAACCACTTCTGGCTTAATCAAATGCTCAGGCATTTGGGCAAAAAAAAAAAAAAAAAATGGGAGAAGTGTTGCTCTGGAAAACAAGTATGGTTTCTAGTGGAAACTCTGAAAGGAACACAAGCGTGGACTTTTTTGAGTAGGAGGAAAAGAATAAGAAGCAATGCATTCATCTGAAAAGAAAAGAAACCAGAAAGGGCGAGGTAGTAAGGAGACACTTCAACAATAGAATCCAGATTTCCTATTTTATTTCATTTTGAGAAGAGGGTGATTACGCATATACAAGTAAATCACTTGAGATGACTAAGCTGAAGGTGGGGTAGGAGGCGACAATTGTCTCTCCACCGTCACTGGCATGAGCAAGTGAAGTTTAAGTGGGAATAAAATCAGGAGATGCAATTTCATGAAATCACCAGTGCTATTGTGGAAAGCGGCAGCTGCCTCTGAGGACGCCTTGCCTGGCAGTGAAATCAGCAGGTAGATTTTCCAGGCCGGAATGCAATTGTTTAAGCAGTATATTAGATGTCTATTTCATCTGAAATAATAATCATCCGGTGCCCTGTTACGCACCATAGCAGCTGCTTCTCTCCTGGCATGGATGGGATTGGTGTAGAACCTGATGTGATGCTGACTTACCCCAGAGTTAACAGCAGATACTCACAGCAGATGTTATGATTCAACAGGTCAAGAGGCAAGCTCTCTGATGCTTGAGCCTGGATTATCGCCCCGAGACTTGCTGGTCAGAGTTTAATTCGATCATTTGTTAGTGTTATGACACTGTATGTACTTGTTCCCACGAAACCTTAGCTATTTGGGGCTTAGCAGTGGATTCATTTTAAAATTGTCTGAGAATTTTTTTTTTTTTTAAGAAATAGCTAGGAGTAAAGAAAAATAATCAGCATGGCTGTTTAGGCAGTTTGACTTCCCAAGTATCGTTTCTTATCTTGTAAATAATTACCTCACATCAAATGTGACAGATTTGGGGGATATGTCTGGGCATGCGCCCAGCACTCATCGGATGATGTTGCCTGAGCTGGGGGTTCCTGAGGCTTCTGCCAGGCAGTGGTCTGTTCACCCAGGGTTGTATGCTCGCAAATGGCTGCAGCCAAAGGCTGCAGGTCCATTCCTCTGGAAATGCTTTCGGTAATCAGCAGGAAGAGAACATTCCAAGCCCTCATTTTAGGCAACTTTTGAGTTTCATCTTTTTCTGAGCACTTCATAGGACATAGAAAATAAATGTTTTCCCTCCTCCCTTTTAGAAAATGCACTAGACAGTGGTGGTGAGGTCTAAAGGTGGATAAGAAGGAGAGGAATGGAGAAGTGAAGCACCTGGGTGGGTAAGCTGTCCATGATCTGCCTCTGAGACATTGCCTTGTTTTATCCCATGTGGTCTGTTGAACTCCCATCCCTCCTCTGCCGGGTGACAATCAGCACAGGGGTTGGAGTGACAGCATGAAGGTGATGGCCCACCCATGTCAATGGCCTGAGACTGCCTGGTGAAGAGTTGGTGGTGCATTATGACTAAAGCCTCTTATCTTCCCACCCACTGTTCATGGAACCAAGGGTTTCATCAGGATTTGTTATTTCACTCAAGTCTGGGAATTAACTGTGACTCAGTGTTGAGGGCTAAGGCATAAGAGGGCATCTAGCTAGTTTAACTACAGCCTAGTGGACAATCAATTATCAATTCTGACTGTTCTGAGTCAGGCCAAGCGATCCCTTATTAATTCTGACTGTTCTGAGTCAGGCCAATCCCCAGCCCAGCAGCTGCCCAGCATCCACAGTTGCTGACCATGCTGGGGTCCCTGGGCCATGTACCTTCCCGACATTGCCTGGCAGGTCCAGCACAGGACTGTTTTGCTTGGAGCTCCCCAGTGTTTGGACTCACAGTGAGAGAGCATGCATATGTTTAGAAAGTTCTGGTGGTGGGCAGCAGGGTGCAGTCCAGGCAGGGGCGTTTCATCCTGCTCAGCCGGCTGCTGTCCCCACAGGAGGGCAAAACACTTGGTGGGGAGAGCACAGGGCCCAGTCTCCGGGGCTGCAAGTCACATCTCTGCATGTCAATGCCATGAGGACAGGCCCGTGTGTGTCCTGCTGACAGGTCCTCAGCACTGAGCGCATGGCAGGTGCTCAGTTAATACTGGCTAAATGGACAAAGAAATCAGAGAGGGACAAGGAAACATTTGAGTCAACAAGATAAACAGGGAGAGTGGAAGATACTCTCACAAATGAAATGCTATGATACAGTGCTGCTCAAAGTTCCCATCGAAATAGCTCTCCTAAGAGAAGGGCGGAAGGCACGCTCAGACTAGGGGGCCTGGAGTGGAGCCCTCGGGACAATAAGGCACATTTAGTGATGTGCGATTCATGGCCCGGTTTCCTACAGCCAGCTTCGGGTTTGTGTTGAGGTCCCTGCCATGGACCCCTCCTGGCCGAGCTCCTGGGCTGCCTCTTGGTAACTTCTACCCCCTAAGAGTCCCTGAAGCGTGTTTAGACCCTCAAAGTCTAGCCCCGAGGATTACAGCCCTGAGCCAGAGTTGCCTCCGCTGTGTGACTACAACGTCCTTCAAGTCCTCCTTTCCTGTCGGAGGTCATGGGATTGCCTCTTTTTTTTCTGGAGGAGAGGCTGCCCTCCTGCCCTGGAGGTGTGGCCTCTACCTGGGCAGTGGCAGCGCCCAGCATAACTCAGCACAGAGTCCAGCGACAGCACCAGGGACACCACTTGCAGAAATTGAGACAATGTGGGAAGAATTTCCTGACAAGCTGTTGGATATTAACGGAGCCTAACAGAAGCTGAAATCCGCTGGCAGACCCTGCACGGTGAGAAGCCCCTTTGCCTGCACAGACTGCATGCGGATGAGCTCACCTAGAGTTTGGTGACCTCTTCAGGTGTCTGAGATCCCACCATTCCACAAGCCCCTTTCAAAATATTATTGTGACCCAGTTTTAAGCAAGTAATTAGACAGTCTTATTTTACAGCCCAGGAATCTAGGCCATGGCATGGTGGGCCATTTGTCCAAAGTGAACGGAAAGCTAGGCTTTGTCAGCTTTTTGCTGTCCTCTGAGGAGCTTCCAAAATTGGCAAAGCTCTGGTTTCAGACTTATAATTAGCCTTCAGAAAACGATGACAGATCATCCTGCTATATCGAGGCCAGTCTCTTTTTCCCAGGAACCTGACACAAGGTCCCACTTCAAGCATTCCATGACCCAATTTGTCTTTCTTGGTGACTGGAGTGTGGCGACTGCAGGAGAAACAGCCTGTGGCTGGCAGCGGCGGAACTCCTGTCCCTGCCCCTCTCCTAGAGAATGGAGCTCCCCGTAGGGGGCTCCTTTTGGCTGAGGCCCATGGGCTCAGCTTCTTGGGCCCACGGAGCCTCAGCTTGCACCCCGAATGCTGATGGTGCTCAGAATTGATATTGTGGGTAGTTACAGGCCCTGGGTGTCTCAAATAAACTGTGAGTAGGGGGATTGCTTTAGGGGCTTCTGATTTCTCCCTACGGCTCAGATGCCCTCCCTCAGTTCAAAGTCTTTAAGCCCACATGATTGGTCCTGGAGTTCTTGAGGTGAGCCTTGGGTTGGGAGATATCTCAGGCTCAAGAGCAGTCAAGGCCATGCCCTACTCACTCTGGTCCCACTAATCTACTCCCCACAGAACATTACACTCTGTACCCCCACCACAATACAACCACACATGTGCACACACACCATGCACTCACACACACCACACACTCAGCCCCCATACGTCACACCACATGCACACACACTTACATACATGCATCACACACCACACACACACAGTCACACATATACTCACACCTCCACATCCCATACCACATACACACATACCACATATCACACATGCAACACATGCACACTCACACCCACACCACACACACAGCACACTCCTCATGCCCTCCACATCCCCACACCCCACACACTCATATACCACACATCATACACACATACACTATGCACAACTCACATCACCCATCCCTATACTCTCACACCACACCTCACATACACATAGCACGCTCACACCTCACACACACACACCACACCACCTTTACATTCGCAGAGTTTTGTAAGGTCTTTCCAAAACCCGTGCAATGCCAGCCTGGCCAACACGGAGAAACCCTGTCTCTACTAAAAATACAAAAATTAGCTGGGCATGGTGGCGGGCGCCTGTAATCCCAGCTACTTGGGAGGCTGAGGCCAGAGAATCGCTTGAACTTGGGAGGCGGAGGTTGCAGTGAGCCGAAATTGTGCCGCTGCCTGGGTGATAAAGCGAGACTCAGTCACTAAAAAAAAAAAAAAAAAAAAAAAAAAAAAAACCAAAACCCGTGCAATCCTCACTTCTAGCAACCGCCAGGGGTCTCTCCCCACTGTCTGTGCCATTCAGTGGCCATAAGCAAGACAACACCTTCACTGTGGGTGTCCTGGCTAGAGAAAGGGGTCCAGCTTGGAGACATAGTTTGCTAGTACATCAATCATTAAGAAAATCATATGTGTTTAAAACACACTGAATTTTATTTTCTTTGGAATTTTTTTAATTTTTTACTTAATATTACATTAGGGTACAGTATAACACAACGTGGATTTTTATCCTGGCTCTGCCATTTACAAGTCAGTTAACCTTTGACAAGCAGCTTGATTTCCTCATCTGTGAAATAGGAATGACTATTATTTTTTTAAATGCTTTTTTTTTTTTTTTTTTTTTTTTTTTTTTTGAGAAAGAGTCTCACTCTGTTGCCCAGGCTGGAGTGCAGTGGTGCGATCTCAGCTCACGGTAACCTCTGCCTCTCGGGCTCATGCGATTGAAATAGGAAGAATTCCATATGTCTCAAAGGGTTGTTGTGAAGGTAAGGGCCAACCGCATAGCGCCCCTACTGTTCTGTTTGGTGCATGGTGGGTGCTTAGTGCATGGTAATGAGGAGACAAGCAATAGAGTTGTCTTCATCTGGCTCTGCCTCTCCCAGTGGCAGGGGCTGCACCCATTCTCAACATTCCCTTGGGCCAGGGCCCCCAACTTCTCCAGGTCCTGGGGAGATGGTGTGTCCCACTGGCTAAAGGATGAATGTATAGCTTTTGGCCCATCACCTCTCCATGAGTGTTCTACCAGTGTGGAGATATCTTCAGCTAGAAAAAAAAAAAAGTCGCTGGGCACAGTAGCTCATGCCTGTAATCCCAGCACTTTGGGAGGCCGAGGCAGGCAGATCATTTGAGGCCAGGAGTTCGAAACCAGACTGGGCAACATGGTGAAACCCTGTCTCTAGTAAAAATACAAAAATTAGCCAGGCATGGTGGCGCGCACCTGTAATCCCAGCTACTCAGAGGCTGAGGTACGAGAATTGCTTGAACCTGGGAGGCAGAGGTTGCAGTGAGCCAAGATCTCACCACTGCACTTCAGCCTGGGTGACAGAGTGAGACTCTGTCCCAAAGGAAAAAAAAAGTATCCTTCTTGGGGCAGTCTGGTTTCTCTGGAGGTTCATTCACTCCCTACAGGCGTCTCTCATTGGCTTTCTGCCTGCCAGTCTCACCTGCCTTCCTGCATGAACTGCTCTAAGGAAAAAGCAATGTTCTATTTGTTATCCTGGGTGGTGGTGACTCTGGTGTTGACTTTCTAATACAGAGATGATAGACTTCATAATATTTTTAATAAGTGAAAAACCAAAGTAGCAATATGAGGGTTGCCTGGAAAAGAGCTGGGCTGAAAAGGAGGTGAGTTAGGAGGCTCCTGTCAGATCCAGGTGAGAAGTGGTGAGGGTCTGGACTTGGGCACTGGCAGAGAGAATGGAGAAGCGGGGAGGGCATCCTCACACCCCAAGGTGGTGGAAACGAAGTGCTTTGGCACCTGCCGTTGCACTGAATACATACGAGGGAATTGTCCAGAACTCCAATGACCCCTGGGTTTCCTTTAGCAGACTGCATAGTCTGTGGTGGGTGGGGCAGCAGGGGAATGGGTTGAAAGGGATGATACCTTTTGTTTAGGGCGAGTTGAATTTGGAGTGCTTCTGGGAACATCCAAGTGGAGTGTCCGGTAGTCAGTCAATAAGGGGACTGTAGCTCAGCAGAGTCAGGAGCAGCTGTCTTCAAAAAATGCTCAACAGCGGCAGGGCGCGGTGGCTCATGCCTGTAATTCCAGGACTTTGGGAGGCCGAGGCAGGCGGATCACGAGGTCGGGAGATTGAGACCATCCTGGCTAACGCGGTGAAACCCCGTCTCTACTAAAAATACAAAAAATTAGCCAGGCGTAGTGGCGGGCGCCTGTATTCCCAGCTAGTCGGGAGGCTGAGGCAGGACAAAGGCATGATCCCGGGAGGCGGAGCGCAGTGAGCTGAGATCGCGCCACTGCACTCCAGCCTGGGCGACAGAGCGAGACTCCATCTCAAAAAAAAAAAAAAAAAAAAAAAAAAGCTCACCAGCTAAAGATTGCTCCAAGTATACTCATCCATTGCTTAACGATGGCAATATGTTCTGAGAAGCGCATTGTTAGGCGATTGAGTCATTATGCGCAAATCACAGAGTGCTTGTACACAAACCTAGATGGCATAGCCTGCTGCACACCTGGGCGATGTGGTCTGGCCTATTGCTCCTAGGCTACAATCCTGTATGGCAGGTTACTGTACTGAATCCTGTAGGGAACTGTAACACGAATCACTAGGCAACAGGAATTTTTCAGCTCCATGATAATCTTATGGGACCAGCATCCTATATGTGGCCCACTGTTGACTAAAACACCATCATGACTGTAGTTACTTCCTCTTCTACTTGACTGGAGGGGCCAGAATCTCCCCCACACCCTGGTAATTTTGCAGACTGAGTCAGTGGATGGCCTTTCTCCCATGGTCCATCTTTCTTTACCGAAGCACAGAGTTTAATGATTTTTTTCAGGCTCCTTTTCCCCCGGTTATAATGTGGAACTGCTCAGCCTGATACTTAAGAAGCTCATTTCCCATTTAAACCTTATTAGAAATCTAATTCCTCCACTATAAAATGACAATGCAATAACTTCAGCTTCCCCTGCTAAGTTGGGGAAAGAGGCATCAAAAGCCACAAGTAAACAGGAAAGGCAGAGAGAATGAAAACAAACCTAATATTTATTCCAGGCCCTGGGGCGTAGTTCACAGCTTCAGGGAGGCTCCTCTGCTCTTTGGGCACACCTCCGGGACTCTTCCCTAGTGTCTGCTAGTGGAAAAGACATGCGGGGGAGAGAGGTGTCCTCCCATCACCTCCCTGGCCCAGTGCCCAGCATATGAGGAAACAGAGACCAGGGAGGTGATAGTGCCTGGCTGGGGTGATTGATGGAGCTGTACAGAGAGCCAGGGCAGAGGCGCCCGGGTGCGTGATGTGAGGAGCTGCTCAGTCTGCCCTTGCACAACCCTGAGAGTCACTTCAAATCTTGAACTCTAAACACTTTTCTTGCTTCACCCTACCCCAGACCCCGGTCACAGACTGAGGATAAAATCTCAGGTATCTTGATGCTGGAGTCTGTGTTCTTCTTTGCTGTACCACACTTTGTGGACTATTTCAAACTCATCTTTCATAGCTGGGCTCAAATTTCCCTTCCATGAAGCTGCCCTTGATTTACAGGTTCCAGAGGCCTCTTGCCCCCACCTACCTTTCCCTGGCACTTGGTTCATACTTACCTTAAAGTATTGATCCTGTTAAGTCTTATGTGCCTGTTTCTTCTCCCAACTCTATCCCAGGATAGTCTTTATAACACAGAACTCAGTATATGTCAAGCACTTAATAAATACTAGTTAAACAGTGAATGAATGAATGAATGGCCCTGTGATTTGCCGTTCAGAATGCAGAGGTGTGGCCTGGGAACAATGTGCTGTGGACACAGCTGGTCACAGGGGTCGGGTCCCCGGATGCTTCCTCTCTTTGTGCGCTTTCCTCCCCACCCACATGCAGACCTCCCTCCAGTCTTCAGAGCTGGACCCTTCTCAGGACTCAACTTTAGTGGGGAGGAGGCTTTCCTGAGTGCAGCCCCGGCCACTGAGTCCCGTGCTCGGCTGCTCTCCCCTTTTCCTTACTCCACTTCAGTGTTCTCTTTCCAATCCTGGTACCTGGCCCACCATCTGCCTCTCAGGCCATTTCCATCACAGAGAGGGGATGTTCCCCGACAGCTCTCTTCCAGGAGGGCCCAGGTGGTTCTGAGCACTGCAGGTGCCCAGCAAGGAAGCAGGTGAAGCTGACTTACATCATCTACTGCTGTGCCCCATAAAACTCATACTTTACTGCTTTTTCTAGGATTTTTAGATTCAAGGGGTACATGTGCAAGTTTGTTACGTGGATATGTTGCATAATGCTGGGGTTCAAGCTTCTGTTGAGCCCGCCACCCAAATAGTGAGAATAGTACCTGAAAGGTAGATTTTCAACCCTCGCCCCCTCCCTCCCTCCTCTCTTTTGGAGTCCCTGGTGTCTACTGTTTCCATCTTTATGTTCTTGTATACTCTTTGTTTAGCTCCTATTTATAAGTGAGAACATGTAGTATTTGATTTTCTGTTTCTGTGTTATTTAGGAAAATGGCCTCCAGCTGCATCCATGCCGTTGCAAAGGACATGATTTCAAGGCCGGGCACGGTGGCTCACGCCTGTAATCCCAGCACTTTAGGAGGCTGAGGTGGGCAGATCACCTGAGCTCAGGAGTTTGAGACCAGCCTGGCCAATGTGGTGAAACCCCATTTCTACTAAAAATACAACAACAATGAAAAAAAGTAGCTGAGTGTGGTGGCATGTGCCTATAATCCCAGCTACTCAGGAGGCTGAGGCAGGAGAATTGCTCGAACCCAGGAGGTGGAGGTTGCAGTGAGCCAAGATCATGCCACTAGACTCCCGCCTAGGTGACTTCGTCTCAACAAACAAACAAAAGGACACGATTTCATTCTTTTTAATAGCTGTGTAGAATTTCATAGTGTATATGCACCACATTACCTTTATCCAATGCACCATTGGTGTGCACCTAGGTTGGTTCCATGTCTTTGCTATTGTGAGTAGTTCCACCAGACATCGGCACTGGCGTGTTTATCACAGCTTTACTGCTTTTGTTTCTATGTATTTATTTAAGGGGCCACGCTAATCTTCTCTGTATCGTTCCAATTTTAGTATATGTGCTGCCGAAGCAGGTGCAGCTTTACTGCCTTGGAGCCTACTTTCAGCATCTGTATTTGGATCTGTTTCCCCAAGCGTTCCTTTCCTGAGTCTCTCCTGTGGTCCTGATGATGAAGTGAATCCTGGGGACGAAGCCTCACCAAGTCCTAAGAAATATTACTACCTGTTTGTTTGGGTCTTAAGTTTCTTTAAAAATTAAGATGAAGCATGTCCCTCAGTCTCCTGGAAAAGGTAATCAGAGATGATGATGAGTCCCAAAGGCCCACAGTTAAAAAACATGGGTGGAAACATGCCAAACCCATTGTGCTAAAAGGGAGAGGCAGCTTTGCTGTGTCCTCTTCAGACACAGAGGGAGCAGTACCTGCTTTGGGGTCCAGGAGACTTTGGGCACCTGAAGAATCCCACCTTCAGACAGAGGGCAAGAGCAATGCAAAAAATTCCTGGACATTGCTCAGCAAAGCACAGATGGGAAATAAAAGGAGAGTAAGCCTGGGCAACCCTGGGCTCTGCCTCTTGGTGTCCCCAGTTTTCATCCCATCGCAGTGGGAATGGAGTTGGCTTAGGGGGCAGACATTCTGATTATGGCAGAACCCAAAACACGGCGATAAAGAAATGGCTTTTGTTTTAGCTTTTCATTCGGATGTAGTTTCAAGTTTACAAAAAAATGTACAAGGAACATTTATAAACTCTTTACCTAGATTCACTGATTATTAACATTTTAACCCGTCAGCTTTACTGGTTGATCATGTGCTCCCCACTCCTCTCTCATAATTTTTTTAAACATTATTTGGAAGTCAGTTACATGTGTCATGGCTGTTTACTCCTAAATACTTCAATGGGTATTTTCTAAGAACTGGCGTATTAGTCTGTTCTCACATTCCTATAAAGAACTACCAGAGTTGGGCATGGTGGCTCACGCTTATAATCCCAACACTTCGGGAGGCAGAGGCAGGAGGATCACTTAAGGTCAAGAGTTTGAGGCCAGCCTGGCCAACGTGGTGAAACCCCGTCTCTACTAAAAATACAAAAATTAGCCAGGCGTGGTGGCGCACACCTGTAATCCCAGCTACTCTGGAGGCTGAGGCAGGAGAATCACTTGAACTCAGGAGGCAGAGGTTGCTGAGACTGGGTAATTTATGAAGAAAAGAGGTTTGACTCACAGTTCTGCAGGTTTAACAGGAAGCATGCCTGGAGGCCTCAGGAAACTTACAATCGTGGAGCAAGGTGAAGTGGAAGCAAGCAGGAGAGAGAGAGAGCAAGTGGGGACCTGCCAAACACTTTGAAACCATCAGATCTCAAGAGAACTCACTCACTATCACAAGAACAGCATGGGGGAAATCGGCCCTCATGATCCAGTCACCTCCCACCAGCACCCTCCCCAACACTGGGCATTACAATTCAACATGATATTTGGGTGGGAACACAGAGCCAAACCATATCAACAGGGATATTCTCTTCCATAACTGAGGTTATTAACTTCATGAATGTACATTGCTATGATGCTTTCTTTTTGAGATGAGGTCTTGCTGTGCTGCCCAGGCTGGATCTGAACTCCTGGGCTCAAGTGATCCTCTGGCCTCAGCCTCTGGAGTAGATGGGACTATAGGCGTGTACCACCATGCCTGGTCACGATGCTTTTAGCTGAATGTTAAATTCATGTTAATGTTCCAATTTTGCCAGTTGGCCCAATAATGTCCTTTATAGCATTTCTCCCACTGCAGAATAGGATCCAGTCTAGGATCAGATACTGCATTTAGTTACCATGTCTCCTGAGCTTCCTTTAATCTGTAACATTTGTGTCACCTTTTGCCTTTCAGGAAATCAATGTTTTTGAAGAGTTCCATCCCCCAGTTCCTGTTTAATGGAATGTTGCTTATTTTGTGTTTGTTCGATGTTTTCTCGTGATTAGATTGAGGCTGTGCATTCGCCATGGGAGACTGCATAGGTGACGCTGGTGTCCTCAAGCCACCACGTCCGGAGGCACATGATATCCATGCGACCCTCGATGGTGGTCATTTTCATCATCTAGACACTGTGTTGCCTGACTTATCCACTGTATAATGACTATTTTAAAACAAAATGTCTTTTTTTTTTCTTTGAGACAGCCTCGCTCTATTGTCCAGGCTGGAGTGCAGTGGGACAATCATAGCTCTCTGCAGCCTTGATCTCCCAGGTTCAAGTGATCTTCCTGCCTCAGCCTCCCAAGTAGCTGAGACTACAGGTATGCACCACCATGCCCAGACAATTTTTTTACTTTTTGTAGAGACAAGGTCTTGTTTTGTTGGCCAGGCTGCTCTGGAACTCCTGGATTCAAGCAATCCTCCTGCCTCAGTCTCCCAAAGTGTTGGAATTACAAGTGTGAGCCACGGCACCTGGCCAAAATGTCTTTTTGAATGTTCATATATTTGTGGTGTAACAAGTAATTTCCCAAGCACACACACACAACCATACACACACACACACACACACACACAATTTCATCTTCCAATAAAGTTTCTTCTTTGCAGTGCCACACACGCATGAACTCTGAGGTCTTCAAATTCTACATGGGCAGTGCTGGCTTTCCGAGGACAGAATCCTCTCAAATAGGTTTCATTACGAGGGGATTTAGGATATTAATGTACGTATAAAAACACTATGCCATTTGAAGAAATTGATTATAAGCTAAGTCATGCCTTAGAGTTGGTTTTCCAATCTTCTAAGAGCAGGCAGCCTCCAACTTCAGAATCATAAATTTAGGTTATAATCAAGAAGCTGCCAGGCCCCCGCCTGGCATGGTGGCTCACATCTATAATCCCAGTTCTTTGGGAGGCCGAGGTGGGAGGATTGCTTGAGGCCAGGAGTTTGAGATCAGCCTCGGCAACATAGCGAGACCCTGTCTCTATGAGAAATTTTGAAAGCTACCCAGGTGTAATGGCACATGCCTGTAGTTTTAGCTACTCAGGAGGCTGAGGTGGGAGGGTTGCTTGAGTCTGGGAGGTTGAGGCTGCAGAGAGCTATGATTGCCCCACTGCACTCCAGCCTAGGCAGCAGAGCAAGACCCTATCTTTAAATAAATAAATAAATAAACAAATAAATAGAAGGTGCCACGAACCTCAACTGGTTGCTGGATCACACTGTACCTGCTACAGTCCACATGGACACTCAGGAGGCTAGTGACCAGATGCTGGGCATGAGGCAGCCTCTGCTCATCTGCCACAGAAAAAGCTCAAGACCCCCAGGGGCAAACTGGCCTGCGGGCAGAGCAGGTACAGAAGGGCAGCCTCCACCTAACCACTACCAAACCGAGATCACTCTCACAGCCCTGGCTGCGCTGGGTCTAGGAACTGCAGTCTGTTGGTTCCAGCTTGTGCTGTCCTGGGAGGGACACTCGGAGGAAGGCGGAGTGGGTGTTGAGGGCTGACCCATCCCATCCACCTTGCCTCCCCAGGCTTCCTACAATGAAGCAGCAATCCTCCTAAGAATTCAGACACTCCCCCGTCCCACACTCTCTTCCCCTCAAGCAAACCAAAGAAGGCTTCTCTTTTGTAGTGAAAATGCTGCATATCAGAGGACAGCTGGCTTTGAGACCATCCACGCTACAGCTAAGACTCGAGGGGCTGCTTCACTCTGGATCTCCACGCATAGCTTTCGATTCTGTGCCCCTCTATAAACATATTGTTTGGAGCATAAAGCTAATAGGAAAACCAATTACTGTGGTCAGTTGCTGAAACATCTCTTTAGAGAATGATGCTGACTCAGTGGGCTAGCAGTTACAGTGCAATCAAAGATAGAGCCAAGGAGGGTGGGCGGCATTTGGCTCAGAATCAAAGTCAGCGTTGGGGATGGGTCACAGCTGCAGAGGCGTTTCTGGGGCACTGGAATAGACCGCTCAAAACCGTGGGAGTTGTGGGGGCAAGAGGGGACCAATGGACCAGGCAGGGAGCGGGCACGAAAGCCACCGCCAACAAATCACCAAGGCACCTGCTTTCTTCTTCTTTCTTCTTCTTTCTTCTTCTTCCTTCTTCTTTCTCTTCCTCTTCTTCTTTCTTCCTCTTCTTTTTTTTTTTTTCCTGAGACAGAGTCTCACTCTGTCGCCCAGGCTGGAGTACAGTGGCACAATCTTGGCTCACTGCAACCTCTGCCTCCCAGGTTCAAGTGATTCTCCTGCCTCAGCCTCCTGAGTAGCTGGGGTTACAGGCACCTGTTGCCACACCCGGCTACCTCTTCCACTTTTCACCAGTCAGCGAGCCACACCGCATCATTTGCCTGAGTGTCAGTGAGAAAGAGATCCATACCGACCATGTAGACTACAGCTGTCCATTGGCAGCCGCCCACAGCTCCATTTCGGCACAGTCCTCAATACTCACCATTTTCTTTCTTTCCGTGTGTGTGTGTGTGTGTGTGTGTGTATGTATGTCTGTCAGGGTCTCGCTCTGTTGCCCAGGCTGGAGTGCAGTGGTGTGATCATAGCTCACTGTAGCCTTGAACTCCTGGGCTCAAGCCACCCTCCCACCTCACCTCAGCCTCCCAAGTATCTGGGACTACAAGTGCATGTCACCACACCCAGCTGGCTTATTCTTTTGAAGTTCCTCTAACCATAGCCTTCAGTGGTTTGGGGTGGGGGTCAATGGGGCATGGATAGTGCCCTGTGAAAGAACTGCTGTTGAGCTCCTTCATTCCCTGAGCGGTGAGGGGAGGTGGCAGCTGAGGATGACACTCAGGCATGTAGTTTGGGAGACTGGCAGACGAGCAGGTTTTAGTGGGGCAGAGTCTAGTTTAGCTTTAAACAGATCGTGTGTGAGGTGACTAGGGGACATGCCCAGGAACAATGATACCTACAAGCCTGCAACTTGAGACAGGTCTGAGTTAGGTACAGTGATGGGGAGTCACTAGCAGTAAGGTTCTGGTTTTTAGAAAGGATGAAGTGGATCACAATGTTACCATGGCAACAGGCAGTTGAGCTCGTTTTGGGGATGGAGGGTGAGGCAGGGCAAGTCCGTGAGTTCCATTTGATGGCTACCTTCTGGGGAAGTGAGCTCTAATCTCGGCTTTGCCACTTGATTGAGCCACGTACCTTCACAGCCTGTAAAGTGTATGTGAGGCCAAATTGTAAGCAATGCAAAGACAAGGGATGACTATTGTTACTGACTTTGGACATATATAGTTCTATCTAACACCAAATGTACTAGAAGTGGGTAATACATATTAAGTATAAAAAATTAATTAAAAAATTAGCCGAGCATGGTGGTGTGAACCTGGAGTCCTAGCTACTCTGGAGGCTGAGGTGGGAGGATCGCTTGAGCCTGGGTGGCGGAGGTAGCAGTGAGCCGAGATTGTACCACTGCACTCCAGTCAGGGTGACTGAGACCCTGTATCCAAAATAAAATAAGATGCAAAATTAAATTAATTTTAAAAATTACATCCAGGTGCCATGGCTCATGCCTGTAATCTCAACACTTTGGGAGGCCAAGGTGGGAGGATCACTTGAGACTAGGAGTTCAAGACCAGCCTGGGCAACATAGGGAGATAGGGAGACACCTGTCCCTACCAAAAAAAAAAAAAAAAAGCTAAAACAAAAAAACAATTCGCCAGATGTGGTAGCATGCACCCATAGTCCCAGCTACTTGGGAGGCTGAGGTGGGAGGATCACTTGAACCCAAGAGTTGGAGGTTGTAGTGAGCCGTGATGGTACCACCGCACTCCAGCTTGGGTGACAGAACAAGACCCTATCTCTAAACAACAACAAAAATTACAAACAGGCCAGGTGTGGTAGCTCACGCTTGTAATCTCAACACTTTGGGAGGCCAAGGTGGGAGGATCCCTTGAGCCCAGGAGTTCAAGACCAGCCTGGCCAACATAGCTTCTCAGGAATGCTGGATTGCTTGGTCACAAGTAACCGGCACTGAAAATTCTGAAAAATAAGGCTGAGTCAGTGTTGGCTCCTAGCTGCTTGAAGTTCTTATCTAGGGAAAAGCTACTGCAGTAATTATTTTCAAGAAGCAGAAGGGAAAAAGGAAATGAATAATTAGGAGGAATTGAAGAGATGCAATTTTCTCTTTGCTCAAAGCTGGCGGATCAAGATGCCTCTTTACTGAGAGGATTTTCTTCCTGTTTAATTTGCTTTTCTACTCCTCCTGAGTGAGTAGAAAAGAGAAGTTATTAGGGGATGGGAAAAATAAACAGGGGAACAAGAGCGAAAAGAGGAAAAGAATGAAATCATGTTTCTATAGAAAAGGCAAGTTACTGCTATTCTATCAGAAAAATAAAATGGAAAGAAATCACCAAAATCAACATGTAAATTTTGAGGAATGGGTGAAGATAGATTCATAATCCTTTTGGGAACCCCAGTGTCACAAGGGAAGCGTGTCTGTGCCTGTGCCTCAGTGAGAGCCCAGTCTCCTAGGTCCCCAGAGTGTGGCCTTCTCCCTCTGTCTCCATGCACTTCTCCTAATCTGAGCGTAGGACCAGTTAGCAAACAATTGCAATCCACTCCTCTTTGGCTTAAAGCTCATAAGTAGTTCCCTTTCACTGCCTTCCCTGGCCAGGCACTGGCTGGGCACCTTCCATTTGTCTAAGTGCCAGCTCGAGCCTCCACAGCACGGAGGGCTTCCAGGCTGGCCTGCAGGAGTACTGAAGCACCCTGCATAGACTCTCTTTGTGGGAGACACTGGAGAAAGGGCTCCCTAAAGGAAAGAGAGCTGTTGAAGTTTGGTGCCAGGGCTCAGAGCTTCTGCGAAGCTGACCTAGGGGGTGCCTGGTACTGAAGACAGAGCACTCCATGCTCCCTATCAGGGCACTTAGACGTTGGGTTGTAACCGTCCCCTCCTAGCCTGTGAGCTCAAGTCCCTCACTGTGCTCACTGCTGTACCCCTGGCATGAAGCACAAAGCCTCAAAGAGTGGGTGCTGAACACGCATGGGCTGGACAAGTGGATGAATGGGCTGGGTGACAGAAGAGGCAGCATTCTAAGAGCTGCTGGGCTGGACAAGCGGATGAATGTGCTGGGTGACGGAAGAGGCAGCGTTCTAAGAGCCGCTGGTGTATCTAGAGTTTGTTCCTTCTGGTGGGTTCTTGGTCTCGGTGACTTCAAGAATGAAGCCATGAACCCTTCGCGGTGAGTGTTAAACCCTTAAAGGTGGTACAAACCCAGAATAAGCAGCAGCAAGATTTATTGTGAAGAGCAAAAGAACAAAGACTTCACAGCCTGAAACGGAACTGGAGCAGTTTGCAATGCTGGCTGCGGTGGCCAGCTTTTATTCCCTTATTTGTCCCCGCCCACATCCTGCTGATTGGTCCATTTTACAGAGTGCTGATTGGTCCATTTTACAGAGTGCTGATTGGTGCATTTACAATCTTCTAGCTAGACACAGAGCGCTGATTGGTGCGTTTTTACAGAGTGCTGATTGGTGCATTTACAATCCTTTAGCTAGACACAGAGCACTGATTGGTGCATTTACAATCCTCTACTAGACAGAAAAGTTCTCCAAGTACCCACTAGACCCAGGAAGTCCAGGTGGCTTCACCTCTCACTGGCACCTTTGTCACTCTACTGCCATCCTGAACCCAGCCTGAGCAGGGGAGGGCACAATGATATGGCCAATGGGAATGGAAAGAACAGCTCCTGGGGGGTCAGCAGGTTCCACAGTGTGGGAGGTGGCACCCATGTCCTCAACAGCACTGGATCTTTGGGTTTCTCCCATGGCTTCAGTTTTGTGAACCCCGGAGGCTTTGGGCAAGTATTACTGGCCTTGTCTTCCCATCCCACAAAAGTAAGCTGGGCAGAAGGGGAGGAAATAGCAAACCCTGGGCCAAAGCTGGGGTGCTGTTCATGAGGATGTGAGGGTCCCTGCCAGGGGATGACCAGCGACTGGAGAAGAATTTGATGAGGAAAGAAGGCCCACATTGACCAATAAGGAAATGCTGAGAGTTATTGTTCTGGGGAGCTTCAAATAAAGTCCAGTGGGGGCATGGCCTGGGAACACAGTTCAAACATAATAATATCTGATTTCTTTGTTTCTTTCTTTCTCTCTCTCTTTCTTTTCCTTCCTTCCTTCCTTCCTTCCTTCCTTCCTTCCTTCCTTCCTTCCTTCCTTCTTTTCTTCCTTCCCTCCTTCTCTTTCTTTTTTTTTTGAGACAGGGTATTGCTCTGTCTCTCCCAGGCTAGAGTGCAGTGGCATAACCACAACTCATTGAACTCATTTCAGCCCCCACCTCCTGGGCTCAATCAATCCTCCCACCTCAGCCTCCGAAGTAGCTGGGACTAGGGGCAAAAGCCACCATGTAGGGCTAATTTTTTATAGTTTTTGTAGATACAGGGTCTCTCTATGTTGCCCAGGCTGGTCTCAAACTCCTGACCTCAAGTGATCATCCTGCCTTGGCCTCCCAAAGTGTTGGAATTATAGGCATGAGCCACTGTGCCTGGCAATTATCTCTAATTTGTAAAACCACCTTGCAAGGTAGGTGCCCTTTGTCACCCTCAATTTGCTATGAGGAACTGAAGTCTGAGAAGCTCGGGTTGCTTGCCCTGGTCGCAAGGCTGGTGAGCGGGGAGCTGAGCCTCACGCACAGGCTGCCTCTCCGTGATGGAGGCAGCCATACCCATGGAGGTCACGCCCTGGAACAGAAACCCAGCCTTGCCCAGTCCATGACATTTGTTTTGTGAAAGCAGATGCTGTGGCATTGCCCTGGCATTGCATCCTTTGGGCAAAGTCTCAGTCAAAGGAGAGAACGTTGTAGTAAAGAAAGCAAGACAGAGCTTTCAACTCTCAGGCCTGGAAAAGCCTGCGCCAGGTTCCTCCTGTGCATAGAAACAGGGAGGCAAAGGAATGAGTTGAGTAATAAGCTCAAGGCTTCAGGTATTACAAACAGAAGCAATAAAATTGACGCTTGGCTGAGTTATCAGGAGGCAAAGAGGCAAAAATCCAATTTAAAAGATTATGCCAAATGGAATAAATCCAAAGTAATGGGATTGCTGAGCCTTAGCTGCCATAAAGGGAAACCATAGCATGTCTTGGTTTACAAAAAAAATAATACGGAGGATAAACACAAGCTGATTTAGTGTTTGGACTTAGTGTTTGGGGAAATCGTTACTATTTTTCCAGAGAGGGCTATAGTCAAGGACTGTGCCTGCAGTGCAATGCATTCAATAAATATTTACGGAGAGTCCTCAGGCCTCAAGTGTTCTCGATGCACCCGAGCCAGTGGCGTGCTGTGTGTGCGTCTGGGGGTGCTGTGTGTGCGTCTGGGGGTGCTGTGTGTGTGTGTCTGGGGTGCTGTGTGTGTCTGGGGGTGCTGTGTGTGCGTCTGGGGTGCTGTATGTGTCTGGGGGTGCTGTGTGTGCATCTGGGACCGGGCGCCACTCTTCTTCATATGGTGCTGCCTGAAACCCCACATCAGGTTTGTGGGATTTAGGAGGACTGGGGTGAACGAGATGTCTCTCATGGGAAGATGTGGATTTGGGAGGCACCACCCCAGCAGAGAGGTCTTTCGTGCCCTTAGAGGGGCCTTCAGCTGGAGGGAGGAAAGCTGGAGTCACTGCAAGAGAATCTCAAACACCATGACTCACGTTTGATTATACTAAAAGAGAAACTGCTTTGCAGGTCTGCTTAAAGATCTCATTGTGTTCCGCATAAGCAGTTTCGTTCTGAGGTGACCGAGATTTTGTAAGGCACAGTTCTTTTCAGTCATTAGTCTGCAGCACCCAGGATAGCCTCATCTCAGCTGTGGAACAGAGACCAAATGTTCAGACGCAGGCACCAGAAAGGGTGGTTCAGAAACGAGGTAAGAACAGCTCTGGCTCTGAGCGCTGTGAAGCACTCTGCTAAGCGCTTTATGCACTGTCTTTGTGTAGCTACTAAAAGTACCTCATCTGACAGATTCGAAGGCTGAAGCTCAGACAGATTCAGTAACTTGCCCAAGGCCACACAGCCAATGATTAGCAGAGCAGGGATAGCAGTACTTGACCCCTCTGCTGTCTGGTCTCTCCTAAAGGGGGAGACTTTAAAGCTAGATAATCGGGGGAACAATTCAGCGAAACAAGTAGGGGTTTGTGCTAGTAAAGGCCACATCCAATTCTGGAGTTTTCTTCTCCTTTGTTTTCTGCTTATTCAGAGAAGAAGATAGTACAGACCTGACTGCAATTTCCCCACGCTCAAACAGTGTCTGTTACACACAACAAAAGCCTCAGTCTATGCAGATCAGGATCACTGACAGAGAATGTCCAGATGTGTGACAAGACAGAGACACAACCATAAAAGTGACATAGTGTCTCAGTAATGGTTTATATAAGAAGCACAGAGGATATCATGTACAAAGAGGGATTTCTATTTGTCTCTTAAAACAAAAAAATTAGTAGTCCAGAGGAAGGAGACTCCCATGCCCTGTGACCCTGGTTGATAAAAAGAGCCGGTTGAATCAAGGTGCATGGGCAGATCTTGGTCCTGCTCAGAGCAGCCCTCCAGGCTGCTGCGCCCCACAGCCAGGCAAGCATTCTGCCCACTCACTGCTGCCGTCTCCCCGGCACCAGAAAGAACCAGCACAAAGAACTTTCCAACTTTTTGAGGATGGGCAGATAGGGAAAAGGAGTATCCCTTATGCTCTCCACTCCTTTTCCCTAACATCCTCATATCACTCTCCTCGGAGTTGTCACCATGAAATTCATTCATTCATTCCTTCATGCTTTGATTTGTTCCTTCCTGCATCCAGCCCCTGTCTATTCATGACTCAACATTCATGCAGCATTTAGTCTGTCAGATGCCATGCTCAGCCCTAGAGTTATAAAAATGAATAAAATGCAATGAGAGAGCATCTTACACCAGTCAGAATGGCTATTATTAAAAAGTAAAAAAACAACAGATGTTGGTGAAGATGTGGAGAAAGGGAACCCTGCTGGTGGGAACGTAAATTAGTTCATTCACTGTGGAAAACAGTATGGCAATTGCTCAAAGAACTAAAAATAGAGCTACCGTTCCACCCAGCAGTCCCACTACCGGGCATCTGCCCAAAGGAAAATAACTCATTATATCAAAAACATATCTGCACTCATATGTTTATTCCAGCACTATTCACAATAGCAAAGATAGGGAATCAACCTAAGTGTTCATCAACGGGGCATTATTTTAAAAATGTGGTATATATACATCATGGAATGCTACTTGCCCTTAAAAAAATAAAATTAAGGCTGGGCACAGTGGCTCACACCTGTAATCCCAGCACTTTGGGAGGCTGAGGCAGGAGGATCACTTGAGGTCAGGAGTTCCAGACCAGCCTGGCCAACATGGTGGAACCCCGTCTCTATTAAAAGTACAAAAATTAGCCGGGCATGGTGGGCGCCTGTAATCCCAGCTACTTCGGAGGCTGAGGCAGGTGAATCGCATGAACCTGGGAGGTGGAGGTTGCAGTGAGCCGAGATCACACCACTGCACTCCAGCCAGGGCAACAGAGTGAGACTTTGTCTCAGAATAAATAAATAAATAAATAAATAAATAAATAAATAAATAAATAAATAAATAAATAAAATAATGTCTTTTGTAGCAACAGTGATGGAACTGGAGGCCATTATCCTAAGTGAAATGACTCAGAAAGTTAAATACTGCATATTGTCACTTACAAGTGGGAGCTATACAATGGATACCTATGGACAAGCAGAGTGGAAAAATAGACAGGAAATGCCAAAAGGTGGGGAAGTGGGAGTGGGGTGAGGGTTGAAAAAATTACCTATTGAGTACAGTGTTCACTGTTCGGGTGATGGGTGCACTCAAAGCCCAGACTTCACCACAGCGAACTATGTGCCTGTAAGAAGCCTGCACTTGTATCCCCTAAATATTTACAAATGAAAATTTAAAACTGAATAAAACACAATCCCAGTCCTCAAGCTACTAATTGTCTAGAAATGAGATTGACGCATTAAAGGGTCTATGGAGGCTCCCTGCCTAGGGGCTGGGCTGGGCTGGCAGGGCCCTGGGAGGACTTCAGGGAAGAGAAACTTCAGCTGGATCTAAAAGGGAAATGGGAGCTGCCCCAGGTGGAGGACTGCAGGGCAGGAAGGCAGTTTTCAGTCTGAGGGAGCAGCCAGTGTAAACTGCACAGACAAGAAATCTCAGGCCCTTGGGTGGTCCAGTAATCCTCTGGCAACCCCGTGCTTCCAGATCGCCCCACTGCTGATCAAGCCAAAATCTACCATGGGATTATTCTTCTTCCAGACCGGTTCCCACCATGTCACTCTTCTGTTCCAACCTTTCGTGGCTTGAGATAAAAACCCCAATGTTTTGATTGGTGCCCAGGCACTGTGCAACCTGATCCCCACCTACTGCTGGGCAGATTTCTGCTACTACCCTTTAACCAGCACAAGCCTCTGAAAACTCTCAGCCAGGGATTGGAAACTGAAAGCCTCGGAACTCCAGGCGCTGGAAAGGTGGGAGGTGCAGAGTGGATGACAGCAGGACACATATGACAGCAGACTGCTGAGCTGCTCTGTGTGAGGACGCAGGGCTGTCCTGGAGCCTGTCCTAGGTTTGGTCCTGCTCCCAGGCCTTTGTCCAGCGCGCACCTGACATGGCCTCCTCTCCTATCCATTTCCTTTCCTCTCTTCCACATTTGCCTCCCATGGAGACTTCCTAAAATACTTCTGGAAACAAACGCTCTCCTCCTTTCACACTAAAAAACAAATCTGTCTAAAACCAGGTTTATCTTCCTTTTTGAAACTAGCTCCTTCTCGGTTTTTCTGTCTCTGGGCATGGTCCTGCTATTCTTCCAGTCACTGAGGTCTAAAAACACACATTCCTCCTGTCTTGCCATCACCCTCAAACCCTGTATGTGCAAAGCATAAAACTGCAGGCCATAGTAGTTGGAAGGGACTTTGGATATTGTCTAATTTACTGGCCACAAATCCAGGCATCTCCTTTAGAGCAACCTTTATAGCAATCAGATCTCTGACCAATGATCTTCCAGATTATTTTTCATTCTTCTCTAATTGCTTAAAAATTATTTATATTGAATGAAAATCTGCCTCCCTGGGCCCCTTTTGAAGTCTTCCTCTCCAGCCACACAGAGTGAGTCTCATTTCTCTTCTAAACACATTTGTCATGGGATTCTTCACCTTCCTCCGCTTAAACATCCTTTCAGTATTTTTTTAAATTTTTTTAATTTTTTTTTAATTTTAATTTTTTTTTGAGAAGGATTCTCGCTCTGTCACCCAGGCTGGAGTGCAGTGGTGCCATCTCAGCTCACTGCAAGCCCCGCCTCCTGGGTTCAAGCAATTCTCCTGCCTCAGCCTCCTGAGTAGCTGGGACTACAGGTGCCCGCCACCACGCCCCGCTAATTTTTTTTTTTTTTTGGTATTTTTAGTAGAGACGGGGTTTCACCATGTTAGCCAGGATGGTCTCAATCTCCTGACCTCGTGATCTGCCTGCTTTGGCCTCCCAACGTGCTGGGATTACAGGCATGAGCCACCACACCCAGCCCCCTTTCAGTATTTTTTAGGTGACTTTCCCATGACTATCTGGTTACCTCCTTTAACTCATCACGGTTCCTAATATGTAAACTGGGATTCAATTACATTCTGCTCAAACGACATTTCTTGGGTCTACTATGAGACAAGCAGCAGGTCAAGGTAATTCTGGGCATGAATTCGAGAGTGAGACTGACTGGGGCCAGATCCTGCCCCTACTGCCTACTGGCTAGACAATGTTGACATTCGGTGTCTTCCTTCAAGGCTGTGGGCAGTAAAAGGCTGAGAACAGAGTAACATCCAGTAAACATTCAATAGATGATTGTTCTTTTTCTTTTTGCACTTAAAAATATGCAACATGAAAAAGTGCTAATGATTGAAACTGAGTGACGCATATTTGTGGGTTTATCAAACTTAAAAACTTTATGTATGTTCGAAATTTTCTGTAATAAAATTAAAATTTTAAATGTCATATTAATTAGGTGAGATATACCTATTTAATATCTGGGGATATTATAGCAGCTGGGATACAAAAATAGTAAAAAAGTTCCTGCCAATACTAACCTCTGAGTAAATAGGGGAGATATACATGTAAACCAAGAGTTTCAATGCAGCATTAGAAATGCAATGCAGGCTGGGCATGGTGGCTTATGCCTGTAATCCCAGCACTTTGGGTGGCTGAGGCAGGAGGATCACCTGAGGCCAGGAGTTTGAAACTGGCCTGGGTAACAGAGTGAGGCTTTGTAAAAAGCAAGGAAGGAAGGAAAAGAAAGAAAGAAGGAAGGAAGGAGGGAGGGAGGGAGGAAGGGAAAGAAGGGAGGAAGGAAGGAAGGAAGGAGGGAGGGAGGGAGGGAGGGGAGGGGAGGGAAGGGAAAGGACAGGACAGGGAAGGAAGGGAAGGGAAGGGAAGGGAGGGGAGGGGAGGGGAAGGGAAGGGAAGGGAAGGGAAGGGAAGGGAAAGGAAAAAGGAAAGGAAAGGAAAGGAAAGGAAAGAAAAGAAAAGGAAAGGAAGGGAAAGGAAAGAAGAAATAGAGAAGATGGGCCCGGTGCAGTGGCTCATGCCTGTAATCCAGCACTTTGGGAGGCTGAGGTGGGCGGATCACGAGGTCAGGAGATTGAGACCATCCTGGCTAACACGATGAAACCCCATCTCTAATAAAAATACAAAAAATTAGCCGGGCGTGGTGGCGGGCACCTGTAATCCCAGCTACTCAGGAGGCTGAGGCAGGAGAATAGCGTGAACCCGGAAGGCGGAGCTTGCAGCGAGCCGAGATCACGCCACTGCACTCCAGCTTGGGCGACAGAGTGAGACTCCGTCTCAAAAAACAAACAAACAAACAAAACAAAAAGAAAGAGAGAGAAGAATGAAGGAAGGAAGGAAAGGAAGGAGGAAATGTGGAGATGCATCCAAGCAATCCAGGTAGCTCAGCAGATGAATGCTACAGTGAGTGGGGCTGGGGGTGGAACCACAGGTGTCTTTTGTTTTGGACGTTACCTTCCACCTCTTGCTAGGAGTGCATAGCTAATTGAATAGCCTGAATTGACTTGTGCCCATCTGGAAAGCCCAATTTGGGGTTTTTCACACATAATAATTTCTTGGGCTCTGGAGTCAGGGTGTCTGGATTCAAATCCCTTACTTCCAATGACATAACCTCTTTGAGCCTCAGACTTCTTATCTCTGTTGGGGCCAATAACAGCACCTACCTTGTGGAATTACGAAATTAAGATATGGAGTTGAGCAGAGCATTTGGCATTGTGCTGGGCAAGTTGTTAAGTGCTCAAATGTTGGTTGTTTCTTACTTCTTCACTCCGACTCCTACATTATTATTACAGGTAACTCTTCTTCTATTCTGGAGTTTGTACGCAATCATCACCCCTCTTTAACCCCCACTTCCAGCAAGCACATTCCTGCAAGCCTTTCTTCTGATGGGAACTAGAAAGTCTGATTTGACAAGCTTTCCATTCCTTCTGCTACCTCGTTCCCTTGGGGAGGCTCCAAGTGACTGAGGGGCCTTTGGGCTGGAGGAGACAGTGGAACATAGGACAATGGGAGGGGGTTAAAATAACTCATGCTCTTGAAAAGAAAAGGTAAAGTCAGGCCTTGGGTAATGTGTAAGAGGGAGATGTTTAAAAATGACCCTTCCCTCTAGGGAAAGAGAAGAAAGACAGAAACTCCAGGCTCCACTTCTGCCGGTTTAGGGCCAGGCTCTGCTTTTTTGAGACTACAGCTCCACCTCGTGGCATCACCCGCACGGGTGTCTGTCTTGCTGTAGCCCACACTATCACTGTCTTCTTATAAACAAAAATTTGTCCATAATTTAAAAACTGAATGGAATATCTAACTTATTTTCTAGGTCTGGAATGGTGGCTCATGCCTGTAATCCCAGCACTTTCAGAAGCTGAGGTAGGAGGATTGCTTGAGCCCAGGAGTTGGAGACCAGCCTGGGCAACGTTGCAAAACTCCCATCCCTACAAAACAATTTTTAAAAATCTGCTGGGCATGGTGGTGCACACCTGTGGTCCTGGCTGCTCTGGAGGCTGGAGGATCGCTTGAGCCCAGGAGATTGAGGCTGCAGTGAGCTGTGATCATGCCACTGCACTCCAGCCTGGGAATGAGTGGCAGCCTGGCAGAGTGAGACTCTGTCTCTGAAAATAATAATGATAAAAATTGGCCGGCCACGGTGGCTCACGCCTGTAATCCCAGCACTTTGGAAGGCTGAGGCAGGTGGATCACTTGAGGCCAGGAGTTGGATACCAGCCTGGCCAACATGGTGAAACCCTCTCTCTACTAAAAATACAAAAATTAGCCAGGCGTGGTGGCACACACATGTAATCCCAGCTACTCGGGAGGTTGGGGCAGGAGAATCACTGAAGCAAACCTAAGAGGCGGAGGTTGCAGTGAGCCAAGATCTCACCACTGCACTCCAGCCTAGGCAACAGAGACCCCGTCTCAAAATAAATAAGTAAATAAATAAATAAATAAAAATAATCATAATAATTTACTTTCTCTATCATAAAACACTGGAAACATAATGTTCATTCTTGTCCTAATGAGATTTTCATCTTGGGAAAACATTCTTTTCTGCAGGGGAAGATACTGTTTTGAAATTGCATTTCAGTTACTTACTTACACATCTGGTACTCCCTCCTATTGTATGGAAGTGCCAGTTTCTCTCATAAAAAATACCTCATGTTCTAGAATGATACCTGCACAGGTAAGATGCTCAACTCATGTCTTTCCTCCTCTTCCTGCAGACACACAGCAGGGTGTCCCATTCAAACCTAACCTTGTTCTTGCCTCAGGGGTCCTCCTTGGAATGCTCACTCTGCACCCAAGCTGGCTTTTCAGAGTCATTCAGAGCCACTCTAAGGGATCCCTTTTCACTGGGCCCTCTCAACTATAAAATCATCACCAGACATTTCATCTCCCTTGTAACAGCTACACTCATCAGTGTAGCTGATTTCTCGTCTCCTTATTTCTCATCTGCCTCTCCCAGCTACCATGCATGCATCATTAACATTCCATGTTTGTTCTCTGCTTTCTTGGCAACAAATAGTGCCTGCACCTCGGAGGCACTCAGTACTTATTTGTTGAATGAATCAACTAATTCCATCTTTAAGAACTGGGTTCCGGCCAGGCGCAGTGGCTCACTCCTATAACCCCAGCACTTTGGGAAGCTGAGGCGGGTGGATCACCGGAGGTCAGGAGTTCGAGACCAGACTGGGCAACAGAGTGAAACCCCATCTGTACTAAAAATACGAAAATTATCTGGACTTGGTGACGGGCACCTGTAGTCCCAGCTACTTGGGAGACTGAGGCAGGAGAATCGCTTGAACCCAGGAGACGGAAGTTGCAGTGAGCCGAAATCATGCTACTGCACTCCAGCCTGGGCGACTGAGACCGTGTCAAAAAAAAAAAAAAAAAAAAAAGAAGAAGAAGAACTGGGTTCCTCTGCCAGCACAGCTGCCCATCCCATCGTGTGCTGGACCAGGGACCAGGGAATGAGAGGAATGACAAAGATGCCTGTGTCCCCCTTTAAGCCGTTATTTTGCAGGAAGCAGTGAGATGGTTGAACATATAGATTGGCATGTTTTCGAGGTGCTCACTGACTTTATTATTTGGCTCACTGAGCAGCTGTCCAATGAGGCTGGGTTTAGATTGTTTTGGGAAGAGATTCATATCCTTCTCCAATTACCTTTTCCAAGTTAGTCAGCCATTGCTGGTCGGTTCCCTCCACTATGAAGTTGTGTGTGTGTTTGTGTGCTCGCACCCTGCCCCCATAACCCAGGTGCGGGCTGAGGAGAGGAAGCATGTTTTATTTATTATTTTTATTTATTTATTTCTGAAATTCAGTTTTTTTTTTTTTGAGAGGGAGTCTCGCTCTATCACCCAGGCTGGAGTGCAGTGGTGCGAACTCGGCTCACTGCAACCTCCGCCTCTGGGTTCAAGTGATTCTCCTGCCTGAGCTTCTGGGACTACAGGCACCCGCCACCACGCCCAACTAATTTTTGTATTTCTAGTAGAGACAGGGTTTCACCGTGTTGGCCAGGCTGGTCTTGAACTCCCGACCTCAAGTGATCCGCCCTCCTCGGCCTCTCAAAGTGCTGGGATTACAGGTGTGAGCCATCTCGTCCGGCCTCTGTCGTGTGTGTGTGTGTGTGTGTGTGTGTGTGTGTGTGTGTGTGTGTGTGTGTGTGTGTAGAGAAGGGGTCTTGCTATGTTACCCAGGCTGGAGTGCAGTGGCCCGATCATAGCTTCCTGCAACCTCGATCAACCTCGATCTCCTGGGCTCAAGCGACCCTAGAGGAAGGGCGTTTCAGTATGGGCACTTCTTAGGAAATCTTCGCTGCTTTGGAGACTAAAAGAGCCCAAAGGCAGGTAGGTGAGCCGCGGATACAAGCCTCCCTGTCTCCCTGTTGTTGCATACAGGTCTCACAGGAAACTAAGTGAGGAGTAGGGAGGGCAGTGGGTTAGGAACAGCGATGGCCAGCAGATGGCGCCAGGCCCCAAGGCATGACCCGCTGGCCGCAGGCGCGCCTAGGAGTGGCCGCGAAGCTAGTCCCCAAACAAAGCTGGAGCCAATGCGCTCTCTGGGGTCCTTCACATCCTGCTACTCAACGACCTGAAGGTAATCAGCTACTTCCTGGCTCTGGGGCTTCACCTTTTAATGAGCCTGGTTAGCCGGTTTTGTTTTCTTTTGGGGGACGTGCGTGTGGTTTGTGACCCCTTTTTCCGTTGGCTCTCAGAGTCCAGAGCTCCCCGGGGTCCGCCCTGACCCGTGGCTCCGCCTCGCCTCGCTCCCGCGCCCAGAGCGGCGCTCACAGGTCGGTCGCTGCCTGCACAGAGGTCTGTCCTGGACCTCTTAGGTTGGACTGTCCCCTCTCTCCCTGTCGCCGCTGCTGTTTGGGGACTTGGACGCCCCTCTGCAGAGGCGGGGGGCCTTGCCTCCGGCCCCATCTGACATCTTCCTTGAAGAATCGCTGCCTCACCTAGATGTCCTTTGGGTGGCGCAGTTCGTTGGCCTTCTAGGAAGGCTGGTTGCCAAGAGCAGGGCTTTTGCTCAGGGCCCCGGTGGCTGACGATTGTGTCCTGCGTGGGATAATCGAAAGTGTGCACAAGTCACTCACTGATCAGACGTCCCAGGGAGACCGAGGGGTGGGTGCAGCTTGATGGAACCTCTTCTCCAGGCCAGCAGAGGGAGGGAAGGCAGGCCTGCCCCACCACGCCTGTCCCCAAGAACCCCGTCTTAAGCCAGCTCATAAATCTCCCATCACTCCTTCCGTGTGTCCTGGCTTCCCTCCTCAGCTCGGAGCAGTGGACATTTCCACCTGCAAGGTGAACTGTGCCCTACTGTGCCAACCGACAGGGATCAGGGGAAGGTGGACAGAGGGGCTGCACCTCTGTCCTTTACCCCCGCCATCCCCCACCAACCCCAGGTCAGATCTCCATTCCCACAATAAACTGTACCTAGCGGGGTGCAGGTGTGGTTTAAGGACATTCTCCTGGCCAGAGCCAGTGGCCTGCAGTGTGGTCTTCCCTAGATGTCCTCGCTGCAGGCATGAGGCCATGCCAGGTGGCCAGGCTAGGCTCTCAGGGGTGGTCCTGCTGTCTATGATGTGTGGGGAGCAGGCCTGGAGGAACTAAAGAGATGCAGGGACAAACATTTCCCAAAGGCCTGATGACATTTACTGGATTCAGCTGCCTTCATAAGCCTGCGTTTCTAGCTTTCAGTGTTTCTGGGGTTAACTTTAAAACAAAATCAAACCAAAAAAGGTTGTTATTATATACTGTGATTGTCCACAACTCTTAAACACAGGCCAGTGACAGTTTAATGCACTCCCACATCTGCTCAGGATCATAGAATTCTCTACATTTAAGAGTCGGGGGGCCGGGCATGGTGCCTCACGCCTGTAATCTCAGCACTTTGGGAGGCCGAGGCGAGTGGATCACCTGAGTTCAGGAGTTGGAGACCAGCCTGGCCAACATGGTGAAACCCTATCTCTTCTAAAAATACAAAAATTAGCTGGGCGTGGTGGCATGCGCCTGTAATCCCAGCTACTCTGGAGGCTGAGGCAGGAGAATAGCTTGAACCCAGGAGGCAGAGGTTGCAGTGAGCTGAGATTGCGTCATTGTACTCCAGCCCGGACTACAAGAGTGAAACTCAGTCTCAAAAAAAAAAAAAAAAAAAAAAAAAAAAGAAGGGTGAGGCAGTGGGGCAGAATTCCTAGGCCTCCTGGTAGAGCAGGGTGGCTTTGAGCCTGTAGGAAAGTTCGCTTTTCTGACTCAGTCTACTTTAAAGTGGCCTCTGAGGGACAGAGACCCTGATAGGATCTGGTTGTCTTGCAGAAAGGGGCAGTGAAGTCACTGACTTATTTTGTGGATGAATGCTGTTGCTGGATGTCCTAGCAGATATATTCCTCATTCTCCACTCAGCTTTCTTCAGCTCTCTCCTCCTGCCCATGTTAGCCCTACCCACTTCCATTCACAAATCCACCTTATGGATGGCTTGAAGGGTGCTTGAGGCTCATACCAAGGGGAATGAACACAGGCATCTCCCGGAAGAGAGCAGTCTGTAGAGAGAACATCTGTATTCCTGACTCGCAGACAGTGTGTGTCCTTTTATACAGCATCATCAAGTTCACCTTTCTCCATCTTTCTCACAAAGAAATCCTAAAAGACATTGAACATGCTTAGGTTTAAAAATGGGAGGGCATGATACAGTAGGAAGAGATGGCATTTGTCACCCATCTCCCCACTTTCTATCGGTGGACATGGGGCAAATTTTCTATCCTCTTTGAGTCTCAATTCTCTTATCTGGAATATGGGGATAATGGTGCCTCTGCTGTGGGGATTGGTTGAGAAAATGGACAAAGTGCCTAGCATGTAAAGCACACATCAAATGACAACTCTCTTCTTGCCCCTGGACTAAAGCAGTAAGGAACTGAAGTTCAAGTTCAAGTTCTGCCACTCGCCAGCTGTGACCAGAGCACTTTGCCTCATTTCAGTGAGCCCTGGGTTCCCATCTGTGCATGAGTCTAAGGTGCCATTTTCTACGATTCTTGGATTTATTTTGTCTACAGGTCCTGCTGACTTCCCCTTCAGAAAAGGACTGAGGTGAGTTTGCCCGGCCTGGTCTCCTGATGACCCCCTATTTGCTTGTCATCCCTCCTAAGCTTTGACATAGTTAAGTGGCAGGGATGCTAAATGACAGTGCAGGGAGTGCAGAAAACTGGTCAGCAACCACCTCTTCCAGGTCCCAGTGCATCCCCCATGCCCCTTCACTTCCGGGATTCTGACTGCCCTGACTGAGTGTGATGGGACACACCTGGCAAGAACAGGGGATGCGCACTCTCTCCTGCTCCGCCCTGCCGTGTTCCTTCCGTCCTTGCCTGTTTGAGTCTATTCTCTCCTTGAAGAGAGAAAATGAGGCAAAATCATCGGGTAGTTGAGTGGCTTTCTGCCTTCCTCCTGGAGTTTGTTAATTTTTCAAATTTCCCAAAATCTTTATTTGTTTATTTGTTTATTTTGAGATGGATTCTACCTCTTGTTGTGCAGGCTGGAGTGCAGTGGCACAATCTTGGCTTACTCTAACCTCTACCTCCCGGGTTTAAGCGATTCTCCTGCCTCAGCCTCCCGAGTAGCTGGGATTATAGGCGCACGCCAGCACACCTGGCTCATTTTTGTATTTTTAGTAGAGACGGAGTTTCACTATGTTGGCCAGACTGGTCTCAAACTCCTGACCTCAGGTGATCTGCCTGCCTCAGCCTCCCAAAATGCTGGGATTATAGGCATGAGCCACTGTGCCTGGCCTATTTTATTTATTTTTATTTTATTTTGTTTACTTATTTATTTGACATGGAGTCTCGCTCTGTTGCCCAGGCTGGAGTGCAATGGTGCAATCTTGGCTCACTGCAACCTCTGCCTGCCGGGTTCAAGTGGCGATTCTCCTGCCTTAACCTCCCAAGTAGCTGGGATTACAGGAGCCTGCCACCAGGCCCAGCTAATTTTTTTGTATTTAGTAGAGAAAAGTTTCACCATGTTGGTCAGGCTGGTCTCAAACTCCTGATCTCAGGTGATCCACCTGCCTCGGCCTCCCAAAGTGCTGGGAGTACAGGTGTGAGCCACCGCACCCGGCCTTACCTTATTTTTTTAAGAGACAGGGTCTTGCCCTGTTGCCCAACCTGGAGTACAGGGCACAATCGTAGCTCACGGCAGCCTCGACTTACTGGGCTCAAGCAACCCTCCCACCTCATCCTCCTGAGTAGCTGGAACCACAGGCACGCACTACCACACCTGGCCCTTCTTTATTTTATTGTGAATGCAGCTGAAAAATGTTCCCCAGGAACTATCTCCTTTGTAATTTTTTGCAAAGTAAAACTACAAGGTATATTGAAGCCAAGCTCTTTGGGGCTAATTTACAGTACTGTTTAGGGTAACGTACAATAGGTTGGGCTCATTTGAAACAAACTTGGGGGCTTCAGCTTGAGCAGATGGCTGAAACCTTCACACAGGGCTTCCTCTGAGCCCTGTAGTCTTCCGATCTTGGTTTTTCTCCTTCCTCCCCGCCCTTTTTTTTTTTTTTTTTTTGAGGTGGAGTTTCGCTCTTGTTGCCCAGGCTGGAGTGTAGTGGCAAAATCTTGGCTCACTGCACCCTCCGCCTCCCGGGTTCAAGCGATTCTCTTCTGCCTTAGCCTCCCGAGTAGCTGGGAATACAGGTATGTGCCACCATGCCTGGCTAATTTTTTTGGTATTTTTAGTAGAGACGGGGTTTCACCATGTTGGCCAGGCTGGTCTCAAACTCCTGACCTTAGGTGATGAAGCCACCTCGGCCTCCCAAAGTGCTGGGATTACAGGTGTGATCCACCACGCCTGGTCCTTCCTTCCCCTTTCAATTGTATTTTGAATGAATCAACAAGTGTAGAATTATTAAAGTTGTTGGAGAGGAAAAACGTCTAAATTGCTACCTCTGTGCAACAATTCCAGTCTTGGTTCTTACAATGAATCTGCTTTTGTAAAGAGCTAGACAGTGATTGCTATCCCAGGGTGCAGCTGTTCACAGCACAAAGCAGAAATAGTCAACATGAATATTATGGGTAGATTTCTGCAAATCATCCTCAGTTTTCTTCCCTTCATTTAAAAGACATCTTTCTCCTCACGTCTTAGGGTAGATTCAGAGACACACAAAAAGCAAAGTTTGCTTTTTAAAATAAAATGCTAAGTAGAATAGCACAAATGACTCTAAAATCAATGTATATGTATATTTCTTTTAAACTTTAATATATAAAACATACATTTCTTTTAACAAGGACCTTGGCTCTGATGGTCTCCATGTTTAGAATTTGAGTTCTTAAGTGAATGAGATCCAGAAAAAGCACTTTTTCAGAAATAAGAAATGGGCTATGATGACATTGTCAATTCACAATTGCTATAATAGAATATCAGAGAGATTAATTTGCTCAAAGTTATAGCCCAGAGTGCTGGGATATAAATTCATGTTTTCTGGCCCCATTGGTTTTTACCAACAGCAACCTCTCAAGGATGGTCCTACAGCTTACCTATGTGACATTTCTCAGGATATTCGAACTGATAGTTTTTGGAAGGACAGGAGGGCACGAAGAGAGTTTCAGGTATGTGAGGTTTGCTTCTTAAGCACATTCTGGCAAACCTCAGGCCACGTTTTACTCTGGGTCTCCATCAGTGTGCACACAATAGCAGTGTCCCCTTGACCTGCTGCAATATTCGTTTGTGATGGCCCCTGCCTCTTCAGAGCTGCCGCAGGACCTGCCTCATTCAGATGGAAAGCAAATGGCACTGGAAGAACGTTTCATCTCCTGCATCTGTGGGATCAGCCCCAGTACAGGCAAAAATCTCATGCTTTCATACCAGCCCCTCTGGGGCTTTCATCTCTGCTCCAAAAAAATGGACAGCTTCAAAAATTCAAAAATCAATTGGAATGGAGCCAGCTCTGTCCAGCGGGTTATTAATGGCCCTGGAGCTGACTAATCCTATTTGCACAGCCTTTTGGTAAACAGCTTCAACAACAACTAGGGTGGAAAAGAAAACACACACCCCATCCAATCAAGACAAACTTCAAGTATTGATTTCACTGCCTCCTTCTCCCCTGCTGCCACTTTTGAAACAAATTTAGAGTATGACACCAGGGTCATTGATCATTGCCAAACCCCCACGTCACCAGGTCCTGACTATGTTCTGCTGGAATAGTACATTGCTTCATTCTGCTGGAATAACTTTTCCAAGATTTCCTGAGGTAGGGAATATAAATTGCTGGATCCCGGGGAAGACGGCGGGGAAAAGAATATCTGGTTGGGCTCAGGTACTCCAGGTAGCTCTTCCTGACTGATCACTTCTCAGGTGCCGCGTAAGCCTCCACAGGAGCCGTGGGTCCTCCCTGAGCCCTGCAAACAGATCCCATTCCTGCCCCAGAGTCTTTACGGAGAGGCTTCCAGGTCTCCATTAAACTTCTTTCTGCTTTAGCTTCTGTTCTGTTTGTGGGAAAGACAAGGAGAGCCATGAGAGCTATTTCAGAGGGACCTTGTCTCATCAGTCTACACCCTGGGCTTGCTGCCCTGCCAACTTAAAAAAAAAAATGGTTTAGGGCCGGGTGCAGTGGCTCATGCCTATAATCCCAGCACTTTGGGAGGCCGAGGTGGGCAGATCACAAGGTCAAGAGATGGAGACCATCCTGGCCAACACAGTGAAACCCCGTCTCTATTAAAGATACAAAAATTAGCTGGGCATGGTGGCGCGCACCTGTAGTCCCAGCTACTCAGGAGGCTGAGGCAGAAGAATTGCTTGAATCCGGGAGGTGGAAGTTGCAGTGAGCCGAGATTGCGCCACTACACGCCAGCCTGGTGACAGTGTGAGACTCTGTTTCAAAAAAAAGAAAAAAAGGTTTTGGTCCTTACTCATAGTGACAGAAACAATGACAACCTGGTGACATGCAGACATCAATTTCCCCCTCTCTTTGTTGTTTTAAAATGTGATGTTCCTGGCTGGGCATGCTGGCTCACACCTGTAATCCCAACATTTGGGAGGCCATCATGGGAGGATTGCTTCAGCCCAAGAATTTGAGACCAGCCTTGGCAACGTAGTGAGACTCTGTCTCTAATAAATACATACATACATATATAAAATGTTTTGTTCGAACACAAATTAACTCTCTAATTGTGCAACATCCTTTCCAACCCTTCACTTCACCTCCATGTGTTTCAATGATTAATAAAACTGATTAATAAAGCAAGAATAACCTTGTTTTTTCCTCTTTCAGATGTTTTTGTCTCCTATTTGACTATGTTGTCACCCTAGTGGTTGAGACTGAGGACACTGTCTAGGGTCCACTATCCAAATAATGACAATGGGGAAGGGGTGAGAGTAGGGGTGTTATTGACAGATGGATATGAGTTCATTTATTCATTCAACAAACCTTCACTGGAGGCCTGCTGAATGCCAGGCATCATGCTGCCTAACTCTTAGCTGTGCCACTCACCCAACAGCGGCCATGGGGTGGGTTTGGACTGGTTCCTTAAGCCCCAAGCCACGGCTGCCTCACCTGAAACAAGGCAGACAATGCCACCTCCGGGTTTCTGTGAGGGCTTTATGAAAACTGTCACAGGGCCGGCACTCGGTAGTGCTCAATACATTTTTGTTTCTTTTTTCCTTTGGGCCCAACACAAGGGAGGCAGTTTGGGAGTCTAATGTAGATTCATGAACCCTCAATTTGTTAGTCAAATGGACTTTGTAGAGACCTAGGCACCCTCTTACACTTATCAGGGTATAAAAAACAAGTCCTCTCACCCCGCTCCATATCTTTGAAAAGTTTACTTTAGCTGGGCAAACACTAGGTATCAAAGAAACAAATAAGAGAAACACAAAAGTTTAGTTATTCCAGGTGGGAGTTAATTAGACAACTAAAGTCATCAAATGGCGTCTGGACTGTCAAGTTTTAGGATAACTCAGTGGGAGTAGTCTTGCGTTAGGAATCAGGAGACCTGATTCTGACCCCAGCCAGGGTCACCGCTTACTTACAAAAGCAAAGAGAGTGACTTTGGACTTCACCTCCCTGGCTCTTGCAAACTTCTCTTTATCTGAACAAGGAGGGGTTCTAAGGCACCGGAGGGTCTAAGAGCCATCCATCCCTTCCCCACTTTCCTCCTTCCAGAACATCCCCTGAGTACCTCCTGTGAAACTGTGGCCAGTAAGAAGTGACTGGTCCACAACAGAACTCACATGGAGGGCGAGGCGGGGAAGACACATGCGGATGCTGGAGTTGTCATTTCTATTCTGGCTGTGACATAGGAAGCTCTTAAAATGACATCACTGTTCTGTGAACCCAAACTAGGACCAAGAATCTCTGTTAGTGTTTTTCTTATGGCTTTCAGTTCTGTTCTATTGTAAAAAAAAACAAAACAAAACAAACCCCGCCCCTCCCCCCCCAAAAAAACCCAAAGCAAACCAAAACAAAAAATGATGAGGAGGACAGAGATGCCACAAAGAGCTTCCTGGGGCAGAAGAATCATCACAGATACAGTTAGGGTCACATTGCTGGGCAAGCGTCAGCACCACAATAGAGATTTTTTTTTTTATTGCAGTAAAATATACATAACATAAAGGTCACCATCTTAACCATTTTAAAGTGGCATTAAGGACATTGGCACTGTTGTGCAACCATCACCACCATCCACCTCCAGAATTTTTTACATCTACCCAAATTGAAACTGCACCCATTAAACAACAACCCCCGCCCCCCTGCCCCTGGTCACCACCGTCCCACTTCCTGTCTGTGAATCTGTTGCTAGATGCCTCACATGAGCAGATTCCCATAGTGTTTGTCATGAACGGAATTGCATAGAGTTTGTTATGAGCAGATTTGCATAGTTTTTTGTCATGAGCAGAATCACATAGTGTTTGTCATGAGCATAATTGCATAGTGTTTGTCATGAGCAGATTCACATAATGTTTATTGTGAGCTGATTTGCATAGCATTTGTCACGAGCCGATTTGCACAGTATTTGTCATGAGCAGAATCGCATCGCATTTGTCATGAGCAGAATCACATCATATTTGTCATGAGTGGATTTGCATAGTGTTTGCTGTGAGCGGAATCACATAGTGTTTGCCGTGAGCGGAATCGCATAGTGTTTGTCATGAATGGATTCGCATAGTATTTGTCATGAGCAGATTTGCATAGTATTTGCCACGAGTGGAATCACATCATATTTTTCATGAATGGATTCGCATAGTGTTTGCTGTGAGTGAAATCGCATAGTATTTGCCGTGAGCAGCATCGCATAGTGTTTGCCGTGAGCGAAATCGCATAGTGTTTGCCGCGAGCGGCATCACATAGTGTTTGTTGTGAATAGATTCACATAGTATTTGTCATGAGTGGAATCACATCGTATTTGTCATGAGTGGAATCGCATAGTGTTTGCTGTGAGTGAAATCGCATAGTGTTTGCTGTGAGTGAAATCGCATAGTGTTTGTCGTGAATGGATTCACATAGTATTTGTCATGAGTAGAATCACACAGTATTTGTCATGAGCGGGTTTGCATAGTATTTGCCATGAGTGGAATTGCATAGTATTTGCCATGAGCAGAATCGTATAGTATTTGTCATGCTGTGACGGTAGCCGTGTTCCTTCTGCTGAGTGTGGGAAGGAGGACTGAGTCCACCTGCAACTGAGGCTCCGACCAGACCAAGCCATCCATGGGGAAGGAATTAATCTGTTTGAAGGTTGCTGCTCTACGTTATCCCAACAGCATCAGCCCAAAAGTCAGCCTCAGGGAATGTGGGCTGTTGCCATGGAGATTCTGCCCAGGGGTCACCTCTGTGGTCCACGGAAAGAAAAGGTTCTGGCGGCAAACCCTTTCCTTAGTCCTGGGGCCTCTAAGTGACCCCTTCAAGTCTGAAAACCCATCCTGCCCTCTCTGAGCCTTGCAGGTGGTGCTCTCTCTGCCCGTACCCTTCACCCTTGCTTGCCTGGCCAGTCCTCCCCACCCAAGAAGGCCTGATTTAGCTGTTGCTTCCTGCAGTAGCATCCTATGAGCTTTGGTGCCACCTCAGTTACCTCCATGGAATTCCTTATGACAAAAAATTGTCCCTTTACTGATCAGTCTCCCCCAGCAGAGCATAGGCTCATTTTGGGCAGGGGCAACTGCTTCTTCACCACTCACCTCTGAGCCTGGCAAGGGCAGACAGCTGTTTCAGGTCAGGCCCCTCACTGGAGTGAGGGCTGGAGGGCGGGCACTCAGGGGGAATCTGCAGGGAGGAGAGGGAAGTTATCCAGGGAAAAGCTAAGCAAAATTGTGGCTTCAGATGAGTCTAACCTGACCTGATTCCCCTGAAGAGTTCTGGTACCTGAATGCACCACAGAGTTGTCCCGCCATGCGTTGGGGGCCAGGTTTTTGCACCTGTATGAGTCAGTCATTGGGTACAACCTTCCAGGCATAGCCAGGTGGTACAATGCCCTTTGCAGAGGGCAGCTCTCTGGGAAGTCGGCAGCTGTGTCTGCAGCCGGCACTCACACACCTGGCGGGGGGGGGGGGGGGGAGGTGGGAACCAAGATCATCTACTACAGCACAGGTGAGTACTTGTTCAATGAATGCTTGTCAATAGTAATGATGAAAACAAAATTAGCTGCTAATGATGAAAACAAAATTAGCTGCTGACGTTCACTCTGTGCCAGCCCCTGTGCTCTTTTGCTTACACCGTTTCATTCAGTCTCTACCACAACCCTATGAGGTAGGTGCCAATTGTATGAGGAAATTGATGTCCCACAGAGCTGAGTGATTTGCCCAAGATGCACAGCTAAAGGCTGGCAATGTCCAGGCTCAAACCTGGATCTCCTTGCCTTGATCCCAGATGATAGGCATGAATGTTAAAGTCCAGGAAGCACTGTAGGGGAAAGGACATTGAGACTTTTTCCCTTCCTCTCTCTCTGAAAACAACTTTTGCTTGTGTTATTTCCTTTCGCCAGCTTACTTCTGTGCGATGTGGGCCTGTGTTAACCTGCGAGGTTGTTAAACTGGTAAAAACATTTAAACAACACCTTGATCAAGCGCCGCCTCCTCCTAAGTAGCCTTCACCTTTCCTTCTGCAAAGCTGTCCCCTTAAATACCAAAGGTGTCAAATGGCTGCAGGTTGACTTCCTCTTGGGTCTCCACAGACAGAGTCATTGACACAGGTAGACTTAGAGTCAATGAGAGAGCAACCCTTACATCCCTGGACTGCTCCTCTATTTCTGCACTTCGGCCCATGGAAACGTCCTGGTCAATACTTCCTTGCTGCTTTATCTTTCAGAGGTCCCAGGCCACCACAGTATTTGTCCTAATTAGAGTCAGTTTGCTTTGCAAACCACACTCAAGCTCTCCTAGACACCGAGCAGCTGCTCCTCTGACGTCCCCACCGGAGCCCTTGTTTGCATTGTATGTTGTCAGCAAACAGACCGCCTTGAACAAGCCACTTGGGAGCGCTCCTCACCCGGGACCGGAGCAGCAGGCACATGGAAAACTCTTCCAGCTTTTCCTTAACAGACGGCTACCTTGCTTCATCATTTCAAAAAATGACAGCAAGAAATAAAGCACTCATACAAACACGTAAAAAGAGGTCATGGAGAGTGGAAAGAACAGTAATATACCCACCAAGGAGCAGCCTCTTAGCCCTTGCTCTCCCAGAACATGTCTTTCTCGGTAGGAAGAAGTTTAGCAGAGGATTATGGAGATGGTCTCAGCAACAAGACTGCCTGGATTTCCATCCTAGTTCCTGCCCCAGGTGGCTTAACCTCTCTGCAGTTCCGTTTCTTCACCTGTAAAATAGGGATAAGAATTCTGTTGGAAGAATTAAATAAGCTAAGAAGTATGGAGTACTTGGAACAAGGTCTGGTACACGATAGACTCTCTCTAAATAGTAGAATTTATTTGTCTTTCTGCTGTCTAAAAGCACTGAGTGATGAGGTTGTTGGCATTGGTGGTGGTGTGTTATTTCCAGAGTAAGGTCCTTCCAGGCAGGACATCAGCAGGGTGAAATGCTTGTCAGTACCTCTACTTCACAGATGTAGCAGAGACTTTGGCTGGAACAGGAAGACAGTTTCTGACGGAGAGAGGCTGAGGAGCGCTAACAGCTGGCTGCCCCAGGCCTCTGGCTCTGCGCTCACTTCTGTTGTATTTATCCCAGTTGAATTTACCCCATCCTTCCCCATCACATCCCAGGGACCATTTCCAGACCAGCAAGACAGTATGTGTCTGTATATCCCACCGTTCCTATATTTGTGCAGCTCAGAGGGTTTCCTCATACATTCTCTTGTTCCATCTTGCAGGTACCAGGTGGATACTTGAGTGCTAAGCTGGTTGTCCTTGGGCCCTTCATGCCAGGCTCCCAGAGGCCCTGCACTCTGAACATCAGGCAATGCCTCTCTATGATACATAGCTTTAATCAGCAGCAAAATAAAATGGGGCTCATTGAATAAGGCTTACAAAGATGATGAGCTCCTGCCTGGGTTTGCACTGCCTGCTGTGCGGACGAGCCGCATCTGTGGACTCCTCCTTAGTCAGACCAAGCTGCCATCTTTACCTTGGCTCCAAAGGTGACCTATGAGCTGCCACACCTACTCTAGGAATGCCCAGCAAAGTCCTGACTTGGCAACAGGGACCAGGGATAGAGACTTTGACACATCTCCGGTGACTCTTCTGGAAAGGAGTGGAAGATCTGCCGGTGAGCAATAGAAGCGTCACACCCCGGTTCCCAAACCCAGCCCTAGACATTCTGGTGCCAAGAGGTGTCACTTCCTGGCAAAGGTGAAGGGAGGGTCAGTTTCTCCCTGCTGTTCCTGATTCCATCAGCTCTTGACCCACAGAGCAAACATGTGCCCAGCCTCTGCAGCGACAACCAGGTGTTCTCCTGGACTCACCCTGGCCCAGATCCGCTCGGTGGAGTTGGCATCTGCTGTGAGCCTCCCATTTGATTTGACGGTTTCCATTTAGTAGGTATTTGTAGATGCAGCCAGTCCTTTGAAGAATTATTATGCTCATAAAGTGCAGAGAAAATGGTATAGCCCTGCCTACTTCTCAGTTTTCTGAGGCTCAGGAATCAGCACGTTGTTTTCCTGATTTCGCTCTAGGCTTTCTTCACTCCCGTAATGAGCAGTAGGGGTCACTGTGTAGCCACAGAACGCCTCCACGAGGCTCCAGAAATCTAACTCCACCTACCTCTGGGCTGGACCAGAACACTTGGATGAAACGGCCACGTCACCACATCTTCACAAAGTCAGGGGACACATTTAGCAGGATCTTTTCTGATTGAAATGATCAATGGCTATTTCTATGTTGCTGAAGTGAAAATGAATATAGTGGTTTGGGTTGGAATCACTATGTTGATATAATACATATATAGTGATATAAATGACTATATTGATATAAATGATATTGCCACCAACTCGTTATGCTCCTGAATTTCCTCAATTAGTTTGAAAATTGGTCCATTTTCCCCAAATAAGCTTAGAATACAGTTTTGTTTTGTTTTAGACAGAGTCTTGCTCTGTTGCACAAGCTGGAGTGCAGTGGTGCAATCTTGGCTCACTGCAACCTCTGCCTCCCGGGTTCAAGCGATTCTCCTGCCTCAGCCTCCCAAGTAGCTGGGATTATAGGCATATGCCACCACATCCGGCTAATTTTTATTTTTCGGAGAGATGGAGTTTCACCATGTTGGCCAGCCTGGATACGAACAGAATATACAGTTTTAATTGCATGTGTGTATATGTTTAGATACTGATAAGCAAACATTGTGTTAAAAACCAAGTATCGCATTATTCTGTTTTTTAAGACCTAGATTTATGGAAGATAAACATTAGAAAACAATATTCAGCAGTCTTGTTTCTAGTTTTAACATTGACCTAATGTGAAACAGAAGAAAATTTGGGATCAATAATAACACCACTTTGGTACCAACCACAGAACAAAAAAAGTTGAAAAAAAAAAAACAACCCACACCCTCAAAAGATAACAATGTAGTATGTACGAAAAAAGTGAGTAGAAATAAAATAAAATCAGATACTATGTGGGAAAGGGCTTTGTTGTCCATACATTGCCATAGTTGGCCCAGGCAAGGATAGTGGCAATTGAAACACTTTCTAAGATGCACAGCCCTGCAAGTCAGCTTTTGGCTGATTTCCTGGGTATTTAACTTGGAATTGGACAACGGCCCTGGCTGCTCCTCACAACCCCTACCACCTCTGTCCACCAGGGGGCTTCACTCTTTTCCGCTTGGATTCTCTTTACATCCTCCACCGGTCCCCAACTCCACTCACCCATCCCCCAGTAGATTCCCTCCACTCTCCCCATTTCCCTTCTTGTTTCCCACCTGGTCTACGATCTAGCCATTAAGGCTTCGGGGAGAAACATAGGAAAATCAGCACAGCCCACCAACTCCACTGCCTTGAAACTGCTTCTGCGTCTGTCGGCCCGCCTGCTTTCCACAGTACGGCAAATCCTGGGCGTTCAACAAATATTGTGGACCACCACTACACTAGAACCACCAAAGAAATATGATCAAGGCTGCACAAAGTAGTGCACTGAGGATCCACTGCTAATGAATTTGGAAAAATTAAAAGTCACAGGCCGGGCGCGGTGGCTCAAGGCTGGGCGCAGTGGCTCACGCCTATAGTCCCAGCACTTTGGGAGGCTGAAGCGGGTGGATCATGAGGTCAGGAGTTCGAGACCAGCCTGGGTAATTTGGTGAAACCCTGTCTCTACTAAAAATACAAAAATTAGCTGAGCGTGGTGGCACGTGCCTGTAGTCCCAGCTGCTTGGGAGGCTGAGGCAGGAGAATTGCTTGAACCCGGGAGATCGCAGTGAGCTGAGATGGAGCCACTGCGCTCCAGCCTGGTTGACAGAGCATGACTCTGTCTCAAAAAACAAAACAAACAAACAAAAAAACCACACACATTTAAACCGTTTTCTAGTGTCCAGTTCTGTAGTATTAGGTAGATTCCCACTGTTGTGCGACCATCACTACTAACCATTTCCAGGTCTCTGTTCACCCTGTGGAATGGAAACTCTGTAGCCATGGAACAACTCCCCATTCTGCAGTCCCTGGCAACCACCATTCTACTTTCTGTCCCTATGAATGTAACTACTCTAAGTCTTAAATGAGCCAAACTCATTAGCAGTCAATCCTCAATGCACTGCTTCATGCAGCTTTGATCATATTTCTTTGGTGGCCCCAGTGTAGTGGCGGTCCACAATATTTGTTGAATGCCCGGGATTTGCCACGCTGTGCCCGGCAGTCAGGTTGACAGATGCAGAAGCAGTTTCAATGCAGTGGAGTTGGTGGGCTATGCTGATTTTGCTGTGTTTCTCCCCAAAGCCTTACTACCTCGTGCGAGTGGACAAATACAGTATTTGTCCTTTTCTGACTGGCTTGCGTCACTTAATATCTTCAAGGTTCTTCATATTGTAGCACGTATCGGAATTTCCATCCTTTTTCAGGCTGAATAATGTTCCATTGTATGGACATTCCACATGTTGTTTATTCATTCATCCATTGATGGACACTTAAGTGGCTTTCACCTATTCACTGTTGTGAATAATGCTGCCATACACACATGGGTGTACAAACATCTATTTGAGTCTGTGCTTTCAGTTGAGTGTATACCTCAAAGTGGAATTGCTGGATCACATGGTAATTTTAAGTTTAATTTTTTTGAAGAATCATCATACCATTTTCCACAGTGGCTAAACCATTTTACATTCACACCAGGAATGTACAAGTGTTCCCATTTTAACAGCTCCTCAGCAACACTTGTTATTTTCTGTCTTTTGATAATAGCCATTCTAATGGGTGAAGTAGTTCCTTCATTTTTTGACTTCATACTTTTCTATTTCCTCTTTGCATGTCAACGGTTTTGTAATATCTTCTATAGAGTGTCAATTCAGTATTTCTTCTAGCACAGTGGTTGGGATTTATAAATATGTGACTTCACACAGCCATATTCACCATATATAGCACTACTATAGACTTCTGTCCTACAAACTCAGAAATCCTGATAAACACTTGACTTTGACTGTCATAAAAAATAAAAATAGTCCAGGCATGGTAACTCACACCTGTAATCCCAGCACTTTGGAAGGCTTAGGTGAGAGGATCACTTGAGCCTGGGAGTTTAAAACCAGCCTGGGCAACATAGTGAGACCTTGTTTCTACAAAAAAATTTAAAAATTAGCTGGGCATGGTGGCCCGTGCCTGTAGTCCCAGCTACTCAGCAGGCTGAGGCTGGAGCCCAGGAGGTCAAGGCTGCAATGGGCTGTGATCAAGACACTGCACTCCAGCCTGGGCAACAGAGTGAGACTGTGTCTCAAAGAAAAAAATGATTAAATAAATAAATAAATAAAAATACAATGCATTGGATTTATAATCATTGCGTTATTGAGTATATCCCTGAGGGAGAAACCTTCTGTTTAGACCCAGTGTCATTGAAGACTGGCTTCTCCACTAAAAATGTTACGCCTGTGATTAGAAGAGTGTTGTACCTTGGGCCTTGATGCTGGGAACACTGTGCAGGGGAAGCAAGCACATTCTGGAACCCATTCTTATAGCAGAACAGCTGGCAACAACTGTGCACAGAAGTGACTGCGAGCCACACAGATACGTCTCACTAACCCAAATTAAGTGTATCCCTATTCAACTTTCTCTTAGCAGGATCCCAAAAATGCCTGTGCCCATTCCAATGCCACCCAATACTAGGGGCATTGTGTGTGTTCTTTTTCTTACTGATCTGTGGCTGTTCTTTATATATTACGAATATAAGTCCTTATCATTTTTATGTATTACAAATATAGTGTTGAACTGTGTGGCTTGCCTTTTCACTCTTTTTTTTTTTTTGACAGAGTTTTGCTCTTGTTGCCCAGGCTGGAGTGCAATGGCACAATCTTGGCTCACTGCAACCTCCACCTCCTGGGTTCAAGCAATTCTCCCGTCTCAGCCTCCCTAGTAGCTGGGATTACAGGCGCCCGCCACCATACCCAGCTAATTTTTTTGTATTTTTAGTAGAGACAGGGTTTCACCATGTTGGCCAGGCTGGTCTTGAACTCCTGACCTCAGGTAATCCACTCTCCTCGGCCTCCCAAAGTGTTGGGATTATAGGTGTGAGCCACTGCGCTTGGCCTGCCTTTTCACTCTCTTAATTGTGTTTTTGATGAACAAAAGTTCCTAATGTTAATATAGTTCAACTTATCTGTTTTTTTTTGTTTTTTTTTTTTATGGTTAGGGATTTCAGTGTCCTGTTTAGGAAGAGTTTTCTCTCACCTCAAGACCAGGAAGATATTTTCCTATTTTCTTCTAGAAACTTTATTCGTTTACCTTTCACATTTAGATGACCAATCCATCTGCAACTGATTTTTGTATATGGTATGAGATGGGGCCAAAATTTATTTTAAAAAAAGAAATACCAATAGCCAATTTCCCTAATACCAATTATGAAGACCATTTTTTCCTCTGTCCTCTGAGCTTCAAGTTTTGTCATAAATCCAGTTTTGTCTATGTATGTGTGGATTTATTTCTGGACTCTTTGGGTTTTTTGTTTGTTTTTTGAGACAGAATCTGGCTGCACACCCGGGCTGGAATGCAGTAGTGTGATCATGGCGCACTGCAGCCTTGACCTGTGCTCAAGCAATTCTCCCATCTCAGCCTCCCAAATAGCTAGGACTACAGGCACATGCCACTACGCCTGCATTTATTTATTTTTTATTTATTTATTTATTTTTTGTAAAGACAGGATTTCACCATATTGCCCAGGCTGATCTTGAATTCCTAGGCTCAAATGATCTTCCTGCCTCAGCGTCCCAAAGTGCTGGGATTACAGGCATGAGCCACTGTGCCTGGCCTGTTATTTTTCTATCCTTGCATCAATACCTCTTGGTCTTAATTACTGTATGTTTATAATAAGTCTTGGTTTCCAGTAATGTAGAAACTTCAATTGTAATCTTCTTGATGAATGTCTTACCTATTCTCGGGCTTTTGTATTTCCATATAAATTTTGGAAACAGATTGTTGATTTCTAAAAAAAGAAAAAAAGCGTTCTGGCATTTTTATTTGGATTATATTGAATCTATAGCTCAGTTTGGAAAATAAGTAATTTAACTTTTCTAAGTCCTTTTTCTCTTCTGAAAAAAAAAAGAAAAAATGGTGACTGAGCAATTTTTAAACTGGAAAAAATCACTACAGAAATGCTGGATTTTTATTATAAAATGAGAAGGAACACAGGCAAGGACTGGGGCAAGGTCAGCCTACAGTGGATTTCCAGAAGGTTGGAGTGACTCTGGAATCTGGTTGCCCTCAGGCGGCACTGGCCCAGGTTGCTGGAGCACGGGCTGTTCGGCTGCCGCTGGTTAGGAGTCAGGCTGGCTTCTAACTCAGAGGCTTGAGTCCAGGAAGAAGAGGCCGTGGGGTTTTCCTGCACCGTTGTTCCCATCCCATCCCCAGGGGGGCGCCACATTCCTTCTGATGATTGTGTGTTTGCCTTCCTGCATCTTTTTCTTTGTAGACTGGAAACTGCAGAGCAATCACATTACCTTTATTTTTCAAATGTGTCCACCGTGTGTCAGGCCCAGCTCTGGGTGGATTCACCTCCCCACTTGTTCTGTACAGAATGGCACACTTGGAGAGAGGACCAGATGTGCCAATGGGGAAAGGGCATCAAGACAGTCCCTCGTGACCCCCCACTGTCTCTAGGGTCCCCCTTCTGTTCCTTGGAGCACGTCCTGAGCCAACCTAAGGCCATTTGTGTGTTCATGTGACCAGGGCATAAAGGGGACACAACCTTCTTTCTCTGGAGTCAGCCTGTTTAGCAAACGCGAGGGTCTGACACCTCCTCTCTCCACACTCCCAGCCTCAGCCTGCCAGTTCCAGTGGTTTCTTTCAAAGCTTTCACTGCAGTCCCCTGAACAAATACTTTTTTCCCAAGAGGCGTTCCCCAGGCTGAAACAAGGGGAAGTAAATGTGACCCCACTGCATTGCCTCCCACAAGTCATTCTGCCTCCTTCATCCTGTCCTGGTCTTTGTCCTGTCCTGGTCTTCAGGGAGCCCCTGGGAGGGAGACCTGTGTCTGCAGCGGCCAGTGTCTAGCAGAGGTGGTGCCTCTATCCAAAGCCATGGCCCACTCTCCTGAGTGCGAGTGAGCCCCAAACAAACCTTGGAGAACCTTCCTGCTTTCAGGTGCCCCAGGATCCCTGAGCACTTCTGCCCATCTAGCCTCCTAGAGGAAGCCCAGTCGGGGGGGGGGTGGGGGAGGGGCGGTAGGGGAGTTAGCACCCTCTTGAGAAAAGCGGCAGGCAGGCAGCAAAGGAGAGAAGGATGCTAGCTGGAGTCTGTTCAGCCCAGGTGCCTGGGGAGGGTCCTCAGTGTCTGCAGCGGAGTCTGGATGTCCCTGCAATGGGCAGAGCCCCACATTGGGCAGGGCGGAGCTGGCTTGTTGAGGAGTCCTACCTGCCTCCACCATTCCCTGAGTGCTGAGTGGCGTGTGGGCTTTGTCTGGATGGCTGAAGGAACAGAACAGTACCTGTGGTATCCTTCTTTATCCCAGCCCCGCTGGACCCGGCCCCTATAAGGCAGTGTGGTAGGTGAACCCCCAGAGGACACCCTCAGACCCTCTTCTCGTTCCTGGGGGCGGGGGACGTGCTGTAGCCTGACCCCAGGAACATTGGGATTCCTACCTGTCCTATCCCCCCCTCCTGTGGGGGCAACCAGCCCCAGCTGAGGGGTACCAGATGTGAGAGTCGGAAGCGCACCCTCACCCTCCCTTCCCAGCAGCTGGCTAGAAGGCCTCTCTTAAAAGGCCTGGGTACCTGGCCGTGGGGTGTGGGGAGGAAGGAAGGGAGTGGGAGAGAATTAGACAAAGGAAGCCCACCATAAAACCAGCAGCAGGTCTGTAATCGTGACAGCCCTTTGTTTAGAGCCGGTTTAAACAAGTTGTGATCCTTTGGAAGGGGAGGCCATAAACCGAGGGGTGAAATAAAAGTGTTTACAGCAAGGGAGACCCAGGTGCTGGGGGGTTCGTTTGGCCAGGATCAATGCGGGAGCGGGGCCGGTGCGGCCTGGCCTGGCCTGGGCTTGGAGAATGGGCTTCCTCTTAGTGCCGGGCGGCTCCAACATCACAGACTCAAGCCCGACGAGGGGCGGCCCTCCCCACCCACACCTGCAGTCGAGGGGCAATCCCACATTCCAACCTGGGGGCACGGGGCAGGAGCCCGGGTCTGCACCATCTAGAGATTAATTGCCTGGGGCCGCAGAGCTTACAGTCAGCTTCTCTGCTTCTCTACAAATTCCTTCATAATGGACTTGAGGGAGTTACACTAATAAGAGGGTGTGAGGACAGTTGTTTCTCACAGACATGCCTCTTAGTCCCCACTTATCAGGCTGGGAAAGTTAGGGTTAGGGCCCGAGGGAGTAATATGGTTATATCTGACATGTCCCCAGCCCTGAGCCCCCCACACCTACCACCATTTCTGTCCTCCGCTCTGTTTAGCAATGCTGAATACATAAACATCACACAATCAGTCAGTCATTCCGTAAGTTTAACGAGCACTTCCGGTAGGGCAGACAACCAGGGCAGGGGCCACAGAGGTACAGGACACAGTCTCTGTCCTGAAAGTAGGGCAGTTTGGGGATAACTAGCAATAATATTCTCAGGACATGTCAGCTGGCATATACTCATGTTTTTAAAATAATTAATGCTCCCCAAGAATATATGTGTCCATGCAACACGATACCTTTGGAGAATGGCAGTACCAAATAAGACTAACATGGTCCTTGGAAGAATATCGTGCTGATGTCCTCCCCACGTAATTTGTTGTTTGTGCTCAGCAGGAAATGTTGCCAGACTTTTCTGCAAAAATTCACACTGAGGTCACACCTATACTAATAAGGAAAATGAGTAGTCAGAGGCACAAGACGGATCAGGCCCCTATTCTCCCTTAAGACATTTGTATGGCTCTTTAGCTTGCAACATTTGTGGAAGTGGGGCAACTACGTGGGGGCCTCTTAAAGAGAAAAGTCCCCATGAAAATGTCCCTTCTGTCGTTCATGTATTCAATTCTTGGATCAGCCTGGCCAGTTAAAGAGATGAGCTTTGTTCTGTAATACCCAATATGTTTTCTTCATTAGGAGAACAGTTCAGAAAATAAGCAAAGATGCCAGTTTCATCTTTAAAATGACTTCATTTTTTATAAATTGATTTCAAACACATTCTAGTCTGAGCCTGGCCACTCTGGTGACCTCCCTAGGACCATTTCCTTATTTGTAAAATAATCATATTTATAATCTCTGCATTCCTGCTTCGTTAATAACAACAACAAAACCCAAATAGGATTCTAAGTAGCATAGTGGCCTGATCAATTGCGCTGGTGGGAATCACATTCCTAATCACACAGTTAGGAAACATTTCGCGCCCTCCAGCATTTGGTAATATATACCATTTACTGGTGTAAGAGGCACGGGCCCCTCTGTCTCTTTCAGTGATTGATGCAAATTCTCTACTCTCCCAAAGCTCAGCTCCCTGGGGGAGAAGTCCTGGAGACTGTCCTTACTGTGCACTGTGAGGTTCAATAGGTGGCAGCAGCCTTTATCTCTGATGGCTGGCATCTTGCTGCCTTTGCTGAACCGGTTCCTGTGGGAACCGGTCTCCCCATTGCTCTAAGGCAGGAGTGTGTGTCCTTCAACTGTGATGCTGAGCCATTGCATCAGGAGCCTCTCAGATACATAGCTGCTGGAGGAGGACCAACCCTTGATATGGGGGTGCTGGGAAGGGAAGAGCGTGGTCCCTTTAAATGATACAGAAGGGGGTAAGGGAAGTGCAGGGTAGAGGAGGGCGTGGTCCCTGGCTAGGGCTCCACCCCCATGGACCTTGGTGAGGACAGGCATTTTTGTTGCATTTCCCAAGACCACCCTGGCCGACCTTCCACACCCTTATCCTGGACCTATAAAAACCCGAGACCCTAGCAGGCAGACACACAAGCCGCTGTACGTGGAGAAAAACAAATCGATGAAAGAAGACAAGCGGCTGGACATCGAGAGACATCAAGGGGAGCATGCCGGCAGAAGAGCACTCAGACAGATGCTGGCAGGCCATTGACCCGCGGAAGGAGGCGGAGTTTGGACGGGGCAGTCTGAGGAGAGCCTAGGCCGCCAGGTGGCCCAGCTCCACAAGGAAAACCATCTCCCTTCTGGCTCCCCCGTTTGACGAGAGGTACTTTTACTCAATAAAGCCTTGCACTCATTCTCCAAGCTCACGTGTGATCGGGTTCTTCCAGTACACCAAGGCAGGAAACCCCAGGATACAGAAATCCTTCTGTCCTTGTGATAATATGGAAGGGGATCTAACTGAGCTAACACAAGCTGCCTGCAGACAGCTAAACTCTTAAAAGAGTACCGTGTAACACATGCCCACTGAGGCTTCAGGAGCTGTAAACATTCACCCCTAGCCACTGCTGTAGGGTTGGAGCCCCACAGCCTGCCCGTCTGTATGCGCCTCTAGAGGTTTGAGCAGTGCGGCATTGAAAAGGCGAGGCGCACCCTCTATCGCAAGCCTTGCGAGGGGGACAGGGGAACTTTTACGTTTCAGCATCAGGAGAGCCAGCTCAGCCAGCTCGGAAGATCCTGAGAGAAGCCAGTACATGGAGATCGTGCCCCCCGGGTCCTGAAGGATCTGTTTTATGAGAGGAGAAAACACAGTGCAGGGAAAAGGCATGAACTTTCAGATTTGAGTCAGTTTTGAATCCCATCTCTGCAACTTAGTAATTGGACAAGTTATTTAACATCTCTATACCTCAGTTTTCTCATCTGCAGAATGGGGATAATAAGTACCCCCTCCCAGGATCTTGTTATGAGGATTACATGAGATGATGTCTATAAAGCTTCCTGGCGTTGTGAGTCCCTCCCTCCCTCCCTGCCTCCCTTCCTTCTCTCCCTTTCTTCCTTTTTCCCTCCTCCCTTTCTTCCTGTGAAACAAAATTTAGTATCACTCCCCACAAATTCTGAAAAATGAATTATAACAAAAATACTAAACCCTGTAGATGAGCCCTTCCTGTGTATGAAACATTTTAAATTCCTTCATCAAAGGAATGCAGTTTCACTGTCCGTATACACCGAATGGTGTTGAAGTGGTACTTCCGGTTCATGCACTGGAACAGACAATGGAGGTATAAAAATGAATGGAACGATCATTAAGCACAAGGCAAATGAACACAGAAACAGACAATTTCAAAGGCATGATGGATTTTGGGGGAAGACAGTGGAGGGCCCTGCCTGACTTGGAGCAGGAGCTGGGAGAATGGGGTTCTGGTGAGGTTAGTCTTCCTGAGAAAGTGATGTCTTTTGTAGAAAATAAATCTCTAAACTTTCAAGATATGTCAACTAAGTATCAACAAAATTGATTTAGAAACGATTAGTGGTGGATTCAATAGGAATAAGGATTTGCTTTGTATAAGGTCTCCTGACAAACAGCTCCTGGGTGTCTACTCATGAAACTGCACAGATGTGGAGATACAATGTATAAAAATGAATAAGAAATGACCTGTTCTCCAAGGAGCTTGTATTCTAACAAGCAAGTGAAAAACACTGTGATCAGCGTAGCTGATTCTCTGCTAGAAGTGCATAAAAAGTATATTGAAACTGTGGCTTCTCATTTGCAAAGTTCCTAGTTTTCAGCCACTAAATTATTTTAGGGGCCACTCTTTGCAGGTCCATGTTCCTTTCCCAGCCCTGCATGTAGGTGATTGGAATCTCAGAATTTGCTCTTGGCTGGGCAGCAACAGCCTATCTCTTTGTAAAACGGTTTGCAGTAACACTTACCAGAGAAGTGAGGCACTCATCTTACAGAATTCACTGGGGAGTGGGTCCAGGCCAGGCAGTGTTGGGGAGGACTTTAGATAGGGCAAAGGAGATGCAGGATCAGAGGCGTCTGGTCAGGTTGGCCACCTCCCCCGACTTCTGCATGCTGATTTCTTTCCTTGAGCCTCCTCCAAGAGTCCCGGCCTGATGGTGCTTGAGAGGTGGGCTCCAGATGGAAAGAGGGAAAGGAAGAAACCCAACATTTAGTGAGCATCTATTGCAAGCCAGGCACGTTCCATTGAACGGTGACATGGGCTCTGGAGATGGGCATGGTCCCTCTTACAGTTCGGGGAGCTGGGGCTTGGAGAAACCTGTCCCAAGACCCAGTGAACCTCGGAGCCGAGCCTGAGCTCCACCTGTGTGCTCCGCATTCTTTGCACACCTGTGCTTCCTACGCCTCACCATATGTGCTTAGTGGGGTGCTGGCAGATGAGGGCCAAATCTCAGTCACTTTCTCTTCATTACAGCACATGATGTAAACCTCAGTTTTATACTCTATCAGACTTGAACACATCATGGAGTAGAATGCAACACGTATGTGTGTGTTAAGGGTCAAGAGATCGAGGCCATCCTGCCCAACATGGTGAAACCCTGTCTCATCTAAAAATGCAAAAATTAGACGGGCGTGGTGGCCGGCGCCTGTAGTCCCAGTTACTCGGGAGGCTGAGGCAGGAGAATTGCTTGAACCCAGAAGGCGGAGGTTGCAGCGAGCCGAGATCATGCCACTGCACTCCAGCCTGGTGACAGAGTGAGACTCTGTCTCAAAAATAAAATAAAATAAAATAAAATAAAATAAAATAAAATAAAATAAAATAAAATAAAATAAAATAAAATAAAACAAAACAAAACATGATCTTCAAAGACATTTGAACTTTATTATCAATCTGTCTTCCGTTGTGCCCATCCCTGCACCCAAAGTGCCTGCATCATTCCAGCTCCCTGGGAACTCTGAATCAGAGCCCAGTGATTGAGCCTGCCTTGCTCATCACAAGATATGCACACATCTGCCGTGATCCACATGGAAAGTGCTTTGATTGAGTGCTGAATGCTGTGACGAGCATTAGAAATACAACAGGAATTCGGAGGGCCAGAGGTCTGGAGGGCTGGCAAAGCCAGGGGAGCACCTCTTAGGGGAGGCGGGTGTGGATGGCTGCAGAGGAGGGGTGACAGTCTGAGAATCCTGAATCCTGGAGGCGGCACTCTGATGTGTAGTGTGTGGACCCCAGGAGGCTGGATAGTAAGGAGGACTGCTGGGGAGGAGATGAACTGCTAATGGCAAGATGGGGATCCATTTATTAAAGGACCTAAGTCTTCGGTTTGCTATGAGACTTTTGCTTGTGGGTTTGTGACACTTTGTGGTGCTGGAAGCAGGAGGTGGGCTGTTAGCACAGGAGAGACTGGAGGGAGGAGGCAGCTGGATGTCTACAGACATCTTTTTATTTATTTAATTATTCATTTTTGAGACAGTGTCTTGCTCTGTCACCCAGGCTGTAGTGCAGTGAAGTGATCATAGCTCACTGCAGCCTCGAAATCCTGGGTTCAAGTGATCCTCCCATCTCAGCCTCCTGAGTAGCTGGGACTACAGGTGCACGGCACCAAGCCCAGCTAACTTTTTTGTATTTTTGGTAGAGACAGGGCCTTACTATGTTGCCCAGGCTGGTCTCAAACTCCAAGGCCCAAAGGATCCTCCTGCCTTGGCCTCTCCCAAAGTGCTGGGATTACAGGCATAAGCCATCACGCCTGGCCTGCTTTTTCACTTTAGCCTAAATTCTGTGGCAGGCCATCTACTTGCTTCATTTTAGCCCCTAAGTCTTATGCGATTGGTAACTGGTTGCACCACCAGTGTGCAAAGGGCTGAGGCGCTGGGGAGGAGGCGAGGGTTGAGGACTGCGCCAGGTGCTAATGCCCATTTCCTGTCGCCTCTGGCTGGCAGCTCCCCTCTGGCCCAGCCGTGTGTGGCCATAGGAGGCTGCAGAGGGACGGGCAGGCTGGGGCGCCCAGAGCCCACAGTCTGGTGCTCAAGTCTTTGAGATGCTGCACAGCAACTTTTCTGAGTCTGATTTTCTGAAAACGTGTAATGTGCATGCTCCAGCTGCAGAAACATCAACAGTGACCCACCCCCCCCATCTCTCCCTCTTGTTTTTGAAAAGGGATAGAAAATAAAAGAAAAGGGGATGTTCGCTTTCTGCTGGGTGACTTGGAAATAGAGCTCAGAGCTATGGTCTCTTAAGATAGATTTACAAACAGATGCTGGCGCATCTGAGCAGAAGAGTTCTGATTTCACTTTGGCTTCTCAGTGACATGTTCTAAGGAGAAACAGAGATGCAGAGAGGAACAGGCAGAGGCACACAGCAGAGGCTACACAGGCCTCAGGTTTGTGGAAAAGACACTTGAACGCTGCTCTGTTGTGGGTATGTGCCCTGAGCCCTCCTCACACAGAACCACGTTGCAGGAGCCAGGAGTGAGAGGGACATGGAAGCAGGAGAGAGAGAGAGAGAGAGAGAGAGAGGAAGGGAGCATGGGAGAGGGAGAGGGAAGGTTTAGAGAGGGGGAGGGGAGAGTTGTAGACGGGAATGGATGGGATGCAGAGAGAGAAAGTGCAGATAAAAACAAAAATTGTCCTTTTGCATCTTTTTATTCTCCAGGCAAGTTTGACCTACTTTGCCTCCTCTGTCATCTGCTTTGGTATCTAAATAAGGCTTCCCAGCCACTGAGTTCAGATTACTATCCAGTTATTTGAAGATCTGTTATCTCCTGACGGGGAGATGCTAACTGTCTTCCCATTCTTCACACCCTGCCACACCTCACAGCCCTTGGCCCTCTCCTTTGCTTAACATACACTCATCTGTGTGAGGGCCAGGGACTTGCTGGGTGGCCAGGGAGTCTGCTGCCTCCAACCCATGGAAGTGTGCAGACCATCCTGTTATTCCTGTTCCTAATCTCCTAGGCCTCAGCAATTACTACTGCCTGCCTTGCTGGAGTTATCAAGAGGCTAGATAGTCTTCAACAGAGAGCATAGTATAATGACCCCCATGTACCCGTCCCCAACTCCAGTTGTCAGCTCATGGCCAAGTTTGTTTCCCCACTCCGATTATTTTGAAATACATTTTATTCAAAATATATTTTATTATTATTATGAATTATAACCCATATAGCTCATCATCGATAAATATTTCAATAAGTATTTCTAAATCCTAAAACTAAAAAATATAACCACAGTATTATCTCATCTAAAACATTAACCATAACCCCTCAATATCATTCAATTATCCAGTCAATGTTCACATTTCTTTAATTGCCTATTGCCATTAATTATTTTAAAGTTTACCTGTTTGAATTGAGATCCACAGAAGGTCTGTGCATTGGGATATGTCTCTTGAGTATCTTTTAATCTATGTAGATACCTGCCCCCCTCCCTCAGAAACTGAATTGTTTCTCCTGCAGCGCTGCCTATAGGCTAAGTTTTGCTGCTGAAATTCCTCTAGGGGCCTTTAACGTGTGCCCTGTCCCTTGTATTCCCAGAACTAGAGGCTTGGTCAGGTGTGTGTCTGCAAGATTGCTTCATGGGTGGTGTACATCCTTAATGGAAGTACACAATGACTACTTTTCTCCCCTTGTGTAATGTTACTAGCTATTGATGGGCACTGCCTAGGGCTATTCATTTATTTGGATTGCAAAACGATGATATTCTAATTCTTTCTTTTTTCTTTTTCTTTTTTTTTTTTTTTTTTTTTTTTTTGAGACAAAATCTCACTCTGTCGCCCAGGCTGGAGTGCAGTGGTGCCATCTCCACTCACTGTAACCTTCAAGCGATTCTTGGGCCTCAGCCTCCCAAGTAGCTGGGATTACGGGCGCCCACTACCACGCCCAGCTAATTTTTGTATTTTTAATAGAGACAGGGTTTCACTATGTTGGCCAGGCAGGTCTTGAACTCCTAACCTCAAGTGATCTGCCCACCTCAGCCTCCCAAAGTACTGGGATTACAGGCGTGAGGCACCGCACCCAGACTTCTAATTCTAGCAATCCTTCTGTATCTATGAGCAATACTGTATACTACAAAGCAAAGCTTCCCTCATCAACTCGTTGGTTACCCTGAGGTCCAGATCTTATAGAAAATAAAGAACAAATGCCTAATTTTTTCCCCTTGATTTACCAGTTCAAAAATAAAGATTCGGTTCCTTAAAATCCTCCAAAGTTATCAGATAAGCTGCTGTTATGTTGTGGTGGTGTTTGTATTACTGTGAACTTGGGGACTTAAACATCTTTGGCCTCTTCAAGCTTGGCTCCAAGTCTTTTTTTTTTTTTTTTTTTTTTTTTTTTGAGATGGAGTCTTGCTCTGTCACCAGGCTGGAGTGCAGTGGTGCAGTGGCGCAATCTTGACTAACTGCAACCTCTGCCTTCCGGGTTCAAGCAATTCTCCTGCCTCAGCCTCCCCAGTAGCTAATCTACTGCAGTGCTACCACGCCCCGCTAAGTTTTGTATTTTTTTAGTAGAGATGAGGTTCCACCATGTTGGTCAGGATGGCTTGGCTCCAAGTCTTTGGCGCCACCCGAGTAGCCTTGAGAGCTTGCTTGCTTTCTGGTATGAGAAAATATGGTACTTTTTCTGCCCCAGACATGCAGTGGGCTGTTTCTCCAGGGACTCCTTGTTGCTTTTCATGGGAAATGCTGTATAGAGATCATGATCTGGGTACCGGGAGTGTTAATGATCCCCAGGGGGATCATCTTTTCTAGGCCTTTTCTGTGAACAGATGTAGAAAATATGTATACTTTATTAAAGATAGAACTCGCCATAAAGTATTATTCTGATACTTCAATGCAAACCCAGTATTACAAGGACTGTACTTAACTTCATTAGCCTTACACCCTATCTCCTTTCAATCACAGAGAAAAGTTCTCAAAGACATGAGCACAATTACTCATTTGATTTGTCCCACAAATACACAGACAACAGTCTCAGAACAACAATATCTGTGTGCCCATCAACAACATGATTACTGAAAGCCATGGAAGGCTCTGGTTGCAGCTCTTTTTGTCCTCAGGGTATATCCCACTGAGCAGGGACAGTCAAGTGACAGTGCTTTCAAGTCAATTGCAATGATTCCTGCCTGGGTGGGGACACATTTGGGTCCATTTGTTTCCTTTTCCTTTTAATTTTTAGAAATTGCTTCTTGATTTAATTTTGTTTTGTAATTATGTAGAATACTTACTGGCTCCAAAATAAACTCTATAAAATTTGGTATAGGAAAAAAGTTCATCCCATGGATTGTACAGAGTATGAAAGGAAAAAAACAAAAAAGAAAAAGGTCCACCTTTTTTCCTGGCATCTTTGATCTTATTCTTTTCTTCTATTAGCAAGAGTTAAAAAAAATTATGGCTTATTCTTCCATTTCTAAATATTTGTATATACTTTTATGAGGGCTTTATTGAGATATAATTTACATACCATAAAATTCATCCTGGTCAGGTGCAGTGGCTCATGCCTGTAATACCAGCACTTTGGGAGGCCGAGGCGGGTGGATCACGAGGTCAGGAGTTCGAGACCAGCTTGGCCAACATAGTGACACCCTGTCTCTACTAAAAATACAAAAATTAGCTGGGTGTGGTGGCATGCGCCTGTAGTCCCAGCTACTCAGGAGGCTGAGGCAGGAGAATCACTTGAACCCGGGAGGTGGAGGTTGCAGTGAGCCAAGACCACGTGATTGCACTCTAGCCTGGGTGACAGAGTGAGACTCTGTCTCAAAAAAAAAAAAAAATTCATCCTTTTTAAATGTGTGTTTGTCTTTTCTAAGATAACAGTGGCATCTACTAAACACATTACGTTACTTTTTGCACTAACAATAAATCCTAGATATTCCTCCCTATCAGTAGAGCTCTCCTTCATTCATTTGCACAGCTGCATTGCATAAAAGTACCATAAGAAGTATCACAATTTATTCAACCAGTCCCCTACTGATGGACATTTGGATCATTTTCACATTTTTGCCATTACAAATAATGCTGATGTATTTTCATGTTTTGGCCAATGTACCTTTGGGATAGATTTGTACAAGAGGAATTGCTGAGTCAAACGGTGTCTGCGCAGGGCAAGGAAGAAAGGACTCTTGAGTAATGAGGGGAAATGACATTACTTTTATTGCAAGTGCAGCCTCTAGAGGCCTCTATGGATTTGCCCTGTTCTAGGCAGCAGGGGAGGCCTTTTCAAGAATCAGATTATCCCAGCTATCAGCCAGTGAATGGTTCATTTAAGATGCATTCATAGATTTTACATTCATTAATATAATACATAGCCTTTGCATGATACATCTTTACAAAAGAGTTGTGTATCAGGCATGTGGTGCTGCGTTTAGAAATGAGAATAAGTTACAGAAATGCAAGTAACAACTCCACATATTCTCAACATCAGCAATGGAATAACTCTGAGGCAGGAGACACGGGGACTGGAAGTACTTAAACGTCACTGCATACCTGCTACCGTGCTGGTGGCTTTGACATGTACTCTCGTATACTCCTACTGCCAATACCTCCTAGAAAGCATGCACAAACACCAAGCGATGGACCACTCTCTCCTCATTTTACAGATGAGGAAACTGGGACTCAGAGGGGTGAAGTAACCTGAGCAAAGTGAGTGGCAGAACCAGGGGAAAGGTAAAAATTATAATAAAAATGCAAATTGTGATAATAGACATGATGTTATGGCTGGCGCAGTGGCCCACGCCTGTAATCCCAGGACTTTGGGAGGCTGAGGTGGGCAGATCATGAGGTCAAGAGATCGAGACCATCCTGGCCAACATGGTGAAACCTCTTCTCTGCTAAAAATACACAAATTAGCCAGGTGTCGTGGTGTGTGCCTGTAATCCTGGCTACTCGGGAGGCTGAGGAAGGAGAATCGCTTGAACCTGGGAGGCGGAGGTTGCAGTGAGCCAAGATGGTGCCACTGCACTCCAGCCTGGCAACAGAGTGAGACTCCACCTCAAAAAAGATGTTAAGAAAATGTAGATGCTTTAACTAATATATTTGTTATAAATCAAGACTAAGCACTTAGCCTAAGTAAAACAAATATTCAACAGGTAATCCGTTGCAGTCTACCTGATTTCAGAACTTATTATGTAGTTACAATTATTAAGAGTAGGTGGTATTGGTGGAGGGATAGACATCCAGATCAATGAAACAAAATAGAGAACCCAAAGATAGACTCATATGAAATGCAAAACTAATTTTTGAAAAAGATGCTATGGAGGAAGGAAGCATCCCCTTTTCAAAAAGAACCTAACCTGATTCTCACACCTTAATACAAAAATTAACTTTAAATGGGTCACATACTGAAATGTAAAATGTAGAACCATGAAATTTTTAGAATGGCTAAAATTAAAAACAGTGACAAAGTCAGACATGGTAGCTCATACCTGTAAAACCAGAACTGTGGGAGGCTGAGACAGGAGGATAGCTTTAGTCTAGGAGTTTGAGACCAGCCTGGGCAACACAGTGAGACCCCATCTCTAAAAAAAAAAAAGTACAAAAATTAGCTGGACATAGTGGCACGTGCCTATAGTCCCAGCTACTCAGGAGGCTGAGGTTGGAGAATTGCTTGAGCCCAGGAGTTCGAGGCTGCAGTAAGCTGTGATTTCACCACTGCACTCCAGCCTGGGCAACAAGTGAGACTCTGTCTCAAAAAATTAACTGACTAACTAAATGAATGAATAAACGTGACAGCACCAAATGCTGGCAAACATGCAGAGGAGCTGGATCACTTACACACTGCTGAGGGCATGGAAAATGACGCCACTAATGTAGAAAACATTTTGGCAGTTTCTTTAAAAACTAAACATGCAATTACTACATGATCCAGCAATTGCACTCCTGGACATTTATCCCGGAACAATGAAGATTTATGTCCACAGAAAAACTGATACACAAATGTTTATAGCAGCTTTATTCATAATAACAAAAATTTGCAACCAACATCGATGCCCTTCAGTGGGTGAATGTGTGAAGTTGTGGAACATCTAGACCATGGAATAATACTCAACAATAAGAAGGAATAGACAGTGAACACACACAACAATGTGCACGAGTTTCCTGGGAATTGTGCTGAGTGAAAGAAGCCAATCTCAGAAGGTTACATACTGTACTATTCCACTCACATTACGTTCTTGAAATGGCCGAATTATAGAAATGGAGAACAGATAGATTAGTGGTTGCCAGAACTTAAGGAGTGGCGGGGACTGGTGGGAAGTGGTATTAATAAAAAGGGCCGTTTTTGGTAAACGACTTAGCTTGCCTATTTGTCATTTTCCTGACTTCACCAGATTTCTACAGTTTATTCTTTGAACATCGTGTGTCTTTGATCAAAGGTTAATTTAAGGCTTTGGTCTTAGAAGGCCTGATGAGCAGATTGAGGAAAACCCCTATCGTCGTCCAAAGGTTCAGGTCAGCCACAGTCTTCACAGTTAAGGTCTAGAGCAATGAGCAATATCTACATGTGAACATTTTCATGTGTTTCTTTGTCTTTCATTAATTAATTAATTTTTTTTTTTTAGAAATGAGGTCTTGGTATGTTTCTCAGGCTGATGTCTTTCTAATGCAGGAGTTCTGATTTTTTTGGTCTTTGGGCCTCTTTACACGGCCAAAGAGCTTTTATTTGCATGGGTTATACATCTACCCCTATTTACCATGAACAGAGAAATGTAAAAATACTGATTTGAGGCTGGCATGGTGGCTCACACCTGTAATCCCAGCACTTTTGGAGGCCGAGGTGGGTGGATCACTTGAGGTCAGGAGTTCGAGACCAGCCTGGGCAACATGGCGAAACCTCATCTCTATTAAAAATACAAAAATTAGCTGGGCGTGGTGGCGCACGTCTGTAATCCCAGCTACTCGGGAGGCTAAGGCACAAGAATTGCTTGAACCCTGGAGGCGGAGGTTGCAGTGAGCCAAGATTGTGCCACTCCACTCCAGCCTGGATGACAGTGAGAAAAAGAAATACTGATTTGTTAATTCACTTAAAATAACAGTAGTAAATCCTTTACTTGTCAACGTACATATTCTTATAAAAAATAATTATAGTTTTCAAAACAAAACATTAAGTGGAAAGAGTAGCATTGCTTTTCATTTTTGCAAATCTCTTTAATGTCTTGCTTTGTAGTTTGCAAATCCCTTTAACAGCTGGTTCTCACGTCTGTTTCCATCTCTTGTAATAGGCTGTTGAGTTGCAGGATATTAAGAACACCCAGCATCACTAGATATGCTGTTGGGAAAGGGAGAAGCCTGGGGACCTCTGAAAGTGTCTTGGGTCCCCCCAGGGATCCTTGGACCACACTTTGAGAATGGCTGATCTAGGGGATTTCCTCAGGTTTGGTTTGATCTTTCCTCTAGGTTGCAGTAGATATGCAAAGCTGGACTTTTTTATTGGAGTCTTTGGGCAACGTGGTCTTTTTAGAAAATTTGGGGAATAGTCAACTGAAAATAGGATAATGAGGGAAGACAGCGTCTCCAGAAGGCTTTTTTTGGGATGAGGCGGTGAAGTCTGTTTTTTTCTTATAAACAAGACTCTGAAGACAAGGTCTGCATGTACTCAGGAGGCTCCAGCATTTGGCGGGACCGAACAATGCTTCGAAACTAGCCCGGCCGCAGAGGACGCCCAGGTGATCCAGTCCTGGGAAAACGGGGCGTTTTAAGCAGCTGTGTAAAAGTAGCGTCTACCATGGCTTTCCTTTTAACGAGATTAGTCTTGCTTTTCCCCTCCTCTTTATTTCACTGTCTGGGGGCCACCTCTTGGCTCTCATGGTAATGTGATTAGCTGGCCTGTGGCCCACACCGAGACCACTGTCACAAAGATCTCTGCTTACTTGAGTGCACCTCTCTCCTGAATGCAACATCTTGTGTTTATAGTCACAGGGGGTATTGTTAACTCTGGGATTCAAATAGAATGGGATATTTACGACAGCCTCCTACCTCCCCCACCACCATAAAAGTTGATTCAGGGAGACATTTAGGGAAGAAATAGACAGAAGACAGATGTGTTGCCTTCCCCAGATGCTGAGGAGCCTCAATTGTTCTGCTTATGTAATGACTTTTTATGGCTGCTTGCAAATGCCTCTTTTGACTTTTAAAAAGGTGCCAAAGTCAAATATAGGTAGTTACTGAGAACGTTTTAGTAATCTCACCGGACACTCCAGCTGGCTCAAAACTCTTCATCAGAGGATATATAATAAGCATACATCCCTTTCCCACTTCATGGATATAACTGTGGTTTCCTCTTGTTTGTATTTAAGACTGCATGTGTAGCTACAAAAAAGCAATAGTGTCTTGGACAATGAACATTTTCCCATAAATCCTTAATGGTTCAATAATTGTTTTAAAGGCAATTTATATAATTACAGCAAGAAGAAAATGAAGTTAATGGAGATTGCGGACCTCCACTTCTTTTCTTTTAATGCAAATCAATACATCCAGTTATCTCTGAAGGACAAATTTGATTTCAGTGATTTTGATAATTTAGGTTAAATTGAATAGGAAAATGTCCAGGACAGTGAGAGTTTTCCTGTCCACAATGCTGTATTTTCATCAGCTTTTGGCCTCTCACTTTAGAGACGTTCTGCTTAAACACTCTCACGCTAGATGTGATCCCAGCACACGGGTCAGCATTGTGCACCTCAGCCTTGACTTGGGAGGGATGTGTAGGAGGGTACTGGGTGCTCCACAGACCTGCGTCCACTGTTACTTCTCTCCTTCAGAGCCTGCAGCTGAGAAGCAAATCCGCAACTGATAGACAAATGGCAAGACAGGGCAGAGTGCTGGAGTACATGCTTCCCAAGAACAGAACTCACTCTTCGCCTATGAGCCTAGTGCAAATGTCTTCTCACCTTTGAACAGTAATGGTAAATGTTTAACAACTAGCTCTTTGGGGAGAAAAAGAATAAGGCCTGCTTTGTTGTGTTTGCCATTCCTGTGGTGTAAACACTCTCCTGTGGCTGATTCCAAGCCACCACGGTGACGTTGCTGAACCTGGGGTTGGGAAGAGAGGTGGGCACTGGCTTCAGCATGCCTCTGCATGCACTTCCGCTTTTTTCTGCTTAAATTATTGGTTAGATGCCCATACGCTCATCCTTTCAGGGAGACTGTAAGCATGGTGAAGGCAAAGGGAGTGTGCTATAGTCCCTGCATCATTCACAGTGCCAGGCACAGTGCCCCACAATACAAAGTCCTCCATAAATTGTCACTCAATTGCATCACTACACTACTTGTATTGTTGCAATTGTTGGTATTGTTAGTTAATACTTATTGACTAAAATTTATTCTTGTTTTTTCTTTTTTTTGAGACAGAGCTTCGCTCTTTCACCCAGGCTGGAGTGCAGTGGTGCCATCTTGGCTCACTGCAAGCCCTGCCTCCTGGGTTCACACCATTCTCCTGCCTCAGCCTCCCAAGTAGCTGGGACTACAGGCGCCCGCCACCACGCCTGGCTAATTTTTTGTATTTTTGATAGAGATGGGGTTTCATCGTGTTAGCCAGGATGGTCTCAATCTTCCAACCTCATGATCCGCCCGCCTCGGCCTCCCAAAGTGCTGGGATTACAGGCATGAGCCACCGTGCCCGGCCTTTTTTTTTTTTTTTTTTTTTTGAGGCAAGAATCTTACTCTATTGCCCAGACTGGAGTGCAGAGTGCAATCTCTGCTCACTGCAACCTCTGCCGCCTGGGTTCAAGCAATTCTCATGCCTCAGCCACCTGAGTAGCTGGGATTATACGTACACGCCATCATGACAGGCTCATTTTTTGTATTTTTAATAGAGACGGAGTTTCGCCATGTTGGCCAGGCTGTTGTTGAATTCCTGACCTCAAGTGATCTGCCAGCCTTGACCTACCAAAGTTTTGGGATTACAGGCTTGAGCCACTGCACCCGGGCTAACATTTATTCTTATAAGAGCTTCACTTGCATTATTTCATTTGGTGATGACAAACATAAGCATGTATTAGAGAGAATATGTTGGTTGAAAGAACTGAAGAGTTGCTATCAGAGTTGTCCTCATTCGATGTCTGGAAACCAGGAAAGAATGTTTATTTATATTCTCACCTCGTCTCCTCTTGCTCTTCCCTGCTTCCCAGAGCACTTTCTTCCTCCCTGTTCTCTTTTCTCTTCCCACCCATTGCTTGTCTTCTCTCTTTTTAATTTTTGTGTATATATAAATATTTGCAAATAATTCTCAATCATTAGAGTGAAAACATTTTTCTTTATTCCACTTACAATGATCAACGTCATCCTCTTGCAAAAACAAATCTTTTGTGTGTTTCCCTTATCAAGTAGTTAGGGGAATCCAAATATCTTCTCAAATCAAATCTTATAACCCTCCTGGCCTTGAAGCCCCAGAACGCCAGACAAAGGATGAGCCAGAAAGGGCGATGACAGGACCACGTTTCTTTCAGGCCTTTGCCAACCTGCGAAGGTTCTCTGGACAGTGCTCTGAAGGGGATTCGAAGGTTCAGTGACCCAGGAGCCCAGAGACTTGAGGTATCATTTCAGCTGAACTACGGAATTACTTAACTTTGGGGAAATCATTTCCCCCATATTCATTCAACATTGGAAAAACTTCCATGTTCTAATTTATGTATCAATCACTTGGGAATAACAACACGTTTTCTTATAGGTCTTTTTTCTTTTGTCAGTTTCAAATATATGAGTTTGTGCTTTAAAAGCATGAGGTACGGCATATGCCCATGTACACAGAATGTGAGAGCCTCGGATATTGTACACACATTGAAATGAAGTATTATTCTTTGCACTTTAGACAAGAAAGTCTAAAGTATATGGCTGATACAGACATATAGGTATTTTACCATACTGATCCAAACTTGTAAAATACTTCTCATTAGCATCGAGAGTATTTATTGAATATCCAGTTTTCATTTTTGTTGTGTGCTGGGCCCAGCAGTAAAGGCGACGTTTTGTCTTTGAGTATAGTGGGGAGCCATGTGACCAAAAAGTGGAAACACGTTTGGCTGAACCCATGACTCATGTCCTAGGAGATGCTGTCAATGCCAGCTCCTGTAGGTGACATCTCAGCTACATTGCCCCACATTTCTGGATTGGGCAAATGTGACAGAAATGTCCAGTTTCTGTTAAAGTTTTTTCCTGTGTTTTTATTAATTTAGGCTGGTGTTGCTATAACATATAACTTTATCCTCAGATATTGAAATTTGGCCAAAATATAGATGGGACTATTTAAACAAGATTTTTATTTCAACTATTTTAGTCACTTGCCCATATGTATTTTTGGCATACATTCAGAGAATCATTTTCCACTTTAGGTTAAGCACTATTTAGTCAGTAACTTGTTGAATGAATGATATTCTAGATTCACAGGTAGTCTCCTCAAAATGCTGCTACGAGAGCTGTCATTTTATTCAGGAAGGGGGTCCAGGAAGGGGTCACGTCTCATCCTCCTCATCCACTAGTCTCAGGACTTCCAGTTTTTAAGACAAATGTACTCATTGTGGCCCAACAGGAGACACCTGCCTAAGCTTGTAAAAGAGTCTTGTTCAAATAACCAGTTTTATATTCTTGGCCCATTGGAGAACTCTGCCGCCACCTGGGCTGGTGCAGGGATGAAGGACTGAAGCATATTCCCGATAAAGTATGCTCACCTGTCTTGTCTTACTGGGCTCACAGCCTCCCCAGAAACAGGGGAGAAGTGACTGTTCTGTTAGGATACCCATAAAACACACATGGGTAGGGAGGTGCCGAGGAAGCAGACCCCAGAAAGCAGGATTCAGTGAGCCACTGGGAGGTGTAGGCAAATCTCAAAATCCATCAGTCCATTGCTCCCTGCACCCTGGTCACTACCAAAATGGGTCAAGTTGAGAGCTAGGTTTACTAGAAACAAAGGAACATTTAAAACTCATCAATGAAGCCCAGCCGGCAAGAAATGCAGAAGCATTTCAAAAACCAAAATGCATTTCCTGTTAAAAGACCTTTTCCTTAAAGCAGTTGTGTCAAGGCACCATCTGGGCACAAAGACACGAGTCTATTTGGAAGTACACAAAGGCTATCAGTGTCGATGTTATTCAGACTGTGAGTAACAGTTCCATTCCTGCCAATGCTGTCTTCATTCTTCCTTCTCCAGGTAGGTCCCTCTTGGAAACCAAACTGGTGGATCTCAAAAGGTTGCCGTTTCCCCTGACTTAAAGAAAGGAAGTTAGGCCTCTGCCCACTTTGTTCGGGCTTCTTAAGTCAAGAATTGTTTGTTGGTTTGTTGTTGTTCAACTTATTATTAAATATTATTGAATAGATGGTGCTTATTTAAATATATTTTTTCTGTAGCATTTTCCAAAGGGCAGATTTTTAGCACTCAAAACTTCAAGATGGCTTCCAAATTTATATAGGCATTTTTATCTCAAGGAGATCCCAGATGAGAGCTCCTCTGAGAAAAGAATATTTTCAAAGTCTTTATTTCCTTACTGAAATAACCTGGGGTAGGAATTGGAACCTGGAACAGGTCAGAAACAGCCCTTAATGGAAGCAGGGCAAGGAAACAGGGCCCGTCCACCTCCAGCACCCTCACTCATTCCAACAAAAAAGTGGAAGCAAAAGATGGAAGGAATGTTTTTGTCTTATTTCTAAATGAATGGATCCTTTTTGAAAGAAATTCAGATCCGCTGTCATTAAAAATCAGATAACATGGGCCAGGCACAGTGGCTCATGCCTGTAATCCCAGCATTTTGGGAGGCTGAGGCGGGTGGATCACCTGAGGTCAGGAGTTCAGGACCAGCCTGGCCAATATGGTGAAACCCCGACTCTACTAAAAATACAAAACTTACCCAGGTGTTGAGAGGTGAAGATAGCTGGACTTCCTGGGTTGAGTGGGGACTTGGAGAACTTTTCCGTCTTACAAGAGGATTGTAAAATGCACCAATCAGCATAGGCAGGATTGTAAAACACACTAATCACTGCTCTGTAGCTACCTAGAGGTTTGTAAAATGCACCAATCAGTGCTCTGTAAAAACGCACCAATCAGTGCTCTTTGGCTAGCTAGAGGTTTGTAAAATAAACCAATCAACACTCTGTAAAATGGACCAATCAGCAGGATGTGGGCAGGGACAAATAAGAGCATAAAAGCTGGCCACTCCCCTCCCCGCCAGCCGCGGCAACCTGCTCCGGTCCCTTTTGATGCTTTGGAAGCTTTGTTTTTTGGCTTTTCACAATAAATCTTGCTGCTGCTCACTCTTTGGGTCCCTGCCACCTTTAAGATCTGTAACACTCGCTGCGTCTGCAGCTTCATTCTTGAAGTCAGCAATACCAGGAGCCCACCAGAAGGAAGAAACTCCAACTCTGGACACAGTGTGGTGGTGGATACCTGTAATTCCAGCCACCGGGGAGGCAGGAGAATTGCTTGAACCCAGGAGGCGGAGGTTGCAGTGAGCCAAGATCAAGCCACTGCACTCCAGCCTGGACGACAGAGCGAGACCCTGTCTCAAAAAAAAAAAAGCATGAAAAAAAAAAAACTTTAAAAATCCACATTTGGCCAATAAAAGGACTCATACAGTTACTAGCATGGAGGAAAAAAGCATTTTTAGTCATTGGATCGGTATCATAAAATGTATAAATCATGTATACATGTCCTTGGAAATGTCCTTTGGTATTGGAATTTGAGTTTTATGATCTGCTTATAACTAAAGTTTCTGGTTAAGTTTTTAAGGGAGAGAAAATGAAAAGCTTTCAAAGCCAACACCTTGTTTCTCAGGACATACCCCAGGGCAGAGTTTTATGACTGCACTAGGCTTTTAGTCACTGGCTGGCACTTTCCTCCTAATTCTCAAAATGCTTCCAGCACTTCCTCTTTATGGTGGGGCTGGGCTTCCGGCACCTCCAGAAGTGCAGACTTGCCCAGCCCATCTTGGCTGTAGACAGACTGCTTAGCCACAGCTCGGCCCAGAGTGGGACACCCTCAGTGACTGTGCCAAGGGGAGTAGGAATGGGAAACAAGGAAAAACCAGGCTTTCCTAAACCACTGCTGCACTCAATGGTGTGCCGAGGCTGGCTGGCATAGGCTGGCAAGCATCTTCACGAATCTAAATATTATATTTAGTAAGTTCCCAGTTATTAAACATAGCCACTGTTGATAATTAAGTTTTATAAAGGTACGCTGAAATAAGGTATATAAAAAACAAAGGTAAAATGCTCAAAGCTCATTACTTCCTAATTTGTTTTTTGCTGCATTGTATTACAATTTACGTTCTTGAGGTTACTTAGGCTACTGAAGGTGTATGGTAGGAATACTATAGAAAGGTGTATTACTGTGAATCTTTCCCCAACTCTGAGGTCAGTGATGCCTGTCAGTAGACTGAAATCAGCCATGGTGGGAATGTTTACCAGAACAAGGGCAAACACTGCAAGCCAGGGCTTGATGGTTTAGTTGATTGCCTGGACTTAAGAAAGTGATGGAGAAAATGTTAATGATGCAAATTAAACTTAAAACTGTAATGTTCATAGCCATTACATTGCAGATTGCTTAAACATTGAAAATACTTTCTTCTAGCTTTTGAAAATACTATCTGATTTGGCAAAACAGTCACATCATTGATAAAGGACTGAAATTTTGACATAGTCTTTGTTATTTCACACTTTTTTTTTTTGAGACGGAGTTTTGCTCTTGTTGGCCAGACTGTAGTGCAATGGCGTGATGTCGGCTCACTGCAACCTCAGCCTCCCAGGTTCAAATAATTCTCCTGCCTTAGCCTCCCAAGTAGCTGGGATTACAGTTGCCCGCCACCACACCTGGCTAATTTTTGTATTTTTAGTAGAGTCGGGGTTTCACCGTGTTGGCCAGGCTGGTCTCAAACTCCTGACTTCAAGTTATCCACCCTCTTCGGCCTCCCAAAGTGCTGAGATTACAGGCGCGAGCCACCACGCCTGGCATTTTTTTTTTTTTAGACTAGTCAAGTGCAGGAGTGAGAAGGAGGAAAGTGTAGAATAAAGAGTTGGATCTGTAACTAACTATGAACTATCGGTTGAGATAACTCACTACCTTTCGATCACCCACTTTTGTCTTACTCTTAAACAAAATGACAACTAACATTTATGTTGGAACCGCACTTGTTCATCAATTGCAACTACAGTTTGGCTATGGATACAAGATTCAACAAAAATCAACTGAAAGCATTTAGTGAGAGTCGGTTATATGGGATTTGTGATTAAGAGTATTGTATATTTAATTGTATGTTTATTTGTAAGTTGCACATCACACATCTGTATCAACATTTATAATAAACATATTAAACACGCACACACACAGACACACTTTTTACCCCTGAAAGCTGGCTGCAAACATCTCTACTAGCACACCACTGCATACACTGGTGTAATGTAATTCCAGACTTCTAGGACTGGAGCCTGCAAAACTTTTTTGACAGCACCCTACTTTGACAAGCCAGAAACTTCATGGCCTACCTCCCTCATTCACTTTCCATATGGCGTAGGAAAAGGGATGCCCACATACATCTGGCAGAATCACATACATTTTTCATTTAGCAATAGCGGCATGCGTGGTTCATATTTGAACCTAGTGTGTTTATGTGTTCAAGTGTAGTTACCAGAACAGCATAGGCAGATGCTAGAATATACCATCACACACTAACCAGACAACACACAGTGAACTAAGTTGGCAATAAAGACACAAAACCAACTGTAAGTTATAATTCAAAAGCAAGAAAAGCAGCACTTATAAAGCATGACAACCTCAAGACAGCACTAATAGCAAATTGTTCCTCTTCCAAACTGCAGGAATTCCAACTATGCTGCATATGTGGGCCACAGAGCTAAGCCGTGCACAGCAGCCAGATCTCTGGGAAGGAACTGAAGTTAAACCCTTGGTAAATGCTAGTTCTGTGCTAGTTTTAGTGTGTGAATAATAAGCTGTACCGACTCCTAATGACTCACTTCTTAGGTCACAAATACTTAGGCTTATATAAAAATGAAAGTGTCTGGAACTGCCTGTCATTGACACAATAGGCATGCAAAAAGAACCTGAGTGATCTGCTTAGCAGGAGGCAGGCTGGGCATTGGGTTAGCAGTACTGGCTCTAGAGAATTCTACCGCATAACTGATATCTTACACAGAACAGCTCTCTTCCTGGCTTGGGCTTCACTAAGGCCATTTCTAATCACCACCAAGTTTGATTTCAACTTTGGAGTCAATGCAATCCTTGTGCTAAATGAGATCCTTCCTGGTAGTTACTGGCACTGTCTGGCATATTTGTGGAAGCATTAACTCCTTGAGGTAGTCAATTAGTTGCTGCTGGAGCTAAGTCCACGACAGAATTTCTGCAGTCAGCTCTAGGCAGGCCCACCTCCTGCCACACTGCTCTCCAGGCACATGGAAGGGTTTCCCTCACCACCAGTTTACTCCTGGGGCCTAGCTCGGTCTCAGGCAGGAGAGCACTCAGGAAGACAGCCATATATCACTCCACTCGAGGCTGCCTCTGGTCTGGAAATTGTGGGTCTGCTTCACCGTGTGCTGTAAAGAGCTTATATTTCCGTTTATTTGTTTCTCCAGATCGAAACAGCATTGGCAGAGGGACAGAGCCAGCACCGGGACTGACCAGGAGCTGTTCCTCCTTCGCCTCATTTTAGAGTTGATTTGGGGGTTAAAGGTTACGCTTTTTGAGAGAGGTAGTAAAACATTAATTATGGGTAAAGTTCTTTCTCTCTTGCTCCATAGATTAACTGGCTGATCCTGTTTGCTCTATGAAGTGAACCATATTTGCTAAGGGTAATTTGAAATCGGCAGTGCAAATGGCCCCCTGACTTCCTCCTGCTGTTGGGCACTGTGCTGAGGTGAGTGCTGCAGGGCTCATGGTCATCAAGTCCCCCCAGTGGGACAAATACTGCATATCTTGTGAGAACCACTGGATTACTAAGATGTTAGCAGCCCCATGGACTTCCCGGAGCCTGTCCCTCGTCAGGAAATGTGCCATCTAACGCATGCACATCAGTTCACAGTGATGCACAGTAAAACCGAAAGCCAAGGGTCTGATTAACTGGCATCACTGAAGGCTCTGGTTTTATTCCCATCCTGGGTGACCTGGGAGCATCCTTCAGATTGTGCATCTAGGGTATGATGGGTTTATTTGTTCATCACCGTCTTCCTCGGGTGTAGAGCAGGGTCTGGCATGGAGCAGGCGTTCCGTATTTGCTGAGCGAACACACAGATCGTATGACCTGCTCTACACCTGTTGCTTGCTGCCTTCACGTCACTTACGGTCTCACTGGGGAGATGTGAGTGTTACACGTGAGACCATGAGACAGCAGGAAAAGACTAGCAGAGCCAGGAGCTAAAACATGGGCAAGGCCAGCAGGTCCCGGCAGGAAGTCTGCGGGCTCTGAGGCCCTCGTGGGCACAGGGCTGAGGTTGGGCAGGCGCCTCCGCGTCTGCTGGGCAAAGATCAGGTTGGCGCCGGGGTGGGAGGCTGGACAGGTGTGGAGGAGCAGGAAACACATTCCAGGTTTCCCTAAGGAAATGGGAAAAACCAGTTGTTTTAAAAATTGAACTGAATTCTTTCTTTTTTTCTTTTTTTTTTTTTTTTTGAGATGGAGTCTTGCTCTGTCACCAAGGCTGGAGTGCTGTGGTGTGATCTCGGCTCACTGCAACCTCCACCCGCTGGAAAAATTGAACTGAATTCTGTCTTAACCAACTTCCAGGGCATGGCCAAAGTCATCTGTAGCAGAGTATCCCCATGGACTGGGTTTGGGACTGTAACTTAGTGCCTGGAAACATTGGTACCAAGCTGAGGCTCTTATGGTTCCATTGTTCGTGGTCTTGAGACTTGGCCTTCATAAACACAGCTCAGCAAAGGCGTCGTTATTGGGCAGGCCACTGCAAACTTGCCCAAATCTGTGGAAGCACCTGGTGAATCCCGAGCACTCTCTAAGCAGAGTGAGAAGAACCCTGAAGCCACATTTTTGAAGTGTCTCTTATGAGCGTTGAAGATGGGGGCATCTGCTGAGCTTATGCAGGAGGCTGTTTGCTTATTTGAGGGCTGAAGTTTGTATGAAGACTGGCGGTGCGTGTGTATCACCAGTCGTAGCCGAAGCAACTTGGGGAGGCTTTTCACGGTTGTTCAAGCTGTTTATAACAGCTGTGTATCCACAGGTGACACTAGTGCTTGGAGCAGCAGAGGAGCCATGCTTGGGCAGCAGCTGCTTTGTAATCCATGCACTGAAATTCTGTCCCCTGTGCTGGGTGGGGATGCTCTCTGTGGTGTCATTGAACTCAGTGTGTGTTGTTGCTGTTTGCAATGTGCTCAATGGCTCAGATGCAATGATGGATGCTTCCAGGAGAGGCAACATGAGTCCTTGAATCATACAAATTCATATTCCACAGCCTCATGAAGTCATCTCTGCTGAATCAGGTTTCTCCCTGACATGGAGGGTGTGGCCACACAGCATCTGACAGCATGGAGAGAGCAATCAGACTAATTTCTTATTATGTTCTAACAATATAAAAAATCCAAACTGCATAATTGAGGCAAATAATAAATCTTTCTGGACCATGATTACCCAATTTGACTGTTTACTTTAATCAAATCACAAAATAATGATCGAATTTGGATTTAATTATGTGCCTATAAAGATAACCAAGAAGCAAATGTAAGTAACTGTCAGTCAAAGTCTTCTCAGACAATAGCTCGCATTACAACACGCCAATTACATTTTTATCAGGTAGTTAAGTTAATTACCTGTGGTAAATGTGTTAGTGGGACAAGTGTAGATTGCTGTAAACATTTGCTGACCACTTTAAAATGCTGCTGGACCATATGGGAGGATTCAAGGGTACAATAGCATGCAGATGTATTTACACCTGCTAATGCCATATAAAATCCAATAAAGTGTTCATGGTGAAACCTGTGTGTCTTTTTTTCCACCACAAGATGGCTCTGTGGTGGTTTCTTCTCAGAAACCACATGGGTGGCAGGACAAATTCATGGTTGTGAAGTAGCACACACACTCTGGGCAATGGTGTTGTGGAAACTGGACATTTGGTTTGAACCAGTGACTTCAGCCTCCCTTCCTTGCTGAGAGAAACCTCTCCTTCCCACCCTCTCCCCCAAGCACCCGGTGCCTTTGGCTTCCCTCTGTCGGAGGCTAAAACAGCATCTGGGCTGGCCATGGTGGTTCACACCTGTAATCTCAGCACTTTGGGAGGTGGGCGGATCACCTGAGGTCAGGAGTTCAAGATCAGCCTGGCCAATGTGGCGAAATCCCGTCTCTACTAAAAATACAGAAATTAGCCAGGCGTGGTGGCACGTGTCTGTAATCCCAGCTACTCAAGAGACTGAGGCAGGAGAATCACTTGAATCCAGGAGGCGGAGGTTGCAGTGAGCCGCGATCACACCCCTGCACTCCAGCCGGGTGACAGAGTGAGACCCTGTCTCTCAAACAAAATAAAACAAAACCAACGACAAAAAAAACCCACCAGCATCTGGATCCTTCTGTGTTGGCAGGGACTTTGCCTATTTCGTTCATCACTGTCTTCCCAGTGCTTACAGCAGTGCCTGAAACTGCGCTTAGAAATTTGGGGTGTGCCAGTGGAGGCTGCAGTACCCATGGGAGTCAGTGTCAATTCCAGGTTGTATCCACCTCCATTTCAGGGTGCACTGCCTGAAATTCATTCCCTGCATGGAAGGGTGGTCAAGCTTTATATAATTTTAATATACAACTTCTTTCATTTGTCTATTTATATTAAGATAATTCCTTTCCAAAGTCCCCAACCCTGTGTAGTTCAAAACTTACTTTCAGTTGGGAATAAGTCAGCCTTATTCACATTTCTTCACCTACCATTCCCAGGCAGTACTGATTGCTGTCAGTTCTTTTTCTCAGGAAGTCTGTGGACTTATCTCAGCCTCTTCAAAATATTTTCTTTTTCTGCCAACCTAAAGCTTTCCACAACAGTTTTACTGCACTTGACTGTTTGCAGTGCCTAGTATGTGTTAACTTATTCAATTCTCCCCATGGCTTCTTGCCTCTGCTCAATCAGTTACCATTCAATTTTTGCTTTCCAGCATCCAAAAATGTTGTTGCTACAGTCTCTTGTCTCTGGTTCATTTGTCCTTCTGGGGTAATATGCTTTTTTGAAAAAGGACCTCACCATTACTTATTTGAGGGTTCAGAGGAAGCACAAGTAAATGCTTATATTCAATCCAACATCTTTTATAAGGAGCCCAAAGTGAGCCCTTTGCATGTAGTGTCATTGACTCATCACAATAATCCTGCACTGTTATTATCCTCATTTCCCAGATGAGGAAACTGAGGTACTGAAAAGTTGAATAACTTGCCAAGACCCCACCGTCAGGAAGTGGGACAGAACTAGAATCCAATTCCAGGCAGTCTGACTCCAGCATTTATCATTTTTTCTCTAGAAGAGGGGAGGTGCTAGAAATAGAAAACTGACTGAAGGTCTGTTTAAGAAGTAGTTAGACCCCTAAGCACACTGCACACACATGCATGCATGCATACATACACACAGAGACACACACTCTGTACGGATTTTCTTCTATTTACCATGTTAGTGAGGGGGGATCTTCTGCCCTAAACAGTGTAAGGTGGCTGAACACATGACACCCAGCACTGGGCTGATGAGATGACAACAGTTCATCAGTCACACATACTCAAACAGCCAGGGGAGGAGGACGCCACACACTGTGCAGGGCCACACAGCGGCGGCACTGGATGAACCAGTAGGGGCTGTGAGAGGAGGCTTTGTAGTAACAGGAGGATGAGGTGCTCCCTGGTTTCCAGGGGAGGATGTGATTGGTTTGTTTGAATAATTCCACAGACTGGCAAGGAGGTGAAGCCTGTTAGGTGGAGGATCAGGTGGAGTGCTGCTGGTCTGGCTGAGAGGGGAACTGGCCAGGTGGAGGAGATTTGTTGCTCGGGGGAGCATATCTGGCCAGAGCAGGGAAACTCATAGTCAGGCCTTTGGGGCCCTGTGAGGCTCTAAGACATCATGCAGCACATGACATTTTAGGTCTTACAACATGCAACAACACACACACAAATGCCCTCACTCCTCACTGTGGGTAATTTCACCTTTCTATTTCCAGAAGAAGCCTGGAGATAGTTATACCCAATGAAGACGTAAAAGCACCGGGTCTCTGGATTGATGGGAATGGTACAGTTGAGGGTACAGAAACTAAGGAAAAGTTTATACAATGAACAGGGCAACCCCCACTCTCTTTCCCCACAACTAGCAGCCAGCAGAACGCAATGTGCAGGGACTTGAGGGCTGTGACCACCCCAAGAGGAAAGCCCTACAGACACCGGGGCTGCCAATGAAACAGCCCAGCTCTTGGTCATCCCTCATGAGTCCAGGGCTTCAATTAGTTTTTAATTAAATATGAGAAAGCAGCCAGGGATCTGTAGGGGAGGGAAAAAGGGCTTCCCTCCACCCTTTGGCTGGGCTACAAATAATTAAATGGACATAAGACAGATTATCAGGAGAAAAACCATGTTTAATTATGTACATACGCACAGCAGTCCCACAATATATGAGACTTGAAGAAGGGCCAGATGACCGAAGCTTATATCCCATCCTGAGCTACAGAAAGAAATAGGGCCTCAGGGCTTCTAGCAGGAGATGGCAACAAGGTATGGGAGGAAGAGGGGTGGAAATGCATGGTGAACAAAGGTTGTCTTGTGCAGATAAAAGGTCTTTCAGGTAATAAAAGTTGTCTGGTCTTTCAGGTAATAAAAGTTGTCTGGAGCATCCCTCTTCCTGATACAGGTACTTTTTTGTTTTCACTTTTTAAAGGAAGTTATGACATTATAAGAGACAGAAGTTTTTTTGTTTCTTTGTTTTTCTGAGACAGGTTCTTGCTCTGTCACCCAGGCTGGAGTGCTGTGGCGTGATCATAGCTTACTGCAGCCTCAACCTCTTGGGCTCAAATGATCCTCCCAACTCAGGCTCCTGAGTAGCTGGGACTATAGGTGTGTACCACCATGCCAGGCCTGATACAGATACTTTTACTAGATTTTCTTTCTAGATGTTACCTCCATTTACAAAAGGACAGCTTTTCAGAACTACTCCTGTATCTGCAGTTTCTCAGAATAATCAGCTCAAAACATGCCAAAGAAGTACATTTTTGCGGTGTTATCTTCTAATCTCCTATGTATTTTGGGGTGGTATGTTCTGAGTCCCAGAAGATCACCAAATAGCTGAAGAATTCTCTGATGTAAGACAGGGACAAATACGAAGAGAACAATGCAAAGTGGAGGAAACAGATCATGTAGGGAGTTTCAAATTTCAAAATCACTACTATTAATATCCTCAAATAGATGAGAAGATAGCACATGCATAAAACAAGAACAGGATGCTATGAAAAAGTAACAAGCAGAGATTAAATTTAAAAATTTTAAATTTAAAACGTAGCAGAAATTTTAAAACATAAAAATATGATAGAATATTTTAGAATATTTTAAAAACTTAATAAAAGGGTTAGAAAATAAAGCTGGAGGAATCTCCCAGAAAATAGAGCAAAAAAAGGAAAAAAGAAAAAGAAATGAAACATTCTCTAATGAAAAGATGAGAACACTAGAGGATCAGAGGGCATCAACCAAGAAGTAATTCAAGAATATCTCCTAAAACTACAGATATAGATTTCTAAATCATGAGAACCCACTTTGTACCCAGCTCAATGGATGAAATAGACCAAACCAAGACACATCATTGCACGTCACTGTGAAATTTCAGAACACTAAGTAGGAGAAGATCCTAAACATTTCCAGAGTGCTCGAGGAAAAACAAAGCCAGTAGAGGCACATATAAAGGATCAGGAGTCAAAATGTTTTCAGACTTTCCAGCAGAATGCTGGAAGCTAGGTGGCAATGAAGCAATGTCTTCAAAATCCTGAGGAAACAATATTTCAAACTTAGAATTCTATAGTCAGTCAAGCAATCAATGAATTATGGGGGTAGGCAGACAAAACACATTTTTATTTTATTTTTATTTATTTATTTATTTTTGAGACAAGGTCTCCATCACCAGGCTGGAGTGCAGTGGTGTGATCACGGCTCACTACAGCCTTGACCTCCCAGGCTCAGGCGATCCTCCCTCCTCAGCCTCCCAAGTAGCTGGGACTACAGATGGGTGCCATCGCACCCAGGTAATTTTTATTTATTTATTTTTTTTTTGGTAGAGAGGGGTTTTGCCATGTTGCCCAGGCTGGTCCCAAACTCTTAGGCTCAAGCGAACTGCCCACCTTGGCCTCCCAAAGCACGGGGATTATAGGCATGAGCCACTGCACCTTACCAAAAGTCATTTTTAGATATACAAGGTTTCCCAAATTTTCCTTCCTGTGTTGACTCCTCCCATCCCCAGGAAGCTACAGAGCATTCCATCAAGACAAAATGGTAAACCAGGAAAAACAAAGACTTGGGATCCAGGAAATAGGAGAGGGGCAAAGGGAAGCCCATGGAAAATGAGGAAAGGGGATCCCAGGATAAGGGCTCTGTAGCAGGTTCTGGGAGCTCCCAGTCCACATGGGAACAGGTCAGAAGTGCTCCAGGAAAGGCCAGGTGTGGTGGCTCATGCCTGTAATCCAAGCACTTTGGGAGGCTGAGACAGGCAGATCACTTGAAGTCAGGAGTTCAAGAAGTGCTCCAAGAGAAATTTCTCCCAAAGGTAAAATTGGTCAAATACCTGATGCAATATTGAGTTGCGATTCAGATAAGTTGAATTTGTGATAAATGTATAAGACACAAAAGAACAGATAAACGAACAAAAAAAAATTTTAAACTCTGGGTAAAATAAAATGTTTTTCAAGAAGGAAAGAGAAATCACAGTTTACCACCTACATAGCACTGATGTAATCATATTAGTACATATAAATACTGAAGACTGGTCTAACTAAAATTATGGCATAATCCCAGCAATATGATGTGGCAATTGAGAGCATAGACTCTGAAACCATACTGTTTATATTCAAATCTGTATCCACCACTTACTAGCTGTGTGACTGGGCCATTCGCTTAACCACTCGGTGACCCAGTTTCCTTATCTGTAACACGGGGATGATCACAGAACTTATTGTCTAGGGCTTGGGGCAGTATTGAGTGAATTAACACATGTAAAATGCCTAGAACAATGCCTGGAATGTAGTAAGTTCTATCTAAGAGTAACCTAGTATTGTTTTGTTTTGTTTTTCGTCTTTTTGAGACAGAGTCTCGTTCTGTTGGCCAGACTGGAGTCCAATGGCACCATCTCCGCTCACTGCAACCTCCACCTCCTGGGTTCAGGTGATTCTCCTGCTTCAGCCTCTCGAGTAGCTGGGATTACAAGCATGTGCCACCACACCCGGCTAATTTTTGTATTTTTAGTAGAGACGGGGTTTCACCACGTTGGCCAGGATGGTATTGATCTCCTGACCTCATGATCTGCCCGCCACAGCCTCCCAAAGTGCTGGGATTACACGCGTGAGCCACTGAGCCTGGCCCCTAGTATTGTTTTATAATCATATTAGGAAAATGGAGAGAAAGAGGTGAGCTAAGGGTGGGGGTGAGGATGGAGGGTGGGAACTTAATTGTCTGTCATATTCCATAGAGGAAAATAAATAGAAATGCCTAAAACTGAAAAATCAGGAAGCAGCACTATAGGAATATTATTTAGAGATCTGAAGGAACATAGGGGGAAAAAAAGCTAAAACGAATGTAGAATGAATGGTTGCTTCTGGAGAACAAGAAACTGAAGGGAATCCAGGGGATGATGGCACATTGTTTTTCACAATAAGCTTTACAAAATGATTTGAATCTGAGTTCCCCAGAAGCAGACCCTGAGATGGAGATTGGTGCGCAAGTGATTTACTGAGAAAGTGCTCCCAGGGGAAACTGGTAAGGGCAGGAGAAGCGCATCCCAGACTGCACCAGACCCTGCTCCAGCTCCAGGCAAGGCTGCCAGGCTTTGTCACTCCCTCCAGCACCTCTGGAGGGCCAGGCACTGAGATGGAGAGGGCCAAGGGCACCAAGGGCCACAGGTGGAAAGTCTCCTGCACCCCAGGGCACCCAGAAGGCTGGTGACATACCTCTGAGATGTAAGAGGATCTGAGAGGGTTTGGGTGGTGACCTCGAAATACCTACGAGTCCTAAAATATAGTTCAATATGCTGCAATTTGCATCTCCCAGCCAGACTTTTCCAGATTTGTACATCACATGGGATTGGCAATAAACCCAACTTGTTCAACCACAGGGGGTCCCAGAGATCTGTGCTGGTGGGTGCTGATGTGCAGCTTCCCAGGAAGATATACTTTGCTTTTCCAGGTACCCAACACTTTGTGTGCCTTCAAGCTTGAAGGAGAGGAATGATTGTGGGGTAGGGTTCTTTCTTGAACCCCCAAATTCATTCCATGGAGACAGCCACTCACTACTTCTAGGTGGGCATTAATGTTATGAGTGGGCTACACTCTGGAGATTAATTCTTGTTGTTTATTGCCACTGCTATATAATTTATTCAAGTAAAAACAGTAGTGTTTCAGTAAAGTCAATTTTAGAATAATTATAATATTCAGAAAGTTTTTTTTTTTGCAAATACAGACAGCAACAAAAATAACTTTGAAAGAGAAAAACTGGCCCTTTAATTTTCTCCAGAGGACTATAACCTAAATTTCTCCCAGATTTACATGCTTTCATTTATTAAGCAAAATAAACTAAACAGAAGCTTAATTAAAAGTTTGTATGTGATATGAACAAAGTTCACATGAAGTCTGTCTTTACCAATCCTGCTATAAATGAGTGACCTCACACTCTAATGTTTTAAATACTTTTTACCACTAATATGGCACTGGCCCCAGTTGTCTCAATGCCTTTAATAGACAGCGAGGAGCTGGAAGGTTCTGTGGCACATGCCCTGAGCATCGCCTTGGGGCTGGCACAGCATGCCACACGGAGATGCCCAAAAAACATCTGAAAGATGGCCGGGCACAGTGGCTCACGCCCATAATCCCACCACTTTAGGAGGCCGAGGTGGGCAAATCACCTGAGGTCAGGAATTTGAGACCAGCCTGGCCAACATGGCAAAACCCCATCTCTACTAAAAATACAAAAAATTAGCTGGGTGTGGTGGTGCGTGCCTGTAATCCCAGCTACTTGGGACGCTGAGGCAGGAGAATCATTTGAACCTGGGAGGCAGAAGTTGCAGTGAGCCAAGATAGTGTCATTGCACTCCAGCCTGAGCCACAGAGCGAGACTCCATCTCAAAAAAACAAAACAAAACAAAACGAAAAAAATGGAAAGAACCAACCTGAAGCCCTTACATGCAGGTTTACTCCATTGTCACCGCTACCATAAGCAAATGTCTTTCTGTGGCAGTCGCTGAGGGAGGCGAAGTCACGGGTAAGACAACCACCTGCTTACGCACAGGATTCCTTGTCACAAACGATCCCATGGGAGGACAGGCTCCCTTCCAGAGGATCCTGGGTCACCCACCTTTGGGATGCTGAAGGAAGGTACTGAGCTGGAAACAGTCACCAGCTCTAGGACTTAAACTGTGACAATGAAGACCAACTGAAAGATCTAAATTTTTTTTTTTGAGTCTCACTCTGTCGCCCAGGCTGGAGTGCAGTGGCACGATCTCGGCTCACTGCAACCTCTGCCTTCCAGGTTCAAGCAATTCTCCAGCCTCAGCCTCCCAAGTAGCTGGGACTACAGGTGTGTGCCACCATGCCTGGCTAATTTTCTTTCTTTCTTTCTTTCTTTCTTTCTTTCTTTCTTTCTTTCTTTCTTTCTTTCTTTCTTTCTTTCTTTCTTTCTTTCTTTCTTTCTCTCTCTCTCTCTCTCTCTCTCTTTCTTTCTTATTTTTAGGAGAGACGGGGTTTCACCATGCTGATCAGACTGGTCTCAAACTCCTGACCTCGTGATCCACCCGCCTTGGCCTCCCAAAGTGCTGGGATTATACATGTGAGCCACCGCCCCCGGCAAGATCTAAAATTTCACATCATGTTGTTGTCCCCATTCTATCTCAGCTGCCCTAAGTTACTTTTGAAAAATTTTTTTTTTCTGCATGCCATGGCTCATGCCTGTAGTCCCAGCACTATGGGAGGCCAAGGTGGGAGGATCACTTGAACCCAGGAGTTTGAGATCAGCCTGAGGAACACAGTGTGACCCCATCTCCACAAAAAAATTTAAAAGACAACCATGCAGCTGTAGTCCCAGCTACTGAGGAGGATGAGGCAGGAGGATTGCTTGAACCTAGAAGTTCAAGGCTGCAGTGAGCCATGATCACTACTGTACTAGAGTCTGTCTTGAAAGAGGGGAGAAGGGAGAGGAGAAAGGAGAGGAAAGGAAGGGTGAAAGAAAGATCCTTTTCTGCTCACTTCCGGAGCAGGAATTCTGAACCTGAGGTCTGAAGTCCATGAAACTGCATGACATTTGCTTTGCTTCTGTGTGTATATTGTGGGGAGACGGCCCTGGGGTGGTCCTCCAGCTGTAGTGATACAGTGATGCAGTGGAAGGGTGACAAAGGAAGAGCTTTTGGTGTGCTGTATTTTTTTTCTACATTTGCTAAAGGAAATGCCCACATAATTCAATGTCTTTAACCCTATCTCCATTGGGGAAAAGAATGACAAAAGGACTGCAAAGGAGAAAAGCTGAATAGAAACACTTCATCCCATCCCACTCCAGCTGCAAGTAGATGAGGGCATGTTCCCTTTTTCAATTCTTTTCTCCCTCTGGATGGGGAGGGGCAGCACACAGTCAGGAGAAGTAGCAACTGTGCCTACATCTGCTCTAATCCCTATTTTTAGAAGAAGGAACATTTGAGACCAGCTGTTTTCTCTTCTCCATGGGTAAGAGAGTATTTATAGAAGTCCTGTTGAGATTCTGGGGCAAGTTTGTATCATTGCGTAAAGTAGAATAGTGGTTTTCCAGGATACATCCTGCAAGTTCTCAGACATGACCCCAGATGTCCCAAGGAGAATAGAAACCCTTCCTCTTCTATCTCTTCTCCATCCAGCCCTCCACTGCAAGAGAGATGGTTCCTATCTCTGAAGCTGGCCCCAGCGACAAGCAAGAAAGGACTGGACCAGCCTGTACTTTCCTCATCTCTTTTGTCTTACGTTGCTGTTGAGGTCAACATAGAGGCTGGAATCTCCTCAAAATGAACTGTTTTGAGCAAATATGAACAAACCCATTAGTTTGAAAGTTCCAAGAGGGAGAGAACTTGCATCAAGTTTTAAGTCTCCCCCTGCAGGGGCTGGAGGCCACCAGGCACCTGGTAGTCTGCGCTGAGAGCCTGGGCTTCCCCATCCTCTTCAGGAGGAGAGGAGAGATGGATGGATTCTACCCCTAAAGTAAGCCAAGAAGCCATCCAGAAATGGGGTGAGGGCTCCCTAAAGGTGACTGCTCACCTCTGCCAGGGGCATCTCTGGTGGCTCAGAGTAAAAAGCTGTCAGAGGAAATTAGCGAACACAAGGATCTTGCATGTGCTGTGGATGGAACTGTGCACATTCAAGCACCTGATCCTGTGGGTAATCAGAGAGCAATTAGGCCTCACTTAGTAGATGGAGTCTGGCCACCACAGACTGAAATGGATTTGAAGTGGATGGCAGTGATTAAGCCCAGGCCTGTGGCGGTACCCCACAGGGTCAATTACAGCTGCAGGAAAACGTGATGCTCCAACCAAGTGAGAGGAGGGCTAATTAGAGAAGCTGGGCCAGAATCGCAGATGAGCCCATCATCAAGAAGGCAAGATGGTACTGTGTCTAAACACCACCTGTTAGGTGATTCCAGATAAGCAAACATCCAAGGGAAGTGGTGGGGAGCATTCAAAGAGCAGACCCTGAGAGAGGGTGAGAAATCTGCTGATGAGTTCAGCTGGGAGCCAGGACAAAGGCACAGGTGACAGCCTGGGGGACCTGTCCTAACTGGGCGATTAGACAATCAGTGACTCCTTGAGGCTTCCTGAGAGACTGAGATATAGCAGGAAAGTGGCCTAGAAGTGAGAATCTTTCTTGTTGAATCCAGAGGCAAAGTGGAGAGCACTTTTTTAACCCCTTGTCTTCCAGCTCACCTTGCCAACATAATGGTGCTCATCCACTCATTCACTTTCTGTCTGGGCCAATATTTGAGAAACTATTGTCAGAAACCATTTACGGATGGTTGGCACTTTGTCACTGACAAAGGTGTTCAGGCAGATCATAATGATAACAATGCAAAGAGCTAACATTTCCTGAGCAATTCCTCTCTGCTGTGCATTCTGCTATGTGCTTCACATGTATTTTCTTGTTGAATCCTTACAAACTAGGAGGTAGGTACCATTATCATTGATTGATGAGGCAGAGAGAGGTTAACTTGCCAAGAACTCATGGGATGCTTGTAACACCTCAGTGAGTGAGGCAGGCAGGGTCTCCTCCATTCTGCACAAGAGGTTGTACAGGCTGGATAGAGTTGCCTAAGGTCAGACTCAAGTCACAAATGGCAATTAGGGTCCAATCTGAAGGTCTTTCTACCATGCCATGTGGCCTATAAGAGGAGAAACAGAGCATGTGGTCTGCTTCTTTAGTTAAAGGTGTGTTTCTGTGGTGACGTCCTGGTTCCTTGCCTGACCTGCAAGGACAATGGCTCTCACTAACCACCTTGGCTGTGCCTTATCCATCTGGGAGGAGATAATGTTGGAGATAACAGGAAAACTGGCATACAAGGGACAACCCATTGGAGAATTTTCCAGGACAGTCCATATTTGAGACAGTTTGTGCAGTTATCATCATAACTACACTCATTCTTGTCACACTGTGTACAGTAAGTCTTCACTTAATGTTGTCAATAGGTTTTTGAAAACCACGACTTACAGTGAAATGACATACGTTTGGTCCTTGGAGAAGGTCATTTCTATAATGTTGATGGCAAAAAGAAAATGTTTTCTTTCAAAGTCATTTACCTTAGAGTTGCAGTTTCCAAGAACCTACTGACATTATTTTATTTATTTATTTAGAGACGGAATTTCATTCAGTCGCCCAGGCTGCAGTGCAGTGGTGTGATCCCGGCTCACTGCAACCTCTACCTCCCGGGTTCAAGCGATTCTCTTGCCTCTGCCTCCTGAGTAGCTGGGATTACATGCACCCGCCAGCATGCCCAGCTAATTTTTGTATTTTTAGTAGAGAAGGGGTTTCGCCATGTTGGCCAGGCTGGTCTTGAACTCCTGACCTCAAGTGATCTGCCCGCCTCGGCCTCCCAAAGTGCTGGGATTATAGGCTTGAGCCACTGTGCCCGGCCCCTACTGACATTATTAAGTGAGGACTTATTGTATCTGATTTATGGTTAGGAAGACATTTTGTAAAATGGCTGGACTTTGTGTCAGAGCCTCACCCCCTGCCAGAAGCCCCTTTGTTCAAATGCTCTCTCCTCCATGTGAGTGAGTTCAGAACCACCAGGCCTACAGTCATTTTGTGGCATGAAAAGCCTGGACTCTGTGTATTAGTTATGCGGCATAACAAGTTACTCTAAAACGCAGTGGCTTAAACCAAACACATTTATCATCTCACAGTTTCTGTGGGCCCAGAATCAGGGCATGGCTGAAATGAATTCTCTTTCAGGGTCTCTCCCAGGCTGCAATGAAGAAATCAGCCAGGTAAGGGTCTCACCTGAAAGTCTGGCTGCAGCAGAAGCCAATTCTAAGCTTGCATGATCGCTGGCAGAATTCAGTTCCTCCCGGGCTCCCGACTGAGGGCCTCTGTTCCTAGTTGGTTGTTGCTCAGAGGCCACCATCAATTATTTGCCTTGTAGACTTCTCCAACAGGGTAGCTGGTTAAAGCAAAGTGTGGAAGCCAAAGCCAAGAAGGTCAAGGAGGCAAGGAGGAGAGTCTGCTAGCGAGATGGAAGTCTCAACCTTCTGTAATCTAATTGCAACAAAATAGACTACTATTTTTTGATTGCTTACTATGTGCTGGGCTCTGTGTTAAACACCTCGCATGAATTATCTCATATAATTCTCACGACCACCATGTGGCATAAATATTATCTCCATTGTGCAGAAAACCTGAACTCCAGAGGGATTAAATATCTGGCTCAAGGTCAAATAGTAAATGCCAGAGCCAGGATTCAGTCAGGTCTACCAACCTCCAAAGCCCATGCCTTCAGCCACCACCATTACTGAACTGCCATTTAAGCGAAACACTCAAATTTCTTCTACCTGCCTCCTTCTTTGTGGTTCCATGGTCACCCCCTGGAGTCCAGACCTCCTACTCTGGTGATGATAATGATGATACTGTCGGGAGAGCAGTGTGCCTTCCTACTCTACGGCTCTCTCCTAATCCTATTCTATATCCTCATTTGCTTTAGTACCATATTTATCCTGTCAAGCCCCGACTCAAAAAGTTATCACCACCTCCCTCTTTCTTATCATAGGATCATAGAACGTTAGAGCTGGAAGTATCACATTTATCTTGCCAACTTCCAGCTCAAAAAAGTCTCACCATCTCCCTATTTCCTATCAAAGAATCAGAATGTCAGAGCTGGAAGGGATCTTGGCTTTCTATTTGATGCAACTTCGTTCATAAGTTGGATAGTGGCAAGGGAGGAGGCTAACGTGGATTTCCACATGCTATGCCCATGGTAAAATCACACCCACTCAGATGGTATAGAAAGAAGGCCCAGGCTTGGCAGAATAATGGGAGAACTGGGGAGATGTGGAGCCATTTGGGAGAGAATGGCCTCTGAGCACGACTCTTTCCACATGGCTGGGGGGTGGCTGGTTTGCTCTCTTGACACTCCTTTTCTGATGGAATCACAGCTGACTATGGGAACTAGAGGACCAGAGCCTCCCTTGGGTGTAACTGAAGATCGGGACATAAAATCAACAGAGACAGATCATTTAATAAATGCAAGGGTGAGAGAAGGGAAGGAGCCATGGGTTTATTCAGCTGGGTGGATGGTGGCACTGCTCATGGAGACAAGGAAACCCTGAGGTCAGTGGGGAGAGCAGTTTTGAATATGCTGACATTGAGGTCTGTGAGTCATAGATTGGGCCTGGAGGCAGTTAGATGAAACAAGAATGGCAAAAAATTGGCTGTTGAAACTGGTTAATGGGTCCAAAGGGGTTCTTTGTACTACTATGTTTTTGTATATGCTTAAAATTTCTGTGATGATGATGAAAGTGTGAACAGGCAAACAAGAAGAAGAGCATGGACTAATCTTTTCAGTGAACCTGGCCATCAAGGGAAGGAGTGAGATCCAGCAATGACTACGAGAGGCATAAAAGGGAGTTGTCTGATTAAGAGAAGAGAGAGTAATATAGTTTGAATATTTCTCCCCTCCAAATCTCAGGTTGAAATTTGATCCCCAAATTCAAATTCAAAGGGATCAAATTGTTAAAGGTGGGGCCTCACGGGAGGTGTTTGGGTAGTGGGGGCAGATTCCTCATGAATGGCTTGGTGCCATTGCGAGGTAGGCCGTGAGTTCAGAAGCAAGTTCAGAGTTCTTGCTCTGTTAGTTCAAGCGAGAGCTGGTTTAAGAGAGCCTGGCATCTCCTCTTCTCTGTCTTGCTCCCTTCCTCTCACCATGTGATGTCGGCTCCCCTTCCCTCCTCCTGTGAGTGGAGGCTTCCTGAGGCCATCACTAGAAGCAGATGATGGCACCATGCTTCTTGTACAGCCTGCAGAACCATCAGCCAAATAAACCTCTTTTTTTTTTTTTATAAACTACGCAGCCTCAGGTATTCCTTTATATCAATGTAAAATAGGCTAAGACAAAGAGATCTGAGCATATATATTGGCTGAGGGGAAGCACCAGCAAAGAGGGTGTAGAAGTTAGCTACTGCCACAAAATTGCTGCATAACAAAACTACCCTAGAGCTATTGGCTTATAGTCATTTATGGTCACAGATCTGTGGATTGGCTGATGGTCAGCTGATGGGAGGCAAGGCTCAGCTGAGATGGCTCGGCTTTGCCCCTCACATCTGTCTTTTTCCTGAGACAGACTGATGCAGAAATGTGGTCCTTGTGGCAATGGCAGAGCACAGGGAGCAATACATGAGGTCTCTTGAGGCCTAGGCTTGGAACCTGCACACCGTCAGTTCCAACTTACAGAATGGAAGCACGTCATGTGGATGGACTCGTAGACAATGGGTGAGAAAATATCTCCAGCCCTCTTTACGGGCAAAACAAAGCCACATGGCAAAAGGCAGCTAATACATGACATTTACTCACTTGAGCAGGCACACCATAGTTCTGTTTAAGTTCACCTTCGAGGTTGACCTTCATGACTCCCAGTTTTATCCCCTCCAGACCAAAGCTGTTTGGGCCTGGGGAAGAGCTTGAACCCCTATTGGGCCAAAGGTTCTCTTTCAGGGGGCATTAGCCATGGGGAGTTAAGGGAACAGATTACATAAGGTCTGGGCTGCTTGAGTGGAGCCAAAGCCCTCAGAAAACTACAATCACAGAGGCAGAAACTCATCCTTACCGATGAAGCTGATCTGCAGAGAAGAGAGTGGAGAGACAGGCAGAGGTAAGGAGAGGCCTGGGCCTGAGAGGACATGAAACCTGGGAGGGTAGGTGGGCAGGAGGGAGGAAAGGGAAGGTCATGGGAGGGAGAGCTGAGCAACGCACACACATGTGCACACAGGACATGAATGCAGCAGTCTAAGAGATGACTGGAGAGCAAAGGGGGAGTGAGACTAAGGAGGACAGCAGATCCCAACAGTGACAGACTGAGACCCAAAGCGTTTGCAGACAACTCTCCCACCCTGAGGCCTTTCTGTAGTTGGTCCCGTGAGATCCCCTTGTATCCTTACAATAACTCCCTTTTCATTAGATTAGTTTGAATGGAATTATGTTCCGTGCACACAAAAGATTCCTTGCTGAAGACATTCATGTAAAATCTTTAAGGCTTCACACAATGAGTTCATAGTTGTTCATTCAACTAATAAATAATAAGGTTAGCCCTTCATGTATGCATGTCGTCTTGCTACTGAGGACTCGAAAAGAGTATCTTCCAGTCTCTAGCCTTATAGAGGTTAAATCAAGATCAGAGAAATTAGAAATTATGTGCCTAAATAGTTAAAAATAGCCCAACACATTTGAGCATTACTATAGAAAGAAAAGGCCACAAAAGTTCAAAGGAAGAGAGGGCGGGTGCGGGTTGCAGTCACCAGGGGAGGCTTATCTAGAGGAGGCAGAACTTGATCTGGGCCTGGACTTGAGCCTCAGGTAGGAAGGGGCCTGGAGGAGGCCTGCACCCTGGGCTTCCATGTCCCACCTGAGCATTGTTACCTGATTTGTAGGAATAATAGCTAGCAGGAATACAAATGCTTTGCAAATACTAGTGTTGTAAATTTAAACCTATAAAGTCTCGGGTGTTTTAGGGAGATGACACGGGCAGCTATAGGCAAGAGAGACTAAAGGCGGGAGAGTGTAAAGGCAGGAAAATCTGTTGACAGGCTGTTACAGGTGTCAAGGCCTAGAGCAAAGAAAAGCCTAGCAGAGGTGGGGAAGGAGGAAAATGGAAAGGACAGGTACAGAGGCCAGCTAGGGAAGTGCAGAGGAGAGAGCAGGTGATACTGTCAATGGTTTCCAACCCTGAATAAGAGACTCATTTCACTGGTATGGTGGCAACAGCATTTTCAAAAGCTTCCAGGTGACTAATGTGCAGCCAGGGTTGAGAACCACTGTTATAAGTTTTCGTGGCTGGAGACAGAATTATGCCACCATTGACAGAGAGAAAAAGGGCAAAAAGAGGTGTGGCCAGAAAAAGGCAGTAAGATTGACTTACAAAGAATGTTGAGTTTAAGGTGACTGCCTGACATTCAAGTAAAACACACACAGACAGACAGACAGACAGACAGACACACACACACACACACACACACACACAAACCAAACCCCAGTTGTCATCTAGAAATGTGGGATATTAGAAAAATTAGAAAAACACATTGGGGGCCAGGCGCAGTGGCTCACGCCTGTAATTCCAGCCCTTTGGGAGGCCGAGGCGGATGGATCCCTTGAGGTCAGGGGTTCGAGACCAGCTTGGCCAACATGGTAAAACCCCATCTCTACTAAAAATACAAAAATTAGCCACGTGTGGTGGTGCGCACCTGTACTTCCAGCTACTCAGGAGGCCGAGGCAGGAGAATCATTTGAGCCCGGGAAGTGGAGGTTGCAGTGAACCGAGATTGCCAAGATTGCACCACTGCACTCCAACCTGGACAACAGAGCAAGACTTTGTCAAAAAAAAAAGAAAGAAAGAAAGAAAGAAAAACACATTGGGAAGTAAACTGCAGAGAGAAAGGAGGTGGAGCTGTGGATCACAGGGTGAGAAAGAACAAAGAAAAAAGACCAAAAGTTTTTGAGTATACAGAGTGACCTGGATCCTATTAGCTGCTTTACGTGGAGAGTTGTTGGAAGAGCTGTAGATTGGTGGTAAATGTGTCTAGCATAGGGGATGGCACATAATAAATACAACTATTGGTTAATAGAATTTCATTTAATTTTAAAAATGACCCTTACTGGTGGGTATTAACAGTCTCAGTTTAAAGATAAGAAACTCAAAGAGCCCTTATCCAAAATCCTAGTTAGTAAATTTAGAGTTGGAATTCAACGTCAGGGGATTGAGGCTGAAAGCCAGCGCTCGCCTGCTATAATACATCAGCGCACAGGGCTAAGCACCAACCTAAAAAGGTGGAAGAACGATTGTCCAAGGAGACAGGACAAGTCAGGAAGGCAGGGGGAAGCCATGAGTATGGCTATGCTGCATGGGGTCAGTGGCCAAGAAAGGCCAAAAGAAAGGAGGATCTCAGAGATTTACCGTGCACCCTGGCCCTGGGCATGAGGCATGGGGAGGAGAAAACCAGAACTGGCGCAAGAGAAACCATTTTAGAATTCCGGAGTTGTGGGAGGGATGAGTGTAGAATTCTCCCATCCATGGACAGGGGCTAGAGTGGCAAATGAAGAAAGCAACAGGTGGACCCAAGGCATAGACACTCTCACAGCCCCGTTATCTTGAGACGGAGGATGACACAGGCGTTATCAACTTTCCCACTTTCAAGATGAGCAGACTGAGGCAAAGGAGTGTTTATGAACTGGAATACTCAGTTCATAAGCACTGATGTTAAGCCCTGGCTTGTTTCCAGAACTGCACTGCTGTGCAGGGACCTGTTCATCACATTCCGACAAGGGCTTAATGATTCGGAATAATGCAGGATGTGAAAAATATGGATCTGGCGAACATCCCCCAAGTCATCCTGCCAGTTATCTGTATCCAAGGACATTTTTTAGGCATGTGGTCCTCATAAACTAAGATACTCATATTCATTCAGGCCTCTCAAAAGTGCTTCTCAGGTTTTGATATGCACTGAATCACCTGGAGATTTGTTTCAAGTAGGTCATCAAGGCTCTAGGGCAGTGTTCCCAAACTTTTCCTTTTTTTTTTTTTTTTTTTCCAACCACCTGGTCAGTTTGCCGGGGTGGGGAAGGGTAGGATGGGGAGACATCTGTATTTATTCTTTTAGAGCTCGGGGTCTCACTCTGGGCTCAAGCGATTCGCCCGCGTACCTGGGACTACAGGTGCGCACTACTGTGCCAGGATAGTGGTTCCCAAACTTTTCTGCGCATTGAAATCACCTAGGAAGTTTCCAAAAATACTGATGCCTGTTTCCTACCCCCAGAAATTGTGATTTAAGTGGTCCAAGTATCCTCTAGGCTTCGGGATTTTGTAAAGCTCTCCACGTGAATCTGAGCTTAGGAACCTCTGAACTGGGGCTTGCAGCAGAAGCACGTAAAGCACGCAAAGAAACGAAACCACACAGGTCACACTAGTAATGTGGCAACAGGCTAACTTAAATTATGTAAGGCTAGTGCTTTCCAGAGTGTACTGGAGGACGGGAAACAAGCCCCATTTAAGCAGTGCCTCGGGATTTGAGTTGCCTGTGAAACGCAGCAGCCTTCTGCCGAGGACGCAGAAACCCCCGCCTCTCATCCAGGGCTGACAGGGCACGGGCCGCGAGCCGCGGCGGGGCCTCCTGGCGCATGCGCGATCTCCCGGAGCATGCGCAGCAGCGGCGCCGACGCGGGGCGGTGCCTGGTGACCGCGCGCGCTCCCGGAAGTGTGCCGGCGTCGCGCGAAGGTTCAGCAGGGAGCCGTGGGCCGGGCGCGCCGGTTCCCGGCACGTGTCTCGGCACGTGGCAGCGCGCCTGGCCCTGGGCTTGGAGGCGCCGGCGCCCTGGATCCGCCGGCCGTGGTCGCCGAGTCGGTGTCGTCCTTGACCATCGCCGACGCGTTCATTGCAGCCGGCGAGAGCTCAGCTCCGACCCCGCCGCGCCCCGCGCTTCCCAGGAGGTTCATCTGCTCCTTCCCTGACTGCAGCGCCAATTACAGCAAAGCCTGGAAGCTTGACGCGCACCTGTGCAAGCACACGGGGGAGGTGAGGGGGGCGAGGCTGCCAACCCTGGGCCTAGGGATGGCGCGTGGCCCCGGGGTAGCCACTGCAGTCGTGGCCAGGGCCGCAGGCCCCGCTGTGCAGCGCGTTCAGCTTTGACATCCAGGACTTGGGGAAGGAGCTGAGGAAGTAGACAGGAAGTTGTAGGACCTTCGTTCTGCGACCTTGATATCCATGGCAGGGGCTCGGGATTTACTAAGCAGTCATTGATCGTGAGTCTCGGCCAGCCAAGTGCCTCCCGTAATCTGCAAATAAGTGTGAGGTTTGAGGGGGCCCACCGCTACTAGACACCTGCCAAACACTGGCCCCTGGAGCTGGTACAGAAGATGGGTTACATGTACCAGGGGTCGTGAAAGCAGCATGTGCTCATTTCTTCGTAACTCCACACTGGAGAGAGCAGTGAGCAAAACAGGCAAACCCAAGGTTTCTGCTGCCATGGACCTTTGTTCCTGGGTCGAGCCGACCACAGGATAGGTGGGAATGACATGCAGTGTTGTGGTCAGGAAAGGCCTCTCTGTGTGAGCCGTGTAAGAAGGAAGGATCTAGCCATGCAGACATTTGTGCTAGGTAGAGAGAACACAAAGGGAGCCTGTGACCCTTGGGGTGGGAGGCAGGTGGGTGTGTTTGGGTGCGGAGATCACCATATGAGGTCTGAGAAGTAGGCCCATTAGGAGTTTGGATTTTATTTTGAGGGCAGGAGAATGTCAGATACCATGATATGACGTGGCAGCCCATGTCACACACAAGTGAGGAAAACGAGGGTCATGGAGGTCAAGGAATCTGCCCAGCTTCCCAGTTTTTGGCAGAGCTAGGCTTCACACTGCCTCAGCTTAAAGCCCTTAATTTCTTAAACCACTGGGCTGCAGTCCATACCTTTGCCCCTTGCACCTCCTCTAATTTATGGGCCACCTTCTCCAGGTGTCCTCCGGGGCCTCATTCCTTAACCTCTCCAGCACTGGAAGGCCGACCGCTTCTTCCTTGAGACCTTCTCTGGTTCTTTTCCTCTTCCTCGTCTGCCCTTTTCGTTGGATCCTCTTCTGCCCTCTGCATGTTCCACCCCGCCCAGCTCCCTCTTGCGGTCTTACATAGCCACCGGCATGACTCATAACATCCTTTATGCTTTGCCCCTCTGCCCTTCCTCTTGCCCGTTCTAGCCTCTAAATTCTGGGCTCTGTATTACCAGTAGATCCACGTAAGAGCTTGCCTTTCCTTTTAGACCGGTGTGCTGTATTTTGGATACTGGCGCTACCAGTTTCCTTAATACAGGTTGAAAAACTTGGAGTCATCTTTGTTGTCCCAGATCTCTCATGCAGATTAATTTGACAAATGTTTATTGAGCCTACTCCACGCCTGCCGCTGTGCAAGGTTCTGTGGCTCCGCCCCTGGTGGTATGTAGCTCACTGTGTTCCTGTTTGCTTGTTTTGCTCCTAGTACTCTCATGGAGGCCTCGGTGCCTCCCTCCTGGACGCCTTGGTAGTATGCTTTTCATAGTTTGATGCACCAAACTGGTTATTTGGTTATTTGGGGTGTGTGTTTGGCTTTTACTATAGGTTCAAAATGAGTCACCCCCTCCCAACTCCTGGGTTACAAAAGGTGGTTGCATTTAGGGTGTTGAGCTGTTTTCTTTGCTTCGCCCTGGCACCTGTGAGCTTTTTCAGGTGTGACACACTTTCCTATAGCTGTGCTTGGCATTATCCTAGCACAGACCCTGGGCTTGTCTGGGATGAGACAGGCCTCCCTCGTTCCTCTGCCCTAGGCTTGCTTTTTTACATGTTAAATCATGCGGTGGTGGGGATCCATGCAGACAAGCCATGCTAACAGCCAGGGCGTCTTTAAGAGGGGGTTGCTGTGAAAGCCTGCTGCCGGGTTGGGAGCAGGTTAAAAATGCTATGCCTGCTTATTTTAAATGCTGTTCATGGAACAAAAATCTGTGTAGTGACTTTGTGAGAAGTTGTGATGTTTATGTTGTGTAACTTTGTGCAGGAACACTGCGTCTTGCAGTGGGTGCACAGCTCTGAGTAGAAACCACCTCTTCATAGGAAGCCTGTGGCCTTAACACTAGGCAGTTTAAGCTTTTAAATAATACCAGAGTTACTAACTAGTGCAGAAGTGACATGCTTTTTCTTTTTTCCTGCTAGAGACCATTTGTTTGTGACTATGAAGGGTGTGGCAAGGCCTTCATCAGGGACTACCATCTGAGCCGCCACATTCTGACTCACACAGGAGAAAAGCCGTTTGTGTAAGTAGAGACCTGTTTTTAGGCTTTTGAAGTGGGTTGTGTTGGGCATATAGACCCAGTAAGAAGATTGATGTTAACTCACGAGATCAGGAATGTGAAGCCTGGCAGGGCTCGGTGGCTCATGCCTGTAATCCCAGCACTTTGGGAGGCGGAGATGGGCAGATCACTTGAACCCAGGAGTTTGAGACAAACCTGGGCAACATGGTGAAACCCCGTATGTACAAAAATACAAAAATTAGTCAGGGATGGTGGTTTGTGCCTGTAATCCTAGCTACCCAGGAGGCTGAGCTAACATAAAATGCTCATGGGTGGGGACAAGCTAAAGTATATCAACACAATGGGATACCCTACAGCCAGGAAAATGAATGCAGATGCTCTCTGCAAAGCCATGAGAAAATCACCAGGGCACTTTAATTGAAAAACCAAGGTGCAGAAGAGTCCTCTTTAGGCTACTTTTATGTGTGTAAAAAAGCTAGGGGGTAGGGGGAGGGGTGAGTAGTGGGTGTTGGGTAGGCAGGAAGCAACTATATTTGTATTTGTTCCTATTTGTAAAGAAGTCTTAAAAGTTACATAACAAAACTAAAAATGTCATCTGTTTTGGGAGCAGTGGGGGATCCTGGCCAAGTAGGGGGTGGGGATGGTAGGAAATGCCATGCAACCAGGAACTACTGGACATGACTCTTCCAGCTCATGATCTAACCCAGACCCTGCCCCTCTTTAGCTGTAGTTCCCCGTTTCCCACTGCTCGCTGGACAGTGCTACTTGGCTATCTCTGTGTCTTCTTAAATTCCATGTGGTAGGCTGGGTGTGGTGGCTCATGCCTGTAATCCCAGCACTTTGAGAGGCTGAGGTGGGAGGATTGCTTTGAGGCCAGGAGTTCAGGCTGGGCAAGATGGTCAGGTCCATCTCTATTAAAGAAATAAATAAATAAAAAATTCCACATGGCCCAAATTTGTCACAGTCAAACTGAGCTCACTTTTCTGTTTGATCTTCTCTCATGTTCTTGTCTGGAGAGGTGGCCTCGCTGTCTGTCCAGTGACCCATAGCAAAGATAAGGCAGCTCCCTGGACTCTCCATTCTTTCTCCCATCCCTTGCAACAGGTGGGTTGCCAGATCCTGTAACTGACCCATCAGATCCAGCAGCCACTGTCTTATCTCGGTCCCTTCCTCTGGCTGGAATGACAGTTTGCAGGCCAGCCCTCTCCCCCAGTGCCCTCCCGTGTGCTTCCCTTAAAGCTGTGCAGTGCTTTCAAGCACGGCCTACATGTGAAATCCAGGTTTCAAGTGTGTCCTACAATGACCTGCGTGATTTAGCCCTTTTCTGCTTATCTTGCCCCATTTGCTTGACTTGCAGGCATGAAGCTGTGGTCCAGCTGTGCTAACTAACCAGCCCCCTCTCCAAGTGTGCCGGGGTCTCTCACGCCCACTTGGGTCTTGTCAGGACTCTTCCTGGCCTGTCCTCCTATCCCATACCCGGTTGGGTTAGATGCCTGTGTCAGGTTTAGAGTGAAGAATGGCAGGAACCCCAGCACAAGAGATGCTTAAACAAGATGGGCTCTTTGTCTTGTGCGACTGAAATACAGAAATACAGAGGCAGGAGCTCTGGAGCCTCTTCTGACTGGTCTCTGCCATCCTCATCTTGGGCTTTAACCTCACTGTGATGCCTGTTTGGGCCCATCTGTCACATAAGCATGCCACTGGCAGGAAGGAGGAAAGGGCATAAGAGGCATGCCCCCTTATTTAGAGACTTTGTGGGGGTTGAGCAGGATGGGCTGGACTCAGCCATGAGCCGCCCTAATTGCAGGGGAGGCCGGAGAGTGCACTTTCTGTCGGCCACCTGCCCAGCTAACACTCAGCATTCTGTCCCTGCAGTTAGGGGGGCTTCTAGGGTCTCTGCCACAGCGCCCCTCCCATTTGTGGGCCTCTGTGCTGTGCCTCCCATGGTCACTGCTGGCTTGTTTGTCTCTGCTTGGCCCTAGGAATGGGACAGTGCCTGCCTCAGGGTTATCAGTGAGTGATGGCTAAGATTGAGCCTGGGAAAGGAAGTCCTGCTTCATCCCTCAAGCTTACGAAGGCTCATCACAAGAGGCACAAATTTTCTTTTGGGAAAAAAAAAAAAAAAAAAGGAAAAGGCTTTGCAGAGGATTTAGATCATTCAAAGCCAAGATGCCAAGATAAGGGGAACCAGAATGGCTTGGTAAGCCAGAGAACATAATGGTTATGGTTCTGCTCTAAGTATCTGTTTTACCTCTAATGATAAGCCAAGACAAGTTTTATGGAGGCCTTTCTGGAAATCCAGTTCATAATGACATCTCAAGCAGCATTAAGGTTGTCAGATTCTAAGCTGAGAATAATTTGTCTTAAGCATGATTTAGGCCTAGTGTAGGCTTTTGGGACTAGTGTATTTCACCTTCCCATCTGCCCAGTGTGTATAAAAGATGACTGATGTAGTGTGTATAATTTCAGAAGCCTAATATGAAAAAGCATTTTGTTACATGATAGTCATCAGGTTGAGAGTCTATGTGGTATGGCTTAACACTCTGGAATTCGCTAAGACTATTTTATAGTATTACTATTCTTTGGAAGAATTAGCTTCTATAAAGTAGGAAGATATATGTGTCTTAAAACTTCTTCTCCCTTGGTTTATTAATATTTTGGTTTATATAACTTCTTACAGTTGTGCAGCCAATGGCTGTGATCAAAAATTCAACACAAAATCAAACTTGAAGAAACATTTTGAACGCAAACATGAAAATCAACAAAAACAATATATAGTAAGTATGATTTTATATGCTTAAATTTTTTGAGTATTTTTACACTTACTGCCTATGTTTCTGACATTTTCAGCCAGGTGCGGTGGCTCAAGCCTATAATCGTAGCTTGAGGCCAGGAATTTGAGACCAGCCTGGGAAACATAGTGAAATGCTGTCTCTGAAAAAAAAAAACAAAAACAGAAAACAAAACAAAAAATTTTGGGGTAACAGAGACCCTGTCTCTAAAAAATAAAAGTGAAAAATAAAGTTTTCGTCAACCAAATTTTGTCTGCCAAATGTCTGAATTTACTTAATGCCATCATAATGATAAAGGTTTTAATTTGGAAGCAGACATTGTGCAAATTAGTGTATTGGGAGACTATTCCAACTGAAACAGTTTTGCTTTTTCAAATGTTATATGATTCTTCAAACCTTTTTGAGATAAAGCAGAATTTTACAGTAACAAAATGGGTGAAAGCAGAAATTTTATACAGTCTCCAAAATTGTTTTATCTTGAGGATTCTGTTACGAACTGTTCATTTTGTTTTGACTTTCCATAAGACTAACGAGCCTTTACAATTTAACAGTGCAGTTTTGAAGACTGTAAGAAGACCTTTAAGAAACATCAGCAGCTGAAAATCCATCAGTGCCAGCATACCAATGAACCTCTATTCAAGTAGGTACTTCATGTGGCTGAAAATGCCTGGATTCTAGGTGTGAATAAGATTGGAAATGCAAGGGTGGTGTTGAGCATTGTTTCATGTTTTTTGGCCATTTGTATATCTTCTGAGAAATGTCTGTTCATATCCTTTGCCCACTTTTCGATGGATTGTTTTTTTCTTGCTGATCTGAGTTCCCTGTAGATCCTGGATATACATTCTTTATTGGATGCATAATGTGCCAGTATTTTCTCCCACTCTCTGGGTTGTCTGTTTACTCTGCTGATTATTTCTTTTGCTGTGCAGAAGCTTTTTAGTTTAATTAGGTCCCATTTATTTATTTCTATTTTTGTTGCATTTGCTTTCAGGGCCTTAGTAAGAATTCTTTGCCTAGGCTGATGTCCAGAAGTTTTTCCAATGTTTTCATTTTGAATTTTTAGTTTCAGGTCATAAACTTAATTTGAGTTGATTTTTGTATAAGGTGAGAGATAGGGATCCAGTTTTTCCAGCACCATTTATTGAATAGGGAGTCCTTTCCCCAGTTTACGTTTTTATATGCTTTGTTGAAGATCGGGTGGCTGTAAGTATTTGGCTTTATTTCTGTTTTGTTCCATTGGTCTAAGTGCCTATTTTTAAACCAGTGCCACCCTGTTTTGGTAACTGTAGCCTCGTAGTATAATCTGAAGTCTGGTCAAAGGAAAAGAAGTCACTATATGAAAAAGACACATGCACACACGTTTACAGCAGCACAGTTCACAATTGCAAATACATGGAGCCAATTTAAGTGCCCATCGACCAATGAGTAGATAAAGAAAACGTGATGTATATACACCATGGAATACTACACAGCCATAAAAGGGAACAAAATGATGTCTTTTGCAGCAGCTTGGATGGAGCTGGAGGCCATTATTCTCAGTGAAGTAACTCAGGAATGGAAAACCAAATACCATAGTTTTCACTAAGTGGGCACTAAACTATGAGGACAAAAAGACACAGTGATTTCATAAACTTTGGGGACTTGGGGTGGGGAGTTTGGGGAGGGGGGTGAGGGATGAAAGACTACATATTGGGTACAGTGTATGCTGCTTGAGTGATGGTGCGCTAAAATCTCAGCACCACTATAGGATTCATCCACGTAACGAAAAAACACTTGCAACCCCAAAAGCCATTGAAATTTAAAGCAACGGTGGGACAAATCTTCTGAAAGCTTCCTAATCAACATTTTTCTGTTAAAATGTACTGCATATGCACATTTATATATTGGGAGCATTTTAAAGGTTTACTTTGCTCTGAAAGAAATATTTAATGTGTTTCAAAATAATTTTTGAGATTATTCTAGTTGTGGTTAAGCTTAAAGGCTGAGAAATTACTTAACTATTCAAATAGAGCCTGTGCAACTATATGAAATGTCATTATGGAGACACTCATTATGCTTTTCCTGTAGAACAAAACAAGTAGTTGGGTTTATCTGCAATTAGGGTTTTTTGAGGAACGTGAGGGTGGCTGGACAAGTTGGGTAGACCTGCAAAAGGGCCAGCGGCTCTCTGCATGGCTCTGGCCATCCGGCACTTTCCCTTGACTTGCACAGGCTGCCCTGTGCCTTGGAGTTGCTGCAGTGACCTTGCCTGTCCTTGCTTGTGGGTCTGCTGCTGCTGCTTTGCTGCTGATGGCTTTAGCACAGAGGGGGCCCGTGCTTTTTATTGCTCACCAGAGGCAGATGCATCTACTGCTGTGCTGTCTCGCACACCCCCTATGCAGCATCATTAGGAAAGCTAGACACAAGTGATTCAGAATGGCTTAGGGGTTTATCTAAGCCAAGTCAGATAACCTCTTGAACTATCTTTTTGTAGCCATGAAAGCAGAGTATATTTCCAGAGGTATAAAGATGAAAACTGTTTAAATGGGTCAAAAAAAGTAACGTGACTTTTTTCTCCAACAGTTTGTTTTGTCCTAAAGCTGGTCAAGTAACTTGAATCTCACCTGTGATGAGAGCTACATTTTAACATGGGTTTGGTTATGGGAAGAGGCAAGACTTTGGTGGGAGAAACAGGACAAAGTGCCATTGACCTTGAGCGGAGTTCTCTGTGAAAATGGATTGGCTAATACCTCATGTGTTGCCAATGCAGGTGTACCCAGGAAGGATGTGGGAAACACTTTGCATCACCCAGCAAGCTGAAACGACATGCCAAGGCCCACGAGGGTGTGTACGGATAGCCTGGGTGTGCTCCGAGGGGGATGCCAAATCCTGGGCGCCTTTGAATCTGTTCTGTGATCACGCTGAAAAGATGGGAACCCTGTGAACAGGGGACACCATCCTGCTTATTTGGGTCTTACACTCTTGTCCAAAGAGGCACTGTATATGTCTGTTTTTCCACTACCGTATCATTGCTGTTCACATGTAATGTGTTGTTTGTTCACAACAAGCGCCTGGTTACACATTACACTGACGAATGTGCTGATGCTCCAGCCATGGCTTTGATGCTTCTGTCATTTTTAACCTCTTCTATTAATATTTACTGCCTGTGCCATTCTTTTCCTTGTTGGCCATTCACAAGGCTTGGATAATCGTGTGACATTTTGAGAGCCATCAGATGTTACGTTTCTCAAAAAAAAAAAAAAAAGACTTGATTATATTAACTATTTGAATCTATGATCTGTTTCCTTGAGGGATTTTTGCTAATCTGTATTTCAATTTCCCAGGTCCTAGAATTTATGATTTTTTTTTTTTTAAGAGGTTAGTAGCTAACAGTGAGAGGCAGCCTCATTGTTTTTAGTTTCTAGTTGGGTGGAACTCAGCCCTAGTGTTGTATACTTATTAATCCCATTTTAGTGCTTTGCACATATCCATTGTTATTCAGTGTTTTTCTCTGGGTCCTTCCAGTTTATTTTCTTCCTTAGCTGTACTCTTTTAAAAAAAAAAAACAAAAAAAAACTTTTTTTTTTTTTTTTGTGATAAAGTTAAAATATAATGTACCCTACTTTTTTTGTGCAGTATGACACTTACAAGATGGCCAGACTAGAGGAAGCCAGAGGTGGGCATGGTAACACTACTGAAAAGTTGGTGGTGTGCCATGGACAAGGGACCGACTGCAGAGTATGTTTGCTGAGGAAAATAGAGGCGAGGATAGAGCAGGCAGGGGAAGGGAAATAAGACATGGAGATAGGAGGTTAAAGCAGTTGGGAGTCCATACACAGCCTACCCAACTTCCTGAGAACTCTTAGAGAGGAAAAGGCATCCTTAGGCATCCTTCCTGTGAAGTTTGCCTATTCCGTGATCACGCTGAGAAGATGGGAACTCTGAAGTTTGCTTCACAGGAAGGTAAAATCCTTAAAGGGAGGCACCTTGCTGTGCCACTGTTCAGTTTTACTATAACATCAATCTTTTTTTAGTTTTTATTCCCACCTCAAGAGGCTGAGTTGAATACTATTAGGCGGGGAATGGAAAATTATATAGGCACCTAAGTTTCCTTTCTAGTTATGGTCAGTGTTTACACTGAGTATTCATGACAGACAATGCACCAATTTTTTTAATAGGCTATGTATGTCAAAAAGGATGTTCCTTTGTGGCAAAAACATGGACGGAACTTCTGAAACATGTGAGAGAAACCCATAAAGGTAAGGCAGGCATGAATGGCAGGCATGGTGTAAATGTTTGTCCCCACAGAACTGATTTAGTGCTTTTCAAGAGTGAAATGCTGTGTGCTTTAAAGTAAAAGGGTTTCTCTATGATATTTTGTGAAGTGCTGGGTATGATGTTGTTGGAAAGGTGAGCAGAGCTGTGCCAGGTCTCTGAGCCACCCCACCATGCACAATTAGCATGCTGAAGGCGGTGGCAGGTCTGTAGTGAAGAATTTCGGGAGGCACTGCTGTTCTGTGGGACCGCCTGGGAAACAGTACCCTGCATACTGGGGGACAAGGAAGGACACTGGTCTGCTTCATTTTCTGTACCTCCCCACAGTCACCTTCCTGAGAGCCCTGCCTCTTGGCAAGTGAACAATGACTGTGTGGCATTTAAGAACTTCAGAGAATTGAGACAAACTTCCTAGGTGATAAAAACTGGGGTTGTTTCCTTGGGAATTTCTGATTTGTATATAGTGATCAGGTTTCAGGCACTGAATGTTACTTATATATTAGGTATTAATTTTTTCTAAATGGTAATATCTGGGGAAATTTGTGAAATTTGTCTGTCTGTCCCACCAGAGGAAATACTATGTGAAGTATGCCGGAAAACATTTAAACGCAAAGATTACCTTAAGCAACACATGAAAACTCATGCCCCAGAAAGGGATGTATGTCGCTGTCCAAGAGAAGGCTGTGGAAGAACCTATACAACTGTGTTTAATCTCCAAAGCCATATCCTCTCCTTCCATGAGGAAAGCCGCCCTTTTGTGTGTGAACATGCTGGCTGTGGCAAAACATTTGCAATGAAAGTAAGCACTCACCCTCATACTCATGGTCCTATAGTCTATGCTTTCACAACATGGTTTTCATATTAATATTTCATTAATAACTTTCTCTTTCATTGTAGCAAAGTCTCACTAGGCATGCTGTTGTACATGATCCTGACAAGAAGAAAATGAAGCTCAAAGTAAGTTGAAACTACTTAGGCAAGCTTAGTTTTCAAGTGGAAATTGTTTAAGGCCAGAAGGAGTCTGTTTGGAATTCTTTTCACCTGCTTTACTGTTTGAGTCTGCACTACTGTTGAAGACTTTACTTCCTCATAAAGCAATGTTGTACACTATATCTGCTGGTACATATGACTATCGTAAAATTAACTCAGACAGTTTTGATTTTGAATTCTAATCGTGTGTCTTCCTTATTCCCAAAGGTCAAAAAATCTCGTGAAAAACGGAGTTTGGCCTCTCATCTCAGTGGATATATCCCTCCCAAAAGGAAACAAGGGCAAGGCTTATCTTTGTGTCAAAACGGAGAGTCACCCAACTGTGTGGAAGACAAGATGCTCTCGACAGTTGCAGTACTTACCCTTGGCTAAGAACTGCACTGCTTTGTTTAAAGGACTGCAGACCAAGGAGCGAGCTTTCTCTCAGAGCATGCTTTTCTTTATTAAAATTACTGATGCAGAACATTTGATTCCTTATCATTTCCATGGTCTTTGTTCAAAGTGTCTCTTTCCTGGGTCTCTTGAGTTTCTTTATATGCCTTCTCCTCATTTTTGCTGAAAGCACGAAGAACACACATTAAAGCTTTTCCTCCTTGAACAGCTTGTGGCCTAGATGAGAATGTAGCTATTCCAGGCATAGTCTGGAGTATTTGATGAAATATCTCCTCCTAAAAAAGGGAAACAGCCAAAGATTAATTTAAAATCAGAGGCTTTGGTGCTTTCTAATGTTCTGCTTGAACATTCACAAAAACTGGCACCCTTGAATTGCTGCTGTCGGTTAAGTGATTAGCTAATCAGTTCATACGTATCTGGTTAAGTTGACTGAAATCTGTACAATAACACCATGTAACTAAACTGACATGCTGAATGCTTCCTAATTTTAAATCTCCACTTCGTCATGGCACGAAGAGGCTACGTTTGGCTCAGCATTACCCTCTCCCACAAACAGAAAGCACTGGGTTTGGGCATTGGCAAAATACCTCCTCATCCCCAAGGTGTCAGCCGAGCAGTTCTCAGCACTCTCTATTGCCCCTAACAGAGTCTCTCTCAGTGACTGAAACAAATGGATACCTGGGCTCAAGAAATTCTGCATCAGCTGGGTTGCGACCTATGCTTAAGTGACTCTACTGTGGAGCTGGATTACTAAGGATACCCTTAGTGGATGATAAAGTTATCTAACTTTTAAAAAAAAAAAGCAAAATAGGTATTCCATAAACTTATGGGATTGGAAACTACACACTTTCTAGAAGACAGTCTACGTAATTAATGCCCCTATAAGTACAAAGAAGAAACAAAAAATCTATAAAGTTTCTAATTTTCCTGTTTAAGGGTTATTCTACAATTTATAAAACAATAGTATATTGCTTTTAAGGAATAATGTGTTCATATGGCAAAATACGCTGTAATGGAAACTATATCTACAGTATGCTTAGTTTTGAAAAGCAAACTAGAAAGCTGTTAACATCACTGGGTGGAAGAATTACCAGTCACTTTGTCTTTATATTTCAGATTTTCTACAATTTTTTTTTTTTTTTTTTTTTTTTGAGACGGAGTCTTGCTCTGTCACCCAGGCTGGAGTGCAGTGGCGCGATCTCGGCTCACTGCAAGCTCCGCCTCCCGGGTTCACGCCATTCTCCTGCCTCAGCTTCCCCAGTAGCTGGGACTACAGGTGCCCGCCACCACGCCTGGCTAATTTTTTGTATTTTTAGTAGAGACGGGGTTTCACCATGTTAGCCAGGTTGGTCTCAATCTCCTGATCTCGTGATCCGCCCACCTTGGCCTCCCAAAATGCTGGGATTACAGGCGTGAGCCACCGCGCCTGGCCTACAATTGTATTTTTAGATCAGAAGACCCAAAGCACAAGCAGTGGCTTGTACCTTCTTTACTTACCATTTCATTTTCTGACACGTCTACATTTTTTCCTTTCTTTATGGTAATCTGGACTAGGTGTTTTTTCTTAATCCACTGCTGAATCTGTTTAGTCTTTGTGTCCAAATCATGTTGTCCAATATTTGAAGACAAAATCAGTTCCTTTCTCAGGGTTGGTCCTGGTTTGAAACAGATAGGGTGCAAGGACTACTGACTAGTCCACTGTGAACCCTGAACTTCCCAACATGCCCATCATAAAATCCTAGGTTGCCACCTGACAATCTTCTCATCTGGCTTTCAGTTTCACAGACCAGTAAATGTCTTTTCAAATGGGGAAGATACACATAAAGGTACCAATTTTTTACCTGCCCTGGAAGGGTACTTAAAATCTGAAATGCTTCCATTTATTGTTAACCATCGTTTGTTGAAAGAACACCAAAAGATAGTCGTTTAAAGGATCAAGTTTGGCTTCATGGTGCACTTAACATCCTTATCTATCAGCTGTGGGTTGGCATCTGGGAGTGCACTACCCACTCCTTTTGAGATGCTCTCCTTGCTATAAGGGGTCAGCCAGACTGTTGGACAGGTAAGGGTCCCTACATCCTGTGTTCATGCCCTCTGTCTCCAGAAATCCTGCCTACTGGAAAATTATAGAGAAGGAACCGGCCACTCAATAAAGGTGTTGGGACAATTGAGAAGTTTATAGATGACAAAAAGTTAGGTCTCCCCAGGTATACTAATGTTCTACAGGTGAAAAATACAACTTTAAAACAAACAGAAGAAAAGACAGAATGGTTTGTGATCTCAGGATAGGGGATGGAACTCATTAAGAAAAAAAGGCAAAATGAAAAATCTAACTGGGATACGGTTTTTTCCATCATACACAACAGAGAACCCTATAAATCGGAGAAAAACCATCTACGTAGAAAAATAAAGGAATATAAACACGCAATTCACAGAAGAAAAAAGTGAAATACACATTAATTTCTCACCATTAAAATGACAAATGAGGGAGGAGGTAGAGAAACTGCATACACTGCTGCTGAGCAGTTTGATCCATTTAGGTTCATAGACCCTAGAGTATGCACCAGGGTTCATCATAAAGATTGGGGGCCAGGTGTGCTGGCTCACGCCTATAATCCCAGCACTTTGGGAGGCTGAAGCAGGCAGATCGTTGGAGCTCAGGAGTTCAAGACCTGAGCAACATAGCGAGACCCCATCTCTACAAAAAAAAAAAAAAAAAAAAAAGGCCAGGCATGGTGGTGTGCACCTGTGGTCCCAGCTGTGTGGGAGGCAGAGGTGGGAGGATTGCTGGATCCCAGGAGATGGAGGCTGCAGTGAGCCGAAATCACACCACAGCACTCCAGCCTGGGCAACAGAGCAAGACTGTTTTTTTTTTTTTTTTTTTTTTTTTTAAACACAGGGTCTCGCTCTGTCACCCAGGCTGAAGTGCAGTGGCATGATCATGGTTCTTCACTGCAGCCTTTGCCTCCTAGGCTCAAGTGATCCTCCCACCTCAGCCTCCCAAGTAGCTGGGATCACAGGTTTGCACCACTACACCTTGCTAATTTTAAAATTTTTTGTAGAGATGGGGTTTTGCTATATTGCCCAGGCTGGTATTGAATTCCTGAGCTCAAGCCATCCACCTGCCTTGGCCTCCCAAAGTGCTGGGATTACAGACGTGAGCCACCACGCCCAGTGACCTTTTTTTTTTTAAGTGACATAGTTTGACGTCATTATCCTCCCTGGTTGGTCTCTTCTGAATATTGTTTTCCAGTCAACATCCTTGTTAAATGTGGCATTACAAAACTGAGCCGCAGATAACATGTGGTTTTCTGAAGGCACACAACCTCACGATGCAGTGCTGGGAGCAGTCATCTGATGCCTGTCCCCGTGCGCCATCCATTGAACTTTCATAATGATTGGCACTTTTTAGGAACTATGAAAAACAAACATCTTTGCTTAATATCCAATTCCTGACTTCTGTGAGGCTTAAATGACAAGTGCCTCGTCAAGTGACTGGTTGTATATCTAAGAGTGTTGCTACTGATATTGCAACACAATGCTTTGGCATGGGAGATGCTCTGTGAATCACTTCAGAGTCGAAAAGGTGCTTCCAGGCTAGGCGCAGTGGATCACGCCTGTAATCCCAGCACTTTGGGAGGCCGAGGAGGGCAGATCACTTAAGGCCAGGAGTTCAAGACCAGCCTGGCCAACATGGTGAAACCCCCTCTCTATTAAAAATACAAAAATTAGCCGGGCGTGGTGGCGGGCGCCTGTAATCCCAGCCACTGGGGAGGCTAAGGCAGGAGAATCGCTTGAGCCTGGGAGGCGAAGGTTGCAGTGAGCACACATCGCACCACTGCACTCCAGCCTGGGCGGCAGGCAGAGACTCATCTCAAAAAAATAAAAAGGTGCTTCCAGATAATTAACCAAACACCTCCACTTTAGAGTTGAAGAAGGGGAAGAAAAACAAAAGGAGGGAGGTTAAATGAGTGGCCCGGCAGAGGGCAGGGAACTTGAATGTACCCCTCCTAATCTCACTCTGTTTCACCCCATCGGCTACTCAGCTTGCTGCGGCATTGGGAGAAGGCCACAGGACAGGGGAAAGAGTTCTCTTCACTTTGGTTTGTTTGCCTGGTTTCTCCCACATTTTACACAGGTTTAAAGGGAAGAGATAATGGGCAGGGTATTGTGGAAAAACAGTGAAAAAAAGGGAACAGGAGTAAGTGCAGGATAAAGGAGGAAAGACAGACACTGGGAATGGTGGTTGAATCATGAATTTTCTAGTTTCTCATTTCCCTCTTGTCACAGGCACCTTGACAAATGCTAGAATTTAAACTGCTGATTTGTAGCTCTTAAAGGATTCAGGGAGCCAACAGCAAAATACCTACCAGTTTTGGGGTTCGCCTTCTCCATCTCCCTCAGCCTCTGCCGCTCCTGGAGGATCTGCAATCCTGTCATGAGCTGATACTCTGCAGGTTCTGTGCTGGTGTTCCTTTGAACCAGTCGCAGGTCTCGCTCATCCATAAGTCTAATCACATTTGCTCGGTGCATGTTTCCCAAATCATTGCCCTTCTCATCAAATAAGTGAATAACTCGCTGACTAATTTTTCTTCCAACGTTACTAAAAGCTGTTTTATTCTTTTTTGTCTTTTTTCCTTCATTCTGGGTGTCTTCAGCGGTACTAAAGGCTTTTGCATGAATTAGGAAGGAGAGTCTTGGGGCAGAAGCAATAGGGGACAACTGTGCTGGTGCTGTCTTTTGCAGGATGTGTTTACCAAAACATCTAATGCAACTATTTTCAGACTTTACAGTTTGTAGTGTTAACCTCTTTAGAAAAAGAGCAGCCATCCTAAGAAAGTAGTAAGAAGAGTTCATTAAAATTCAATCACTTATTCCCTTGGTCTGACATTGTGGTACATGGCAGGGTGTGTGTGAGGTTGTGGAGGCTGTAACTGCAAGTGTGAGGGAAATGCTGTTCTCTAGACTTTCAGATCCACACACAGGAAGTCTACACTGATAAAGCGGACTAGCAGGTGACTCTGGCCAGACTAACTCATGGTGATACTGTCCCCAAGACAAGTGGCTATTAGAATAAACCAGATTTACATAGCATTTTGGTTTCACTTTTTTTTTTTTTCTGTACACATGATCTCATTTGACTACTTAGTTGACCCCTGAACAACTTGGGAGTTAGGGAAACAGACCCCCTGTGCAGTTGAAAATCTGTGTATAACTTTGACTCCTCAAAAACTTACTAATAGCTTACTGTTGACTGAAAGCCTTATGAATAACATAAGCAGTTGATTAACACATATTTTGTATGCCATATGTATTATATACTGTATTCTTACAATACAGCAAGCTAGAGAAAAGAAATGTCATTAAGAAAATCATAAAGAAGAGAAAATATATTTACTATTAAGTGGAAGTGGATCACCATAAAGGTCTTCATCCTCATTGTCTTCACATCAAGTAGGCTGAGGAGGAGGAGCAAGAGGAGGGGTTGGTCTTCTCTCAGGGGTGGCAAAGGTGGAGGAAAATCCACATATATGTGGACCCCATGCAGTTCAAACCTGTGTTGTTCTAGGATCAACTGTATTTCTCATGCATCTTGTAGTGCCAACTCCAAAAGCGAGTGTCATCTTAGGGCTTTATTTATGAGGATGCAGTACATAAAATGCTTGGTGATTCATAAACACCAATTGATAAACTTCTAATATAATTAACTGTTAACAATTTTTCAATACATCTGATGGTATATAGCAGATAGGAACACACTATGGGAAAGGGACCTCTCCAGGAAGGAAGCCAGCCCACTGCAAGAATAACTGAGCCTGTCAGAAAACACTGTGACATAAATCAAAGTGCTAACCTCATAAACTATAAAGATCATTCTCAAGGTAAGGCAGGTGTTAATTACTACCAAATGTTAACAGAGGCATGTATGGTGACAGTGGTTTTACTTCATGGTTATGAGACTGAATTTGAAGCACTTACAAATGGCACATTGATTTTTTAATTGCTTTTCTGTCCTTCCATTCATGTATTTGGTAAATCTTAGAAGTACAGGCTGAAAGAGTGCTGAGAGGACCCATTCATCTCATCTAGGGCATGCTAGGAATCATTAGAGAATCACAAACTTGGAGAGGTGTGACTTGTCAAAGATGAAAGAGGAAAACAGAAGGTGTCTTCAGGGTGCTTCTCAAAGAATGGTCCCAGAATCTCCTGGGGTGTTTAAAACTGGAAGTTCCCTCTGGTCCCTGGCTTTGAGCCCACTGGGCTGTACAACCCACTTATCTCTCACCTGTCATGTTCAAGAGTGATATGCAAAAAAATATGGTAAATTCAACAGAAAGTGATGGACATGCATATTCTCAACACCCTCCTTACCTAGTTTGGTAACACCCAACACTCTAATTTATAGCTCTGGTGCCAGTCTCTTCTCTTGAGTTCCACACCTGTAGGGTTAACCGCCTACCCAACCTCTCCACTTAGATATGTAATAGTCATTGAGGATTAACGTGTTCAAAGTTCAATGCTTTGCCTTCCATGCAAAACTTGCTCCTCCCTCAGTCTTCCCTGTCTCATGTAATTGCAACACATTCTTCTGGTTGCTCAGGCCAAAAATACCAACGTTATCCTTGACTCTTTATTTTCTCTCAGCAACCCATCCGCAAAACCTACCGTTCAACCAGTATAACCACTTCTCACCTTCTCTACTGCTATCATCCCACTCCCAAACCGCCGCGCCGCTCAACTGCATCACAGTAAAACCGCATCACAGTAACAGCTTCCCGACTGCTCTTCCTGCCTCTGCCCTCACAGCCTGGAGTTTATTACTGCTAGGGCACACAGAGCAATCCTTAAAAATGCGTAAGTCAGATCACGTTCCTCCTCTGCCCACACCCTCCCCTGGCTAGTATCTCACTCCAAGTAAAAGCTAAGCTCTCTACCATGCCCACTGGCCTGTGCCGACCGTACTTCTTCTGGCTCACTCTGTTCCAGCCTCCTTGCTGTTCCTTGTGAACAGTGAACACACCCCTCCTCTGGGTCCTGGCACCCAGAAGTTCTCTCTCCCTGCAACACTCTTCCCTCAGATAGCCTCATGGTTCATTTACCTCGTCTCTGCTCAAACGCTACCTACTCAGCGAGCCCTTCCCTGACCCTTCCATAAAAGAGCACACCCCAACACTCTCAAACCCATTACCTTGCCTTTTAAAAACTTTACTGCATTCATCACTGCTGGACACATTCTATATTTATTTGCATATATGTTCATAATCTTTCCTCACTGGAATGAAAGCTTCATGAGAACATGGACTTTGTCCATTTTGTTCACTGCTGTGTTCCCCGGCACTACAGCTCAGAGCCTGGCTCAGCATGCACATGTCGAATGAATGCACGGGCCGAAGGAAACAGCCAAGGAGCTATGGCAGGGCTGCTGGCATTTAACCTCTACACCTTCGGATGTGTCACGAATGCCTACAAACTACACCCTTCACATTTCTAGCTGGCATTTCAGATGCCCGTCAGTAATGGTGAGTATCTGTGGCCAGATGCTCCATCCACAGTGTATGACATGCATTGATTTATGGTTATTACCCAGCTGGTGGCTCCAGCTGTAGATGCTGTAAAGGCTCTAAGGTGGGAGCAAAGTGATTTTAAATCACTGACATACTGTTTAATAAAAAGTCAGATCTTTTGTGAATGGAGGAAGCCCCCAAACCAAAAAAGAAGAAAAATCTGAAAAGATCACAGAAGATTTTTTTTTCACTTATCAGAAAACTAGCAGCAGCATCCAGTCCCAAATGTCACTAGGTATTCTGCTAGGGGACTCTTAAGTTCCTGCTCACAAGCCTGCTCTATAAACTTTATGTCTAAAATCAGTGTTGTTTCTTTCCAAAGTCTGTATTAGCGACAATGATGTAGAAGTTATCACATGTAAAATCATGTTACTAAATAGATAGATATAAATTCTAATATTCTTGATATATACAGTAGACAAAACAGTTCACTGCAATTAAGCTTTAATACTAACTCAGTACTGGCTATCTTTTTCCCTTAGTAGTTATGAATAAGAGCTAAAGTGCCTTGTTTAATAAATTATCAACATATTAAAATATAAAAAATTTCAAAATTTGATTTTTTTCAAACAAGCAAACAAAATAACTAGATATAGGAAAAGATGAAAAAAATTTATAAAAATGTTGAAGACAAAAGCAATTCATTCCCCTATTTTTCCTAATTGCCAGTATTTCTCAAGTTTTTTTATAAGTGTTATTTTTATACTTGAAAATAAATTTTATTTACAAAATAAAGACTATTTCAGAAAAATGACGTAGGTTTTTTAAAAAAGCTTTAAAAACACTTTCCAAGAAGGAAACAAAGGAAAGGGAAAGAATAGAAAAACACTGGAAGTAGGGCCGGGTGCAGTGGCTCACGCCTGTAACCCCAGCACTTTGGGAGGCTGAGGTGGGCGGATCACAAGGTCAGGAGATCGAGACCATCCTGGCTAACACAGTGAAACCCTGTCTCTACTAAAAAATAAAATAAAAATTAGCTGGGCGTGGTGGCGGGCGCCTGTAGTCCCGGCTACTCGGGAGGCTGAGGCAGGAGAATGGCGTGAACCCGGGAGGCGGAGCTAGCAGTGAGCGAGATTGCGCCACTGCACTCCAGCCTGGGCGACAGAGCGAGACTCTGTCTCAAAAAAAACGAAAAAAAAAAGAAAAACACTGGAAGTATATAACTTTTAAAGTTCTTTGCCACTAGTTTAAATTTTTAAGAAACTTCAATTTTTATTGATGTATACAGCAAACAATGCAATTCATTGCAATTAAGCTTTAATACTAACTCAATACTGGCTTTAAATCAGCAAAATTGAAAATATACGTTTCTTCAAAACAGGCCCTTATAGATAAAAATATAAATACAAAGTTAAAACAACCTGTAATATTACATTTAAATTGCAGCTATCAACATAAATTCATAATTTAAAAACTTTTTATTAGGGAACTTTTTAACCTTGTACAGAAAGAACTGGATAATAAACAGCAGCTGGGTTTCATCTTTACCCCTCAACTATCTCCCCCCAACCATCCAGGAATGCTTTCAAAGTAAATCCTACTTTTTCAGGAAATAGTATGTATCTCTAAGAGGTACTCCTTAATCTTTTTAGTATTCACAATATTATCCCAATTAAAAAACGTTCCTTTATTTCATCAAATATTTAGCTTTCAGATTTCCATGATGGTATTATGATTTTGTTTGTTTACATGTCATTTACAGTTTGGCAGCATGAAGAGACTCCCACTGGTCAATTTTGGTGTAATTTAAACAGTAAGGCATAATCACTGTCATTCATTTCAATATACTGAATATACAAAAATCTATGAAAATGATAATTTGCCACAACTGCATGGGACTATTATATTGATTTTTTACTTTGAAAATTGCTAATTAAATAAAAAGAACTGAGCATTTATCCTACCTTTTTTAGGAAGAACTGTAATCATCCCCAGTTGATGAGGAGAAGCTCTTCTGTAGAGAAGAATGACAGCTAATAAACACAAAAGAAAAGTAAAAGTAATTAGAAAATCATGCCACGCACGATGTCTCACACCTGTAATCCCAGCACTTTGGGAGGCCAAGGCGAGAGGATCACTTAAGGCCAGGAGTTTGAGACCAGCCCGGGACACACAGCAAGACCCAGTCTCTACAAAAAATAAATTAGCCAGGTGTGTTGACACGCAACTGTACTCCCAGCTACTGGGGAGGCTGAGGAAGGAGGTTCACTTGAGCCCAGGAGGTTGAGGCTGCAGTGAGCTCTGATCACACCACTGCACTCCAGTCTGGACAACAGAGCAAGACCCTGTTTCAAAAAAAAAAAAAGAAAATCACCATTTTTCCAACCCCAACGAAACTACTGATTCAGGCAGGATGCAAGAGAGCTGATGCCAAAGGGTCACAAACAGATTACTTTCAGACTGAGAGGGAAAAGCACACTCTGCTGAGGGTAGACAGCTGTCTGTCATCCTAAGCCAACGTCAGACTCAGCATCTCCAACAGTGGAACAACCTGCCATCCTTGCCACATCTCTGGATGGGAAGCTACCCAAAGTGCATGGCACCTTCTATTAAGCAGCTTTGCCAAAAAGGTTTGACCTGAACCTGATGCAGGGTCTAGCTTCCAGTTTCCAGGGGATACAAGGGCCAGACTCAGAGAAACAATAGAAGATGCCACAAGGAAACAATCTGACAAATCCAGATGGAACAAGACACCTGGTTAGTGTCTAAAAAAGCCAATGCCATTGGGAATGAAAAGGGAAGAGGGAAGCTATTCTTGAGTGAAAAAAAAAATCAAGGAGACATAATTTTGCTGAAAAGAAATGTTGGGAATGAGGGGAAAATCTGAATAGGGACTAGGTATTAGATACTATTAGAGACGTATTGTTAATTTTCTTTTTTCTTTTTTTTTTGAGACAGGTTCTCACTCTGTCACCCAGACTGGAGTGCAGTGGGGCAATCTCGGCTCACTGCAACCTCCGCCTCCCAGGTTCAAGTGATTCTCCTGCTTCAGCCTCCCAAGTAGCCGGGATTACAGGTGTGCACCACTACCGCCTGGCTAATTTTTGTATTTTTAGTAGAGATGGGGTTTTACCATGTTGGCCAGGCTGGTCTCGATCTCCTGACCTCAAATGATCCACCTGCCTTGGCCTCCTGAAGTGTTGGGATTACGGGCGTGAGCCACGGCACCCGCCTGTTAATTTTCTTAGGTGTGAAAATGGAATTCTTAAGAAACAAATGCTGAAGTATTTAGGATAGTGTCATGACATCTATCACTTGCTTTGAAACCATACAGCAGAAAATATAAACAATGCACTTACGGCAGCATTTGCTAAATCTAGGTTATGGTTATACGGGTGTTCAATAATTAATACATTTTTAAAGAACAAATCAATAGCCTAGAGGGAGGAATGGTTCACTGGTAATGCCAATGTAACTATTCTAGTCTGTGTAAGTTCTAAATTTCACTGTAATTTAATACATTGACATTCTGGCTTTGTACATAATTTTAAAAAATATTCCCTTTATTCGTTTCAAGCCTATATCTAAGTGACCCATAAATAAGGAACTTTATAAACTTAAAATTCTGATTTTTTTGTAATGCATAGTGCCTTTATTTCTTCATTTAGTTTTCCTTAAACTCAGGTCTAAAAGTCTCATCATAAATGGTGATGGGGGCGGATGGGAAGGAGGCTGGCATAAAAAAAGTACACATTAGGTACAATGTATACGATTCGGGTGATGGTGCACTAAAATCTCAGAATTCACCACTATATAATTCGTCCATGTAATGAAAAACCACTTGCAGTCCAAAAGCTACTGAAATAAAAATTTTAGAAGAATAAAACAAATGGTGATGGTTTCAGTTTGAGGCAGAACTTGTACAATTTTTTGCTAGTGAACGGTTAAAAGTTAACTGGTCTACAATGGGGTGGTGTTTCTCAGAAACCACGGCCTGTCGGCATCACCTGGGGATGCTTTTCAAAACACAGATGTTTCCTCTTCCCTATCCTGTTCAGAACCAGTGGGTTAGGCCAAAAAAAAAAAAAAAAAGATGAACTTTAAGAAAAAGAGTAAGAAAACACTATAAGTGGGGTCAAGGGTAGTTTGAGCTAGGATGCCTGAGACTACCCCTAACCTTTCAAAGTTGAATAAAAATAGGAAGCCATGTTCTCTGATGAAAATCTCTGATGCCTCTGTGAGGTAAACAACACTAGGCTGAAGAGGCCAGGAGACTAACTCAAAATAGAAACAAACGCTTACGTTCTTATGATAATCCTGTTGCATTTGCTGCACTCACTCCCACAACTATACTCTCCGAGACAGCCACAATATTCTAAAAACCAATTATCTTAATGTCAATTACTTATAATGCATAACTTTATAGTATGATATCCATTTTTAATTCGATGATTACTCAGACTTTATCTGAGTTTTGACAAGTGCATATACCTTTGTAACCAAAACTCCTATCGACAGAACATCACCATTATCCCAGGAAGTTCCCTCTTGCCATTTCCAAGTCAATCTCCATCCCCAAGAGGCAACTATTGTTCTGATTTTTTCCCATCAGTCTGTCCTAAGACTTCATATAAATGGAACCAAACAATATCTACTCTTTGTTGTAAGACATCTCAGCATGTTTCGAGATTCATTCACGTTGTACGGATCATTACCTTGTTCCTTTTTATTTCTAAGAAGTGTCCTCCAAGTATATGAATATATCGCAGTTTTTAAATCTAGTTTTCGTTAATGAACACCTAGGCTGTTCCCTTTATTTATTTATTTATTTTTGGCTCTTATGAATAGCTGCTGTGAACATTCTTGTACCAAAAAAAAGACAATTATTACTGCTCCAAAGGACAGCTGTATTCCCTGTATAATTCATTATTTTGCATTCTACCGGAAGTACTGATAAAATATTTGCAGGGAAACTTCCTGGAACATGATTTAAATATGTGGTTTAGTAGATATGAGGGGTGGGTGGGTGGGCATTCTCGTCCTATAAAAAATTGCTTGCATGCATTTGAAATCATGTGGACTGAAGAGACGAAAATAACTTCTATTATTTGTTCACTCACTGCTTTTCTCATACAGCTGATATTCACAAGCTCATACTGTTATCTGTTCTTTCCTGGGAGATTGGATCAAAGTTGCATAGATTCTAGCGGACTAAATATTTGTGAAATTAATTTTGCCAATTCTCATGACTCTAAGAACTCTTTTACACCTTCCAAAGAAGTTTCATAAAGTCCTTGCTTCTGCCTGCAAACTGTCCCAGTTGCCCCATTCTGGCCTGAGCAGTGCAGCCTTAATCCCAGAGGGCCTGCGCTACCGTTACTGGGCCTTCATGCTCCCCTCCCTTGGCTCTGGTTTTGCTCTTCCATAGGGAGCACAAAGTGTACTCTCCATAATGAGGCTGAGCTGTTTACGTGCTAGAACTCCCATTTAGAACACTGGAAAAAGCCAACATTATATCTTTGGCCAACTATTTAACCTTATTTCTTTAGCTATTAAATTGAAATAATAACCATATGTTTTAAAAAGCTTTTAAACCCAGAGCTAAAGACTCTGTATTAAAAACTGGACTTACGGCCGGGCACGGTGGCTCACGCCTGTAATCCCAGCACTTTGGGGAGGCTGAGGAAGGCAGATCACTTGAGGTCAGAAGTTCAAGACCAGCCTGGCCGACATGGTGAAACCCCATCTCTACTAAAAATACAAAAAAACTAGCCGGGCCTGGTGGCGTGAGCCTGTATTCCCAGCTACTTGGGAGGCTGAGGCAGGAGAATCACTTGAACCCGGGAAGCAGAGGTTGCAATGAGCTGAGATCGTGCACCGCACTCCAGCCTAAGCATCCAGCCTAGGCAACAGGGTGAGACTCTCAAAAAAAATTTTTTTTTAACTTATTCTCCTATGTTAATCCTATGTTAGTCTTCTTCCAGAACTCTAGTGATGGGATCACTACCCATCCACAACCTCCAGTCACCTCCAAGACACCTTTGACGCCTCCACTTTCCCAGTCAACCCAACACCAAGCCTCATCGACTTCATTTCCTAAACCCCACTCGAATCCATCCAGTCCTCTCCGTATCCACTGTCACCACCGTCAGTTTAAAACATCGACCACCTCGTTTGGATTCCTGCCAGTCTCCTAACTCGGCTTGAGCCCTGGCAACCAGTTCCCACTGCACTGCGGTCACTACACCCAGGACCTTCCTCACCTTAAATAAAACTGCCCCGAGATTAAAGATCTACACCTTCGCCAGGCCAAAAGGCCCTTCCCACCTCTCCAGTTTCTTCTTTATGCCTAGGCCACACTGGCCATTCGGTTTTTGAAATACAGTACTCTCGTCCTTGGTTTAGGAAACGCCAGATCCTTAGCGCATTCTTCTGATTACCTTCCAAACTAAGCCAGTTCTCCCATCCCTCCCCCAATTTACTGAGCTTAACACTGAATGCTTCTACAGTCCAGTTGACCTTTCCTTTAAAACATTCATTACAATTACAGTTTTGTGATGATCTTAGCACTGCTGTTCTCCATCACTAGACCGTAAACTCTACGAAGCAGGAACAAAATGGACTTATTCGTTACTGTGTTGTGCCTGACAGAATGAATAGTAGTCGATTTTCAGATTCTTCTCTCCATCCTCTACTTTTCTAAGACTTAGGCCTTTCACAACACGTACTTGAAACTGAGACTTCTCAGTAAGAGAACTTCGTTTACTTGGTTCAAGTCTTAAGCCACGGAGCCCACTAAATGACAAATGAGAAAAAAAATCCCAGTCACTTCGCGACCTTCCCCCATAAGGCCTCCTCCCGCAACAGCAGGCAGCAAGAACAACGCATTTGTCCAGCATGTCCTGCGCAGGCGCCCTTCGCCTGGCTCGCTCTGCCCCACCTGTGCCAGGCAGTAAGCCGCAAGAGCACTTCCGGGAGCCCCCGACCCGGTTGTTGGTAAGTCGGCGGCGACGCCCACCTGCAGAACGGGACCGGCGGAGCGCCAGGGCTAGAGACGGGACGTAGCGACGTACTGCGTGCGTGCGTGCGCACAAACGAGGGCGCGCATGTCGGGACGGAACTAGAAAAGCTCAGTGGGGCTGGCGGCAACTCTAGGTCTAACATCCCTCGGAAGTTCGTGCAGCGGCCTCGCTGAAAATGGCTTTACAGCCCGGCAGAACCCTCCGACTCCGCAGCAGGACCTGCGGAGCCTCTCCGCCCTCGGTACCGGCGGGACGGGGTAGCCCTGACCTTCCGGGTGCCTCCTCCACAGGGGCGCCCCCTAAGGCCACGCCCTCCCGATGCCGGTCCGCGCACCGCTCCGCACGCCTCATATTTAGCATTACCTGTGCTGGGGCAAGCGATTGACATACTGTAGCGGACGCAAGTACAGCGGATCTGCGGCGAGTCCCCTTCGCTCTCCGTAGTGGGCGGGGCTTCACCCCGCGTCCTTTAAAGGAAAGGTGATGGGCGGAGCCACGTTTTTCTACTGTTGGGATTCAGTTCCGCCGACAGAAAATGCGGAGAACGCGGAGGAAGTCCCTGAGGGGAAATTGCTGCTCACCTGGCTCCCGCTGCTCCGCAGGTGCGGTGAAGGCTAATGTCGAATTTCTGCAGCAATCGGAGCAGCCCTTACTCCAGTTACATTAACACCAATCTCGGTCTCCCACTAGGGCTTTATAAATTGCTTTCATAAACGTCTTTTTAATGTAACACTGAATAAAATGTTTTATAAGCGTCTTTTATAAGGATCGTAAGTGAAAGGGCGCTGTCTCCGATTTGCAGGTGAGCAGACAGCTTCGGAGTGAGAACGGCTCCCCGCGGGTCCCCGGTGGCGCGCGGCTCCCGGAGGCAAAACAAAGCTGGGGCCGGGGCGTCGGAGCCTCCGCGTTGTAGTTGGGAGAGGTTCGAACGGGGCCCCAGCTGGCGAAAGGGAAAACGGACCCGGACCCGGACCCGTGGAGCCTGCTCGAAAGCCGGGTGCTGGGGGTCTGGGCCCCGTGTCCCCCCTCTTTTTCTTCTTCAATAAGAAATTCCTCAAGGGCAGACTGCGAGTCCACAGTCGTGAAGCCACCTAATCTGGCTTCATACCTGGAATGTTTGGATTCCTGGTACGAAGAAAAACTAACATTTATTGGCTACTTGTCCACTGGAAGGCGTTGTCTTATTTCTCATTAACTCCTTGAGTCAGCATTACGTCTTTTATTACAGATGACACAACTACTAAAGCTTTAAATAGTTCTTTGGGAGCAAAGACGAAATCTCCATTTCCTTTTTAGCTGCTGGTAGCTCGACGCTCACTGTTAAAATAGGGAGGTAATGAAACAACTCTTGTGTGAGACCGAAAGTCCAGGTGTGCATCTTGGCCATTTCCAAGTTAATCAAGAAGAATTAAGGATTCATTTTATTCTATCAAAATTATTTCTCAATGCCAAGATATTTTGTGTGACGTAGATTCGGGGACAGACTGAGTAGCACAATACCTGGGAAAAGTTAGGTGCTCAGCAATTATAATTGCCCACATTTGTGATTGCTTTTGCCTATGTGCCAGACACTGTTCTACGCACTGAACATATCTCAAGTTATTCAATCTTCAGGACAACCTTATGAGCCAATTATTATTATTACCCATTTTACAGATGAGGGAACTGAAACAAATTTGCCCAAGGTCGCACAACTAGTAGCAGAATCAAGAATAAAAAAGCCAAAAAACCCCAAACCCAGGCAAACTTTAAATGTTCCTTGCATTGCTAGACTGAAGTAGTGAGAGAAACAGTAAACAGTACGAGTCCATGAAAACATTAAAAGGATGTGAAGTATGTACAAGTAACTGAAACATTTAATGCCCAAACTAAAGACTTAAAATTTGCTAAGGTAATAGCACAGGTAGATTCACACCAAGTAATCACTGGTAACTGAAGCTACCGGCCAGCATCCATTTGCAGTCCGTCTTTGAAGGCAGCTGTGTCCAGAGCAGGTGGTTTAGGAAGCTTTCTAGACTTCCATTGTCAGATGTCTCCACGCCTAGAAGATGGTGCTTTAGTGTTCCTGGGAGGAGACATGCAGAGATGGGGTGGCAATTACAGACATGCCCACAGATGGAGAGAAGCCATTTTTTTCATCTTTTCCCTTGAACTCTTCTTTGACCTCCAGCCGAAATGGAGCTTGGCAGCTTTTGTGGGGTTTTTTGTTTTTTTGTTTTGTTTTGTTTTGTTTTGTTTTTGGAGATGGAGTCTCTCTGTGTCGCCCAGGCTGGAGTGCAGTGGCGCGATCTCGGCTCACTGCAACCTCCACCTCGCGGGTTCAAGCGATTCTCCTGCCTCAGCCTCCCGAGTAGCTGGGATTATAGGCGCGTGCCACTGGGTCGGGCTAATTTTTGTATTTTTAGTAGAGACGGGGTTTCACCATATTGGCCAGTCTGATCTCGAACTCCTGACCTCAGGTGATCCACCCCACTCGGCCTCCCAAAGTGGTAGGATTACGGGTGTGAGCCACCACGCCCGGCCACTTGGAAGCTTTTAAAGAGTCATTGAGAGCCTTGAGCTGTGCTTGGTGGGGGCAGACTTTGAAGATCCTTGAATAAAGATGAAGAGGTTTGGGGAAATGCTATTACTATGCCACAGATCTTTAATAAACTACTCCGTTATGTACATAGAAGAGGACTCTGAGACATGTGTAGAGCTTTCCCAATTGTTATCGTTTCTACATATAATTTAACCCCCTCAAAAAATGTAACTCAATAAGACTCAAATCATGGTGACTCTAAAAATGCCTATATTTTCTATTACATAGTAATTTCTACGTTAATTTCCATAGCATGCCCATGAACTTTCTCTTTCAATGAATATATTGGTGATTTGCTCTGATGAAGGAATAATGGAAATATCCCGTCCCTCTCTTTGCCTGTTAGCTTTCCAAGTCCTCCCACTTTTCCCCAACGCCGAGGGGACCTTCCAAAACAGGATTGTATGTGAGATTTACTTGCTTAGCCCAAGGTCATTGAGGTACAACATATCTGATCCACAAAAGAATCAGTCTGTGGGTGATTTCTTTAAAAAGTTATGAACACTGGGCTGCGTCTTTATAATGCCACAATGACTAACAATTCATTTAAAAATCTAATACTAATAAAAATCCTGGTGGTGGTTGTTTTTTTGTTTTGTTTGTTTGTTTTTTGAGACGGAGTCTCACTCTGCTGCCGAGGCTGGAGTGCAGTGGCACCGTGTCGGCTCTGCAACCTCCGCCTCCTGGATTCAAGCAGTTCTCCTGCCTCAGCCTCCCAAGTAGCTGGGATTATAGGCACCCACTACCACGCCTGGCTAGTTTTTATATTTTTAGTACAGACGGGATTTCACCATGTTGGCCAGGCTGGTCTCGAACTCCTGACCTCAGGTAATCCACCTGCCTCGGCCCCAAAAAGTGCTGGGATTACAGGCATGAGCCACCATGCCCAGTCAAAATCTTGGGTTTATTTTGAAGATACGAAGCATCTTCAAACTTTAAAGCCCATGTGGGTTCAGATATTCAGCATATTCTTTAACAAATAATTGTTCATAGATTAGATACTCCTCCCTCTCCAGATTATAAACTCTTACCTGGGCAGTTTTGCTAAAATTGGGGGAATTTAAGTCTATTATGTGTGAGATCCTATGTAGTGCCAACTAAATGTAGCTGAGAGCAGTTATCTTAAACAGCAGCAACTCTGTCATTACAAGGCCAGTTTAATAGCCAAAAGGGTCCATGCTCTCCTTAGTTGATGTTTACAGACTTGTCAAGAGTCATAGAAACAAGGCATGCAAGAGGCTTTGGCTGAGTGTTAGGTAACTCGTTCAAAGCTTCCTGAAGATACTGTCAGCCCAATATTGTGTGTCTATTATTGTCTGTTAGAAACTATTAAAGCCGAAAGCCTTCTTATGAAATCTCTACCATTTTCCTCAGGCAGGACTATAATTAATCCATTCCAAACATGTAAAACATCTCTATATTTAAAACAAGCCAAAACAAAACTCGAGGCCAGGAGATTTAGCTTCTCATTTCAATGTTTTATAAGACGGGAGTCTTTTCCTTTACATAACCTAAATCCATCATGTTGCTACTTAGTCTGGTTCTGCAGTAGAGCTGGAGAACATCTGGTGACCACATCTGTGTTATAACCCTTTGTGTGCTCTCAAACTATTTGCTAGATTCAAAATAAATTTCCTTACCATGAGTGAGATTTCCCATAACATTAGACTCCAGATTAATCATTTCTCTTGTCAGAATATGATGGCCTCAGTTATTAAAACGTGGTGGTTGTGAATCAGCAAAATGTCTAAAATGAATGACATATTGTAATAAAGTTTTAAAAACTTTCATATCTGCCAAATAAAAATATTTGTATATGGAAGATCCACTTCTGTGAAAAGTCTCTTGTGCAACTGCAGAAGCAGAAAATAGGTTCAGAAGTTTCATTTGGAACACAACAGAGACATGTCTTTCCATTTCAGAGGTGTTGAGTTTTGAGGTGATTCAGTTAACTTTGATCGTTTTGAAACAATGAAAATAATTTCTATTACCATCATAGGACATCATGCAGAACAACAAAGAGCTAGTACAAAGTGTACCATGCTGACTGTTGTGTAGATAAAGCAAAACAGTACCAAATGATTAGTTAGCATTTTACATTTAGAATGCAACCCAGCCGGGCACAGTGTCTCATGCCTGTAACCCCAGGACTTTGGGAGACCGAGGCAAGCAGATCATGAGGTCAGGAGTTCAAGACCAGCGTGGCCAACATGACGAAACCCCATCTCTACTAAAAATACAAAAAAAAAAAAAAAAAAGAAAAAAGATTAGCTGGGCATGGTGGTGTGTGCCTGTAGTCCCAGCTACTTGAGAGGCGGAGGCAGGAGAATCCCTTGAACCAGGGAGGCGGAGGTTGCAGTGAGCCAAGATTGCGCCACTGCACTCCAGCCTGGATGACAGAGGGAGACTCCATCTCAAAACAAAAAAAAAAAAGAATGCAACCCTATACTATTTTTAAACACCTATGTGAGACGTAGTTACAAGGCTGTTTAAGGAGGGGAGGACTGACAGCAAATAGAATGTTTGTGATAAAATAAATTTGTGCTCTCACAGTTTCCCATCTTTGAGGCAAATGGAATTAAAGGCAAATTATTCCATTTTTGAAAGTTCCTCAAATGTGGAATTTCAGATGTTTACTGTATAGGGAAGTAGACTTTCAACTGTACATTGGAGTCATTGTTTTGCTGCTTTTTCACCTTGCAAGTTGCTAGGTTCTGCTGCAAAGATTTTTAAAGCCTGCTTTGTTAGCAGCCTAGGACACATCCATGACCTTACCAAAGTGAAAGTGAAAGCTCTTAGTTTTTCTTTTTTTTTTTTTTTGCAACAGTAAATCTACTAATTTTACAGTCAGTTGAACAGCAATAGATTAATTTGTGTAAAGTCTGCATTCACAAAGAAAATCTAAACTTCAGTGGCTTGAATGCCTGAAACTGCAGTGTGATATTTGAAGGGTAGACACTCTTACAAACTTGCCCAAGAAGGATGCAGGCAGTTCACTGTCACCTGCTTCTCGGCACAGGTGCTGACCCCTCGGTCGACTCGGGGCCTCCTGATGGGGTAGCAGGAAGGCTGGGCCTTTGTGTGCTACAGAGAACGCTTTTCCAATAACTGGGCTAGTTCTCTCCAGCAGCCACAGGAAACAGAAGAAAGAAGAGGTTAAGGGCCGCCACGAGGGTCAGAATGGGTTAAATTTAGTTAACATCAGAGGTTATAGCTTTTAACAAGAGCTTCAAGAAAACTTATTCGAAGATGCAATTTGTTTCTTCTTTGTCCACTGTTATTTTTTTCCCCCTATTGATAGTGACAGCTTAACAAAGTTTTTATATGCTAAAGGTTTTCATCCCTTAGAGAATAAAGAACTGTGTTCCTAAAAAGAGATGCAGGTGGAAAACTTCATAAAGCTTCCATGATTTCCAAATTGGGAGCTTTGAAATAGGCTCCCTGCTTGGCTAAGTCAAAAATAATCTGTGAAAAAAAAACCTCTATTGGAAATGGAGGAACGCTCCAGCAGTCAGATGCAGAGCTCCAACTTCTAGAAGATTCTTTGTGTGAATTTTTCTCTCGGCCATCCTAGTAAACTTTTCCCAGTTATTCAAAATTATCAAAGCGGCCTTCTCTGTAGGTGCATTTCTTCAAATTTAGAACATAATACTGGGCAGGACTAGTTGTTTATTGCATTTCTATGTAAGCAAAGAAAGATAGCCATAGATTTCTGCGTATGTCCTTTATGCCCGCTCTTAAAATTCTGTTACTCTGCAGTTTCTGTTCAAGAACTGAACTGTTACGGAAATTGGGCTTTCAAAAGAGAGTCATGTAAATTCTAGCGCTTCAACTGGAAATGTATGATTACCTAGGACTGATACTCAGTGTCGCGCATCATACTAAGGCCTTATGTGTTTTTCAGCTGCATTTCTCTGATAAATACGAGGCTTAGCTTTTGAATGAGTTTAATCATTTATTTAGCTGAGATTTTCAAATGCTGAACTTGGGTTTTCAGAGCCATGTTTCTACCTGACGGTCAGCAAGGAAAATGTAATCTACACATCTAAGTGCTGAACTATAATCTGCATTTGAAAATGTGTTTGTTTCAGGTATGGTGAGGACTCATTTAAGTATTATTTGGGAAATAAGATGTTTTATATAAGGCAATCTTCCAGATACCCTAAGCTTACCTCTCAAATCAATACAAACTTCTATATTTTTACCATTATGAATGAAAGTATTTTATATAATGTATTACAAACATTCTTGCTTTCTGAAGTATGGTATGATATTTTTTAAGAACTAGGAGTATCAGTCCAGGCATGATGGCTCAATGCCTGTAATCCCAGCAATTTGAGAGGCCGAGGCAGGCAGATCATTTGAGGTCAGAAGTTCAAGCCCAGCCTGACCAACATGGTGAAACCCCATCTCTACTAAAAATACCAAAAAATTAGCCAGACCTGGTGGCGCATGCCTGTAGCCCCAGCTACTCAGGAGGCTGAGGCAGGAGAATGGCATGAACCTGGGAGGCGGAGGTTGCGGTGAGCCGAGATTGTGCCACTGCACTCCAGCCTGGGCAACAGAGCGAAACTCCATCTCAAAAAAAAAAAAAAAAAAAAGAACTGGGAGTATCATGATTGTACATTATGATATGGTGACATACAACACTTCATACGTGTATTAAGTGCCACTAACTACATGGCCAAACCATCATGGTTTCTGAATTTGAAATTCTGCTTTTTATAGATTTTCCTACCCCTCCCTTGCCATTAGGCTGTCATCTGGCCCTTCTTGTTGCTATAACTGCCTACCCAGTTTTAATAGTTCTCCTCCCCTTCTAACGTTCTACTCAAAGTCAAATTCAGTCTCACCTGGCCTGATACAGGTATTGCCCAAAGAGTCTTCCAGCTTTCCATCTTGCCTTGATCCAAATCAGCCCCCACGCCACTGCCAGGATAACTTTGTCTTAGTAAAGCTTCATGCATACTATCTCCTTGAAAAAAAAAACAAAAAACAAAACTTTGGTGGTTTTCCACGGCCTGCCTGCCCTATTGGATTGTGATTTTCCACTCTAGTATTGATTGCTGTCTGCAACAGATCTTTAGCTGTTGTAGTGAAACAAGTCAATTTCACTACAACACTCAGGCCTTTTTCTAAGAGTCTCTGTTCCTGCACACAGCCTCTGAAAGGGGCACCTTGCACCTAAATGTCCTGTGTCCCACCTCCTCCTCTTGTACATTGTGATGAGACTGGGATAGAAGCCTGGCCTATAGGAAACTAGTTCACAGACTATGACAGCTTGCGAATTTGCTCTGGGAAATTAGTGTTGTCAGAGGGCTTGGGGGGGTGTCAAAGGGTACTTGTGGCAGAGATCCTAGTCCAATAGCCATCTTCCTCTTTCCCAGGTTTTATGCACACATGGCTGCCCAGAATAAAAACAGTATGTTCAGCCTTTCTTACAGAAAGGTGTGATCATGGGACCAAGCTCTGGCCAGCAATTTATATGAGGCAGATAATGGTAAATCCTACTTTATGCCTGTTATCCACACAAGGATTTCAGTTTAGATGACATATTATATGGTCACCTTAAATAAACAGGCATGGTATGTGCAGCTTCCAGGGAGTCCTCTTCCCCTCTTCCTCCTTTCTGCTGGCTGGAAAGCAGACGCAACAGCGGAGCTTCGAAGTCATCCTGGAGCATCCCATCATGGTCTTTGAATTTGCTTTTTATAAGGGATCATGGAATGGAAATCCTGCACAGGAGTGCAGAGAGATGGAAGGCGCCTGGGGGCTCACACCATGGCACATCACACCAGCCAGAGGCTCATTACCTCTGAATTTCTTGAATGTGAGAGAGAAACACGCTCTTATACTGCAGTTGAACTTACTCCTAACCAACATAGTACTTGAACTAAAAAGTCTTATAAAGTTGTTTCTTTCACGATACAAGCCAATGCCTTGTGCGTGCTGGAGTTCTTCAAGCAGATGAGTTGGTCCGCAGAGAGGAGAATGAAATAGACATGGACAAAGAACCATGCACAAAGAGGGGCCTCATGAGAAATCGGGGAAGGAGACTTCCTTTCTACCTTTCTAATTCCAGTTTCAGTGGGGTCTACTGGTCTTTGTTTTCTGTCTGTAGATAACTCCTAGGTGGATTTGTTTTTTTTTACAACTTTCTGTTCATGGCAACCACACCTCTCCAGCTTTAACTCTCTCTTCACCCAACCCTGTTGACCACCCAAATGACTGCTTGCTGTTCCCTAACTGTGTTTGGTACTTTTCTGTCTTTGTGGCTGTGTGTGCCCTCCCTTCTGCCTGGAATGCAGTCTTCCTGCCCTCACCCAATACCACCTCTCCATGAAGCCTTCCCTTAGCCCAGCGGGATGCTTCTCTCCTTTTTTTGGACCTCCGCCATTTTGTTTGCCCATCCTGTGGCATTTCTTTTTCTCTGTCTCTCAACATAGTTACTTGTATACTTGACATATCCCACCCTTGACATCGTCAGCTCCTTGAAGGCAGGGCGACACCTTTACTAATTTGTGTGTTGTCTGCAGCAGCTGGCCTGCTCGTCTGTGTATCCTTAGTGTACACTAAGCATTTGTTGAACAGTTGTGGACTATAAAATACACAACAAAGACTTTCGAATGGTCTCTGGATAAGAGAGAACAGGCTGGCCAGGCACCGTGGCTCACGCCTGTAATCCCAGCACTTTGGGAGGCTGAGGCGGGCGGATCACAAGGTCAGGAGATCAAGACCATCCTGGCTACCATGGTGAAACTCCGTCTCTACTAAAAATACAAAAAATTAGCTGGGCGTGGTGGCCGGCGCCTGTAGTCCCAGCTACTTGGGAGGCTGATTTTTCTACTCCATACGTCTACGGTCCTGTGATAGACAGACCAGGGGACTCCTCAGCTCAGAGTCCATGAGGCCAGAAGCTGACATCCTAAATTTCTATTTAGAATGAATTTAAGCAAGCCAGCCAAACAGTCTGCCGTGAAACTGTCGGGAAGACAAGTGGTGGGTTGGGGGGGAAGCCGGGTGCGGTAGGCTCACGCCTGTCATCCCCGCACTTTGGGAGGCCAAGGGCAGGTGGATCCCTCGATCCAAGCCTTGGCAACATGGTGAAACCTCGTCTCTAAAAAAATACAAAAACTAACTGGTTCCATATCCTGGACTCAAAGTTAATAAATAGATAAATAGGCCGGGTGCGGTGGCTCACGCCTGTAATCCCAACACTTTGGGAGGCTGAGGCGGGCGGATCATGAGGTCAGGAGATCGAGACCATCCTGGCTAACACAGTGAAACCCTGTCTCTACTGAAAATACAAAAAATTAGCCAGGCGCGGTGGCGGGCGCCTGTAGTCCCAGCTACTCCGGAGGCTGAGGCGGGAGAATGGCGTGAACGCGGGAGGCGGAGCTTGCAATGAGCCGAGATCGCGACCCTGCACTCCAGCTTGGGCGACACAGTGAGACTCCGTCTCAAAAAAAAAAAAAAAAAAAAAAAGAGAACAGGCTGTCTCTGAGTAGAGTATACAAGCTTTGGCGTAGGTCTTTGTGTCTTTTAGAGGCTTCCTCTTGTTTTTCTGGCTGAGTTGAGAGTACTGCATAGATGCCACTAGGTGTTTTACTGCAGTGTTAAAAGAGGAAACTTTCTAAATCATCATGGGAAGCTCTGCTGAGATAATAGGGGTTTTTGTTGAAATAAACTTCTGTGTTAAGTGTCATGTTTATGACTGTAGTAACATATAATAACTGAATTAGAAGCACAGAAAGTCTAAATAATTTATGAAAAAGTCATAGAGAAAGTCTGTGTCTCATAAAGGAGAAACAGTGAGGTCTTTGGATTTGCTTGCATTAGTTACTATATTATAGACTCAATAATCTGCAACCTACATTCAATATAATCATAATAATTGTCAAAAGGGTTATTAAATGATCACATATGTGTAACTCTGGTTGAGCTTTCTACATCCAAATCAGGAAGATCAGATCTGGCTCACAGTGTGTTAGAAAATCCAGTCTAGACTGGGCGTGGTGGCTCACTCCTGTAATCCCAGCATTTTGGAAGGCTGAAGTGGGCAGATCACTTGAGGGCAAGAGTTCAAGACCAGCCTGGCCAATATGGTAAAACCCCGTCTCTACTAAAAATACAAAAATTAGCCGGGTGTGCTGGCGTGTGCCTGTGGTCCCAGTTACTCCAGAGGCTGAGGCAGTAGAATCGCTTGAAGCTGGGAGGCGGAGGTTGCAGTGAGCGAGATCGTGCCACTGCACTCCAGCCTGGGTGACACAGCGAGACTGTCTCAAAAAAGAAAATCCAGGCTGGGCACAGTGGCTCCCGCCTGTAATCTCAGCACTTTGGGAGGCCGAGATGGGTGGATCACGAGGTAAGGAGATCGAGATCATCCTGGCTAACACGGTGAAACCCCATCTCTACTAAAAATACACAAAAATTAGCTGGGCGTGGTGGCGGGCGCCTGTAGTCCCAGCTACTTGGGAGGCTGAGGCAGGAGAATGGCGTGAACCCGGGAGGAGGAGCTTGCGGTGAGCCGAGATTGCGCCCCTGCACTCCAGCCTGGGCAACAGAGCAAGACTCTATCTCAAAAAAAAAGAAAAGAAAAGAAAAGAAAATCCAGTCTAACCACGTCTTTCATTTTCTGTATATAATAGGCAGATTTTATGACCGACTTGGACAAATGTTTTGGTATTAACACTCACAGTAAAAAACAGACACCATAAAATGGATTTACTTTAGTAATTATAACTGCAACTTCAAATTATTACTAGGAGAGCATGTAACTGAATAATGTGGGCTAATGAAAAAAATGTGTGCCTCACGATGATGCATCACTTAAAGGTTATAATCTATAATCACTGGCAATTCATCACGCCTCCTTTCACACTCAACCATCATGTCATGACACACTGGTGTGTGTGTGTCATTTGTGTTAATAATAGTTTCAGTCATAGAAGTTGCCACTGATTTTACCTGATTTTGCAAATTAGAATGGATTTAAAGTTATTCTGTCTGTAGTTGGCCTCTCGTTTACTTCTTTTTTTCTTTTTTTATATTTTTAGAGACAGGGTTTTGCTCTGTTGCCCAGGCTGGAGTGCAGTGGTGCAATCATAGCTCACTGCAGCTTTGACCTCCTGGGCTCAAGCAATCTTCCTGCCTCAGCCTCCCGATAGCTGGAACTACAGGTGCATGCCACTAAGTCCTGCTAATTTTTTATTTTTAATTTTTTTTTTGTAGAGAAGAGGTCTCACTATGTTGCCCAGGCTGGTCTCAAACTCCTGGGCTGAAGCCATCCTTCCACCTCACCCTCCCAAAGCACTGGGATTATAGAAGTGCACCACGGTGCCTGGCCCACTTGCTGCTTTAATGGGTGAGAGAAGTGCTGAGTGACAGTTCGCATCACAGGAGCTGCATCTTACCCCAAACCTGGTTAGGCGAGACCTTCGATTGCTTCCTGGACACCTGGAGCGTGGCAGGAGGGCCCACACATGAGCTTTGCCATGTGCGTGTGCATGCGTGTGCGTGTGTGTGTGTCTGCTCCTACAGGGTGAGAACCACTTTCCCAGGCAAAGGCAGTAAGTGTGGACAGAAGGACAAAACTGGGGCTGAGAAACATTAGCACTGTTATGTAACAAACTCAAAGACAAAACACAGGGCAGTAGAGAATTCTAAGCATGTGGAGAGGTCTGCGGAGCCACATGGCAGCCTGCTGGATTCGGAGTCAGGCTTTGGCTGGCTCATCTGCTGTGTGTTTTCCCCAGCGAGTCCATATCCCACAGGATTGAGGGTGCTCAGATTTTATACTTTGGCCTTAGCAATTAGAAAAACAGTCAATTCTCACGACATTTATTTTCAAAAGATGTCATAACTTTATTTTGCTTACTGCTGATATAATATTACAGAAAATGAAAATGAAAACATAGCTAATATTGCATTAGATTGTATATCCGTTTTGGTGAGAGAGATTTTATAAATTCAGTCAGTGTGCAAATGGAATTTGTTTTATTTGTTAACACACACAATAAAGCTTACTATTTCACAAGAATACAGATTTCTGTTTTTTACTGACAATTGTCTAAAATATTCTCATGAGAGGGGCTGGACTAGAGCTAGCACTTTCTTTTTTTTTTTTTTTTTTTTTTTTTTTTTGAGACGGAGTCTGCTCTGTCGCCCAGGCTGGAAGTGCAGTGGTGCTATCTCGGCTCATTGCAAGCTCCGCCTCCCAGGTTCACGCCATTCTCCTGCCTCAGCCTCCCGAGTAGCTGGGACTACAGGCGCCCGCCACCACGCCCAGCTAATTTTTTGTATTTTTAGTAGAGACGGGGCTTCACCATCTTAGCCAGGATGGTCTGGATCTTCTGACCACGTGATCCGCCCGCCTCGGCCTCCCAAAGTGTTGGGATTACAGGCATGAGCCACTGCGCCCGGCCGAGCTAGCACTTTCTATACAAATTACTCCTAAGTAAAGTGTCGGAGTGTCTGAGGTGCTCTGTAGAAGCTGGGTCTGGAAGTTTGTCCTAGAATCCTCTAGAATTTCTTTTCTTCCATTCGACTCTTCAGTGAATGTCCTGTCTCTCTAGTTTAGGGTGTGGGGGTGCATGTGCTGCTACTGAATAATTCTTACTTGCCTGTAAGATACTGTACTAAATGGGAATTAGGCTTCTGAGGAAAGAAGCAAAATGATTTGGTGACTTTTGTCCCTAATTCCGTGACAAATGACCCATGGCTTTCCTGAGGAGGCAGCACACACAGCCGTAGGAAAGCTACAAATGAGAAATCTGTGCAGGAGAGGAGCTGCCAACAGAAAGGACTCGTCAGCTGGAACCAACAGTTAGCAAAAGGCCCTGGGACAGGGGACAGCAGGGTTCCATCAACCCGGGGAAGCAGCCCTCTGAGCCCAGCAGCCTGTGGTTGGAGCCACAGGCGGCCCAGAACCACGTGGTGCTCTGGGTGGTAGCATTGTATACTCTGTGCTACATTTGCTGGCCAGCTAATTTTCAGCTTCAGCATCTTCTTGGAAATGATACCGTCACAGCCTCACACCTCCTGTGACCCAGCAACGTGTACACATTGGAGGGAAGTGAGCTGCAGCAGATTAGGGTGCTCAGCCAGCAGGAACTGCCTGGCCTTTCCCCACCTGCAGGGCTCCCCCATGTCCACTCCCCCTTTGGCCTTGTCCTGCCTCTAAGACAAGGGCTAGGTCAGGCCATTCCTGACATGCCTTTTCAGGGGCACTATCTCTCTGGTCTTTCTGATGGAGGAATTCTGTCTTGTTTGTGGGAAAGAGAATTCTGGATCAGAAAATGGCCTCAACACCCAGGAGTCCCGCTCTAAATTAAGGCCTCCTACAGATCCCACTTAGCCCCAGCCTAAAAGCAGAATGGCTTCAGGACATATATTAATAAATAACATGGGCCGGGTGTGGTGGCTGACGCCTGTAATCCCAGCACTTTGGGAGGCTGAAGCAGGCGAATCACAAGGTCGGGAGATCGAGACCATCCTGGCTAACACGGTGAAACCCCGTCTCTACTAAAAAAAATACAAATAATTAGCCGGGCATGGTGGCGGGCGCCTGTAGTCCCAGCTACTTAGGAGGCTGAGGCAGGAGAATGGCGTGAACCGGGAGGCGGAGCGTGCAGTAAGCCGAGATCGCGCCACTGCACTCCAGCCTGGGCGACAGAGCGAGACTCCGTCTCAAAACTAAAAATAAATAAATAAATAAATAAATAAATAAATAAATAAATAACATTACACATCCCTGCACACACAATGCATACAGGATTTACCATGTGTGCCAGTCAGTTTTCCAAGCACTTTACATATACTGACTCATTTAGTTCTCATTAAAAGATCTATAATTTAGTAATATTGTTTTTATTATGTATCCTTTCATTGGTAAGGAAACTGAGGCCAGAAAGATTAAGTAACTTGTCCAAGGTCACCCAACTAATAGGTGGCAGAGCTGGGATCAGGATTTAGGGAATCTGTCTCCAGAGTCTATGCTCTTAGCTACTGCTCTATAAACGGTAGCTAAAATAATAGTGTCCTAGTTATCTGTGTAATAATAATAATATATTCTTATTCAACTGAATATATACCTAGGTATTTCTTAGTGAGTATAATCCCAGAACTTCCTTGACATCTCAAAAATACTGTTAGAAAGGTGATCATGGAAATCACCTACCATGAAGGAATATTTATACCAGTATTTCTTTCATTCTCAAAATTGTGTCTAGTGTGGAGGAAAGAACTCCATAGTGGGAGTCAGAGGACCTGGATTTATTTCCCAACTCCATATTTTTACCTGCCGTGGGTCCTTGAGCAAGTAATTTTGAGGGTCTGGTCCCTTGCTTTTTCATCCGTAAAATAAGATAATAATGTCACAGAATTGCAACCGTCAAAAAGATAAACTCTTTTGAAAACTATAAAGGAATACACAAATGTAAGAGAGTATTAATCTCTTGATCTCAGGTCTCTCTAAAATACTTAATCTGAGGATTTTTGACTTCTATGTGAAAACTGAAGAGTCCAGGCCGCAAAGGGTTTCCACCCAGCCTTCCCGAAGAGATATATAATAATGAATCTCACAACGCCTATCACTGTAGTTTGTTGTATAAAATTATATTTAAGCAGACTATGTAATAAATGGTATAAAATTCTCAATCTATAGAGCAGATTCAATCATGTTCAACCAAAGCTTTCATTATTAGGATAATGCCCAGCCCACAGCACTTTGGGAGGCTGAGATAGGAGGATTGTTTGAGCACAGGCGGTCGAGGCTGCAGTGGGCTATGATGGTGCCATTGCACTTCAGCCTGGGTGACAGAGCAAGACCCTGTCTCAAAAAAATAAAAAGGGAAAAGAGCTCTGTGACTTTCATTGTTAGGATAATGAAAGCTTTGGTTGAACATGATTGAGTTAGGGTGACTGCTAAAGGTCTCTGCTGAGTATTGGTGATAATCCACAACTGAAACTGATGGTCCGACTCTGATCACTGCTGTCCAGAGTCTGAGGCACATGAGGAGGAAAATGAGGTAAACAACATTCCTCTTAGAATGTTGCTTCAAGAAAGCTCAAGTTTTGGCAGTATGCCCTAGATGACACCTGCTTGCACTGCCAAGTGGCTGCCATTTCTTCTGCTCTTCCCTAGGAAAACAGACAAGCTCAAACAACAGGATGTGCGTATGGTATTCTTAGAGGGGTGGACGCTGAGCAGCTCTCCCGGGCCTGAGGGTCCTCCCGGCCTGCCTCCAGTTGGCATGTTTCTTGAACAGGAGCTCCCTGACAACCTGGGAAAGAGCTTGGGCTTTGCTATCTGGGAAAACTGGGCTTGGGACATTCATTAGCTGTTACTTGGGCAGGTTATCAAATGTTTCTCACTTGTCTATAAAATGAAGATAGTGATTTTAACATATAGCTGGGATGTCTCCTAAATGTTAGATACCACATTAGTATTATTATTATTGCTTTATGATAAAATATTACATGAAGTGCTGTCGGGGGCAGGTTCAGGGTTTCTATAAACTGGTGATGTTGGAACTGCTACAAAAGAACCATGCACCTTGAGTCTGACCTGTAAGAAAGCCTTCAGCAGGACCACAGTGGAGGCCAGGATGGATGAGGCTGAGAGGAAGGTGAAGTTTACGTTTGATGGCCCCTGAAATTGCCTCCCTACAAAGGGCTGTCTTTCCTCTCCCACGTTTTAATGTTGTCTTCCCACCCATAACTCGCCCTTATCTTCTCTTCTGTCTGCATTCTACACCCAGGAAAAATTTCAGGTCCGCACCCGGGGAGATGGTTTTTGACAGGTTGATCATTTGGAACTCTTCCAGTTACATTCTGAAGACATTGCCAACTTCCTAAATGTAGGCCTGATGCCATCCATGGTCCTCTGCTGAGGGTCACATTCCTTCCAGAAGGTCTCAGCTGACAGCCACGGTGTGGCAGTGCTGCCAGAGATCTTATCTGGTGATGTCTGAGCTTTCTGGCACTGTTCTTTTGTGTGGAGGTGGGAAGTGGGGAGGAAGCTGATGAGAAGGAGGGTGGAGACAGGCCGGGTGGTTAGAATTGTGCTCCCAGAGCACAGAGGCTCATTTGAAATATTGATTCCTCTGTGGAGGTCACAGCCCAGCCTTTGCTGTGCTTTCAGAGGGGCTATTTATATATTTTAGTCTTTGTTTCGGAGTTGCCTCTTATATTGGTGACACTCCAGCTTTGCTGAAGTCGTGTTTAAAAAAGAAAGTAGTAATTATTGATTGCACACTCAAATGTGGGGACCAGAATGAACGCAGACAAAGACTTGCAGAGAAGCATTCTACTCCCACTGCTTCAAGGGGAATCTGGAATCCTAAAGCAAGGTTCTTAAAATAAATAAAGGCTTCCATGCCCCTGAAATGCAATAAGGCTATCTTGGGTTTTCAGGTCCATCTTCTGACTTTTGCACTGTGATGTTTTCATCTCTCCTCCTTCACGTGGAACGAAGCCAGGGTGGGGGTGAGGTGGGAGGGGAGCAGAGGTAAACTGAAAGGTTTGATCTTAAAGGTAATCTTTCCTTCTCGCACTCCTGAATTCTCTGCCTCCCTCCCATTCCTACCTTGGCAGTTTATTTACCAGAAGGCTGGAAGCAGTGTCAGAGCCTGGAGATGTCATGCCAGAGACTCAGGACATGCCCAAGTGCTTTCATCCTGCAGCTGAATAAGCAGCCCCAGGTGAGCCCAGCCTAAGAATCAGCAGAAGAATCAACCTTCCGAGCTGAGCACTGATCAATCCTTGTAAACATAAGAATTAATGGAATGGTGGTCGCTTTTTAAAAATTATTTTAAAAATAGAGATGAGGTCTCACTATGTTACAAAGGCTAGCCTCAAGCCATCCTCCTGCCTTGGCCTCCCAAAGTACTGGGATGACAGGTGCGAGCCACCTTGGCCAGCCAGTGGTTGCTTTAAGCTATAAAGTTAGATTGTTATGTAATAATAGATAACCAAAACATAACCCACTAGACTACTGTTAAGAAGATGAAACTATTACTCTTTTGGAAAGCAAAAAGGTAGTACTTACCAAAATCTAAAAAGATATTTATATCCTTGGAAGCAGAAATTGTACTACTCTAACATTATCCTAAAAATTATTCAACAAGCAAAAAACCATAGTATGAAAAGTGTTCAGTGTAGTACTATTTTAAAAAAAATTTACAAATAATCTAATGGAGTGAAAATTAATTACAGGTTTACTAAATTATGATACATCAACACATGGGAATGTTGATGTACTTTTTAAAATAAATCCCTCCTGCGCAACTAAATTGAAACCAGTGATTTAAAAAAACATATTTTAAATATTTATTTTTACTTCGAGAATACACAGTTACATTTACTTTCCTGTCTTTCAATTTAGAGCCCAAGCTTTTCTTCCAGTGTAAGTCTGCTGCCTTGACTTCCACATTATCTTGTGCATAATCACATCTGTACACTACCATGGTGTAAGAAATTGAAGACATTTGGGGATCTATATGAATGCAGAATCACCTAGATTGCCCTCCCCCCAGGCTTTTATAGTTATCTCACTATATCCATTTCAGTAGCCTTTATTTTTAGTGACTCATTTTTATTGAAATTTGCAACTTAGTCTTTATAATTTTGTTTTGCACTCACATTTTAATGGTTTATGTAATATTTAATTAAATTTTGCAATTATAAAATCAAATATGATAGCAAGAACAGGTATGGGGACAAACACAACAGACTTTTGGTTAGAAGACAGTCCAATAGGTGAAAGCACAAGTTGGGGAGGGTGTGCACCAGAGCACAGCCTCCGGTCCTCCAGTGTCCCTGACTGGGGGCTGTCAGAGAGAATGCTCAGCAGAGGCCATGGAGATTGGCAGGTACCATGAGTGGCTGGTTCAGCGGAAGGCAGTAAAGAGGCCTTCTCCTCTAAACGTGAATACTGTGTAATATAGAAGCATTATGTTATAATGTTAAGCAAAGAAATACAAAATGTAAGAATGTGATGGCAAAAAGTAGTAAAAAAAAAATGTAACTTACTGAAATGCCTGGGGTTTGGTTTAGGGCCTGCTGCTGGCTGCACAGAAAGCCAATGACTGAGACGATGATTACTGCCAAAGAAGAAGGCTTTAATTGGGTGCTGTAGGCGAGGAGGAGAAGGGAGATCAGTCTCAAATTCATCTCCCTGACATACTAAAATTAGGAGTTTATATAGCAGGGAAGAAATGTAACAATGTGTTGGAAAACAGGAACTAGGGAGGGGCCTGACTCTCATTGTCTGGATGCAGTGATCTGGTGAGGTTGAGATCTTTGATACTTTTTGAGAGGCCTGGGGGTCCTTTCCTGAGGAAGGAACTCAGATAAAACAAAAGTAAATTTCAAGCTTTAAAGACCCACCCTGTCACCCAGGCTGGAGTGCAGTGGCAGGACCTTGGCTCACTGCAACCTCCACCCCCTGGGCTCACGTTATCTTCCGCCCTCAGCCTCCTGAGTAGCTGGGACCACAGGTGCACATCACCACACCCAGCTAATTTTTTGTGTGTTTTTAGTAGGGACGAGGTCTTGCCATGTTGCCCAGGCTGGTCTCAAACTCTTGAGCGCAAGCAATTCTCCCACCTCGGCCTCCCAAAGTGCTGGGATTATAGGTGTGAGCCACTGCGCCCAGCCAGAAAAGTCCATTTCTATGTTTATCCAAAAGAACTATCTCTGGGACGATTGGGTCGGTTTCATAACCATGTAGACAAAGACTGGGATGGTTTATCTCAGGAACCTAGTTCCAAAAACTGACCAAGAAAGGGCTGTTTCCTATGGCAATGCAAATACATACTCAAACCTGAAGTATACCAGTTGTCTATGATAGATTCATTATATGGTTTAGGGCAGGGCTAAGAAAGAACTGTGTACACCAATCCTATTAGAAACTTATGAAAATAACTTATAAAGGTTGTGGAAAGTACTTACTTAGTGAATCTTAATTTTGTGAAACATGAGTGATGTGGGATTTATTTATACAATTATGTCTGTAATCCCAGGGATGAGTTTTATCCAGTTTTCTTTATTTGTAAAATGGTAATGGTTTAGTAGCCCCTAAACAAAATCCATATCTTTCTGACATTTAATCACATGAATTATTAATCACATAGATTATTCTTGTGATGCATTTGTACCTTTTTTGATAATTTTTGCACTTTTTGGTAGAGAAATTTAGTAGAGTCTAATTTATCTTTACAACTAGAATAAGGGGTCATGTTGAAATTTATAGTTTGGCTCTGGAGGTATCAATTCATATAGATTTCAATATCAATTTCTTTAATATTTGGATAAATTATGACCATTAAACTAAAAATGTAAATAAAATTCATTCACTATTCAGTTACTGAGCACCCACTATGTTTCAAATCCTGTTTTGGCAGCTGGGATTAGAAGAATGTTACCGGTCCTGCCTTCAAGGGACTTGTAGAGTTAAACTAATTTCTACCAACCTTGAGTGCTGAGGCACGTCAAAGTTCAGCTCTCCACCCCTTTTGTTTTATGGATAAGGAAACTGAAGCGTAAAGAGAATGAGCAACTGTCCCAACATCAGGCCAGCTTGGATCTGCCAATTTCATTTTGGTTCCTGGCTTACATGAGTAAGGAAAACTAGTTAACAAAGTAGCGTGGGGTTGATTTCCTACTATATAACATTCTGGAAAAGGCAAAACTATGGAGGCAGTAAAAGGATCAGTGGTTGCCTAGGGTTAAGGAGAAGGGAGGGATGAATAGGCAGAGCTCAGGGAATTTTTACTGAAGTAAAACTGTTCTGTAGGACACGATAATGGTAGACACATATGTAATGTATTTGTCAGAATGCATAACATGCAACACCAAGAGTGAACCCTAATGTAAACTATGGACTTTGGATGATAATGTGTCAGTGTAGGTTCATGGATTGTAATAAATGCACCACTCTGTGCAAGATGTTGATAGTAAGGAAGGCTGTGAGTCAATGGGGTCAATGCTATATGGGAACTCTGTACAATTTTGCTATGAACTTAAAACTGCTCTAAAAAAATAAAGTCTATTAAAAAATAGCATGGAGTTCAATTATAATTAATCATCACTTTAATTTTTTAAGGAATTGGTTGGAATCATCTGTTTGTTATTTAATTTGTTTCTTTTTTTTTCTTTTCTTTCTTTCTTTTTTTTTTGAGATGGAGTCGTGCTCTGTCTCCCAGGCTGGAGTGTGGCACAGTCTCAGCTCACTGCAACCTCTGCCTCCCGGGTTCAAGTGATTTTTGTGCCTCAGCATCCCAAGTAGCTGGGATTACAGACATGCGCCACCATGCCCGGCTAATTTTTGTATTTTTAGTAGAGATGGGGTTTCACCATGTTGGCCAGGCTGGTCTTGAACTCCTGACTTCAAGTGATCCACCCGCCTCGGCCTCCCAAAGTGCTGGGGTTACAGGTGTGAGCCACTGTGCCCGGCCTGTTATTTGTTTTTATATATGTATTATATATGGAAGTTTTCAAAATAATAAATCAACAAAAGAGTAAATGTTGCAAGCTGAGCATGGTGGCTCACATCTGTAATCCTAGCACTTTGGGAGGCTGAGGTGGAATAATTGCTTGTGGGCAGGAGTTTGAGACTAGCCTGGGCAACATAGGGATACTCCATCTCTACAGATAATCTTTAAAACTTAGCCGGGCATGGTGGTATGCGCCTGTGAACCAGCTATTTGGGAGACTGAGGTGGGAGGATCACTTGAGTCTAGGAGGTCAAGGCTGTAGTGTAAGCTGTGATTGCAACACTGCACTTCAGCCTAGGTGAGAGAACAAACCTGTCTTGAACAAACAAACAAACAAACAAACAAACAAAATAAAACGAGTAAAGGTTGCAGGAAAGAAGACAGGACAGTTGGCCTTAGAAGGAAGGCGGTCCTACTCTGTGGAATCACACAGATCTGAATTCAGCCCAGTAGCCACCCCTCCTGCTAACCAGGGACTGAGAGTGGTCTGTCTGGATACAGATTGTTCATCACCCTCAGTGTGATGGAAGCACCGCAGGAGAACTGGAAAAGGGGGCCAGGAATCTTGTCTTCAGTTTCTTCTCCTGGGAGGGGTAACAAAAAAAGACCAGAAACCAATGGGATTCTGTTTTTGCTTTTTTTAAATAGTTGAATGGGTTACCTTTAAAGATGCTTAGAAGGTAGAACTTCCTCCAAAATTGCTTTATTTTAGCCTTGAAAACACATCCATTTCCTTAAATCCTTTGAGATTTATTTTTCTTTTCTTTTCTTTCTTTCTTTTTTTTTTTGAGACAGGGTCTCACTGTGTCACCCAGGTTGGAGTGCAGTGGTGTAATCATGGCTCACTGCAGCCTTGACCTCCTGGGCTCAAGTGATCCTCCTACCTCAGCCTCCTGAGTAGCTGGGACCACAGGAGTGTGCCACCACGACTGGCTAATTTTCTGCTTTTTGGAGAAATGAGGGTCTCCCTGTGTTGTCCAGGCTGGTCTCAAACTGCTGGCCTCAAGTGATCCTCCCACCTCGGCCTCCCAAAAGTGCTGGAATTACAGGTGTGAGCCATTGCCTCCTTTCTCTTTTTGATTGAGAATGCCCAGTATGCTAGTACTAATGTGCAGACCCTATGGTCTCTGCAGCATGGCCAAGGCAGCTCCAGGGCCTCCCCTCTGCCTGGATTGCCTGGGACTCATCTAGGAGAGTCTCAAGGAAGAGCCGTCTCCCCCATAAGGACTCTGGGTCCATGGGCACCCCCTACAAGCTCATGAGAACTGCAGACTCTCAGGCTCTGCAATCCCCAGACTACGGAGTCAGAATCTGTGTTAAAGGGTGAGCAGCTCTGCTGAGGACGCACCTGAGAGGCTGGCCCAGGCCTGTGCACTGCTTGCTGGGAGCAAAGCATGTCATCAAACCAAACTGTGTCCATTTGCCTGTGTGTAACAGAAAGCCAAACATTGAGTCACTAGGTTTTGGCTGTGAGAAAGGTTCATTGTGAGTTGACTGACAAGGAGACAGGGGGCTATGCTCAAATCTGTCTCCCTGAGTTGGGTGCTGGGTTGGGTTTTTATAAGCACAAGGTAATGAGGTGTGATCTGATTGGATCTTGCAATGAGGTGATGCCAGAAGGCATGATCTGACTGGATCCTTCCATGGAATGTTTGCATCTTAACTCAATCCCAGCTCCTTAAGCACTTAGGTCCCACCAGTGGTTACATGCTTGGTTCATCTGGGCATGCTCAGGTTATGTGATCTTCAACCTGGGAGCCCGTGGCAACTGAAAAACTCACAGGTTTGTTAAATGAAAGTTGAACCAGATTGGTTTGATGGGTTACCAGCAGAGGCCTTTGGGGGTTGGCTGGAGCAGCACCACCCCTCTGTGGTGTGCACCTGGAGCACCCATCCACATAGGCCCCAATGATAAGATAGCGTTAACCACCAGCTGTGCTGTAGCAACCCAGCCCCTGTGGATGGCCACATAGTGGGTGAAGAAGTCCCAGGTTTTAACCCGGGCTTCTTTATTGGAAACTACATGCTTCTTCTCAAGTGGCTTTGTGGGCACAGAACCCAAGAGCTGAAACAATTCTTTCCCAAAAGAGGACACTGAGATTATTGGGCAGGAAGGAAGTTTTGGGCTTACTGAAGAAGGCTTGTCTGTATAAAATTGCTACTATTCGTGACATCTGTTCTTTAGATTATGTTTCCTGTGCTCTGTTTGTCAACTTGGAGCACCATAATGCACTTTGATTTATGGCTGCTGTCCTTAAAACCCACCTGAAAATAAGAACCCCCTCTTAACCTGTGAACAGAACTAGAACCCTGCCCCAATAACAGCTAATATTAATTTTTATTTAGTGCTTGCCAATCATCTCACAGCTAGGGGTGATGAAAGTGGATTTAACCAATATGCCTTAATGCTACTGTTTATGTGTGTCTGGCACTGTGCTGGGTGGTTTCCATTTTATTCCTCATCCTGAAGATAGCCCTGAAAGATATTGTTTATCTTGATTTTTCAGATGAGGAATCAGGGCTCAGAGATGTTAAATAGCTTGCCTGGTATCACAAAGCTAACATGTGATTGGCTCAGATTTCTAAACCTGCCTCTGTCTGACCCCGATGCTATGTCCTTCCCACTACCCCACACTGCCCTTCCAGCAAAGGTAGCATCCATGTGGAGGCAAGAATTGGGCTCCAATTTGCAGGAAGTGCAGATATGTTGGGGAGAGACTCAGGATATCAGAGCTGGAAGGAACGATTCAATTGAGGGTTTTCCAACTTCACGGTCCACGGACAACCATCTGGCTTGCGTGGATAGTGTATGATCCCCTAGATTTGGGAGTGTCTTGTGACCCCCTAGATCTGGAGAGTAGTGTGTGTCCCCCTGGATTCAGGGGTAGTGCATGATCTCCTGGATTTTTGTATAGATGAAGAAACAGGCCCAGACAGGTGACACTGCTTGCCAATGGCCAGAACCAGTTGGTGAAGGACTCAGACTCTCTGACTGTCTTCTTTCCTGAGCAAAATACATCATTATCTCTTCCAGAGCATGGACAACTGGTTGTGGCTGCTCACTTTTCTTCCAAATCTGGGGTTTAAGGCCTGAGTTTTTCATGACCGTGGCATTTGATACAGAGATGTGCTGGCTTCTGAAACAGAGCAGCCTCAGCTTTCCTGCTGCTTCATCTACTTCTGAGATAAAGACAGCCTAATGGGCATGGTTGCTCACACCTGTAATCCCAGCACTTTGGGAGGCCAAGGTGGGAGGATCACTTGAGGTCAGGAGTTCAAGACTAGCCTGGCCAACATGGTGAAACCCCGTCTTTACTAAAAAAAAAAAAAAGAAAATACTGAAATCAGTCGAGTGTGGTGGTGTGCGCCTATAATCCCAGCTACTCGGGAGGCTGAGGCAGAAGAATCACTTGAACCCAGGAGGCGGAGGCTGCAGTGAGTCAAGAACCGCCACTGCACTCCCGCCTGGGCAACAGAGTGAGACTCTGTCTCAAAAAAAGAGACAGCCTTATGGTTTCGTTAGAATGGGAAACGGCAGCAGGGCTGAAGGAAATTACCAAGACTAGCTGCACACTTGCTTATGAATCAGAACATTACACTTCTATGAGACCAAGTCTCATATATGCATTGTTAAGCTGGTACAGTATTTACTTCCACTTACCTACTGCCTCACCGTCATGGACCAGCCTCGGATACTCCCCAGCGAAAACATCCAGGGAGAGCGTGGCCGCCACGGCACACCTCAGGCCTTGGTCAGGGACACAGAGAAGGAAGAGGGTGCTCCCTGGGAAGGGCCTCCTCTTCCTCCTGGAACACAGACCCAGGAAGGTCTAGTGAAGCTCCGGAAGCCAAATCTCCCACGCGCCCACGTCTGGGTACCCACCCACGACCAGCATCACTTAGTCATTTTTATATTTAAATCGCCAGAAGCCTGAAAACTGTAGAAAGGACTTGTCCCAGGTGATTCATTGGGGATCCTAGCCACAGTCTTTTACTTTCATCCTCAAAGGCCTATGATGACAAACATAGCCAGGCTCAGCCCCAGCCCACCTGGCAGGTAAAGACAGCTAACGGCATGCCGTGGAAGCTCAGATGCCCCCAGTTTACGGAGCTCCAACCCTCTGCTGGGTTTGTACAGGAGCTCACGGTTGAAAGAGGCAGCCTCCATTGGAACAAACACCCAATCAGACATTGTGGAAAACAGAGAACATCCCCCGAGGAATTTTTAGGTGGGACTTCCTACCTAAGGAGATGAATACAGTATCATCTCTCACCTGCACTCCTGAAAGTGTCATATCTGGTTCTGTTTTTCACGATCTAACCCTCCTTCTAATCTGTTCTCCACCTGGCAGCTAGGATGTTCTTTGTTTATAAAAACTGGTTAAAATACACATAACATAAAATTTACCATTTTAACCATTTTTAAGTTGAAGTTCAGCAGCATTAAGAACATTCACTTTGTTGTGCAACCAGCACCATGATCCATCTCCAGAACCCCCTTCATCTTCTCAAATAGAAACTCTGTGCTCATTAAACAACCACTCCCCATTCCCGCCTTCCCCAGCCCCTGGCAACCACCGTTCTATTTTCTGTCTCCAGGAACCTGACTGTTCTGGTACCTCACATAAGTGGAATCTTGCGGTGTTTGTCCCCTTGTGCCTGGCATAGCATGATGTCCTCAGAGTTCATCCAGTCGTAGCATGTGACAGGATTTCCTTTGTTTTTAAGGCTAAATCATACTCTACATTTTGTGTATCTGTTCATCCGTTGATGGACACTGGGTGGTTTTAGAATGTTCTTTGCAAAAACGCAAGACTGATTGTATGACCGCAGGTGGGATGAGGCCCAAATCTTTAAAAAGCCATCAGGCTGTGCCCCCTTTGCAGGATCACCAGCCTCCCTCCATCCCAGGCCCCCAGTGTCCTCTCATTCCTCTGGGGCCTGGGCCTGGGAAGCTGTTCCCACAGCTTTTCACCTGGTTAACTCCTCACGCCAGTCCAATCCAAACCCAGGGTCCCATCCAAGTCAGAAGCACAGCCTCCTCTCTCAGGGCCCCTTGTGCTTCCTCCCAGCACAGCTCAGACCTGTCATTACACATCTGGTTCTGTGGGGGACCCCTGTTTCTGCCGGTGGACCCCTGTTTCTGCCGGTGGACTCCAAACCCAATGTTTAGCTCACCCCGGCAGTCCTGAATGCCTGACAGATAGGCGGCGCTCCACAGATGTGAATGTGGTGAAAGAATAAATGTTGGAAGGAGCATGGGGCTGGAGGCAGGCTAAATTTATTATTGATTGATTGATTGATTGATTGATTGATTGACAGAATCTTGCTTTCCCACCCAGGCTGGAGTGCAGTGGTGCAATATTGGCTCACTGCAACCTCCATCTCCTGGGTTCAAGCAATTCTCCCGCCTCAGCCTCCCAAGTAGCTGGGACTACAGGCATGCACCACCATGCCCGGCTAACTTTTTGTATTTTTAGTAGAGATGGGGTTTCGTCATTTTGGCCAGGCTGGTCTCGAACTCCTGACCTCAGGTGATTTGCCCACCTCAGCCTCCCAAAGTGCTGGGATTACAAGTGTGAGTCACTGTGCCTGGCCATTGCTTGAAGAATTTAGAGAATAAAACACCAGCACAGCACCCAGCATATAGTAGACACTCAGCAACATCACCGCCCTTCTTTTCTCTTACCCTAAATCTAGTCTGAAGGGAGATATGGGTGAGAACACATTTGCTCCCATAATTACCCTGAATTGTATTGGCTGACACGTAAAGCAGCATTTCCCTTGGAGAGAAGAATGGTGGAAAGGGTCTGGGGCCTTGGGTACCTTATAAGGTCCAGAAACCCTCTTGGCAAGGCCTGAATGCCCTACCTCAGCTCCATCAGCATTACCACCACCTGACCTTGTCCTGAGCCATAAGCCCTGGTGTTAGCTGTGGATACAGGAGCAAGGGCTTGGGGCAGGGGTGAAATTCTCCCTAGAACTACAACTGGAATGACACCCAGCAGGAGAAAGCCTCAATATGACTGTGTAAGATCACGGTGGTTCAGGAATCCCTTTTTTCCTACACTGTCCTGAGCAGGCTGAGCTCAGAACCACGAACATCTGCACACACGGGCAGCTGGCCCCGTCACCGGCCTCCAGGGGCAGTGCCCCCGCCATTATTAGTCATTACTAGAGCAAACATTAGTACAAGTACACACACAATTGCAGAATCATTGCTCTGATTGGAAACACTGGTGTGGAGTCTTGCAAGCATTCACTGGGTGAGACGGAAACTGTGAACTTGTTTTTCTAGGCTCAGACACTTCTTTCAGATCCAGGGCTGACAAAGAAAGGCCCATTACGTGGGGCACCTCCCCCAGGACTTCCTCTTCAAATATCAGCTAGATCAGGTTCCTTCTATGCAAATCATTTGCGCATTTATCCTGCTTTTCATTAACATAATATCTCCTGAGCCATCACCCTAGCCTCTCTCCTTTAAACATTTCACAGTCAAACGGAGCTCAACAGAAAGAGGGGTGATACCAGCGTCTTTGTTAAGGCGGTAGTCTTTATTCGTGTCTCCTCTGCCTGCTATATATTACTGTATGCCATAGCCACATCCAAAATGCTTTATTTTTTAGTGAAGAACAAAATAAAGCTGAGATGATCTACTCCTGGATTCAGAAGCCCCAAAATCTCAAGGAAATTGTGAATTCTACCTGTATGCACACAGTACACGATACTATGCTTGTTATCTATGAGACGGGCCAGATACTAGGTAGAACCTAAGAATAAATTGTGCAGCGGATGCGTTCTTTGCAAAAGACACTTATTACTGAGGACACATCTCCTCTGGATGGAGAAGTTATTCTGTGTAGGAGGGGGCTGAAGTGGGGGTTTCTACACCACCCTTTCTGGGAGAGCATGCTTCATTGCTTTGCCAGGTAGGGTCAGGTGGATGGGGTGGGCACCCCACAGTCCTATTCTGCTACTGACCACTTCCTCCCAATGGCACCTTTTTACAGTTTCTCACTTGATTTGTGCACACAAACACACAAGATCGTTCTTCTGGGGTCTGTATATGGTGATGTCGGCGTGTTTCCAATTCATTCTTCCTTTGTACCAGCACTTCGTAGGGAAACATAGGAGAGAACCCACTCGATGTTGTTAGGCTGAATTAATTTCATGTTTTGGGGTGGGAGGTAGGGGGACTTTCTGACTTCAAAGAGCCTTTGATTCTTATGTGATAAAACAGGGTACAGAACCATATATGATATAATCTTAGCTATGAATACAACCAACCCTGACACACCCACAAACACACACACAGGCTTGTGCATATATGCAATTTAAAAAAAGACTTCATACTGATACATCATAATGTTAAGAAAGCTTCTTCTGAGTGGCTGGGATTATCATTGGTTTTTAGTTTATTTTTTATTTTTTCTTTCAAAATGTCTATAGAAGCCTATATTACTCTTGTAATCAAAAAAGGTTACAAGAGTAACCTTTTATTTTGTTTCTTCTATAAAATAAAATCTTTTAATGTTTTTTCCTCTATAAAAATACCCTGGAAACTGATTAATTCTTAAGTAGTCATCAGGCAAATTTTTCAGAGGAATTAATTAACAGCTAGCTTAGAGCAAGGCATTGGAGAAATAGAACATGACATTAATATTCCAGGTTGAGGGAAAGATAGAGTGGTGACATGGAAGAGGAGAGGAGCTTGGCCATGCAGGATGATCTTACCAATGCCATGGCTTTCTTACTGGTGTTTATCTGGGACACACACATACACACAGCCTCTTCTTCTGCCATCTCCTAGTTCTGACACTCAGCCCTGAGCAGCCCTCAATCCAGCAGATGGAATACCTCCATGCCCAGGCTTTAAGGCCATAATCAAACTAATACTGTCTTAGTCTATTTTGTGCTGCTATACCAGAATACTTAAGAACATAAACTTTTTTCTCACAGCTCTGGAGGCTGAGTAGTCCAAGATCAAGACACTGTCATCTGGCAAGGGCCTTCTTGCTGAGTCCTCACGTGGCAGAAGACGGAAGAGTGAAAAAGAATCCAACTTCTGCTGTCAAGCCCTTTTAAAACAGTATTAATCTATTCAAAAGAGCAGAGCCCTTGTGACCCAAACACCTCCCAACACTGTTGCATCGAGATTAAGTTTCCAACATATGGATTTTGAGGGACACATTCAGATCATAGCAGATATTAGCAGTCAAGGTCCAACCAGGAAAATGAAAATATCTCCAAATATTTAAAATGAGGAAAATAAATTTAAGAATTGGCTTCATAAATGAAGGAAGAGCTAAGAGGCCAACAGGGACCATGAAGCCACTGAGAGATTAGTACCAGCAGGAAGCCACTCCATGCACTTGGACTGATCGTTTCTGGTAAACCCACGGCTAAAGAAACCACAGAGGGAGGGAAGGAATGTCCTGGTTTCTCCCTTCCTTCCTCTCGTCTTCTACCAGCACCTCCCATGCCAAACCCAGCTGGCAGCAGCTGCCCCTGAATCCCACTGTGATACCAAGCAGGGCAGGGGAAGGAGGAGTAACAGGTCTGAGGGCAGGGAAGCTACAGACTGGACACCACCTATCATTGGGTCAAAGAGCCTGGGAGCTGCCAGCTTGTCCCTTTCCCTCCCACCCTACTCCCCTGCCTGTTAGCAGGATGCACTTGAATCATGCCAGGTAATTTTTTCCTAGTCTATATCATCTTTGTGCCAGATCACAAAGATGAAAATATTACATTAGTTAAAAACGACCTCGTAGTCATTTTCATAAATGAGGGAACTGAAGTTTCAGAATGGCAGTCCCTCTCAGCCCTTGCTTCCAAGTTCCACCAAACTGAGAACAACTTCAGGGGCCAGAGAGGATCAGCTTTATAACTGAAGCTCATATGAAAACTAGTCTGCCCCTGGGCAAGGTAGGGGCTTTCTTCTCCCTTTCCCAAAGTCACCAACTGAAAGTCCTGAATGTCAGCAGGCCGAGAAGCAGGAAGGGGAAATCCTCTAACTCAGGAGGGGCGTCCCCAAGAGCATATAGACCCAAGGAATAGGAGAGGAGGGCTGGGGCTGGAGTTGCTTTTTGGGCACAGTGATCTTACCTCTGCCACTGTGGTCCAATAGACAGAAGGTCTTGCTAATTAGATTACTATCTCTCCCTTGTAGGGGACTGCTATGCTTTGAATGTCCATCCCATCCAAAATTCATGTTGAAATTTAATCCTCAAAGGGGCAGTATTGAGAGGTGGGGCCTTCACGAGATGACTGGATCATGAGAGGGCTCTACCCTCATGAATGGATTAATCTATTCGTGGACTAGTGAATTAATGAGTTATGATAATAGGACTGACTGCTTTACAGGAAGTGGAAGAGAGACCTGAACTAGCATGTGAGCTTGCTCAGCCCCTCACATGTGATGCCCTGCACTGCCTGGGGATTCTGCAGAGAATCCCCACCAGCAGGAAGGCCCTCACCAGATGCAGCCCCTCGACCTTGACCTTCTAAACCTTCATGACTGTAAAAAAGAAATTTTTTTTCTTTATAAATTACCCAGCTTCAGGTATTCTGTTATAAGCAACAGAAAACAGATTAGGACAAGGAGTGAAAAAAGAGGTGAGGCATCCAAAGCTCCCTTTATATTTCCCTGAGTGGTACAAATGTACATAGAAGATCCTATTTTATGAGCCAAGGCAGGAATTAAAGAAATGAAACAGGAGGGAGGCCTCCTCCCACCCACACCTCCACCCTCAACTGTGAAGATAACTTGGGGCATTTGGGGGCTCCCTCAGCATTGAAGTTGTAGTCATGATAGAAAAAAAGGCTACCTGGGGCAAACGGAGTAGGACAAAATAAACCCACCCATACCTGACAACGAGAGATAAACAGATGAGAGATAATCTGTTTATCTCTCATAAACCTCATTTAGCCTCATGTTTACATTTATTTCCAGTTCCTCAGATGGTCCTATTTTTGATAGGTAAATGTAATACAAAGGGATCATACATATGTATAGTTTTAAATTCTGCTTTAAAAAATAACATTATGTTATATATTGTATATTAGTAAGTATTATTCTAAAACATTATATTGGTAGGTTTATAGCAGGTCATCGAATGGCTGCTCAAAATTTAAATGTAGATTGTAAGACTTGCTCTACACAGTGTAAAAATATGGTCATACCTCTGCTATTAAAGCCGCAATTACTTTTGCACCAACTTGTCTTTTTGTTTCCTGTTTTGTTTTGTTTTTGAGACAGAGTCTTGCCCTGTCGCCCTGGCTGGGGTGCAGTGGCACGACCTTGGGTCACTGCAACCACCACCTCCCAGGTTCAAGCAATTCTCCTACCTCAGCCTCCTGAGTGGCTGGGACTACAGGCATGCACCGCCACGCTCGGCTAGTTTTTTGTATTTTTAGTAGAAACGGGGTTTCCCCATGTTGGCCAGGCTGGTCTCGAACTCCTGACCTCAAGGGATCCATCCACCTCAGCCTCCCAAAGTGCTGGGATTACAGGCGTGACTCCACCGTGCCCAGCCTATATTCTTTTGAAATTAATTGCTGAAGCTTCCCAGGCCCTTTGAGCGGAAAGTCCAACTTGTCCCTCTCAAAATTCCCTGCATTTCACCCAAGTTGTCCAAGAATGCTGGATCCTTCCTCAGCCCGGAGAGGACTCTAGGTAACAGGCTAGCAAAATGACAGCCGGGGCTCCAGCCTGCAGTTCCCGGTGGTTGCCACGTGGTGTCAGTGTTGAAGAGTAGTCCTGTACCCTGCAGCCGGCAATGACCATCCATCCTGGGATGTCCCTCCGCGTCTAGCCCCTTGTCGTTTACATTTCCATGCTCAGACATTGCCCTCTAAGACACAGCCACTAGGCAAGGCTTTTACGGGTCGGAGGTACTTCCAAGGTCAGCCATATACTTAATGCTCTGGAATCAATTCCACTACCAATTCTTTGGCCCTTGTGAAATTGGGACATGAAACTTGAATCTCCTTCCTGCAGGATAACTATTTCAACGTCTTGTTCACTTCCCTCTTACTAGATTTGAGTCCCCCTTTTGTACGTTTCTAATTTCAAATCAGACCTTTCTAATTTCAAATTTGAGAAAGTGGTGATTAGACTGCTGGCCCCTTTAGAAAACCCTGAGCTTCTCAGGGAAATCAGCCCACTTCTTCCCCAGCCAACAGCTCTGCAAATCAAGGACTATGTCAGATTTTGCTAAGCCATTCAGGGAAACAAAATGTTTTATGGTTTTTTGTTTTTGTTTTTGTTTTTAAATGGGTGCCTCCTTGTCCTCTGTTTATAAGAGACCACTGACACAATTCTTTATAGATCGAAGATCTGTTTCAGTGTGATTATCTATACCTGTGTTAAAATTTCTTTGTAAATAAAAATCTCATCCTCTATGTACCCCATGACCTGGTAGTTGTTCTATTGCTGGACTTCAAGTTGTTACTATGTTTTAAAAGTCATAATAATAAATAATGCTGACTTTTGGCTTAAAGATGTCAAATTGTCATGTGTTTATTTCCACTCCCTCCTGGTATCTTACTGAAATATATGACAACAACAAAAAAGTAAACAATGGGGGAAATCTCTGGCAGAGAGAGATAGTGGGAAAACATACCATTGATAGAGAAGAAACATGGAGACGTTCTGATGTAATAATAATGGCTATGTGGGTTTACTGTGCACCCAGCCTTGCTCAATGCCTTTACATGCATGCATTATCTCACCAAAGAATATGAGATAGGTGGAAGCTCCAAGCAAATGGAACTGGATTGCTGGGCACATGATACGGTTTGGCTCTGTGTCCCCGCCCAAATCTCATCTAGAATTGTAATCCGGACGTGTAGAGGGAGGGACCTGTAATCCCCATGTGTGGAGGTAGGGAGGTGATTAGATCATAGGGCGGTTTCCCCATGCTGTGCTCCAGATAGTGAGTTCTCACAGGTCTGATGGTTTTATAAGGGGTTCTTCCCCTTTCACTTTCTCTTCTTTCTTCTGCTGCCTTGTGAAGAGTGTGCTTGCTTCCCCTTCCGCCATGATTATAAGTTTCCCAAGGCCTTGCCAGCTTGCAGAACTGTGAGTCAATTAAACCTCTTTCCTTTATAAATTGCCCAGTCTCAGGGAAGTTCTTTATAGCAGTGTGAAAACGGACTAATACAGCACATCAAGCAACACTACTGTTTCTCCTTTTTCACACAGGAAAAGAAGAGGAGGGCTCCTCTGAGACCTCATTGGATGCATTTCCCAGCTTAGCCCAAGTGTGGGCTGCTCATGGGGTGTTGTGAGGGTGCGGGGATGGTTTGAAGGGCAAACGTGTCAGTGCGCTTCCGGGACCCCTCTCCAAGCCAGGCACCCAAACGCAGGACCGGGGACTCAGTCTACTCATGAGGACGAAGCTCAGCTTGGAAACCCAGATGCTCCACCTCCTCAGAACTCCTTCCAGCGATGCGGGGACAAGGTGATGCAGCCCCCTTCCCGTTGTCTGAACTTCAGCAGGTGCAGAGTGAGCACTTTGGTTGGAAATTCTTGACTGCGAGCTGTCTCCTGGGCTTCCCTCACAGGGGCCCCACAGTGCCCCAACCCTCCAGCAGGTGCCTGGACCCACTGCCATGCTGTTTCACTTGCCAAAATCAGGGGAATTCCTTTTCCTGGCTGGGCCTTTTCTTCTTTCCCAGTGAGCTGGGAGGTGAAAATTTTAGGACTCTATGAACAGAGACCAGTCAAGGCTCCTTATGGTTTTGTCCTTACTGCCCTTGATTTTCAGTCCAAAACCATTTTCAAGGACAACCTGCCATGACCTCCACTGGCTCAGCGTTCTGCCTGAAGGAGAGCTGCCTTCAGCAGCAGATCTCAGTTGCCCACCTTTTGGAGGTGGACCAAGGGGTCTTGCCTGCAACCAAATGACAACCTCAAAGTGGACCAGGTGTTTTCCTTACCTCATTTATAACCTGGGGTGTAAATGATTGGCAGTGGAAGGTCAAGCCGTAACTCCTGTGATGAATTGGGGCAGGTTAAATGGACTGATCTGTTTCTGTTCATCCATAGTAACATCATGCAGCCGCCCAGCAACATATTTGAACAAGAGTTTTGCAATCATCACACGCAAAATCTTTCTGTTGGAAAAAGGCACGCATATACCTTGGTAGAATATATTTGTTAATTGCTATTTGTTAGCTTCATCTTTTCTTCAAAATAGAGGAGAAATTATTACTTTGATAATGGGTAGAGGGGTTTCAGGCTTAAAAAGAGGAAATTTCCAAGGATATTAAGAATAAACACAGCAGCCAGGCGTGGTGGCTCAGGCCTGTAATCCCAGCACTTTGGGAGGCCGAGGTGGGCAGAACACGAGGTCAGGAGATCGAGACCGCCTGGCTAACCCGGTGAAGCCCCGTCTCTACTAAAAATACAAAAATTAGCCGGGTGTGGTGGCGGGTGCCTGTAGTCCCAGCTACTCCGGAGGCTGAGGCAGGAGAATGGCCTGAACATGGGAGGTGGAGCTTGCAGTGAGCCGAGATCGCACCACTGCACTCCAGCCTGGGCGACAAAGCGAGACTTTGTCAAAAAAAAAAAATAATAATAATAATAAACACAGCAGGGCAAAAACTGCTGTCTGCCATCTGCAGCCACACATGATGCTGGTTATTGAGGAGAGTGTGTCCATCTGGAATCAGATGCAATTGCTGAGGGAACTGCTGATGCTTGTATACCATGGCATGTGATACATGGAAGCAGACAATAACAACACAGAATCACTGGATATTTGTGGAGAATCAGCACCTCGAAGGAAAGAAAGTATTTCAAGCAATCAATATAAATACCTATCCCTACATATTATAGAGTTATTTCAGGAAACAAGAAATAAGACAATTATAAGTAGTATTCTTAGAAATATCCAGGCATGGCCTGGCGCAGTGGCTCAGGCCGGTAATCTCAGCACTTTGGGAGGCTGAGGCAGGCAGATCACTTGAGGCCGGGGGTTCGAGACCGGCCTGGCCAACATGGAGAAACACAGTCTCTACTGAAAATACAAAAATTAGCCAGTCATGGTGGTGCACACCTGTAGTCCCAGCTACTTGGGAGGCTGAGGCAGGAGGATCACTTGAACCTGGGAGGTGGAGGTTGCAGTGAGCAGAGATTGTGCCACTGCACTCCAGCCTGGGCAATAGAGGGAGACTCTCTCTGTGTGTGTGTGTGTGTGTGTGTGTGTGTGTGTGTGTGTATAGTTTTTGGATATGTATATATCCAAGCAGATATTCCTTCAATAAAGCAAGAGCAGACTTGGAAAAGAGCAATTAGATAAGAAAGAAGCGTATTTTAGAAATTAAAAATTCCAATGGAAACAAAAGATGATATACCCATACAATGAAATACTACTGAGGAATAAAAAGGGAAAAAATTACTGATACACTCTACGGCATGGATAAACCTCAAAAGCATTATGTTGAGCTAAGGAAGCCAGTTGCAGAAAGTGCATGCTATATGGTTTCTTTCATATAAAACTCGAACACAAGCGAAATTAATTGATGATATTAGAAATCGTTCGTGATTTCTGGGGAGGGGTCATGAATTGACCAGAAGGAGATGAAAAAACTTTCTGGGGTCATGGAAGTGTTTTACATCTTGACTGAATGGCTATACGGGTTATATGTATGCATTCATTACAACTGACTGTGCACTTAAAATTTGTGCATTCTATTGTATGAATATTATACAGGAATTTAAGAAAGGTGGCAAAGACTAATATGAATGGACTCCACTCTCAAAAACAACAGCAGCAACAACAAAACGCCTTTATATATACTCTGACTTATAGTAATTCAGCTGAAAACTGAATTAGTGAATTAGAGGAAAAGGTGATGGAAGTCATGAGAGATGGTGAAATATAAATGCAGTGTCACCATCACTTGTATAATAGGAATTTCATGATGAGAGAATAGAAGGAAAAAAATCACTGAGAATATGTAATAAATTGTTTCCTGAGTGGAGAAAAAGAGGCCGTTGAATGCCAAGTAGGAATTCTCAGAAAACTACCTCCAGTCTGGGCAACACAGCAAGGCTTCATTTCTATTAAAAAAAAAAATAGCCGGATGTGGTGGCACACACCTGTAATCTCAGCTACTCAGGAAGCTGAGGTGGGAGGATCGCTTGAGCCCAGGATAAGCCCGCAGTGAGCTGTGATAGTGCCACTGCACTCCAGCCTGGGTGAATGTATAATGTATGCTTTCGTCAATAGTGCACAAGAGGTAAGACTCTGTTTCAAAAAAAAAGAAAAAGAAAAAGAAAGAAAAGAGAGACAGAAAAAAAGAAAAACTACCTAAACATAGTCTGATGAAATTTCTCAAGCCTATGGTTAAAGGGAAAAATTTATAAGCTTCATGACAGGAAAAAAAAATACCGTCATAGAAAAGAGAATCAAACTTTTAACTTACAAACCAAATGCTAGAAGATTGTGAAACCACATTCCTAGGGTTTCCTCTTGGAAAAGATTGTTAGTAGCATTCCATACCCACTCAACTTATCTATCCTGTGTCAGGGTAAAGGAAGGCAGTCAGTATCCTATATACCTCCTCTGCTAAAAACAAAACAACAGTAAGAAACCTCAAGGCCGGGCGCGGTGGCTCACGCCTGTAATCCCAGCACTTTGGGAGGCCCAGGCGGGCGGATCACGAGGTCAGGAGATTGAGACTACCCTGGCTAACAAGGTGAAACCTCGTCTTTACTAAAAATACAAAAAAATTAGCCGAGCGTGGTAGCGGGCACCTGTGGTCCCAGCTACTTGGGAGGCTGAGGCAGGAGAATGGCATGAACCCAGGAGGCAGAGCTTGCAGTGAGCTGAGATCACGCCACTGCACTCCAACCTGGGCGACAGAGTGAGACTCCGTCTCAAAAAAAAAAAAAAAAGAAAAAAAAATTTCAAAACACCAAAATAGGGCAGGCGCAATGGCTCACATCTGTAATCCCAGCACTTTGGGAGGCTGAGGTGGACAGATCACGAGGTCAGGAGTTTGAGACCAGGCTGGCCAACATAGTGAAGCCCCATCTCTACTAAAAATACAAAAAAATTAGCTGGGCCGGGTGGCGTGAGCCTGTAATCCCAGATACTTGGGGGGCTGAGGCAGGAGAATTACTTGAACCCGGGAGGCAGAGGTTGCTGTCTGAGCCGAGATTGCATCACTGCACTCCAGCCCAGGCAACAGTGGTAGACTCTGGATCAAAAAAAAAAAAAAAAAAAAGGAAAGCATCAAAATAAATAATTCAGAAAAGATGAAGACAAAAAACAGTAATAAACAATAAGACCTGTAAAGTTTAAGTAATTGTTGGTAACACGGCTGTTTAGTACATTTTAAAGCTTTTTTTTTTTTTTTTTTTTTTCTGGAGACGGAGTCTCACTCTGTCGCTCAGGCTGGAGTGCGGTGGTGCAATCTCAGCTCACTGCAACCTCTGCCTCTCAGGTTCAAGCGATTCTCCTGCCTCAGCCTCCAGAGTAGCTGGGGTCACAGGCATGCGCCACCAAGCCCAGCTAATTTTTTTGTGTTTTCAGTAGAGACGGGGTTTCACCATGTTGCCCAGGCTGGTCTTGAACTCCTGACCTCAAGTGATCCACCTGCCTTGGTCTCCCAAAGTGATGAAATTACAGGCGTGAGCCACTGTACCCGGCCTTTAAAGCTTTCTTAAAGTAGAAGAGGCATCATGTAAAAAAAATAATAACATCAATCTAAACATCTGGACGATTTCAGCAGAGCTGGAAATACCCAGCAGGGGAGGCAGAGAGGAATTAGAAGTATGTGAATCACCCTTTTTTAAATCGAGGGAGTTATTTATATTGTTTAATTCTTGACACTGATGAAAAATACATTTTCAGATATGTCTTTTAGAATTGAAACAGGATTTTTAAAATGTTTCATTTCCCACTTTAGCAGCACATACACTAAAATTGGAATGACACAGAGCACGGCCCCTGAACAAGGATAACATGCAAGTTTGTGAAGTGTTCCATATTTTTGATGACTGGATAAAGAAAATCTGGTATATTTACTCCATGGAATATTATTCAGCCATAAAAAGCATGAAATCCTGTCATTTGTGGCAACATGAATGGAACTAGAGGACATTCTGTTAAGAGAAATAAGCCAGGAACAGAAAGTTAAACACCACATGGGATTCATTAGATTCTTACAAGGAGTGTGCAGTTCACAGTAAAGTTTGTGCTCCTATGAGACTCTAATGCTGCCAATGATCTGATAGGAGGCAGAGCTCAGGCTGTAATGCTTGCTGGCCCGCAGCCTGCCTCTGGCTGTGTGGGCCAGTTCCTAACAGGTCACGGACTGGTACAGGGATCCCTGCTCTAGAACAGTTGTATAATGTACACTTTCATCAATAGTGCACAATAACCATTTCATTGTAACTGCAGCAATACTGCATATTTTAATTTTAAAAAATTAGCGGCCGGGTGCGGTGGCTCATGCCTGTAATCCCAGCACTTTGGGAGGACGAGTCGGGCAGATCATGAGGTCAGGAAATGGAGACCATCCTGGCTAACACGGCTAACAAAACAAAACAAAACAAAAATTAGCCAATTTGTTAAAATTAAGAGTATTTAGGGGTAGCACTTCATTAATGTTGAAGTCTAACATTTTTTCTATATACTTATTTTTGTCAATTATAATTCCATTTATTTGAAACTGTAGAACATATATGGAATTGGGGGAGATTGTTTTTATTTTTGCTATTTATATAACTTGTGTAAGTTGCTTTGTAAGTCTTTTACTCATTTTTCTAAGAGACTTAATATTTTTCTTGTGGATTTTCGTAAACTTTTCACATATTAAAGACATTAATTCCTTATCCTATTTCCTTCAAATATTTTCCCAGTTTTTCATTTGCCTTTCAGTAGTGCCCTTTGACATATTCAGAATGATTCAATTTGGTCTTAAAATTTATTTGTGCTTAGATAAGTTCTTATGCATCTAAAAATCAGATATGCATATTTACTGGTTTTTGTTTGTTTATATTTTACTCTATATTCCATGTGAAATTTTAACCTATATGATGAAATGGGAATTTAACTTTATTTCCCCAAATAAGTAATAATTTGTACAACACCGATACAGTCCTGAACTCGAATCCTGGCCCAGAGATGAATTCTTGCTTGACCTTGGACACGTTACTTAATCTCTTTAAACATTGCTTTTATCATCTGTAAAATGGAGATAATAACACCTACTTTGTAGAGTTATAATAATTAAATAATATAATAAATGCAAAATTCCTAACAAGTATCCTGTTTAATAACTGTGAAGAGCCTGAGATTTTACCCTACTTGCCAGCTGACAAGTTAGCCTGCCAGTTTCACAGATGCTGGCAGAAGACCCAAGACTCCTGGATCAGAAACAAAGGACTTTATTATTATCTAATGCACAGCAGGCAGCAAGAGCATCACCATATGTGCATCAGTTCTCCTTGACTGAAGTCCCATGGTGGTGAAAGGATGAGCCCAGATAATTACCTAAACATGAAGTGGGTTGCATTATAGGAGAGGAACTCTGAGTTTAGCTTATCCAAATCTTCTAAAGCGTTCAGTAAGCATGCCTGCCCTTTGCTCTGTGGGAGCACCTCTATTTTCCAAGGCTGTTTGCTAAATGAACAGCCATAAAAAGATAATCTAAAACAAAGGAGAGTTAGTCCCCCACAAGACTTGCAGAAAAGTGAAAGACCCATGGAGAATTGTCTCCCAACACCTGCATGTTCAATAAATGGAATTGTGTTTGTTATTATCTACTAAATTATTGTATACATCTGTCTTTGGGCTTTCTATTCTCTTTTATTTTATTGGCACTATGTTTATGTAATCTTATGTTCCATGAGAAAAATCTATGTTAATTTAAAAAAATTACTTTTATATAAAAGCTGAACAGATGATGAATTTAAATAACGTCATATATAGCAAAGTTAAACAACTTTGCTATATATGGTTTCGGTTATGGTAGAAAAATTGGTTCACATGGAAATCATCCCCCACTTCCTTTTGTGCTCTAAATACATAACAATGATAGACAAAACATCTTTAGCAACATGTGAAAGACATAACTATCTCAAAAACAAGATAAACATATCTGGGAACCACAGTCAGGATAGAAACGTGAAGGCATTATTACATAAAACCACAAGCCTCCTGGGCTCCAGATCCAGAAGCAGGCAAAACTGGCCACAGGGCTGCCACAGTACACTACTATAGGGGCAGCATTCATATTGCTGGGTTTTTTAAAAAAATATTTTTATTTTTCTCTTTAGAAAAAAAAGGACAGACACATTGTTATCTATGTGAATGGCCTCTCCTGGAGCACAGCTCCATTGGAGGGAGGGAACCAGTTTCATTCATAAAGCAGCCTAGAAAACAGTGTGACAAAGTTGAGAATGCTGCTGATCCGGACTGTGTTGGTATGGAGCTGCATGTATGCTGGAGTGAACATTTGTCATTTGTGGCTGCTTAATATTTTGACCACTGCCATGGTTTGAATGATGCCTCCAAAACTCATATTGAAATGTAATTGCCATTGTGATGGTATTAAGAGGTGATTAGTCATGCAGGCTGTGCTGTCAGGAATGGAGCAATGGTATTGCCATGGGAGTGGGTTTGTTACTGCGAGAGTTGGACCCCTTTCCCTCTCAGTCTTGCTTGCTCTGGCCTCTTGCCATGTGATACCTTCCATGTTATGATGCAGCAAGAAGACCCTCACCAGACGTGGCCCCTTGGTTTTCGCCTTCCCAGCCTCCATAGCCATGAGCCAAAGAAATATTTTTTTATTATAAATTACCCAATCTGTATTCTTGTTATACCTGCAGAAAAACAGACCAAGACAACCACCTTGCCCTCATTGTGGTAATTCTCCATATTGAGTCTTGCCTTCCCATAGCAGAAGCCAGAAAATGTGCATTCCAGGAGTTCCTTGAAACTAGGCTCCAGGCATGGGACCTTGTCTCGGCCAATCAGGTGTATCCCCATGAGACGCGGACTTGGGTGAGCAAGGTGTCAGAGACTGATTGTGTTCCCCTAAAATTCATATGTTGAAGCCCTCGTAAAGATAAAGCCTTTAAGAAGGCAATTGAGGGCTAGGCGCGGTGGCTCATGCCTGTAATCCCAGCACTTTGGGAGGCTGAAGCCGGCAGATCACGAGGTCAGGAGATCAAGACCATCCGGCTAACACGGTGAAACTCCGTCTCTACTAAAAACACAAAAAATTAGCCGGGCGTGGTGGTGGGCGCCTGTAGTCCCAGCTACTCGGGAGGCTGAGGCAGGAGAACGGTGTGAACCCGGGAGGCGGAGCTTGCAGTGAGCCGAGATCGCACCACTACACTCCAACCTTGGCGACAGAGTGAGACTCCATCTCAAAACAAAACAAAACAAAAAACTAAAAAAACCCGAAAGCAATTAAGGTTAAACGAGAACACAAGGATGGGGCCCTAATTCAATAGGACTAATGTCCTTACAGGAAGAGGAAGAAACAGGAGGGATGTGGACACACAGAGGAAAGGCCATGTGAGGACACGGCGAGGAGGCACTGTCTGCAAGCCAAGGAGAGAGGCCTGCTGCTATGGTCTGAATGCTACCCCCCAGATTCATACATTGAAACTTCATGGCTAGTGTGATCGTGTTAAGAGGTGGGGCCTTTTGGGGGTGATTAAGCCTTGAGGGCAAAATTCTCATGGATTGGACTAGGGCTCTTATAAAAGGGGTTGAGGCAATGGGTTTGCCCTCTTCTGTTCTTCCACTGTGTGAGGACACAGTGTTCATCCCCCCCGGAGGAGACCAGGCCCTCACCAGACACGAAACCTATTGGTGCCTTGATCTAGGCCATCCAGCCTGCAGAACTGTGATAAATTTATTTCTGTTTTTTGTTGCTGTTGTTTGTTTTTTGAGACGGAGTTTTGCACTTGTTGCCAGGCTGGAGTGCAGTGGCACAATCTCAGCTCACTGCAACCTCCGCCTCCGGGTTCAAGTGATTCTCCTGCCTCAGACTCCCGAGTAGCTGGGATGATAGGCATGTGCTACCATGCCTGGCTAATTTTGTATTTTTAGTAGAGATGGGGTTTTGCCATGCTGGTCAGGCTGGTCTCAAACTCCTGACCTCAGGTGATCCACCCGCCTTGGCCTCCCAAAGTGGTGGGATTACAGGAATAAGCCACCACGCCTGGCCTAAATTTCTGTTTTTTAAGCCACACAGTCTGTGCCACATGCTGACAGAGGCATCTATTTATTTGGGGGACAGCAATGGTGCAGAGTTGGTACCTGGTTCTGAATATCATCAGTGAACAAGTAGCAATGGTGTTTTTGCTAAAATAGACCCTGTGATGTCATTGGGCATCGTCCCTAGTTGTGTAGCTCCAGAGCTTGGTTTTTTAGCCCTGCCAGAGACCCTTGAGTTACCTAACATCCTATCAAAAGTTCCTTTTCTGCTTAAACACCGCTGTTATTTGCACCTAATACCCCCAATCGATACAGTAATTTTCTGTAGAAGACAGCATTGCAGAAAACCTGACTGCAGTGTCTTAAATACAAGGAAAGTTTGTGTCATGCTCCAGGCATCCTTGACTTGGGCTGGCCAGGTGGGTACAAGGGTTTTTTTTGTTTGTTTGTTTGTTTGTTTGTTTGTTTTTTTGAGACGGAGTCTTGCTCTGTTGCCCAGGCTGGAGTCCAGTGGCGCGATCTCAGCTCACTGCAAGCTCCGCCTCCTGGGTTCGTGCCATTCTCCTGCCTCAGCCTCCCAAGTAGCTGGGACTACAGGCGCCCGCCACCACACCCAGCTAATTTTTTTTTTTTTTTTTTTGTATTTTTAGTAGAGATGGGGTTTCACTGTGTTAGCCAGGATGGTCTCGCTCTCCTGACCTCGTGATCCACCCGCCTCGGCCTCCCAAAGTGCTGGGATTACAGGCATGAGCCACGGCGCCCGGCCTAGTACAAGGGGTTTTATGAGGGACTCAGGCTCCTTTCTCACCGTTGTCTGCTGTCCTCCCTGTGGAGCGTTTGTCCTCATGGCTATAAGTTGCCTGTTGCATCTTCTATATCGGGCGTCAGCAAACTTTGAAGGGGCCAAATGATGATGAACGCTGTGTCCTCACGTGGTGAAGAACAGAAAAGGGCAAACCCACTCCTAAGCCCTTGTGTAAGAGCCCTACTCCAATCCATGAAGTGGGGGCCATAGGTCTTTGCTAGAGCTACTCAAGTCTGCCATTGCAGCATGAAACAGCCACAGACACGTGTATATAAATGGGCATAGCTGCGTTCCAAAACACTTTATTTATGAAACCAGGCAGCAGGTGGAACTGGGCCCGTGGGCCACAGTTTGCGGATCCCTGTTCCATATCCAGGAGGAGGAGGAAGCAAGGGCCAGAGTCAGCACCTTCAGCTTAAAGCTCAATGGCCAGAGCTGTGTCGTATGACTACCCCCAACTGCAAAGGCAGTTGGAAGTCTGAGCATCTATTAACATTTACAGCCTTTAGAGCAGGGCCCCCCAAACATTTTCATGCCATGTGATGCATAGAAAATAGGGGTACATGTTTGATGTTACTTACTGCCAACTGGATATGGGGCAATGGCTGGCCCAAATCCTACTTGGCTGCCGCAAAGGTGGAAGGGATCAATTTCTCGGTCACACCTGTAACCCATTTGCAGATGCTGATTGGAAAGTTCTGCCCTGGAGTCAGACAGGCAAGGAAGAAGGTTGTAGGACAGAACAAGCTCCCCCACATGTGTACAGACTCAGGGACTGTATCTTTAATATTCTTATGGCACAAAAACTCCCAGGCACCACGGAAAACCTGGTTTTCATTAAATACATATTCTAAACTTTGATTGCAAAATTCTTCATAAATAGAGCATTCTTAAAATGTTTTTTAACATGGTGTGACACTCTTATTCTGGTACTTCCCAGGAAGTGGGAGTTGACACTTCAAATTGTAGTTTCTCCACCAGAAATAAGGGCTTCTTTTTGCATCCTGTGAGTAATTGCGACAGGGTGACAAGACACCCTAGCACTGGCCAAAACCACAAAGCTCCATATTTTTGGATTAGTGTGGATATTTAAAAAATTATTCCAATCCCTCACAAAGCTTTCTCTCTGCCCAGGCCCAGCTCTGGCTTTCCCTGGGCCCTCGAGTTCCCCAGTTCTTTTGTGCTCAAGCCCATGCTGTATTTCTGCTTTGCTTTACTTCTTGTGACTGAGACACACACGGTGTGATGGAACAGTGGTCTCTAGGCTGCCTTTGCCATAACTCCAGGTATATTCCCTGAAACATGTTTAACCATTCTCTGTACCTGGCCCATATTTGCTTTGCTGCACATAATATAATACTTTGCTAGTGGCCCTTAAGCAGGAGAATATGTATTGTTTACTTAACAAAAAGTTGAGAGGTGGGCAGCCTGAGGGTGGGTTTGGCAACTCAACAGTGTTACTGGGTGTCTTTTTTCTTCATGGACACAAGCATTGGCTTCTCCTGACAACACCCATGAAGGAAAGGGATGGTTGTCAAAGCCTTTCTCTCCCTGCACCTCTCTTAGAGAAGGAGCCCCCAACATATTTCTCCATATGTCTCACTGCCAGAATTGGGCCACAGCCCAGTCTTAAATTAAACAATCGCAACAAGAAGAGGAGACTAGCCAATCGCAAATCAACCTACACCGCTGAGACCAATCATGGATCAACCTGCATGGCTGAGACTAATCACAAGTCAACCTGCATGGCTGAGACCAATTACAAATCAACCTGTATGGCTGAGACCAATTACAAATCAACCTGCATGGCTGAGACCAATTACAAGTCAATCTGCATGGCTGAGACCAATCACAAATCAACCTGCATGGCTGAGACCAATTACAAGTCAATCTGCATGGCTGAGACCAATCACAAATCAACCTGCATGGCTGAGACCAATTACAAGTCAATCTGCATGGCTGAGAGCAGTCACAAAACAGCCTGCATGGCTGACATCAATCACAAGTCAACTGGCATGGCTGAGCATACTACTGACCAGACAAAAGGGGATTCCAAGAGCAAGAGACAGGAAGGATGGTTATTGGGTAGAAAACCAATAGCACCTGCCATTGTCCCCTCAGCTCTGAGTCAGTTTCCTTGGTGCTTGTTCCTTAGAGTGCAGAGGTCCTGTCTTCTGTGCCTTTATGATCCCCTCTTAGAATCCACTAGAGTGGCCTGTCCAAACGGAGATTAAAAAGATATTTTTAAAAAATATGTGTTCTCATGGAATACTACTCAGCATTTAAAGGACAAATTACTGGCACGTGGAACAACATAGATGAATGTCACCAATGATATTATGCTGCGTGAACACAGCCAGCATACTACTTTTTTGTAGCATACTGCAAAGAGTATATACTGTATGATTGCCTTTATATGACGATAAATAGAACAGCTAAAAATAATCAAAGGTGGAAAAAAATTCAGAACAGTGGCTACCCATAAGGGGTGTGGAGATTGCCTGGGAAAGGAGCCAAAGAAGCTTTCTGGGAGAAGTAAAATGTTCTATTTTGTGTAATGTGTGGATTACAAGGGTGTGTCTATTTGTCAAAATCATACTGCTAAGCTGTCAGTGCGTTTGAGTGTATGCACCTTTTACAATAATAATTGAGTGTGGGGAGTGGGGAATGAGGGAGCTGTAGAGATAAAACAAGAATGACAGAATGTTGTGAATTGTTGGAGCTGGTGGATGAGAACTTGGAACATGGGGTTCACTATCTTTATTGTTTATTTTGTATGTTTGAAATTTTCTAGAATTAAAAATTGTTCAAAAAGTATTTCTCCCTTCTCTTTCATGCCACTGGGTTTTTAGTTTGCATCTCCTCTCTCCGAGGCTCTTCTCAGAGAAAGACCTGGATAAGCAGGCTTCTGCTGCCTTCTGGCATCAGGGGGCTAGAACTTAGTATTGTAACCATGAGCATCTCCGTCATCGGGCAGGGGGCCCAAGTGCAGGCTCCACAATGTGCAATCTGACTCCTTGGAAACAGAGATGCCTACTCTCCCTGTGTGCCTGGCCTCTAGCACAACAGCCTGCTCAGAGTGGGTGCTCAGCAAATGTTTGGTGAATGAATAAATGAATTATGAATTAACAGAAGAATGAAACTAATAAATGATCGTTGCAATAACCTGTAAAAAAACTTTTCAAAAAAAAGTGTATCATAGGCAGGACCCAATTTATATAAATGGATCATGCTCCAAAGAGTCATTTGTCACTTGTTTGGATTTCTTGAATTTCTTCTTAGTTGTAAAGTTTCCAGATCAGCCACTAAATGTGGTGACCTACTTCGAGTGAAAACGTGTAACATCGTTTCAAAGGAAAAAAATGCATTCTGAGATCTACCTCCAGAAAACCAGTCTCTAGTTGAAAGCTACCCGTCGCCCTGCAGCCTGGCCTGCAGCTCTACTTTCCTGACTTATACAGCCTGGCTGACTGTAAGATGGAATTAAGTAGTCTGTATTTACTGAGAGGCAATTACTCAAAGCAAGGTGGACAATACAACCTCCTGGAGGCTGTCCTGTCCCATGTTCTATCTCATTTCCCATTACAAAGGGCAGCTTCAGAATTTCTACCCAGGAAAGGGCTCAGGGCCCTTGTCTAGAAGCTGTGTTTGTTTTTATTTACATCACAGATGTATTTACAGTTGCTTAGCAGGGGTGGCAGAGGCCCCCTAAGGCACCCCTGGGCACTGTCACTCCTCATACGTTGCAGTTGTTATTGCTTTTACAAATATGAATCTTCCACCAGTAAATGGCCTGCCTGGTTACGGCAAGCTTTGTGCTGTTTTCCACACCATTAACCCCATCACCTGGTCAGCACTCCATAGCTGTTGTGGAACGGTGATGTCTGGGAGTGAGGCAGCTGAGTGTGGTGCACGCATGGGGTCTGCAGGTGCTTCCAGACCCCTAGCAGAACATCGCCAACCACTGCAGGCTGGGGCTTGGTTGTACCCCTTTGCAGGTGGCTATGGAGGCATCTCCCATGGGTATTGAAGGAATGATGTCTAGGAGACAGAAGAATGTTTACCCCATGCTATGTGCTAGTGTTTTGATGTACATGATCTCCTTTTATCTTCACAAACTACCCAGTGAGAATTAGCTAAGTAGCCCCATTTAACAGACAAGGAAACAGAGGCTTGGAGTGTTGTTCTGCTTGGAGATAAGAAAGTGTATAAACTCACTAAGATATCTAATCCTCAGGGCCAAAGCCCTCAGCACGTTGAGGACACTGAATCCCTCCTGTCCCCAAGCTCCATTACTATTATGTTGCAGCTACTTCTTGGATGTCAAAAAAATTTCATCCTACAGTCAGCCAGGCTGTATAAGGCAAGAAAGTGGAGCTGCAGCCCAGGCTGCAGGGTGACACGTAGCCCCCTTACCACCCACTCAAGGACACCCAGTGTGTTGGTGTCTTATTCCCACTGTCACGAATGAACACAAACCGAGTGACTGAAACCAACATACATGTATTCTCTTACCGTTCTGGAAGCCAGAAGTTCAGGCTCAGTTTCGCTCAGCGAACATCCAGCTGTCAGCCAACTGGTTTTTCCTGGAGGCTCTGGGGGGATTCCATTTCCTTGCTTATTCCAGCTTCTAGAGGCTGCTGAATTCCTTGGCTGATCCCCCTGCCTTACACCCCTTCTACCCCTTGCTTCCCTTGCCCCGTCTCTTACTTCTGTAGTCTAATCTCCCCTGCTTCTCTCTTGAGAGGGCCCTTGTGATGATGGGGGCCCACTTGGATAATGCAGGATCCGTACTCAGTCCCATCTGCAAAGTCCATTTTGCTGTATGAGGCAACATTCGAAGTTCTGGGGATTAGGCCAGGGGCGTCCTATGGGGGCCATCACTCAGCCAACCACATTCAGCACCACCGCAAAGATCTGGTGTGGGCAGGCCTAGGGGCAGGGTCAACATGCCAGGAAGAGAATGAACTTGGAAATGGAAATACCAACATTTCACTTGTTTAAGGATAGAAGAGAAAAATCATCCCACTGCAACTTGAATGAATTGACCATTTCTACTTTTCCTGTTTCCCTTCCTGTCCTTGGCTAAATGCAGAGGTAATTTTATATAATTGCAGTGATAGGATTAATACAATTTTCTGTTCTGCTTTTTTCACTTAATATCACTTTTTTTTTTAACGGAATCTCAGTCTGTCGCCCAGGTTGGAGTGCAGTGGTACAATCTCGGCCTACTGTAACCTCCACCTCCTGGGTTCAAGTGATTCTCCTGCCTCAGCCTCCTGAGTAGCTGGGATTACAGGCGTGCACCACCACACCCAGCTAATTCTTTTTCGTATTTTTAGTAGAGATGGGGTTTCACCATGTTGGCCAGGCTGGTCTCGAACTCCTGACCTCTGGTGATCCGCCCGTCTCAGCCTCCCAAAGTGCTGGGATTACAGGCGTGAGGCACTGTGCCCGGCCCACATGTATTTTAAACTATTGATAATTGCAACTCAGAATTCATGTTAAATTATTCTTTAATGTAAAAGAGGGTGATGTAAGAGGCTTCCTTTAAGCACCAAAGACCCACTAAGGTTAACAGATGTGCACAAGGCTGTGCCTGTGTTTTCTGGGCCGGGTCTGTGTCACAATTCCTCCCTCAACATCAGGCTCTGCTCCCCTGATGCCTCGTTCCTGGAACAATTTAAGATGCTTTCAATTGAAAGTCTTGGAAATCTGTCTAAGCCTTTTATGTCTATTGGGTCCCTCTTGTTTTCTGCTGGATGAAAAGGCCATGCAGGAGCCACATTGATGGTGGAGAAGAGAAAATAAATGTGTAAGGGGACACGCTACATAGACACTGGCCTGGGTCTCATTCCAAATGTATTTCCTAACTCATCCGTGCCCAGCAGCTGAGCTATCAGAAGATTCTGGTGGTGGCTAGATGTTTAGGCCTTTCCTAGACTGGAAATATTTCTTGCTGAAATAGCAGCTGCATATGCCTCCCCCAGAGAAGGAAAAGACGACCAGCAAGAAAAGTCATCAGAAAGTTGATTTAATTCCTGCATCCAAAGGTTATTCTGACGCTGCTGTTTCTCTTTCTAAATCCTACAAAGGTAAGGCAGGAGCAAATTTTACCATAATAGAAAAAAAAAAAAAAACACCCAACCCTTGGGCCTGTGTTTTCAGTAATTAGCTCAATGTGCTAATGAGAGTCTTCAGGGAGAACGGCATTAATTAATGGGTGAATTTCACTTTAATAAATGTATAGGCAATTTTCTAAATGCAGATGGCAGAGTCCGCCCTGATGGCTCTACCTAGAGCCACTCAACATGGTAAGTGTCGGAGGAAAGTGGTTAATTTGTAAAATGTTTCATGATCCTGATTAGAAGAGAAATAATGCTTGTGTTTGCTTTCCAATGTATTATTCATCTCTTCACAGCCCAAGAACTCCACATCCTTCCCCACCTCCCAGTGTCCTGAGGCTCTTTGTCACTCCTCTTTGTTGCTTCCGAAATGAGAAGACCTCTCCCTCTGGAGGACGGGGACCTCCCGCCTCGCCTCGAGTGGGCTCTCTCTCTCCACCAGTTTCTAATCCCAGGGAAGGTGAATGCCTTCCACTCTCTCTCTGAGTAGACAGAAAGGGGCAGAATGTTGCCCAAGCAAGATCAATGACACCGTCTAAAAGAAAGTGCCTTCTAGGCTAGGAAATGCAATGCACCAAAGTCATCATTTCTTTAAGAAATAATTTGCTGGTAGTTGGTTACAGACTTTAAACAACACCAGTCATGATAGGGAGCTAAGAGAAGTTCTGTTTTTTTAACCAACCCTCTGGGTTCAGTGTTATCTTCCTCCTTCACAGTCAGGCAAACAAAGGACAGGGTGAGAACCTAGGCTTCAATTTGAAAACACATTTCCAGGCTTTCCAGATGGGCTCATCTCGATGTTTTGAGAATTAAATGGAAAAGTACACCACAATTGTTGCTATTGCTTAGAGAAAAAGAGATGAAGGACAAGATCACCCATTTGTACCTGGTGCAAAGAGATTTATTGAGCATTTGCTTGTGCGAACCTATTGAGGGGGGAGTCACATGACAATAAAATCAAACTGCTCTGGATCAATAAACTTTATTTATTTTATTTATTTTTATTTTTTATTTTTTGAGACGGAGTCTAGCCCTGTCGCCCAGGCTGGAGTGCAATGGCACAATCTCAACTCACTGCAACCTCTGCCTCCTGGGTTCAAGCGATTCTCTTGCCTCAGCCTCCTGAGTAGCTGGGATTACAGGCATGCACCACCATGCCCAGCTAATTTTTGTATTTTTAGTAGAGATGGGGTTTCACTGTGTTGGCCAGGCTGGTCTCAAACTCCTGACCTCATGATTCACCAGCCTCGGCCTCCCAAAGTGCTGGAATTACAAGCATGAGCCACCACGCCTGGCCGTGGATCAATAAACTTTAGCAATTACAACAAGTCCAGATTCATTACAACCATTATCTTGACAATAAAATCTCAATCTAACAAATCTGTCAGCTGGACTCAAAATAATTGAAAAATCCAGTTAAATAGAAATGCCCTGGCCTGTCACTCAATGTTTTAATAATCAAAATGGAAAAGCGCTTCACAATTGTTGCTGTTGCTTAAGGGACACAGAGACGAAGGTCAAGATGACCTGTTTGTGCCTGGTGCAAACTCCCTCCTCATTGGGTGTCGGCCACACTCACCAGAGATCTGTCACCATCACGTACCTTATAAATCTGCGTTGATATCAGAATATGACTCTGAGGAACTGCACAATTCTCAAAGCAGATCCCGCCCACCTCGTCTTCGTATGACGTCTTTTCGGGGGAGGCAAATCATCACATTCCAGGGACACTTTTTTATACATAAGGTGGAATTTCCCCCCTCAACCCACAATGACTCAAAAACCAAGTTAATCGGGTATGATATTCTGATAGATTCTAAATGCAGCACAAAAATCCAGTATAACCACAGAATTTATATAGTCCTGAAATCACAATTTTTTTTCTTTTTAAGAACCAGAATGGAATTTGGGATTATCAAGTATTCATCACCCAGATGAGAAAACCCAGGCATAGAGGAGTTGGGATATTGGCTCCAAGCCAGGTGGCTACAACAGAATGATGTCCAGACCCAGCTCCTAATCTGCAGGGGCCCCATGACCCAAGAGGGAAATTTGCCCACTTGCTTTTTTCTTGCCAGTCTGCTGGTGTGCACACTTCTGGGACCCGGGCATGAATGCTGTGGCCCATCGCCCTAGGCTTGGCTGGATTCTAGTCTTTGGAGTCAACAGGCTGCTAAATTCAGACAAGTGGAGCAAATCTAGCAAAATGGAGAACCAGTATTGCCACGTCAGGACGCAGCGCAGCTTCACCAGATGCAATCCCTGTGTCTGCTGGGGACTCCTTCCTAATTCACCAGTCCTGGGAAGGCAGGAAACAGTGAGCCATGCTTCGTTTCATAATCAAGCTGAGAAGAAAAATGTGTGCTGGTCTCCACTCCATGACATTGATTATTGGGAGTTGGATAATTTTTGAAAAAGTGTTCAGAAAATTCTTGGCCAGGTGCGGTGGCTCACGCCTGTAATCCCAACATTTTGCGAGACTGAGGCGGGCAGATCACCTGAGGTCAGGGGTTTGAGAGGAGCCCGGCCAACATGGTGAAACCTCGTCTCTACTAAAAAAATACAAAAATTAGCCGGGCATGATGAGGGGTGCCTATAATCCCAGCTACTTGGGAGGCTGAGGCAGGGGAATCGCTTGAACCCAGGAGGCGGAGGTTGCAGTGAGCTGAGATTGCGCCATTGCACTCCAGCCTGGGTGACAAGAGTGAGACTTAGTCTCACAAAAAAAAAAAAAGAAGAAGAAAAAGAAAATTATTGCTACAAGTTAGAAGAAACAGTGTGTGAATGGCCAGGAACATGATGATGCTTTCTCACTCCAGCCAGACCAAGTTCAGGGGCACTGGCTGGAACCAGGAGTGGCCTCTGCTTTGCTGTTATGAGAAAGTAAGGACCATTGATGGTCAGTGTCCTGGGGTCTATTTTGAGAAGTCCCCGGGTCACATGAGCATTGAGAGGGAGACTATTTACTGGTCTACTCCTGGACCATGTTCAAAACTACCAGGAGAAATGCACAAGCCCTGCCCACAACACCGTTGGTGTGCCCAATTGGTGATTTTCACCCTTCAGCAATTCATCCATTTATTCCATAAGCCTTTAACTGACCACATTTTCTGTGCCAGGTACTTGGGCTGGGGATAAAATGATGAGGAAAGTGAATGCAATTTCTGTCCTTAAGGAGCATTCAATCCAGCAGTGGAGAGCAAGAAAAATAATCATCTCCACAGTGAATGGATTAGGTGACAAGTGTTCCCTTTGCCTTGCCTAGCCAATCTAGCCAATATGCCAACATGGGCACTAACAGGATAGGTCAGCTTAGCCAAGGCCAGGAGCAGAATCCATCTAGGCTGGAGGCTTAGACAGCGAGAGATTCAGAGGGTGACTTCCGGAATAAGGCTGCTCTGGTCACTGTTTTTTCCCTGTCACTCTCTAGTTTTGTGACCTTGGGCAGGTAACTGAGCATGTCCTGGTCTGTCTTTGCAGTTGTAGAAAGCGGGGTAGTGTCTCCTTTGTAGGGCTGCTGTGAGCCTCCAATGAACTGGTGCTCTTGCACAGAGCCTGGTACATGGGGAGTGTTGGCTGTTAGCGCACCAAGAGTTCATGGCCAGAAATTCAGTTTGTTGAAAGCAAGATTAACAAGAACACTAATCTAAGCAGCACAGAGGGCCTGGGGAGTGTCACAGAAATATATTAATAGTAGCAGAGTTTGGCCAGGCATGATGGCTCACACCTGCAATCCCAGCACTTTGGGAAGACGAGGTGGGTGGATCACCTGAGGTCAGGAGTTCGAGACCAGCCTGGGCAACATGGTGAAACCCCGTCTCTACTAAAAATACAAAAATTAGCTGGGTGTGGTGGCACGTGCCTATAGTCCCAGCTACTTGGGAGGCTGAGGCAGGAGAATTGCTTGAACCCGGGAGGTGGAGGTTGCAGTAAGCTGAGATTGCGCCACTGCACTCCAGTCTGGGTGACACAGTGAGACTCTGTCTCAAAAAAAAAAAAAAAAAAGTAGCAGAGTTCAAAAATGAGGCTGGTGTCAGGCAGGAAGGTGACACCGGACTGACCAACAGGCAGTCTGCGAGTGTTGTCCTCAGAGCTGGAAGGCGACGTGGCCAACAGCCTGCTGTGAACAGATGTGGTCCTTGACCCCCAGGCTGACCCAAAGGCTCTGTTTTGCATTTCCTGAGTCATCAAGATAGGGGTTGCAGCAGAATGGGGAGGCCAGGAGTTTGAAGGGGAGACAGACTTATGTTTAATGCTGTTTTAAGTTTTAAAATCAGAAGGTTAAACTTAAACTTTCCCTCTTGCTCACCTTTAGGAAGAACAAGCTCAATCGAGGTCACATTCACCGTGGTGCACCTGTTTTTCAGCCCAACTATTCAGAGGAAGGCAGGACCAAATGTTGTTCTCTGTCTTGATTTTCACTGGAAGCATAAGAAGTGGGGATGCCTGTCCTGTGCGTGTGTGTAGGAGAGTTTAAGTTCATAGTAAAACTGCAATTGGAGCCCATTAGGGAGAGATTGGGCTGCTGACACACATGGGAAGCAGTGCATTAGCCTATTTCCTTCCCGTAAAGACCTGTAAAAGCCAGTGTGATTTTTGCAGAATGAGACTCTTGCAGCCAGTAATCGGTTCGGGCAGCACCAGAAGCCCTGAAATCAACCAGACCGGGTCAAAGAGGCTCTGTGCTGGCTGTGGAATGGGAACTAATTTATCTTAACAGTCACAATGGTCAGATGGGGTCATCATCACCTTACTGCTTCTTGAGAGTTCTGCTGTTGCCAGAATTCCTTACATCCTCTGGGTTTTTTGGCGATCTAATGTGTGTGCTTGAGTTTTGTATCCCTTGAGAATACAAATGGCATCTTGTCTCAGCTGGAGAAGGGGAGAGAGGGGAGGGACTGGCCAAGGGGCAGCTTGTGAGTGTTGTCCTCAGAGCTGGAAGGCGATGTGGCTTTGGGAGCACCGTGTGCCACACTGAGGGCCTCACGCATGCCCAGCCATTTATCAGCTGAGTGTACCCAGCTCCTGGCCACGTGGTGGCCTGATGTAGTTTACCACTTACTTTATGCAATGAGGATCTCAAAAGAGTGTAATCGTGTGACTATTTATTCCTTATAAATCACTCACTGGCTTGTCTGGGACAATTCTTTCCCATTGATATCTGAGTTAGAGAAAGCCGACTGCTGCTGTGAACAGTCTCTGAGTAATTTGATCCTAAAACCATAACCCAGAAGCAATCAAAGGCACAGCTCTGTTGGGGAGACAGGGCCTTCCCATGATGTGGCTTTGAACAACTCAGAAATCACTGACCTAAGTGATGGAAGAAGAATTTCCAGATTCAGACCCACAAGGAATCCTTAACACTTTTGGATGGCACCACTCCAAGCCCAGAGCCGCTGCCGCAGGAGTCACCCCCATCGTGGCATCCCCCGGGGGACCAGGGCACACAGTCCAGCACTGTCTAGTTTGTGATCATCCCTCTCATTCAAGGAGGTTCTATGCAGAGCTTTCCCCCGTGTGGTTTATGGTTTATTATCCTGTTTGGAGCTCCTTTAAATTAAAACAATCCATGCCAGTGTGGCGCTCTCATTGTTGCCCCTGGTCTGTTTACTCCCAGCTCTCTTCAGGGAGGAAAAGGCTGGAAACTGCGTCCTAATGGCCCAATTAGTCCTAATGCTGCGTAGTGTTGACTGTTTAGTCACTACCATATTGTGTACAGAACTAATTGTGGTGAAAGCAAATGAATGGTCAGGAAACAAACAGGCTACTAGAAAATAATTACTTGGAGTGTTTCTCTTTAGTACCTGTGCAGCGGATTTCATTATAGTCAACAGCCTCTAAGCTGCTCGAAATAGTGGTATTTGTCATTTTCATAGAAACTTGATAATGACATTAATTTATCTTAATGGCCTGTTCTATTGTTATAAATAGTAAAATTAGCTTAAATTGTCTTGCTTTTGCTGGTTTTGGATGGCTGCAAAGGGCCCCACAGCAGCCGACGAGTAGATAATTTGGTGTGCTTGACAAATTTCCAATAATTTGTTATGTGGAACATGAGTAATGCTAGTACCATTAATGTTCATTTTCCTCTAAATTCATTACTGCCCTTTTCCCTTTTATCTTTTTTAATGTCTGGGCCATTTTTCTATATTTCAAGTGGAGCCACAGAGCCTATTCATATTCAGCCGGCTATTAACATTCTGCACATAGCGAACATCCTGTAGAAAAACAACTCTTTATGAAATGATGAGCCTGGTTGCTCTATCTGAGAGAAAAGCAGGCAAAATGGGGCTTACTGGTATCAGGGCCTGGGTATAATTAAGTCAAATGTAATTTTAAAGAAATTTAAATGTTTTCATTTTATGGCAAAGGTAAAACACACTCCAGGGAGAATCGAAGAAGGTGTAAATGCACTAATAACATTCATTCCTCCCTTTCATATTCCTCCTATTTCAACTTCACATGGCATTTTATCAAAGGTTATTATTCAGCATTCTCTATAAATTTGATTCTAATTAATCCCTAAGAAATATGGTGACTAATTTCATTTCTGTAAGCAGATATGTTGACATCTGAACAAATGTGAGGACTCTTTTTTACTAGAAAAACCCCTAGAATTTAGTATGCTTACTTTCAGTTCCACATCTTTGTCTTTCATTCATTATGGGTTGGGAGAGGCCGCATCATCAGTTGATTCAGTCTTTCTGCAGTTTCTAAGCATCTCCTCTACTTTCTTTCGCGTTGTCATATGAAGGCCACCAAACAATAAAGAGGCTGACTAGAGCTTTATATCAATTAAATAATGTATGTAAAACATGTACATTACAAACATGAAAACAATGTGTGCAATATCTATCCTGTACAAAGGAAAGGACATTGAGACCCAAATCCAATTTATTTCTACAATTTGGGTAGAATGATGTTGAAAGCTCAGGGCTTATCTACATTAATTCTTAGACTGGTACAACCCACCCCACTTTCACTCCAGGTTAAAATGCCCATCTAGAGTATAAAGAAAACACAAGCATATCTGGGGAGAAATAGGCATCTTAAGAAAAAAGAAATGTTGGCTTTCTTAGGATGCCTTGCTTTCTGAAAAAGGAAGAGTCTCCTTTCTGGAATTGTGCAAAACTCTTCCCAGTATTGTCTGGTCCTATTGGGGAATGCCAAGGAGGAAAGATTAGCTATTTTTTTTCTATTTTTTTTTTCTATTTCTATTTCTTTTCTTTTCTTTTAAGAGATGAGGTCTCACTATGTTGCCCAGGCTGGTCTCAAACTCCTGGCCTCAAGTGATCCTCCTGCCTCAGCCTCCCAAAGTGCTGGGATTTCAGGTGTGAACCACTGCACCCCACTGCTGATATTTTTTAAGTAGACCTTAGACATTTCTGTCAACCTAAAAGTCCCTGGATGACGACTTTTACACTGAAACAGAAAATCATCATTTAAAGAACTTTTCTTTTCATGAGACAAAATTATTCCTCTTTTTCCACTAATACAAACAGATTTTAAAAGCAGCCTATTCAATAAAATCACCCAAATGTACTCCTGAGTGTGTACCCAGGCTCTTCAAACCTCAGGGAGGGATGAAGCATAATGTACTAATAATGTAATGTATCAGCGGGGCAATTCATAAAATATTTATCCTAAAACAGAAAATGTGTCTGTCTGCCTTGTTCATTTATAAAATAATAGTTTAGGGGAATTAGGTACCAGCTAGATCCCTTAGTCAATGTAGTTGGCTTCACCCAGAGTCCATTAGACTAGGTTATGTATCTGCTAAGGAAGACGCAGCCTGTCAGCGGTGCATAATGGATCATGAAAGATAAATGGAATTAGGCAATTGAATAATTAGAGTGGTGCCTCCCAGAGTGGCTCTAAGTAAAGGGTTGCAGGGATTTCCATTAGAAACCTCCATTTCCATGGTTAGAAATCCATCTGGAAAAATTTGGCTGGGGCTGAAAGTTAGTACCAGGTGGGGCACTGAAGGGAAAGAATCTCCCCAGAGGCGCTGTGGTCCTCAAAGGCCAAGGCTGAGTGATTTAGGAGTCATGATGCTGGAGAGACTCAAGCCCCACTCCCTTCCTCACCTAAGTCAGCCTCCCAGGCACCAAAGCACCAGATCTGATGGAAGCGAACATTTCCCAGCTTGGGGGAAGGGTGTTATGTCTGATCTGCTCCTCTGTCCTCAGGCTTGGAGCACACAGTGATGTCTTAGGGAAAGGCTGTGCTGTGAATGGTGTGCCCCGGGACAGTGCAGTCTACAATCTACACAACTGTGCGAAGCCTCCCTTCAAGGGCCACATCCCCAACACCTAGCAGAGTGCCTGGCACACAGAAGCTGCTCAACAATATCCGATTAATACACAAACAAATTACTGTGATCTTTACAGAATTCAATGAGAAGCAAGAGGAGACAAATTGCAAACGAAGGTATTCCTAGGCTTGGCAGGCAAAGTTAGAAGAAGAATAGCTGCAGCTCTGTGCAGATGCCTTATGAGAAGAGAATAAAATCTCTGGGCCAGTTCTGAAGACCCCAGAATCAATTTCTTCAGTCACCGGTGTTTACTGAGCAGCTACAATGTACCAGGCTGTTCTAAGTGCTGGCAACACAAAGATGAAAACACAAGGATCCTGCCTTGGGGAGCTTTGTGTGTATGGGAGAGACATCAAGCTGGAGTAAAGGATGGTGCCCAGGGCAGGGGAGCACTAGGAAAGAGCCTCTCAGTCTGCCTGGAGAGCCCTGAGGGCTCTAAGCACACTAGTGTGAAGTAAAACCCACACCAACATTCAATTGCCTATGTTCATTCAACAGGATCTAGCTCTATTCTGAAAACTACTGGTGGAGGGAAAGGTTTTTATTCAATATGTGACTACAAATATAGGGAAAAGCAAAGTCATCTGGCCCCTGGCTTGGCCTCTTATTAGGTGAGAAACCTTGGGCAAGCCACCGAACATCTTTAAGCTTCAGTTTCCTCAATGTTAAAATGTTAATAGGTTGATAATAGCCAACTCACAGGTTCTGGGGTTTAAGCGAGAGATCCTATGCCTGAGCATACTGTGAACTCTATGTGTGCACAGTTTAGTTATGGCCAACACTATTTAAGGGAAATTTGAGTAAGTCCATGTAGCTTTTTTTTACTTTTTTTTTTTCTGGGTGGGGGGACAGAGTCTTGCTCTGTCGCCCAGGCTAGAGTGCAGTGGCACGATCTCAGCTCACTACAACTTCCACCTCCCGTGTTCAAGTGATTCTCGTGTCTCAGCCTCCCAAGTAGCTGAGACTACAGGCGTGTGCCACCATGCCCGGCTAATTTTTGTATTTTTAGTAGAAATAGGGTTTCCATGTTGGCCAGGCTGGTCTAGAACCCCTGGCCTCAAGTGATCCGCCCGCCTCAGCCTCCCAAAGTGTCGGGATTATAGGCATGAGCCACTGTGCCCGGCCCATGTAGCTTTCATACATGAAATACATGACATGTTTTCATCCACCACACACATTTGCATTAGGTCATTGGGCCCTATTTTATAGAGGAGGAAAATGTGACTTGAGAAGGCTGGGTAATTTGCTCTAATTCAATTGATTCATAATATGGGCGGGACTCAATCTCAGGGCACGGCGCTGTTAGGCAGCAGGTTTTGCTTCGCCTGCACAGAGGGGAGGGCCTGGCACAGCAGGGCGCAAGCCGGGAACTCGTGCGTGGACACACAAGCCTGGTCCACAGTGGAGATGGGTTTCCACCTGCAAGCTCCTGCTGGTGGAGATGCACCAGGGACAGATGCTCCCAAGGAAGTGCTGTTAGGGGCTGGTGTGTGACCATCGTGGCTTCAGGGAGCCAGCCTTGGGAGGGCCAATGGCCTCATTACTGTCCACACAGTTGCTTTATTAACAACTTTGCCCAGAGTGGCCCATAAATGGTTCAGCACCTCTTGAGGTCTTGCTCAATACAAAGGTGTGCTTCCATCCTGTTTTCTTCTCCATCTTCCTGATCCTCATCCCTCCTCCTTCTGTCCCGAGCCCACCCTCACTGTGTGCTGGCCCCCGTCTGGCCTGCTGCTGCCACATTCTCACACTAACAACCCTTCCCACTTCTCTATCTCCAGCTGTCTCTTTCACCCAGCTCCTTCATGTCAGCTTAAAGATATTCTCCATCCTCCCAATCCTAAACATAAATTCCTTAAACAACAGTCTTCCAGCCATTCTTTGGGTCCCTCAGCTATCGTAAGAATCCAGGTTCTGTCCCCGGCCCTCTATCTCCATCCCCTTCATGCAGGCTCTGCTTTTGCTGTGGTGACTGATGACCTCCTGCCTGGACATCCAGTGTCTTCACCCAGCCTGTCGTCAGCATGTCCTCAAACAAGTGGTGGGTACTGGTTTTGTGCCTCCTTCTCAGGGCTCTCTTCTCCCTGCAACACCCTCTTATCTTTCCACTTGTCCATCTACACCATCATTGATTCCTCCTCCTGCTCCAGCCCTTGCAAACTTGGTTTTCCCTACTTCTTTGTCCCATAGCCTCAATGCTATGTTCATACATATCATATAGGTGATACTGTCCTCTTCACCTGTGATCCTGATACTGAAAACATCCAGGTCAATGAGCAGATCCCATTGCTCTCTGTCCCTTCCTGGCAGCATTTTTATCCTTCCCTTCTTCCCTCTTTGTCTCTCTCTTTCTTACAATATTTATTCAGTGCCTGCCATGTGTCTGCTTCTGTGCTTGGCCCTGGATACTGAGAAAGACTGATGGGGTCCACCCTAGCTCTGGGCCTGAGTGATCCTCGCAGTCTGCTGCCACCTGCCCCAGGACATCCCTCCCACAAGGAAACCACCCAGGTGTTCCATCCTGAAGCTTTAGAAACAGCTCACATTTCACCTCTCCCTCTCACTTCACATCCAATCCAACCCAAGCCCTCTCATCCTTGTCTCATAAACGTGCCTCATCCTGCAGCCACTGTCCTCTGCTTCCTGCTGTTGTTGCTGGTTATCTTCCCATAACTGGAACCCTGCTGGGGTTACCCAACTGCTCTCTGGCTCCTGTCCCACCCTCCATTCTGGTTTCCGCGCACCAACAGAATGGTCTTGCTAAAGTGCAAAATGCGCCATTTGTTCTTTCAACATCTGCTGTGCAGGGTGCTGGAGATGCAATGGTGGAGCAGCAGGTGACGCGCCTGCCCTCGGGAGCTTACAGCCCAGGCTGGGTGGAGATGGACACTGCAGTGTTGTGGGGGTCTCAAGGGAGATGTGCTGTAGGCTGGGACCCTTCGATGGCTCCTATCAGTTCAAGCTCAATCTCCTTAAATGATAACTCAGGCCCTTCCCATCTAGTGCCCACCTACATTGCTGGTGCCATCTCCCACATCCCCCCGGTGTCCTTCACACTCACCACACACCAGCTCGCCAGTCCTTGAAGACGCCCTGGGCTCTTTCAAGGCTCCACACTTAGGGGTGCTCTTATCTGCCAGGACGTTCTCTACTCTTTTTTCTTTCTGCTTAAAAATGTTAATTGTGATAAAACATACACAAATAAAATGTACCATCTTGACCATTTTTAAGTGTGCAGTTCAGGCCGAGCATGATGGCTCACGCCTGTAATCCCAGCACTTTGGGAGGCCAAGGTGGGAGGATCACTTGAGGTCAGGAGTTCGAGACTAGCCTGGCCAACATGGCGAAACCCCGTCTCTACTAAAAATACAAAAGTTAGTTGGGTGTGGTGGTGCATGCCTGTAATCCCAGCTACTGGGGAGGCTGAGGCTGAAGAATTGCTTCAACCCAGAAGGCGGAGGTTGCAGTGAGCTGAGATTGCTCTACTGCACTCCAGCCTCAGCAACAGAGCAAGACTCCATCTCAGAAAAAAAAAAAAAGATGCAGTTCAGCGGCATTAAGGACATTCCCATTGCTGTGCAACCATCATTACCATCCATCTCCAGAATTCTTTCATCCTGCAAAACTGAAACTTTGTACCTGTTAAACACTAACTCCCACTCCCTTTCCCCTCAGCCCTTTGCAACCTCTGCTCTGTTTTCTTTAAAAAAAAATTATTTTTAATTATTTGGGGTACATAATAGGTATATATATTTATGGGTACATGCAATGTTTTGATACAGACATATGATGTGTAATGATCAAATCTGGGTAATTGGGGATATTCATCACCTCAAGCACTTATCATTTCTTTGTGTTAGGAATCTTCCAATTCTACCCTTTTAGTTATTTAAAAATATACAATAGATTACTGTTGGCTATAGTCACCCTGTTGTGTATCAAACACTAGATCCTATTCATTCTATCTAATTGTATTTGTGTACCCATTAACCATCCCTACTTTATCTCCCTCTACTTCTGTCTCTGGATTTGACCACCCTAAACACCTCATGTAAGTGGAATCATACAGTTTTTGTCCTTTTGTGACCGGCTTATTTCACTTAGCATAATGTCCTCAAAGTTCATCACATTGTATCATGTGTCAGAATTTCCTTTCTTTTCAGGGCTGAATAATATTTCATTATATCTGTATCTAGCTCACATTTTGTTTATCTATTCATCCAGCAATGGACACTTGGATTGCTTCCATCTCTTGGCTATTGCGAAAAATTCTGCAGTGAACATAGGTGTCCACATAGTTCTTTGAGTCTCTACTTTCATCTCTTTGAGATATATACCCAGAAGTGGAATTGCTAGATCATATGCTAGTGCTTTTTTTTTTTTTTTTTTGAGACGGAGTCTCGCTCTGTCTCCCAGGCTGGAGTGCAGTGGCACAATCTCAGCTCACTGCAAGCTCCTCCTCCCGTGTTCACGCCATTCTCTTGCCTCAGCCTCCCAAGTAGCTGGGACTACAAGCACCCGCCACCACGCCTGGCTAATTTTTTGTATTTTTAGTAGAGATGGGGTTTCACTGTGTTAGCCAGGATGGTCTCGATCTCCTGACCTCGTGATCCGCCCACCTCGGCCTCCCAAAGTGCTGGGATTACAGGCGTGAGCCACTGCGCCCAGCCGGTAGTGCTATTTTTTGAGGGACTGTCATACTGTTTTCCATAGTGGCTGCACCATTTACATCCCCACCAACAGTGCACAGGGTTCCCATTGCTCTATCATTCCCAACACTTATTATTTTACATTCTTTTTGATAGTAGCCTAATGGGTGCGTGGTGTATTTCACTGTGGTTCTACTCATCTTTGACCTCACTCAAACCTCTTCTCTCCTATTAAAATTCCCCTGATTTCCCCAAGCAGAGGTAGTGTCCCACAACCCCTGCCTCCCAGTCGATCACATTTCATGAGGTTCTATATGTATTTGCTGATCCGTATCCCCTCAGGATCTTGAGTTCCTAGAGGACGGTCTCATTTAGTCAGTGAGGTGTCCTCAGCATTCCAGGCACAAGAACTATTTTAGAAGTGTTTGTTGAATGAATAAAAAGTGTTGTATCACACGTATTTAACACATTTTTGTTTGTTGATTTGCTGGTTTTAATTTTTTATCAAACTATAGCTTACATATGTTAAAGTGCACATATTAAGTGTGCAGCTCCGTGATTTTTTTACATTTCCACTTGTGCAACCATCATCCAGAGCAAGATGTAGAACATTTCCAACACCCTAAAAAACTCCCCAGTCAAATACTTGCCCCACCACAAAAGTAACTCCTGTTTTGATTTTTAAAAACTCTCGATTGGTATGCCTGCATTTGAACATTCTACAAATGAAATCATGGAGAATGTACTCTTAAGTGTCTGCAAGATTCACCCGCATTGCTGTGTGTGTCAGTGACTCACTCCTTTCGATTGCTGAGCTCTGCTCCATTGTCTGAATGTACCACAGTTTACTTATTCACTCTCCTGTTGGTAGATATTTGGATTGTTTCTAGTTTCTTGGCTATGGTGAATAAAGATGCTCCAAATATCTTGTACATGTTATTTGAAAGATATATGCACTCATTTCTCTTATGTACATGACTTAGAGTGGATTTTGCACAGCTTTAGTAGGTAGTCCCAAACAGTTTCCAAGCAGGTGAGTAAATTTACAACCCACTCCCCAACAATGAGTTCTGGTTGCTCCTTATTCTCACCAACACTTGGGTATTGTCATTCTTTTAATTTCAGTCATTCTGGTGGTGGAGCATAGCCACCATGAAATTAACAAACCATGATCTTGTATCTAATTTCAAACTTCTTCTTGGTAGCAAAATTTTTATTTTTTACCAGCCTTTTAAAAATCACTTGTCACTCACATGCACACGTATGTTTATTGCGGCACTATTCACAATAGCAAAGACTTAGAACCAACCCAAATGTCCATCAATGATAGACTGGATTAAGAAAATGTAGCACATATACACCATGGAATACTATGCAGCCATAAAAAATGATGAGTTCATGTCCTTTGTAGGGACATGGATGAAGCTGGAAACCATCATTCTCAGCAAACTATTGCAAGGACAAAAAACCAAACACCACATGTTCTCACTCATAGGTGGGAATTGAACAATGAGAACACTTGGACACAGGAACAGGAACATCACACACTGGGGCCTGTTGTGGGTCGGGGGGCGGCGGGAGGGATAGCATTAGGGGATATACCTAATGTAAATGGCGAGTTAATGGGTGCAGCACACCAACACGGCACATGTATAAATATATAACAAACCTGCACATTGTGCACATGTACCCTAGAACTTAAAGTATAATAAAAATAAATAAATAAATAAAAATAAAAATCACTTGTCACTGATAATTTCTTTGTCTTTCTTTTTCTTTTTCTTTTTTTTTTTTTTTGTGAGACACGGTCTCACTCTGTTGTGAGGGCTGCAGTGCAGTGGTACAATCCTAACTCACCACAGCCTTGAACCCCTGGCCTCCAGGGATTCTCCTGCTTCAGCCTCTCATGTAGCTGGGACTATAGGCGTGTTCCACCATGCCTGGCTAATTTTTTATTTTTTGTAGAGATGGGGTCTCACTATGTTGCCTAGGCTGGTCTTGAACTCCTGGGCTCAAGTAATCCTCCTGCGTTGGCCTCCCAAAGTGCTAGGATTACAGGCCTGTAATTTTGTAATTGTGTAATTGACACACCTGGCAGATAATTTCTTCTATTTATTAAGTGCCAGTATATTTACCTCCTTCTACATTTGAGATATATATTAAATACACTTTTTATGTAAGTTTTTTTTTTTTTTTTTGAGGCAGCCTTGCTCTGTCACCCAGACTAGAGTGCAGTGGCACTCCACCTTCCAGGTTCAAGAAATTCTCCTGTCTCAGCCACCTGAGTAGCTGGGATTACAGGCATGCACCATCACACCCAACTAATTCTTGTATTTTTGGTAGAGACAGAGTTTCACCATGTTGACCAGGTTGGTCTCGAACTCCTGGCCTCCCAAAGTGCTGGGATTATAGGTGCTGGGATTAAAATAGGACCGCATGCGGCCTATTTTAGCATTTTTAGTAGGGTTGTTAAAGCCTGTTGAAACTGTTGGGCTGAAGTTCTCTCCCCACTTTAGCATGAGAGGAGTTACAGCATGGGGCTTGAGAGGCCTGGACTGAGAATGCTCTGGTGGAAATTCCAGCTCTGCCACAGAGCTGCTGTGTGACTTTGGGCAAGTTTATACAAGCTCTTGGTAACTCAGTTTCTTCATCCATAAAATAGAGATAATAATATAATATGCCTTATGAAGTTGTCATTAGTATTAAATTAATTATTGCACTTGAACTCCTGGTGCAGAGTTAATTCTCATTAAATATTAGCTGTTATTGTCACCCAGTTCCCCATGACACTATTAAAATCACTTCCTTTCCCATTATTTTCTTATTCCCAGTTAGTCTTAATAATAGCTCCCAAAAAGGTTAGGCATATATAAGGAATCTGTGCTTTATTTTAATCATTATTTTTCCTCTTCTTATGCTGATATCATCTAGTTTTGTTGATTGTCATTTAACAATATATTTTATAGTTATCTGAGAAGTTTAATTATCCTGGTTCTGCTGTTATTTTCCTTCCCAAATGCAATACTCTTAACTATTTATTCTTCCAGATGGATTTTGATGTGATTTCTGTGGGAATTTTAATTGCTAAAGGAGCTCTTCCGTCTTTAGCATTTTAAATTGTCCTAGACTGAAACAGAGCCCAACACCCAATTCTTCAATACTTTATTTATTTCTCCCTCCAGAATTTTGTAATTTTTTTCCATACCAGGTTAATTTCCAAGTATATTCTTTAAAACTTTTGTGAACTGGATTTCCTCCTTCACTGTTCTTAGTTTATCCCTTATATTAGAAAGTGATTGTATTTGTGGATTTCTCTTACAGCGTGTCAGTTTGGGGAACCCATTGATAGTCTCTAATAGTATTTTTCTGCTTGGTGAGAGAGCAAACAACAGTGGGAAGGACATGGGCTTTGGGGCAGATGGGCCAGGCTGAACCACACCTCCTTTCATGACTTGCATGTAAGACTTCGGGCAAGTTTCCATCTTCCCTGAGACTCAGGGTCCTTATTGGTAAGGGGGGCACGCAACTACAGCTAGGGAGGGCTTGTGCTGCAACTCTAGAGCTTCTTTTTTAAATATCATACAACCTGCTGGGTATATACCCAAAAGAACTGAAAGCAGGATCTCAAAATGGTATTTGAACATCCACATTCATAGCAGCATTATTCACAATAGCCAAGAAGGGAAGGTAACCCAAGTGTCCATTGATGGGTGAATGGATAAAAAAAAAATAATATATACATACAATGGAATACGATTCGGCCTTAAAGAGGAATGAAGCTCTGACACATGCTATAACATGAATGAACCTTGAGGACATTAAGCTAAGTGAAATAAACCAGTCACAAAGAGCAAATATTATAAAACTTAATATGACGTGCCAAGAGTAGCCAAATAGAGACAGAAAGTAGAATGGTGGTTGCCAGTGGCTGGGATCTGGAGAAAAAGAGAGTTATTGTTTAATGAGAACAGACTTTCAGTTGTGCAAGATGGAAGAGTTCTGGAGATGGATGGTGGTGATGGTTGCACAATCATGTGACTATACTTAATGCCAATGAACCATCCACTTCAAGATGATCAAGAAGGTATATTTTATGTTACCATGCATACCATGTGTATTTTACCACAATTACAAAGAATAATAACTTTTAAAAATTATATAAGCTGGAGTTGCCATTCTGGAAACAGATCCTGAGCAGATGGAAGTTATCAGTGCAGCAAAACTTTCATATCTCCTGATATGTGATAAAGGGAGTCACATTTGCTCCTTTCTTAAGCTAGTAAGTTGAAGGGAAGAGTATTCCTTCCACATGCTACACTGGTGGGTAAGTGGGGGATTCCAGGTGAGAGTAAGGGGAGCACAAAGAAGCACATGTAGAATAATCTTGTTTATAACATTAATAACATTAAATTAGCATGTAGTATTTATTGAGTCTTTGTGCTAAACATTTTAAATCATTAATCATTCCTTTATTAAGTATCCATAGCAACCCATGAGGTAAGAATTATTCCAATTTTCCCAGCAGGAAAACTGAGGTTTAGGGAGGTGTGTGTTTGTGTGTGTGTATGTGTGTGTATGTGTGTGTCTGAGAGAGAGAGAGGTAGCAGTCTATTTTGCTGTTCCTGCAACTGTTCTTTTTCACTCCGCAGAGGATATGGGGTTGGTATTTCTGAGTGAATTCTTACAGTTTTCCAATCAAAGAGGCACGAATAGGTTATTCCCTCCCCAATCCAGTTTGACAGATCGTGGAAGAAGGCTGATGGGCCAGCTTGTTATATGTACTTTCCTGAAGCAATCACTATGGCCAGGGGACATGTAATACTGTAATTTTCCCAGAGAAAGACAGGAGCCTTTAAATACCCTTGTCTTGTGCCTAATTTTAAGGGAGATGCATCTGACCTATTACCATTAAAATGATGGATTTTTAAAAAATCTAAAATGTTTTATTCAACATTGTATTCAAGGTCTTAGAGTAGTAAGAGAAGAAATATAAATAAAAGATATGTATTTTGGAGAGGTGAGGTGGCTTGTGCCTATAACCCCAGCTACTCAGGTGGCTGAGACAGGAGGATCGCTTGAGCCTAGGGGTTTGAGGCTACAGTGAGTTATGATCATGCCACTGCACTCCAGCCTGGGAGACAGAGTAGACTGTCAAAAAAAAAAAAGGAAAGAAAAGAAAAGTAAAGGTTACTGGTGGAAAGTAATAAATAAATCTAAATTTTATGACACTTGATGTTATCATTTACACAGAAAACTCAAGGGATCTATGGAAATATTATTAAAAATAATAATTTTGTAAGGTGCCTATGTGTAAGATTAATATGTAAAAAGCAACTAAATCGCAAAGTAAAGAGATGAATAAAAACAAAACACAACATACCAATACTAAGGGGGTGTAGCCAAAGCAGTGCTAAGTAGAAAATTTATAGCTTTTAAAAACTTCTATTTAAAAAGGAGAAATATTTCAAATTAATGATGTAAACTTCCACCATAAGAAGAAACTATGAATAAAGAACAAACTAAACCTAAAGCAAGCAGAGGAAGAAAATAATGAAGTTTAAGGTGAAAATTAATAAAATAAACAAATAGTAGAGAAAATCAATGAAACCAAAAGTTGGTGTTCAGTAACAATCAACAAAATGGACAAACCTTTAGCTACACTGAGCAAGAAAAAAAGAAAGAAGACTCAAATTACTACATGGCCTAGTGAGATTTATTCCAGGAATACAAGGCTTTTTCAAGATACAAAACCAATCAATATAATACATCATGTTAACAAAATAAAGGACAGAAACCACAGGATAATCATTTCAATCAATGCAGAAAAAGTATTTGACAAAATCTATCACCTGTTCATGACTGAACAAACTCAGGCTAGAAGGAAACTTCATGAATCTGATAAGGGGCATCTATGAGAAGCTCACAGCCAACACCATATTTAATGGTGAAAGACTGAAGGCTTTCCTCTTAAGATCAGCAAAAACTTAAGATGTCTATTTTTGCCACTTTCATTCAACATTGTACTGAAAATTCTAGCCAGGACAATTGGAGGAAGAAACAAGAATTGGAAAAGGGAAAGATTGAAAATGAAGAAATAAACTATCTTTCTTTGCAGGTGACATAATCTTATGTATGGAAAATCTGAGGATCCTCATCCACACAAAACTATAGAACTCATAAACAAGTTCAGCAAGATTGCAGGATACAAGATCAATATACACAAATTGATTGCATTTCTAAACAATAGCAAGAAATAATTTGAAATTAAGAAAATTTAATTTATAAATTGATAAAAAATTACAATTTATAAAATTATGGCATCAAAATGAAGAAAGTACTTAGGAATGAATTTAACCAAGGAGGAACAAGATTTGTACACTGGAAATTACACAATATCTTTGAAAGAGTTAAAGAACACCTAAATAAATAAAAATACATACCATGTTCATGGGTGGGACGGCTTAATCTTGTTAAGATGGCCATAGTTTCCAAATTAATCTGTAGATTTAATGCAATTCTTATGAAAATCCCAACAGAGCTTTTTCCCCCCAGAAACTGACATACTAATTCTAAAATTTACATGGAAATGCAAGGAGCCCAGAATAGCCAAAGCAGTCTTGAAAAGAAGAACAAAGTTGGAGCACTCACACTTTCTCATTTCAAAACTTACTATGAAACCCTAGTAAGAAAGACTGTTTGTTACTGGCATAGGATAGACATATATCAATGGCATAGAATTGAAAGCCAGAAGTAAACCCATCCATTTATGGGTAATTGATTTTCAACAAAGGAACCAAGGCATTTTAACAGGAAAAGAATAATTTTATCAACAAATCGTGCTGGGACTACTGGGTATCCACTTGCAAAAGAATAAAGTTGTATTCCTACCTCATATCATACAAAAATTAACTCAAAAAAGATCACAGACCTAAAGTTAAGAGCTAAAACTGTTCAACTCTTAGAAGAAAACATAGATGTGACTCTTTGTAACCTTGGATTAAGCAATGGTTTCTTAGATAATGACAATGAAAGTATAAGCAACCAAAGAAAAAGCAGATATATAGAACTTCATTACAATAAAAAATTTTGTGCTTCACTATCAAGAAAGGAAAAATGCAACCCATAGAACAGGGGAAGAATATTTTCAAATCATATATCTGAAAAAGGACTTGTATTCAGAACATTTAAAGGGCTCTTACAACTCAACAATAAAATTTTTTAAATGGGTAAAGGATTTGAACACGCATTTCTCTGAAAAAGATATAGAAATGGCCAATAAGCACATGAAAAGATGCTCAACATCATTAGTCATTAGAGTTAGGCACATCAAAATCACAATGAGATATCACTTCACACCCACCAGGATGGCTGTAATAAAAAAAATAATGAATGTTGACAAGGATATGGAAAATTGGAACCCTCATACATTGCTAGTGGGAATGTAAAACGGTGCAGCTGCTTTGTAAAACAGTTTGACAGTTCCTTAACAAGTTAAACATAGAGTTACCATATGACCTAGCAACTCTGCTCCTATGTATACACCCAAGAAAAGTGAAAACATATGTCCACACAAAAACTTGTACACCAGTGTTCACAGCAGCATTATTCATATAAGCAAAAGGTGAAAACAACCTAAATGTTCAGCAGCTGATGAATGGATAAAGAAAATGTGGGATATCCATACAATGTTATTCAACCATTGTTCCACGGTGGTCAGGTTGATGCAAAGCTACCCCTAAAGTCCTAGGAAGATGAGAGGCTGAAGATAAAATGTGACTTATCCAAGTTTCTTAGAAAGAAGCATTTAATGGGGTCTTACAAACAGAAGCCATAGCCTTGGGCGGCCACAAGATAAGATGGTGGATCCCCACACCATTTCCCCCAAGACCCATGGTGTATATGCCATAGGCAAGTAATGTATAGACCAGGAAAAGGTAAGAATGATATGTGAATCTGCCTAAGGGTATAATTTATAATAAAGGTTGGTTTTACCTAAGGGCAGGAATTATGGTAACATTACATAAAGTATAAATCTTAGAGGCATTTCCAGGTGTTAATCAGAAGTCAACATGGTAGCTGGGCGCGGTGTCTCACGCCTGTAATCCCAACACTTCAGTAGGCTGAGGTGGGCGGATCAGGGGGTCAAGAGATCAAGACCATCCTGGCCAAAATGGTGAAACCCCCGTCTCTACTAAAACTACAAACAATTAGCGGGACATGGTGGTGGGCACCTGTAATCCCAGCTACTAGGGAGGCTGAGGCAGGAGAATCGCTTGAACCCAGGAGGTGGAGCTTGCAGTGAGCCGAGATTGCGCCACTGCATTCCAGCCTCTACAGAGCGAGACTCCGCTCTAAAAAAGAAAAGAAAAAAAGAAAGGAGAGGAAAGGAAAGAAGGAAAGGGAGGGGAGGGGAGGGGAGGGGAGGGGAGGGGAAGGGAAGGGGAGGGAAGGGAGGGGAGGGAAGGGGAAGGGAGGGGAGTCAACATGGCAGATTAGATCCGAGATGGAGTCGCTTTGTCCTCCACAGCCATAAAAAGGAATAAAGTTCTACATCATAGATGAACCTTAAAAACATTGTGCCAGCTATGGTGGCGGGCGCCTGTAGTCCCAGCTGCTGGGGAAGCTGAGGCAGGAGAATCGCTTGAATCTGTGAGGCAGAGGTTGCAGTGAGCCGAGATCGCGCCACTGCACTCCCGCCAGGGCGACAGAGCGAGACTCCACCTCAAAAAAAAAAAAAAATTGTATAAAATGAAAAAAGCCAGTCATAAGAGGCCACACATTATATAATTCCATTTATATGAAATATCCAGAATAGGTAAATCCATAGAAATAGAAAGTAAATTAGTTGTTGCTACGGGAAAAGGGTTTTGGGTGATAAAAAAAAGTTCTGGGGTTAGATAGTGGTGATGGTACATAATTTTTGGAATATACTGAAAATCACTGAATTGTACACTTTAAAATGGTGGCTTCTAGATCTGTGGATTATCTCAATTTAAAAAGTAAAAGCAGGCTGGGTGCGGTGGCTCACGCCTGTAATCCCAGCACTTTGGGAGACCGAGGTGGGCAGATTTTGAGGTCAGGTATTTGAGACCAGCCTGGCCAACATGGTGAAACCCCATCCCTACTAAAAATACAAAAATTAGCCGGGCGTGGTGGTGGGCACCTGTAATTCCAGCCACTCGGGAGGCTGAGGCATGAGAATCGCTTGAACCCAGGAGGCAGAGGTTGCAGTGAGCCAAGATCGCACCACTGCACTCCAGCCTGGGCAACAGAGTGAGACTCCATCTCAAAGAAAAAAAAAATTAAAGAACTACTAAAAATAATAAGAAAAAAATCATACTACCCAACAGTAAAATGGGCAAAGGTCATGCACAAATATATTTCAGAAGAGAAAAAGTAAACGGAGAACAAACTTGTGGCACGATGATAATCTCGTTAGCAAGCAGATAACTGTAAATTAATACTGCAATGCTATTCCATCCTGACAGGTCTCTTGTGAACTGCTGGGAAGAATGTAAAATGATACAGACACTTGGGAAACAACTTGGAGTTCCAGCAATTCGTTTCTGAGCTACATGCCCTTGAGTTGCTCTTGCTTTTGCCAAAAGGGATCTGGAAGAATGTTCACAGCAGTACTCAGAACACACAAAAACTAGAAACAAATGAAATGCCCATCAATAGGATAAATAAATCATGGTGTGATCACACAATGGAATATTCTAAAACAGTGAAAATCGATGCCTGTCAGCAATATGCAAAAGCAAGGACGAATCTTAGAAACAACACTGAATCAAAAAAGTCTCAGAAGAGCCAGCATGTAATATTTTATAAATCTCAAAATCAAGCAAAATTCTACCTCATATTATAAAACTGTACATTTAAAAAGCAAGGGATAATAAACAGAAAATTTAGACTTGTGTAACCCCCAGGGTTGGGGATAAGGCAGGAGAAATGGGTGCAGGAAAGGACGCTCAGCTGGTGTTAGTGACTCTGGTGACACTTTTGTTCTCAGGCTGGGTGGTGGGTTCATGGTGTTCATTTTATTATTATTGCTCATGTTATCATATGCATTATTTTGTATATATTAAATGTTACATTTTTTTTAATTTAAAGATAGTTTTTATAAAAACAAGCAATGGGCAAAGAGGATTTTTTTTTAAAAAACCTTAGTGTTTATAGAGGAAAATGGAATCTTTCAAAGTCTTCAACAGACAACAGGCCAAGTGGGGGTGCCTCATGTCTGTAAAATCCCAACATTTTGGGAGGCCAGGCAAGAGGATCACTTGAGTCCAGAAGTTCGAGACCAGCCTGGGCAACATAGCAAGACACTGGACTCTATAAAAAATATAAAATATAAAATATAAAAAGAAACAATGGAACCATCTGTGTGTCTTTCAGCTGAACTGTGTGCCACGAATCAGACTGCTGATTTATCTAGAGGGCCTGGTGTGATTCATGTGAAAATGCCATTCAGCCACTCAACAAACCTTCCCTAAGAAAGGTGCATGCTGGGCCCATCGGTCCTCTGGAGGAAGCCAAGATGGGTGGATATAGCTCTGCCTGCTGGAGCTTCTTAGGTCATAGAGGACATTGTTATACTAAGAAAATATTCAAGGGAGACAAAAATGATCTTTTTGGGATGCAATCATGTCTTATACCCCTTGCTTACTAGCATTGAAGGACTTCCTCTTAGCCCGGGAATGAAACTCAGCTGCGACGCATGCAAGGACTTCCTTTATCTGGCCCTGACACCCCTACAGCCCTCAGTGCCTTGAGTCTCTCACCCTTGGTTCTCCATGTGACACTCATACTGAAGTTCTTTGGGCCCCTGGAATGTCCCTGAGCTTTCTTCCCTCTGTGCTTTTGCACACTCAGTTCCCTCAGTCTGGAATGTCTATCACCATCTGCCCTACACATGGCCGAGCCCCACTGACCTATTCTGTTTTTTTTTTTTTTCAAAGAAGCATTCCATGAACCCTGGACCAAAATAAGTCCCCTGGCTGCACACATCTACAGCGCCCCAACCCCTGTCCCCTCCAGGGTTACTGTGTCAGACTCATTCACTATGGTAACCCCAGCAGCGCCCCAGAGCATAGCAGAGGTGGAATCAGTATTTGCTGGATTTAATTTTATGTATGTCTTAAGAGTTCTATGCAAACTATAGAAGAGGAAGAGATAACTTGTATTTGGAGGGAAGAGGTGGGCTTGAGGAGGAAGTGGCATGGCACGAGGCTGGGTCTATGACATGCATCACTGTCAATCACTGGGGTGCTTTTCCTGTATTTGAGGTTGTCCTCAAGCTGTTGGCTGTGTCTCCCTGTGGTTGCAGCAGCAGTGCTGGGTAGAAATGATCTCTTCCTCCACCTAGTCCCAGCTTATTCCTTCCCATGAGGCTGGAGCGTGTGCTGTGTCCTTTCCTGGTTCTAGCATGGGCCATTCCCAAAGCTGCCTTCCAGTCTGGAAGAAGCTCTGCATCAACTCGAATGGGCTGTTCACCACCATGTGTTCAAATTGCAGTGCTCTGTTGACTCCAGCTCCAGGGTTACAGCTTCCTTTGCTATCCCAGGCAGGACTGCCAAATCCACAATGCTGAGCCCCAGGGGATAAAAGCCACATGGTGCAGAAATCTGTGTGGCCAGTGAAGAAAGTGGGCCTGTGTGTGTGGAATATGAACAAACTAGCTCAGAATCTGCAGAACTTAGAGGAAGCTCAGTTGTGGCAGTGCCTTGGTCATAGGTTGAGACTGTGAGATGGAGATTAACAGGCAAGGCCTGCTCTTGGGATCAACACTTGGTCCCCTTCCTTGAGGCCCTGGGGGAGGTCAGGCAGCCCCATCCTGGCACCCACAGACCACCTCTGCTGAATGGGCCTCCCTGTCAACATCCCTAGACCTTCTACCTGCTTCCTTGAGAGCATAACCTTCTTCCCCAAGTGTGTTATTTTTATTTTTGTAATCTCCTTAAATGTTATACAAAATTAGTTTACACACAAAGAAAAACAAAAAAAAAATTTTAAATGATGCAATTTCAAGAAGTGTGGGATGGCTAGAAACCCGAGGAGATGTCTCCAGGAAGACAATGGGGTCTCCAAATGGGCCACCTGTACCCTTGACAGAACCAGGGACACAGAGGGGGAGCCTGGCCTTGGGAGGAAGGTGACGGATGCTTTGGGTCAGTCAGAAGAGTTGGCGATCCGTGGGAGCTCAGCACAGAACTGCTGCTCTGGTTACAGGCCAGGCGAGTGGGAAGCAACAGAACAACACCCAGCTTCTTTCCTGAGTGCCACTGACAGAGGAGGGTACCCTCCACCAGGGAGAATGCCTCATGCCAGGCAGCAGGAAGGCAGGGCTGCGACTGCTAGGAGAGCCCATCAACCTTCATGCCAACAAGGCCCCAAGGCTTCCAGCTAGATCATCCCAAACCCGACTTCTTAGATGTATTTTGAGTTTTGAAACCTGAACGTTAGAAAAGGGATTGAAAATGGAATAGGATGTTTTATGACATTAAAAATGTAAACATTCATTAAAGCATAATGCACATAAATAAAAGTGCACAGATCATAAATGTGCATCACAAAGTGAATACAGCCATGCAGCCGCCACCTGGGCCAAGAAACAGAATCTCTGCAGACCCCCAGAAGCCTGATCTCTCATCCCCCCTTCCAATCTTTAAAGTTTTAGAACATGTCTGTTGTAAACAATAATAATAAAAAAAGTAAAACAGTTCCTACACACGGGCCACCTGTCCATTCATGCACCCAGGTACCACCAAGACGCACATTCTCTCAGCAGTCCCTCAAGTCTTTGAGACCATTTCATCCCAGATGCAGCGCCGTGCTTAAGAGGCATTACATCCGAGCATTAGAGAGTGCCAGAGCTGCGCGGTACTCGGAGAGCCTCCTGTTCAACTCCCTCATGTTTCAAATGCAGAAACTATTATGGAGATTAGTATTGATTTGATGATGATGAGGCTTCTCGTGCATCTGTTTCAAGACTGGCCCCCACCACCGCCGCTGAAAGTAAGCAAAGTCTATGAGAGAAAACTCCGAGTTTTAATACACTTTGTTATTCACCACTTCTCTTTTCTTAATTCCTTGTTAGCTGTGGAGCTGGGGTCTGTTATGGTGTCTTTTAGTCATTCCAGGCAGAGCAAGTCACAGCAAAGGTTGTGGCCTGATAACTGTCTGTGTTGTTGGGTTAAGAATCCCATGTGGGTCATGGATTATCTGCTGGAAACTTCAGAATCTCCTTTCAGTGAGATCCTTGTAAATCCATCCTGCTCTGTGGCTGACAGGGGTTAGTGAGGCATTTTTTCTTGTCTCTGGTACTCCATGCAAATGCTCACTGCTCTCTTGATTTTGTAACAGGAGCTCCAAGCTCCTGTCTGGCTCAAGTTTCCAGGGATGATCCCTGAAGCAGGAGCCCATTCTCTAACTGCAGGTGGGCATCCTCACCCTGCACAGATGGGGGTGTCATGTGGAGATCGTGGGTATCCCCTCCTGGGCGCACTCCATCTCTTGAAGCCTCATGCCAAAACCCCTCCACTCCTGGGTACCATCTGTTTGCCTTCTATTTTTATTCCTTTGGTTTTTGTCTTCCTAATTGTCCCAACCTGACTAGCTCAAGGATGCTAGAACTACATTCTCACCATTGCCAGAAGAATAGACAAACAGAAGCCTGAGTTTTACCTAAAGGTAGAATGACAGTCTCTACTTGTATATTTGTCTCTTTTTCTAGGATGGGTTAGACAGAGCCCCATTTGCTTCTGTGCCCCTGGCTCCTGATGGGCATGGGTCCTGACACTCATTCATTGGGAGCTCTAAAGCTGTCGGCTTGGAGTTTGCCAGGTGCCATCATCTGACTCCTTGACAGGCTGCTGCAGGCTGCCTGGGTGCAGAGCAGTGCCCCTGGCCTTCCGCAGGATGCAGCTGTATCATTGCTGCAGGATTCTCTTCCACACAACATATGGGCAGAGAACAAGCACAGAGAACAATGAAAATAACTCCTTACATCTATTTGCACACTTCTTTCTAGTTTACAAAGTATGTTCACATTCGTTATCTCCTTTGAGTTTATGTTTCCTCTGTCACTTTGTCAGGTTGGAAAGGCTATCATTATCCCTTGGTACAGAGGAAGACACTGAGGTTCAGAGGTGAGATGCTTTGCCCAAAGCCCACAGCTAATAGGAGTGAACCCAGAATTGGATCAAGCTTTCTCTTGATTCCAATTCCGATGCTCTTCTTCCTTTCCCAGTGGGAAACCCACATTCCCTTAGGTCAGATCAGCCTCTCCCTTGGTGTTTAAGCCCAAATACTCTCATTTCCTCCTTCTCCAAGACAGGAAATCCTAGTGGGAGGTGTCTGGGTCATGGGGGTGAACCCCTCATGAATGGCTTTCTGTCATTCTGAAAGAAGTGAGTGAGTTTTGATCTCGTGAGACTGGGTTAGTTATCACAGGAATGGATTCGTTCTCACAAGAGTGTGTTGTTATAAAACCAGGAGGCCCCTTGGTTTTTCCTCTTTGCATTTATCATTTCTCCTTTGACCTTCTGCCATGTTGTGACACAGCATGAAAGCCCTCACCAGACACTGAGCAGATGCTGGTGCCCTGCTTCTTGAACTTTTCAGCCTGCAGAACCGTGAGCTAAATAAACCTCTTCTTTTTATAAATTACCCAGTCTCAGGTACTCTGTCATGGCAACAGAAAATGGACAAAGACAGTAGGAAACAGGGCTATTCAGGGTCAAATTTGCCTCCAAACACTCTCTTCTCAGATCTACCTCATGCTAGGTCCATCTGGATGCCTTTCTCAGGGTTCCCTTCTGAGCAGCAGCAATACTTACAAGGCTACCTCTTAGGGCAGAATAGGGGATGGAGGCACCCAGATCATCTCGAAGTAGGTAATGAGGAATTGTGGCTGAGCTCCGTGAGCACACACCAATGCTGGGAGGATGCCACATGTGCCAACCTGGGAAAAAGCTGATGATGCTCAGGCTCAAAGAGGTTAAGTGACGTGTCCAAACTCACACAGGTAGCTTGTGGCATGGCCAGGATTCAAACCCGAGAGTGGCTGGATCTGAAATTCCACTCTACAGGCTATAGGCAGGAGTGCCAGGAGGTGAGGTGCCCAGCCCCAAAGGAACCAGGAATCAGGGCTCCAGGCCTGAGAAGAAGTGTCTTCTCTGAAGAAAGGGCATGCATTTGGTCTCCTCTCCTTTTGTTTGTGGTCATCTTAAATGAGATTTCCTTCCCCCTTGGCCTCACCACCCACTTTCTTACACACTGGCCTCCTGTGTGGGAAGGTGGAGCTAGCATTAGATCTAGAGGCTGGAGCCTGGATCCTGGTTCTGGTTCAGCCCAGCTGGTTCAGCCCAGCTCCGGGGAAGTCATTTAACTTATCTGAAGTCTGGTTTCCTCACCTGAAAACCAGGGGGTTGAGCAGGTGATCCCCTGCTGAGATGTTCTCACCTGCAGCATTCCAGGACTCTGACATTTCCGTGATCCACAACCCTCTCCTCTTCTCATACCCTCCACCTGCCTGCCTCTGCCACCCTTGTGGGGGTACAGATGACCTGGCACAAGGCACTGTCACTATCAGCCAAGGCCGGCTAAGGAAGACAATGCCAGCCAGCTAGTGCCGAGACATCCCATTCTGAGGAATGCTGGCACAGTGAGGTGCTCTGTAGAATGCAGCTATTTTCTTCTTCCTAAAATGATCCCCAGTAGCTGTGCCTTGGGCTGCCAGAAGTGCTCTGCAGGAGATAACTTGGTCCTATATGCTCTTCACTCTTGTTTTGCATGACTTTAAGCAGTAAGTGCCCCCCGACACTCCTTTTCTTCAATGTTCCCCACTAGAAACTCCCTGATATAGTTTGCATATTTGTCCCCTCCAAATCTCATGTTGAAATGTAATTCCCAATGTTGGAGGTGGGGCCTTGTGGGAGGTGTTTGGATCATGGGGGTGGCTCATGAGGAGGCCCTCATGAATGGCTTGGGCCATCCCCTTGGTGATAAGTAAGTCCTTGTTCGAGTTCACAAGAGATTTGACCATTTGGAAGTGTGTGGCAACTCCCGCCACTCTCCCACTCTGGTGCTTGCTCCTGCTTTTGCCCTGGGAAGTGCTTGCTCTTCCTTTGCCTTCTGCCATGATTGGAAGCTTCCTGAGGCCTCCCCAGAAGCCAGGCAGATGCCAGCACCATGCTTCCTGTAAAGCCTGCAGAACTGTGAGCCAATTAAACCTCTTTTCTTTATAAATTACCCAGTCTTAGGTATTTCTTTAGAGCAATGCGAGAACGGCCTAATACACCCCTCCACCCACCCAAAGGAGCCCTGCAGATGTGATGGAAAGGCATGGCCCTGACACCTTCTCCTTAGTCCTAAGTCACCAGCCAGAATCTCAGTGTTGGAGGTCACTTCCTCCAACCTCGCTCCCATGCAAGAAGAGTCTCTCCGGATGCCCACCTGGCTTCTCCATGGAGCCTTCTGGAGACACTGGCCTCGTGCCAGAGTGCCTGGAATTGTTGCGACCTGTCTTGGCATTGTGACCCCGTCTGCCTTCCCACAATTCTCAACACGAGCACCCACTCAGCCTTCTGCAGTGATGCAGGAAGTGTCAGCTCTCTTCTGCAGGATGGCCTAGAAGCTTATGAAGACAGCCGATGTGTGCCTTGGGCCACTGCATGGTCAACGTCTACAGTTTCCTGTTACAGCTCAGATGATGAGGTTTCCACAGCTACCTTCGGGACATGATCCAGATTCCCACGTCCACCTCTAGGAGTGCCCAGAAGACCTGGATGTGTTATACTGAGAACAGAGGACAGCGGGGGCCACCCTCCCTGCATGTAGACGCTGTGCTCCACTGGGTGAATGGAGCTGACTACTGCACCAGCAGCCAAGTTACACACCAGTTCATGCTGAATTTGTGGCTGTCTAGAATTTCCAACTTTTCTCCATTTTGTTCATATGCAATTAATCATTTGAGCCTAAATGAGACACTTTACCTTTTAAAAGTTCACCCTTTCCGTTTCAGCATCATCTAAATTTTTAGTTTTTCTGCCTAGCTTTGTGACATTTTGAAGTAACAAGTCATATAGGACAACCCCCAGGACAGAGCTCTAATCCAAATTTTACATTACACACACTCTTAGTTGACTCTGAAGCGCTGGAAATTAGGTATTATTTCTCAACCACATCTTAATAGCTCTGAATGTAATAACATCTATTCCACATCTCAGAAGGTTTTTAGAAAATCTTTTTCGCCCCAGGTTTTCTAAAGGGGAGGAGCTGCTTGGCTGGCAGGCCACACATCGGGCAAGTTACTTTTCCTTCATTTCTACATCTATAAAATGAAAATGAGAATACTTACTTTGCAGGGTTGTTTTTTGTGAGCATTAGATAAAACAATTCGTTTCCATTTCCACGAGTAAGTTCCTTTTACACCTCCCTGGGGACTGTGGCCTGCATGCGAGCATACCCTGAACATTTCTTTCAGTTTACATTTGAGACACAACATACGTATTATAAAAATTCATGTTCATTCTGCAAAAATGATAAAATACGCTGAAATCAACCAAAATCACCCTAGTAATTAGATGTGACCACTGTAAACACTTTGAAACATCCTTCCATTCCTTTTTAATGGATAATTGCACATACACTCACACACACAATCTTTAAAAATCATTTGTATAATCTGAACAGTTTGTATCCTGTTTTTGCCCTTAACATATTCATAAGCATATTTGCATGTCAATAAGTACATTTATAAAATATTTAATGTTTTCATTGTGGTAAAATATGCATAACATATTTCATGCATAACATAACACCATTTTAACCATTCTAAAGCACACAGCTCAATGGCATTAGGTGCATTCTCATTGTTGTGAAACCATCACCATCATCTCCAGAACTTTTGCATCTTCCCAAACTGAAACTCTGTGCCCATTAAACACTAACTCCCCACTCCCCACCCCTTTCTCCAGCCCCTGGCTGCCACCATTCTACTGTCTATGAATTTGACTACTCTGGGTGCCTCATACGAGTGGAATCATAAAGTATTGTCCTTTGTAACTGACTTATTTCACTTAGTATAATGTCCTCGCAGTTCATCGATGTCACAGCATGTGTCAGAATTGCATTCCTTCTTAATACTGAATCACATTCATTGTATGTATAGACCACATTTGGTTTACCCATTCATCCATCAATGGACACTTGGGTTGTTTTCACCTTTTAGCTGTTGTGAATAATGCTGCTGTAAACACGGGTGTGCAAATATCTGTTTAAGTCCCTGCTTTCAGTGTTTATCAATATAGACCCAGAAGTGAAACTGCTGGATAATTGGACAATTCTATCTTCAATTTTTTGAGGAACAACAATACCATTTTCCATGCTGGCTGTACAATTTTACATTTCCTCCAGCAATGCACAAGGGATCTGATTTCTCCACACTTGTTATTTTCTGTTGTTGCTGGGGTTTTTTGTTTTGTTTTGTTTTGTTTTGTTTTGATGGAGTTTTGCTCTTGTTGCCCAGGCTGGAGTGCAGTGGCACAATCTGTACTCACTGCAACCTCCGCCTCCCAGGTTCAAGGGTCCTCATGCCTCAGCCTCCCAAGTAGCTGGGATTATAGGAGCGCGCCCTCATGCCTGCCTAATTTTTGTGTTTTTGGTAGAGACAGCGTTTCACCATGTTGGCCAGGCTATTCTCGACCTCCTGACTCAAGTGATTCACTTGCCTCGGCCTCCCAAAGTTCTGGGATTACGGGTGTGAGCCACTGCACCTGGCCTGTTGTTTTCTTTTTAATGGTAGCCATCCTCATGGTGTGAAGTGGTATCTCATGGTTTTTATTTACATTTCCCTAATGATTAGTGGTGTTAAGCATCTTATCATGTGCTTATTGGCCATCTGTATATCCTCTTTAAGGAAATGTCTATTCACCTCCTTTGCCCATTTTTTTCATTGGGTTTTTGTTTGCTGTTGTTATTGTTGCATTATAGAGCTTCTTTGTATATGCTGGATATTAATCTCTTATCAGATATATGATTTGCATATATTTTCTCCCATTCTGTGAGTGTCCTTTGATATACAATTTGTTAATTTTAGTGAAATCCAATTTATCTTTTCATCATTGTTGCCTGTTCTTTCGATGTCATATCCAATAAATCTTTGCCAGAAAACTTTTTGCCTGGTTTCCTATAAGAGTTTTATAGTTTAGTTGTTACATTTAGATTTTTGAGTTAACTTTTTAAAAACTATGGTGTTAGGTAAGGGTCCAGCTTCATTCTTTTGCATGTGGACATCCAGTTTTCCCAGCATTTGTTGAAAAGACTGTCTTTGCCCCACTGAATGGTCTTGGCCCCTTTGTTGAAAATCATCTCACCATATATGCAAGGGTTTATTTCTGGCCCCCTATTCTCTTCCATTGGTCTATATGTCTATCTTCATGTCAGTACCACAGCTTTGATGACTAGCTATGTAGCAAGTTTGAAATCAGGAAGAATGAGACCCTCAGCTTTGTTCTGGGCCCCTTTAAATTCCATATGAATTTTAGGATGGATATTTCTATTTCTGCAGAAAACATGGTTGGGATTGTGATATTGTACTGAGTCTGTCTTGGGTAGTATTAATCTTAACAATACGAAGTCTTTCAATCTATGAACAGAAAATGTCTTTCCGTTTATTTATGTCTTTTTTAAGTTCCTTCAGCAATATCCTGTAGTTTTCAGTGTACATGTCTTTCATCTCTTTGTTCAAGTTTATTCCTAAATATTTTATTCTTTATAATGCTATTGTAAATGAAATTATTTTAACTTCCTTTTGGGATTGTTCATTGTTAGTGTTTAGAAATGCAACTAGTTTTTGTGTGCTGATTTTGTATCCTGTAACTTTGCTGAATTCAACATAATTTTAATTGCTTTTTAGGTTTTATTCTTATAAATTGAAATGGGGACCCCAGCCAGAGAACACTCTGGACCACACAATCTTTTGTCCTCAACCTCCATATCCCAGTCTCCCCATAGTCCAAAGATTCCCTTACCCTGCACTGCCAGAGGGTTAAAGGGTCAGTTCTAGGCAGCTCCTTTGTCAGGATTGCTGGCCTCCAAAGCCCCACCTCGCTAATTCTGTTTCTTCATTGTCAAATAAGGAGGTCCATCTCTGTCCTCTCAGGTCTTCTGCAGCACTGGATACCATGTGTTAGCTCACGTACCTGAGTTCAGTTTTCATGAGAGTTCATGATGACTGAGGTATGGTTAATCATTTGTTAAATAGTTAGATTTTTATTCCAGAGAAACACCTACTCTACAGAGCGCATATGAAACAGGTTTGCATTGCATGAATTATTTTCCCATTTGAAACCCAGAATCTCACTCAAATGGCTTTCCAACCCATATTGTACTGAAGTATCCTGTTCGTTCCATTAACTATTCACAGAGTCAACTGGGGAACCGTTGTTATTAATTTCAATGGAAGGCTAAAATGCAGTTCATTTTCTGTAATTGCAGGCCCACGGTCTAAAGAGCCAGCAAAAGCTTTTAATCTGAGGCTTTTTTAGAGGAGTATGATCATTATTACATTGAACATCTTTTGAAGGTGCGTAATTATCAAAACCTCAATAACATTGACATTCAAAGAGCCCTATACCATAGAAGCGAAACTCACATGCAGGGAGCAGGACAAATTGCGGTCTGAGTTACCCAGGGATAGAGAAATGGCCACGGGGAAGGTCGACAATGTTTGCACATCTTGCTTTGCTATTTTATTCCAACTGTGAGGCTCTTCATGCCACATGGGAAGGGGACAGACGCACTCCCTTCATATATGTAAGTTGTTTGTGGCCTCAGATATCCAACCCTTCCTGCTGCAGCTTCCCTGACCTCCTGCACCGGGAGCCACCGGCTGCAAACAGGCTGCAAACACCGGGGAGCTGCAAGCGAGGGCGGCCAGTCCATCGAGCCAGCAGAGGGCGCTGAAACGCGGCCCAGTGAACTAGGGACGTCCAGGGCCAGCGCTGACCACTGGTGGTGCCCGAGCTCCCAGGGCTCTGATGCCCGGCTGCTCCAGTCCGCAGAGAAAACTAACCGGACACTCCACTGCTACTTTCTTCCCGATGCTCATGAGTCTCACCTTTGGTGAGGGCTGTCACCCTTTAGCCACAGTTCTGTGAGAGAACCACCTCCTTTTCCCCCATAGGAGGAAGGACAGCGGCAGAGGAGGCCAGGGGAGTGGCTCACGCAGTGACAAGTGACTGCAAGGCCACCCCCACCACACTTCCCACAGGTGGCACCACATGTGCACTTCTGCTCAAAACTGAAGCGGGGTGACAGCACACTGCTTGGCATGGGGACAGAGACAAAGGAGGCAGGCACCGGGGACAGGGTGTCAGCATGTATGTGCATATATATATATGTGTATGTGTGTGTGTATATATATACACACACACACACATATATACACACCCTGTATATATATATATATACACACACCCTGTATATATATATATATATATACACACCCTGTATATATATATACACACACACACATATATATACACACACACATACATATACATACACACACAGACATACATACATATACACATACATACATACATATGTATGTGTATATATATTTTTAGTTAAAATCCAGATCGATGATGCTGGCACCATCACGTACTCCAAATGTCAAAGCCACACGTTATGAGGTTGGTGAGATAGGCCACCCACCCTCACATACTCATTCATCTTCAGCATGTTGCCACTTACTATATTTTGTGTGCACCCGGATAAGTGGATTTAAGGATTTCATTATTCAGTGTTAACTAAATTAATTTGGAAAAAATGTATATGTAGCTTTAAAAATATGGTTGCAAAGAATCTGTAGGTTGGCAACATTAGTAACGGGAGCACAAGTGAACTCAAAGGAAACAGCAGAGCTCTCGCATCTCTTACTCCTAGGAAGGCCCCTTTATCAGCCAGTCCGCAGGAGAAGCAATGATGAGCTCAGCAGATCTGACAGTCTTAGGCCAACCAGAATTTTTTTTAGAAAAGCAAACAAATCTGTCATTTCAAGCAAAAGATGCTGCCACAATAAGTGAGAATGTAATTGTTCCTTTTTTGCCCCCTGGGAGTGGTGGTGAAATAAAAGAAAGAAAATGGGAAATCCTATCTATAAGACCAAGTAAAAATAATCATGCATCGGGCATAGCTCTTACCATGAAGTGGCAGCAGACACATCAGAACCGTGGCAGATCACAGACTCTTTCCAAGTGGCAGGGATTGTCCAGGGAGCGGCTGAGTCAGCAGCAGGGCCTGTCCCACCTGGGCACTATTTCCTTCTTTCCTTTACTGCCACCTCATGTCAGATGGTGACAAGAGGATCATGACAAACAAGAGTCAAAGGTCAGATCAGAAGTCAGAGTCAAAGGCAGGGTCAGAGTGCAGATTTCTGACTCCCTGACCAGTGCTCACAAAGGAATCAAGCCCGCATCTAGTGTGGGCCCTGGCGTGGCCTTGGTGTTAAACACAGGAGAGAGCATAGCATGGTGGGCTCTAAACCCAGAAATCAGACTCCCCCGACAACTTCCAGCTCTGAGACCCAACCTCTCTGTGCCTGTCCTCTCTGACTGTAGAACTGGGAAAGTTAATGAAACTTGCTTTGGAAGCTTGTCGTGAGAAATGAATGGATAAACACATGTGAACGATGCTTGGTGCATACTCAACTTTTAACAAATGTTAGCTGTTGTAATCTTATTTTACCACTGAAGCTGAAGAAACTTTTTTCAGGTTGAGATACTGCATTCCTGGAGTCCTTCAGATCTTTTACCAAATTCCAATATCAAGTTCTCAACTTCCACAGTCTCTGAATCCTGAAGTACACTTGAGAATTTCTGCCAAGATATGCACCTTCAGAGCCAAGAGCAGCAATTAAGAGACCAGTGAAGTTCTCCTGTTTAGACACTACAACGGAAAATTTGAAAGCAAATATCTCAGACAACAAGGATGGCTGAAATACAGTACAAACCAAGAATGCTAATCATTTTCAAAGTCAAAAAGTAAATTGGGACACCGATTTAGCACAGCTTGCAACCTTGCAAAATTCCTGCTCCACAGAACTGTAACTGCTGGCCTCTCCAAAGGTCGGGCAGAATGCACTTTATTTACATTTCATCCAAGCTTGCTACTTTACAATGTGGACTTCCCAAAGGGCAGGGCTGTCTTACTTATTTCTGTGTTTGTTGAATGAATGTTGAACATGGCAGTCTACAGCCATACCACCCTGAACGTGCTCAATCTTGTCTGAACGTTGAACGTGGCAGAGTGCTCCTCATGGGGAAAGAAAATGCGAGAAGAGGTGGGACGCAATTATTTCCTTGTTTTCAGGATGGGCAGTGTGATCAGGATACTAATGTGAAATGTAATGATGCCGAGTCCTTTTGCAGTGGGCAGGGAAGGGTCACTAGGGGTGCCGGTGACTGGTGTGTATTTTTCCACTTGCCAGTTATGTGCAAATGAGTAAGTCATGAAATCTCAGTGTTTTTCATTTATCCAATGGGAGCAATCTATTTGAAACATACCTCACAAGTCTATTATGAGGATCAAATGAAATGTTTGTAAAGAACGCACAAAAGTGCAGAAGTGAAATGGTGTAGTGAGTGCACGGGTGTTAGACACACGCATGGTGTTGTTAGTCATCTGCCACCCGCACTTCTTGAACATGTAAAGATAAAAGAATCAAATCTGCCTAGAAATTATGCCAACATAGGTAAAGGAAAATAAATGACATATTTCTTATACAGGCTCACTCTATCCATTTCAAACCGCAGGGGCCTGGCTAACAACAGCTTTTTTTTCTCATTTCCAAACTTTTGCACTCATTTGTTTCTGCTGTTCTATTTCCATTATGAAAACCTTCAAACATTCCCTTACTCCCGTTTTCTATTCTTTGTTTCCTGGATGGTTTGAAAGCAGACCTCAGACATCATGTCGTTTCATCCACAGGTACTTGCACATTTTGCCAAACTTTTTGTAAGAGCAGCCGAGAACAACTCTGTGGCCTCGGTGTCCAGTCCTTAGCCCTTTGCCATTGGACTTCCCAGCTCTACCCTACCATGGAACCTATTCTCTGAAAAGTCACCAAGGATGTAAACCCAGAGACTATTTCTCAATCCTCACCCTCCCAATTTCTCTGCAGCTTCAGACACTGCTGAGTCAAAGCCAGCAGGCATTGCATGAACACCACGTGCAGGTGCTGTCAGGTGTGTGGGTGGCTGAACACCCAGGCCCTGGAGGAGCTCTCAGGTGCTGAGGGGCACAGACAGGACAAGTGGCAGCCAGCATGTGCCTCTAGGGAAGTGCAAGAACAGCGAGTGGCAGGGGGGCTGCAGGTGCCAGGCAGCCTTGATGCCGCTGGCATTGGGCTGGGCTTAGAAGGATAAGCAGGGCTTGATGGCTGGGGTCAGGTTAGAGAATCAGCAGGACAAGGCATTCCTGGAAAAGCGGCACAGTGTGAGCAGGAGCTGGCTCTTCGGAAAGCTCAGGGTGATGCCTGGGGAATGTGCATCACTTGTGTGATTAAGGCGCGGGAGAGAACTTGCTGACTGTGTCATATTTACGAAAACACACACCATGTTGAGAGTAAACAAAAGTTTGAGTTCAGAGGAACCTCTAAGAGTAGATTTTTTCCCCCTGCAGTCTAAAGGGAGCTGTTTTTGTTTGTTTGTTTGTTTGTTTTCTTGAGATGCAGTCTTGCTCTGTTGCCCAGGCTGGAGTGCAGTGGCGGTATCTTGGCTCACTGCAAGCTCCGCCTCCCGGGTTCATGCCATTCTCCTGCCTCAGCTTCCCTAGTAGCTGGGACTACAGTTGTCCGCCACCATGCCCGGCTAATTTTTTGTATTTTTAGTAGAGACAGGGTTTCACCGTGTTAGCCAGGATGGTCTCGATCTCCTGACATGATTCGCCCGCCTCGGCCTCCTAAAGTGCTGGGATTACAGGCATGAGCCACCATGCCCAGCCAGAGGGGAGCTGTTTTAATAATTCATTTGTAGTGTAATTCTTGGTCATTTCCAGGGATGAGTAATTCTAGCCAAAATCTGTCTATAATATCTACAACTACCACCTATTTAGCACAATGTGTCAGCCACGTTACATGCATGATTTCTAGAACTTACAGCAATCAAGCAAGGTAGGTATTAACCTCAGGCTGCCTGGCTCTACCCACTGTGCCACAGCACTGGCCTCCCTCTCGATCTGGATCATGTGTGCACCAACATACTTAGTGTTTCTCTGTTACAGGACAGAGGAAAAAAGGAGTGGAAGTCAGCCAGCAGGCTGTGCCCCCAGAGCCCATCACAATGGCACGGCCTTCCTAGAATGATCACTATTGAGACAAAAATATCCCATAGTCATGAAGCCTTTCACACATGCACACACGTCAAAACCTAACATGCCACCGAGAACCTGGATTCAGCCTCTGTTATGTCTCCTCAGGCCTTCCCCGCACACCTCTCTCACTTGGTTCATTTCCATCCTGTGTTCTCCATTTACCTGGCTTTGTTTCCCCATTGCATTTATCAGTTTAAGGGTGAATTCAACAAGAACTCCCTTCTTTAGATTGCCTGAAAGCTGACCAAGAACGGTTAAGTTAGAGACATCTATTCCCCAGACTCTAAAAGATGAGAAGCAACAACGACTTGTCCAATGTCAAGGTTGTAAGGGTGGCGGCAGCTATTACAAATAAGGTTTTTTTGAGACGGGACGAGGTGATTCCAACTGTAATCTTAGCACTTTGGGAGGCTGAAGTGGGGGGATCACTTGTGCCCAGGAGTTCAAGACCAGCCAAGGCAACAGAGGGAGACCCCCATCTCTGCAAAAAATAAAAAAATTGCCAGGCATGGTGGTATGCATCTGTAGTCCCAGCTACTTGGGAGGCTGAGGCGGGAGAATCATTGAGGCCAAGAGGTGGAGGCTGCAATGAGCAGTGACTGAGCCACAGCACTCCAGCCTGGTGGGCAACAGAGTGAGACCCTGAAGTCATGTTATTTCTTGATTATGTCCCTGTGTATCTCTGTGTAAGCACAGAGATAGCAACTACTCCGTCCTAAAAACGGATGAATTCTGAGCCTCTAGAGCAGTGCCTGGCACATAGTAGATGCTAAGAGAACATTGGCCAAGTACAATGAAAAGATGAATCAGTAAGTGTTTTGTGTCTTGGGCCTGCCTAATATTCATTTAAATATGAAAAGTAACAAATGAAGAGACATCCCACCTGCCTGGCCTCCTTGTTTCTACACTCTAGCTAGGAAGAGGGACAGGGACAAATTATTACTAAAAAGGAATCACTTACAATTAGACATGCCCAACGGAGGCGATGCCTGGAATGCAGCAGGGAGGTCCCTGTCACGGGAAGCCTTCAAGCAGGAGCTAGATGACCATATCACAGCGGGGACCTGTATACCAGAAAAATGGACAAGAGCTTCCCTTTCTAAGGTTCCATGACTTGGGATCAGCAGGGGGAAAAAGTAGCTCTAGACTGGGGACCTGGATGACACAAGGACATCATATCCTTTGGAATGACTTACATATGACAGGTGACAAGGACTGCCTTTCCTCAAACATTTACTAAGTATCCACAGAGGGAGTTTTGTTGCTGTGAGCACCCCCCATCCTCCACAGGTGCCCATCTATCTCAGCACAGGCCAGGACTCCAGGAGCAGGAGTTTAGCCCACAGCCGCCAAGAGACCAGGCAAGGATCCCAGACTCCAACTCTTTAGGACTGAGCCACGCAGGAAGGAACAGGCACAGAGGGGTGAATCTACAAAGGGCTCTGGGGTATTGCTTCCCTGGTGGGAGAGGCTAGCAGTCAGGAGAATGGGACTAAACACATCCCATGAACTAAGACATTCTCAGGTCATTTCTAGAGGAGGTGAGTGAAAGGAGACCTTTCAATTAAACCTAGGTAAAGTAAAGAAAAACTTCATTTTTTTGAGACAGGGTCTCACTTTGTTGCCCAGGCGGGAGTGCTGTGGCTCAGTCACTGCTCATTGCAGCCTCCACCTCTTGGGATCAATGATCCTCCCGCCTCAGCCTCCCGAGTAGCTGGGACTACAGGTGCACACCATCACGCCTGGCAAATTTTTTATTTTTTGCAGAGATGGGGTCTCCCTCTGTTGCCTCGGCTGGTCTTGGACTCTTGAGCACAAGTGATCCCCCCACTTCAGCCTCCCAAAGTGCTAAGATTACAGTTGGAGTCACCTCGTCCCATCTCAAAAAAAACCTTATTTTTAATAGCTGCCGCCACCCTTACAACCTTGACATTGGACAAGTCGTTGTTGCTTCTCATCTTTTAGAGTCTGGGGAATAGATGTCTCTAACTTAACCGTTCTTGGTCAGCTTTCAGGCAATCTAAAGAAGGGAGTTCTTGTTGAATTCACCCTTAAACTGAAAACTTTTGAAGAAATAAAGCAAATGCTGATCCAAGTTTTTGAAATAGCCCATCTTGAAAGTGTTATTTGCAGGTGAGTGAGTGAATAGAGCTCAAATGGAAATCTCTAAGTGCTTCTCACTCAGCCATGGAGCGAAGCCACCTTCTCCTGATGGGAGGCATGCTCTCTGCCACCTGCGGGGATGGTGTGAGTCCTCCAAGTGCTAGTCTTTTTTTTTTTTTTTTTTGAGGCGGAGTCTCACTGTCACCCAGGCTGGAGTGCAGTGGTGCGATCTCGGCTCACTGCAAGCTCTGCCTCCCAAGTTCATGCCATTCTCCTACCTCAGCCTCCCGAGTAGCTGGGACTACAGGCGCCCGCCACCATGCCCGGCTAATTTTTTGTATTTTTCTTTTTCAGTAGAGACGGGGTTTCACTGTGTTAGCCAGGATGGTCTCCATTTCCTGACCTTGTGATCTGCCCACCTCAGCTTCCCGAAGTGCTGGGATTACAGGCATGAGCCACCGCGCCCGGCCTAGTCTTTTATTCTTGTAGGTGATTAAAGTTTTAGCATTTCTCACTTAGGCACTTTATAGCTATTAGGCACTGTGCTTACATGTACAACTTCACTTCTAAAGAGCTTCTGTGTTGCCATAGAAATTAATTAGTAGTATATTTACACCATAAAATGGCAAAAGAGCTTTCTAACAAGGACCTTAGGGAGCTGAAATCTTTCCCTCAGCAAGAAGACAAGACAGACTTAAGAGAAAAACCTCAACTCATGAATTCCTAGCCTGTTACCAGGGCAGCAGTTTACCATGTTGGTGTGTCATCTATATGGTTTTGTTGATCACCCAAGGTGGACAAATGAAAGAAAATCTGCATTGTAAAAGATGAAATTAGGTGCTGTGAGGAAGTGACCCAGAGCCTCTCACTATGTGTTGTGCACAGCAGGTGCTGGATAAACTGTTTAAACAATTCCATGGAAAAGCAACACAGCCATCACTCGAATGAGCCTGGGTATTTTATAGTGCTTAAGGAAACTTGGAAACAGTATATTTTAGCATGCACTCGAAACATCTCACTTTCCATTTTTCAATGTTGATTAAAGATACTTATTGCTTATATAAAGTGCCAAGTTAACCTCACCTCTCTTTAAGCTTTCAAATTCCAAATTAGTTAAGTCTGAATTAACAGGGCATTAATGTACTGTAACATGGGTGTCAGGCATGATGAAATGGGTGAAGTGCCCACAGAAGCTGAAATTCAGGTTAACTTCAGATTTAATTTTAACCATCCATGTATCTGATTACAGCTTCAAACATGTGAGGAATCATAAAGCAGCAGCCCACTTTCATTTATAAAAGAATGGGTATCAAGTTCTGAAGGTACAGCAACAGAATGAACAGACCTCAGGGTCTTCTAGTGAGAAAAGAGCCACAGCTAGGACAGAGAGGGAGGATTCAGCTGTTTGAGAACTGGTCACTGTGCACAGTATCTTGAGAAAACGAAACCCTCTAAATCTGCCTTCCAAAATTTCCTATGAAAACATGTCTCTGGATTTACAATGCAAGTTGCATTTGCTCTAGAAAAGTTGGTGATAGTGACCTTTGCTGAACTGCCCTTCCCCCAACCCCTCCCATAAAAAGGCAAATTGCTTCAGTGATTTCCAGACTGCTTGGAAACGGGTAATATAATGGTGAAAATGTTGTTGCGTCCCAAGCTTTTATAAAGTCTTTCCTTATATCTGGATTGCAACTTCAACTTTCAGATAGTATGGGTCAGTGTGCTGCCATTAATCCCACTCTGGCCTTCTGTTGCCCACATGTCCTTTGTGGGATGTTACTGGAATGTTAGGAACTATCATAAACTGTGCTTGCATCAGCCTTTCAGTATTTTACATAGCTCAGAAATGAAATCTAACCAAACCCCAACAGTATATAACAATTACAATAACACTAACTGGACAGGAGAATGAGGAGGAGCCACAACACTTGCCACTAAGTCAGACCTCAGGGTGGTTGGAGTCACGTGGTCTCAGGTCCTTGTATTGTGCAGAGGGGACAGAGCTATTGTTCACGTTGAAACTTTATGTTAAATATGCACGAAGAAAAATTCAAGGGTAACTGCAAAGTGAACAGAAACAGAGCTACAATTCGGTAGAAGAAAACATGAAGCACAGAGAGGCAGAGGAAATTAATATAGGGTGGAAAGAAAACATATAATAATCATCACAACATACATGGACAACCCTTGGCAAAATAACAAATTCCAAAAGTAACAGAAAAGAATCTGCTTATATGCTATTCATACACTTGTTCACATTATAATGATGAACTTTGGTTTATCACATCATTACAGCTGAAATGAGGTCACAAATTGGGAGAAGATATTTATACCTCACATCATCCACGAAGTATTAACATCCAGAATAAAGAATGTCTACACATGAAAAAGAGAAACACAAATAGCCCTTTAGAAAATTGTCCAACAGGTTAGTCACCAAAGAAGGGACCTGAAAGACAAGTAAATATGTGAGAAGTTCCTCGACTTCACCAGTAAATGGGGAGATGGGAATTGAAGTCACAGTGGGATGCCCTTTTCACCCTCTTCGGTTTGAGAACACCAAATGTTGGCAAGAATGTGGATCAACAAAACTTACCCAATTACTAGTGGAAATGTAACATTAGTGCAACCTCTTGGGAAATTAATTACCTCGTAAAGATGCACCTACTCTAAATGCAGGAATGCAACTCCTAGAGCAGTGGTTTTCAACTATGGCTGCATGTAACCCCCCTGAGGAACACACAAAACCAAACAAAATTGATGTCCAAGCCCTAGCCCAGACCAACTAAAACAGCAAAGCTCCCCAAAAGATTCTTGTGTGCAGCCAGGATTAAATGAGAATCACTGCCCTGCAGAAACTCTCCACATGCACATGAATACTTGTTTATGGGTGCTCCCACCAGCACTGTTAATGATGAGAAGAAAAAAATAACCTAAATGTCAAGTAACTAAAATATGGATAGAAAATTGTCATAATCATTGACTAGCAAGAAAAATTTGAGCTACATAAACATGCATGAATCTTGCAGCAAAAGTAGTTGCAGAACACCACATATGCACATCATTTACAGATTTAAAACCATACACACAATATTATATTTGAATGATGTATAAATACGTAGTATAACTATGAAGAAACAATGGGAAGGCCAGAGGGTAGACACAAATGGGGAAGGAAGTCAAATGGCAGCGGCCCTGCTTATATTTAAGCTGGGTGGTGGGTACACAAGTGTTCACTGTATTATTTCTGACTTTTGTGTCAGAAAAATTATTATGAATTAAAAATAGCTAAAGAATGCAAAATGGAGACAACTCTTTTGGGAAACTTTACTATGAATAGCAGAGTCAAGAGAGGGTTATTTAGAGACAAGGTCTTGCTCTGTTGTCCAGGCTGGAGTGCAGTGGCGCAATTGCGGCTCACTACAGCCTTGACTTCCCAGGTTCAAGCGAGCCTCTCACCTTAGCCTCCCAAAGTGCTGGGATTACAGGCATGAGTCACTCTGCCTGGCTGAGTTTGTTTAAAATATGAAATATGCCCCTGATATTTTTTCTTTTTTTGAGATGGAGTTTTCACCCTGTCACCCAGGATGGAGTGCAGTAGTGCAATCTCGGTTCACCGCAACTTCCACCTCTCAGGTTCATGCAAGTCTCGTGCCTCAGCCTCCTGAGTAGCTGGGCTTACAGGCACCCGCCAGCACACTCAGTTAATCTTTGTATTTTTAGTAGAGACGAGGTTTCACCATGTTGGACGGGCTGGTCTCAAATTCCTGACCTCAAGTCATCCGCCTGCCTCGGCCTCCCAAAGTGGCTGGGATTATAGGCATGAACCACCGCACCTGGACTACTGCCCCTGATACTCTTAACCAAGGATTTCTACCTGCCTTCTACCCACAAGGTGCTCCCTAAGCAGCACTAGAGGCCTCAATTTTCCTGACCAGCTCAAAGATAAACGGACAGAATAACTCCCACTGCTCAAGCATGGGCTGCACACACTATTGTAGAGAAACCGGATAAGTAGTTGAGGCCAACTTCAGCAGCCATAAAGCACACAGACAGCAGGTATCCTTGATATGAGGACAACAACATTTTACCTTGGGGATATCGCTCCAAAAACCCATTTGCCAGTCATAATAAGAAAAAACAGCAAATTCCAATAGAAAGCAACTTGCAATATACCTGACCAGCATCAGCATTCTCAGCACCCTCAAGAGCAAGGAGTCTGAGAAAATGGCACAGCCAAGAGGAGAATAAGAAAACATGACGACTAAACGTACTGTAGACTCCCTGAACAGAAAAAGAAATTAAGCCTCGATTCTATCTTGGCAATATCTTGAGCTCTTCAGAAGTGACAGAATCTCTGATATTTATTGTCTAGTTTTAAAACACTGCCACAGATGGGGTAATCAAGCATCTACCTGGCAAAGTTTTCTTCTTCCTAGCATATAGCTATGACCATAAATGTGTAACTTACTGAAATCTTTAAAAGGAGCCAGAAAAAGCTTGCCCAGAGAGATTGGTAAAGATTTCCTAAAAGAGTGGTGTCACTTGAGCTAAGTCAGCCCCTGCAGACGCAGAGAGCAGGGGATGTATGCGGGCTGGGGTGGTTTATATAGGAAGCAAGAAAGGATGGGAAATAAGGCCACAGGGGCAGGTTGGGGGCCAGACCACAAAAAGCCTTTTGTGCTATACCAAGGCTTTTGATTTATCCTGCAGACAACATGGAACAAATGGTTTTTTTTGTTTTTTGTTCGTTTTTTTTTTTGAGACGGAGTCTTGCTCTGTCACCCAGGCTGGAGTGCAGTGGTGCTATCTCAGCTCACTGCAAGCTCCACCTCCCGGATTCACAACATTCTCCTGCCTCAGCCTCCCGAGTTAGCTGGGACTACAGGCGCCCGCCACCACACCCGGCTAATTTTTTTGTATTTTTAGTAGTGTGTTAGCCAGGATGGTCTTGATCTCCTGACCTCGTGATCTGCCTGCCTCGGCCTCCCAAAGTGCTGGGATTACAGGCGTTAGCCACTGCGCCCAGCCAAATGAAGATTTTTAAACAGGGCAAGGATATGATTAGAGTTGGGGTTCAGAAGTTACTCTCAAGGCTTAAGAGTTTGGATTGAAAGATGAAGAGATAGGAAGTAGGCAAATGCTTGGGAAAGCACAGATTTCAGTTTTGGAGGTGCTGAGATCTGGGTGTCTGTCTCAGGCTGTGGACTGTGGGAGCTGTAGACTTAGGTGTCAGTGGTGCTCAAAGTTGCAAGGTTAAAGATGGTACTTAAAACTCTAACTAGGTAGCAAGAGATCGAGGCCAGAAGAAATGCATACACAAAGGCCTACGGAGATTCACCATTAGGAAGGAAAGTGGGGAGTGGAGTTGAGAGTGAGACACATGGAGCGTCACTTAAGCCCTCACTCCAGATATGGGAACAACGTGAACCAGCAGAGAAGAAAAAGCTTTACAGTTGGAGGAAATACTGTAAGTGTGTGCTCTGAGGAGGCTGCTGGAGCAAGGGAGGGTAAATGGCACCATGGAGCCATCTGGACAATCCAATTAGGAGTCTGACCACAGAGGCCTTGGTTTGAACTTAACTTACCAGAAAACTAGGAGACAACTTTCTTTCTTTCAGTTACAAATTTTTTTTTTCCTAGTAACCATATTAGAAAAGAAAAAGAGGCCAGGCCTGGTAGCTCACCTCTGTAATCCCAGTGCCTTGGGAGGCTGAGGCAGGTGGATCACCTGAGGCCAGCAGTTCGAGACCAGCCTGGCCCACATGGCAAAACTGTCTCTACTGAAAATATAAAAATTAGCCAGGCCTGGTGGTGGGCACCTGTAGTTCCAGCTACTCAGAAGGCTGAGGTAGGAGAATTTCTCAAACCACGGAGGCAGAGGTTGCAGTGAGCCAAGATCGTGCCACTGCACTCCAGCCTGGGTGACAGACCGAGACTCCATCTCAAAAAAAAAAAGGAAAAAGAAAAAGAAACTGTGGGGTGAGAATAAGGTGGGTTTGTGATCCTGAGGTTTCATGCTCGGTGCTCGGTATATTATAAGGACAGTGGAGCCAGCAACAAAAATACAGATCACAGACTAAGTCAACAGCTGCTGTTCAAGAAAAGAGACAACGTCACTATTACAGAAAGGATGACTTTTATTTCCATCCTGAATGATTCACACCATTATTTAAACATCTGAAAAATCCTGAAATAATTTAAACTGAAGGCACAGAACAAACCAAAATATTTAACTATCAGAACTAAAAATGAGAAAATCCAAATAGTTCTATAGTAACAATAAATTATGAACAAGTTTCCGTCACCAAATATCACTCTGACCAAAAATGACTGTCTTTTGTCATAAAAGCTACAGCTTAAGCTGATTCCAAGATTTCTATAAAAATGAGAGTGAAGAAATTTCTTCTTTCAAAATACTCATTATGCCACCAGGTTCAATGTAAGTATTTTGTATATAACAAAGTAGCAGTCAGGATATTTGTTGATGGATGGCTACTCCCCAAGAAATGACACATTCTTACAAACTTTAAAAAAATAGCAAAGTTGGTTACAAAATTCTATTTGGGGAGCAGGGAAAAAACTTGTTCCATGTCAATTAGAATATCAAAGCATTTCAAAATCAAACTGCTTCCAAAGCCAATCATCACACAACAGTAATATACTGTATGGGCCATTCCACTGTATCTTGTTATATGTTGATCATACAGTGTAACTAAGGGGTTGAACAAGTCAGTAGCAATGATTGTTGCTGTATCTTATTCCAAATAGATATGTTTTTTAAAAATCATTATAAAACTAACTGAAATAATCAGTGACATGCTACAGATACAATAAACCCCAGCAATACAATTGCTAAGTTTCAAAATAAAGTGGTCATGCTTCATAATATATTGTACTGTAGTATTCTGAAATACATTCTCTGATTATCAATACCATTTATTACAGAGGTCACTTGTAAATTTGCTCAGATTCTGAACTAGGTTTCTAAATGAAATTTTTTTCAAGTATGTATAATATTAATAAGGTAAAGATATTTTTATCTTATTCACTTATTTATGTGTTCAGAGGATAAGTATGTTGAATAAAGGACAAAAAATGGGCTAGTCATAATTTTCAAAAACATTTCAAAAAATATGAAATAGTCTAGTGACTGAGAGCTGACTGAAAGATACATCTAAAACCTACATTTCCAACAAAACAGAACTTTTCTGTCTCCTACTTGAAACAACTAATCTCATAAGAAATAATGGGAAAAATAATTGTTTCTAAAATACACAAGAAATACTCCTACCTGAACAAAATAAAAAGGTCTCCCTTTCTCCTACTTAGCTGTGATATATAGGTATTTAATAATATGGTTTTATCTTTATCATTTCGTTTAATCGCATAAATCACAAAAACATTTCTAGCCAAGATTACTGCTAAGAATAACACAACTCTAGAAATAATTTTTTAGCAAAAACTACTTCAAAATTTCCCTACATAGCAAAACATTCCTCTGGAAATAGATTTTTAATGCTTTTGGGCTGTTCAAGTAAGTGCAGCTTTACCATCTCTAACATTAAGTTATAATTATCATCCAAATTCCTTTGTAACTGGATAACATTATCTTTTATCCTCTACTATTCTAATAATAGTATATTAAGAAATTTCTTTAGTGTTGTCAGACTTATTTCTTCATCTTCTATGAATATTGAGAGATTACAGTAGAAATAAACCAGAAAATCAGTTTATAAACAGTATGAAGTTTTGAAATGTTGGCACCAATAAAAAATGGGAACGGCCGGGTGCGGCAGCTCACACCTGTAATCCCAGCACTTTGGGAGGCTGAGGCGGGCAGATCACAAGGTCAGGAGATCGAGACCATCCTGGCTAACACGGTGAAACCCCGTCTCTACTAAAAGTACAAAAAATTAGCTGGGCATGGTGGCACACGCCTGTAGTCCCAGCTACTCGGGAGGCTGAGGTGGGAGAATGGCGTGAACCCAGGAGGCGGAGCTTGCAGTGAGCTGAGATTGTGCCACTGCACTCCAGCCTGGGTGAGAGTGAGACTGTGGTTCAAAAAAAAATGGGGAACAGTTATCACCAAAATTTAAAGTATATTCATTCATGGTATTGGTTATGACAGTGGCAGTACACGCTGTTGTTACTGGCTTTGCTGACATCAGGCCTGAGGGATACAGAACTCGTTCTATGATTCAGTTACTGAAAACAAAGACCCACCAGAAGGTCTTTACTCCATCTGGGGCACAGTTTGGGTGAGCTTTGCTCATTACCATAGGTAACATTTTAACAACTAAGTCTGAATTCTGAAAATATAAACTCACAAAGGTTAGTGGAAGACTGTTTCCAAGCTAAAAGAAATGTAACTAACTTAGGAAACCATTTAAATAAACATAAACGGACAATCTTAGTGGGTTTTGGCCCTGTGTATACCAGCAGTGTCAGCAGCTCCTAAACCACAAACACAATGAAACCAAAGGGTTTTCTTTCAAAAATCTAAAAAAGGAAGATGCAAGATTTGAAACCAATTTCCAAAATCTATACAAGGCTGCCAGGCCAACAAATAACGGTCAGAGTGACTTTGTTCCTCTGCTCCTTCAACATGGGAACTAGTGCAGAGTGGCTCATGCCCACGGTTGACAGCCCATTTACGGCCACAATCATGTCACCACACCTGGACAAAGAGAGACAGATACAGAATGTTACTATTTTCATGGTATTAAAAATATCCCAATTGAGATTTATGTAGCATGAAAAATGCGGTTTCACTTACCACTGAACTGTCAATGGTTAGGGTGTATAATCTACTTTGTCTGGGACAGCCCTTAAGCCTATGCTGGCTTTCCCTTGCCAATCAAGGAAACCCCTGTGCCGATGACTCCATAACCAGTAGGTGAATGTCAAGGACAAGCAGAGTAATTTTCACACTAATTTAAGCAAAATATAGAGTAAATATGCTCTCTCTTTAAAAAAATACCAAGTCATGCATTTGAAGGGGGTTATTATTTTGACTGCTATTTTTCTATTCATTCTTAGAGCTCATACATCTGAGGGCTGAATTAAATTGGAAATAAGACCCATACTTCCTCTTCTTTCAGCTGTTGACGCTCACTGTACTCTAAGCAGAATTATTATGGATGGATGATGAATTGGAGGACCTTTCCAGCCTTATAATTACCATAATTATCCTTATGGTTTTTGGTCTTCTATTTATACCATAAATATACTATTTTATTGTTAACTACCTCAATTTCTTTTTGGAAGTAGGAGGAATACAAATTATAATTAACAGAGGCCCAGACTGGTTAAGTAACTTAGCTAAGAGAGTGATTAATTCATTTTTCCCTACTCTGTCCTCCTAAAATGATTTTTTTTCATCTTTATCAATATAGGCTGACCTGGAGCATACCACTCCCAATCACCTTTCCATACATTATTTAGATGTCACTTACTCCTTGCAAACAGTGTACATTCTCCATCTGCATAGCATTCTATATAGAATGTCAACATTTACTTTTTAAGAACTGGTTCTTCCTTCGTAAACCAGGTATTAAGAATTTACAATCAACCACCTCCTCTCTGCTGGTGATGATGTCTTGCCATGACACCTTCTCTTTTCTTCTCCCAGTGCCCGGGCTTTGATAAGACGCTGTACACTGAGCGAGGACTTTTGCTCAGTGGTAGAGGCTGGCAGAGGGGTTAAAGTCCAGGGATCTAGAGCCAGATAGTCCTGGGTTTGAATGCCAGCCAACCACTTTCAGCTATTTCATTGTGGGCAAGTTTCTTAACCTTTCCAAGCCTCAGTTATCTTGTTTGTTTTAAAACAGGGATAATAAAGAAACTTACCTCATAGGATTGTTAAAAAGATTACATAATGCATGCACAGCACTTAGCACCGCGCCAGGCATCCTGTAAGCTATTGTACATTCATTCATCAAATATTTATGGAGATCTTACTTTATGCAAGGTATTGTTATGACTGCTAGGGATATAACAATAAATGCAACAAGATCCCTCCCTTATGGAGCTTGCATAAATACGATCTCAGGTAGAGATGAGTGCTATGGAGAAAAATGAAGCAGAGTCATCTAATGACAGGACTGGACCTGAGTAGGCTGTGTGGGAAACTTACTCAGCGCTCAATGTCACATCACAACGTGATGAATGAAATATGTCCAATGAAATAACTCAGGTTCAGTTTCTGTCATCAGATTAATGAAACATAGCTATAAGTGACAAGACAGTAAAGGTAACATTTCAGTCTAGATCGGGATTGGCAAATTTTTTCCGTAAGGGGTCAGATGGTAAATATTTTAGGCTTCAAGACCCATACAGTCTCTGTCATGATGACATCAACTCCGCTGGTGTAGTGTGGGAGCCAGAGAGTACATAAACCAGTAAGTGTAGCTGCACTGCAATGAAACTTTATTTTCAAAAAGATAATGGGCTGGATTTAGTGCTGACCCCTGACCCCTGGTCTAGATCATGTCCAATGTCATCAACATGAATCACATCATTAATTAGAACAAGACTCACTTTAATCTTCCATCATAATAAGCAGGAGTTCCCAAGACAATAGTTTTAATGAAAAAAGGCTGATTGGTGTGGTTCTCTTCATATCCACCAACGATACTAAAGCCCCAACTTCCCAAGTAACTTCTTCGTAAAACTATATCGTGGCAGCTATGAAGTGTGCTATAAACAAACAGAAAAATAAAGAAAAAATTAACATGGAGGCTTTTATAGCCGCTTATTTTTGTTATAACCCCATACCATGTTATATTTACCACTCTTGGAAAAAAGAAAAAGGGCTATTAATAAATAGATTATTTTGACAATCCATCTTCTAGCAGAGACACAGTCCTAGGTAGACTCAAATTTCTCCAACTTTTTTCAGTCTTCCCAAGTGAAGACACACACACACACATACACACACACACACAAGTAGAGAACCTGGTTACAAATTACACCTCAGTAACCTGTACAAAAAGGTCATGTACCTATATCAGCTCACTGCATTGTCAACAAAGTCCTCAATTCTACTAATCACTTTTATCTACAAGAGGAATTACAATGTGGGATGAAAGAGGTCTAGTACTGCCAAGCCCAGCATGCAAATGAAAGAAGAAAAAGATTAGGAACGCAGCTTCCGAAAAGAAGGCAGATAATTATCTCTCTTTTCTAAAGGTCCTATAGGCTTTTAGTCTACATGAGGAGTTATTTGTTATTTTCTCCTTTACTTAGGATGTTTTCATTTTAAGGGAGACTCTAATTGCCAAAATAGAGAAATCAATCTGAAAAACACTAACAAAAAATCTTTTTCTTTTTTTTTCTATCATAGACAAGCTGGGTACAGCGTCATGTGTCTGTAGTCCCAGTTACTGGGAGGCTGAGACAGGAGGATGGCTTGTGCCCAGGAGCTTGAGGCTGCAGTGAGCTATGATCATGCCAACTTGGGTGACAGAGCAAGACCCCATCTTTAAAAAAAAAGAAAATATATACACATCTATACACACACATGCATATATAAATGTATCATAGACACTGAGAAACTACAGTTAGAATGCTACTGCCAGATTGCAGGATGTGTCCAGAGAGGGAGAAAAAAAAAATGTACTTATGTTTCCATAGCTCTATGGATTTGGGAACAAGCAGTGAGTAAAATCTTAAAAACAAAACAAACAAAAAAAGCACACCTAAATGATAAGGAAAAAAAAACTCTTCATAATAAATAAATATCTTTCATCTTTAGGTGAAACTGGATCTAAATGCACGGAAGGCAAGGTTTCCTGTTTTAAATCCATAATAAAATAATAAATATACATAATATAAATAATTAATTTTAAAAATCCTGTTTTATTATTTCTTAATAAAGCCAATTCTATAAAGCAATGTTTACCATGCCAGAACTTCTCATCTTATCTAGTTTCCTAGCTCACTGATAAGAAAGGCTTCTGGGATGGAACAAGGTCCCATGCACTGGCCTGGATTTAAAGGGACAGTGTTGGTTATTTTCCTAATGCTGCATCTTCTGAAACAAACAGCTTTCTTGTATACCCCAGCAAATCGCAGTGGAAGAATCTCCCTTTTCACGAAAAGCAGAGCAGAGCTGCTACACTATGCCGTGTGAAACCTGCATATAGGGGCCACCTGCACCCACTGAGGAGGACACATGGCTGTTGAATATAGCTTTGCATTCAACAGAGACCTCCATACACACATTGAATAGTAGCCTTTTATCGACAGGTATTCTTTCAACACAGGTGGGCTCAAAAACAGATTTTACTATACTGTGTATTTCTCATCTAAAATCTTTGCTATTATGCCTGGCACACCAGAAAATGCTCTGAAAAAAAGAGGTCAATGTGCCAACCTCCAAACTAGACTGGTATATCAGATAAGGAAAATTAAAGGAAGCACTAGGGACCAAGTTTCTCCAGGACGCTGCTGCTCTCTGCCTGCCCCATCATTAGAGGTGCAGACAAGCTCTGAGGTCTGCAACGTGCTGCCCAGCCACTGCACGAGTAGACCACTTCTCACCCACTATGCGCAAAGCGCCTTGAAGCACTATATAAATGCTAGTTGTTGTTATAAATGTATCCCACGAGTCAGGTGGCTCAGAAAATAGCAAATTCTTATTGTTTTATTTTAAAGAATCAATAATTTTCATACTTGGTCAAAAGTCAAAATGCTTCATAGCTTAGTTTTAGGATTCTTAGGTACGGTAAGAATCTAAACGGATTAGACAACAAATGATGATAGGAACACATTCTTCCTATCTCAAATGTCAAACAACAACCGCGGAAAGGAATGTACCCTGGGATGCCACTGGAGGTTCCATGTGCTTCTGTGACCCCGACACTGACCAACCACAGCATATCTTGGCTGGTCACATTTATAAAAAATAAAAGTGAAGCAGCCATTCTTGAACACTAATGGTTTGGCTTAATAGACTCTTGTATCCAATAAAAATTGAGTTTTAAATGCCACCCTTTTTAGCGAGAGTTAAAATAAATTTAAAAAGGTGTTAAGAAAGGCTTCTGGGATGGGGGGAAGCCCCAAGATTGGCCTGGGTTTTCTGATGAAAAATGCATGAAGTCTCAGCACATAGCGGAATGAGTGCTGGTAAACGACAACTTTTCTAAGCAAGAGGCTGGGTTATCCAATCTCATGGCTAGCCCACTGAGGAGCCTTGACAGGAATGGACACAACTGCTTTCTTTGTGTACCTTTTAAAGTGTAATATCCTAAGAAAAATTATCCTTTTCTTTTGTAATTTGATTTGATGTTGCTATTTTACTGAATTAAAGCTTTTTTTTTTATCCCAACGAGTAAATTTATCATGCTACACACTGATAAGGGCTGCAAGCATGATTATGATTTCCATAAAGCAACAAGAAAGCGCTCAGTACCTGGGAAGCCCAAGCCACATGACCCATGATGGGGACCAACTGGCATCATACTCATTTTCGCTGAAAGTACTCGGCTGCTCCTCCGCGTTCTGAGTCGCCTCCTCAACAATCTGGACCTCAAGTGCTTTAAGGGCAACAGCAGGGGACGCGGCACTGGCTTTCAGCATTGCAACTGCCTCACTGTGACTTAAATTGGTCAAATCAATGCCGTTGATATTTAGCAACACATCACCTGTTCAGATGAAGAAACAAGAAAAATGAGCTGAGCCACTGAGTTTTCACCTGCAAATCTTGTTGTTTATAAACTAAGCAACAAAAGTTAGTTCCCCCAACTCTGATGAGATAAGGTATAATAATAAATGGCATTTATTATTTCTTTGTAATTTTTATAATATTGAGAAGAAACCCAATACACAGAAAACATTCCATAATTTTAAAATAATGTCATAATACATAGAAAAAAGTGTGGCCTGAGGCACCTTGACATGATTGGAAGTTCGAATCATCAGTCTGAGTTTAGCTGTGTACAGGCCCTGGGCAGGTTCATTTCTCTTCTTAAGAGTTTCAGAGATTTCTACAATTCTGTCCAATCAAAAATCACTTGATCCTTTGCCCTTAGAAATAAATCTTTAATGTATTCTGCTTTATATTTACACAGTTCTATACATAAGGACAGCCCTGTATAGTTTATTCAGGGCAAACATCAGAATATGTACAAAGAAGCTATCCCTGGGCCCACATGAAGAAATGAAACTTGCGGTTTGAATGTCTTCCCTGTTTCAGGAAGAAAAGAACTGTTGCTCTGCTAAGTAATATAATAAAAAATGGCAATGAGGATTATATCAAAGGTTAGGAAAGGATTAGTTTTGTAGGAAGCAGACATTTGTGCTACAAAGTCTACAGAAATTTATCTCTCCCAATTTATCATCAGTTTTTCAGATTATTAAAGCAAATCATTCTCATTGTAGAAAATTTAGAAAACACAATAAAAGAACAAAAAGGAAATAAAATTACCCCAATACTACAACTGGACAAATAACCTTTACTTAATAGCAGCTTGAGAAATAATTCACATACTATTCAATTCACCCATTTAAAGAACATAATTTTATGGTTTTAATATATTCACAGTTGTGCAATCATCACTACAGTAATTTTGAGAACATTTTAATCACTCCCTCTATACCCATCATTTCCCTTCCCCAACCCTAAGCAACTACTAATCTACTTTCTGTCTCTACAGATTTGCCTCTTCTGAACATTTCATGTAAATGGAATCATACATGGTCTTTTATATCTAGCTTCTTTTACTTGCATAATATTTTCAGGGTTCATCCTTGTAATTTGTGCCAGTACTTCAGTCCTTTTCATGGCCAAATCATATTTTGCTGTATGGGTAGACCACATTCCATTGATCCATTCCTCAGCTGATGGACATTTGAGTGGTTTCCACTTTCTGGCTATTGTGAATAATGCTGCTATGAACACTGGTATACAAGTTTTCGTATGAACAGCTGTTTTCATTTCTCTAGAAGTGGAATTGCTGGTCATATGGAAACTATATGAGGAATCAGTTTAACTCTTTGAGGAACTACCAAACCGTTTTCCAAAAACAGTTGTACCACTTTATATTCCCACCAGCAATTAATGAGGGTTTCCACTGCTCCACATCCTTGCCAGTGTTTGTTATTGGCTGTCTTTTTCATTATTGTCATCCTACTGGTTGTGAAGTAGTATCTTACTGTGGTTTTGATTTGTGTTTGAGACAGGATCTCACTCTGATGCTAGGCTGGAGTACAGTGGCATGATCTCAGCTCACTGTAGCCTTGACCTCTGGAGCTCAGGTGATCCTCCCACCTCAGCTCCTAACTGGGATTACTACAGATTCACACCACCACAGCTAGCTAATTTTTGTATTTTTTGTAGAGACAAGGTTGTGCCATATTGCCCAGACTGTTCTCAAACTCCTGGGCTCAAGCGATCCACCTGCCTTGGCCTCCCAAAGTGGTGAGATTACAGGCGTGAGCCACCACACCCAGCCTGAGCATCTTTTCATGGGAAAACTGGCCATTTATTTATCTTCTTTAGAGAAATGTCTATTCAGATTCTTTCCTCATCTTTATGTTGTGTTTTCTGTCTTTTTAATTAGAGTTGTAAGAATATATATTCTAGACACAAGTCATTTGTCATATATATAATTTGCAAATGTTTTTCCCATTCTGTGGGTTATTTTTTCATTTGCTTGGTTGTATTCTTTGTAGCACAAAAGTTTGCAGTTTTAAAGTCCAGTCTGTCTATATTTTCTTCTGTTGCTTTTGCTTTTAGTGTCATATCTAAGAAACTACTGCCTAATCCAAGGTCATGAGGATTTACATTTGTGTTTTCTTCTAAGAATTTCAGCTCTTATATTTAGATCTTGCATCCATTATGATTTAATTTGTGTTTATGGTGTGAGGTAGGGGTTCAACTTCATTCCTGGAAAAATAGGTTTTCAGAGTCACTTTTCTTACCTTATATACAAACTAAGTCAATGGAGACTGCTATTTTTACCATGGCAATAGTGGCTAGCTGCAACCCCCATCTATGCAAATTATATAGCATTGATAGGGAATATGAAATGGCAAATGCATTTATCCCTAAAATTAATTTTGTCTTCTGCTCCACCTCCTCTCTGAGTCCCCTTCTACACAGACACTTTATTAAAAGAAACATTTTTCAGTGAGATGGCCCTTTGGAGTATCTAAGTCTGTTGTAATGCTAGAGGATCTTTTCCCAAGATAAAATAATCTAAGAGTCTGAGTAACTGTTAGCAAATTCTGGAACTGTCATCAAGGTTCAGCAACTTTCCTTTATATAAGGCATTTTTCTAACCTCATAGAATGACTTTATGCTTCCATATGCAAGGGACAGTTTAAAGAACTTAAAAAAGTCATGTTTAATAGATACTTTGTAGATATTCTTTATTTTTTTAAATGTGCATTTAATTCAGAAATAAGATGTGGTAAAATTTTTCAAGATCCCATCTTACCTCTCTTTATTCTGCCATCTCGTGCAAGGCAGCCATGGGGTGGCACACTGGTCACAAAGATGGGCAGCTCACCACTCTTACTTCCCCTGCCCCCAGCAACGGTCATGCCAAGGGATTCATGTGGTTCCTTCTTTACAGTAATGTGTTTTTCTTGGCATGTAACACACTGAGTAAGATCCTAAAACATACAAGAAAAAAATCATTGGATAATGAATAAAATATAGTTGAAGTAAAGTTATTACTTCAAACTAAGGTAATAACTTACATGGCATTTATAAAGTAATTATTTTTTATTCCTTAATTGCAAATGAAAGTAATACACAGTTCTTAATAAGTCTGCTGTGGATCAATGTCAAATTTTGGACTATGTTATTTTCATGACTGTTTATGTAGCTGAAAAAACTCAGGACTGCTGAAATACAGCAGTCAAAGTAAAATAAGCACATCATTTGTATAATTTGTTTGAGCTTCATGTTTGATCAACTTCACAAAAGTAAATGATGCTTTTGAGTTTTAAGATTCTGAAGACAAATCAATTAATTTTACTTCCATCTTTCCCCCATTTCTTTGACAGAAAAGTTGACAGAGTAGTACAAAAGTGTAGATTTTGGCAACTGCCAGAAAAAGGTCATCGACCTATCTCCTGATTCTCACTGACTACTACTATGAGTGCTCAATCATGAAGAAGATGCAAATCTACCTTCAAAATCTTCATGAAAAGCTAAAAGGATATAAAATGACTGAATTTTTGAAAAAGTTAATGACAGGGAAATAAATTCCCAACAAATTAATATCTCCTATTTTTACTGACATTTGTTACTACTACTTATTATTGAGATGTTCCTGGAAGAAAAAGAATTTAAAACATCACTTTTCTTTTGAATTAGAATTCAGTAAAAAATAAGATGTACATATGCAATATTAATATTAAAATAATAATTAACATTTGGGCTTAGCCTGTGAAAAGCTAATGCCTTTACATGCATTATTTCATTTAACCTTCACAAAAGTCCTGAAATTATATATTATTATTGACCCCATTTTACAGATGATGAAACAAACTTAGGGAGGTCATGTAACTTGTCCTGAATCATGTTAATATAGGCAACTGTCCTGGGATTCAAAATTTACGTATGTTAAAAGAATGTACTATATATTAATACAAATAGTATTTTGTATATGTTTATATAGTGTGATAGACTACATGTACATATTGTATATATGCACCTACACAAGAACTATCCCATTAAGTGTACAGTGTAAGATAATGTCTCAGAAGGTTTTAACACTTATTAACTGTTAAGAGAATGTTGTAGATAATTAAAATTGTTAATAATATAAAAAATACAAATTACATTCACAGAATTATAACATTTCCTTAAATCACATTAGAGAATTGACATGTATTTAACTGTTAATAATGGCATTTATCAAATCTCTAAATCAGGGCCTGGAATTCTAGGCCTATCTACCCTTCTCCAGATGTGAAATCTATACTCTTGAAATTTTACCAAAGGAGCTATGTGTAATAGCAGCATAGTATTCCCAGAAAATGTTATGACCAAGGAGAAAATCTGTAAATGTTTTAAGGCAATCTCCTATCTAAAGGTATGAAATTTTTGTCAGCAGCCTTCAAAATTAGACAAACACAACTTTATTCTGAAGACAACTCAGGTAAACTCAACCTTGAGTATATTCATTTAAGCAGGTTCAGCCCTTACATATTTAAGCAAAGTGTGGGTATTTTATTACTCTAGGTGTCTAAAATGTATGCAATTTTTACCCAGGAACCCAACCAAACTTCAAAGATTATACTCAGTTTGCTTCAAGGAACTTCCTAAAACAAACATGAATGTTTATCAGAACAGCTACTGGGAAGCTTTATAGAAGACTAATATATACTTTAATTTTTTCAGAATGATTATAATTGTCTGAAAAGATTGTTTTGGTGAATGTGTATGTGTTTTCCCTAGGAGACCTTTACTTTTCTGTATCAGGATTTGACAAAACAAATGGAGCATCTTAGTAGTAAATAGCTAAATGAACACATTCCATTTCAAGTGGTTTTTCTAACCAGCCAGGTTTGCAGAGTGCCTGGAATAGAATAAATTCAGCATCACTATTTAGAACATTGTCATATAAAATTAAAGAGAATGAGAATTAGCATAGTTATGACAGAAAAATACATGTGCCCACAACAAATTGAATTAAGGAGAGTTTGCTATAGGAATACTGGAATTATTAATTACAGTTTTTCAAACTCTCTTAAAACTATAATGTTGTTATATACACCCCTATCTCAAATTATAAAATTCAATAACATAAAAGATTCAATTATCAACTTGTACCTTATATTATAGTTTTATATGTATAAAAAACTTGTAAAGCAAGGACTAGCTATATGAAACAACACCTATTCAAAAAGTCCTGTTTAAAACAATTACCCCTTTTCCACAGTCATTATTTAAAGGCAAATTATAGGTTTCCTTCATACATTTTGGTTTTGCTCAGAAATGAGAATGAAGTCTGTGATTATAATTTCTTTTTAGTATTAACTAAATCAAAGACCAATGACAAGTCTGTAGAGAACTTAAGCTCAGAAAACCATATAAACCCAATGGGCCAAAAATACTGTGTCTTTAAGCTATGCTTTCTTAGGGTACCAGAGACAGACTCCAAAGCTAATTATTCACTCAAATGTTACTTTCAGGTGACAATAAATAAGTTTTTGCTTAGTAAAGCAATTTAATTTTACTTAAGGAGAATTACTCTGGTAGGTCACATTTAGCTTTTATTTTTGCATAATTGGGTAAGCATAACATCATTGTTTTAAAACTTCTGGCCCACTGGAAGTTAAGAGTTCAAATGAAGGATGAAATGAAGTAAATAATATCAAGAATGCTAAAGTATCATCCTTTCAGATTTTTGGACTGAAAGTGAGGTAGCATCAAAATTCTCAGCTCAGGTAGAATACATTATAAAACCAGTGAAATACTGATTCTGAAGAAACAGTAACAAAGCTTAACATATGGAAATTTTAAATGATTTAGGGTAATATTCCTCTAAGCTTTAACATAAAAAGAAATATGCTATATATGTACCTATCAAATACGTAAATATGCTATATATGTACCTATCAAAATTCATGATTCATATGTTTAATCTTCATGTATCTAATTCAGGTTCTGTAGGCAACAGGCTCAATTATTAAGCATAGATTTGTCAATCTTGTCTTATGTTTTTTCATCAACTAACTCTTATATTTAAATAAGCAACCCAAGATAAATTCCACTTTCAAGTAGGATTAAACAGATAGAAGATTTCACGCTTCTTGTTAATCGCCTGGCAAAGGAAACTTCCCCTCCAAGAAACTATCTCCAGATCTAAGGAACAAAGCAGTCACTTTCCAAGGTAGCAAAACATATACATTTCATATTCCAAACACCTATATTTTTCAACAGAATAACAACCCTCATTTGAATCTTTTTTTTAAAAAAACTGCTTTATTGAGGTGTGACTGACACACAAAAAAACCTTCATTTAAATCTTACCAGCTTGTAACAATGATCCTTTGATGGTGGCATAAAAAAAAAAAAAAATCCTCACCTTATGTGAGCTTGGTCTGCTATAATACGGTGGTGGTGTGTGGTGCTGGCTGCTGCTGCTATGATTTCCTGCTTCTCTAATGGTGTTACCAGGCTGGGGTTTCCCTGGTCTAGCAATTGTTAAATTCACTCTCTCTCCACTGGCCTGGAGAAAACACAAATACATTACCATAAGTGACTAATGATGTTTGTCATTTTAAAGATTACACACAGTGTAATTTTCAATGAACTTCTTAATCACTGTACCAGGGCGTCATCTGGACAGTGACTGCAAGCACCTGGTGGCAAGAGGAATGAGTTCATTTCATTAGCTAATATCTTAAAACTTCAGCAGTTGAAGCACATACACACAAAAATCTTGGGCATGCCGTCTGCAACCCCACCTCCAAAATGACCAAGGCAAAGTGGTCACACTGCCTGGGCTCTTATTGCCCCATGATTGGTAACTTTTCTTGTAATACTTCTTTGCATCTTCAAGGTTGGCCTTAATATTGCAAGACAGAGCAAAGGAAATAAAAGGAAGAACTGCTTCAAAACTTGATTAAAGTCCATTGTGACTTTTGAAATAAATTTCCATGGTGGCTACTTCAGAAATCATAATGAAATTCTGCACAGCTTTGTTTCTGCTGCTATAGGTCTGAGTCAAAAGTAGGATATCGGCTTCAACATTCTTGAAAAGAATGACTACAGAAATCCTGCATAACAAGACTTTATATGTATGTGTGTATATATATATATATATATAGCATACTTGTGTGAATGTGACACACGTCTCCAGTGTTAAATTATTTTAGAGGTTCATGACTGTCGTTTTAAATTTAGAGGCTTGTTAGCTATCATATTTTGAACATATGTTTACATTGGTTACATTTTTACAAGTTATTTAATACTTCCTTTTAAATTATAAGTCTAATTTATTTGATGCTGACTCTTGGTCATGACCACAATGCCCAATTTTACTGTAATTCCTATGGGAAAATATGATAGCCTGCTTTAAAGAAATTGTGGTACAAAGTGGAGACCTCTCCCATGATTATAGTCAATAATGTTAAGAAATCACTTTATTTTCAAATCTTACATTAGAAAAGAAGTAAGAAACAAGTTTAATGCCTTACTAAAATCATTTACTATTGGTCTCCTTTTAAGACATGGAGTATATGTTATTTTTTAAAATCCAAAAACAATAACGCTTTTACTTATTTTCAAAAAGAAACAGAGCAACTTTAGTTTTCCATTATTTGGAGAAAATTATAGCACAAAATACGTTGAAACTATTTATAACATCCAAATATAAAATATGATCACGGACAATTTAAAATACATTTTCTATCTGTGTATCTGTATTTTTCACATTTTGGTTAGAAATTTAGTTAGAATCATCCAATTGAATGAACTAGATTAGATAATTTAAACATTGCCTGAAATACATATAGTCCATCTATTATTTTCTATCTTATTGATCTGGCCTCTCACTTGACTCTTTTACTCAAACAGATGCTATAACTCTATTAGCTTTCTTCTTCCTCCTCCTCTTTTCTCCCCTCCCTCCCACTAATCTCCACTCTTACAAGATGAGCTGGGTTTTAGTGGTGCAGCTGCTGGCTAATACCCACAGATATAGGTCCTAATGTTGCCTTTGATTTGAGGAAATTTTAAGGCATCCAATTTCTTTAAACCTCAAGTCTATGAAATTAGACCAATATCAGAATCTCCTCTCAATACAATAAAGAGAGTTGAGACTTGAATTTTCTTATAGTCTTAAATTTTCATTGTTATTTGATTCTGTGTTGTAAACACATTCTTCAATGACTATCGGCCTACCCTACTTCCTGATCCTCAATTACATAATTCTTGGTTTCCTTTACAGTGTTTTGTTTTGCTAACTTTAAGAAAAACATCTTTTTGTTGCACCCTTATCACTGTAGAAGTTGCTCATATCATTAAATGCTATGGCATGTTGCAGAATGTATAGATCTCCTCTGGATGACTTTCCAACTTATCCATCTTCATGCTTTTATGAAAAACATGTTCTTTCTCTAATAATGACTATCCTTACTTATGTCACAAAGATGCTATGAGGACAAATTTTATCATGTATTTTAAACACTGTGAATTCCTTAGAAACAACAACAAAGCACTATAGAGATAAGAGTTATTCTTCCTCTATTTATATAGATCCTGACAGGGAGTTAAGAGACCAGGTAAGTCAGATCCTTGGTAATCACAGCTCTTTTGAGCCTCCCTTTCCTCACTTCTAAAAGGTGGACATATCATCTGCTACATCTGGCTTAATAGTAGAACCCAGGACCCAAATGAGAAATGAATGTGAAACAGTAGAGCCTACGCTCTGTAAATAACCATCCCCAAAATTCACAGGGATATAGTTTTTAGAAAAGACTATCTCCAATGAAGTTATACTAGTGTGGATTTTAAAGAATTCAGGTAGCCACACCCGATTTTCTAATGAAATATAAAATGTCCCCTGAATTCTGATGTTATTGGCCAGTGAAAACAAATACTACTATATGATCATTTCGGCCAAGCCTTTGGAATGAAGGCCAAGAGGGTTTACCTGAATAATCTGGGCAGCAAGCTCCGGAGTTCCATACTTCAGGTCGTGCCCATTGATGGCCAGCACTCGGTCATTGCTGCTTAGCCTGCCGTCCTGGGCAGCCAACCCCCCTTCCAACAGGTCAAGAATAAAAACCCCTGGCTCATCTGTCCTTCGCACCAATTTAATGCCAAGCTGTTCACCAGAGTCCCGTTTATGAAGAGCCACTTGGAAAATCTCTTCTCGTGGAGAGTTACTATCAGAATGGTTGTGTGCTCGGTTGCCAAAGCGCCTCTCTCGAAGCACAGTAAGATGCAGTGTGTTGCAGGGCTGGGAAAGGACAGCTCGGGCATAGTTATGGGACACATTGCTGATATTGTAGTTGTTGACCTAGAAAAAAAGAATTGTGACCGAAGTGTGACAACCTTTTATTTTTCCAATTTGTAGGAATGTTTATGTGACATTTCCACAGGAAACTAAGTATTGTGAGAGTGCTAAGTATGGTGAGAATGCTATACAATCATTATTTACAAAGAAAACCACATTAAAGACATTTAAAAACAGAGTTTCTAATATTAACTTACAGTGACTAGCATCAAGGAGAGAATAGTAGCTAGGATCACGGGCTTTAATGACGGTCTTGAATTAGAGTCCTAGGTACTACCATTTACTAACTGATAACTTAGGCAAATTATAGAACTTGTCTGAATGAGTCTCCTCATCTGTAAAATGTGTTTACTTCATGGGATCAGTATGAGAATGAACAGATTAACATGGGGCAAGTGCTAATGAAATAAATACTAATTCTAGTGGAACAGAAATTTAAGTTTTACTAGATTACAAATTTGCTTCTTCCAAATTAAATACACTTAAGCTAGAGAAAATAAATTGTTATTTTAAGGAAAGTAGCACATTTCAGGTATACAAACTTATTTTAGATAAGTGACTTTTACCTGAAAGAAAACCAGGTTAATTGTAATTTCACTCTAATTCTTCAGCACAGAAATATTAGGTTGGTGCAAAAGTAATTACGGTTTTTACCATTAAAAGTAAAATATAATGTATATCTAATGCATTATTCAATACTCATATAACATTTATGTATTCACCTTTATAATCTCAAAAAAAGTATAGTGACTGATCCTTGGGTATGTAACAGCACTTAGAAAATACACCTAACTTCAATTATTTCTTTAGTTACAAGAGATGAGCATGATTCTTAGCATTTATCACAATTAGAGTTCTTCTCTGAATCGGTCTGAGATGAAACCAACATCCTCTGACCATCTGTTATATGACAGGCTCTGAGTTAGGTGTTTATGATCACCTAAAATTCTTACATCTTTTTCACACAAATCCACATTAGGCAAGACTTTCCTCTTCCTATTGACTTAGGATTGATAGTTGTAAATACTATTTTGAATTTTGTTGATTTTGACCTATTAACACCTTTCAGAATTCAGTCACCAAATGCACAGATGTCACACACAAACTTGCTTTCTCCCAAGTCTGCAACATCTATTAATTTGGTAGTCATCCAAGTCCTTGGTAAAAGTATTGAATAATACAGGGTCAAGAATGGAACTTCTGAAGTTCTATTATATTTAGAAAGCAGCTTCTAAAAATCCACGCAGATATAGATTCATTAGTCAAACCACCATTTCCAACTATTTAGCTACAAAGCTACCTACCTGTAGGTTCACATTTTTCTGTCTTATATTCAGACATATCACACATATCACAAATGACTTTACAAAACGTCTGGCTAAAATCCAGCCATGTGTAAACATGCAGCCTCATAACATCTTTGTGAAGCAGGCTGGGGAATATTCTACAACTGGAAAAAGATTTTTCCTCCAGGAATGCATGGTTGCCAGTGAAATTCAGAGAAAGCAGAAACCAAATAAAATATTGTTTCTAGATTTTGTAAAAATAACATCAGCATAGCAAACTATCTCATTTTTGAGCTAAATGTATTTTTTTATCAATCAACAGCTGTAATTATTTTCCTTCAGAACTGAAAATGCCATTATTGATGACTTCATTAAACTGAAAATACTTATTCTTAATAATGTTCTAAGTTATATTACTTTTATTAATGATATTGAGGTAATTTATAATAGCAGTATTTTTTTTTCTTCAAAACTGCTCAAAGAGGCTGCATATGAAACTCTAAGAGTAGCAAAAAGCTCTAACAGCATATGGTTCTCCTTTTCAAAGAGGCTATTTAATAACATTTGTATATGTAAATAAATATATATAAATGTGGGAAAACCACCAAAGCCACACACTGCTTATGTATATGGTCTGCAAAAATGAAAATGCAAGCTAGCTCTCTGGTCTGCAAATCAACCATCTTACTGCCTCTTCGAGATTTTCAAATTGGCTCACTGTGTTATATTTATTTAGCTTATACAAAGTTGGAGGTAACCAGATAGTAAAAAATACCAATAGGCCTCTTTCCAAGTGTTTACTCTTGAATAACCATAAATAGTCCATATGTGGGAAAGGGGGGTGGCTTTACTTGGCTCCAACACACCAGTTAAAAGCCAACCAGAAGTCAGGGCCTATAATAGGAGAGACCCTTTGTGAATTCATTAATCAGATTATGTGCTCAGACTTTTCTTATCAATTTGAATCATTAAACTAGATGTAAGATTGCCATTATTGGAGTTATTAGTATACAGGTTTCCATAAACAGTAATAATGCAGTGGAATTTCTACAATGTAGACTTTATAACTGAATTAATTCCCAAAAATATGGTTGATAATTTCAGATAATTACAATCTTTTGAGGTCTAAAGATTCAGTAGTGTTAATGAACCATTCTCTAAAATAGAAACAAGCCCACTGATGAAATGTATTAGTAAAAAAACTTAAACAAATCTGTTATATTCAAAGAAATATAAATAAAAACATTTGTAACAATACTGGGCTAGTAGCAAAAAATAAGTGTACACTTACATTTCAGCTAAAAAGCCCAGAAGTGGGAGAGTCAAAGAACACTCAGTGGGCTGCAGAAAAGGACTATCTGCCCTTCCTGGTCCTGACCACCAAAGTGTCAAGATGTCTGGGAGGATGAACCTGGGAAATGAGCTGTAAGAGTCGCTCTCTGCAAAATCAAGTCAGGAGCTAGGATGTAAATAATACAAGGGGTCCTACAAGTTGTGCCAGCCTGTGCAGCTAAAGTACTAATATCATAAAATGCAGCTAGGATAACTAAATAGCTAGCTATGACAGGATCAGAAATCTGATTTTATATGAGCTGGATTAGTTATGTTCCTGTATTCGTCTATTACATCTAAGTATTTGGTAAAAAAAACACTGTTTGAAAGCTCAGTCTGTCTCAGCCATGCCTAGGGGTAATGAAGGAAAGGTTTTAGGCTTGGTGTTAATTATTTTCAGGAATAATACACCATGAAAAGCAGCATACAAGCGGGAGTGGAAATCAAACCCAAGAATCCCTAGTAGGGTCAATCCTGGCTGCCTTTGTAGACTCCCATAGCCCCAAGTCTAGAGATTTCTTTTCAACAACTAAAAATCCTAACCAAGTTTTTCTTTTAATAAAGGAGATGGCTATTCCCAACAGCATCTTATATTCAAATTCACTCTTTTATTGACTCAGCAAATATTTTCTGAGCACTTACTACAAGCTATGAGAAATCTGTATCATAATCTGTACCATTAGGGTGGTTGCAATTACCTTAGATCATGCCTACATACGTAAAATGTTCAAACAATTCTCTGTAACTCATCACGTGCCAAGTGATGAAGAGAAAAGTGATGAATGCCAATAATAACTAATGTAGGAGGAATCAGTATGGGGGAGAATGGCTGAACAAAAGCTTTAAGGATGAAGGTGAACAAACTGGCTCATGAGATGAGGACAGGCTGCAATGTGGGAATAAGGTGTTTGCAGGGAAGGAAGAAGACTGCTATGTCTGGCTCTTCCACTAGATTGTATATTCCACGAGGACAGGTCAGTATTTTGCTCTGAAATGTACCACCAGCAACTAGTATAGTGCCTAGAATGTTGTGAGAAATGAATGAGCTGGTGTGCCTGAAATGAAGAATTGAGATTAACAAGACAGGTTGTAGAAGAGACCGTGGAGGACCCTGACTATTAGATTAATCAGTCTGGACTTGACCTCCTAGTTGAACCTTTGCAAGGCAAGCAGGGTTACTGATGTATTAACCTGGCAGTGATTGTTTCAGATTTAAGGGAGGAGAGTTGGGAGGCAGAAGTATATGATGGGGTATTCTACTAAATTAGATATGAAGAAGAGAAGTCCTAGACTCAAGAAGTGGCAGGAAAATGGAAGTAGGGGGTAGATATCAACAGGTCATGGTGAAGGACCGAACCACAAATCCAAGGAGAGAGAGGAGTCCCTGCGCTTGGGTTGACAGGAGACATTTTTTCTTGTTCATGAATATTTCCTCTCTCTCCTAGAAGTTATCCGTTTTTAAGCTTCAATTATTATCACCTTTGTATGATGAAAATGGTCCAGGCCGGTATTAACATCAACTCCGGGATTGTAGAACTCTTACCATCCTCCTCCCCTCATCTCAACTTGCCCTCTAATAAAATATCTTGTCCCATGCTAGTTATTTCTGGAGAATACCTGTTTCTTCTTAAAGATCATCTTCTGAAAGGGAAAACAGTAAGGGGAGCGAAGGGGATTATTGAAAATGCAGAGTTAGAGTGTTTGCTGAGGAGAGTGCATTAGGGAGTTGATAGGAGATGACTGCAAGATTTCTGAACTCTATCTTATAATCTGTGGTATAAATTATGAGTGCTGCATGGTTCCTTCTTTTCTAGATTTTAGTAGTCTGTATAGAAAAGGATAAATCCAACAATGAAGGTAATGAATGGGAAAACTGGGTATAAAATAATACCAATGAGATGATAATTTCAACATGGATGAAGGTGACCCTTGAACAGTCATTCAAGAAGTCCAAGCAGGAAGAGGCTAGTCAGCCCAAGGAAGAGTCTAGCTAGCTCAGCAAGCCTGAGATCATGTGCCAAGCCACATCGCATGCAGGAATGAAAATTAAGATAGGAAGAAAAAATACTCTGTGTATATGGGAAAATACCACAAATTACACATAAATTCTGATGTTTTGCATATAGAAACAGTAAAACTAATCTATATATAATTTAGGTTCCAAAACAGCACAATTTTCTAAGGTTTAAGTGTTAAGAATGGAACAAAAAGGCACAAGTTAACAGAATAATTAAAACTGATACCTGAAGAATCTGGTCTCCAGCAAGAAGTCTCCCGTCTCTGGCAATGACCCCATCCCGATAGACCTCCTGGATGACAATGTTAATCAAAGGTGTTTCGTTGCCACCCACAATGCTGATTCCTAACTGAATGTAAGGATTGGACCGATGAATTTCAATCGTGGTGATTTCTCCTTCTGGTAAACTAAGTGGCTGTTGTGTGGCTGCCAAGTTAAAAATGAGACAGACAAAAACAGATGTTAAAAAAATAAACAAACCCAACAATTTATATTCTGATTATCTTCAGGTAAGTATGTCACATTAATACATGATTAACAGCTAAGCAGTATCACTGGATAAGAAACAAAATGACAAAATATCTGTTGTTAAGATTATCTAAAAATTTTCTCTACTAAAACTGATCAGTAAATAATAAATAGCTACTATGTATCAGATCACTAGGGACGACACAGTGATCTGATTAAGAAATATGAAAAGAAAGTCATTCTGTCCTCATTGATGAGAGAAAATTTGGACCACGAAACAACTGTACATAATGAGAGGCAGTACAAAGGAAACACTAGCTCTGTGGCATAGAAACAGCACAGGTGTTGAGAGAGTAGCCACATCAAGCTCGTAAGAAGAGGTGGGTCTTGAACGGAGACGTAGGAAATGAAGAAGGCGCATAGTTGCGGCAAGGAAAATTCAAATTTGTAGTAGAGCTTGGAAAAAGAAAATCATTTTTAAAAGGAAATATCAAGGGCCCACTACCATGATATGCCCAAGATCCATGACTACGGGCCTTCTGTTAACTTCCTAGTGGGTAACAGAGCAGTGGCTGGTACCAGAGGTGTATAACGGTGAGATGCATGGTCTTGGAGTCAAATACAAACCCAGTCATTTACTGGTTGTATAAACTTGACCAATTAATCTCTCAAGCCTCAGTTTTCTTGTTTAAAAAAAAAACAAAAACCCAAACTTAAAATGTTACAAGCATCTAAATAGCTAATACATATAAAATGTTTAGCACAGTGCCTGACACAGAATAGCATTTAATTGTGTTGTTCTTGATGTTGACTTCTTATGACAAGAAGCAAACAAGTTTCTGAACACAGACAGTAATAACCACGCGAATGACTAGTGAGTGCACAGACTGCAACAGAAAAGGGATGGGTTAGGACCATCTGCCTCGGGGGTAAGATTTGTGATTTGTTTCTAAAATGCAAACTGTTAGAATTGTACAATGAAAAGGGTGAATGATGTATATAAATTATATCTCAATGAAGTTTCTTTTATTTCTGTTTATTTTTATTTTTTAAATTTTTCTTTAAAGATGAAAAAAGTACATGTTGGGCAAGTAGTGGGAAGAAAGGAAATAGAGATGAAATACACAAGGAGTTGCACCACACATACTGTCAGCTCCAGCGCTCTCCTCAAAGGCAGGGTTGTCAAGGCCAGGCTCCTCACTCCATGTGGAAAGAGACGCTGATGTCAAGTGCCGCTCCACAGGCACTGCGCCTGTCCCCAAACAGTCTGCTTCTGGAGATAAGGTACCTGCAGGATCTAGTAGAGTGGGCCCATTTTCATTCTCAATCTCTGCTTGAGTTCTACTAGTTTTCCTTCTCTCCAGGGCAACTCTCCGATGAGAAGCTCCAGGACATCTAGAAAAAGAATATCAGATGGTTTCCAGATGATTTTGAAAACAAACAAACAAATAAAATAGGGAGGGGGACTAATAGCTTCTACACAAACAGAACCAGAAGCTAGAAGTACCTATAGGCAGCACATAGTTCTGATCCTAATCTCCACTCACACTAAGTTCTTACTGCTCCATAGAGCAGATAATCAAGAACAGAAGGATTAGCATGAACAATGGTTTGGTATGTATCCAAAGAATACGTCAGTAAAAAATTGTATGCAGGTATATACTTGTCACCAGAAAACACCCTCATAGTCATCTCTGTACTGCAATAATTATTCTGAAATTCTGATCACATAACCCATTTACAGGTTAAATGGCTTAACCACAGCAGTGAAATCAGCAGTCTTCTCCCACAAGTGGTTGCGTCCTGACTTAGACCTTGATTGTGCCACCATGCTTCTACACTCTTCACAGACACACGACACGCTCATTAATTAGTGGGTAGTGAGACATCTGAAGCTTTACAACTTACTGCAAGGCAAAGGAAAGACCCATATAATTTATTTTATGATAGACATGGAAAGAAAAATATGCCTCCTAGTTTGTGAAATTAGAATTTCAATAGAATTATTGATATGCTATGTAAACTGAAGAATATATTCCAAGTACTCGGAAACTTACATAAACACCCAGAAATCACAACCGTTAACCTGTTTGTTTTTACTTATTTAAGCAAATAAAAGGAGCCGATGGATGCTTGTTTTTAAACTTATAATCAAGGAAACATTTAAATAAAGGCTCTATATAACAAATATTAAAAATGATGTCAAGGGGCCAGTGCCTTTCCATTGGACACCTTGATTGGACAGTGACTAATAACCCCTAGTTTGAAGGATGGGAGGAGGACAAAAAGATTAGTGAAGGAAAGTTGGACACATATACCTGAGGCCTACCACGACTCTACGGATGACACATGCTTTGGTTGTAATTAGCTACAGTAACGCTTGGTAGGATGGGTGATCACAGACCTTATGCCTAGGGTTGCAGACCTTCATTCAACAATATTTTTAAAACTCCAAAATTTCTAACACAACACAGAATTAAATACAATTAAAACTAAAAGCTATCGCTTAACTATAAAAGTAATATTTTCCCTCCTGAACTAAAGATTTCTTTTAAATCCTGGATTTCAAGTTCTTGAAAGGGATTCACTATGAAATATCTTTATTCACCTTTCTCTCATTTCTTGTTTGCTCTACACCTTGTTAAGAAGGGGGACAAATGGTTTTCTCCTCTGTATTGTTGTACAGCACTCCAGGGAATGCTCTCGCAAGGGCCTGACAAGTATTTTTGAAAATTAGATCATGAAAAAAATTACTTTTGTCAAGTAAGCAGGTTTAATTCGAAATATATTTTTAAAATATTTTATTCAAAAAAAAGTTGAGGCTAAAACTAGACCATAAAAATAATATGACTGAAAAGACAGGTAAAGATTTAATTTACAAAATCACATCATACACAAATATCTACACAAGAATAGCTAGTGTTCAATGGAAAAAATGAACCAGGAACTGGAACTTAAGAAGAAATACAGACAGATTATGTACACCTGGGAATCAGTCTAGCTAACAACTCTACACCTTCACAAACGAAATATGTAAGGCCTATCTTATAGTTATTAAACACACAAAAATAACTTTTAAAAGGAAAAGCTAAAGTTGTTAGAGAGGTAAAGTAACAAGTATACTTACAGTCCCAGTGAGACAGCAAACTGCTAACAGGAACTAAAGAAAAATATTAAAAATGACATCATGTAAAAATACAGAAAAATTATTTCACTCAGCATTAGAAGAGGAAGGCCATAGATTGAACCTTTGGGAAAACCCATATTTAAATGAGATGGACCAGCCTGAGTAGATGAAATTGAACAACTAGACAGAAGGAGATTATGAGACAAAGAGTGCAAACTTAACTAGGGAGACAAGCAGTCAACAACAAAAAGTGACCAATAGTGCAAATGGCCACAGAAAGGGCAAATAAAATAAGGACCAAAAAGTGTTGGTAGACTTGGCAATTAGAAGGTAACCTCAGAAAGAACACTTTCACTGATGAGGGCAAAAGCCCAGATTATACTACAAACATTTCTTTTAACATAATATATGCATTCTAGAAAAACTGCAACAGGGCTTAAAGGAAAAAAAGAGTTGGGGTAGACACTCAAAACCGTGTATCGGGGAATGGGAAATGGCTGTTAATGGGTATTGGGTTTCTTTTAGGTATGCTGAAAATGTTCTAAAAATTGGATTGTGATGATGGTCACGTAATTCTGTGAATACACTAAATAGCACTGAATTGCACACTTTAAATAAAGTGAATTTATTTAAAGTGGGCAATTTACAATGAATTTATAAAATAGGTGAATTTGATGATATGTGAATCTCAATAAAACTATATTTTAAAAAAAGTATTAGGGAATGAGTAGATCAGAGCAGACTTGGGCAGATAAAAGCTCATGAATACAGACAGCTCAGAGCCATCATCCCTCAAGCTGCAAATACTTGGAACTGAAAGAGAAAGGAAAAACTCAACATTTGTGGAGTGCCTAATTTGTGCCAATTACTTACGTAACAACCTTTATATACATTATTTCATTAAATCCTCACAATTACTCTGTTATCCCCATTTAAAAATGGGAAACTTGAGACTTAACCAACTAAGCCAACATCACACAGATATTAAATTGCAGAGCCATAATCCAAACAAACTCAGATCTAATTTCAAAGGCTTCTAGCTTCTGTTCTTTCCAGTGTATCATACTAAATTCATTCCTATGGTATTCTTTTTCTAGGCCTTGGGAAAATATAAATTGAATTTCTTCTAAAAATTTGTACCTAGAAACACAATCACAGAACGTTGGGGCTAGAAGGGTATTAGCGATCATTAAAAAACAGAAATCACAAAAATAAAAACCTATCCATCTTTGGAAATGGAACATTTAAGAACACAAACTGAAATTGCACTGGGGGAGGTGACTTGGTTTATTCAGGCAGGTGACTCAGTGTAGCAGGAGACTAGTACAGAGGATATCAAAATTAAACAAAAACAATAGAACAGAACAGCATGTGACATCTAATTAGATTGAGGTAGGCACATGCTGAGACCATACAGTGGAGCTCTGAGATGGTGGGCTGCTGAGGCAGTGCAATCTGCCATGGGCTGAGGGCTGCACCTCCTGAGGGAGGGATCTGTACATGTAGGTGTGTTTTTTAATTTTCTTAAATAAAACCAAAATGCTCTTGCAGCAGCCAAGACCCAAATAGGGATTTTTCCTTTCCTGCTGAAGGTTGTTCTTCTATTCCCACTATTCTGGCTCTCCTCCTAAGGGAAAAATTATATATGGACTAATTTGATTTATGCTACAGTGACATCATTCCCTGATAACAACTGCATATGAGCTAGTTCACACTAGGAAACACATGGTGCAACAACACACTATATTATTGTCAGTAATATTAGTATTAATAGTGGGGGTGGTGGTAGTGCAGTAGAAACAAAATAAAACAATGCATACTAACCACTGCACAATGCCAGGTATTTAATGACACTGAAAGAATGTGAACACCTTAGAATCAAGAAAAATGATAAAAATAGCTAGGGAATAAACAAAAATTAATTCAAGTCATGTCAGTGAAAATGGTGAATTAAGAATATCTGAAAAGTCTCTCCTCCATAAAAGCAGTAAGAACACTGGAAGAAATTGTCAGAACCAGCCATTTCTGAAGTGTGGAAATTAGCCAAAGAATTATAGCAGTAGGGAGAACATTTGTTCAAGAAAAATGGCTGACTCTCAGTAAGAAGAGAGAGCTCTGTGGCATTTGAGTTTACCCTATTTCCATCCTCACCTCCCCAGAATATTGGAAAAGCAACAGCCCACATCACAGTGGAAATCAGGAGGCTGGCAGACACTGGAAGAGCAGACTGGAGAACCTTCAAAGCCCTATTCCCAGAGATCTGTTATTAACTGACCTGTCTATGGTTCCCCTCTTGTGTGCTTGTCTTTTTTCTTCTTTTTTTTCCCCCTATACTTGTTTCCTGTATGACTGTGTGCCTGTCTTTACTTGGCTTGACTCAGAGCTCACCCAGGGCAAACTTCCTTTTCACTGGGGGCATTTGTTAAGCATTGGTTAAAAAAAAAAAAAAAATCAGAGGTCATTGCTGAAGATTGTGGCTGCCTGAAGACAAATACAAGGCTAACCAGAATGTTTACAAGGAAGAGCCAGGGAATGACACGTCCACAGAGGTTCAGCTATGTTCAGGGCTGTGTGTGTAGGCTAAGGTGGAGCTGTCAGTGGCGTGAGTGTTGAGGGTGTGGCATGCCCCACCATGCACACAGAACCCCCATGGAAGACGGGGAGATTTTTTTAATCTCAGGCATTTAAAGAATTCTCTGTCCAATCATTAGCTGTCCAGTACACAAAATGAGCAGAGACTTTACAGAATTAGTTCATAAGAGTCACATAGCAAACAAACAAACAACAACAATAACAAGTCCTCAGGAAGGAGAAGAATCTAGTTTTCTGAGTTGCCACATTATATTATTTAAAATGTCCACTGTTCAATACAAAATTAAGAAACATGCAAAGAAACAAGTACAGCCCATTCACAGGAAAAAAAAAAAAAAAAGCAGCCAACAGAAACTGTCCCTAAGGAAGCCCAGGCATTAGCTTTATCAGACAATAACTTACATCAGCTATTTTAGATATGTTCAAAGAAGTAAAGGAAACCTATCTAAAGAACTAAAGAAAAATATGAGAATGATGTCTTATCAAAAAGAAAATATCAATAAAGAAACATTAAGTCATAATAAAGAACCAAACAGAAATTCTGGGGTTAAAAAGTTTAATGAAAAAGAATGCATGGCCGGGTGCTTTAATCCCAGCACTTTGGGACGCCAAGGCGGGTGGATCACTTGGGGTCAGGAGTTCAAGACCAGCCTGAACAATATGGTGAAACCCCGTCTCTACTAAAAATACAAAATTAGCCAGGTTTGGTGGCGCATGCCTGTAATCTCAGCTACTTGGGAGGCAGAAGTGGCAGTGAGCTGAAATTGCGCCATTGCACTCCAGCCTGGGGAACAAGAGCAAAACTCTGTCTCCAAAAAAACAAAACAGAAAAAGAATTCACTAGTTCAACAGCAGAATTGAATCAGAAGAAAGAACTGGCAAACTTGCAGATAGGTTTATTGAGATCATCCAGTCTGAGGAACAGGGAAGAAAAAAAAAAAAAGAACACAGCCTCATGGTCTTGTGGGACACCATTAAGAGAATAAACATATACATAATGAGAGTTCCAAAAGGAGAGAGAGTGAAAGGAGTAGAAAGAATATTTGAAGAAATAATGGCCAAAAATCTTCCCAAATTTGATGAAAAACATTTATCTACACATCCAAGAAGCTTAATAAACTCCAAGTAGGAAAACCACAAGATATACACACTTAAGACACCTCATAATAAAACTGGTGAAAGCCAAAGATAAGGAATCTTGAAAACAGTAAGAGAGGAACAGCTCATCACAAGGAAAGGATCCTCAATAGTATCTGCTGATTTCTCTTCAGAAACCATGGAGACTAGAAGGCAGTGGGATGACATACTCAAAGTTCTGAGGGAAGGAGAGACAGAGAAGGGGAGAAAACTCTCAACCAGGAAGTCTATATCCAGCCGACTTCAAAAATAAAAGAGAAATTGAGACATTCCTAGGTAAAAACAAAATGTTTGTTGGTAGCATGCTTAACCTGCAAGAAACACTAAAAGAAGTCCATCAGGCTGATGTGAAAGGACACTAAACAGTAACTCAAGTTCATGTGAAAAATGAAGAGCATCAGTACAGTACTGAATTATTTGGTTTGTAATTCTTTTACTCCTATCTGATTTAAAAGAAAAACATATAAAGCAATAATTCTGTGTTGATGGGCACATAATGTGTGAAGATACAACTTGTATAATAATAATAGCACACAGGAGGGGAGAGAGAATGAAAGTTTTTGTATACTACTTGTGATGGTTAATTTTATGTGTCAACTGAGTGGGCCATGGGGTATCCAGATTAAACATTGTTTCTGAGTGTGTCTGTGAGGCTGTTTCTAGCATGTGAATCAGTGGACTCCATAAAGTATAAAGTAGATTGCCCTCCCCAATGTGGTTGCATCATTCAATCCTTTGAGTGCCTGAAGAAAACAGAAGGTGGAGGAAGAAGAAATTCATTCCTTATTTTCCTGCCTTACTGCTTGAGTTGTGACATCTCATCTCCTGCCCTCAGACTGGGATCACTGGCTCTCCTAGTTCTCAGACCTTCTGACTGAGAAGGTCTGAATTATGCTACTGACTTCCCTGGGTTGCCAGCGTGCAGAGAGCAGAACGTGTAATTTTTCAGACTCCTTAATCATGTCAGCCAACTCCTCATATATTGGTTCTATTTCCTTACAGATCCCTGACTAATTCATTAGTGAAAATGAAGCTGGTATTCATTTAAAATAGACTGCTATAAACTAGGATGTTAATTGTAAGCCCCAGGGTAACCACTAAGAAAATAATTTTAATTAAGAGAAATGACACGGGAATTAAAATAGCATATTAAAAATATTTAACACAAATGGAAGAAATGGAGGAAAAAAGAAATAAGACATATAGAAACAAACAGCAAAATGGCAAATGTAAAGCCTACCTTATCAGTAATTACATTAAATTACATGAATGAAACATCCCAATAAAAAGTCAGTGACTGGCAGAATGGGCTACAAGAAACATAATCCAACTGTCTACAACAGACACACTTCAGATTCAAAGACATAAATAAAGCAAAAGACAGAAAAACATAACAAGATATGACAATTATAAACAGAAATTGTACCAAACAATGGCCCCAAAATACGTAAGTAAAAAATGACAAAGAGAGAAATAGACAAATCAACAATAAAGCTTTTGATACTCGACTTTCAATACTAACAGAACAACTAGACATGGAACCAGAAAATAGACCCTTTAACACTATAGACCAATTAGACCCAATAGACATATGGAGCACTCCATCCATTAACAGCAGAATTTACATTATTCCCAAGTACACACAGGACATTTTCCAAGACAGGCCATGTGCTAGGCCATTTTAAAAAAGGCCTCAAGGCTGGGCATGGTGGCTCACGCCTGTAATCCTAGCTCTTCGGGAGACCTAGGTGGAGGATCACCTGAGCTCAGGAGTTTGAGACAAGCCTGGTGCAATATGGCAAGACCCCGTCTCTACTAAAAGCACAAAAAAAAAAAAAATTAGTTGGGCATGGTGGAGTGCGCCTGTAGTCCCAGCTACTCGGATGCTGAGGCACAAGAGTCACTTGAACCCAGCAGGTGGAGGCTGCAGTGAGCCAAGATTGCACTGCTTCACTCTAGCCTGGGTGACAGAGCGAGATGCTATCTCCAGAAAAAAAAAAAGAAAAGAAAGGCCTCAATAAAATTTAAAGGATTGAACAATACACATTATGATTTCTCATTGCAATTAATTCCAAATGGATCAAAAACTGAATTATAAGAGAGAAAACTAGAAAACTCTTAGAAGAAAACGTACATGTAAATTTTTGTGACCTTGAATTGGGCAATGTTTTCTTAGATATGACACCAAAAGCATAAGCAAACAACAATGAACTTCATAAAAATTAGATATTTGTTCTTTAAAGGATGTAGGAAAGTGAAAAGACAACTGACAGAATGGGAGAAAATATATGCAAATCATATATCTGGTAAGGGTCTAGTATCCAGAATACATAGAAAATTCTTACAACTTAGCAAAAAGACAAATAATCCAATATAAAAATGAACTAATGATGTTGAGCATGTCATGTGCTTACTGGCCACTTGAGTATCTTTGGAGAACTATCTATTCAAATCCTTTGCCCATTTAAAATTGGATTTATCTTTTCATTTCTAAGAGTTCTTTATATATTCTGGATACTAGAATACACATGATTTGCAAATACATATATCTGCTTTTTCACACCATACATGAAAAAACAATACTGATAAGAATGTGCTAAACACAAACTTCCCTCCAAGTTAAAGTGTGAATTTAAAAGTGCAATCATGCCTCAGCCTATCCTGATCCCTTTTTTTTCTATTTAGTTTTTCCTGGACCATCATCTAAAGCAGGGTTGTCCAATCTTTTGGCTTCCCTGGGCCACACGGGAAGAAGAATAATTGTCTTGGTCCACACATAAAATACACTAACATCAATGATAGCTGATAAGCTTAAAAAAAAAATAATCCCAAAAGCCTTCCTGGGCTGCATGTGGCACAGGCTGAACAAACTTGAACTTAAGGTTTCATAACCATCTCATGAACAAGAAAAGTTCTCAGCAAGGAAAGAGGCTTCTTTAAAGGTTTTCTATTGTAAACTTTTTATAATGGCATTAAACTGTAATTTTTAAGAGGAAAAGTAATTCTGAACCTTGCCATAAACTAGGGCACAAACACACAATTTAAAAACAACAACAACAACTAGCACTTACAATTACCAAAGGCTTAAATGTTAAATCGTTAAGGGTGGGTTGGAGATGAGTGGTAGAGCGTAGGAGGAATGCTATATAGCTGATGTTGCTTGGCAGAATTTCAAAGAAACAATCAAAATGTTACATATTTAGTACAACATGTAGAATATTTTTCAAAGGCTTTATTTCTCTGTTCAAAGATAGAGACTGTCCATGTCTCTTAAAATTCTTCATTTCACTAATACATAATCAGTTAAAAATAGCAGTTTTATTTAAACATGTTCATCTTTCATAAATATTTTATCTGTAGGAGAAAAATGTTTGCTCTTCTCAAATCAAAACACATTTGTTAAGGGCAGGATTTCATTCAAATAGGAAGGTGATCTTAAATGTGAAATTATCAAATTTATGCAAACTACTGCTAATGCTCTATTTCTACCAATAATTAAGAGATTCCTGTAAACCCTAAAAGCTCAAGAGCAAAGGCACATGACAGCCATGCAACTTTTATACAATGACTCTTTGTTGCTGATGCTAAAATCTTATGAATTTCAATGAAACTTACAGACTTACCAATTTCTAACAAACAAGTGAGATTTGTATACCGAGAAGCCGCAAACAGTCGTAGTAATCATATTCTGCGCCGCATAACATCATTCTTCTTGCTAGTTTATGTTGGTTTTAGAACATGGCTGCAAATTTTTTTGACTTCCCATCACAAGGTGAAACCTATGTCCCCTTTTCCTTGGATATGGGTGGGTTTATGACTGCTTCCAACAGAGAAGGGATGCCAGGCAACTTCAAGGCTAGATCATATGAGGCCATGCAGCCTACTAGACACTGAACCACTTATGTAAGAACTTTAAATACCCTGAGGCTGTCATGCTGGGAAGGCTACCTGTAGCCTCTCCAGCTGACAAGTCCCACGCACCTAGTCATTCCCATCAAGGTGTCAGAAATGTGAATGAAGAAACCATCTTGGAAGTAGACTCTCCAGTTACAACTGTTGCAGTCCCTGGCTTTCAGCTCCTTCCCAGCTGTGGCACACATAAAGATAGCAGAGACAAGCCATCCCTGTTTCATCCTGTCTGCATCCTGACTCACAGAATCAACAAATGCTTGTTGTTTTATGTCAGTGTGTCTGGGGTGGTTAGTTTCTCAGCAATGAATAACTGAAACACAGATCAACAATTTAATTGGACTAACATGAGATGACTGTCAACTTTGGGCAAATAAACTGAAAGACTATAAAGACATGGTTCTGTTTCTAAAGGAATCTACAACCCGGCATTAGATTCTAACTTGCAGAGACTACCTAACACCTAGAAAAGTATCTGGCACATAGCAGATAATCAATATTTGCTGAATAAACAAATGAACTATATTATTTAGGGTTGAATGTTGTATAATATACATTTCTACCTGAATTTCAATGTTCTTATTTAAGAGAACAGAGAAAGGTCAGGCTGTTCATCACTATCTGTTCAAATGGCATATAAAAATCATATTACATTTTATAATTTTTTTACATTTATATACTCAGTAATCACTCTTAGCTGTCTGTATCAGGCAAATCACCACCTTTTCCAATCATCCATCTTTTCACTGTATCTTTCATGTTACAGGCCTAAGATACTTTAGAAATGATAAAATTGGTTACTTCAATACTAATAAGCACAGCTGGAAAATGAAACCTTCAACTGGATAAGCCTTTACCAACATGTAAATGAAAAGGCAGTTTGCAATTACCAAGGTTTTTTACATTCTCATTATAAATGGTTTGATAAGAAACACTAGTAATAGTTCAACTGCAAATTAAATTCTTGAATGCATGTTAAAGGAATATTCCTGAAAATCTGTGAAACTGTTATCTTTCAGCTCTCAAAATCATAAATAACTGAACTGACATTTCATTCAGTTCCTCTAACATCTCATAACTGATGTTTAGAAAAGAAGCCTATACACTGAAAAGAACAGTTCTACTGAAAGAAGCAGCCTGAAATATTCTTCAGCCATAACTAGTCCTGACTCAGACTAGTATATTCAAAAGACCAGTGTCAGTTTCCAGGAGGCCTCTGCCATCATGTTCAGATTCTATGCTTGCTGGTTACAGAAGATATAAAAAAATGCAATGCTACATTATTACACGCATTTTCAAAAGTCTGTCTATCCTACTCTATCTTACCTCCTAGTTCTAGACAACACAGTTTAGAGTTAAGCATTCTATAAATCTAAATGTTTCCAACATTTTAATAACATCTTTGTTTTTTTCATTGTTTCTCATGTCTTAACTCTGATGTTTAGAAATAAATATCAACAATATATTGATACAAAATGAATGTGTATTTCATGTGCACATGAATGAAACTTTTGCTACATAGCAGCAGAGAACATGACTTGACCTACGATAGAGTCAACATGGTTTATTAGAATAGTAAACAAGAACAGTAAAGCTTGAGTCTAACTACAGCATTAACTAAATTTTTGTGACTCAGTCTCCTTATTCATAAAATGAGGGGGATTAGATAATCTCCTTCAAGTCTATGATTTTATGTGTGAGTATAATAGCAAGCCATTCTATATCAGACTTACACTCTTACATCTAAGTCCAGTATGATGTAGTATGCATTGTTTTTCACAGCAATCGAGATTACTGCAGATTTATACTGTAAAACTGGCTTAACTTGAAATTAGAAACCAGTATTTATTTCTGCCATTTTATGTGATTCTACACAAATGACGTATACTGTAACTCTTCCTAAGTTAAAGATCAAGTCTTTTAGCAAAATCAAATTATAAAACTCATCAGCTAAATAAATTACTTAACCTTTTAAAAAGCTTTTATGAGAACAGAAATCCCCACTAAATATTTAGTTTTCCAACTCCTAATTCTTGTTCAGTCTAGTCCCTGAACCCAGAATCTTTACAAGATCTTAGCAAATAAAATAATGTATTTATTTCCATATTGCAACAAAATTATCGTTTTTATTGGCTGCATAATATCCCACTGAGTTTATGTGCATAGTATTTTTTAACCCTTCCCTACTTTTAAATAACTGATTCCAATTTACCAAACTATGCACAATGTTGCACTGAACATATTTACATACAATTTTTCCTGCTTTTAGATTATTTCCTTAGGATAATAAACTAGATAAAAGGAGATTTACATTCATATAGTTTTTAAAAACAAACTGCCAAACTGCTTTATAGAAAGAATCTATCATAATATCCTGTCATCTATTTGAATATATCAGTTTCATATTACAGCAGCAGAAATATTAACAGGTATAAAACAGTACTTCCTCACTGTAGTTTTTGTATTCATGTTTTTGATAAATAATGTTAAATACTGTTCCATACAACTTATTTATTGTATCTCTTCTGTACTTGATTCACCCATTTACTTACTAGTGCTCTGGTTTGTTTTGTTTTAATCAAGTTTTTATGTTCATTTGAACCACCTTTTTCCAAAATCTGGAGTTACTTCTTTTATATTTTTTGCTTACCTGTTTTTGAGATGTGCCTCCAGATCACAACGTTGCATTACATCTTTGCACACTGAAGAAAATGGACATAAAACTAATAATTTGTCTAGGAGTTTATGAACTAGAATACTAGACTTCTTGCACAACTTAAAATGAAGTCTTTTCCGGTCCAACGGACAGAAATCTTTCTCTTGTAAAAAGTTTCTGAGGCACTTGTAGCAGAATGTATGTCCACAGGGTGTGTCTAGTGGCTGCAGCAGAGGTTGAAGGCAAATATGGCAGACTAGGTCATCATCCACTTCATTCTGGTAATTGTACAAATGGTTTTCTCTTGTCCAGTGCTGTTGGCCACATTCAAAACACAGGGGGTTTAGAGAAGAGGAGGAGGTCTGTTCCACAGACACCATCTCATCACTTGTTGTTCCCATTTTGAATCAATTCTGTATCCTCATGTGTTAGACTTCCACTTCACGCTTGGTTTCCTTTAACAGACAGTGATGTATCTGACTAAAGTCAAGGTGTGTTTTTCTAGATAAGCAAAACAAACACATTAAAAAAGGTAATTAATATCAATCAAGATAGGTTAAAAGTATCAATGTAATATTACTGGTTAGCTTTTTTTAGTAAAAAATTAAAGGTTGAATCAGGTAATAAATTAGTCATAAAAAAAGAAATTAATTTTCTAGTTGGCTAAGAAGGACTTACACTGCCAAGTTCTTTTTTATTATAAGTTTTAATTGTCTCTTTTGATTTTTTTATTTATTTGCTTTTTGAGTCAGGGTCTTGCTCTGTCACCCAGGCTGGAGTGCAGTGGTGCAATCTCAGCTCACTGCAACCTCTGCCTTCCAGGCTCAAGTGACTCTCCCATCTCAGCCTCCCGAGTAGCTGGTACTACAGGTGCACGCCACCATGTCCTGTTAATTTTTTTGTATTTTTTTGTAGAGACAGGGTTTCCATGGTGGAAAGCCCAGGGTGGTCTTGAACTCCTGGACTCAAGCAATCAGCCCTCCCAAAGTGCTAGGATTACAGGTGTGAGCCACCGTGCCTGGCTCCCACTGTCAAGTTCTTGATAAAAAAACAACTTTTGATGAAAGGTAAAGACACCATAGATTATATAGTGTGACATAAGAAACAATCGATTTGTTTTACTGACTGAAATCCCCAAATATGTCACTGTTCAATGGTAGTTTTAAAGCCAATTAATTGTGCTAATAGTAATGCTGTTTGAGGTATATAATACATTTGCATGTCATCTTAGACATGCTTCTTTGCTTCTGATTGATTTTACACATTTACAGTACAATATCAAAGATTGCGTCTTTGAAATGTAGTCTCAAGGATAATTCAGAATCAACTAACACAGGAACAGAAAACCAAACACCACATGTTCTCACTCATAAGTGGGAGTTGAACAATGAGAAGAAATGGACACAGGGAGGGGAACATCACACACCAGGGCCTGTCAGGGGATGGGGGGCTAGGGGAGGGATAGCATTAGGAGTAACACCTAATGTAGATGATGGGTTGATGGGTGCAGCAAACCACCATGGCACATGTATACCTAATGTAACAAACCTGCACGTTCTACACACGTATCCTGGAACTTAAAGTATAATAATAAAAAATGACCTTTGCTCAGCACTATGGGAAAAATGAATTTCAGCGTATGTATGATTTGAATACTCTCTCCATATGTCACACAGATTATAGAAAGATACATCTGCATAGCGTATATAAATAACAGCGCAAATGCTGCAAAGTACAATACTATTTTATTCCACTAAAAGAAAAAAACCTGCCAAAATTCAATTAAACAGATAAGATATGTTATACATTTCAATTTCACCTCATAGTATTCCATACTTCGATTTGGGCTTGCTTACTCAGAGCAGCAGTGTGTGTGTGTGTGTGTGTGTGTGTGTGTGTGTGTGTGTGTGTGTGTGTGTGTGTGTGTGTGTGTGTGTGTGTGTGTGTGTGTGTGCGCGCGTCCTCTCCAACATACTTATTTTTAAGTTCGATCTGTTGCCCGGCTGGAGTACAGCGGCGTACTTGGCTCACTGCGACCTCTGCCTCCCAGGTTCAAGCGATTCTCCTGCCTCAGCCTCCCGAGCAGCTGGGATTACAGATGCCCGCCACCACACCTGGCTAATTTTTGTAATTTTAGTAGACACGGGGTTTCACCATATTGGCCAGGCGGGTCTCAAACTGCTCACCTCAGGTGATCCACCCACCTTGGCCTCCCAAAGTGCTGATTACAGGTGTAAGCCACCATGCCCGGCCCTCCAATATAACTCTTAGAGCAGCCTCCTCCAGGGTAGCGCGAGCCTAGCCAGGAATGCTCCCCTCATCTAACGGTTTCCATCTTTCTACTGCTGAGGGATCAGGGATTAAATATTCAACTCCAAAGGCAGCAGCTCTGTATTTCTTCTTCTGTAAATATTTACATAAGAAGAGACTCTAGAATGTACCAAACGTTGAACATCGAGACAGAAGAGGTAGGGAGAGGACAGTTAAAGCCCATTATTAAAATTCAATTTAGTAAGTACTCTAAGAAAAGTTATGCACAGGGTGTTACGTGACTATGGAGAGACATGAAAAGAACTGGCATCTAACTCTGGCTTTGTGGCCGGAAATACTTTCAAAAGGGAAAAAAAAACATGGGACTGCTGAGTTGTGACAGGAAGTATCAGCCAGAGAGAAAAAATGGACAAGGGCACCTTGGGTGAAAAAAAGCATCAGCTAAGTTGCAGGGGCTTGAGGGTACACAGCACATTCAGGGAATATGAAGCAGGTAAAACTGTGCAGCAAAGAAAACACACTCAAGGGAGGGGAATTCTAGAACTTAGCGTGCCTGCCACAAGAACCTTAAGAGTAGGATACCATGTTGAGGCTACTAGCATTTCTATTTCAATAACAAAATTCTCCAATCACGTATATGTATTTGCTTATTTATTTAAAGTATTTATTGGAAAAACAACATTAAAGTAGGCCAGATGCAGAGGCTCACTGCTGTAATGCAGTGAGGGAGGAGTTTGGGAGGCTGAGGTGGGAGGACTGCTTGAGTCAGGAGTTCGAGACTAGCCTGGGCAATATGGTAGGACCCTGTCTCTACAGAAAAAAAAAAAAAAAATAGCTGAGCATGGTGGCATGTGCCTGCAGTCCCAGCTACTCAGGAGGCTGAGGTGGGACGATCCCTTGAGCCCAGGAGTGAGGCCAGCCTGGCAACATGGTGAGACCCTGTCTCCACAAAAAATAAGAAAATTAGCCAGGCGCAATGGTGCATGGCTGTAGTCCCAGTTAATTGGGAGGCTGAGGCAGGAGGACTGCTTGAGCCCAGGACTTTGAGGCTGTAGTGAGGCAAGCTTGCACCACTGCACTCCAGCCTGGGCAACAAAGCGAGACCCTGTCTCTAAATAAATAAAAATTTTAAAAGAAAAACATTAATGTTTTAACAGATTTAACAACTGTCATAAATTAGGAGGTGGTGGCATAGGATTCAGGCAGGACAGTTGGCCTCAGATAAATTGTGTTTTTAAGAACTAATAAAATAATACCAGCAAGGCTGGGCACGGTGGCTCACGCCTGTAATCTCAGCACTTTGGGAGGCTGAGGCAGGTAGATCAACTGAGGTCAGGAGTTTGAGACCAGGCTGGCCAACATGGTGAAACCTCATTGCTACTAAAAATATAAAAATTAGCCGGCTATGGTGGTGGGTGGCTGTAGTCCCAACTACTTAGGAGGCTGAGACAGGAGAATCACTTGAGCCTAGGAGGCGGCAGAGGTTACAGTGAGCAGAGATCATGCCACCGCACTCCAGCCTGGGTGACAGGGTGAGACTCGGTCTCAGAAAAAGAAAAAAAAAAAAATGGGCGAGGCACGGTGGCTCACACCTGTAATCCCAGCACTTTGGGAGGCTGAGGCGGGTGGATCACGAGGTCAGGAGATCGAGACCATCCTGGCTAACACAGTGAAACCCCGTCTCTACTATATTTTTAAATCAGCCAGGTGTGGTGGCGGGCGCCTGTAGTCCCAGCTACTCAGGAGGCTGAGGCGGGAGAATGGCATCAACCTGGGAGGCGGAGCTTGCAGTGAGCCAAGATCGCACCACTGCACTGCAGCCTGGGCAACACAGCAAGACTCTGTCTCAAAAAGGAAAAAAATAAAATAAATAAATAAATATATAAAAATAATAAAAAAAAATACTAGCAGCCTGTAATCTAAACTCCTATCAATACCAACATCAAGAAAGCAAACATTTCTCGCATTTTATAATTCATGTTCTTCTCCCTTTGAGCATCGTAACTTTTAACATGTCAGTGCAAGTACATGAGATTAAGGAGAGAAACATCCTGTATCTCAGCCAGACAGACACGTCCAAGCTAGGTATTTTAATACGGAATTTCTGCAGATTCTTGTTTCCTACCCAATAGCAAGAATTACCAATTAGCAAGAATATTCACTTATTTTTTACCCCTCTTTGTGATAGTGTTTATTCTAATTTTTCTCTTCCTCAAGAAAAATACTACAATTCTAGCCTCCCACATGATGACTAAGAAAGTATTTAAGACGATTATATTTTAGCTACTTTCTAAATCTCTAAATAACTTCAGTTCTTTATTTTCATTTTATCAAAAAACTTTTCATGAAGAAAATTAACATGTTCCCATTTAGTAACAGCGGTCTATCTCAAAGGGTCAATATAAAGAATAAGTGTATATATATACACTTATATATATATATATACTTACATACATATATATACTTATATATACATATACTTATATATATAAGGCAGTACATATATCTATATCTATATAATATCTAAGTTCAGATATATATACGTATATATATACACACATACACATATATATTGCTGTATCTGGCAAATCATAGGTGCAATGTAAGTGCTATCTATTATTAAAAATAGAGAATCAAATGTTCACACAGATTTTATTATTTGTGCAAAGCCATATAGCATATAGTTACTTAGTAAGAAAGAAGGAAGATAAACCCATTCCTTCTGGCTTTAAAATAACATGATAGGAAAGATATTCCAGGAAAGCTTTAGAGTATGAGTTTTGGAAGGAGAAAGGCATCCTGACCTCACTTCTCTAAGCCCCAATCCCACCCCTCTTCTCCCAGCTCAGGCAGATCTTTCTCTTTCTGCTTTGTGTGCAAGCTGGCTGTACTGCCTCACACTACTCTCACACTGGGGTCCCTCACTGAACTATCAGCTCTAAGAGTGAGCCTCCCACAGGGGAGGAGCTCAATAAATGTTGAATGACCAACTGGGTGACAATAATGCTTTCTTTCAGCAAGTTTAGGTGAACAAAACTACATCTATGTATACAGGAGGACATGCCCATGTTCATATATGTTTGAGTTCAGATATTATATATCTGTGAGCAGTGTGAAATACTAAAGTACAGGTTAAATAATAGTCTCAAACATTTCCTAAAATATAAAGATAAAATGTAGCATAATGTGCATCTTTTCTAACTGTATAATCTATTTAACAGTATTGCTGGAATAGTAAAGAGAAGGAAGCTGTTAGCTTGGGCGGGATTATTACAACACATTTAAAATAATATCTTGAAAAACAGCCAGTGCAATAGGAAGGGAGTTTACTACCTAATTCCAGTTAAGATTAACATGCTTGATCTTCCTGGTTTAAGGGATAAGAATATCCACAAAGACTCTCAGAAAGAACTATGGTTTTCCACCATCGGTTTGCATACTCCAAAACTATGTATTATTCAGTTCATTTCTCTCGATGTTACTCCTGACTCAGATTTAAAGGGTCTTCACTGGCCCTAACCTAAGAGATCCAGCCCAGGGAAAAAGACGATGAGCTAAGAGTTACCACTGAAGGTTAGACAGGAAGCATCTGTGGTTCCCTTAACTCATCGGTACCAGGGGTCTAAGAATACCCTACCTCTCAAGTCCCCCTGGCCCATCCTTCTCATTCCTTAGCTTCAGCTCAAATTCTGCCTCCTCCTACTCTTGAGCGCTCCCCCCCTTCCCTTCTGCTCCTGCTGCCCTTTACACATATTTTCCCTTCAGCAATTCCTACAGTGCATGTTTGCTCATCTGCCTCCCCTCCTCTTTGAGGGTAAAAATAGCCTTTTTAATCTTTTGTATTCCCACTTCTTAAGACATATTAGGCATTTAAAAAAGATTGTTCTCAGGCTCATACATGATCCTGAAATGCAAAAAGGGTCCTGATATGTATAACTATATTCATATATGAGGAAATATTGTGCATTTGTGGCACTTCAAAGGAATCAACATATGAACCCAGCCCGTTAATTTACAAATGCACAAAGAATAAGGTAATACTCCCTTTAATCTACAAAGGGGTAAGGGAAAAAAGTTTCCTTACTTGGTATCAACACAGGAAAATTTTCTCATGGTATATGTCACATATCAGCTTTGATAGCTGCTTCTGTATAAAGCAGTGCTGTCGCCAGGCGCGGTGGCTCACGCCTGTAATCCCAGCACTTTGGGAGGCCAAGGCGGGCAGATCACAAGGTCAGGAGATCAAGACCATCCTGGCTAACACAGTGAAACCCCATCTCTACTAAAAATACAAAAAATTAGCCGGGCATGGTGGCGAGTGCCTGTAGTCCCAGCTTCTCAGGAGGCTGAGGCAGAAGAATGGCGTGAGCCCTGGAGGCAGAGCTTGCAGTAAGCCGAGATGGCGCCACTTCACTCCAGTCTGGGCAAGAGTGCGAGACTCTTGTCACAAAAAAAAAAAAAAAAAAAAAAAAAAAAAGCAGTGCTGTCAAACTTGTTTGACTTCAGAACCCTTTTATCCACTCTGGACAAGTTTGGCAGTTTCCTTAAAAAATTCATGCAACTACCATATAATCCAGCAACTATACCTTTAAGCATTTATCCCAGAGAGGTGAAAACTTACATTCACACAAAAACTTGTGCACGAATGTTTCTAGCAACTTTTATTTGTAGTAGCCAGAAACTACAAAACAACTCAGATGTACTTCCACTGATGAATGGGTAAACAAATTGTGGCACATCTATACCACAGAGTTTTACTCAGCGATAAAAAGGAATGAACTATTAACCTCTATGAACAACAACCTCTATGAATCTCCAGAAGATTATGAGCGAAAAAAGCCAATGCTAAAAAGCTGCATACTGTATTGTTCCATGCATATAACATTCTTGAAATGACAAAATTATAGAAATGGATTAGAGGTTGCCAAGGATCAAGAAGGGTTAGGGGCAAATAATAGGGCAACACAAGGGGTTATGTGACAACGGAAATTGTATCAATGCCAATATCCTGGTTATGATACTGTACTATAGTTCTGCAAAATGCTACTATTGGGGGGAACTGGATAAAGGGTACATGGGATCTCTCTGTATTATTTCTTCTTACAACTGTATATGAATCTACAATTATCACAAAATAAAAAGTTTAATTAAAAAATTACTGAAGCTCCCAAACAGCTTTTATCTGTCTGTATTCATTATGTTAGTAATGAAAATTCAAATATCCATGTTAATAAAAAAAACAAACCCAGTAGATTAACATTTTTATGGAAAATAACTTTTTTCAAAGTAAAAAACATAGAAGAAATATATTATTTTACATGTTTGTTAATCTGGAGTCTCATATATGTTTCTGTTTTTAATCTGTCATGAGCTCACATGTGAGGTCTGGAAAATTCTACTAGACACTTGTGCCAAAAAGAGTGAGAAAGGCATTGTGAAAACAGTTTTGACCCTGTGGATTCAATGAAAGAAAAGGGGGTAAATGACTGATATACAGCATCGAAGAGTTCTAAAACCCTTCTTTCACAAGAAGTACCGGTCAATAACCAACAATCCTTTTGGAAAAGCAAAAACTAAAAATGGAAAAATGCTTGATTGAGCCTTGCTATAGGAGTCTGTCTTTCCCGGAATAAAGTTCTTTCCCCAGAGCCTCTTCCTACTGGAAGAAGCATATCTGGATATTTAGCTGCATAGAAATATTTACCGTATCATATGGGAGCTTCACATAAATTTTATTCTATAAACTACTGGCTATAACTATAATCTACTGGCTTTGCTTAAATAGTAATTAATCACATACACACACAGAGGGAGTTTGAATTTATCTCTAAAACACGATTCTGTATCTGTTTATATATAATAAAACACTTATTGGTATATTTACCTTTTAGTCTCAGTATTTGTTCATTTTTATTTTTTGATAACTTTAATCTTTTAAATATTCTATATAAGGGAGGTCAAATTGTGGCTAATAGAAAATTTAAAATTTTAAACCCCCTTCACCTTTAGTTCTCCTAATTTTGAAATTCTCCTAAACCATGATGAAAAAGGTTTTTTTAGTGCAAAGTGATCAAGGCAAAAACCAAACTGGGTTACCTGCCTGATTCCTACACTGAAGACAGTTATACTAAAGTTATACTTTCAAAGGTTACTCTAAATCATGTTACCTTAATTTGGAAACAGAATTTACATAAAATTATTTCAAAAAGGAAATATATTAAATATCATGCTAAACCTTTCCAGTAACATCTAGGTGAACCTCTGCCAATAAGACCGCTGTGGAAAGAACTTTGCTCCAACAAGAAAGACTTCTCCAGCACCTCCAACACGTGGGCTTTCTTCATTAACAGCAGTCTTCACCAGCCAGCTGAGTTGGGGCAATTTTTATTTTTTTGAGACGGAGTCTCGCTCTGTCACCCAGGCTGGAGTGCAGTAGCATGATCTCGGCTCACTGCAAGCTCCGCCTCCCGGGTTCATGCCATTCTCCTGCCTCGGCCTCCCCAGTAGCTGGGATTACAGGCGCCCACCACCACCCCCGGCTAATTTTTTTGTATTTTTAGTAGAGACGGGGTTTCACCATGTTAGCCAGGTTTCACATGTTAGCCAAAAGTGCTATTTAGGAGATGCTGCTGCATCTATGGTTGGTTTTTTATTTTTATTTTTATTATTTATTTATTTATTTTTTGAGTCTCACCCTGTTGCCCAGGCTGGAATGCAGTGGTGCAATCTCGGCTCACTGCAAACTCTGCTCACTGCAACCTCTGCCTCCTGAGCAGCTGGGATTACAGGCACATGCCACCATGCGTGGCTAATTTTTATATTTTTAGTAGAGATGGGTTTTCGCTATGTTGGTCAGGCTGGTCTCGAACCCCTGACCTCAAGTGATCTGCCCGCCTCGGCCTCCCACGGCCTCCGAAAGTGCTGGGGTTACAGGCGTCAGCCACCATCCCCAGCCCGGTTTTTTTTTTTAAGGCAAGCACAGGTAAATGTTAGCAGCATAGATGGCTTTAGTACTAACCCAGATGTTAGTAAATAGGTGGTTTTAGATAGCAGATTTTGCCCCAGAGCCAATCTTATACTTTTTCATAAAAAATATCTAAAGCTACAGAAGAAACTTGTCAGTCCTATTTTCTCCAATAAATGCAAAAGAATCGGGTGGATACTGCTATTCTGTGATCAACCTATGCAATAAGGTAAAGGAAATAGAACTAAAATAATATCATGGTGATATTACTAATAAAGATTCCCAGGCTTCATTATCTTAACTAAGAACAAGATATAAGAAATTTAAATGTTGCAGCTTTCAAAGCTAATCAGTGACACCAATAATTTAAAAAGCATATTTAGGATGTTCAATTTGCTCTACTTATAACTTTATATATGTATTATAAAGTGTATATATACATATATATGTGTGTGTGTATATATATGTGTGTGTACACACACACATATACATATATACCATCAGATTAAGAATAACTTTGGGTCAGACCTTGAAGAGCCATATTTGTGCTTTCTCAAGGCCAGACTAAATAGACAATGGCCTCAGGGGCAGGGACCAGAGCCTTGTTGGCCTTGATGTTTACACAGAATGATTCCCATGTGCTGACACAATGTCTTCTAATTTACTTAAGTTACAGTTCTAACACTGAGAAAACTTAAAAGAAAGAAAATACATTGTAATTCATTACAGATTCATATATATCAAATATCCCTGCAAAATACAAATGCATAATGTTACATGATTCAAATATTAATAAAATATTTGCACTGTAAAGCCAGAACTATAAAGAGGCTGTACTATATGAAGCCCCTAGGATGATCAACAATGCACCTCCAATTATATTAGTTTCCTGTGTTTCCAAAACGGATTCAAACAAAATCCCAGGTTTCACATGTTAAGTTGCTATTACCTGCCTTTCTGACATCTCCACTAGGGAGTGAACTTTCACAAACCAACTATATTGAAAAGCAAACTAATTATTCTTTTCCCTAACCTCAAATCTGACCTCCCATTCTTTTTCCTGTCTGTTCGTCCATCCATCTAGGATTTATTGAGAATCTCCTATGTGCCAGACACTACTGTTCCAGGGTTAGGAGTTGAGCACTGAACAGACAAAAATCCCTGCCCTTGTGAAGTTAACAGGGGGAGAGGGTGGAGGATAGACAACATATAAGAAGAAATGAAATGCAGTATTTTAGACGCTGAAAAGTTTTACAGAGCAAAGGAAAGCAAGGCAGGGAAGTCACAGTACTGGGAGGACAGCTATTTTAAACAGCATGATCAAGGAAGAACTCACTGAGAAGGTGGCATTTGAATTTAAAACCAAAAAGAAGTAACTAGAAAGCCATGCAGGTATCTGGTGTAAAAATGTCTGTTACAGGCAAATGAAACAATAAGTACAATGGCCTTGAGGCGAGAATGTCCCTGGTGTGTTCAATGAACAGTAAGGAGGCCAGCATAGATAAAATGAGGAAAGTTCAGAGAAGACATCAGAATGGTTACTGGGCTAACTAAATCTTGTAGGGCCTAAAAAACTTTGGTTTTTACTCTGAGTCAGATTTTAACAGATCATTGGCTGCTATGTTGAAAATAATCTGAAGGGCTCAAAGGCAGAAGCAATTAAAAGCCTACTGAAATATTCTGAGCCACAGATGATGGTAGATTGAACATGATGAACATAGTTGAGATAGAGAGAAATTACTCAATTTTAGATATATTCTGAAGGTAGAACCAATACAGTTTGCTGATTAATAAAATGTGTTCATGGGCTGATGGGAGGGGGGAAAGTCAAGGATGACACCAAGATTTTTGATCTGAGCAACTGGAAAGATGGGGTTAGCATAACTGAGATGCACAAGTCTGTAAGAGAGCAGGTTTAATGGGTATGCTCAAGCTGGAATATGTAAAATTTGGACTGCCTGTTAGATTTCTAAGAAGAGACACTGAATAGACAGTTGCACACACAAGTCCAGTTCAAAGACAAGGAATGGGAAGATGATATAAATTAGGAAACACTGGTGTAAAGATGGTATGGAAAGCCATCAGATTGGAAAAGATCACTAAAAGTGTAGATGAGTGTAAGCAGCAAAGAGAAGGGCTGATTCAGGACTCCACCTTGGCACCTTTCTGGGGGACGAAGAGGACCAGGCAGAGGAGGAGTGTCCACTGTGATTGGACGAAAATTAAGAGAGAATTGTACAGAGAAAGCAGATAAAGAAAAGTGTTCCGAGGAAGAAGAAATAATCAACTGTGTCAAATCCTGTAAGCAAGTAAAATAAGATTAGGACTGAGAATTAAGCACTGGATTTAGCAGCATGAATTCATTGGTGACCTTGATAGAGTTTTGGTGGAGACAGCAGAAGCCTCCTGGAATGAGTTCAAGTGAGAATTGGAAGGAAGGAGTTAAGAGCATAGACAATTCTTTTGAGAAAATATGCTAAATGAAAAGGGGAAATTTGTATCTTGGTAGGAAGTGAAACAATCAGAGGTGATAGCATTCCACCCCATTAACAAAACATTTTTCACCCCCATGTTTACAGGTTTATGATTTGCATCTGTCTACATCCTTTCTTCTTTTGCCATATCTCTCCCTCTCCTTTCTAAAAGCTAGTTTCTCCTCCACCTGGGTTCATCCCTTTGGAAGCCTTTGTCATTTATCTCATCTTCTTCCAATCTCTTTCTCCCCATCACGTACAAAAACATTCATGTCTTATCAACTTTAAAAATAAAAACAAATCATTCTTCTACAATGGTTACCCTTTCCCTCACCTCCATTTCATCTCCAATAGTTTTGAAAAATACCATGCTGCAGTTGTCAACTCCTTACCTAAAAGGGCTTCTACCTCCATCAGCCACAGAGACTAGTTTCACTGTGGTTATGAATGTCTAACTGCTAAACCTAATGCCAGTCTCAGACCCTCATACTACTTTATCTCTCTTCAATATCACTAACGTCTCTCTCCTTGAAACTCTTTGCTGGCTGAAACTTTTTTTTTTTTTTTTTTTTTGAGATGAAGTTTCACTCTTGTTGCTCAGGCTGGAGTGCAATGGTGCAATCCTGGCTCACTGCAACCTCCGCCTCCTGGGTTCAAGCGATTCTCCTGCCTCAGCCTCCTGTGTAGCTGGGATTACAGGCGCCCACCACCACGCCTGGTTTTTGTGTGTGTGTGTGTGTGTGTTCTTTTTTTTTTTTTTTTTAAGTAGGGACAAGGTTTCACCTTGTTGGTCAGGCTGGTTTCAAACTCCTGACCTCAAGCGATCTGCCTGCCTCTGCCTCCCAAAGTGCTGGGATTACAGGTGTGAGCCACCACGCCCAGTCTGCTGGCTGAAATTATACCATTCTTGTTCTTGTTCTCATCCTATCACTCTTTTGTAACAGCTGTCCAATTACTTCCTTTATACAAACCCCAAAAAAGTCAAACTGTTGGACCAAAGTGAAAGGAAGACTTCTGATTTACATTATAAAACTGCCCTCCAAAATGGTGAACAAAATTTGGACTCCTACTAGCAATGTATAAATATACTAACTTTTTCAAAATTGTTCTAAGCCTAGTCAATTTTCTTTTAATATTTATAAATTTTATAGTTGAAAATATTTCATTGTTCTTTTAATTTGCATCTTTTTTAGTCCAGCTAAATTAAACATATGATTATTATCCTTAGTTATCTTGTGAAGTGTCTGTTTATAACCTTAGCCCCAGTTTTTTCTTATTGAATTGTACTGTTTTTCTTATCAATTGATTTGAACTCAACATATTAAGACAGCAACCCTTTATCACATTATTATAATCACCTCTCCCAAGCCTCCTGTTTGCCTTTTAGTTGTCTACCAGCATAAAGATGCTGTCAATTTTCATGTAATTGAATACACTCACTTTTCCCTTTGAGAGTTCTTCCACCACTCTTATCTTCTTCTTCATAATGAGATAAAGATTTGCCTCTATTTTCTTCATTTGTATAGTTCATTTGTATAATAAAATTTTTTTTATTATCACTTTATTCTGGTTAGTATGCAGTATGAGAATAGATCTAACTTTATTTTTCTCCCAGTTGTTACAGTATATCTGCCTCACACTTGTGTTCAAAAACTAGGTCTTTATTCCCCTCTAAATGATCCGCTTCCTCAAGGCACGCCTATATTCCCAGTATCACATAATTAGAACCAGAGGATCCTCCCGTTTCTCTTTCTCACTCCCTGCCTCATTTTCCATACCTAGGCACCAAGTTCCCCTCGATTCCACCTCCAGAATGTGGCCTCCCCTTTCTTCCATTCCCACCACCTCTCTCAGTTATTTGTTGCACCTACTCTTTTAGCAAACGCAGAAGGTTTTCCCGTCTTTTTTCTGTCCTACCTTCCGTCACAACACTAGTATCCAAAAAGCCATGATACTATTTTCCCTGCCTGAATACTCTTCTGTGGTCCCCAACTGCTTCTACAAAATTAAAGCCAAATTATTCAACCTTGCAATTAAACCTTCCCAGATCTGACTCTAGTTTCACTTTCTGACACAATTCTACACATTTGTGCTTTGGCCACACCAAATTATTTACAACTTCCTGACCACAGCATCCTCTTTCCTGCCTGGAATGTCCTTTCCTACCTTGGGTATCTGCAGAACCCCCATCCATTTAGTGGTCAGCTCAAGTAAACACTCTGCTGTGAAGCTCTACCCAATCCACCCAAACACAAGCTCTCACTATGTCCCTTCCACTGCCACTTATCACAGTTATCATGCACCTCACTGCAGTGGTTTGCAATCACTTGTTTGCATGTGTCTTCCCTACAGACTGAACAGCCATTAGAAGGCAGAAACCAAGTCTTAGTTGTTCATCTCTATACCCCCATGCCTGACATGAGTATGTGGTTAATAATAAACCTGAGGAAAGGGAATATGAATGAACAAATGTGTCAACTTTTACCTGCCTTACCAATCCTACCAATTTTGTCTCTAGAATTCTTATTCCCACGACCTCTGCTCTAATTCAGATTCCTACTACTTCCTGATAATCTTCTAATTGCCTCTAATTTCACTTCCTCATCACAAAAGGTGATCTCTTAACAAATAACTAAGATTCTATCATATCTGTCTCTATGTCCACCTGTAAACCCGAAAACCCTGTGTCCTAGCCAGCTGTCACTTCAAACCATTCATCTAAACCATTCAAATCTCTCTGTTTCCAATATTTGTTAGTCTGTCTCTTGTACCTGGATATTATCTTCTACTTTTCAGTTTCTCTGCCACCTCCCCTAATGGTATTTGTCACTTGTTACTTCATCCTCTTTTCTCCCTGGCCCCCAACAACATACTTAGAGCTGTTGCTGCTAATCTGCTGTAGGCTGAGTATTCAGATACTCAAACTTATTAGGAACCATATGCTAAGACGAAGCCAACACTGAGGCTCAGAAAAGGAACAAGTAGGTGGCTTCAGTGCAGGGTATTAAACACACGTATCTATGGTGCTCAACTATCTTTTCCATGTACAGCTGACCCTTGAACAATACAGGCTTGAACTGCATGGGTTCACTCATATGTGGATTTTTTTCAATGAATTTATTAGAAAATTATTTGGAGATCTGTGACAATTTGAAAAAACGCACAGATGAACAGTATAGCCTAGAGATACTGAAAAAATTAAGAAAAAGTTAGGTATGTCAAGAATGCATAAAATATATGCACATTTTGTCATTTACTACCATAAAACATATAAAAACTATAAAAAGTTAAAACCCATCAAAACGTATACACACAAACTGTACATGGCACCATTCACAATTGAGTGAGATGTAAACAAATATACAGTATTAAATTACAATTGTTTACAGATTCATCATTTATTATAAACCGTGTTTCTAACAAAGCCAAATCACCGTTATTTCTAAAACAAATTATAACAGAAAAGATGGTGAACAGGAAAGGATCCCATGGAGATGTATGTTAAACATACACATACCGCCAGCCCTAGACCAATTCCATTTCACAAATTTTATTTTGTTATTTTCTTAACTTTTTCTCTTTTTCTTCATTCTTCCCTTCCTCCGTTTCAATATTACATTCTTTACTCTTACCCACCTTTCCAAACAAAATCTTTCCAAATAAAATCTTTCACAAAATCTGTAAGAAAATCTCAATCAAGTGATCTGCACATGATTTATGAAAATATACCTTTGTCTAAGGACATTTGTACATGAAAAGAGAAAAAGCTAAACATTAAAGGAATGACTCTTTAAGACACTGACAAGGAAATACAATTGAATAGAGCCAACATAACAAAGAGGCTTTCTCAGTCTACTCCCAATGTCATAACATACAGATAAATGTCTCTGTAAAGTTTAACCCACCTGCATAAGTGTCTAATAGAGAGTGCTTCTCTGAAGGTTGCCTTCCACATCTAAGCAGGCATTTTCCCCTCAAAAATATAAGGCTTCTGTTAGCCTCCCTGTTTTCTCTAGTCTCAATCATAAACTTCTTTATCATTAGATTACTACTACAGGGAAAAACCTCTAAGGCCTATCCTTATCAGAAATCAAAACCTCTAAGGCCTATCCTTATCAGAGATCAATCTGTCCTTTTGTAGATGGCTAACTTCATTGAAACCATATCTTCCTAATTTCACAATAAAAACGGCACTCAATATTTTGAGAAACACAGCAGTTTATAAGTCCTGCTATGACATATAGGAGAGGCAGACATCCAATATAAGGATATCTGGGTCAAGTGGAATAAAAGAAGCAAAGTGTTATGCAAGTATAGGTGGAAAAGAGTAATTTCTATTGCAATAATTGGGAAAAGTTTCTTGGAGAAGTACACGGGCTCAGAAACAATACGAGGACTCTCAATGGACAGTTATGGGGAACAAGGAACAACAGCTTTAAAAATTGATATTTCAGAAATAGTTGATGCACTCTATGTGGGTATATGCATGTAACGGGGGTGGATGGACAGAAAAGAGAGTCTGAGGGCTGGACTAGGTACAGAGAGAAAGCAAGGGTTCCTGAGTCAAATGATGTGACTAGACCCATGTGTCTGGGTAGGTAACTCTGGCAGCAGAGTTATGGCAATAATGAAGGGGGGTAAAACAAAAAGTTACTGCAATGGCCAAGATGACTGGTAATGAGAGCTTGAATTAAGGGAATGACTATGAACAGTCAAAGGAGGAATGGATTTGAGCAACATTTTAGGATACAAAAGTTTTAAAAGAGAGAAAGAAGAAAAGCGGGTAAGAAAAGGTGTTAGCATACCATAACCAGCATAGACATATCAAAGAAAAGAGAATTATAAGGGAACTTTCTTCATATTTCCCATCAAAATATCCCTATATTCCTTACAATTCAAAAGTAGTTTCTCATAAATATAAGAATTTCCTGGTATCTCCAAAAAGCCAAAATTTGATAATCCATTTACTATTTTACTCTATAAACTGTACTGTTGAGAAATAAAATGTCTTTCAATTTACAACAAATGTCCATTATCAGCAGGAGTTGCAGCCTCAGGCCCTAGCCTTCTGCTTTGAAAAACTGGGGCACTGTGCTAAACAATCTACAAAGCTTCTTCCAGCTCACTGCAGCACATCACTTAGCACATCCTTACCACACCACTTAGGAGTGGGTAAGGGTCTCAGCACTGTTTAAAAAAAAAAAAAAAAGACATGATCAACACCTATGGCCCACATCTGGCTGAAACATCAAAGTCCAATTACCTAAAGAAAAACAGTACAGCTAGAAAAAGGTTGAGATGTAGGCCACTAAAATTAGAAGTGAAAAAACAAGAACACAGGACAAGGACAGAATATTAGGATTTTTGTTATTAAACAAAAGGGGATGAGACCGATGTCACAAAATCATACACAGTCTAAATTGAACAGGGATTAACCCATGGGGTCAATTTTGACATGTAAAAGGAATAGATTGGGAGAGGGAATGATAATAGCTAACATTTATTTAGAACTTACTTTATATCAGGCATAGTGTCAACTGGGATGGAGAATTAACAGATTTAATCCTCAAGATAACCCTGAGATGGATACTATTCTCACATTCCTCCCCATTTTTCAAATGAGGAAACTGAGAGTAAGGCCCAAGACCTAAAGCTAGTGAGGGATGGAAACATGATTCAAATCAGGCAGTCTGATTCCAGAGCTATAATTTTAAAGTATATACTGTACCTAGTACTTACAGTATAGTAAATATAAGCAGGCTGCACAAACCAAAATATATACATACCTACACATATACAGTATATATATACACAAACATGTACATATACACATATATGTTTACATAAACAAGTAAATGACAGATCCAAGGGGAAGTTACCCTCTATTGTTAATTTTCCAGAAGAAAACATGTATTGCCATCTATATGGGGGCCAAAATGCTGGATGGACCTCATTTCTCAGTCTCACAAAAAATTTTCCACAATTCTGTATTTTCACTTTTAATTTTTACTGTAATAAAATGGAGGCTTCAAAATTGACACTACTTTTTGTATCCACAGAATTCAATAATTATATGCTTCTGTGTTCAGATATCAAAATCAATTTGAATGAACACAAAACTGAATAGCATCTCAAATTTTGAGCTGCCTATCAATCTCTCACAAAGCTTCTTGGAAAACATTCATTTATATTTGTCATGGGGCACAAAATTTGTACAGTGCTTTGAATGCAACCTTTGTATATAAAAGGGTCTATACAGAAAAGTTTTAACCAAGCTTGAAGCTTTTCTCCTAGGGCTTTAACATACAGATACCAAAAGGAGCCTTTGTTTACTCATTGGAACAACATTGTCTTCTAAGGCCACTCACCACTACTTTGTAAATTAGTGCCTCAAGATCTGGAATCCCACTTGGTTTTTCCTGCCAATGGCTCTAGGTGTTTGAACAATTTGGGATATAACTTCCTCTATCCTTATCTACTAGCATCCTCATTGCAATCTGAACTTACGATTCCCGTAAAAGAAATTCATTTACGTTACAGACAATATACTTATGTTCTAACCAGGTAAAGGTCAATTAGTAATCCATATTTACAAAGCTATAATTAGGAAGTAAGTTAGGAATAGACAATATAAAGTAAAACAATAACAAAGGTATCTTGTAGGAATAGAATAGCACCTGTACTTTGGCAACTCTTACTTTCCTGCAGATTATGTTAATGGAAGGGAAGAATTTCAAAGGCACCCCAAAGAGGCAAATATTTAGCAACTTTCTCTCAAATCAAACTTTTACACTTTGGATCTCAAACTCAAGAAACACACATCTAAATATTTAAACTTGTGGGTCTTGGTTAACAATGGCAGCAAATATCACCCAAAGAGCATTACGCCAATCCTGAAAATCTTTTGGTTGCTGTTTCCATGGAAACAGCCTAGATGAAGAAAACCTAAGAGTAAAGAATAATACATTTTTTAAAACCACTTTATCTTGTTTTCCCCTATCAGTTAGCCAGCATGGCACATAACTAACAGGCACATCAGTTATGTACCAGAAAATTCATGACTCATTCAACAAATATGTGTTGGTTATCTGCTGCATGCCAGGCACTGCACCAGAGGATAGGGTTACTCTGGAGAGCTCACAGAGCTCAGTCTAGCACAAAGACATTTACTAGCCAATGACACAAAATGATCGAGAAATTTCACATTCTTTTGTCATATTATGTTTTTGAAATTTTACATGTCAAAAACAGTGTACATTTTATACTTACATCACATTTCAGTTGGGACTAGCCACATTTCAAACCCAATGCCAACAAAAGGCTAGTGTCTTGTACTGGACAACATGGGTACAGATATTCCAATGGGGACGAAAAGCATGCATATCAGGAGTAAGTCGTTTCCTCAAAGAACATAAAATCTAACCAGTAGATTAGCCACTATACATGCAAAATATATATGGTACAGAAACATAACCGTAGAATTACTCAGTAGGTAAAGAAATCTGTAAGAAACATTAATATATAAGATACTGGGTGAGCAACTGTGTGTAGAATTCTTTCAGCTGCAAATGATGGAAAACCTGACTGAAAGTGGCTTAAGTGAAAAATAAGATAGGTGTTACTGACTCGGGGCTTTCTCCCAACTCTGCTTCCTCTAGATTGGGTTCATTCTCAGGCTTCATGTGGCAGCTAGTTCCCAGCAGTTTTAGGGGCACAGTGTCAGACCCCTTGTTCTGCTTCCACAATATTGCCAACAAATGCCCCAGAATTACATCTTCCTATTTCTAATGGCTGGCTTGGTCATGTACCTATGCTGAACCAATCACAGTAGCCAGGGACATGTGATGCTTTAATGGGCCAGACCTGGGTCACTTCTGTAACAAGGCATCAAGTCAACTTCCCCAGAATCACAAAGACTAAAGTGGCTTAACACTGATAAGCCTGATGTATGGCCTATCTTCCTTTAACCATATTACTTGACTGCTTCACTTGATACTCAAACAACCCGGAAGAGTCTTATAAAGTCCATTTCCAGTGATTTATTCCTTCATAGCTCAATTTATTCACTATTACTACAGGCTGGACATTATACTGATTGCTTTACAAGCAGTATTTCATTTAATCTTTCCAACAAACCCTATGAAGTAGTTACCATCACCATTACCATTTTATAGATGAGGAAAACGGGGATCCAAGGGATTAAAAACAACTAGGCTATCAGTGATTGGAATGGGATTCAAACTCTGGTCCATCTAATTCCAAAGTCCACGTTCAGCAGTACCTGAAATTAAGATATTTTTACTGTTCCCTCCCTCTTCCCCATCATTAAAGAAAAAATAAGAAAGACATTATATAAGCAATACGTGATGCAATTCCACAGAAACCACATGATTTATAACACCCTATCTGCAGACATTGCTGAGAAAACTGATGACAGCCCCAAAGAAAGACAACTGCATTAATAAACTAGAATGATACTTCTCTAAATTCTAACTCCTCAAATAAGGCTATGATTTGGTGTAATTAACAGTATAGTTAAGTTCTCAAAAATTCTCAGCCATAAGCTCATAAATATCACTGGAGCAAAGAGGAACAAAATAAAGTTTCTAAAATAATATATCATGCATGAACAGACAATGAAAAGTTCCATTATTAATATTTTCCCAAAAATTTTTTAAAATTTTTATTTTTAGAGACAGGGTCTCAGTTCTGTCATCTAGGGTGGAGTGTAGTGCCATAATCACAGCTCACTGTAGTCTTGAACTCCTGGGCTCAAGCGATCCTCCCACTTCAGCTTCCAGAGTAGCTAGGATTACAGGCGTGTTGAACCATTGCACCTGACCTTCCCAACAATTTACTATGAACATTTTCAAACATACTAAAAAGTTCAACATTTTCAGGGTAAACACTTGTACTTTACAAGTCTACCATTAAGATTTAACTATATGTGCTTTGTCACATATCTCCTCATCCTTCCCTGTTTTATCAACTTCATGATCTTCAAAGTAAATGCAGAAGTCAGTACACTCCTAAATATGACAGTATGCATATCAACTGAAGTTCCTATTTGTTTACATTTAGCTTTTGAGGTGGAATTTAAATACAAAAAAAATGTGCAAAACTTTTTTTTTTTAAGACTGCATTTCGCCATGTTGCCCAGCACTCAAGCAATCATCCTACCTCAGCCTCCCAAGTAGCTGGGATTACAGGCATGTACCACCATACCAAGTAAAATGTGCAAATCTTAAGTCTACATTAATTAAGCTTTTGCTAAATGCATACAACTATGGAACGCAAATCCCTATTAAGATAGAGAACAGAATCATTACTCCGGGTTTTTTTATGCCCTTCCCAGCCAATCTCAACCCTAATTATCTCTACAGGCAACCGCTGGTCTGATATTCTTTCCATCATAGATTAGTTTTGACTATTCTAGAGTATCACCTAAATGGGAACATAGAGTATGTACTCTTTTGCATACAGCTTCTCTTACTCAGCATGTTTTTGAGATTTACCTATGCTGTGGTATATATCAGTAGTCTGTTTCTTTGCATTGCTTGGCAGTATATCACTGTATTGTGTCCCTTATTGATGGACAACTGGGCTGTTTCCAGTTTTTGGTGATTATCAACAAGAACTTCTATGAACCTATGTTTTCATTTCTCTTGGGTAAATACCTAAGAGTAGAAGGGTTGAGTCCCAGGGAAGGTAGATGCTTAGTTTTATAAGTAACCACCATACCTTTCCCAAAGTGGTTGTACCATTTGACTTCCCTAACAAGAATGTATAAGCTTTGGTTGCTCCATATTCTTTGTCAACATTTGATGCTGTCTTTTTAATTTTAGCCATTGTGTTATGTGTGATCAATTAATATTTTAATTACTTTTGAGTTAAATCTATTTGTAAGATACAGCACAAAAATAATTGAGGTACATAAGATATAGTGCAACATTAAGAGAAATTACAATATTATAAATTTTATATATAACTTTAAACTTTTTTCTACTTTCAAGAAGTCACATGATTTAAACTACACTTTCATTCAGTGCCTCATGAAATAATTATGCTGTCAAATATTAGCATTGTTGCTTAGGAAACTGGTATCAAAATACTAACTTTTCTTTCTGTTTATCTCTTACTACTTAATAATACCAACAATTTATGGCTCACTTAACCTACAATTTAGATCAATAATATAAATTGAAAGATATTTGTTAAAAAAGAACACTGTCAATGTCTCTCTTTAAAATCTAATTCTCATTTGCTATACTAAAATATTTAGTCACCTTTTCTAACATAACTCCATCTTGGAACTACGTCCTCTAATTAAGTTCTGGGGGGACCAAGAATGGCATCTGATGCCATTCCTTAAAATAAAAACAAAAACACACCTTGGTACAATTGCACATTCTGAATTAGCTTGTAAAAGCAGCACAACTGTCCCAGAAACAAGCAAATCACTCTTGGATATATTATGATATTTTTCAATACAGTAGGCTTACATAATCGATGCCATTATAGAACTCAGCAGGTGACAGTCCACATCAGTAAACAGACATCTACTGATGACAAAGAAATAGTAACAATAGCCACTTAGGGAAGCCACTAGCGGTGCCTGAAGAGATAAACAGTTTCATGGTCAGATCCCATTTTTTATGCAGTCTCTTACCTGTCAAGGGGCAGCCAATCCCTACATAGTTACTGTTGACTTTTCTTCTACACAAATGTCAACAATGGGGCACAAAATTTTAAGAAATGCTTCCTGACTCCTTAATGTCATTGTAGCTTACAATGACAAACTTCAAATTGGTGAAAAAATGACTATTATGTATTCCACCAAAAAGGAGATGTCCAACTACCATTTTAACACATGCCTATCTTATTCATACCACTCTGCAATGCACCAATTTGTTTTGCTGTTTTTCTGAAATGTTTTCCTTCCCTTAAAAAAAAAAAAAAAAGGCCGGGCACGGTGGCTCACACCTGTAATCCCAGCACGTTGGGAGGCTGAGGCCAGTGGATTACAAGGTCAGGAGATCAAGACCATCCTGCCTAACACGGTGAAACCCTGTCTCTACTAAAAATACAAAAAACTAACCGGGCGTGGTGGCGGGCTCCCAGGTACTCAGGAGGCTGAGGCAGGAGAATGGCGTGAACCCGGGAGGTGGAGCTTGCAGTGAGCCGAGACTGCGCCACTGCACTCCAGCCTGGGCGACAGAGCGAGACTCCGTCTCAAAAATCACAGTATAAAATGAACCACGCTCTTTCCATGCTATGCTATGGTACCCTCTCAGATGAGGAGAGCAGGCATGGCCAGCAGATCCACACAATGAGCAGAGTCAGCAGTGCACTCCATGCAAATGGCTCCTCAGCTATTGAGCACACTATGGGTGATCAAAGAAACAGAGGGTAAAGAATAAGAATAAGGAGGGATTTAGTGGAAGTCCTTTGACACTCCAAAGAGCATCACAAATTTAATCCACCATAAGTTTCACTGCAGATTAGAAGAGTGCCCAACAACTAGAAATGGGAGCAAGAGCAAACCATGGAGATATAATATATATATGGTAGAAGAGATTACACACTTTTTTTCTTACTCTTATCTGTTTTTCCAGATTTCCTACGAATATCTATTACCAAATGTTCTACCATTTAATTATTTTATAATATAAAAAGTAAAAAATTCTACTATTCCACAAATTAAAAAAGAAAGAAAGAAATCTATGGCTCAAAGGGTTGAAACAAAGATGTTTGTCTTTTTTTGTTGCAACCCCTTTTCTTATGCTTGCTCCTAAATTGCCATTTCCTATTGAATTGTATTATTATTAAGTTATTTCTATTTAATTTTTTTTTTTTTTTGCCCTGCCTTTTGGTGCTGACCTACTGAATTTTAATGGGGGAAAAACAGACCTTTTCTGAAGAAAACGACATACAAAATGAATACACAGAACCATGTAGGTAAATATCTCACTAGATAAGTATTACAAGAAGGGTTTCATAAAATTAGAGTTCTTGCTGATAGCCCATTACAAAAGTCAGGGTAATTATATGCTTTTTCCGGGTCCAGTCTCTGCAACAAAGAACCAATTACTCTTTAACCCCCTTACCCTTCCAAATATTTCACTACGTAAGCTTGAAGACTACTAACCAAAATTAAACAACGAAGAAGTTGAAGCAGTATATAAAGAATGTAACTATTCCTTTCTCTAGGTTTAATAGAGAGATGAATGGCAGACAGGCTGACAGACAGGTGGACAGAGATAGATAATGCAAGCAACAGGCTTTTCCCTTTAAAACTGAAACCAGGGTTTCTACAAAATCATTCAACTGCATTAAAACAAAACAATTCCACTGAGTTTCTATTGAAAAATCATCTCATTATGAGTCCAAGAATATGACTGTGGCCATTTACTCTTAGAACCTATCTCTTCATTGGCCAACTATGTGGCATAAACTAAAATGATCTTTAAAGTCCTTTTCCGCAAGAAGAAAGAAAACAATTATGATTCTATCAAAACTTTAACTTTTCATATAACCCTAGTACAGTAAAGAGTAAGACAGCTTTTAGATCAAAGAAGTCTGGTTTCCAATCATAGGTAACCATATTATCTTGTCCAAATTGTATATTACCTCTGAAACTTTCTGAGCTCCAGTCCTTAAATGAAAAATATCGACCTTACAGGGTTACTATGACAATTAACTACTGAATGAAACTTAAAGTTCCTAGCTCAGAGATAAGCCACAGAGCAGTCACGCAAATGGCAGTTATTACAATGATTAATATTGGCAGTTGCACAATTCTGTCCACTTATATTTCACCACAGAAAGAAAAGCAATGTAACACTGAAAATATTAAAACTTTCTATGGCAATACTCATAAATTACTGAAAACAATTTACCTTTTTTTCCCCTCTAGATCTAACATCATATTCTAATTGAACTCAAGGAAAAGACCACCTCTCCCACACCCCTTTTCAGAAAAACAAAATGGATGCACCTGACAATCCTCAAAATGAAAGCTATTCTAAGAGTGTCCACTACAAATATTAAAACTGTAAAGGGACAATCTGCAGACTTGATGAACACTGTAAAATGCACAAAGACATTTCCAATTAGCAAACAGATGTGTTAAACAAATAATTTTTAATTAAGCACAACTTGTACTACAAAATTCCCTAATAATCAAGCTTTTTAGCAGAATTAGTGTACCAAATATGTTTTATTTCATGGTTGTGCTATATTTGCTAGACCAAGGCCACCTAGTAAATATCCTATTTTAAGTTATCATGAAGATGCCCAGATTAATTTTTATTGTGTTCAGCATTCCCTTGAAAAAGGATTAAGTAACAAGGTCATGATTTATAGCGAAAAAAAAAAAAAGAGAGAAAAGCTCAAAAAAAAAAAAGGCTCAAATAATCATTTTGTTCACAATTATATCCAACAAAGAAGACCTCTGTTTTCCTTAAGGTTACATTAATTAAGGTGGGATCAGCAAACGAAAGGTGATCAAGTTAAATTTCAAAAAAATTAGCAAAGTAAAACAAATTTTGCACTATTTTAAATCAAGGTACAGAACAGTATGAGTTTTAAAATATCTATGTATTAATATACAGACAGACACATGAGTTTATACACACAAAATATGCCTGGAAGGATATACAAAAAAACTAACAGCAGTCAACTCCAGGCGAACCAGGTAGCTGGGGTGAAGAGCTCACCTCAGGCTTGTTTTTCATGAAGTATCCATCTGAACACATACACTTTCATGTGTATGGAAGTATATTTATGGCAGGAGCAAGGGAGCATGCACAAAAAGAAATAAAGCAGAAATGAGAAAGCAGTCAAGATTGGTTCTTATATACATGATTAAAAAGCAAAGTACAGAAACAAGATCTTCACATCAAAAATAAGAACAATTTTATGGAGCACTAAAAATGAAGTTGCATGCCCAAGACAATGCTTTTTCTTTACTGCTTCATTTCTGTTTCAAAAGTAAATAAGTAAAACACAAATCTAAATATTAATTATCACATTTATCTGCAAAGTTATTTCCTATCATAAAAATGGGAGAAATGTAAATTATTGCTACATTTAAGAATCTTTTTGCAAGACACATTGTTTACACATATTCTATTCAAGCTTATTGAAATGTCCAGTGTTATAATACATTTCTAAGAATCAATTTAACATTCAGCTGTAATCACACCAGCACAGAAATAGACAAATTTGTGTTTTCTTGTATTTACTTCCTCTACTGCTGCTTAAGGGAAATCTACTATGGCATTCCTGGTTTCTAAAAACGCACCACAACGTCAACTGATGAGTCATGGGTCACACTCCAAGTTCTTATGTACCAAAGAAATCAGGGCACTAAAGTCTTACACACCAATTTTAAAGACTGCCTAATAAGCTCGGTTACAAACCAAGAGTTCTTTATAAGGTAACACAGATGACAGTTTTTAAACAAGGCGTGAAAAACTTCAAAATAAAACTGCAAATTCCACAAAGAGTGATAGAATTATTTACTCTTTTTCAGACTCCTAATAACTGGTAGGGTTTTGTTTTTCTTAATTGAGAACATACAAACATAAAGCACTGTTGAAATACTGACAGGTACAAACTCAAGTTTGTAAAAACTCAACAAACTCCTAGCTTCCTGAAAGTCCAAATTATCTGAGAAATAATTTTCTATATGCCTTGTTTTGACTCTTAATTATTTCCAGTTTTCACTATTTAACCATTTCACTGACTGGGAAACCTCCAGGAGAGGGTACAAAAGGGCAGGAAGCAAAGATGACACCATTTGATTCCTTTGGGCATTATTAGTTAAATTTCCGTGGTGAAGAGACAAATAGCTAAAATGAAACCTGGAGATCAGCTGTAGATTCTAGTAACCAGCATAACAGACCATTGAGATTTAATCACATCATCTAATTTTCCTCCTAGCATCCATCATTATCCTCTCCATTAATTGCTTACCTATTTGCTGTTGTTTCTCTTCCTGCCCCACAGCATGTAAACTCCATGAGAACAGAGATCCCACCTGTCTTGCTCATTGCTATAGTCTCACCATGTAGAACAGTGCCAGGCACATAACAGGCATTCAATAAACACCCAGTGGGAAAAGAAGACATATATGTATTCAGTTATCTTAGGACCTGCAGTCATGAAAAGGCTAAAATTTATGTTTGCTTGAAACTATTCTTTACTCGTAACTGCTAATAAATTTTTATTTTGCCTTGTCACAACTCTATGCTTTTGTCATCTAAATATGTTATCAAAATAGAGTAATCATACTGAAATTATAATCTAGACTAGATTTCTGAGAACAAGAACTTCTATAATTCACTTTTCTATCCCAAATATCTAGAATGGTACACAGCACAGAATAGGCATTCAAATATTTGTTGGAAAATATTATTTTAAAAGAATTATAACTGGTGGGATTAGTAATGTTTATTCTCTTTGCATAGTTTATGATTTCCTGCATTTTCTACATTAAGCATGTATTAATTTTAAAAATATACACTGCGATTTTAAAAAAGAAAATCAACATGTATCCCTTATATCTTCATGTAGTTTATAATGTATACAATAAGGTAAATCAAACAGATGTGCTGCTTAATCCCCAAGAGTAACCAAACAGAAAAACATTCTTTAAAATTGAGATATTGCTAAATTTTAAATTAAATTTAAAATATTACTTTTAAGAATATTAAGCTTTATTGTCCAGAAAGATATCCTTCCATAAATCCTAGTGTACTTAGAGAGCAATTTCTTTGAGTTTTTTGTTTTGTTTTGTTTTGGTGGGGGGCCAAAGTCTTGTTCTGTCATCCAGGCTGGAGTGCAGTGGTACGATCTTGGCTCACTGCAACCTCTGCCTCCCAGGTTCAAGCGATTCTCTTGCCTCAGCCTCCAGAGTAGCTGGGACTATAGATGTGTACCACCATGCCCAGCTAATTTTTGTGACGGGGTTTTGCCATTTTGACCAGGCTTGTCTTGAACTCCTGGCCTCATGTAATTCACTTGCCTCAGCCTCCCAAAGTTCTGGGATTACAGGCATAAGCCACTGCGCCTGGCCTGTTTTTCATTAACAGAATCATTTTCTTTTCAAAAGGTTCAAATAACCAACAGTGATTTTTTTTTTCTTTTTTTTTAAGAGATGGAGTCTCGCTCTGTTGCCCAGGCTGGAGTAGAGTGGCACGATCTTGGCTCACTGCAATCTCCGCCTCCCGGATTCAAGCAGTTCTCCTGCCTCAGCTTCCCAAGTAGCTGGAACTACAGGCGTGCATCACCATGCCCACCTAATTTTTGTATTTTCTAGTAGAGACAGAGTTTCATTATATGTTGGCCAGGCTGGTCTCGAACTCCTGACCTCAGGTGATCTGCCTGCTTTGGCTTCCCAACGTGCTGGGTTTACAGGCGTGAGCCACTGCGCCTGGCCCAGAGTGATTCTTTTTGAAGACAAAGAAAGTTATATTATAAACAAACAACTTAAGAACTACATAATGGTTTGCTTTCCTCCAGCACCAACTTTCAGGTGAACCCAAACTGTAGAAAGAGAAAATATAGTCACTATCACATTTAGAAAGACTAAAATCATGCAGAGCAACTGTGTTACAGGTAATCATTTTATAGGAAAAAAGTTAATACAACATAAATTAGTTGAAAGTTGACTGATGTTTAATAACAGTACTCAAGATTTTACCATCCTTCTACATTCTGCAAAAGGGATTCATTAAAAGTTTTTAATCCTTTCAAAAAATAGGTACTATACCATTGAAAAAAATCCAGACTCTCAAAATAAATCCTGAATGGTTTCTTAATGTTATCATACTCCATTAAAAACAGAAAAGAAATTCAAATGTGCTAATAAATGTACTACATATACCGGAAAAAGAATAGGTCAGTGTCCCAAAATAGAATTATGTCTATTTTTAGCAAAATCTAAAATTAGTCTATTGAAGTATCAATTAATACATCTCATCTATAATAAAAGCACAAAGCCTAAAACTGAGAAATCCATGAGATTAATAAATATTTCATGTGGGAACTAATTGCTATGGACACTTGAAATCTATTAAATAGCCTTCGCATAGTGGTCTTAAAAGGTCATGCACTGCTACTACTGATCAAATGCTTGACATATTTAGTAGCAGAGGCACAGGATACAACCACATGCACTGTGATACCTGGCCTCTCCCTACCAATTTTATATTTCAGCTTCAGCTAAACCCAGACTATCGACTGTTTCCAAATTGGTATCTTGCAACTATAAGAAATAAAAACAACAGAGAAATTCACACTAAAATATACTATGAAGCAGCTGAAAACTGTATTCTAGCCCAATAAGCGACATCAATTCTCCCAATTTAAAACTATTCCATGTATTTCAGACCTTTCCCTCTCTTTGCTATAAGCAGGGTCTCAGCAATATGCTCAAAATATTTTGTTTGGACCCTTATCTTACACCATATTCAAAAATTGCCTCAAAATGGACTAAAAACCTAAATGTAAAACTTGAAACTATAAAACTCCTAGAAGAAAACATATTGGAAACACTTCATGACACTGGATTTGGCAAGGATTTCTTGGATATGACACTAAAAGCACAGGCAAAAATAGACAAATGGGACTACATTAAAATTAAAAACTTTTGCACATCAAAGGACACATCAACAGAATGAAAAGGAGAAAATATTTGCAAATCGTATCTGATAAGAGGTTAATATCCAGAATATGTGAGGTACTCCTACATCTCAACAATAAGAACAAAAAAAACAGGCCAAGGATGTGAACAGACATTTCTCCAAAAATGATACAGAAATGGCCAACAAGCATATAAGAAGTTCAGCATCACTAATCCCAGGAAAATGCAAATCAAAACCACGAGATATCACCTCATACCCATTAATATGGCTACTATTAAAACAGAAAAGAACAAGTGTTGGTGAGAACATAGAGCATGTAGAGAAACTGGAATCCTTCTGCACTGACAGTGAGATTGTAAAACAAGTGCAACCGCAATGAAAAACCGTATGGAGGTTCCTCAAAAAGTTCGACTACCATATGATCTAATAATCCCACTTCTGGGTATACATCCAAAAGAATTCAAAGCAGGGTCTCAAAGAGACATCTGTACACTCATGCTTATGGCAGCACTATGAGCAATAGCCAAGAGGTAGAAGGAACCCAAATGTCTACCGACAGATAAACAAAATGTGGTATATGTATACAATGGTATATTATTCAGCTTTACAAAGGAAGGAAATTCTGTCACATGCTACAACATGGATGAACCTTGAGGTCATCATCCTAAGTGAAATAAGCAAGTCACACAAAAAAAGACATATATTGTATGATTTCATTTACATGCGGTATCTAAAGTACTCAAATTCTAAAAAGTAGAAGAGTGGTTACCAGGGACTGGGGAGAGGAGGAAATGGGAAGTTGTTTAATGGGTACAGAGCTTCAGTTTCATAAGATGAAAAAGTTTTGGAGATCTGTTGCACTGTAATGTGAATATATTTAAACGTGTACACTTAAAAATGGTTACGATAGTAAATTTTATGTGGTTGCCACAATAAAAAGCTGAAGCAATGTAAAATATTATTCTGTTAAATATTCATAATTTTGGTAGAATTTATTTTACTTCAACCACTGAAAATTCAGCATCCAAACTGAGATATACTGTCTAAGTGCAAACCATTTCACTAGATTTCAGTACTTAATATGGGAAAAAAGAATGTCAAATCACATTTACAATTTCATATTGATGACATATATTTTGAACACACTGCTTTAAAATATGGAATTTAAAAAATGTTATGCTTTAAGAACAATAATTAGAGAAGAATGTGGGGTCAATGGAACTGTGTTTGTTTTACAAGGTTAAAGATTGGAGCATATTTATAGGCTGGTGTGAAAAAGAAAGCAGGGAGAAAGAGATTAAACATAGAAAAGAAGGGAGTTAATTGATAAAGCCGCTCCTGAAGGAGACTTGAAGAGATAACAGGCACATTTGGAAAAACAGATCTGAGACTTAAGTAGGTAAAGTTCGGAAAGGGAGAGACAGAAAAGTCCTAGAGAAATCACAGCAGATCATCTCATTTCCTCCATGAAATAACCAGATTATCTGCAGACTATATAGAAGAGGTGGAGTTGGATAAAAGGGTTTGTAATGATGAAGTTTTGGACTAAATCATGAGTGATGAAGAACAAAACCCTCATTGGGGCTAACAAGACCCATATGATCAGGCCATGGCCTACCTCCCTGGCCTCAGCCCCTGCCATGGTCCCAGCTCTCTCTCATCCACCTCCTCCCCCTCCCTCAAAGTGCCATCCACCTCTGACTGCCTCCTCTGAGGGTTTACCTGTGTAACACCTACTCAGCCAGATATCTGTTTAAGGACAACTTCTTCAGGAAGTCTTCAGTGATACCCCACTTTGCAGAGACTAGGGCAGTTTCCCTTCTCATAACCCAAACACCCTATGCCAGCATCATCCAACAGAAAGATCACTTGAGCCACATGTGTCATTTCAAACGTACCAGTAGCTATGTTTAAAAAACGAAAAGAAACAAGTGAATGAATTATTATCATTTTGAGACAGAGTCTCACTCTTGTTGCCCAGGCTGGAGTGCAGTGGCACAATCACAGCTCACTGCAGCCTCAACCTCCTGGGCTCAGGTGATCCTCCCACCTTAGCCTCCCCAGTAGCTGGGGTCACAGGCATATGACACCACACCCAGCTGATTTTTTATAGAGACAGGTTTCGCCATGTTGCCCAGGCTAGGCTCAAAATCCTAAGCTTGAGTGATTCTGCTGCCTTGGCCACCCAAAGTGAGCCACCATGCCTGGTCGAATTATTTTTAATATTTTATTTAACCCAATATATGCAGAATATTATCTTGAATCGCCTCTAGATTGTAAACTCCATGAGGATACCACAGCATCCTTGGCTCAGTGTCAGAGCACTCAGTAGGAGCTAAACAAACGTTTACAAATTGACTGAAGGGTATGGGGGTAGGGGGTTGAGGGACATTTCCCTGCATTGAGGACCAGCCATTTAATTGGTGATACCAAAGCAATGTGGAGACAGAAGCAGAGTTAATCTGAACAGGGGCGTTATCTGGCAGGTACAACACAAAAGACAAGTCCAAGGGAGGCAAAGGTGCCAGTGGGAAGCATATTCCAGGTGTTTAACCATGGGCTTCCAAACTGGATAGAGACGCTCTGCAAGGCCAAAAGGTGTCCCTGCAGCAGGGAGGGGAGGGTGAGGTGGAACAGAAGGACTGGCACACTGTTGCTGTGAGGGGGAGGGGGCACTCTAATAGAAAGTGTGGGTATTGAGAGAGCTGCAAAGATAGGAGAAGAGACGGAGGTCCAACTACAGGATATGTAAGTTTTAAGATTTCTAACATGGAAAATTTAGGGAAACGACAAGATGCCAAATGAATGTTAAGACACAGTGGAAGCAGGCCGGGCGTGGTGGCTCATGCCTGTAATCCCAGCACTCTGGGAGGCCAAGACACGCAAATCACCTGAGGTAAGGAGTTCGACACCAGGCCAACATGATGAAACACCATCTCTACTAAAAATACAAAAATTATCTGGGTGTGGTGGCGGGTGCTTGTAATCCCAGCTATTGGGGAGGCTGAGGCAGGAGAATCACTTGAACCTGGGAGGTAGAGGTTGCCATGAGCCGAGACTGTGCCACTGCACTCCAGCCTGGGTGACAGAGCGAGACGCAGTCTCAAAAAAATAAAAATAAAAAAATAAAAATACAGGCGAAGCAAAGGTCACCCGGCTGCAAATGATTAACTACTCGAATGAATGTCTTTTAAGATTTTAAATACTACAAGGGCAGAGACAATCTTTTGTGTGCCACCCAAGCCCAGCACTTCTTAGGTACTTGTTAAATACAACTAAACTGAAGTCAAAGTTCAAATGTTAAAAATCAGATAGAAGTAAAACTGCCTTTGCAAAAATTATATCAGTGAAAACATAGCAGTGGGGAGATTTTAGCCAATTCTCTTCTTGCCTTTAGCTTTCAAGCTGCCCTTAATTATTCCTGGGCTTAAACCAAGCTAATTTTGGGAGAAATTTAGTTTATAGTTTAAATGGTAACAGCTCTTCCCCAAAATTCAACCACCTTTGTAAAGCTAATGAGGGACCACGAAGCTAGGCAACAGAGGAACCTGAATTCAGCTAAGGTATAGACATAAACAATTGCCAGCCACTATTCCAGAGGTCACAGGATATGCAACTTGCCCAATTACTCCCTCAGATAACATCACTACTGGAGAAACTAAGATTGGCCTTTTGAGATATCTGTTCAGGTTTTTTGGTTGGACCCACTGACCACTCCTGTGGCCTCACCCAGAAGCCACTCAGAGCATAGGAGTACCATTTCCCACACCCCCATGATTGTGCCCCCAACCAATCAGCAGCAAGCACCCATTGCCTAGCCACTCCCACCCCTTCCCCCAGACTACCTTTGAAAATAGCCCCCAAATGCTCAGGTAGGCTGATCTGGGTAATAATAAAATTCCAGTCTTCTGTTCCGCAAGATCTATGTGTGTAAAAACTCTTTCTCTATTGCAATTCCCTGCCTTGATAAATTGGCTCTATCTGGGCAGTAGGCAGGAAGAACCCATTGGGCAGCTAAAGAAGAAAAAGTCACAAAACTGAAATAAGATTTAAGTAAAGGTCTCCAATTTATGGGTTCAGTAATTATTTATTGGTCTAAATGATAAGGGTTCTCATAAACGATTAAGTCTTTAAGATTAGTAGCCGAAATCCCAACGGGGAAGGGGGTGGCAGGTATAAATATTTCCCAGACTTACCTTACTTTTATCTATAAAACAAAGTGATAGACAACAGAGCCTTGGAAACTGAGAGGAAATAAAAACACACTCAGGAGTGTTTTTTTCTATTCTCTTATTCAACACAACAGTCATCAACACAGAATACTTCTATGTCCAAATGTGGGCTCCCCCCGACACCCCAGTACACAAAGCAGTGGACACCAGCTGAGTGTCCTCTAGTTCAATTCAATTCTGACCTGGAGATAACCCCAGATCCCAAAGCTGAGGGCTCAGTCTCCAAGACCGCTCCCCTCTCCACCAGACACCAGTCGCAAGTGCAGGCCTCAGAAAATTCTAACTGACTGGCCTCAATTTGGGGTTCCCATAACCCCTCTTTGGGTTCAATTAACTTGCTAGAGCAGCTCACAGAACTCAGGGATACACTTACTTAGGTTTACCAGTTTATTATAAAAGATATTACAAAGGATATAGATGAAGAGATGCACAGGGCGAGGTACGGGGAAGGGGTGCGGAGCGTCCATGCCCTCTCTGGGGCGTGTTACCCTCCAGGAACCTCCATGTGATCAGCTGTCCAGAAGCTCTCTGAACCCTGTCCTCTTGGGCCTTTTATGAAGACTTCATAACATAGGTATGGTTGGTTAAATCATTGGCCATTGGTGATCAGCTTACCCTTCAGCTCCTCTGCCCTCCCTGGAGGGTGGTGGTGGGGCTGACAGTCCTAACCCTCTAATCCAGCCTTTCCAGTGCCCAGGGCCCATCCTGAAGCTACCTAGGGGCTGCCAGCTGTTCAGTCAACTCATCAGCATACAAAGACACTTAGCGCTTTGCAGATTCCAAGGAATTTGAGAGTTGTATGCCAGGAAACAGGGATAAAGACCATATATATATTTCACAACATCACAGAAGCTTAATCATAAGCCATCAATGTTGCAGTTCTTCTATATTCCTATAAGAACAGGGAACAGTTCAAGCTTCCTCACTGGATCAATTCTCTTTTGCTTTCCCTCTGACCAATGACTGTTTCAAAGATTTGGAGAAGTCTGTGAGCCAAGCCAGATCAAAGCCAATTTGGATCCAATTTGTTCATTAATGCATGCTGTCAACAAAAAGAGTCAAACTCTGCAACATATTTGAAGAGATTTATCGTGAGCCAAATCTGAGTGACCATGGCCCATGACACAGCCTTCAGGAGGTCCTAAGAACATGTGCCCAAGATGGTAGGGGTGCAGCTTGGTTTTATACATTTTAGGGAGGCATGAGACATCAATCAAAAAATTTTAAGAAATACATTGGTTTGGTCCAGAAAGGTGGGACAATTGCAGGGGGTCGGGGGTGGGGTGGGGGGTTGGGGGGGGTAGCAGGGAGTGCCATTCCAAGCCATAGGTAAATTTAAACATTTTCTGGTTGACAGTCGGTTGAGTTTGTCTAAAGCCCTGGGATCAACAGAAAGGAATGTCTGGGTTAAGACAAAGGATTGTGGAGACCCAAGTTCTTACTTTCAGAGGAAGCCTTCAGGTAGTAGGCTTCGATAGGTGGTAGTAAAACGTTTCTTATCGGACTTAAAGTCTATGTTAATGTTAATGTCAGAGAGGTATAACAAGTCATGTCCGACCTCCACTTCCCACTCATGGCCTGAAACTGTCTCTCAGGTTAAATTTTAAAAGACCCCTGGATGAGGAGGAAGTCCATTCAGATGGCTGGGGAGAGGGGGAAGCTTAGAATTTTATTTTTGGTTTACAATACATTAATATTTGTTTAAGTACTTAGGGATTCTGCAGTTAGCAAAATAGATAGGATCCCAGCTCTAGGAAGCACACATTCTAAAGGATAGAACCTACAACACCTGCTTCTTTAAAAGCATACTAACTAGAGGACAATTTATTATTGTAATGTCATGAGCACTTGCTTGTTAAAAAATTCCTTTTTTGAGATGGAGTCTAGCTCTATCACCCAGGCTGGAGCGCAGTGGCGCAATCTCAGCTCACTGAAACCTCTAGCTCCCGGGTTCAAGCGATTTCTCCTGCCTCAGCCTCCTGAGTAGCTGGGATTACAGGCACCTGCCACCACGCCCAGCTAATTTTCGTATTTTTAGTAGAGACAGGGTTTCACTGTGTTGGCCAGGCTGGTCTTGAACTCCTGACCTCGTGATCGCCCGCCTCAGCCTCCCAAAGTGCTAGAATTATAAGCGTGAGTCACTGCACCTGGCCAAAAAATTCCTCTTAATAACTTCTTAGAAGGCTAATACACAAAATAGCCACCTTTTCTGAATCCAACCAAACAAAATAACTTATTAACCACAGATTTTCCTACTGCTTTGTATTTTCTGAGGAAAAGAAACAGGTGCCAGGAAAGCTAAAAGGGATGTCTTTTGTAAGACTCTCAGGCCCTCCTACAGGGTCAATTTAGGTAGGCCTGCCCCAGTCTTCTAATTCTACATGCAAGATACATATGTATTACTTTTTCAAACAACACTGCTTCCTAAATAGAGGAGAACCTATGAAATGAGACCTGTGATTCTTTTTTAAAAACCTAGATGCATTTGGATAGAGGAAGGTGGGCCTGTGAACTCTAGCCCTGTAAGCAGGAAGGAAAGTTAAATAGTTCCTCATAATACAATTTAAAGATATCGGGTGGCAATTGTAAAGGAAAGAAAGAAGAGGGGAAGAAGGCCAAAGAGCCAACCAGATTACAAGAGCCTGGAGTCCTCCTTTCTTTGATGGTGGCCAAAATATATTTTAAGGATAGAAATGCCTAATATTCAATGTCAACACTTCTGATATCGCTCCACTGTGAACCCCTTCACCCTCCCCTTCCTCTAAATCTCTCATAAAGCTTACCATACTCATAAAGCCTTTCTGTGAACTCTTTTTCTTTTCTATTCTTTCCTAGCTCCTGTGAGACACAACTATCCAACAACTGCATCATGGATCTCTCAACCATCCATTTAGCACCTCCTTAGATTAGTCCAAAACTGAACTTATCTTCCCTTCTACACCTCTACCATCAATTGTTTTTAACTGCTCCTTCTCATATCCTCCAACATTCCACTAGCTCATTAATGTCATCATCTAAAGGAACAACTAATATTTACTGAGCACTTGGAATGTGCTAGGTACCCTGCCAAAGGCATTACATGCATAATTCCTCAAACCCTACTCAACAGGTACGACAATCATTTCCCAAATGTTAGGAAATCAAAGTTCTGTCAGGATAGTTATTCTAAGGGTAAGTAATAGAATTAGAATTTGACCCGTTTTAATTTCACAGCCAGCTTACCCAGTACATGTCAATCAATGCCTGAAGTCAAACAACCCAGGATTCATCCTTCCCTCCTTAAGCCTACCCAGTCACTTACCTAGTCCAGCCTCCTAGTCATACCTCTTAAACACCACGTCATTTCTCCTTCCACTGCCAGCACACTAGCATTTACTAAGTCCTTACTATCTGGCAATCACTATTCTAAGTAATAGACATGTTTTTTCAAGTTCTATCCCCCAAACTCTGAGATGACAAACCTAAGGAACAAAGAGGTTTCAGTGTATGACAGAGCCTGATTCCACCCCAGGTAATCTGAATAGAGAATCCCTGAGCACTTAACCCCTCCATTAGAACAGCCTCCAACTTAGTCTCCATATCGCCCATCTGGAAGCCCACCATCCTCCAGACGCTGCAGATATCTTTCTGGAATGCTTACCCGTTATCATGACATTCTCCTGCTTAAAATTAGCAGCTCAGTATCACTGACTGGATAAAGTCCAAATTTCTTAATCTGGTATAAAAAATCCTTCATTTTTCTGTTCAAGTCAATTCAGTAAATATTTTAGTGCCCAATGTAAGCAAGAAAAGGTGCCAAGTGTTCTGAAATGAATAATACATGTCCCTGACTACTACCTCCACCTCGGACACTGGGTCCTTCGGCCAGACAAGCCCATATGCAAAGCTCGTAATACAACAGCCCAAAGACACATACATTTATTTTTAAGTGGCCTGCGTGCTACGTGCCTACAATGTACGAAATCCCAAACCAATCTGAAGACTAAGTGCCTACGTAACACCTATTCTTACAGGTCTCCAGGCAGAAATGCTCCCTAAGTTCAAATTACTTCAGGGTAACTAGTGGGATAAAGGCATGGATCAGTTTCCAAATGAGAAAACTGGGCAAGAAGCAACCCCCGCCATCAATGGCTGGCATGCAGTAGGTACTTTATCAGTGGCTAAATGAATAAATAATGAAAAAATTTCAAAGTTGATGAGAGAAACAAGATATATGGAGAATGTAACACACAAGTGGGCCGAATTAAAAGTGATGTTATTCTACTTTGGTTCTCATTTGGCCTACTTTTACCCCATGGGAAAACTCACATGTGGGACTCGGACAAGCTAAAAAGCCAAAACTTTGTTATTCATGGCTCAACAAAGCTTTGACAAGCCAAAAAGGATACCAGATTCCCGCTTCCTTCTTTACCTGCCAAAGTCCATTTTCTAAAGAGGTGTGGGGGTGGGAATCAAATCTAGCAAAGTAAATAAAATTGATCTACTGAGATCCAACTTCATTAGTGCTGCATCGAAGTACATGCAAAAGAAATATCAAAACCTGTCCTGGGAAGAAGGCCAATTTACAAGTAAGTACTATTGCCGCAAGAATGTGAAATTCTTAAAGGCAGTTCCAATAAGCTGGAGCTCACAAGTGTTCCTCCTCCTGCACCGCCACCGCTTTTCACTCAACTTTGTTTCTGATTTCTGTGATTTTAAAAAGCATAATATACACAGCAAAGCCCATGCATAAGTGTACTTTAGCTCCTGGTACAAACGAACGTCTGGATTCATAAACTTAACGTAAACTGAAATACTAAAAGAAACACTACATGAGTCAAAAGTCCTTGTTTAAAACGTGGCATACAGCTTTGAAAAGCGAGTGATGTATTTCCTGAATGATGCTTTGTGTGCAACTGCTTCCAAATCAAGATTCATATTTTTAAATTACCCCCTGGAAGATGTCAAATCTCTCTCCCACCCTCTCCAGCCTAAAGAGAAAGGTGAGAATTCACAGGCAACAGGCTGGGGCGGAGGGAATGATCTCTCCCCATCCCTTTCCAGAGAACAAAACCCGATAAAGGCAGCTAGTGCCACTCTCATTGCCGACACCACACACACACAGAGGAAATTTAAACACTCACCCCACCTCTCCCTTCCCTTAAGAAGCAAACGACGCCAAGCTCTGCACCACGGTGGCCGGAACCAGCAAACGCTAACAGCCGGAGGCCGCCCGCCTCCCGGGCGCCTGCAGGCGGCGGGCACCGGGCGCCGACTCTCCCTCCTGGACCAGACCCACACCCGAGTCCACGCCAGCCCCGCAGCCCGGGCGAGCGAAGACAGCCGCGAAGGACCAAGGCTCCGGGGCGAGCTGTGGCGCCGCTCCGGCCGCCTCCCGGGGCGCGGCGCTGACCCACACCCAGCTGACGCCCGCACCTGAGGCGGCTGCCCGCAGCCAGCGAGAGGGCGCGCAGCGAGGCGGGCAGGGCAAAGTTACTCACTGGGAAAGCGCGGCTGCCCGGGCCGCGCACGGGCTCCTGGCGCCGCTGCTCGGCACCAGCTCCCGCTCTCCGCGGCCCGCTGAGGGAGCGGAGAGCCTGCCCGGCTCCGCTCCGCCAGGAATCGCCGCCGCCGCCGCCGCCGCCGCGGATTTCCTGGCAAAAAGCAAACTCCGGCCAAGACTTCACTTCTCAACCGCCCCTGCTGCCTTCCCGGGGGCAGCGCCAAGGCCGAGCGGCCCAACCCGCACCCGGGCCAATCGGAGGTAGCACAGGGCGGGAGGTGGGCGGACCAGAGGGCGGCTCCACCTATCCGAGAGCTCGGGAGGCGGGCCAGAAGGGACCCGTCACTCCCGGGTTAGAGTGAGACCACTCCGCCCTCGCCGCCCGCCTCCCCCACTCGCCCCGGGCTGTCCCCGCCGCCCGCCTGATTCCCCTGCGGAAGCCCCGCTGGCTAGGTGTCTGCGCGCACCCCCGGCCGCCGCCAAGAGTGGCACAGCTGGGGAAGGAGTGAACATCCAGAGGAATCGCGGGGCGGGGTGGGGGGAGGCCAGGAGAACAGGTGGCGCAGGGAAGCAGAAACGTAGTTGCGCTGGACAGCTGGAGTCGGGCAGGGTCGGGGCCAGCGGCGAGGGGACAAGAAGGGCCGATTCGAGAGGAAGCGCACCTGAGGGAGCACAGCGAAGGCCGGGACGCAGGGAGCTGGATGGAGAGCGAGCCTGGGCGGCGAAAGGTTGCCGAGGCGGGGGCTGGGCGCCTGGGAACAAAGGTGAGGGCGGGTTCCGCAGGTGAGGAGGTTTGAGGAGCCACTGGGGAGAAAGGGAAAAGGAAGTCTACAGCCGGAGAGGACGCGCTCTGGGGGTAGAAGGAATCCTAGGACGGAAAGGATAAGGTGGGAAACAGTTTTCTCCCAAACTCTCACTCCCCCAAAAGAGACATTTCTTTCTTGCCCTATTTTGACCCAGTTGAAAATGCAACTGCAAGCTCCCCGGTGAAACAAATACCGCCTTCAACCTTCGTATTCTGTGGTGACTCATCTCGCACGTGACCCCCCTCCCTCTTCAAGGTGTGTTGACCGACTACAGTTTAAGCCTGTCGTCCCACAAAAGGCCCGGGAGGGCCGGGGTCCCAGGAAGGGCCATCCTGGGTCAACACCGCCCCAGTTGGGAAGTCGGGCCGCTTTCGGACTTGCCACTGGGAAGGGAAGTGATTTGGGGGCGGCAGGTAAGGCCGCGCCCCTTCGCCATCACCTGGGGAAAGGTACCAGAGTTGAGCCGGGGCGCCCGCAGGCCTGTCTGGGCCTCGGGGTAAGGCGGCGCTGGCCCCGCCCCCTGCCCCTCCCGCCGCGAGTGGCCTCGCGTGGTCGCCCAGGTGAGCCGCGGGGCCGCGAGCCACCGCTCACCCCGCGTCGGGGCGGGGGCTGGGGGTGGAGCCTCATGCCCCGCCCCGCGGCTGGGCCCTGCCGCGCCGCTGCGGCTCCTCCTCCCTCCTTCCGTCCTCCGCGCCTTCCGTCGGTCGGTCCTTGCTTCCTGCTTCGCCTCCGCGCCTCGCGCTATGGGACAGAGCCCCCGATCCGCCAGCACCACCTGAGGATCCAGAAACCGCCCCAGCGATGGAAGAGGATCAGGAGCTGGAGAGGTAACGGCCGAGGAGGAGGCGGGCGGAGCGGGCCGCGCCCAAGGGGAGCGGGTGGCCGAGGGGCACGCTGCCTGGCCTGGCAGCCGGGGCCTGACTCGGGGCGCAGAGAAGAAGCATGGAGAGAGAAGTGGGGAGGAGACATGAATGTGTTTCAGTTGAGAGGCTGAGAGGTACACTAGCTATCAAGGAGGGAAGACAAGTTGGGAGACCAGAGTTAAGTATCCGAACTGCCCACCCCCGTTACAACAGCAGTGTGTAAAAATCACGCCCCGGGCCTCTGCTCCTGAGGACGGTACTCGTGCCTCTGTCCCTGTAACTACGGCTCACCTTCTTTCTATGTGCAGACTGCTCCTAAAGCCACTCTGTGCGCTGAGCTCTTTTTCTCCCTGCTGCTTGACTCCTGAACCTTCCATTCTCCTAGTTTCCTTCTCTTGCAAAATGGAAGCCGTAGTTGGGCCTGCACATTGATCATCTGTATCCTCTATTTTTATACTAGAGCAATCGGGATTTCTATGCCTTTCAACCCTCTCTTCATCCTCTAGCAGGACCAGTCCTATTCTAATCCTATCCCTTGCTTGTGACTCTACCAAAAAATATTTTTGCAAACACTTAAGTTTGTGTTTTTCTAAGAAAACTCCCCTTGTGGCCAGTGTGGATGGTCAAATGGAGCAGGGAAAAACTGGAGGCAATAAATTAAATATTTATTGATAGAGTTTGTGGAGGCAGGAAAATGAGAGGCGAATAATTCTGTGTAGCTGGAGTAGATTAATAATAATGTGTTGCAATGTGATATAGTAAATGAGAAAAAGCTAGTTACAAAACAATATTCAGTATGATCTCATTTTTATAAAAAATATGTGTGTAGAAAAATATCTGGATTGAAGACCTCAATGGCTGAAGGCGAGAGGAAGACAGCCCTGGAAATGGTCCAGGCAGCTGGAACAGATAGACACTGTGTGACATTTGTATTGCACGAGGAAGACCATACCCTAGGAAATTCTCTACGTTACATGATCATGAAGAACCCGGAAGTGGAATTTTGTGGTTACACTACGACCCATCCTTCAGAGAGCAAAATTAATTTACGCATTCAGACTCGAGGTACCCTTCCAGCTGTTGAGCCATTTCAGAGAGGCCTGAATGAGCTCATGAATGTCTGCCAACATGTGCTTGACAAGTTTGAGGCCAGCATAAAGGACTATAAGGATCAAAAAGCAAGCAGAAATGAATCCACATTCTAGTCCTTTATGCAGTATACAAGGAGAACTGTCCTGTAGGATATTCTCTTCCTGATGGTGCAGAACCCAGAATTAGAAGTTTGTGGTTACAGCATACTCTGTCCTTCAGAAAGGCGTGATTCTAGCTGTTGACCCCTTGCAGCTGTTGGAATCTCTGCAAGAACCTCTGTATTCTTCTAATAAATTCCCTCTTTTATTTAAACTAGTTTGACTGGTTTCTGTTCCATGCAACCAAATGGTCCTTGAGGATGACTTTTTTTCTAATTAAGCCAGCATTGAAAATGAGGAAACTGAGAATATCAGAGGCCTAGACAAGAACTGTGATCATGGGAATTAAAAGAAGTATATATCCATGTCTGTAGTTGGAGTGGTGGGGGTAAGGGAAGAGACAAAAACCATGACCCCAGTTAGATTGTTGTTTAAAAACAGAAGGAAAGAAGATTGGGGTGGGGACTTGGCTTCTTGCTAAACTTTTTGGCTTTTAAAGAATTGCATCATTTGCTGTGATTGGTAGACTTGGCAAGGGTGGGAATAATTTGGAAGAAGTGTGAGAATTCTGGTTTTACATGAGAGTTTTAGGGAGTAAGGCTCCATCTTTGAGGCATTTACAGGAAAGATACCAGTTTACTGCTTGAATTTTGGGATATACTTAGTCATGATCTAAGTAAGGTAAGATGTTTTGATTATATTACAGAAGGAGAAAATTGGGATGACTAGAAAACATTTTCAGTCCTTAAGTAGGTATAGCCTAGGGTAATGTAGAAGAAGCCCTATTTGAGAGAAGGTAAAGCCAAGGAGAAGGAAAATTCCATATAGGGGAAATGACTGTTTTGGAAAACACATATCCCACCCGCCAGTGCTCTGTGCTTTGGGCCCTTGTTTATCTATCCCCTCTTCCTGGGCCAGTCTTACTCCTGCCGTACTCTTAAGTCAAAGCTTATGTGTCAGGCCTCTCAGCCTAGTTTGGGTACTTCTTTGTGCTTTCATTACACCCTGTGTTTCCTGGCCTTGGCATTTACTATGCTATTGGTAGTGCTTATCTTGTTTACCCACTAAACCAACTTGGAGGTCAACATGATTCTGGTACCTGGAACACCTGACAGGTAGTGGACACTTAGTAAATACTCTATGAATTCATGTAAGTAGTTATGGCATGCAGCTTTTCAGTCACTCAAACCTGACCTCTTACACTAGCGTGCCATAGAGCCTACATTTCCTACACTCAGCCAAATTCTTTAAAGAGATATCCATATTTTTGAGCACTAGTATGTTCCAGGCCTTGGGGATAGATATATAGCTATAGTGGATGAGACAGAGTAAGTCCTGTTCTCATAAAGCATGTGTTATAAGAGCCCCTTAAAAAAAAATTGTGAGGCTCGGCATGGTGGCTCACACCTGGGAAGCCAAGGTGGGAGGATCACTTGAGCCCAGGAGTTTGAGACAAGCCTGGGCAACATGGGGAGTCCCTGTCTCTACAAAAAAATAAAAAAGGTAGCCAGGCATGGTGACACATGCCTGTAGTCCCAGCTGCTTGGGAAGCTGAGGCGAGAGGATATCTTGAACCTAGGAGGTTGAGGCTGCAATGAGCCATGATCACACCATTGCACTCCAGCCTGGGTGACAGAGGGAGACCTTGTCTCAAAAAAATATATAAAATTAAAAACTTGTAATTCTGTAAAAGCAGCAAATGTAGGGTCAAGATAGAAAACATAAGAAAGGAATCTACTTTAGGCACGGAAGTTAGGAAAGGTGTTCTAGAGATTACAGGAAGGGAGAGAGCTGGCTGTGCAAAGAGGAGAGAAAATGCATTCTGGGGGTATAGCATGTGCAAAGGTCCTAAAGCAGAAAACTGGTGGCATGAGGAACTGAAGATATTGAACAAAGATTTGCATGTTTTTGTAGCACAGTAGACAAGGAGAAGGGCCTGTCCTCTGGAGTCCATGGGAGGAAGAGTTGGGGTAGTAGGGATTTTGGATTTTAGGTTCAGTGGGAATGACGTCTTCTTTACTTTGATTACAGAGTGGGGGGAGATGAATTATAGGGAGGCTGGAGTAGAAGCAGAGAGAGACACTATAAAGAGTTGAAGTGGCCTGGAAGGGTAGAAGCTAGTGATGGAGAAGAGAAGGTAGGTTTGAGGTATATTTTAGAATTGAATTGGCACAGAATTGGTACACTTCAGGAACTGTGGAAGATGAAGAATCAAAGATGACTACTGCCTAGCTTTGGGGCCAATTACTGAAATTGGGAAGCTTAAAATGGAAAATAGATTGGGAGGTGGAAAAGATGATAGGAGTCAAAAGTTTCATTTGTGAACATTGTAAGCAGTGGCTATGTGAGTTGGAGATCGTGGAAGAGATCTAAGCTGGAGACAAATTTTATGAGTCCTTGCCATAAAGATGACATAAATTGATTAAAAAAAAAAAAATAGAGGGTGACAAAGAAGTGGGCCCAGAACAAAGCCCTAGGCAACTTCAGTATTTAAAGTTTGGGTCAAAGAAGAGTTAAAGATAAGAGTATTTGTAAGTTTGGGTCAATGTAATGGTAGGAAAGTGCAAAAATAGGGTGTGGAAGCCAAGGGTTTCAAATAGGGAATAGAAAAATGTCACCTGGAGTTAACGTGGAGGTCACTAGGCAGTAACAGCATTAGTTTACTGCCTAAGAAGAGTAAACATTACCACTCATTATACAGAGGAATGGCTTAGTTTGGTTTTCCAATAAAAGAATCACATGAAGACATTGGAAGAGGTGAGTTTAGGCGGGAGCAGGGATGTCATAGGGCAAGGATACAGCATATTCTCTTATGGTGACAGTAAGAAATTCTGGAAAGTCAATGTTTGTTTAAGGGCATTAGCCTTTGAAGATAAAAGGAAGCTCAAAAAGGATGTGGAAAAGGATTAAAAACTTTTTTCCTCTCCCAAAACTTTGCCTGTGGGGATAGTAAACAGAATTACTTACCTGGAGTTTAATTCCTCTAAACCAAGGCCTGTCAGGAGATGAAAACAAAGTTTAATTAGTGGACATCAAGGTACAGACTGATGATAGTAGATGAAGTACAGTGGGAAACACAGCCAGAGGCGACCGCTCACCACATCACAACTTCATTGCACCTAAAAGAATTTAGACTGATCACGTAGAATGCAGTCTTGAATGTCTTTAGGGTGACCATAAACTCACGGGTTCATACAAAACACCTGCAGAAGGCAGTTGGGTGGAGGGAAGAAACTGAGAAGGGGGCAGGCAGGTTAACCAAGAGTCTTGTATATGTGAAAGGAATCTGCATAAAGTCTGTAGGGACCTGAGGGAAAGCTGAGTTGGTCCAAAAAGGACTAGGGAGATGAATGTGAATCTTATACATCCTGTGAAAAGTTAATCCGCATCTGATTTGCACTCCAATAGCATTTCATTCTAAATAAACTCATGCCAGTGATTCAAGATCAGAAATTCTCTTCAGCTGTAAAGTACTGTGACTTTTAAAAAGCTGATTATTAAATATATACCAAAGGCTTTTAACATGTAGTAATTCTGAGTACTTGCTGGTACTTTCTATTTTCAAAGTACTTTACAAGCTAATTATTTACAAATTGCATATAGCTGTAACATCTAAGTACTCTAATTAGTTGGCATAATGCACAGGTTCACACAGAATCTCGAGAGATGGAAAGGTGTCTACAAAGTGGTCTCTTCAGTACTGACCCAAAGAGTGTCTTGCATCTCAAGAGATAGGAAAGCATATCAAGTTCCGTGGCCTACCACTCCCCACTCTTCTTTTAGTTTCCCTTAAACACGTTATTCAGATTTTAGATGGTCTCCAGATCACTAGACAAAAGTCTTCTTTTTGGTTAGCGTAATTTAGAGTCATTCTTTGTAACAACCTTTAAACTGGTCTCTTAGGAAGTTTACCCAAATCTACCCATCTGCTTTCAAGTACTTATTAAGACCCCCAAACCCAGCCTTTTCTTGCTCAAATTCTTAATGTTGCTATTTTCTTTTCCTGCTTTATAAACTATCCTGGTACAGTTACTGCGTGGGTCTGGTTTTTTTTTTTTTCTCATGATGAAATTCTTCTCAAACTTGGATTATTAGATCTCTAATTATTTAACTATACAGTAAGTATGTACCTAATAGTAGCACAGTCCTGAGAAATGGTGGAAATAAGAGACTATGAGTCTGTCCTGAAAACCCTTCTGTGGTTTTGGAGAAGGCAGACAAGAGCTGTACACATGAAAAAGAAAACCAATTGTATTGACAATGAAGTGCCCGAATGTGCAGTGTGGAGTATTATGTGATGAATTCAGAATGGGATGGGTGAAAGGCACTGCTGAAACATCTATTCTTTCATGAGCACTCATTCTGTTGGCCAGTGAAGATGGCAAATAAGAATTGGCGGCTTATGATTAATAACAGGAATAAATGGTTTCCTTTTTTCCAGTGTAAGAGAGCTGTTAAAGATTCTTGAGCTAGAACTGCCGTAAAGTTTTAGTTTTTTTTTTTTTTTTTTTTTTTGTCCCATGCCTGTGTGCAGAATGGGTGAGTGGAAGGAAACTGGAAGACAGCAGTGAACTGGGGACATTTGTAATAGTCCAGGTATAATGTAAGGAGGGCATACTTGTAAGAGAGGAGATAAAAGGATGGATACAAAAAAAAAATGCTTAAACAAAAAAAGTAACTTGGAGACAGATTCTATAGAGGGGTAATAGAAGAGTTGTAGATGACCCCAAAGGCCCCATATCCAGGTTCATTTACCCCTTTGTTTATCCTACCATTCCCTCACAACCAAAAACCAGTAAGGCAGGATTTATCATTTCTTTTCTCCAGCCTGTCCTTACTAACGGGAGTTAGTGGGTGCAACCACCCTTACCTCCTTCCCCAACCCATATCAGAAGAATTCATGTATTTTACAAGGATATGAATCCAGGGCTACAGATGTGAAAATTGAGAGTTAAGAAGAGGCGATCAGGGCAGTGAACAGCCTGGCTCTTACGGTCTGCACTCACCAAGCTGCTTGCTTTACAGGGAATGTTTTCATTAATTGGCTCTGTAAATATTGAGCACATACTATACGGAGGCACAGTTTAGGGGCCAGGATACGGCAGTGAACAAGTTGGCCCACATGCAGTTTATTTTCTGATGGCAGAGTTAGACAATAAAGAAACATGCAAACATTTAATTTCAGGTAGTAAACTAATGATGACAAGGAGAAAACACTGAATAGTTAAGGAAGGCCTTTCTGAGGAGGTAACATTTGAGCAGAGAAATACAAGAAGAGAGAGACCAAGGATAAAAGAGAATGAGCCCAGAATTTTTTTAAAAACCTGAGCTTAGATTATTCAGCAATGAAAGAAAAATTATGAACCTTTCTAGAGGAATAAATTGTATATTTCAGCCTTGTGTTTGTGACTTTTATTAGTGCCTAAATTTATATCATCTGTTTTTAATCTGTATATGTATTTACCTAACAATTATAGTAAAGAATATTGGACTACTCTGTGGGAAGGAGGATATGTAGGATATTGGAGTTGTTTTCGATTGGCTGATACATGTATGTATATTGGAGGGGCTTATTTTAATTGAACTTTTTTATTCTTCTTTTGAGACAGTCGCACTGTTACCAAGGCTGGAATGCAGTGGTGCAATCTCAACTCGCTGCAGCCTTGACCTCCCAGGCTCAAGCAGTCCTCCTACCTCAGCCTCCTGAGCAGCTGAGACTACAGGCATGTGCCACCATGCCTGGCTAATTGTTTGTTTTTGTTTTTTTGTGTGTGGAGACAGTCTCACTATGTTGCCCAGGCTGGTCTTGAACTCCTGGACTCAAGTGATCCTCCCATCTCAGCCTCCCAAAGTGCTAGGATTATAGGCGTGAGCCACTGTGCCCAGCCAAAATAGACCTTCCTTAGGAACAGAAATTGATATGTGTGGAATCTTGGGTATCTTTTCAGTAAGCATAGGCATAGCAAACTTAGGCAGTATAACATTGGAATTTAGAGCTGTTGGACTCACAATGCCTGGGTTTTGATCCTGGCTCTAGACGTTAGCCATGTGACCTTGGACATACTGTTTGATCTCTTTGTGCCTGAGTTTCTTCTTCTGCAAATTGGGATAACAATAATACCATATAGGGATGTTACAAGTGTTAATTTAGATAATATTCAAAGTGCTTAGGACAGTACCTGAACCATAAAGCATACTCTCAATCAATGTTAGCTATTAATGTTATTATTGTAATATCATTGATGTTGAGCAAGCTGGGTTGGTTTATATTCCTTCATGTGAAAACTTTGAAACAAAAAATCTTAGTAGCCTGTGTATTTTTTTGTTTTCTTCAGTCTGTAATATGATTTGAGGACCCCTGTATGGAAGGTTATCAGTCTGTTAAACCCATAGCTTTTAAGAAAAATACTTTAAAATAGCATTCTTATTAATAGGATATAGAGAAAAGTCGCAGACAAATTGTGTTTCTCCTCTTTTTAAAAAGAAATTAAGATTCTGATGGAACATTCGTAATCATCCTTAAGCTTTAAGATAAAGGTTAAGCAGAAGGAAAAGCAAGTTCTGTAGCAGATGGGTACCTGGCTTGGTGCCAGGTATCTGGACTATTGGTAGGTAGCCAGGGCTCAATCTAGGTCAGTTGATTGTAAAAACTGCATTAAAAAGACTTTATTTATTTATTTATTTATTTATTTTTGAGATGGAGTCTCACTCTGTTGCCCAGGCTGGAGTGCAGTGGCGCGATCTTGGCTCACTGCAACCTCCGCCTCCTGGGTTCAAGAGATTCTTCTGCCTCAGCCTCCTGTGTAGCTGGGACTACAGGCACCCGCCACCAGGCCCGGCTAATTTTTGTATTTTTTAGTAGAGACGGGGTTTCACCATATTGGACAGGCTGGTCTTGAACTCCTGACCTCGTGATCCGCCCGCCTCCGGCTCCCAAAGTGCTGGAATAGCCAGCCTGATTTTTTTTATCTAGTACTGTTTCTCAGTATATTCCCTGTTCATTATGCAAGGCACTTAGCATATCTCAAAAACAAAAGCTACCTTGGTGCTTTTCTAAGTTTTACCTTCCTGACTGGAGTCAAACCTCAAAAAAATTATGAATAATGCCCCCACCAATTTTATTAAAAGGACTCCAAGAGAAAATCCAACAGCCTGGAGCATCTAATTACACAGAGATTGAACTAGTTGGCTTAAACAACAGCTTGGGGTTACAATTTTTGTTTTTTGTTTTTTTCATGGGTGGGAGAGACTTTCTCTTTCTCTGCTGACCTCTTTCAAGGCAGTGTTGTGTAGAGGCGAAGGGTAGGGACTCTGAAGTCAGAGGGCCTGTTGGCTCCACACTTCCTATCTTATGAATGTGGGCAAGTGATGTAACCTTTCTGAGCCTCAGTTTCATACCTATAAAATTAGGCTGATAGTAACACCTACTTCATAGGGCTATTGTGAGAAATAAATGAAATAAAACACTTAGCACAATTTCTAGTACACTTAAATACTCAAACATTAGCTATTGCTATTGATATATATGGTTGTTGTTCAAGTCAATTAGTGGGAGTTAAACTTATGGTCTTCATAGTACAGGTTGTGTCATGTTATCCATAGGAGCCCTCCTGGCTGGCTTGCATGAGCTGCCCGCCTCCCCCACCCTGCTGTCTACCCAAAGCATCACCTGTGACTCTGCCACGCTGGCCTTCTCACTTTTATGCATATAAGCCTAACATTGCCATTTCAGGGCCTTGGCACTTGCCCTTTACTTCCCGAACCTCTCTTCCCCTAAATCTTCACATGGCCTGTCCATTTCCAAAGTCGTTTGCTCAGAGAGACCATCCTTGACTGGGTATTAGTCCATTGCTGCGTAATAGATTATCCCAAAACTTAGTGGCTGAAAGCAACAAATACATCTCAGTTTCTGTGGGTCAAGAATCTGGGTGGAGCTTAGCTGGGTGATTTTGACTCAGGGTCTCTGACAAGGCTGTAGTCAAGATGTCATCCAGGCTGCACTCTTGAGGATTGCATGGGAGACGATTTGCCCACAAGCTCACTCATATGGGGCTGCTACATGCCATGGCAGCTGGCTTCCTGCCAGAGCCAGGAAAACAGAGTTAGAGAGAACCCAAGACAGAAGCCAGTCTTTTTATGCCCTACTCTCAGAAGTGGCATTCCATTGCCTCTGCTCTATTCTGTTGGTTAGACATGAGTCAGTAAGTCCAGCCCACACTTGAGAGCGAGTACATGAGGGTCTGAATACCAGGAGGTGGGGATCCTTGGCACCATCTTAGCGGCTGCTTACCCATCCGCCTTCTCTAAAGTGGCATGCACACCCACATACAAACCTCCATCACTCTCTATTCCTTTACCTTGCTATATTCCTTCATAGTACTCATTGTCAACTGACATTATATTATATATTTATCTATTTATTGTCTAACTCCACTTGAAAAATATCTCCTTGGCGGCAAGGGCTTTGTCCTTGTTCGCTTCTGAACCCCAAGCACTTAAAACTGGGTCAGGCACACAGTAGGCTTTCATTAATGTTTCTTCAGAAAGTCAATGAATAATGTGCATGATTACATACCAGTGTCAGAGTATGAGTACCACAACAGGAAGAAGGACTGATGATTTATAATGACATTATTTTGTACACTTATCAGCTGACATTTGCAACTCAGAAAGCCACCACAGTAACAAGCTTCAAGAAGACAAAAAATTATTGAGTGGGACAAGGAACCATGCCTATCCTGTGGCTTCAGTGGGAGGAGGAGCTGAGGGGAGGCAGGAGTAAGCATCATAGAGAGCCTTGATAAAGGTGGTTATGCTTTATATTCTGTTTCATTTTTGTCTTCTCTGTGTCCTCAAGAGCCTCTAACACTACTATCTTCACCACCTTGATCCCATGCCTCATCTGTTGTCTTGTCTATTGGTTTAAAAAGGTAGAATATCTCCCACTTGAAGTTGATTGATGGATATTTTTACTTTGCAAGAGCAGTATGGGAGAGTGATATGAATTTTCCTTGGGATCTTATCCCCACAGAACTCTAGGAGGGAAAAAGTGGTAGGATTGTAGTTTTGAGTACCATGAAGTGGAATTGAAAGGATTTGATTCCAAGGTATGCTGTTTTTTCAATGCCGAATAGTACACTCATTTCCTAACCAGCTGTCTCGTAAATCTATGCCATTTACTACAAATAGCATTGCTTTGGAAAAATAACAGAATGCATGCATTTGTTTTTCCAGCAGCTATTTAAGGTCCATTTGTTTTCCAGGTACCAAGAAAGCAAAGACGAATCTCATTTCATGCCTACCTTCACAGAGTTTGCAATCCGACTAGACCAAAGAGCTGTGTAGTAAAGAACTGAAGGATAGGTGTCATTTCTTGTAACTCTTTTACCTCATTAAAATTGCAGCACCCCCCGCCCCCCAGCACTCCTACCTTGTATTTTTTCTATAGCACTTATCTTCTAACATATGAGATATATAATTTACCTTTTTATTATATTCATTATATATTGCCTTTCCCTCTACCCCTCAAACACACACACTGTAACATAAGCTCTGTGAGAGCAGAGATTTTTGTTTTAATGTTCACTGATGTATCCACAACCCCTGGAACAATGCCTGGCTCATAGCAGGTGTTCAAAAAATGTTTATCAAATGAATGAATAGCAGATTGACTCTGTATTGTTTTTACATTAAATACCCCAAGAGCTGAACTTGAATTTAAAAAGGGAAATAACTATTCTATAAGCTTCGAATTGAGAACCACAAATTTGTGGTTGTGTGTCTTCAACTCCATAGTTTGTCACATGTAGTTGGCAAGAGACTGGGCCTGTCCAGGAGGAGTCAGACCTAGAGGTTCATTTAGGCAAAGGGTGACCAGAGCAGGCAAAGATAGAGTGCCAGAGGAGTAGCCTATGCAGTAGGAACCAAGCAGATCTGATAGATATTGCCAGGTAGATGATTCCAGAGGGGTCACCTGAGCTAAGAAGAATTGGGCATGTTGTTTATACACACATAAGAAGGCAGGGCTTTGTATCTGCAAGGCCAAATTTGACTGCAACGCATCTCACATTAATGAGAACTGACCCCCGCCAAGGCCGACAATGTTGGTTTTGTGAGCACCTGTTCTACCCATATACCTACTGTGTGATTTTGGATTTGGGGAATTCCCAGACCGATAATATTTCAAAAAAATCTAATGGGGTGAAAGGATGTAGGATTGCTTAAGTTTTATTTTGCCCTTACTTTGTGAAATGGACTTTCCTTCACTTCCATGGAAAATTGCCAGAAATCCTAGTCTTTATTTAGGTGACCTGAAGCACTTGAAGGACAAAACAAAGACTTAAAGCATTCAATAATTTGATGTCTGTTGTGCCATTTTTATCATGTTTGCTCCACAATAAATTGAACAGACTCTTGCACTTTTCCCTTGGGTCCTCATGAGCATTTGTCTACAACTGTTAATAAGTTACATGGGATCTAAGAATAAATTTTCATTGGAATTCAGATTTCAAGTGAAGGATCACCCAACATTGCGATCCCTCATCTAACATTATTTCAGATCCTGAGTTGCTGCTTTGTTCTGCATACTTAAACATAAGTCCCGGAGCTTGGAATACTTAACAAGGGGTTTGTGTTGCTGTTGTTGTTTCCAAAAGTGATTAAAATTGGTAATATAAAATTAATATAAGCTTCATTTATCTCTTCATTCCCTGAAGATGAGGAGTAAGAGAGTACCATCATCATATTCTTGTCAAAGTAAATGAGTTGGATTTATATTCTTTATCAGACCTTGTAATTGAAGCCTTCTAGACTTGATTCTACAGTTTTATTTCTGCTTTTTGTTTATTGGTTTGTTTACATGGCAAAGACTGCAGTTTGTCCTTAAATGGATGGAAAATATTAGGGATTCCAGGGGCTTATGATTAGAAACTTATGATTAGTTTGTTTATATGGCAAAGATTGTACTTTGTCCTTAAATGGTTGGAAAACATAAAGGATTCTAGGGGTTTATGATTAGGAACTGTTGTGCTGAAAATGTCTGTCTTTAGAAGTGTTAGCTTACAGGTGTGTCACTGTCTGCTGCCCAGACTTGTAGCAAGCAAGCAGAGGATTCCCTTCCTATTTCCTTGTTCTAATAAGTTGGTCCCCATCGGAGAGCAATGAAAGATCAGAACAAGCCAGAACATGAGGAAGCCAACTAGACTTACTCCTGGCCAAAAGCAGACAGCCTAACAGACACGTAACTGTGACTGTAAAGTAAGAAGACTGATTTGCCTCACCAGGTAGGAAAACAAGTTTAATCCTCCTTCAAGGTAGATAGTGTCTTTTCCCCTTTATAGAAAAGGCAACTGAGACCTGGGGAAGTTAGGTAACCAGCCTAAGGTTATATGACTAGTAATTAGATAGGAACTGAAAGATGGCCTGACTCCATAGACTCTGCTTTTTTTTTTTTTTTTTTGGCACATGGTCTCACTCTGTCACCCAGGCTGGAGTGCAGTGGGGTGATCTTGACTCACTGCAGCCTTGACCTCCTGGGCTCAAGCAGTCCTCCCACCTCAGCCTCCCAAGTAGCTGGGACCATAGGTTCAAGCCACCAAGCCTGGCTAATTTTTGTATTTTTTGTAGAGATGGGGTTTTGCATGTTGCCCAGCCTGGTCTCGAACTCCTGAGCTCAACCTATCCACCTGCCTTGGCCTCTCAAAGTGCTGGGATTAGTCATGAGCCACTATGCCTGGCCAAACTTAGCTTTTAATGGGCGTGATGTTGTCGATGTTACCTGCCTTGGACTCATAAAGATAACAGCTTTGCCAGAGCATATCCTCCAAGGAGTTCAGTTTAAGAGACAAAATTGTTGGCCTAGCTGAAACATGCTGGCAATAGGGGCTGTTCTTTGTAAATCTTAAACATGAAAAGAATCAAATGAATGAGAGAGTAACTTGTTAAGAACCCAAATAAAGGTTTACTGACAATACTTGGTTTCTGAAAACACCATTTTTCATATTATTAAACGTTATTAGTATTATCTTTAAATATGTTCATTTTAACTTTTTCATCTATATTGTGCTAAAGCAGTACTTGATCATCCTCAAAATATAGAAACTTTTATTCACGGATTGAATGAAATAAGGGTATGTGTTATTTGACAGGACTCTGGATATGAAGTCAGAAAGCTCTGGGGTAGAGTCAGCTGTTCCCCTTACTGGTTGACCTCAGACAAGGCAGCCTCCCTAAGCCTTGGTTGCCTAAACAATAAAAGGGAAACAGGAACTTCAAGGGTTCATCTCAGACTTGGTGAGGTAATATATATTATTCAGTAAATTGCTGTGCACATGATATTTTAGTTAACATACATAACTATCAATAGTCTATCTATGATTACTATTAAAATTATAACTATAAAATGATTATTTTTTTAAAAATTCTTAATAGATTTGTTCAGTGCTCTATAGTTACAAAGTAACTATATATATATATATATATATATATATATACATACACACATATATATATATAAATTGTATTTAATCCCCCTAAGAATTCTGAAAGGATAGTAGAAATATCTTCATTTTAATCGCATAGCTTTGTGACCTTGAATATCACAGGATCACAGAGCTAGTAGGTGCGGAACTGGGACTCATTTTCTCACCACTATATTGTGGCTGCTTTCTTATTCTCTTAAGGTTACTTGATGGTGTCCTAGATTTAAAACTGTAAAGGAAGAACTGCATAATTTGTCTTCTAAAAGCACTGAGAGGTGTTTTAGGGACTATATAAAGATAGAACAGTTACTGAGTAAGTCTATTCAGTCTGGATTTTTCGGGTAAGAAATTCTGCTCTGAAGCTTGTGTATTGCAGATCACAATAATCATAGACACATCACATAGCATTGGGATAGTGTTAGTGTTGGTACTTAAAGTGTTGTCCTCTAAAGGTAATGATCCTGGGCTAAAATATTATAATTATAATCTGTCTCCTCATCGTTTCTCCCTAGGGTGACCATACATGCCATCTAGGCTTAAATATTGGTAATTTTGAGTTAAATTTTCAAAAACCAGATATTATTTAGTGTTAGGCAAGTTGTTAACTTCTCTAAACCATAATTTCCTCGGTTTTATATGACAAAGTTAAACCAGATGGCCTCTAACTCTAACATTTGAGAAACTTTTCCCTTACATTTTTTAATAATATAGATTGTATTTAATGGATCTTTACCCAAACATTTTGGTTCAGGTAATTAAAATGAAAGTTATAGTGAAAAGATCCTTGAAACTTTTCTAAAAACACTGGGCGTTCAGGAATTAATATAGTGTATGTCCCGATTTCTATCAAGCAAACGCTAAGAGAGAATTGTAAATTTAGGGGTCTAATATTTCAAATGAGATGTGAAAGTATGGTCCCAAGCATTTGTACTGAAAATGCAGCGCCCCTTTCTTGGTAAGCGTAAGAGTGTATTAGACTTTGGGAGGAAGCCAAATTATGCTGTTTGGATAATCAGCATGATCTATCTCTCAGAATTTTCCCCTGCGGTCTCAATTGGGTACCTATTCTATTTTTAACTTAGTTCTAAACTCTTTGTTAGCATTGCTCCATCCAATTAAGCTGCAGCTGCTGTTCCATCCCTAAGGATTGTTTATGTTTCAGTGGATGAGATGGTCCTAATATGTACGGCTACTTAAAGTATAGTTTTAATTCAGGGACAAGAAAAGATTGTGTTTAAGTTTGTGATATTTTTTAAAACAATGCATAGTTAAACATTGGCTCTAGAACATGCTTTCACATTTCCCTTCTTAGTTATATCATCACATATAATTTATAAGTCTCTGAATGATAAAGTGTGGTTTGCTGGGTTTTGGTTGTCTTGCAGCTGGTTTCTGATGCCAGAATCATCGATTGTATTACTCTCTGTGGTTTCTTTCTTTTGGCAGCTGATGTGTTGTTGGTATGATATGTGTTATGATATAAAGGTAAAGGTTGGATTAATCGTAATAGAATTTTCCATGCCTTGGGTTTTTCTCCATACTATAGAGATTAGTCTCCATGAGCTGCTTCCTTCCTTCCTTTCAGTTAATCTCTGCAGCCTTTCTAGTGGTTCCTCCTGTGCTGTTGAATTCAGCATCTGTAAGAATGTGTTTGCATTGTACCAGAGCTCTACAACTTTGGCCAGCTAAGAAGGAAGCATCTCTGGGAGCTTTGAATGTCAATATAAAACCTTATTTGCACAGTTGTGCACTTTTGGCTGACTTGTTCAGTGGACCATCTAAGTTCATCACTTTGAACTTTTATAAACATTTTCCTTAAAGGGATGCTGCTCTCAAAGTTAGGTTTATGTGTATGTTTAAGCGCTTAACTCTATTAACTACTCCTTTATATAAATATGGAATTTTCCCAAAACACTTGTATATATATTAACTAAGTTTTTAAAATTGTAAAATGGGATTTAAAATTACCTTGTCCTACTTAATTTCATTGCCGTATAAATTGGCACCAGAAAAACAACTTGAAACTTGACGGTGTAGGGTTTAAAGAGTTAAGAATTTACTGATGGGTTTTAATACATTAAAAAAAATTTTTTTTTTTTAGAGATAGGGTCTTGCTGTGTTGCCCAGGCTGGCCTCAAACTTTTGAGATCAAGCCATCCTCCCCCATCAGCCTCCTGAGTAGCTGGGACTACAAGCATGTGCCACCACACTGGCATAAATTTTTTTTTTGTATAGTATATTTTTGTAGTTAATTATTGATGTAGAAAATATTGTCTACGTATATATGTACTATTTTTTCAAAATCTCTCCCTGCCAGTGTGTAGAGGAAACTACCATATGCCTCAAAGCCATGTTTGATGCCTAGAGTGTGAAAGACAGAAAATGCCTGGTGATCAAGATGAGGCCTGGTCTGGCAGTCCCCACAGCAGGAGGGAAGCACAGTTGCTCTAGAGTGGGCTACACCCTCTATTTCACTGGCCCTTCATCATCTCTTGCCTCTAAGGCAGGACTGTGCCTTGCACTTAACGGTCACAGGACTGTCACTGAACCTGTGATGTTGTCTGTGGAGTGCAGGCTTTCTCTTCTTCCCATCTCATTGTGTATTGCTAGATTTCTAAGAATTAGAAGTATACACATGTTTTCTTCCTGGGGTTAAAAATGGCTTTATTCAGATGATGACAGGTAAATTATTTATCTTGAAATAGCATTTTCAAGAGACTAATTTCTATGTGTATTTTTAAATGAAAACACTTTTTAAAGAGCATGAAATGATGAGATGCCAAAATCCTACACATTCTAGAACTTTCTTTTATGTTCTTTTTTTCCCTATTCTTTGGCTTTTAGCTTTGAGTATAATTTATAATCATTTGCTGAATCAGAGACTGAAATCTACAAGGGGTGGACAGCTTGTTTTCTAGCAGATTACTGTAGCCTTGACACGCTGAAGAAAATAGCTTCAGCAGGCTGACCAGACTTTCTGCTGAATAGGCCATCCTCGGGGCTGAGATCCAAGAGCTCTGAGGTATTGTTTAGGACAGTCTACAGAGAACTGCAGATGATTTGTATAACATAAAGCTCTTTTAGGATTAAGAGAGTGATTTACAGACAAAGCTTTTGGTGAGGTGATTTTTCTGGTATGTGGTGTGTTTATCAAAAACAGTACACCTACCAAACTTCTCCCTCATTAAAAAAAAGCTGTAGAGGCAAACTTTAGAGGCTTATGTTGTAATGTTTTCTTTTGTACAAATTCTGCAATATTTTTTTCCTGTCTACATTTTGAACAGCTATTTGGTGAGAGTCTGAATTTTATTTTTTATTTCTGCTTTTTGGTCTTCTGCCATTTTTCCTATCCTTTACTAAATTCAAGCAGCTGCCATATTAGCTTTTCTTTGCTTGGGTATTGGCTCCCTTCCACACCCATCTTTCTAGACTTTAAATCCCTTTTTCTTTTGCAGTTTTGTTTTCATCAGTTTTGTTCTCCAAAGCATCTGTTCTCTTAAAGAGATAACAAAATACATTTTATTGAGTAAAAGAACTCAATAATTATTTGACCTTATATTCTCTGTGTGGATTTTTCCCCTAACTAATATTTCAGAAGAGCATAGACTGTAATATTTTTAAACCTAACATTTGACCTATCAACAGATCTGCTCTTCCTGTTATTGTATTGTCCATGGGCTTTTCTATTCAGAGTTTAACATTTCCTAAGTAACCCTATCATCACCACCCCACAAAGTTATTTTCAGTAAGAGGGGCCTTTCTTCATAGCTTATATAAAAATTTACCATAGCACATTTACTCAGGTTTTATAATATGAATTGAAAAACAATCACTGTATTTTCTGTATCAGGATTTAAGAATAAATATTTGTAAAAATACTTGCTGCTTTGAAAATGAGGTCAGTAGACCCTACAGTGAAGTAGGTGTCTTATGAACTGAGAAATAAGTTTTCCCTGGGAGCTAAACGTTAAGAATTAACCCACATTTTAACTGAAGAAGTGATCTCTCTGTAATAGTAATCCACTCTCAGAGGCCATCTATAAATGGATAGTTGCAGATTTGAGAATGTCGAAGTCCAGGTGAGGGGACTTGAGTTTTGTCTTTGCCAGAGCAGTTCTTGTCATGATAAGTACCATTAAATATTGCTGCTCTCCTTGCCCCTCTCACTAGACTGAGCTTCTTGAGGACTAGGATCATGTTTTGTAATAGAGCCGTAGTGTAAGGATTAAGATCCTGGGGCCTAGAGTCAGATTGCCTGGGTTCACATCCCAGGCCGTATCATTTATCGGCTGTTGTGGCCTTAGGTAAGTTTCTTGACTTTTCCTTATATTCTCCTTATTTCCTTATCTATGAAACGGTAGCTACATAGAGTTGTGAGGATTAGCTGTAAGGTACATGGTACATAAGTACTGTTACCATTATAATTTTTCATCATGTCCCAGTGGTGCATATTAAATGCATATTATAACTGTATTCAAAGGAGAATTGCCTGGACCCTGGATGAGGAGAGCAGCCCTATATATCACAAATATATAGATGCCTCTGTCAGTGGAGATCCAGTGCTCAGTGCAATTCATAACCCAGGAAACACCCTACTCATGTTTTGACCTGCACCCTTGAATGAAAGGAAACTGTTTAAATATGTGAAGATTGTACCAATGTTGACTTTCCAGTGGACACTAATTTAGAGTATGGAAAGGTTTTGAACTGCAGAAAAGTTAAAAAAGACATTAACTTGTCAAATCCTTCATCTTGGCATGAATGCAATAGATCCTTCACTAAGAAAATATTGTTTCCCACTAGTGCTAAGCTTCCATTTTCTTGCTTGTCATATTATTTCAGTTCATGACTCTGAAGATACTCATGATTTAATACCGTACTTGAAACAGCTGCACCTGGAAACTGAGTAACATTTTGCAATCTTAAATCATATTACTCTTATATTTGTATATGTGTAGGTCTATGTGGAACATACAAGAAATTTGACACTGATTCATAGATCATTTTATTATTTTACATTTTGTTTTTTAATACTTTTAGACTATTATGGTTTATAGAACATATAACCTTCCCTCAGTATCCCTGGGGGATTGCTTCCAGGACCCCCATGGATACCAAAACCTGATATAAAATGGCATAGTATTTGCATATAACCTACATGCCTCTTCCTGTATACTTTAAATCATGTCTAGATTGCCTGTAACCTAAGTAATCTATTATTACTAATATTACATTGTACTAGGTATAATCTAGTCTTACCTAGTACAATGTAAATTCTAAGTAAATAGCTCTTATTCCGTATTGGTTTTTATTTGTGTTATTTTCATTGTATTGTTATTTTTTTGCTTCTTTAAAAAAAATTTTCAATCCATGTTTGGTTGAATCCACAGATACAGAGGGCCGATTGTACACTCTTGTGCTTACAAAAAAAGGGGCACTGCATTTTCAATACAAATGCCTGGAACCATACTTTCACATCTCATGTGAAATATCAAATGCCTAAATTCACAATTCTCTCTTAGCGTTTGCTTGACAGCAATTGGGCCATATGCTAAACTTCCATATTAATTCCTACACATCTGGTGTTTCTAGATAAGCCCCAAGTCAAAGTATTTACAAGGCTCTTTTTCCTATAATTTGCAAGGAATGAAATCACTTTTAATTTATATGAAAATCTTGATTATAACAATATAATTAGGGACTTTATTAAAATCAGTGCAAGAAAATAAGTTTCATGGAATATATACGAAATATTTCTGTCTTTCCACATTAATCCAAATATTACCATTAATCCAAATATTAATATTAATCCAAATATTCAGCCATTTCAAAAAATGGCTGAAAATATTTTTTATTTTGTTATGATGAAAGCATATTTGTCAAGATAGGAAGAAGAAATATATTTAAATATTTTTAGCTTATTTTATAACTTTTACATGTTTGGAAATATTGTATGGGGACTTCATGTGCCCCTCAGTGGGCCTATAAGAAAGGAGCAGTTACATCTATTGATGTGGAGCAAACAGGGAGATCGGGAAAGGCTTGGTGGAGAGGTAATGTGAGAGCTGAGTGTCTGGTGTAAAGGTTGTGAGTGGAGAGTGATTTGGACAGAGGGCATAACCTGGGCAAAGCTCCCCCGTGCATGTAACAGCAAATGTAGTGTTGGCAGTTGGTGGGAGTGTCTAAGCCATGTTATGTCTCTGGACTGTCAGAGCCAAGGCCCTAGATGTGGTTATCCCACAGAGCATCTGTGTGGCAAGGCCTTGCAGAGACAGGCCAGTGGCCCCACTGTGACATCTCACCCTCTCTGTAGTGGCACCCTCCACTCCAACACTAGGCGCTGTCATCTCAAAACACAATTAGCATCTCCACTAAGAAATGGAGTTCAGAGGATGTTAACAGGTATATATATACAATGAAGCAAAAGAATAATATTGGAAGCTAAACAAAGGCCATTTATCTCTGATCAGTAGCTCACTGAAGGGAAAAGTGTTTTCCAGATCTGAAACCTTGCTGAGATTTTCAGACAGCCCTAGTAGATCAAAGTCCTCAATCCTGACAGGAAATATTCCAGCTCTGCCTCATTCTGTGTCCTTGGTCAGTGTCTGTGGTTTCCCAGTCTGCCCTAATGTTTGATGACACTAAGGATACGTGTTGCTGTTGTGCCCCTGTTTGTTTGGCCACTACAGGGGATTGCTCCCTCAGGAACCTGTAGCTCTTCATTTTTTTCATTACATTTATTTACCCAGTGACATACTATATTTTTTTCTTTTATCTTCTTCTCACCTCCTTTGTCTTTCCTCTTCTTCCATCTCACCCATCATCATCTATTCTGTCTACAGATGCAGTATTTTTATTTTTAAAACCTTGCATTTGTATCATGTCCCACACATACCCAGAACCCATTTATTCCCCAGATCTTAACTTAACCATGTATGTGCCAGGCATAGAGAAAACTAGGTTGAAAAAGACAAGTTCCGAGACCTTTAGGAGTGTAAAAAAATAGCTATCATATTTCTTCTGCTTCCTATAAAATACAGAACACTTGGATCCAAATCAAATATTTTATTTTATCCTCATAACAACCCTGTGAAGTAATTATTATCATCATTGCAAAAAGCAATCTGCAGTATCTTTGTCTTATTTTTCCACCACTGCTTAAAATACCACTTTCATCTATCTCTTTAGTTCATGTTGGGCATGAAATCAACAAAGGATCTCATTAATTTTCCTTTCAAACTCATGTTCCTCCATCACCTTCCAGTCTTTTACCAGCATAAGTTCTTCTTAAAAATTCAGCACCTTTTCTCATGACTTTCTGTTTGTTATTTTATAAATGAATATTGGAGCTCCCTCCTCACATTCTCCTAGATAATCCAGTATTTGTTTTTAAAGTACATATATGGCTCTTTATTTTATATGCAGGCCCTAATAGCCTCTTCAGGGAAGAGCCTAATTCACCGTATAAATCACAGTACCTTGTATTTAGCAAGTGCGTAATGTAGATTAGCTGAATTTAACAAAATGTGCAGATTAATTTATTGTGCCTTTAGTTTATGTCTGTGAATAAGTCTTTTCATTTCCCAAATAACCTCAGTGTTCCTATTGAGTTTTACCTTGTCTTTAAAAACGCTTTTCACAATTTGAATTTTTGTACCTTTCTTTAGAGCTGATACATGACCCCAGACAATCTGATATTTTACTGAAATTAAATAAGGATATTTCTGAATTTTTGCCTGTGTCTGTAGTCAAAACACTAAGTCATAAAGAACCCAAACTTTGTCCTGTGGTTTCTACAGATCCCTATGACTACTAAACCACTAGTTACTACTGGCAGTGTGAACCTATAAGCAGTGGTTTGCAGATGTTCAGAGTGATCTGATCATCTGTCTATATTTTTTTAATCAATGACCTGACATCAAAACTTTACTGAAGATCGAGTAGATAGTTCCATTTTTCTCTCTAAGCTTTATCATTCCATTATGGGAAGAAATTTAGATTGCCATAGTAAGGTTTCTTTTACACGTATGTGGACGACTCCACAAGTATAAACATGTTTGCCTTCAGCACTGATAATGTGTTGGGCCTTTTAGATAACTTCCCAGTCAACAGCAGCAAATGATGCTGTACTCATTTCTGCCAATTTTCTAAGAAGTCTGTATTCTTGTCACCAAGTCATGCTTGTTTGAACACATCAAGAAGAGAGTAGTCTTATTAAGCAATGTATTGCCTTTTTTGAACCTGTTTTTCTGTCCATCATGTGACAGATACTGTACTATACAGCTAGCTGATCAAAGGTGACTTTTAAAGACTGAGAGAGACACAAATGAGGAAAGCTTCTAACGTTCAGCCTTGTGTTCCTAGCTTTCCTTCACCATCACAGGAAGAGGCCTATAGTTCCCTCTGGCTGACTCCATCATTTTTGAGCAGTTATTTGAGATTTAGCTTCTCTGATTTTATTCCTTTAAAATTCCTGTTTTCCTACTTTATTATTTAATTTTCCTCTCAATTTCTGGTGCTTTATTTCAGTTGCCTTCAATTTCTTGCTACCCCTTCTGTACACTGGAACAGTTAACCCTCAGTTGATTAAAGTGATTAAAAAGAAACAGACCCAGATAACTCAAAACTAATTTGTTTGACTTTGGATTTTAAGATGATTTTGTACCAGATTTGCATTCCTACTTGGGTTTTATTTAAGCTGCTATTATGATCAGTTGACATTCCTTAAGCATGTACCAGCTGGCTAATGGAGTGAACAGGCAGGCCTGAGGAAGCTGTGCTAGTATGGAAAATTGGCTGGAGATAATACACACATGGATCATTGAAAATTGATTGTGGTTTGTTCCTGTGCCCAGAAAACCGTCTGCTTAATGACTCAGCTCTCTTGGGTCTCCATGGAACTTAGTATTCTAATATAATTAATTAGTTTTACAAAGAAACCTTCAAGATATTGAAAAGAACCAAGTGTAAAAACTAGCATACCAAGAACTAAGTTTATGTCTGAATAATTTTTTAATTGTTCAAGTTCTGTATATACTTAGTTCTTATATATTCTCCTATTTGCTTTTCCTGTATTTTAATTACAGTTTATACTTCTTTCATCACCTCATTAAAAACTATCTTGTTTCATGCATGTTAATGTTTCATAATCTTTGATAATTTAAGTTATTTTGCCCCTGTGATCATGTAGAATAGAAACTGGATTTATAATTTCCTTACCCAATAATTCATTAATGAGATTTCTAGAGGAAACAACAGAGGCTACAGTAATGGGGAAGTTGCTGACTTTCTCCCCTTAATTTTGAAGGTAGTTATAGTGTTTTAAGGTTGGGATACTTGATTGCTAAGAATTGTTTTCTTCTTTGGAAGTAAAGCTCTGTAGAGGGAGCTTATGCAGGAGACTTTTGGGTGGGAAGTAGCGAATGCTCAACATTCTTAGGACAAAATAGTGATCAGTCCTCCTTCATTCCTTCCGCCTCTCCAGTATCAGCCTATCCCCCAGTTCTCTTTGAATGAATGCAGTAGTGGCACTCTGTTAGGCCTTTTTTTTCCCCATTTAGTTTATTTTTTGCCTTTTAATGATAAACAATTTCTCCAGGATTTGCTGCGCAGATATTTGTGGAGGAGATAGTCTAATAGAAGGATCAGATGATACCTAGCCTTAAAAACAGAGGTTGGGTTTTGTTTGCTTTGTTCCTCTTCCTCATTGCCCTTCTCCTTGATCGTTAGCAGTGTTACTTTGGGCAAGTTAGTCGATGTCTCTGAATATCACTTTCCACATCTGTATTGGTGGTAATAACTATGTTATCATGGTTATATAGAATAGTACTTGGTATACTTAAAGCTCTATATCTTCATTAGTTGTTGTTAAACCAATTGCAGATACCTAACTTGGGTAGATCCGAACCATGGGAATGGGTCACGCTGCACCACTTTGGCTGTGAACAGCAGCTAAGCCCCCTTTACCAGTGGGAACACGGTAGACAAGCTGACTGAGTGCCCTCCCACCCAGTATCTACTCCTCCTTTTATGGTCCTCCATCCTTGGTGAATTTGTTTCACCGCAGGCAGTCTTTCTCATACATATATCTTCTTTTCTCTTTGTACTCGTAAACCAGAAGGCATCCTTAAGCGTGCCAGGTAAAATTAATAACAGTGCTAGAGACAGTTTTAAGTAGAATCGAAACTAAAGAAGAGTCACTGTCAAACTTCAAGCTCTTGAAAGCACCTAGAATATGCCTTCAGGGTCTCTGCAAGAATCTTTACTGAGTATCTTCTGCAGATGTATAGCATTTCAGCTGGATTCTGACTCAAATAAGTTTCTATAGTCTGGTCCAGAAAGCTAGGCAAACATTTTAACATAGTTTTTATGGGAAAACACATTCTAGTTTATTTGTAACTGATACATATTTTGTTCATAATTGGGGAACTGCCCCAAAAAGTTGTTTTCCTGATTATTTTTAACCATTTCTTTTGACAGAAGGAGAGCACATAGGTGGATCTAGGTATGATTTATCTTTTTATTTTAAAACTACCACACTAATTTATGGGAAAGGAAGAGGCATATTTGGAATATTTATACCCTTTAATTTTTTTACTTAAATCTATAAGGGTGAAAAACAATCTGTTTTGGACCTTATTAGGATAAATTTTGCTTGAACTGTAAGAGACAAAGTCCCCAGATCATTTCAGCAGGCCATATCATTATTCTAAAGAGCTGGAAGAAGCAGCATATGTGGTCATCAGATGAACTTACCTCTTTGTGATTCCATAAGAGGTTGGGCTGCGAAACTTGTGATTGAGGGAGTCAACATGTCAGTAGATAGGCAAGCGCTTTAGTTTTTCATTGATCTGTAGCAGTGGGCCTTCCCAAGAAGGATCAGAAAATGTCAAGCTGCTGAGTTAACTGAAAAGACATCTTTTAAAGATCTCAATAAGAGTTTATTTTAAAATGAGTTACACAAAAATAAGCAGATGTATTTTTGAAGATTAAGAGGTGGTGAAATAGTTTGAAAGCATAGTATTAGGAATATGGAGGTAAATAACGAGAAACAGATGAAAAAAGTTGAAATTGTTTTCTTTGGTGGGTAGGGCAGGATAATTTAGAAGACTGTTGTATTTAAAATCTTTTAAATAATATTTGTCTTTTTAAACTATGTGCATGCTTTACTTTGATAAAAATCAACATGAAATAAAACATTCTTGTAAACAGAATGTTAATATCATTTGAAGATTATATAGTATATGGTAGCATTATAATAGTGTCATAACATTTTAATATAGACTCTATATAATTATCCAGCTTCAAAAATTCATGATTAGATTTATAGTTCTGTCTTTGGACTATATTTGTTTTGGACTATATTTGTTTATACCTCTCTTTTTCTTAACTTTATTTTTTCTTAACTTTGTTATTGATACATCATATTCAAGTCAGGGACGATCATCTTCCTATGTTGCTACCCATAGCACCTTGCACAGTATCTTACACATAGTAAAGTCTCAGAATATGGTTGATAAATATGTTTTCTGTTTTTTTAACCTCTTCAAAAATTACACAAATAATACATGTTCATTGTAGAAAAAATAGAAAATGCAGCAATGCAAACAGAAAAAATCACCTTAAAACTCATCTTACTGTTTTGATAACATCCCTCCAAATTTTTTTATTATTATTATTTTTATTTTTTTTAGAGACCAGGTCTTGCTATGTTGCCCAGGCTGGTCTCAAACTCCTGGCTTCAGGTGATCCTCTCACCTCACCCTCCCAAAGTACTGGGATTACAGGCATAAGCCACCACACCTAGCCGTCTCCAAATGTTTTTCTATGTAATATATATGTAAATAAATTTGAAATTAAGGTTATTCTACACATATTCTTTTGTACCAGCTTTATATACTGAATATGTTATGAGTGTCCTGTGCCAAAAATTCATTTGTCTTCATTTTTAATGACTGCCTAATCTTCCACATATGTGGATATGTTATGATTTATTTAACCAATCCTTTATCAGTAAATATTTAAGTTTTCTGTTTTTTCTTTAATTGTTAACAAGTAGTTTGAATATCCTTGTACATATACTTTTCCATACTTATTTGAATATTTTCATAGGACAAAGTAAAAAATTTTTAGATCAACTGGTATATACTATTCTTAAGGTTCTTTATTATGTTGCTGGATTGTCCTCCAGAAATGTAATATCAGCTTCAGTCCCCATTAGTAGAGAAGAAGTTATCCATTTCTCTACCCCCTCACTAACTAATGGGCAGAAACATTTATCCTTGTTGAGTTCACTGGTATTTCTTTGAATAACAGTGAATTTGAAAAAATATAGATATATACATATTTGGCTGTTCATGTCTTTTGGTTATTCAAATTAATAAGAAAAGATAATTCTTATATTAAGGATATATGATTTAACTGTCTCATATCAAAAATATTTTTCCAGTTTGTAATTTTTTTCTCTTCAATGTTGCTTCTCTTTATATTAATAGTTTCTTTTTAATTTATGTGTTCAAAATTGTCAACCATTTAAAAAAAAATTTGCCCCAGCAATCATGCTTCAAAAGTTAGTTCCTTTCCCAAGATCATGGACCTGGAATGAATTGATTTTCAGAACTTAGTAGGGTGACTGCCTCTCAAATCTTTTCCTTTTTCTTATCAGGAAAGCAATAGAAGAACTGCTTAAGGAGGCAAAACGTGGGAAAACTAGAGCTGAAACAATGGGACCCATGGGTTGGTAAGTTCTTTGAGTAATCTTCCTTAAAACTTAAGAAAAAATTCTTAGCTGGAGATATAAATATGTAAATCTTTAGCATATAGAGGAAATGGGAAACCATGGAAGCAGAGGAAATCTCTCAGAGACAAGTGTAGAGTAAGACACTGCTGAGAACTGAATGTTGAGAAACTCTAATAACATGAAGAAATGGGCAGCAGGCGCCTATGGAGGATACGCAGTATAGGTTCATTGTCCCTTTAGTTCACAAGTCTCCAAGAGGTATTTAGATACTACTGTGCGCAAAGTCACCTGTGCAAGAGTAATATTATGTTGGTGTTCATTGTTTAAGAATTTCTAGTTTACTTATAGTCCTTAGTAAATTAAAATTTATTTTAGGAAATTAATTTTAACTGTAAGCATTTTGATTATGTGACAATTCAGCCATGTAGAATTAAAGATTACCTTTGCAGATTATGTACAAAATAGAGCTTGTTAAAACTTAATAATATGGGCTGGGCACAATGGCTTATGCCTGTCATCCCAGCACTTTGGGAGGCCAAGGTGGGAGTATTGTTTGAGCCCAAGAGTTTGAGAATAGCTTGGGCAACATAGTGAGACTTCATCTCTACAAAACAAACCAAAAAAAACACCCTTCTAGGCACTACTTTAGTGATGCCATTTGCATTTGATGAATTTGTTGATTCTGGAATTTATATCTACAGTTAAAAACGTACTGCAATGGAATAAGGAGGGTCATTAAAAAGAGTAAAATGTAAAAATGTGAAAAGAGTAGAAGCTAAACTTCTGAACATAGCTCATTTTGTAATTTTGACATTTAGAACCATGCACATAGTTCACCTAAATTCCAAGACAAAAATTAAAATGGAAAAGATAATACCTAAAAATCAAGCAAAATAAAACATGGACCTGATAAACCATTGAGTGGATGGCTTAGCTACATGGAAAGAAACTATTTCAGGTGATCTGGAATTTGACTATATTTCCAAAAGATAAAAAATAACTACAAAGAAATTGTTTTCAGTCATCATATTGTTAGTAATAATATTGGTATTGCTATTCTGAAAATATTATATAGTAGGATAAAACAAGCAATACTTTCTATATATAAATACCAAGATTTAACATGAAAATTTTAAAGAGCTACAAATATAAAATCAAAGAAATAAAAACCTACCTATAATCCTAAATTTGAATTGGAAACATCAGTATGAGGTTGTGCTAGATTTTCTCTTAAAAAAGAGAGGGAGAGAGAAAAGCTTTTTCTAGTTCTCTTCACAGAAAAGGTCTAGAAACAATGACCACCCACCCAGTAGCAGTGAGCACCCCGGTGCCAAAACTGTGTTATGTAAATACCATTTCTCACTGAAAGGAGAGCGGAATCCTTAGAGTAAGAACTGATTGCAGACCTGAAGCAGTGCCCAGAGTTAGCCAAACTGCAAAATTAGAGGTCACAGTCCCCAAGACTATCCTTACTTCTTATTACCAACCACAAGTTCAGAGGGTTCCCCCAAACTACCACGCTTAGCTTCAATAATTCACTGGAAGAACTCACACAATTAACTGAAATCTGTTATACTTGTGGTTACAGCTTATTACAGGGACAAGATACAAACTAAAATCAGCCAAAATAAGACACAAAGATTAAAGCCACTGTTATCCTCTGCTCCGTGAAGAGGACATGCTACCCTCCCAGCATCAGTGTGTGATAATAAGCATGGAATATTGCCAAGCAAGGAAGCTCATCTGCGGCTCAGCATTCAAAGTTTTTATTGCGGTTTCATTAAATAGGTTTGAAGTCATGATATGCTACCCTCCCAGCATCAGTGTGTGATAATAGGCATGGAATATTGCCAAGCAAGGAAGCTCACCTGAGCCTCAGTGTTCAAAGTTTTTATTGAGGTTTCATTACATAGGTTTGATTGATGGATGGATGGATGGATGGATGGATTACATGACTGATCTCAGTTTCCAGGTTGACTGATACCACGTAACCCAAAGCTCTCACCCTAAGTCACATGTTAGTCTCTCTGGCATGGCCAGCTCCCACTCTAAGACTCTTAGGTGTGACCAGCTCCACCCTAAACAAAGACATTTCTATGACATTACTTTCTGGAAGCTAAGGCAAAGGCCAGCCCTCTCTTTGGGCCAAACCAAACTCTTGACTACATGGGCAGGAAATGTATAAGAGAAGCTGGAAAATCTTGTCACACCAGAAAGCAAAGAAACTGTCAAAGACCAATGTACTCATTTCAGAAAGACTCAGGACCCACTTGAAAGGTCTCCCACTAGTCAAAGATGATATAATTTGATTTAAAAAACAAATAAATGATTAAAACACCTAAAATATGTTAAAATCTGTAAGGTCATAATGATAATCATAATAACAAACCTGGTAGTCCCTTTTATAGGATGCTAGAGCACCAAATCACTATTCACAAAACTGATAAATAGGAAGAAGTAAGCATTTACCCTGTTCCCTGTACAAATTATACTTCAAAGTCACCAATTAATTGATGAAAGAAAACTTTACAGAAGAATTGTAACTAATATATTAGAAGGATTATAGAATAATATTATCATCATTTGAGTTTCAACACATTCATTAACCCTTATACCACAGAAAGATGCAAGAAGAGCAAACCACCACCTCTGGGGCATCCTTGTCAAAAAATTGAACCTGAATCTGATCAAGTCTCTAGTTAGAACTACTAGTTTGCAAGAAATACAGAGGGCAGAGAAACATGTTAAATGACACCATAAGGCTGCAATCACAAAAATCCAAAATGTGAGAAATGCTACAGGACAAAGAACCCAGTTTCTTTAACAAATGAATTGCAAGGAGAAAAGAAAGAAGAGTATGCTGTGAATTAATAGATTTGAGGAACATCAAATAAAATGGGTACCTTGTTTGTGTCTTTATCCAAACTAACTGTAAAAAGTTATTCAACAATTGAGGGTATTTGATGATATTAAGGAACTGATGTTGATTTTTTAGGTGTGATAGTATTGCTGTTATTTTAATTTTTAAAAGCCATTATCTTTTAGAAATGTATTCTGATATATTTATGGATGAAATTATATAATGAAATAATCCAATGTGAGTCAACCTGTATCTATCAAGTGTAATCATCTTAGCTTCAGTAAAATACCTAGTAAATAATAGATATATTATTTTAAAGTGAATACTGAAAAAAATGCTCAGCTTTAATTTTGAATATTTATATTAATAGATGTAACCCACATAAACAAAAGCTCTTTGGGGTGTCCACAATCATTTTTAGGAGTGTGAGTGTAAAGTACCCTAAGACCACAAAGTTTGAGAACCACTATTATAAGACAATTGAAAAAAATAAGAATGCCAGCAGGAATTATTGTCTTATAGACTCATGGGAAAAGTGGGAGGATGATAGTGAAAATCTGGTGAGATAATGTGTATGAAAACACCCAGCATGGTTCCTGGCATGTAGCAGTTAGTTAGTAAATATTAGTTAAATCTGCTCTTCTTTCCAGCCCTCCTCTGTGCTTTACAGAAATAAGGTGCCTCTACTATTGTGAGTCAGATTAGTATAAACTATTTAGGCACAGGGTGCTTTGGTTTCGGATATAAGGCTGTACCTTCATCAGGCTGTCAGTAATCATTGGTCCAATCTAATACCTATTAGAAAGACTCAGCATAGAGTTAAAATCATGCAATTTACAAGTGAGTAAGAAAATATCAATTATAGTTCTTGCTCTGTAAGGAGCGTTCAAGGGGATTGGTTGTTTCTTGCCAGCTCTCCAGATAGACATCATTTATCCTGACAACTTTAGTACCACCTACTGGCTTCATAAAACTTTCTGATAGTAAAAGAACTAGTGTATCAGTGCTAGTTCTGCTCTCCCTGGGGAAAGTTACCATGTGCACCAGACTGTCTTGAGATTTGTGTGGGCATTGATGTACTCTTTAGGAATAACACTGGTTAGGTTGGTAGTTACACAGAGTTACTGGGGACCCAGGCTCCTTCCAGTTTTCCAAATCTCCCAATCATAGGGTATGACTCTTTTCTACATAGTCTAATATAGTAACAGACACTGAGTCCACATTTCAGTTAGCAGAAAGGAAGGCACACCCCTTTCCTTTAAGAAAACTTGCCATGACTGGGCGCTGTGGCTCACGCCTATAATCCCAGCACTTTGGGAGGCCGAGGTGGGCGGATCACTTGAGTCAGGAGTTTGAGACCAGCCTCGCCAACATGGTGAAATCCCATCTCTACTAAAAATACAAAAATTAGCCAGATGTGCTGGCACACGTCTGTAATCCCAGCTACTCAGGCTGAGGCAGGAGAATCACTTGAACCTGCAAGAGGGAGGTTACAGTAAGCCGAGATCACACCACTGCACTCCAGCCTGGGGGACACAGTGAGACTCCATCTCAAAAAAAAAAAAAGAAAACTTGCCAGAAGTTGCATTTACCATTTCTTTTTTTTTTTTTTTTTTTTTTTTTTGAGACGGAGTCTTGCTCTGTCGCTGGATCTCAGCTCACTGCAACCTCTGCCTCCCTGGTGCAAGCAATTCTCTGCCTCAGCCTCCCGAGTAGCTGGGATTACAGGTGCCCACCACCATGCCTGACTAATGTTTGTATTTTTTTTTAGTAGAGATCGGGTTTCACCATCTTGGCCAGGCTGGTCTGGAACTCCTGACCTAGTGATCGCCTGCCTTGGCCTCCCAAAGTGCTAGGATTGCAGGCGTGAGCCACCGTGCCCGGCCTGTATTTACCATTTCTTCATGTACCCCATTGGCCAGAATTTAGTCTGATGTCTACATCTAGCTGCAAGGACAGAAATTTCATCTTTTTTTTCATAGGCAGTTGCGTGGCAGATAAGTATCTGGGGTTCTTTGACTACAGAAAAAAGAAAGAGCAGATATTGAGGGACAACTAGCAGCTTCTTCCCAGGTATAGGGAAAAAGCATGTTGAAAAGGGAGTAAATAAAAGATGGCAGGCAAAGTAAGATACTCCAGATTGTAAGAGGTGGATCCCGTGGGAGACTAGGATGTGAAATTACACTTTCCCATGAGTCTGAAAGACACGAATTCCTGCTGGGATTGTTACTTGGTTATCTCAATTGTCTTGGAACAGTGGTTCTCAAACATCTTAGGATACTTGCACTCTTACGTTATTGAGAACCCCAAAGAGCTTTTGTTTATGTGGGTTATATCTATCAATACCAATGTTTAAAATTAAAGCTGGGCAATTTTTAAGTATTTATTCATTTTTAAATAATAAATCAAATACATTAAGATAAATAACATTTATAAGAAAAATAACTATATTTGCAAAACAAAATGCATTGAGTACAGTAATTTTGGAAACCTCTTTGATGTCTGGCTTATAGAAGACACCTGGGTTCTTATATCTGCTTCTGAATTCGATCTATTGTAATGTGTTATTTTGGCTGAAGTATGTGAAGAAAATACTACCTTACAAAGATATGTATTTTCAAAAGGAAATACATATCAGAAAGTTTAACAAAGCCAGTAGGTGATACTAAAGTTGTCAGGATAAATGATGTCTATCTGGAGAGCTGGCAAGAAACAACCAAGCCCCTTGAACGCTCCTTACAGAGCAAGAACTATGATTGATATTTTCTTACTCACTTGTAAATTGCGTGATTTTAGCTCTATTTCAATAACTTTTTCAGAAGACTGTAGATATTCTTCTTTGATACTACATCAGAACTTTGCAAGTAACTTCAAGTAGTAATTTCGTAATATTCTTTTTAATAATGTGTACTTTTCCTATCCTATTACAGTAAAAGCCCTTTATATAATATCCTTGTACCTTGGCTGGATCTTCTACTTATTCTTGATTTTGTAACATCATCATTGGTCATCTGGAAAATATTGGTTCACTGAGTTATGAAGCTTCCAAATGTTGACACGTGTCATTATATAATATTTTTAAAATCACATTTGTAAATATCATCACCAATCTCATCAGATCAGTCTTTTAAGTGTCAAGGGAACCTGTCAAGTTCACAGTTTGCCAAAATTCTAATTTTCTTTCATCTGGAAGCTCCAGTTATATATTGGCAATGAATACTGGGAGTTGTTTTCCTAGAAGTGACAGGCCCACCCACATCTGAATAACCAGCTAGTTCACTTTGCCATTCAGTCACACAAGTACTTTTCCTTGAGGCCTCCATCATAATCTCAAGTACCAGAGTGCTTTGTATGTATGTCCCGTTTATACACATACATTATTAAAAAGACTGATGCTCAAGGGTAAAAATTTAACAAAATTAATAATTTGCACTGCTTCATCAAGGACATTCTCAAGTAAAACTGGCCATTTTTAACTGGAAGTGCATGGTGGTAAAGAGTACAATGACCACTGGTACAGTTTTTCATCACTGCCTTGTTTCTTGCCACTGTTTTACTTGTTGCTTTTGCACCATCAGTGCAAATGTCAACCTTCTGGAGAAAAGCAAATTATATCAAAACTATGGAAATAGCTTTGACTTTGTAGATTGCCTCATGAGTCTGGAGGACTCTCAGGGTTCACGGGTCACATGGTGAGAACTGCTGCTTTAGATAGGTGCCAGCAAGCAAATACAGCAAAACAAGGAAAATAACTAGGAGGAGAAAAAAGGAGACAAAGGGTCATTTGTTGAAGATAGGATGTCTACCCATAGTGGTTTAGCACAAGATAAACATTCAAAATCAATTCCTTATACAGTCAATAGCCCACTAGAAAATATAATGAGAAAAAAGGACATTGTTTGATTATCTATGATTGTGTGGTATAGTATATTTACATGTAATACACAAACATATAATTCTTGGCTGAACCATGTGAAAATTAATTGTAGGCATCTTGATACTTCAGCCCTAAATTCTTCAGCATGCAGATCTCAAAGACATTCTCATGCATAACCACATTGTAATTACCATATCAATGAAATTAATGTATAATTTCATATCATCATCTAACATCCCAAAAATGTCTTTTATAGTGGTTGCCTTTTGTTTGGGATGCAGATTCAGGATCCAGGCAAAAATGTTCCACATACTGGATTTGCCTTATTATGTTTTCTTGATTAGATTCAGGTCAAACTTGTTTGACAGGAAGGAATATTACACAGGTGATGTTTTTATACGTCTTAATTACAACAGATCAGGAGGACTTAATGTCAGGTTGCCCTTGATAAAGCTGGTGACTACCAGATCTCTCCATTATAAAGGTGCAATTTTTCAGCTAAGATATTTTTGGGAGGAATGAGATGAGAATATTGCATGCTCAATATAATAATAGTATGTAAATTTATAGTAATTAGTATGAGATTCGTGTAAGACTAAAGACATTAGTGAGAGAATAGAGAATCAAGAATAGAGACTGGGGGAAGAAAGAGGCAGGAGGAAGGAAGGGAGTGGAGAAGGAAAGAAAACAAAAAAAAGAATGGAGACCGACATATGTGTATGAACTAACTGTGTGGAAAAAGGTCATTGTTCATACTAGTGGAGAAAGGGTGGATTATTTAGTAAGTGATGCTGATACAGTTGACTATTCATCTGTAATACTGAAAATTAAAAACTAAACATACAAAATATGAATCTTATAGGAGAAAATACAGGATAATATTTTTATAATATTGGCAAGGATAAGGTAGAAACCTCCCTCAGCCAGGCACAAAACCTAGAAGCTATGAATGAGACAATGGCAGATTCAACCATGTCATAATAATAGTAAACTTCTACATAGAAAAAGATACCATACAAAAAGTTAACTTGTGAAAAGACAAGTGGTAGACTGGTTGAAATTATTTGCCATATATAACAGACAAAGGACTAATACTCTAAGTATTGAAAAAGCTTCTACAAATCAGTTTATAAAAAGAAAACCATATCTGTGTGTGTCTGTGTCTGTGTATGTGTATGTGTATATATCAAAACTACAAATGGCCAGTAAGTAAACATACTAACACATTTATTGAGTACTTAGCAGAGCTAGGCTCTGCTATTTTGACACTCATGTATCTGTAAACAGAATGACAAAGATTCCTGCTCTCTTGGAATTTATAATCTAATGGGGGTGGGAGTGCATGCATAGGTATTTATATTCCTCTTAAATAGCACTTAAATTTCACCATTAGATTGGCAGAAATGAAAGAGGCAGTAATCCAGTGGAGATGAAGGGATGTGGAAAGGGGTGCAGTGTTGTGCTTCAGGCAGTGGTGTGGTTTGCTCTGTGCAGGGCCATGGGCAAAATGTTGAGTCACAGTTCTCTGTGCCCCTTTACCCAGGATCTCTGCTCCCAGTAATCCCTCTTTCATAGAACTTAATAAATGTGTGCAGACCTAAGTACAGAATTATTGTAGCACATTTTGATAGTAAAAAAAGGGAAGCAGTCCAAATGTCCATAGATAGGAAAATGCTTAAATAAACTGTGGTACATCCTACTGTTGAATATTTTACAGTCACTAAAAAGAATTGGTCAGCACTATATGAATCCTTGTGAGAAAATATCTACTATGTATGTGAAAACCTGAGTTGTGGATCAATGCATGTAATCCTCTATTGGCCAGGTCAGGGAAGGCCATGGGACCCCGTAACGCATAAAGGTCTGTGAGAAGTTAGGCCTCCTAACAGTGAGCACTAAGGGGAGCATGAGAAGCAGGGAATGCTATCCATTGTAACCCTCTACCAGGGGCTCTGTTACAGTAATATATAACAAATATGTCTTCTATTTATCACTTTTTAACAGAGTTTTTTTAATTAGAAAATAATCTGGAGAGGTTTTTAAAAATACAGATCTCCAGCCAGGCGCTGTGGCTCACACCAGTAATCCTAGCACTTTGGGAGGCCGAGGCAGGTGGATTGCCCGAGCTCAGGAGTTCAAGAGCAGCCTGGGCAACACAGTGAAACCCCATCTCTACTAAAATACAAAAAATCAGCTGGGCATGGTGGCGCCTGTGTTCCCAGTTACTCAGGAGGCTGAGGCAGGAGAATCACTTGAACCTAGGAGGCGGAGGTTGCAGTGAGCCAAGATTGCGCCACTGCACTCCAGCCTGGGCGACGGAGCAAGACTCCATCTCAAAAAAATAAAAAATGAATAAAAAATAAAAATACACATCTCCTTCCCTGCCTCACTCTAGGGCATTCTGATAGAGAAGTCTAAGATCGGTCCTACAGGTTTTTTGTTTGTTTGTTAGTTTTTTAAGCTTACTAGAAGATCTCATCAATCAAGTTTGGGAAGCACTGCTCTGAACAATTGAGCAAGTCAATCCCATAGAAGACTTCACTTCATTAAAAATAAAAAGTTTATCTGCATTTTTCTCTATCTCTCTCATAATGTTCACATTTTGATTCTTGATCTGTGTTGCTCTGGAAGCAGGAATCTCTGGGTACTTGCTTATTCCAGGGGCAACTGTTTTTTCCTAGCCAGAGTTCAGTCCAGCAGTTCAGCACACCCAAACAGATATGGGCTATGAAAGGAGGTCTGGACCCATGACAACCGTGGCTTGCTTCTACTCACTAGTGCTGGGACAAAGGGCACCTGCCCTTCATCTGCTCGTTCTGGAAGATCACCTGGTTTCCATTTATTTAAATAAGTGTATGTGAGAAACTTTTAACCACTAGTCATTAGTTCTCAAATTTATCTGCACATTTGGAATCACCTGGAAAGCTTCAAAAAATACTGATGCCTGTGCCCCACTATCAGTGATTATGAACTTGGGGTGTGGCCTGGGCTTTGGAGTTTTAAAGAGCTACCCGGGTGATTCTAAAGTGAACACAAATTTGAAAAACATTTTACTAGTCCCTTTTGTTTTATTAAAAAGAATGATACCAGCCTGCTCTGCAGAATCCAGAACAATCCTACACCTCGGCCAGAGGCAGACAGCTCCTCTGCACTGAAATAGCACTTAGGTAGCCTGGCCAGGTGTTCAGCCACAAGAGTCCCAAGACCCATCGCTGTGGAGTGGACTTCTTGGACAGTTCTTAAAAGAGTAGCAATCTGTTGTTCACTAGTGGCCATGGCCTGTTTTTTTCTAAGTATCTAGAAGACCTTTTATTTGCTTTAAAATTTAAAATAGAACTAGAGTGAGTGGTATTATTTTTTTCATTTTGGATATTCCATAAGAAATAGATGGTTGAGCAGTTGCCAGAGAGAGATTGCTGATCTAAAGAAAATGCAAGTGGGATGCCATTTTTTATTTTATAAAGAAAGAGACCATTTGGTGCTATATTCTTCCTTGGATGTATTTCAGCAAAAGAATCTCTTTAGAAGCTGTTGTTGACAGATGCTTTAGGAGAAGCTGAAATATTGGCTCATATGACTTCCTTTTAGTCAACATAAAGGAATTTATAAGCATAAATTTCAGAAATTTGCCCAGCTTCATTGTCTACAAAGCTGTTTTAATTCTGGTCACATTCACTTTAGCTTATCTACTGCCCAATATAATTTCTGAGTCTAGTGCCTGTGGAACTTCAGCCTTATACTTGGAAAAGCTTATATTTTGGCAAAATAAATCCTAAAGGTTGAATTGAGAGAAAATGATTCTTGAGTTCTCTTAACCCAATTGTTTTAAGGGGAATGACTTTTTTTTATGCTTTTCTGTTTGGATTGAGAGTCAATCTAGAGATATGGAAGGAAGTCACCCATCTTGTTCTTCCAGTTTATGTCATCAACTGTTGATTATTGGAAACTAAATAATTTCTCCAGTCTTTATCCAGACATGTGTTTATTTATTTATATAAATATTCACAGGGCACCAGCAGGTATGTTAAGAGGCTGATCATGGACAGCAGTAAAGAAGACTCACTTTCCTGGCCTTAAAGTTTTTAATCCCCTGGTGGATACAGAAACAAGCATCAAGTGATCACAGTGTGGCATGCCACACTGACTGTGTTAGAACCAATGAGGAGGGGAGCAAGGGCTCACATCTCAGACGATTCGTGGAGGAGGCTCTTGGCAATATTTTCAGGCCACAGAGATCCAAAGCCTTTATACGTATAGAACATGAAACCCAAAGAGTTTTCCTAAAGCCCTGGCTAGCGAATTGCTGATGGGACTATAACTTTGCTTTCCTATCTGTCACTTAACACTCCTTGTATGGCATCACTTCTCTCTGTGGATTATTGTCTGATAACATGCTGAAATGCCAATGCTTACTGCCCCTGCTTCCCACATTCCTTTCATATCCAGTTATGAAAGTGAATGAGAGAGCCCTGAATGTGTTACTGTTAGAGCACATATCTATGTAAATGATTTGCGTTGCTGAGGGAGCTGGAGGCCGAGGATTATAGCCTTGCAAACTGTCTCAGTGTGTTACTATTCACGTATCTGCTTCTGAACTTTGACTTCCCCTACCTTCTGTTCCTCTTGGTAGTCTCCAAAGACAGAGACACATAAACAGATAGCTTGGTATGTATCTTTGCTACAGTGCTTAGCATAATGCGTTGCATATCTCAGGTGTATATATATATATATATATACACACACATACACACACACACATACATATACAGACAAACACATGTCAATGATTTTTTATTACTTTTAGGTACAATGTTGGAGACAGTCATTGAACACCCACTGTGAGCCTCAGGACTGTTGTACACAGTAATTAAGGGTTAACAGCTTACTAATAGGGATTATAACACCATAAAAAGCATTTTTCAGGTGGCCACATGCTGAGGCATTTGATTGCCAAATTATAAACTGTAGCACCATGGGTGGTTTTGGTAGTTGTGGCAGCATTAAACAACAAAATGAGTTGTAATCAACCACAGCATCAAGATAAAAAATATTCCCCTTGTTTCATGCAGAGTTGGGAGAGTTAGGCCTCTGCTTCAGTCTTTCTAGATGCATTATTCCAGACCTACATCCATGAGAGTGCAAAGACACGTACAGAATGGAAGATACGCTATTTGCTAGTATGGGAATGGATTTGTCCATAGAATAAAAGAACGCATTGAAGTGCACTGCATGGAAACTTGCTTCCATGACTCCAAGGTGTCTATTCCCTAACCATAAAAATAATTCTTATTTCCCACTACCTGTTCGACTTCACACATCTCAGAGTCAGGCATGTTTAAGGGACTCTCCACCTTTGTCCTTGGCTGTGTTGGTGACTCTCCTGGGCTCCTGAGTGGCCAGCTGTTCTCAGCAGACCTGTCACTGTGTGTGCATCTGCTGCTTCATGCCTGTCCTGGATGAGGAGCCTTAGCCACAGCGTGCTGACAAGCTTTTCACCTGCGGTTTCTTTCTTGACTGCTCTGTTAATTGGCCATCTGGTTGGACTGCAGTGAGTCTTTCTCTGCTCCACTCTCTCTGCCCCTTTCCAGACTCCCTGCTTCCAGTCTGGCTCCGCATCTTACTAGCTTGGGATGTGGATAGGCGCTGTACCTTTTTTCTTTTCTTTCCTTTCGGATGACGGCTGTGGAGATGAAATGAGGCAACATTGGTAATGGAATAGCACAAGGTAATTGTGTCTTCAACGTACCCTGTTGGCTGGCGATCCTGTGTCACTCTCAGATAGGTCCTATTCAGGAAATATTTTAGAAGCAAAAGGTAGCAGGTCTAAATCTGTGGAAAGTTAGATACTACTACCTCTATCCTTCAGCAAGAGAGACAAAAAAGATGAAAAGCTTATAATTCTAGCCCCAGTGAGTCTTCATCTCTCCAGTGGCAGATTCTTGAGCAGTCAGCCTTTCCCATGGCATGTGGAACCCTTCCATCACAGCCTCTGAGCCCACAGGTTTCAAAGTGAAGGAAATTGCTTTCCTTTTAAAGTTTAACCTGGATAGAATGCCAGATCTCAAATCTGACATTGTGTCATGGGTACTTTCCAAAGCAGATTTAACCAGTCTCATGATATTTAGGGTTTATATCCATTTATGTTGTTAGCACCTTAAATCTGGCTCTTACCATGTGAGCTAGCATAACTTTCTAGAAACAAAAATAAACTAAATATAAAAATAACTAGCCAGGGTGAGAAAGTCGCCCCCCAGGTCAGAGCTAAGACAGGAAATCAGCTGCCCTGTCCTGTGGCCTCCTCCAGTCCTTCCCCCAGCACACCTTTTGGGCATAGACAGTGACAGACAGTGCAGACACAGCAGGCAGCCGTGGCCTATGATCTTATGCTCAATTTCAGGGCTCAGATGGTTACCCTAAAGCTGATACGAGAAAAGCCAGGAATGGTGGAGTGTCTAATGCCAGTTTATCATGTCATCTCAAATACTGTGGAAGATCGGGGGAGGCGGGAAATGGCAGTAAGAAATAATTTCCTAATGTGATGAATGAGAAGAGTGAACTTTTCTAAAGAGTTAATGTACAGAGCATGAGCAGAGGATCCTAAAACTGGAAGGGACTCTAGAGATCACCCACCTACTTCAACCGTTAGTTTTACGTCTGAGGACAGAGGCCTAGAGGGTTTGTGGAACAGTTGGAAATACAAATGATAAGCTCAAAGGTAGTATGTAGTAGCCTCTTGATCCCGGTGGCAATGGAGAATTGAGATAGCCGGGAATCTGAAACTTCTACAAATACAAATCTAACCATGTTAAAAGTACCAAAACTTTTAAATTTTAACCCTTTTTTTGGAAACTTATGTAAAATGTCTCATTAACTTTTAATGATGGCTTACTTTTTTCTTAATCTTTTCTTTCATAGAGATTCTACTCTGTTCTTGATTAACTTATTATCACAGGTGATTTGAGGCTTTGGGATATCTTGAGTTGCCATCTTGCAAAAATTCCGGATGTATTAGCCTATTTGAGAGCTATGTGTACTCTTTCTCATGAAGAGAGAGTAAAATAATATATGTCCACCATCCTTTTTCTAAAACCTTTGTATCCAAATAAGTCTCTAATTTTAGATATTTTTACATTTTAGAAAGGTATTACAGCACAGATAGCATGTACTAGACACCCCCCCCACCACTACTCTGTACTTGTTCAACATGGTATCATTTCTTCAGCAAAACATGAATGTTTATATTAAATGGGATAAAGACTATATAAATAGCCCAAAGTCAGGTCAGATCAAGTTTTGCTGCCAAACAAACTTTGGTGTCATAAAAATAACTTGGTTTTAATAGGTTTTTAAATTTTGGAATTAGGGATAAGAAATTGTGGACCTGTAGGTAACATTTGTTGCAGTTTGCTGTATGCCAGATACCATGCTAAATGCCTTATACATTATCTCATTAAATCCTCACAATAACTTTATAAGGTAGATACGTCTGTTATTCCCATTTTGCAAGTGGGGGAAACGAATGCAAAGAGGAGTTAAGTAACTTGCTTGTGATCACACAGCTAATTAAATAGTAGGCTGTGAACCAAAACTGAAATTAACCAAATGCCTTTATGTGTCAGGCATTGTTCTGAGTACTTTACATGTTCTAATTCATTTGATCTGCATGCAACCCTTTAAGATAGTCGCCATTATTATCCCCACTTAACAGCTAAGAGGCAGCAGGGAGATTACATAACATGCCCAAAGTCCAGTCTGTTAGTGTGATTCCAGAGCATGTGTGCCCAGCCACTGTCTCATGTAGTGTGATTTCTTAGCAATGAAACAACCAACTGTGAGATTCAGCAAAATTAATTTCTACCTTAAAGGCCAGAGAAGCTCTCCCCACTGATTCCCTCAGACATTGGTTTTGATGTTGCCGTCCTTAGACTTGGATCTATTCTGTGCAGATTTTGGAATTTCTTTATATAAAATGATTTACTATATGTACCTTCACATCTGCTTGCAACTACTGTATCTCATTGCCCTGCCCTATTTATTAGTAGAGTGTGAATGAGCACTTGTCATCACTTCTAAAATGTGTACTGGCATGCCTGGGAGATGTCTGACTTTCAAACCCCACCTCCACCCCACCCCAGTAAACCAAGATCTCCTCAGGCCACCCTTGGCTATTTACCTAGAATAGAATCCCAGGCATAACCAACATTAAAAAACTGCATCTCTGATGTTAAAAGAGATGTAAATGCCAGTTTTCTTGTGGAATTATTCTATAAAACCATCTCATTCTCTGGCTAACTCTTTGGGTCACTATGTTGAGTCAGTGGGTTACACTAGCAGTTGGAAGATAGGTGCAGTCCCCTCTGCCTCTTGGCGTGAATGCTGCAGTTAGTAGCAGGGCTTTGCTCACCTCGAGGAAGCATTTGGTTTTAAAGATGATCTGACATTGAAAACAGCAAAATAGAGTGGAATTCACCAGTAGTTACCAAAGGTTTTGTTCTGAGATCCTGGATTACCATCACGTCTGGGAAAAGTACCCTTCCTTGTTGTTTAATGCAGAGAAGAACTGGCCAGTTTACCACCACTGAGATGGCCCACTTCAGTGAAAAGACCCCAGAATTCTTCTGTTGCTGGACATGTTTCACCAGCTACTCCTAGCCCTATATATCCAAGAGACATATGTAGTTCATTTGTCTATAAAAAAGATTTTGCTCTTGTAGTAAGCACCAGGCCACCATTGCCAAAGACAGGCCCTCTAAGCTTTTTACTCTCTGTGATGGAGGGTAGTTTTTCCTGTAGGCTGTCTGTGTTATGCTGTTTTGGAACATGCCAGTGTTTAATACTGTTCTGAATCATTGCTGAGTTTGCAACTGCAGTGGGTCAAGTGTCTTCACCAAAGCAACGCCTGCATTCAGTAGTACCCTGTCAGACCCTGCAGGAGAACTCGGCTTGCCTCTCATCACGTGCCTGTCTTCCCGCACAGGAATGTCCTAATGCCAGCGTGCCCCCAGGAGGTAGAAATGTCTTTACCTTGAGACTACTAAGGCAGCGTAATGCTGGTGTACCTTTTCTGGAAGCTCTGTGAAGCTCTATAGTTCGTACTTGCAGAACTGTTTTTTCTTTGTTTTTGCCTTTCTTCTTTGCCCTTCGTCTCATTCACTGTGGCTTCTAAACTCCAGAGCTGTCACCACCTCTGAATGTTCCCACTATTTCTGTTGCACTCCACTGTCCTTTTCTTAAATTTTCTAATTTTCCACTGTCCTTTTCTAAGTTTCTCCTTGTTCTAGTTCATTCCTTTGTCACTTTTCTGGCCTGACCATTTTTCTCAGATATTTTCTCTGTCCTTGTAGGCTCAAGAGCTACCTATTTGCAGCAGGAGGTATTTTCTTGTTTTTCTTCCTTTTACTTCCAGATTCAGTGCCATTTTGGTTTTCTGAGATGGTCTGACCTCTGTGAGTGAGGCTATGCTAATGCCTGACTGCTTATACTTCACCTGTACAGTACTAGTCCACACAATTCCTATGTGGAGTGTTGTTGGCTTGATTTTGAAGTATTGTTTGGGGTTCTCTGTAAATCAAAGTTTTATAGAAATGTGGCTATTCTACATTCGTTTTTGTTTAATACCAGCCACCCTGAATAACATGATTTTGAGAATCAGCATACTCCTAAAGTAGCCCATCATATGGCAGACACCTCAAGGCTAAGAGAAATATGAACGTTCTCATTTGTATAGGGTCATCTTTTTGAAAATGAAAGATTTATTAACACCTGAAAAAGATAATACATAGTATATAAGTAGATCTAAGCACATTAATTAGCAATTTGATTGGTTGCAGCCTCTCCTAGGTAAACTTGAATCATGAAGGTACTGAAATATATCCTGCACAGAAATTCACCAGGGCAGGAGATTGAGTAAAGTGCTCCTCCACAGAGCATAGCCTGGCATCCTGAAATAGAAGTGTAAGAATTTTTTTAAGTAAAAGATTATTGCATATTTATGGATTCTTTACACAATTTTTTTATTCTATAGTAGATCCTTTAGCTCCTGTATTTAATATACAGCAGAATATACTTTTTAGTTTCCTTGGAAAGGAACAGTTTTCACTGTCTGGTAATAAAACGCAAGATGCAATAAATTTAATCCAAAATAAGTTACAGTAAAATAGGGCACTTACTAGTTTGAAAGAAAATATTAAATGATTCTGTTAGTTCACAGTGTGGTCAATACCTGTACATATGAACTTCAGTAGGAAATTTAGTCCCAGGAAGGAAGAAAGGTTTAAAGTGTTCCAGCCAGTCTTGTCTCAAGAATTCCAATCGTCTTTTTTTTTCCTCCCTGGTACTCAGAGTTTACACTAGGTGGCATGCAAGGAAAGCTAACAAATTCAGAAACTCGATTCTGTGGGAGCAGGATTCTTTGGTACTAATCACGATAGTGGGTCCAGCTTTGGAGTTAACCATTTGATTTGTGATGGTTTTTCTTTTCTCCTCCCCACCCCAGGATGAAGTGTCCTCTTGCTAGCACCAATAAAAGATTTCTAATTAACACAATTAAAAACACATTGCCCTCTCATAAAGAGCAAGACCATGAACAAAAAGAGGGCGATAAGGAACCAGCGAAGAGCCAGGCCCAGAAAGAAGAAAACCCGAAGAAACACAGAAGCCATCCTTACAAGCACAGCTTCCGCGCTCGAGGTTCCGCCAGTTACTCCCCGCCACGAAAGCGGAGCAGCCAGGACAAGTACGAAAAGCGGTCCAACCGGCGGTGAGGCTGGAACCAGGGCCAGCCAGCCCTGCGGGCCTCCGTGCTCCTTCGGGGTGCGGTGTGCGGAGAAGGCCTGAGCTGGCAGGGCAAACACCTGAGAGTGACTTTGACATTAGGTCCTTTGTTGTTTTTAAAGAGGCTGCTGGCCACAGGCAAAAAAAATGACCTAGCAACTCTTGAGGAAACAAGTGCAAAGGAGGATGTCTTGGCAAGTTTAAGCTACTTCTGCAGTGTAGTAGACTTACATATTGTTGTTTATCTTGTTTGGAAGTGTGTTTCAAAATAAACATGTCTAGAATTTAAAGTTTTCAGAGATTGTTAAAACTGGTTCCAATTTTTTGGTCATTTCTCAGAAAAATAAAATACTTATAAATCCTATATTTTACTTTTTGGGGGTATTACATTTAAAATTTAGAAATCATCAGTCCAGTGACCATATTTATGAAAAGCTGTAGCCCTCCAAGGTCTGGGAATTTATCGAGAAGCTCTTTGATAGCTCTGCATTTGTTTTCCCTTAGGTGAACAATGTAGGAAATCCTCAAAGTGGCTTTGAATTTAATGCTCCACTTCAGTTACCAGAGGTTAAAAATGGGTTTTGTTGTTTCCTGTGCATTCTCAAACTCATTTATTAGATAGAACAATCTTTCTATATTTAATTTTTTTAATATATAGGTCTTAAGTGGTGCTTTAAAAAGAACCCTCACAAGTTAAAAATTAAGAGTTGTTTCAGTGCTAGATCTTACCAGCTAAAGACTTGTGATACCACTATATAGTATAGTTGTTCCAGAAATCTTCATTTTAAATAGAAGTGTTTACAATGCCTTTTTTCCCCCAGTATTGGTTTTCAATACCTGTTTTCATATACAATTACAAACCTTTCAAACCTGTATTCCTTCTTTATACTCAGGAAAATGTCACCAAGCACCCTCCTCCCCAGTTCACAAAAGGAAGAAGATGAAGATTCTGTCTCCCTGTTCCCCCTCCCCAGTTTTCCAAAGTGTCTGAGCATATGCCTGGCTGTCCTCAGATCATCACCATGCCACATCCCTGCTCCCTACTTCCTGGCAGCCAAGAAAAGCCCTTTCTACATGCTAGAAGGAAATACATCCAAAAAGTTAGCATTGGAGTGTTAGAAACTAGAATAGACCTCTCCGCCACCGAGCTGCTGTGTCACGCCCTCAGCCTGCTAGGGAGTGACAAGCCCAAGTCATTCTTGATCCACCCCTTCTCCCACCCCAGATCCCAGGGACTCATCCTGTGACTTTGTAACCACACTCATTCCTTTCAAACACAGAGGAGGAATTATTGCTTCATCTGACTTTATTCAAATCTAGTTATGTATTGGCCTAAATTATTTGTGCAAAATTTGAAATGTTTTTTATTTAAATATTAGAAATAGCACAAAGTCATGGAGTTTTTAAAAATTGTTATAATTAAGTAAAAATAAAGCTGAATTGTGTCATTTGTGTATGCATTCTGTATTTATTCATTATTTATTCATTTATTTTGTTTGAGAAGGAGTCTCGCTCTTTTCCCCCAGGCTGTAGTGTGATGGCACGTATCTCGGCCCACTGCAACCTCCGCCTCCTGGGTTCAAGCGATTCTCCTGCCTCAGCCTCCTGAGTAGCTGGGATTGCAGGTGTGCGCCAACATGTGCAGCTCATTTTTGTATTTTTAGTAGAGAGAGGGTTTCGCCACGTTGCCCAGGCTGGTTTCGAACTCCTGAGCTCCGGTGATCTGCCCGCCTCGGCCTGCCAAAGTGCTGGGATTACAGGCGTGGGCCACTGCACCCAGCCTTGCATTCTGTATTTATAACACACAGACAAGTTCATTATCCTTTAAAAGGGAATGACTGAAATGAACACATTTTTGTACTCAAAATTAAGGGAAGCTTTTTAGCCTAACTATACTTACCTTTCTTAAGTTGTGTTAAACGACAGTGGCCTACAAAACCATTTTCCCTTTTAAAAGCACTGTTCTATTTCAGAAAAGTTTATTGGAATCTTTAGGCTTCTATCAAGAGCAGCCATAATTTCCAGTCTAAAAATGTCAAGAGAAAATTATCTATTTTTTATTCCCTATGTATACAGTAGATGTTAGGGGAGGGATTGGTCATGAGATACATTCACCAGCCACCTCCTGTTTCTGTGGTTAACATACTGGCGCTGCCAAGAGCTCCCATCCGCCTGTGTTACTATCTGATCTCCATTGTAACTATATTTAGAGATCACAAAGCCTGGGATAGAGGTTAGAGAAACTGAATCTTAGTCCTGCCTCTGCTTCTGGCTAGCTTCAGGCCTTATCTGGGTCACTTTTCTGGACTGCATTTTTTCATCTGCAAACTAAGATGTTTGGAGTGAGTCTTTAACTTTCAATAGGTAAAGAAAGAAGTGCAAATAGCCCTAAATTTTAGGAACTGCGTTCCATGCTTCCACTAGAAACCATTAAGACTTAAACACAAATGCAACTTGACATAATTTTTTGTTTTATCTCATGTTAGAAAACAGCCTGTAAGAAATATAAGCAAAAAGCTATGGTTCCTAGCCATATCTGGTCACCTATTGGTGGCTAGTCTTTCTGAATCGCCCATTTATGAAGGGGGAGGGACTTAGGGTAGGTCCCTCTGAGTAGGCAGTTTATAAATTTTTATTTGGAAACACATGTTATAAATCTCAGTGGGTTTTACTTTAGGGCTCAGCAGGCTAAGCACTAAAGGACATTTCCTCAGAGCTGATTCTGGAAGATGGCTGTGGAGTTTTGAATTTCCCTGTGGACTTCTTTTTTGCTGAGAGGTTGGCAGGGGGGCAGGGGGCACATTGGCACATCTGCTTCAAAGCATAAAAAATGCTTTGGGGTAGCATTTATTCTTTCACTGATTATTCAAGTGACTTAGCATGGCACTTACATATTTATTTATTTTTTGAGATGGAGTCTCGCTCTGTTGCCCAGGCTGGAGTGCAAAGGCACGATCTCAGCTCACTGCAACCTCTGCCTCCCAGGATCAAGCAACTCTCCTACCTCAGCCTCCCGGGTAGCTGGGACTACAAGGCATGTGCCACCTGGCTAATTTTGTATTTTTAGTAGAGACGGGGTTTCACCATATTGGCCAGGCTGGTCTTGAACTCCTGACCTCAGGTGATCTGCCCACCTCGGCCTCCCAAAGTGCTGGGATTACAGGCGTGAGCCACAACACCCAGCCCATATTTTTACAATTAGTTACATATTCGTCATTCGTAGAGGTCATGCCATCACCTTAGAATCATAAAGAGTATCTGGTGGATAAGCAGTGCCTATTTAATAGACATTATATGAGGTGGGTTCCTGATGAAATGAAGCCTCATCACTTTCCTAAGGAGTGTTCTGTGTCCTGGGATCCAGTATAGAGGACTCCCCTCCCCAGAGGAGCTGAATCTAGGAAACCCATAAATATTCTCCCTATGAGGTGTTTGTAGGCTGTATTGGAACTGTGTGGACAGTAACAGTGATTGTCTATCACCTGTGGCCAAACACTGTTATATCTTTTACCTGTGTTCAGGTAGTTATCCCACAACCCTATGAAGAAGATGCTACTCACCTTCATTTTACAAATAAGGGAAACTGAGGATAGATTAAAAACTTTGCCCAAAATCACAGAACTAGGAAGTGGCAGAAATGCTAGCTGAAGCCAAGACTCTCTGAATCAAAAACCCATACTCTTTCCTGTACCCTATGCCAAACTTAATCCAAACTCGGCTCCCTCAAAACACAGGACGGGAGGGTCGTCTCAAGGTGTATATGCTCCATGTCTTCCCAATTTAAGAACCTAAAGAACTTTTATAATCACTGCATTTTGCAAGCCAAAATCTACTCCCATAGATCAGAACATGGAAGCCCCAGCAAAGAACATTTGTATGGGGAACTGTTTCCCAAGGGCCAGTGTAGACAGCGATCTGAATCCAAGAGAAAAACTCTCACAACTCTTGTGAAATGGTTAAATGGCAGCTAATGGAATATAGCTATGGAAAACTAAAACCTCAGGTGAAGCCAGTATTCTAGATCTTCCATGTTTGAATTTTTTTTTCTCCATCCATAAGAATAGTGAGATTTGGGAGTAAAGAAATCCTTGGGACGCGGCCTCTTTGATACCATAGAAAACATTCTATAATCCAAGGAATTTGAGAAACTATCTCTTGGAAAGCCATGTCAGCAGATCATAAATTGAGCCTCACCCATGGCTCTTCTGAGTCTAGATACTGAGAAGGTTAGTTTGCCAAGTGGAAACTCTTGTTCTCAACATGGAAAAGATGCCCAGGAAGCATGCCCTTTTACACACAGGAACACATAAAGAGGAAAGTAAATTAATCCCCATTAAACTGGCAAGGCAACACTGAAGGCAGAATTCAAAGGCAACTTATACATTTTTATTTGGTAACCCATGTTATAAATCTCAATGAACATTACCATGAAAAGGCCAATAATAAACATGGATTTTGGAGCATCATTAATAGTAAGATGAAAGATGAACTATTTCTCCCATCCATATAGTCCTGTAATATTCACCTTTGGTTTCGATAACTTATAAATACTCTCTATGTGAAACAAATACCAGATATAACACATCATATGAAACACCTGAGGGAGACATTTCTCCTCCACATAAATGTATAGCCTGCCCTAAGTGGTGGTCCCTTGTCCTTCCTGGATTGTTTTTTCTTATTAATTCCTCAGTGGTAGCTCCCTCAAGTTGAACTAGTATATACTGTCCAATTATAAGCCCCTATCTACTCCAAATTACACTCATCAGTCTGCTAAATACTCCTTTCAAAGCTCAGTACCAATTTACAAAGAAAACTCCACAAGACTTATTTTTAATCCCACATCCTGCATGAAGAACAGACCATTGGTGTACTCATTCATTCTCTCACTCAGTGAACACTTAGAGAATCAGGAGATTATGACAAGCACATGCTGGGCCCAGACCTGGACAATTTAACCCCGTTTCCAAAATCTAGGCCATGCTTGTGTCTTCCATACTTAAAGCTACAGAGTATCTGTTCAGTACAATACTTGCTTCCTGAAATTTTTTTGGCCCTGCCTGCAGTTATTCTGATCTTCCATACTGGTGAAGCAGTTGGTAGTTGTTCATCAGCACAAAAACAGTGCAGATTCCTTCATTTTCATTTTGTTAAAGAGTCCAAATTTTCATTTTGATGAATTCTAAAAACATGCATCTGATGAATCTTAAAAATATGTATGTGAATCTCTAAAGTATTAACAGCAGACACAGCAGGCAATGTATGATATAAAACCAGCTCATGTAAAACTACTAGAAATAAACTAAGAGCACAGTAAAAAAAATTGGTAAAGATGAAATGCTCATGGAAGAGAAAATACAACTGTCCAATAAGCATATGAAAAAATGTTCAAATCAGCAGTAAACAAAAAAAGATGCAAATTAAAACAATTTTTTTTACCTTTCAATTTAGCAAAGACTTTGAGGTTTTTGTTTTTGTTTTTGCTGTTGTCATTTTAAGTAATTCTTCTGACAAAGGTGTGGTAATGCAGATACTCAAAAAATTTGTAAGAGGGCACAATGGCTCAGTATTTCCAGAAATATTTAAAATGTTCTCTTTTGTTGACAAAGTACTTCTTCTAAGAGTTTCACAGTTGGTTTTGTGTTTGGCTTCAGTATTTATCTGTTATGGGTTGAATTGTGTCTTTCTCAAATTTATATGCCGAAGTCCTCACCTCCAGTATTTCAGAATGGGACTGTATTTGAAGATTGGGACTGTAAAGAAGTAGCTAAGATAAAAGACTGTCAGGGTAGCCTCGATCCAATCTGACTGGTGTCCTTATTTAAAAAAAAAAAAAAAAAAGAAAGCCAGGCGAGGTGGCTCACACCTGTAATCCCAGCACTTTGGGAGGCCAAGGTCAGGAGTTCAAGACCAGCCTGACCAACCTGGAGAAACCGCGTTTCTACTAAAAATACAAAATTAGCCATGCGTGGTGGCACACGCCTGTAATCCTAGCTACTCAGGAGGCTGAGGCAGGAGAATTGCTTGAACCCAGGAGGCAGAGGTTGCAGTGAGCTGAGATCGTGCCATTGCACTCCAGCCTGGGCATCAAGAGTGAAACTCTACCTCAAAAAAAAAAAAAAAAAAAAGAAAAAAAGAAAAAGATGTGGATACACAAAGAGACACCAGGGGCTCCTGCATGCAGAGGAAAGGCCATGTGAGGATGTGGGGAGAAGGCTTCCATCTGCAAGTCTAGGAGAGAGGCCTCAGGAGAAACCAACCCTGCAGACACCTTGATCTTGGACTTCCAGCCTCCAGAACTGTGAGAAAATAAATCTCTGTTGTTGAAGCCACTCAGGCTGTGGTACTTTGCAATGGCAGCCTAAGCAGACAATATAGCATCCTTATCTAGATGTTTGCTAAAACTTTCTTCTGATTTAATCACTGGGCTTTTGTTCTTGTTTTAATTATTCTGCTTTAGAACTATATGAACAAACATAGTAATAATTATATCAATGTAAAAATGAAAATAAATCACAAATGTCTTTTCTTACATGTTAACTATGTTCATTTCCCCATGTTCCCAATGCATTATGAGATTGGGATGCTGTTTAACAGGATGCAGTATGTACTCTGAATTAGTGACCAACAAATTGTTTTTTCTCCCAAAGCCAGGACACGACTAGTCTGGAAACCAAGAGGAGGATGTGGCAAAACTCAAAATTAAAATTAATGATTTACTCTCAAAAGCATGTGCTCAGTCTCCCTAAATCTCTGAGCCCTGCAGATCTGTTTTAGGATCCAGTGGAGAAAGGGTACTACCAGGGATCATAAAAGCAATGACACTGAATTGGAAGTTAAGACTGCCACGTGGCAATCAACCCAAATGCCCATCAATCAACAAGTGGATTAAGAAACTGTGATACACACACACACACACACACACACACACACACACACACATATGATGGCATACTTCTCAGCCATAAACAGGAATGAATTAATGGCATTTGCAGTGACCTGGATGAGATTGGAGACTATCATTTTAAGTGAAGTAACTCAGGAATGGAAAACCAAACATCGTATGTTCTCACTCATAAGTGGGAGCTAAGTTATGAGGCTGCAAAGGCTTAAGAATGACACAGTGGACTTTGGGAACTCAGGGGGAAAGGGTGGGAAAGGGGTGAGGGATAAAAGACTACAAACAGGGTGCAATGTGTACTGCTCGGGTGATGGATGCACCAAAAACTCACAAATCACTACTATAGAACTTACTCATGTAACCAAACACCACCTGTTCAACCAGTAACGTGTGGGGAAAAAAAAGACTGCCACATCTGCCACGTGGCAATTTCCGCCTCCTCTTTAGGATCACACTCTTGAATGGGGAATTTGACCCTGAATATTAAAAGAAAATCGGGTTGGCACTCTATCTTGGAAGCTGGAGAAAGCTTAAGAGAAATCCTGGTACACCTCCATGTGGGATCATGCTTAGGGGTAAAGGTTAGTGGAAGACCAAGCATCAAGTAGCCATGCCATGTAGACCAGGGGCATGCTTTGCCCATATAACACCTTTATGTGAATGGGAGCAAGGTGCCTGCTTTGGGTGGCTAAATTCTGGAGGCTATATGCATTGGCAAGCTGGATTTTGCCTCCATTCGCACTCACATCTGGGCGCCCTTGTGCAGGTTCCATCACTTGGAGTTCCAAGTGGCAGCCCTGACATGGACTTTACGGACTTTACTTCATGAATGAAAGTTTAGGTTACCCCACTAGACAAAGAGTCCCAGTGAGCTAAGGTGCTGGCGGAAGGCAACTGTTTCATGGAATGGGAGAGGACTCAGAAACACCAGCTACGCTGTTATAACCAGCTAAAGAAACGAAGACTATAACTTTTCATGATTTAAATTATTTTTCTTGATCTTTCTTTCTCCTTTCCCTTACTATTGTATATTCAATGTGTTGCCTGTGGTTTGGTTTATACTTGAGTCCACAGAAGTGAGTGGAGACTTGAGACAAACTAAAAGTAAAGTAAATCAGCTGAGGTGCTGGAGCTCAGTAGTCCCATGACATCACTTCTAGAAGCAGTAGTTGGGTGTGATGCTGGCTCTGCCAATGATGAAGTGAGTTTGTATGTAGGACAGTTACTTGGATTAGACTGGGATATTTTTGGAACTCTGTGTGTCTCTCTGTTTATGGACAGTGTAGGGGTGGACTGAAATGACCTTATCCACCCAGTACCTCCTCCTAGCCTTCATTTTGTAATGGAGCCTGCCCCAGCCATAGAGGTGGGTACGTGAACCAGGCTGGGCCAATCAGACAGACTACTTCACACCTGAAGCCAAAAAGGGTTTATCCAAGGATGGGGATATGACCAAAGGAGGCTCAGATTAGGCCTATTCTCTCAGGAGTTTGGAACCTGAACAGAAACATACAGAGAGAGAAGGCAGTTGGAGCTGAAGTCATTGGATGTGAGTGTCTAAAAGAGATGGTCCTTGTGTTCCTGCTGCTAAGCTCCCCAGAGAATCCTGTTCTTGTCCTTTCCAAAGCTTGGTTGGGAAGCTGTTCACCAGCATCCTTCCAATAACGTCCCTTTGTGCTTAAATTTATTATGTAGATTTCTATTGCTTGTAGCCAAAGGACCTTCGCTACTATAATCACTATGCAAGGATTAAAAAAAAAAAAGCTCCTAGATATTTTAAGAAAAATAGCAATATACAGAATGGTATGTATAACATTACCATTTGTATAAGAAAATAAAATGGAACATCTTTGTATAGATATGGTAATATATCTGTATACAGACATACACATACCATTCTTTGCATAGAATACCTCTGGACCAATACTTAAGAGACTGTAAACAGAGTGGGAAATGGAGAGTGGAAGGCATACCTCCAGTTTTGCTGTTTCCATTTGATCCATATAGTTTTGAACCATGAGCATTATTTTGAAAATAGTTATTTTATTTTAAATAAATGAATTAAGTATATTATACTGCTATCATTTGGATATTTGACCCTCCAAACCTCATGCTGAAGTTTGATCCCTAATGTTGGATGTGGGGCCTACTGGTTGGGTGTTTGGGTCTTGGGGGTGGATTCTTCATGAATAGATTTATGCCATCCCTAGGAGGTGGGGGTGGTGAGTGAGTTCTCATTTTGTTAGTTCCCATGAGAGCTGGTTGTTACCAAGAGCCTGGCACCTCCCACTCCTTGCTCCCTCTCCTACCATGTGATCTCTGCACATGTGGCTCCTCTTCACCTTCTGCCATGAGTGGAAGCAGCTTGAAGCCTTCACCAGAAGCAAATGCCGGCACCATGCTTCTTGTACAGCCTGCAGAACTATGAGCTAAATAAATCTCTTTTTTAAATAAATTACTCAGGCATTCCTTTATAGCAACACACAATGGACTAAGATATATACATTGTGATGAAAATGATGTATTGTTATGTGAAAAAAGCAAGCTGCAGAACTTTAAGCAAAATATGACCCCATTTGTGTGTGATTTCTTAAGTGTTTGTGTGTGCATTCACATGTGTGGGAGGGCATGGCCTAGTTGTATGTACATGGAATACCTTCTACTAGGCCCCACCTCCAACGCTGGGGATCACATTTCAATGTGAGGTTTGGAGGGTCAAATATCCAAATGATAGCAGCATATACATCTACTTAATTCATTTATTTAAAATAAAATAACTTTATTTTTAAAATAATGTGCCCATGGTTCAAAACTATATGGATCAAACTGATGTCTTATGTACATACAACTATGTACATATAATACATAGAACTATATGTATCAAACTAATAGCAGTGGCTCGCTCTGGAGTGAGAGGGAATAGTATTATTATTATCATTATTATTATTATTATTTTGAGATAGAGTCTTGCTCTGTTGCCCAGGCTGGAGTGTAATGGTGTGATCTCAGCTCACTGCAACCTCTGCCTTCTGGGTTCAAGCGATTCTCCTCCTGCCTCATCCTCTCAAGTAGCTGGGATTATAGGCGCGCACCATCACACCTAGCTAATTTTTTTTATTTTAGTAGATACGGGATTTCACCATGTTGGCCAGGCTGGTCTCGAACTCCTGACCTCAAGTGATCCACCCGCCTTGGCCTCTCAAAGTGCTGGGATTACAGGCATAAGCCACCGCGCCCAGCTGAGAGTATTATTAATACATTTCTTTTCTTTTTATGCATACTCTTAAAATATAGATGTATATAAATTTGTAACAAAAAAAAATCTGTAAAGAAAAAAAGAAAGAAAAAGAAAAGTGTAGGGAGCAAACCCAGTGACTTATCCCCACCCTGTTCAGTTCTTTTCCCTCACACATGTTCACAAGGGCTCAAAGTGGTGACATCACTCACATGTTTGTGGTGGTGCTGGGGCTAGCAAACCTATTGCACTGCCGGTCATATCAGAGTACAGCACATGCAATTATGTACGGTGAATAATACTCAATAATGATAATCAATAACTATGTTAGTGGTGCATGTATTTACTATATTTTTATTGTTATTTTAGAGTGTACTCTCTACTTATTAAAAAAAAAAAGTTAATTGTGGAACAGCCAAGCAGGTCCCTGAAGGGAGTACCCCAGAACAAGGTGTTGGTATCATAGGAGATGACGGCTCCGTGTGTGTTATTACCCCTGCAGACTTTTTAGTAGGACAAGATGTGGAGGTGAAAGACAGTGACGTGGATGATCCTGCTCCCATATAGGCCTAGGCTTACGTGTTGTGTTTGTGTCTTAGTTTTTAACAAAAATGTTTAAAATGTAAATATATATATATATATAGTTAAAAGCTTATAGAATATAGAATAAGGATATAAAGAAAATATTTTTGTATGACTGTACAATGTGTTCATGTTTTAAGCTGTGTTATTACAAAGCCAAAAAGTTTTTAAAAATTAAAAGTTTATAACACAAAAAAGTTACAGTAAGCTAAGGTTATTATTGAAGAAAAAAAAATCTTATTTAATAAATTTACTGTGGCCTAAGTATAAAGTGTTTCGAAAGTCTCCAGTAGTCTACAGTCATGTGCTAAGCCCTCACATTCACTCACCACTCACTCACTGACTCACCCAGAGGAACTTCCAGTCCTACAAGCTCTATTCATGGTAAGTGTGCTATACAGGTATACAGTTTTTTATCTTTTATGTTGTACTTTTCCCGTTTTTTCCTATATTTAGATACACGAATGCTTGCCATTGTATTACAATTGCCTACAGTATTCAGTAGAGTAACATGCTGTGCATGTTTGTAGCCTAGGAACAATAGGCTACACCATATAGCCTAGGTGTGTAGTAAGCTACACCATCTAGCTGTATGTAAGTGTACACTCTATGATGTACACACAGTGGTGAAATCATCTGGGCCGGGGGCGGTGGCTCACGCCTGTAATCCCAGCACTTTGGGAGGCCGAGGTGGGCGGATCACCTGAAGTCAGGAGTTCAAGACCAGCCTGACCAACATGGTGAAACTCCATCTCTACTAAAAATACAAAATTAGCCGGGTGTGGTGGTGCATGCCTGTAATCTGAGCTACTTGGGAGGCTAAGGCAGGAGAATTGCTTGAACCCTGGAGCTGGATTGCACCATTGCACTCCAGCCTGGGCAACAAGAGCGAAACTCCATCTCAAAAAAAAAAAAAAATCATCTAACAATGCAGTTCTCAGGATATATCCACATCGTTAAGTGACACATGACTGTATTTGACAAAGTGCTCAACATCGTCAGTAATCAAGAAGTTGCAAATTAAAACCAAAATGGGATAGTACACACCCAACAGAAGAGCTAAAATTAAGGAGACTGACAACTCCAAATCTCATTGAGGAGCTAGAGCAACCAGAATTAACATATATTGCTGGTGGGAGAGTAAAATGGCATAATCACTTTAGTAGTTTTTTTTTTTTTGTCTGTTTGTTTGTTTTTTGAGACAGAATCTCACTCTGTCACCTAGGCTGGAGTTCAATGGTGCGATCTCGGCTCACTGCAACCTCCATCTCCTGGGTTCAAGCGATTCTCCTGCCTCAGCCTCCCAAGTAGCTGGGATTACAGGCATGTGCCACCACACCCAGCTAATTTTTGTATTTTTAGTAGAGACGGGATTTCACAATGTTGGCCAGGCTGGTCTTGAACTCCTTACCTCAAGTGATCCGCCCACCTCGGCCTCCCAAAGTGCTGGGATTATAGGCGTGAGCCATCTGGCCCAGCCTTAGTAGTTTCTTATAAAACTAAACATACACCTACCTCATGACCCAGCAATTCCATTCCTAGATATTTACCCAAGAGAAATGAAAGCATTTGGTCACGGTAAAACTTGTACAAAGTGTTCCTAACATTCATAACTGATAATTGCTTCAAAGTGGGAAAGCCCAGAATGTGGCATGTACATAAAATTGTAGACCTGATGAAGATGCCATTCAGATGCCCCTCGAGAAGGATGGGCTGACCAGCTGCAGGGAGTGCAGTCAGCAGGTGGCTTCCAGCTCCCAGCTCCTCAACATCAGTCTGAGCTGCAGAGAAAAACATACCCTTCTGGGCGTGGCCTGCATCTGGTGACTGAGCAAGGTGGAGAGATAAAAGCACGACTGTTTCGGCTCCACATGGGAAACTGGCAGGCAGGACTTCCTCCGAGTTCCCCACTGGTTTGGCAAGGCTCTATCTGGCCTGCAGGGCAGTTCAACCTCTTCATCTTTCTCAACTTCAATTGTGCTTCCACCTGCTTCCTTACACAGGTGTTGATCCCTAGTTAGCTTCTTGCACCCTAAACTCTGTCTCATCATCTGTGTCTAGACAATCCAGTTTGCTGCAGTTGTGTCTGGAAAGAGCAGGCAATCAAATGGGATTTTGGAGCTGAATCATTCACCGCCCAGCTAGCAATGTGGACACCTTGCACAGATGGTGTTTCCATTGTTAAAACTTCCACTGGTGGTGAATCAGGAGAGTGGACTTCTGGAAAGGGATGCACTGCAGAGGTGATGAGTCAGGTGCTTGAGAATTCTGGAAGAAATAGTAGATACAAGGATAAGGGGATTCTATGGCTATTGCCTGGTGCTAAAATGACTTGGGAAGCATGGAAAAAGCAATGGCCCCTGCTGAGTGAAACTGAAATGTCATTATCAAATAGCTGGTCTTTCATGAACTTTTACCTCTAGTCATAGCTGTATTAGGAAAGAACTCAAGTTCCAGGTATTTGGGGATAGAGCCCCTCTCTGCCCATAAAGTGCAGCAATAACCCTATTTCTACTTGTTAATTAGGAGCAATCACCTCAGCAAACACAGCACCTCCACTTTATGCCAGTTGATTCACTAGCATCAAAAGCCACAATGGCCGTGTGGTTGTCTCACTGGACCCATTGTTGAGTCCCCTCTAGAAGCCTGCCTTCTTTGTCAGGCCTCTAAAGAAGCAGGACCTAAACCCAGAATAGGAAGCAACATTTTACAAGTGAGTCCTTATGCGTCACAGTGGTAGGTACCACTCCTACTTTCACCCCTTGATTCTTGGACCCATTTTTTCTGCTTATGCACCATAAGAAGAGAAACTGCACCATATATTGGCTGTTGTATAGAACAAAACCCTAACTTCACTTGTAAATCTCCAAGTTGATATTATGAATGAGTCATCAAAAGGCCATTCTACCATTCTATAGGATGAGTGACTTCTAGCTGATGGTGTTTATTCTAAGAACAGTGAATCCTTTGAGCATATTGAGTCACCTTTTTGCTGTCAAATAAATTTCTGGCAGATGCAACATTGTAAGGAATAACATGATGGTGAATAAGACACAAAAAATATCCATGGATGGAGATGCTAGATGCATGGTGGACAGGAAAGGCAAATCTATATTCAGAATGTCTGCTTCAAAGAGGATAAATTACTGCCCTCTCCATGATGTAAGGAGTCAAGTGCAATCAATGAGCCACTAGGAGATTGGCTGGTCCCTTCAGAGCATGGTGCTAAATGGTAGTTAGCAAGTTGGATACTCTGCAGTGGTAGTGGTAGTCAGATCAGCACAGTGGCAATATCCACGGATGCCTAATCTCCAGCCCTGCCACCATGACCACATTGTACACAAACTCCTCAGATGTAGTTCACTGAGGTCTACACAGTGAGTCATGTTGTCCATTTCGTTAGTGAGATCCTCTTCTACCATGGGCTCCCTCTGGCAAACATTCATGTAAGATATCAATTTATCTCACGCTGTGCATTCTAAGAGGTTTGGCCATATATCTCTTGCGCAAACTTCCTTGTCTCTAATTCTCTGATCTTGTTTCTAGCATGTCTCTGACCATCTGGCCAAATCATTGTCCAGCGACTATGAGTCAGTATAGATATGCACCTCTGACTTCTTCTTCCATTTAAGCTAGACAACCAATGTCCTGCTAGATGTTCTGCCCACTGGGAAGATTCCTTTCCCCAGTGTCCTTCAGGGCCACCCATGAGTGGGGCTGTAATGCTATAGCCATCCCTACAACCAGCAGAAGAAAGCTGTAAATGAGACCAGAGGGATGAAGGAGATGAGCAGGACATCAGGAAGTCTGAGCCACTTCTTCTGAATCCTACCTGTCAGGTGGTGCCTGATCTTCAGGATCCTGCCTTCAGGACCTGCTTTTGCCTGATCCCATATGAACACTTGGTTTGAAGGTAAAGTGCTGCTTCATATGCCCAAATGTATGATGTTTGGATGACATCATAATGGGCAGTTCATAATGAGCAGTTTGAGTCATATGTTCAGTTAATGCCCTATAATCAAGTGTTTAGTCCCCACTCAGACCCAATAGACATCTAGGAACTGTTTCTCAAGAGGAGATTAGCTATTTGCTCAGGAGTGTATAGCTTCTTTCAAACACTGTAACTGGAACTACAATTCTTCCATGAGTTTGCCCAGGGCTCAATAGAGTATCTTCTACTTCAGACATATTGAGTATCACTAGATTTGCTAGATCATAAAGCCTGAGGATGATAGTCACATTGTGCATGACCCAGCTAGGAAGCATTCTCTTGCTCTTGATGCCACTCAGACCTGCTAGCTTTACATATTTCTTGGTAAATGGATAGAGAATCACACTCAAATATGGCAGAGTAGGGCACTATGGAATTTGTTGTCCCAGTCCAAGCACATTAAAACAAAAGAATTACTTAAAATACGTCAAGACAACAGGCATAGACTTGAACTGTTCCAGGCAAATAAGTCACTCTAGACATATATTGCCTCCAAGATTCAAAGAAGCCCAGCAAGCATTTTGATTTTCTTTAAGTGGAAGAGGATGCAAACTGTTGTGTTACCCAGTCAATGAGCTATGTTCAAATTTTAATTATAGTCTTTCTATTCTCTCTGTGGTTCAAGGGTTTTTCCTGCAGGAAAACAAATGCAGTCTCAGTGTGAGAAAGGTAAAGGGATTACCCATTGGCATCTATGACTGAGTAAAGACTACCTTGAAGTCTTGAAAAACTGCATGAAGATACAGGAAAAATAACCTCAGGACTACCTGTATGAGCTGGAAAACCAGTCAGCTAATATAAACTGTATGATACCTAAGTCCTTCTCTTGCCTACAATTTAAGTTTGTTGTCGCTTTAAGTCTTGTTTTCCTTCTATTCACCTTGTCCACCTCCCAGAGGTTTCTCTTACACTGAGGATGAACAACTACAGCCCTTGGAAAGGTATAATTACAGATAATGAATATATACATATAATGAATGGATTTATATATCCATAGAGAGAGGAGAATGATGAGGGAAAACACCTTTTATGGCAGATATTCTGAAAACTCTAAAAGAATATTGTCATTACCTTTCTTTGCAAGTGTAAATTTTTTCTGGTTTACTACCACTCCATCTGTTTTCAAAAATATACACCTGAATCACTTTTCAAATTTATACTATATGTTTATTTATATATTAGCTAGTTTATATGTAGAAAGGTAGGGTGAAGATCTTGGGTTGTACTTGTGTAAAAAAGAACCTGTGAAAGTAATGTACTAAGAACTGAAGTGAACTTCTGCTTCTGGCCAAAGTGGTACACCAGATTTACTCTCTGAGAGGACCAGATTTACCCTCCCACATGAAATAACGAAAAAAACCCAAAAAGATGAAACATGTGAAAAACAGATCTCAAGATATGGGCAGCAGGCAACAAAGAATAATGATCCTTGAGTAGAAGAAAACAAATGAGGTGGACCCTATGATTGTCCTTGTGTGGAGAAAGTTCCTAGGCTATGGTGCAGGAAACAGGAATCCAGGTAGAGCCACAAGGTTCTCCTGAGTTGAGAAGACAGAACTTTCTGGGAGTCTAGAGGGGGCCACAGCAGCTAGAGTTTACAGGGGAACATATTGAAGAGGAGAGATCACAAAGAAAGAAGCCAATCACTAAAGGGTCACTATAAGATATTCAGATAAACACTGATCAGTGAATGTGTGTAAAAAAAAACTATCTGAGGCTAGGAATAAAAACAACAATCATGAAGGCATTAAATGAAACAATCCTCAGAGCTCACATAGGGTTAGGAACAGTTTCTGGTTTTGCTAGCCACAGTGGAAAACCTAACAATTCACAAAACATCAGAGTACTTACATGAATTTTGCCTCAGTAGTAGGGAAAATTTAGCCCTAGACTAAATAGCTTTCTGAATCCACCAAGCAAAGATTAAAAGCAAGACCTAAAATAAACAAATTGTTTCCAAGTAACCTAATTGCATTCCAGAACAAAGTTATAGAATGATCACATTAATCCAAAGATATACAGCATCACCAGATAAAATCACAGTGCCTGGCACTCAATCAAAAATTAGAAGGCATGAAAGGAAGCAGAAAAACACAAGCCATTAGGAGGAGAAAGACAAAAAAGACGTAGAGATGTTAAAGATGATAGAATTAGTGGCTAAGGACAATAATTGTTATTTCATATATGTCCATATAAATAGATCAAGATTAAACATCTTAAGTAGAGACATGGAATATATAAAAAAGACCCAGATCAAATAGATAGAGATGGAAACTCAATGTTCTGAGATGAAAAATATTTTGGATGGGATTAATGACAGATTAGGCATTGCAAAAAAAATTAGTGAACTTTAAGACAGCAAAAGAAACTATTCAAAATGAACTATGGAAAGAAAAATGACTGAAATGAAAAGGAACAGAGCCCTGGAACAAATTCAAGTGACTAAATATGTTTGCAATTGGAATCCCTAAAGATTAGGATGAGTAAAAAAATATATTTGAAGAAATAATGACCAAAAAATTTCCATATATAATGAAAACTATAAACACATGGACACAAAAAAACTCAATGAACTCCAAGAATAGAAAACATGAAGAAAACCACACCAAGGTACATAAAAATCAAATTGCTTTAAACCAATGATGAAGAGACAGTAAATATTAAAAGTAACCAAAGGAAAAAGATACAGTACATTCAGAGAAACAATAGTAAGGTTGAAAGCAGATATGATCACAAACAATAGAAGCCAGAAGACAGGGAAACAACATCTTTAAAGTACAGAAAGAAAAAAACAATTGCCAATGTAGAATAGTTAAAATACCTTTTGAAAATGAAATATTATTTCCAATGTCCTCATCTTCACTCTCTCATCAGCCTCATCAGCCATGCCCTTCCTTGCACAAAAAGTCCTCTTTGGAGAGAGTTTTCCAGCCATGGAATTAGAGTCCCCTTCTGTAGCTGCCACCAGCTTGAGCCCCTTGTGAACACTTGAGGGAAAATAACTGAGTAGGGTGATGATGAGGTACTGTTGTTTTGAGGTTTTTTACGTAGTGCTTTGGATTTTTTTAAGGTACTGTTCTCTGTTACAAAATTTATGCATTTTTTATTTTTAAAAGAATGTCAAAAAGAAAAGAAATGTACAAATTATACTCTTCCCTTACTCTTACCTAATGGTGAAAGTCTGAATGAATGTTCTTCCCTATAAGATCAGGAATAAAGCAAGGGTCACTATTTCTCTCCAACATTATCCTGGAGTGTCTAGCCAAGTATAATAGCTCAAGAAAAAGGGATAAATGTTGTTCATACCAGAAGAGAAGAATCAAAACTTTCTTGATTTGCAATTGACATAGTTTTCTATTAGAATATCCTGTAGAAACTTTAAATAGCTACCAGAACTACTGAGCAAGTTTAGCAAGGCTGCAGAATACAAGAAGAGAATACAAAAATGAATTATATTTCTAATACTAACATCATTGTTCTAACGAACAATCAGAAATAAAATTTAGAAAAAAATAAGTATTATTAAAAATATGAAATACATGGGGATGAACCTGATAAAGATATGAAAGGCCTGTACACCAAAACTACAAAACATGGCCGAGATTTCTGAAATCTGGCCAGGCATGGTGGCTCACACCTTTAATTCCAGTACTTTGGGAAGCTGAGGAAGGCAGATCACTTGAGCCCAAGAGTTCAAGTCCAACCTGGGCAACATGACAAAACCCCATCTCTACAACAAAATACAAAAATTAGCCAGGCATAGTGGCACATGCCTGTACTCCTAGCTACTTGGGTGGCTGAGGCAGGAGGATCTCCTGAGCCTAGGAGGTTGAGGCTGTAGTGAGCCATGATTACACCACTGCACTCCAGCCTGTGTTGACAGACTGAGACCCTGTCTCAAAAATATGTATATTATAAATAAATAAAAAGACTTCTAAAATCTTAAAGATCTAAATAAATGGGAAGCTATACCATGTTCATGAATTGAGAGATTCAATATTTTTAATATCTCATTCTTCCAAAATAGATATATAAATCCAATGCAATTCCAATAGTGTTTTTTTTTCAAATGCCTTCAAAAATTCAGATGAAAATGCAAAGGACCTAGAGCAGCCAAAAAACTTTGAAAAAAAATGTTAGAGGACTTATTCTACCTGCCTTCAAGGCTTATTATAACTTATGTAATTAGGAGAGTGTGATATTGGCATCAAGAAAGACAATTAGATTACTGGAACAGATTAAGATTCCAGAAGTAGACCACACATATATGCTCAATTGACTTTTGGCAAAAGTGCAAAAGCAATTTAGTGGGATATAGACTTCATGCATAATAGTATGGGGAGCTCTGCAGACATGTTCCCCAGTAAAATGGTGAAATTATTTTATTATTTCATTTTTTAATTTAATTTTTTGAGACAATGTTGCACTCTATTGTCCAGACTGGAGTGCAGTGGTGCAATCATGACTCACTACAGCCTTGACCTCTTGGGCCTAAGCAATCTTCCCACCTCAGATACATGCTACCATGTTCCACTAATTTTTTTATTTTTTCTTTGTAGTCAGTCTCACAATGTTACCTGAGATGGTCTCAAACTCCTGAGCTCAAGCGGTCCTTCCACCTCAGCCTCCCAAATAGTGCTGGGATTACAGTATGAGCCACTGCATCTGGCCATGAAAATTGTTTTAAAAACAACTATTTAAATATCCCTAGAAATGGTTTTAAGAGTGCATAGCCAACGAAGAAACATTTGTCTTTTTAAGGCTACTAAAATTTGATAAGAACAATGAGAGTTTTGATATTTAAACCAAGACCACTTCTCTCTCCTCATTGACCACCAGTTCAGCAAGACAGAAATTCCACCCCAGACAGGTGCAGCCAAGAACACAGGGCTCCCTCTGCCCCCAGCAACCAGTCAGTGGGCCATCCTCCTTGGAGGGGCAGGACATCAGCATTCTCATCCAGTTCCCAGCTACCTGTTGCTGAGACTGAGTTCTAGGCAAGTATGCCCAAGGGATGGGCTTCCTTCTCCCATCCAGTCCCCACTGGTGGAACAGAGGCTTGGCCTTGGGCATGGCACCACTGAGAATTCTGTGTCTCTCATTTTCCCTGCCCTAGTTCATAAGGTGATGGTTCAATGCCAGGAGAGGCAAGATGAGAAGACCCAAAACCACTGTCCCCCCTCCACCTCATGATCAGCTCCTTAAGTAGGGATATCACTCAAAGAGAAGCACACCATTATCACAAACCCCAGCTCCAGAGCCCTGGATCAGATATTTCGCCTGGAAGAAGAAGCAAATCTAAAAGTAAATGGCACCTAATCTCATCCCAAAGCAATTGATTTTATTTGCAATAGAGCATGAAGAAGTTTAAACCTAAGGATGCACTCAAGAACAATGAAGGTTGTGGTGAAAGGCATTTGGAAAGATATTGGTAGATTTGTTGAAGATTTGTGCATAAGAGAGCTGGAGAAAGAGATAGATAGAAGTAGCCCTCCTAGGGTCAAAACAAATATCAAACACTGACCACAGGAACTATTCCTTCGAAGGAGATGAAATTTGATTGGCTAAGTCTGTAGATCGATTTATGCCCCAGGGCATTGTTGAAAACAATAATGCAATTAGCCCCCAGTTTGTAGAGTTTAGCAGCTGGGTGCAGTCTAGGGTAGAGACAGCTAAAGAGAGCTCTGTCAAAACCACTGTCATCCCAGAATGACTGTGGAAATACCCAAGGCTGCCCACCCTAGGAGTAACACCAGGGGTTTAACACTGTGTTTGTGTGTGTGTGTGTGTGTGTGTGTGTGTGCACGCATATGTGTGTGAGACAGAGAGAGAGAGAGAGAAGGGATGAGAGGAGAGAAATAGATAGAGATGGTGGTGGTGGTATGGTGGTGGTGGTGGTGAATAGATTTCACTAAGATAAAAGCTAGTCACTAAGCAAATAGCACGCAAATAATAAGCCCTGGAGAGGGGGACCAGAACCGAGACTTTCTATTATATATTATCTAAAATGTCTTGTTTCCAACAAAAAAAACTATGAGACATGCAAAGAAACAGGAAAATATGGCTCATATACTGAGGGAAAAAAGCAGGCAACAGAAATTACCTGTGAAAGTGACCAGATTTTGGATTTAACAAAGACTTCAAAGTAGCCATTATAAATATGTTCAAAGAACTAAAGGAAACCATGATTAAAGAAGTAAATGAAGGTGTGATGACAATATTGCATCAGATAGACAGTATTAATAAAGATACAAATTATTTAAAAAGATAGAAATTCTGGGGTTGAAAGGTACAATGATTGAAATGAAAAGTTTATCAGAGGGGCTCAACTTCTTGTGAAAGAATTAGCAGACTTGAAGATAGATTGATTCAGATTATACAATCCAAAGAACACAGAGAAAAAGAATGAAGAAAAATGAACAGAGTCTCAGAGAAATGTGGGATATCATTAAGCACGCCAACATAAATGTAATGAGAGTACCAGAAGAACAGAAGAGAAAGGATTTATTTGTATATAAAAACCATAATGACCTGACACATCAATTAGAATATCTAAAATTAAAAATAGCAGCCATCCCAAATGTTAGCAACAATGTGAAGCAACTACAGCTCTCATACACTGATGATAGAAATGTAAAATTGTACAACTACTTTATAAAACAGTTTGACAGGTTTTTAAATGGTTACACATATATTTATTATATAATGCAGCGATTCCTTTCTTAGGTGTCTTACCCAAGAGAAAGGAAGTCATATGCCCATACAAATACTTATTCATAAACATTCCTAACAGCACTATTTGTAATAGTCAAAAACTGAAAACAACCCAAATGTCCATCAAGAGGTGAATACATTATCAAGTTATGGTATATTTATGCAACAGAATACTGCTCAGCAATAAAAATAATTTAGTATTGATTTATACAATAACATGAATCACATGGATAAATGTTGATAAACTTCAAAATAATTATGCTGAATGAAAGAAGTCAGATGAAGAGAGTACACAGTTTTGCTTCCCTTTATCTAAAATTCTAAAAAGTGCAAACATCTATAGTGACAGAAAGCAGATCAGTGGTTGCCTGCGGTGGGGTTGAAGTGAGGAACAGGCAGACGTGAACAAAGGGGAACGAGGAAATGCTAGGGGTAATTAATATGTTCATTATCTTGATTATGGTGATGGTTTCACAGGTGTGTGCATAGGTCAACATGTATAAAGCTTTATGCTTTAAATATATTACTTTGTTTTATACCAATTATGCCTCAATATAGTTGTTTTAAAAATGTTATCAGAGAAAGAAGAAAACTAAAGTGAAGTAAATAATCATCCAGCTATTGGCTGATGGGTATTGTTATTCACATAAAAATTTTTCTAATAAAGAGTAAAAGTTGTATTTGAAAAAAAATCCTGGCACCCCAGTCCCGAGGATCCCTAGAAAATTTACAGGGGTGGCAGTCTTCAAAAATTTTTAAGGGCAGATTTTCAATCTTTGGCTTGCATATACCTTGCCAAGACATCCAAGGCACCTGCAATTTCTTGCTTACCAGGAATTTCCATCACCTGCCAGCAAGATTTTATTATATCAATGTAGCAGACCAGCCTGAAGTGCTATGGACTGATAGGGGTACAGTCTTTATGGGCTTGACTATAATAAAGAGACAGAGGGTCTAGTCAGGTAAACAAAAACAGTTTCTGGGCTCTTTGCTTAGGGGAAGTAATGAGACAAAGACATATTTCAGATTGATAGGTAAATACAAGAGGCCAAAGGTTTTACTCCAGTGAAGAAACTACATGTGGGACAGTAGCTGCAGTTGGAGTCATCATCTGATTAAGTTTATGATGATACACTCTTACCCTCTAAGACTGTCAGTCTTTGAAGCATATACTAAACAGGTGAGTCAAATGCAGATTGATAGGAATAATTACCCTGCATTTTTAGTCTTGCTTGGTTACGTTCATCTTTGAGGTTCCACACAGGGATTTAGTATTGCCTTCTATTTTTTGTAGGGTAATCCCAGGTCCTTCCACTTGGTTATTTCTACCATAATAACTGTTATTCGATGTGTCAGAAAGCCAATGTGGGAATTCCATCAGTTGTCAGGTGTGCTTATTGAAGCATTCACTCAGGAACAGTATAAATAACCACAAGACAGGTTTATGGATACATTGAACCAGCTATGAGAAGGACTCAACAAAATTCCATTTGTTATCACACCCGTATAAACACCCATTTTGATGGGTGGGCCACAGTGGAGTCCTGGGTTCCGGCAAATTAACCATGTCCAGAATTCCTAGAAAGTCTGGATATTTTCCTTTCTCTAGAACACAATTATTCTAATACATGGCTGCATATTCCTTTGGGGAAATACTAGGAAGAAGCAACAGAGTATACATTCCTTTTACAAGGGTATCTGGCCTCTTATTTTAGGTCAAGTTATTGAAGAATAGTTTACATACAATAAAATTTACTTTTAAAAAGTGTATAGTACAGTTCAACAAGCTTTGACAAATGAATACAATCATGTAACCACCATCATAATTGAGATTCATTAGGGGTTTTAATGTCAGTTGACAAGCTCATCCAAAAATTTGCACAGCAGAGCAAGACTCCAAAAATTAACATGAAAATTCTGAATCAGAAAAAATATGACAATTTTGACCAGATATGAAGACTTTAATGATTAACCTTTAGTATTAAATATAGTGTGAAATTATGCAGATATCAGTAGTCTAATGAAACAGAATAAATTCTAGAAACAGACTCATTCCTATAGACAAGTAATGTATTACAGAGGTGGCATTAAAAATCAAGGGATAAAGTATAAAATTTTCAATCCATGTGTTGGGACAACTGGTTATCTACATAGGAAAATAATTGATCCCTACATCTCCCACAACATACCACAATATATTCCAGGTAGACTAAAAACTTAAATGGGAAAAGCGAACTTAAAAATCTTTGGAGGAAAATATGATGTAAGAGTACAGGATTTTTGTTTTTTTAAAAAAGAGATCAAGTGGAGTACTTATACATCTGAATACATTAAAATTTAAAACTCATGCATAACAAAGGACATCATAAACCAAGCTAAAAGACAAACTACTGTATATACTTCTGAGAAGATGAAATCGATGTATTTTTCTCTACCCCTCTTGCTAAGTACAATTACATACCCTGGACATTATACATAAAACAAGCATAACGACGTTCTGAAAAGTCAAGAAGACAAACTGGGTAAGGACCTTGGAACCCAAGAAACATCATGATGATGAGTTCCCTAGCTTTTCTTTTGCCTCATATATCCCAGACTTGGAGCTGAGGAAGCCAGCAGTCAGGAAACACCAAAGGGTACAGATCTTAAAAGCCTGCTCTCTCTAGCCAAAGAACTAGGAAAGGGACAGCCTAGGAAGACAGAAAACTTTCAGACAATAAATGCTCTATCTAGCCAAATACCATAGAAAAAGCAGTGGATCCATCCCAACTGATGTCAGAAAAGGCTTAGTGGAAAACCTAGACTTCCACTCTTGCCGGGCTGTAATGGAGCATCACAATACTCCCACTAGGGTAATGTCAAAGAAGACCAAGGCAGGAGCCAAGACATACATCCCCAGTGGGTGGTAATGAGAGCTGATCCCCAGCCCCTACCTGGCAGTGTCCTTTTTTTTTTTGAGACGGAGTCTCGCTCTGTCGCTCAGGCTGGAGTGCAGTGGCACGATCTCGGCTTACTGCAAGCTCCGCCTCCCGGGTTCCCGCCATTCTCCTGCCTCAGCCTCCCAAGTAGCTGGGACTACAGGCATATGCCACCTGGCCTGGCTAATTTTTTTTGCATTTTTAGTAGAGATGGGGTTTCACCATGTTGGTCAGTCTGGTCTTTAACTCCTGACCTCAAATGATCCTCCCACCTCAGCCTCCAAAAGTGCTGGGATTACAGGCATGAGCCACTGCAGCTGGCCGGATCCACCCTCTTTCTACTCCTGGAATGGTGTCATATGAAGCCAGCTAAAACAGAAGGTTTAAATAAGTTCCAGACTTTTATAACATAATATCCTAGATTTCCAGGTTTCAATAAAAAATTGCACCAAGGACCAGCAAGATCTCAAACTAAATGAAAAAACACAATCAATAGATGCCAACACCATGGTAATATAGATGTTAGGATTATTTTACAAAGATTTTAGGTAGCCACCATAAAAATGCTTCAACAATTACAAATACCCTTGAAACAAATGAAAAATATGTCTCAGTAAAGAAATAGAAGTTATAAATAAGAACCAAGTAGAAATTTTTGAAATGAAAAATACAATAACTGAAAAGTAAAAATTAATAGATGATTTAACAGCAGAGTGGAGGAGCCATATGAAAGAAGCAGTGACTGGAAGATAGAATAATAAAAATTACTTAATCCAAACAACAGAGAGAAAACCTTGAGAAAAATAAACAGAGCCTCAGGGACCTGTGAGGCTGTAACAAAAAAATTGAACATTTATGTCATCAGAATTTCAAGAGAGGAGAAAGAGGGCAGGTTTGAAAAAATACTTGAAGAAATAAAGGCTGAAAAAGCCTCAAGTTTGGCAAAAGGCATAAGCCTACGTATTTAAGAAGCTGAATGAATACAAAACGGATATGCCCAAATAAATTACACCAGACACATAATACAGTCAAACTTCTGAAAACTAAAGACAAATTAAAAAGAAACTGTGGTATACCAGAAGGAAGTGGTACATATTTCAAGTGCTGTCAACTCAGAATTCTATATCCAGCAAAAACGTCATTCAACAATGAAAGGAAAATCAAGATAGTCTCAAATGAAAGGAAATGAGAATTTGCTGCCTTTTAGGATGACTAAAGAAAACTCTCAAAACAGTAAGAAAATAATAAAAGAAGGAATCTTGAAACACAAGAATAAAGAACAGTGGAAAAAGTAAAATCATGGGAAATATACTACATTTTCTTTCTCCTCTTGAGTTTTCTAAATTACGGTTGATGCAAAAATTATAACACATCTGATGTGGTTCTAAATGTATATAGAGGAAATATTAAAAACAATTAAGAGCTGGGCATGGTGGCTCATGCCTGTAATCCCAGCACTTTGGGAGGCCAAGGCAGGTGGATCACCTGAGTGCAGGAGTTCAAGACCAGCCTGGGCAACAAGATGAAACCCATCTCTACCAAAAATACATACAATTAGTTGGGCATGGTGGTGTGTGCCTGTGATCCCTGCTACTTGGGAGGCTGAGGTGGGAGGATCACTTGAACCTGAGAGGCAGAGATTGCAGTGAGCCGAGATCATGCCACTGCACTCCAACCTGGGTGACAGAGTGAGACCCCTTCTCAAAAAAAAAAGTTATAAATAGGAGAGAATAAAAGGGAGTAAGATTTAAATGACTCACCAGAACTGGTAAAATAATGACATCAGTAGATTGTGATAAATTACATAATACCCAAAGCAACCATTAAAAAAAGCTATGCAAAGAGGTACACTCAAAAGTACTATAGATAAATAAAAATGGAATTTTAAAAAATGTTCCAAAACCCACATGGAGCAAGGAAAGAAACAGAAAGACTAGTTAGGAGGTAATTACAGGTTAGAAGTGTAATGATCTGGATATTGTGATAACAGTAGATATGGACAGAATGTAGTTTGGGAGTAAAATTTACTAAATTTTCTTACATATTAGATATGAGGTGAGAGAGAAAAAAAGGAATCTAGAATGATTTCTAAGATTTTGATAGGAGCATATGAGTAATGCTGATGCTGAGGTCCAGAAGACTAGAAAAGAGATAGAGGTTGACAATTTATTGCTAGATCTTAGAAATGTTAAATTACAGATTAAATTCAGGTCAGTTTTTCCCTATATTAAGAACCTAGAAAAAGTCCCTGGTGCTTGGTTAAAGTGCATACAAGGTCTAAATAAATAAATAAATAAATAGGCATTGTTGCTTCAGAGATGGCAGTAACTTGGGAGAAAATACCCGGGAGGAATGGAGTTCTATTTTACAGAATGCATTTATGTTTTGAATTGGAGACCATTATATGGTGCTGTCTCCACAAGAGCCAGCACACACTGCTTTGCAAATCAAGGGGTGAGGCAGAAGTGAGAATGGATCTTCTCACCATTGCACCTAATAGTCTTCTCCTGGAATTTTTGCTTCCTATCCCAGCAACTTTGAGCTCTGCTGGTTTGGAACTCTTAGTCGCCAAGGTGGTGGTAGTTGGGAAGTGGGAGAATGCTTCCAGCAGGGATCACATGAATGGTTCCACAGAACTAGAAGATGAGACTGCTACCAGGCCATTTTGGGCATCTTATGCCACTGAAGCAACATGCGTAAAAGGAGGGAGGGGTGGTGTTACCCTACTTGTTGAAGTGATTGATTCCAATTACCAAACTGAAATTGGAGGCAAGGAGGACTATGTGTGGAACCCAGGGGACTCTCTGGGGTGCCTCTTAAGTGGCTATACCATTTTGCATCCCCCCCAGCAATGAATGACAGTTCCTGGTGTTCCACACCCTCTCAGCATTTGATGTTATCAGTGTTTTGGATTTTAGCCATTCTGATAGGTGTATAGTGATATCTCATTGTATTAATTTGCTATTCCCTGATGACATATGATGTTGAACATCTTTAAATATGCCTACTAGCCATGTGTATATCTTCTTTGGTGAGTGTCTAAGTATTTTGCCTATTTTATAATTGGGCTGTTTGTTTTCTTAATGCTGAGTTTTAAGAGTTCTTTGCGTATTTTGGATAACAGTCCTTTATCAAATAGTTGTTTTGCAAAGATTTTTTTCCCAGTCTATGGTTTGTCTTTTCATTCTATTACCAGGGTCTTTCACAGAGCAAAATATTATTTTTCAACTTTTATTTTAGATTCAGGGGGTACATGTGGAGGTTTGTTACCTAGGTATATCGTATGATGCTGAGATTTAGGGTGCAAGTGATCCTCTCACCCAGGTACTGAGCATCATACCAAAGAGTTAATTTTTCAACCCTCCGCACTTCCTTCCTCCTCCCTCTGGTAGTCCCCAGGCCTATTGTTGCCATCTTTATGTCCATGAGTACCCCATGTTTAGCTCCCACTTATAAGTGAGAACACACAGTATTTGGTTTTCTGTTCCTGCATCAATGCTTTAGGATAATGGCCTCCAGCTGCATCTATGTTGCTGCAGAGGATATAATTTCATTCTTTTTTTATGGCTGTGTAGTATTCCATGATGTATATATATACCACGTTTTCTTTATCCAATCCACTGGTGATGGGCACCTAGGTTTATTCCATGTCTTTGCTATTGCAAATAGTGCTGCATTCAACATGTTTGTGTCTTTTTGGTAGAATGATTTGTTTTCTTTTGGATATATATCCAGTAATGGGATTGCTGGGTCAAATCGTAGCTCTGTTTTAAGTTCTTTGAGAAATCTCCAAACTGCTTTCCATTACAGCGGGACTAATTTACATTCCCACCACCAATGTATAAACATTCCCTTTTCTCTAAAGCCTCACCAGCACCTGTTGTTTTTTTGACTTTTTAATAATAGCCATTCTGACTGGTGTGAGATGGTACCTCACTGTGGTTTTGATTTGCATTTCTCTGATGATTAGTGATATGGAGCATTTTTTCATATGTTTGTTGGCTGCTTGTATGTCTTCTTTTGAGAAATAACTGTTCATGTATTTTGTCAATTTTTAATAGGGTTGTTTGTTTTTTCTTGTTTGTTTCTTATAGATTCTCGATATTAGACCTTTGATGCATAGTTTGAAAATATTTTCTTCCATTTTGTATGTTGTCTCTTTACTCTGTTGATAGTTTCTTTTGCTGTGCAAGAGCTCTTTAGTTTAATTAGATCCCACTTGTCAATTTTTGCTTTTGTGGACATTGCTTTTGAGGATTTGTCGTAAATTCTTTCCCAAGGTCAATGTCCAGAATGGTGTTTCCTAGAATTTTTTCTAGGATTTTAGATCTTACTCTAAATTTGTAATCCATCTTGAGTTAATTTTTGTTTATGGTAAAAAGATAGAGGTCCAGTTATATTCTTCTGCATATGGTGCTCCAGCTATCCCAGCACCATTTATTGAAGAGGGAGTCATTTCCCCATTGCTTATTTTTATTGACTTACCTGAAGATTGGGTGGCTGTAGGTGTGTGGCTTTTTTTCTGGGTTCTCTATTCTGTTCCATTGTTCTATGTGTCTGTTTTTGTACCAATACCATGCTTCTATGGTTGCTGTAGCTTGAAGTAAGGTAATGTAATGCCTCTGGCTTTGTTCTTTTTGCTCGGGATTGCTTTGGCTATTCAGGCTCTTTTTTGGTTCCATATGAATTTTATAATAGTTTTTTTCTAGTTCTGTGAAAAATGATGTTAGTAGTTTGATAGGAATAGTGTTGAATATGTAGATTGCTTTGGAAAGTATGGCCATTTCAACAATATTGATTCTTCTGATCTGTAGTATAAAGTGTTTTTCCATGTGTTTATGTCATCTATGATTTCTTTTAGCAGTGTTTTGTAGTTCTTTTTGCAGAGATCTTTCACCTCCTTGGTTAGATGTATTCCTAGCTCTTTTAAGACTATTGTAAATGGGATTGTGTCCTTGATTTGGCTCTCAGCTTGAACATTATTGATGTATAGAAATGCTACTGGGCCAGGCACGGTGGCTCACACCTGAGCCGAGATCGCACCATTGCACTCCAGCCTGGGCAACAGAGTGAGAGTCCGTCTCAAAAAATAAAAAGAAAGAAAAAAAAAGAAATGCTACCGGTTTTTGTACATTGATTTTGTATCTTGAAATTTTACCGAAGTCATTAATTTTTGAGTTAATTTTTATTTATGGTGAAAGATAGGAGTCCAGTATCATTCTTCTGTATATATGGCTAAGCAGCTATCCCTTGAAAGGACAAACAGTTCCAGGAGCATTTTGGCAGAGTCTTTAGGGGTTTCTAGGTATAGAATCATTTCATCCACAAAGAAAGATAGTTTGACTTTTCCTCTTCCTATTTGGATACCTTTTATTTCTTTCTCTTGCCTGATTGCTCTGGCTAGCACTTCCAGTACTATGTTGAATAGGATTGATGAGAGTGGGCATCCTTGTCTTGTTCCAGTTTCCAAGGAGAAGGCTTCTGGTTTTTGCCTGTTCAGTATGATGCTGGCTTTATGATGCTGGTGTGTTTGTCATAGATGGCTTATTATTTTGAAATATGTTCCTTTGATGCCCAGTCTCTTGGGGGCTTTTATCATGAAGTGTTGTTGGATTTTATTGAAAGATTTTTCTGTGTCTACTGAGATAATATATGGTTTTTGTCTTTAATTATTTATGTAGTGAATCACATTTATTGATTCACATATGTTGAACCAAATTTGCATCTAAGGAATAAAGCCTACTTGATCATGGTGAATTAACTTTTTTTATTTTATTAAAATATTGACTTTATTTCATATGTATATTTTTGTCTCCCTACCATTTCCATTTCTGACCACTGCTACTACTATGTCCTATCATAACATTCCATACGTACTTAAAACCAAGCAAAGGGTGGAGTTCCATCTTTAAAAACTAAACAGGCATTTTGGACAACATATTCTTGGCAATGGTACCTGGACAACATTTACCAAATACGGTAGGGAAAGTTCTCATTCTGCATTATAAAAAGGACAGCCAGATATCAACTGTTACTGAAATGAAATAAGATGGAATATTCGTAACAAACTATTTAAATTATTTTCTTAAAGAGACTTCCTTCACTGCCAGAGATCTTGAATAGCCTCCTGGTCAGTCATCCAGAAACAATTCTTCACATAATTGATGAACGTGGTTTCCACTTTGGGAAGAGAACCACCTTTTTCTACACTTGCTTGCATTTTTGCTTTAATATCTTCTACAGAACTAGATCCTTTTGGTGTTTCAGTTTTTTTCTCTTTTTGAAGGATTCTTGTCTTTTTTATCTTGGTGTTGATGGTTTTGAGTCTTTTCCATTCTCGTTTGACTTCTGTGCTTTTTTGGCTGGAGTATCTGGTATAGATTTCTTCACTTGTGCTTTTTTTTTCAGTTTCCTCATCATCTTCATCATCATCATCTTCTTCTTCTTCTTCATCAGCAGCAACTTTTTTCTGTGAAATCTTGCTACCACCTCCAGGGGCAGATCACTTTCCAGATATACTTAAGAGTTTTACAACCTCCTCCTTTTCATCTTCTGACTCTGCATCTTCCTCTACAGCTACTACGTGCTGTCCACTATTATGCACTGGCCCTGAACCACACTTCAGTCGTAAAAGCACAGGTGGTGTTATTTCAAAGCCCCCAAGGGAAACCATTGGCTATGCAAACATTTTCAAAGTTGCCGGTGTTACTTTAATTGGATTTCCTTCATAATTCATTGCCTCTGCTTCAACAATGTGCAATTTATCCCTCACACCAGCCCCTAAACTGGTGCTCATTTTCATCATTATCCAGATAATCTTTGGTCAGCCTTTAGTTCACAACCAAAAAGATAGTTCTGGGGCCTCAGGGGGCTCATTTCCATGTCCACCAAATCTTCCATGGGGTGGTGGCATGCACTAAGGCAGAAGAGAAGACAAATGGAGATAAAGGACTACTGCTCCAGAGAATAGCTGCTCAGGAGACAGTCATACCAGGGAACTGAATTAACTTTTTGATGTGCTGTTGAATTCAGTTTCTAGTATTTTGTTGAGGATTTTTGCATTTATGTTCATCAGGGATATGGGCCTGCAGTTTTCTTTTTTGGTTGTATCTTTACCAGATTTTGGTATCAGGATGATGGTAGCTTCATAAAATGAGTTAGGGAGGTGTCCTCCCCCTTGACTTTTTTGGAATAGTTTTAGTAGATTTGGTACCGGCTCTTCTTTTACATCTGGTAGAATTCAGCTGTGAATCCATCTGGTCCAGGGCTTTTTTTGGTTGGTAGGATTTTTCTTACTGCTTCAATTTTGGTATTCGATATTGGTCTGTTCAGGGTTTCAATTTCTTCCTGATTCAATATTGGGAGGTTGTGTGTTTCCAGGGATTTATTCATTTTCTCTAGATTTTCTAGCTTTTGTGCATAGAGGTGTTCATAATAGTCTCTGAGGACCTTTTGTATTTCTGGGGGATTGGTTGTAATGTCACCTTTTTTGTTTCCGATTGTGTTTATTTGGATCTTCTATTTTTTCCTTTGTTAATATAGCTAGTAGTCTCTTTATCTTGTTTATCCTTTAAAGAAATCAACTTCTGGTTTCATTGATTCTTTATATGGACTTTGGGTCTCAATTTCCTTCAGTTTGTTCTGATCTTAGTTATTTCTCTTCTTCTGCTAGTTTGGGGTTACTTTGTTCTTGTTTTTCTACTTCCTGTAGGTGTGATGTTAGATCATTCATTTGAAATCTTTCTAACTTTTTGTGGTAGGCATTTAGTGCTATAAGCTTTTCCCTTAGCATTGCTTTTGCTGTCTCCCAGAGATTTTGGTATGTTGTGTCTCTATATGTTAGTCTGCTTTTGTGTCATTATAAAGAAATACCTGAAGCTGGGTAATTTATAAAGAAAAGAGGTTTAATTGGCTCATGATTCTGCAGGCTGTACAGAAAGCATGGCACCAGCATCTTCTTGGCTTCTGCTGAGGCCTCAGAGGGCTTACAATCATGTTGGAAGACAAAGTGGGATCTGGAATATCACATGGTGAGAGAGGGAGAAGAGAGAAAGTGGGGAGGTGCCACAATTTCTTAAACAACCAGATCTCACATGAACTAATAGAGTGAGCATTCACTCAATATTGCTAGGACAGCACCAAGCCATCCATGAGGGAGCCACCTCCATGACCCAAACACCTGCCACTAGCCCCTCCTCATTTCACATGAGATTTGGAGGGTACACACATCCAAACCGTATCACTCTGTTTTCATTTATCTTAAAGAATTTCTTGACTTCTGCCTTAACTTTGTTGTCCCAAAAATCATTCAAGAGCAAGTAGTTTAATTTCCATGTAATCGTGCAATTTTGAGAGATCATCTTAGTATTGATTTCTATTTTTATTCCACTATGGTCCAAGAGTATGATTGGTATGACTTTGATTTTTTTAATTTATTGAGACTTGCCTTGTGGCCAAGCATGTGACTGATCTTGGAGTATGTTCCATGTGTAGATGAGAAGAATGTGGTTGATGAGTGGAGTATTCTGTAGATGTCTATTTGTTCCAATTGATCGAGTGTTGAATTTAATTCCAGAACTTTTTTTGTTAGTTTTCTGCCTCAGTGATCTGTCTAATGCTGTCAGTGGGTTGTTGAAGTCCCCCATTATTATTCTGTGGCTAAGTCTTTGTAGATCTGTACTTGTTTTATAAATCTGGGTGCTCCAATGTTGAGTGCATATCTGTTTAGGATAGTTAAGTCTTCTTGTTGAATTGCACTCCTTAAATGATTTTAATTGTAATGAAGTCCAAATTAATACTTTTTCTTCCATAGATTATACCTTTGGCATTCTTTTTTTTTTTTTTTTTTGAAACAGAGTCTTGCACTGTCGCCCAGGCTGGAGTGCAGCGGTGCGATCTCGGCTCGGGCAAGCTCCGCCTCCCACGTTCACGCCATTCTCCTGCCTCAGCCTCCTGAGTAGCTGGGACTGTAGGCGTCCGCCACTACGCCCGGCTAATTTTTTGTACTTTTAGTAGAGATGGGGCTTCACTGTGTTACCCAGGATGGTCTCAATCTCCTGACTTCGTGATCCACCCGCCTAGGCCTTCCAAAGTGCTGGGATTACAGGCGTGAGCCACCGTGCCCTGCCTTACCTTTGGTATTCTATCTAAAAACTTATCAACAAACCCAAGGTCACCTAGAGTTTCTCCTATTTTATCTTCTAAGAATTTTATAGTTTTATGTCTTACATTTAGGCGTATGATCCATTTTGAGGGTTTTTTCAGGGTTTTTTAAAAATTGGTTTCTTCAGATTTTCTTCATAGACAATCTATGAACAAAGACGGTGTTCTCTCTTTCTGACCTGTATACTTTTTGGGGTTTTTTTTTGTCGTTTGTTTGTCTGTCTTTTTTTTTTTTTTTTTTTTTTTTTTTTTGAGACAGAGTCTTGCTCTGTCACCCAGAATGCAGTGGCGTGATCTCTGCTCCCTGCAACCTCTGCCTCCCGGGTTCAAGTGATTCTCCTGCCTCAGCCTCCCGAGTAGCTGGGATGCCCACCACAATGCCTGGCTAATTTTTGTAGTTTTAGTAGAGATGGGGTTTCACCATGTTGGCCAGGCTGGTTTCAAACTCCTGACCTCAGGTGATCCACCCACCTCGGCCTCCCAAAGTACTGGGATTACAGGCTGGGATTACCTGACCTCAGATGAGCCACCTCGCTTGGCCTCTGTCTACCTTTTGTTTCCTTGTCTTGTCATATTGCATTAACTAGAACTTCTTCTACAATGTTAAATAAGAGTGAGTAATAGGGGATATTCTTACCTCCTTCTTGATCTTAGCAGGAAAGTCTAGTCATCTCACAGTATCCATGAGGAATTGACTCCAAGATTCACTGTGCATACGCAAATCCGCAAATACTCAAGTTCCTTGCATAATATGTACAGTATTTGCATATAAAATATGTACATCCCTCCGTATACTTTAAATCATCTCTAAATTACTTATAATACCTAATACAATGTAAATGCTATGTAAATGACTATATTTTTAAATTTGCATTGTTTTTTATTGTATTATTGTTTTTCATTGTTTTAAAAACATTTTTGATCCACAGTTGGTTGAATCTGCAAATGCAGAACCCACACATTCAGAGGGCTGACTGTATCTAGTTTCTCACCATTAAGTATGATGTTTGCTGTAGGTTTTTTTGTAGATTTTTAAAAACCAAAGTTCCCCTCTCTAGTAAACTTACAGTTTTTATCATGAATGGTGTTGGATTTTGTCAAATGCCTTTTCTGTATCTATTGACATGATCACATAATTTTTTTAGCTGTTTATGTGATGGACTGCATTAGTTAATTTTCAGATGTTAAACCAGACTTCCATATCTATAATAAATATCTTTCAATCATGTTGCATAATTCTTATACACTTTTGAATTTGATTTACTAATATTTTGTTGAGGATTTTTACATCTATGTTCATGAGAGTTATTGATCTGTAGTTTTCCTTTCCTGTAATGTCTTTTTCTGTTTGGTATTAGGGTAATACTGGCCTTATGGAATGAGTTAGGAAGTATTCTCTCTGCTTTTGTTTTCTGAAAGAGATAGTAGAGAATTGGTATGATTTCTTCCTTAAATGTTTAATAGAATTCACCAGTTAACCCACATTGGCCTGGTGATTTCTGTTTTAGAAGGTTATCAATTATTGATTCAACACATTTAATAGATATAGGTCTATTCCAATTATCTGTTCTCCTGTGTGAGTTTTGATAGATTATGTCTTTTAAGAAATTGGTCCATTTTATTTCAATTATCAAGTTTGCAGTCATAGAGCTATTCACAATATTTCTTTATTATCTTTCTAATATCCATGAGATCAATAGTGATGGCCCTGAATTAGTCAGAGTTCTCCAGAGAAACACAACCAATACGATAAGATAACCCACTTATAGGAATTGGTTATTATTTCTACAACCAATTATAGGAATTGACTAATATGGTTATGGAGGCTGAGAAGTTCTATGATCTGCTGTCTGCAAGCTGGAAAACAAGAAAAGCTGAGATGTAATCCAGCCTAAGCTCAAAGGCCTAAGAGCCAGGGGGTCCAGTGGTGTATGTCCCAGTCCAAGTCCATTAAGAATTGTTATGTCTTAGTTGGGTGTGGTGGCTTACGCCTGTAATCCCAGCACTTTGGGAGGCCAAGGTGGGTGGATCACGAGGTCAGGAGATCAAGACCATCCTGGCTAACACGGTGAAACCCCGTCTGTACTAAAAATACAAAATAGCTGGGCATGGTCGTGGGCACCTGTAGTCCCAGCTACTTGGGAGGCTGAGGCAGGAGAATGGCTGGAACCTGGGAGGCAGAGCTTGCAGTGAGCTGAGATCATGCCACTGCAATCTAGCATGGGCGACAGAGCAAGACTCCGTATCAAAAAAAAAATTGTTATGTCTTTTAAATAATTTACTTATTTATTATTAGGTAATGTTCCTCTTTATTCTTGATAATTTTCCTTGATCTGAAGTCTGTTTTTTCTGAAAGTAATATAGTTACTGGAGCTTTATTAAAATTATTAAAATTAGCATACTCTTTCTCTATCCTTTAACATTTTTTTTTTTTTTGGAGACAGAGTCTTGCTCTGTTGCCCAGGCTGGAGTGCAATGCCACGATCTCAGCTCACTGCAAGCTCTGCCTCCCGGGTTCACACCACTCTACTGCCTCAGCCTCCCAAGTAGCTGGGACTACAGGTGCCCACCACCACGCCTGGCTAATTTTTTTGTATTTTTAGTAGAGACGGGGTTTCACCATGTTAGCCCGGATGGTCTTGATCTCCTGACCTTGTGATCTGCCTGCCTCAGCCTCCCAAAGTGCTGGGATTACAAGCATTAGCCACTGTGCTCAGACCATCTTTTAACTTTTAATCTATGTGTCTTTATGTTTAAAGTGGATTTTCTATAGACAACATAAAGTTGGGGCTTGTTTTTTAATCTACTATGAGAATCTCTGTTTTTAATTGGTGTATTTAAGCCATTTATAGTTAAAGTGATTATTGATATGGCTGGATTAATATCTACCATATTTTTCACTGTTTTCTCTTCATTGTCTCCCTTTCTTTTGTCTTCTACTCTTCTTGTCTTCTTGGTTTTAATTGAGCATTTTTTATAATTCTATTTTTCTCCTCTCTTAGCATATCAGTTATACTTCTTTCATGGTTGCCCTTGAGTTTGCAATATACACTTACAACTAATCTAAGTCCACTTTTAAATAACACTGTACTACTTCACACATCATACAAATAGCTTAAAGCAAAATTCTCAATTCCTCACTCTCATTCCTTATAACATTGCTGTCATTTGTTTTGCTTATCTAATAGCTATAATCACAAAATATATTGTTGCTATTATTATTTTAAATAAATGTTATATGTTAGCTCAGTTCAAATTAAGAAAACTAAAAGACAATTTTACCTCAGTTATTCTTCCTCTAACACTTTTCTTGTTGAAAGTTCTTCAGAGAGAACTTATTTTAACATTTCTGGCAACCTAAATAAGTTTTTTAAATTTTTGTCTGTTTGAGAAAGTCTTTACTTCTCCTTCACTTTTTAAGAATAACTTTGCTGAATACAGAATTCTAGGTTGGCAGGTTTTTTCTTTCAACACTTTAAATATTTTACTTCACTGTCTCCTTGGTTGCATATTTCCTGAAGAGAAGTCTGATATAATTCTCCTCCTTGCTCCTCTAAGATTTTATTTTTCTCTGTTTTTTTTTCAAGATTTTCTGTTTATCTTTGATTATCTGCAGTTTGAGTATGAGATGATTAGGTCTAGACTTTCTGGTTATTAATTTTGCTTGGTATCCTCTGAGCTTCCTGGATCTGTGGTTCAGTACCTACCATTACTTTTGGAAAATTCTGCCATTATTGCTTCAGATTTTTTTGTGTTCCTTTTTCTCTTTCTTTTCCTTTTTGAATTTTTATTATGCATATGTAACACCTTTTATAATTGTCCCACAGTTCATTAATATTCTGCTCCACTTTTACATTTTTTTCTCCTTGTCTTTCAGTTTTGGAAGTTTCTGTTTACTTTTCTTCAGATTCCCTCGTTCTTTTGTTGGCTGTGTCCAGTCAATTAATTGGCCCATCAAAGACATTCTTCAATTCTGTTACGAATTTTTTTATTGCTAGCATGTTTTTTATTCTTGCTTAAAGTTTTCATCTTTCTTCTTACATTATCCACCCATTTGTGCATATTGCTATCTTTTTCCATTAGCACCCTAAGTGTATTAATCATAGTTGTTTTAAATTTCCAGCATTTCTGTCATACCTGAGTCTGGCTCTGATGCTTGCTCTGTCTCTTCAAACTGTGTTTTGTATATTTTAGTATGCCTTATATTTTTGGTTAAAAACCAGACTTGATGTATTGGCTAAAAGGAACTGAGGCAAATAGGCCTTTAGAGTGAGGTGTTATGTTTGTCTGGCTAGGAGTAAAATTGTGTTTGTGTTTGTTGTAGCTATAGGCATTGGATACTAAAATTTCCTTTGGTATCCCCGTTTTTTGTCTCCCTTGTTTTCTTTGCTTTTCCCTAGAGACATCTTAGATAAGATCTGAGATGAGTATTCCTTTTAGTTGTGTTCCCATTATTATATAGGAGCTCTATTGATGTGGTAGTAAGAGGGGTATGTGTATTGAGGGGAAATATTCTATAGTCTTATGATTAGATCTGTCTTTTAGTGAGCCTGGTCTCTGGGCTGTGACCTTCATAAGTCTATTGATGAGAGCAGTTCTATTTTGACTTGTTTTATCTTCCCACCCCTGTCAGACAGGAAAGCTAGAGGGTCTGGAGATGGGCATTTTCTTTCCGCCACACAGAAAGCTAGAGCAGGGTGGAGTTCGGTATTCCCTTTCCCCCAGGTTGGTAAGGCTCTGGTAAAATTCCAGTTGGTTAGTCTCTGGTAAAGTCAATTTCCTTTGAGGCAGGTCTTGTTAAGAACAGAATGCCCAAGGTGTATTTTAAAATAGCTACTTTTTCTCCTTCCCCTCTGGAAGCACAGATTTTTCTCAGATCTTCACTGTGAGAAACTGGGGAGGAACGTGGTAGTAAAACACTCAACAGTGTGTAGGTCCCCCTAAGACTGGGCACACTGGTGTTTTTAAGTCTTAGATATGTCCATAATGAAATTCTAGAGATATGTCAAATATAGTTTAAATTTAATTGCACTGTGATCCAGCAATCCCACTTCTGGGTGTATATCTAAAAGAATCCAAAGCAGAATCTCAAAGAGATATTTGCACATCCATGTTTATTGCAGCATTATTCACAATAGCCAAGAGGTGGAAGTAACCCAAATGTCTGGGTATTAATGGGTAAAGAAAATGTGATATATACATACAATGAAATATTATGAAGCCTTAAAAAAAGAAGGAAATTTTGTCACATGGATAAACTTTGAGGACATTACGCTAAATAAAATAAGCCAATCACAAAAGGACAAATACTATGTGATTCCACTCATATGAAGTATCTAAAGTACTCAAAACAGAAACCGAAAGTAGAAGAAAGGTGCTTTCCAGGGGCTAGGGGGAGGTGAGAGAGGGAATTACTGTTTAGTAGGTATAGAGTTTTAGTGTTGCAAGATGGAAAAGTTCTAGCAATCTGTTGCACAACAATGTGCATACACTTAACACTTCTATACTGTACATTTAAAAACTGTTAAGATGGTAAATTTTATGTTATATATTTTTACCACAATAAAGAAGGAAAATATGCTAAGATTTTAATGGAGGCTGTTTGGAATATTTGTCTTTCATTGAGGAAGAACTGACATCTTCATTTTGAGTCTTGATCTCCATAAATAATTGTGTATCTCCACCTATTTAGGGTTTCTTTATTCTCTTTATATGTTTTATAGTTTTCAGTGAAAGGGAGTTTTACATTTTTTGTCAGATTTTCTGTTACTAGTTCATATTTTTGTCATTTTGTAAATGGTAGCTTTTTAGATTCTACTTTCTGAATGTTCATTTCTAGAATATAGAAATACAACTGATTTTTGTATATTGATCTTATATTCCTGCTATTTTGAGAAACTTGCTTGTTAGTTCCACTAGGGTTTTTTCATCGATTCCATAGGATTTTCCACATAGATGATCATGTTATCTGAAAATAAAGACAGTTTTAATTATTTCTTTTCAATCCAGATGCCTTTTATTTCTTTTTCTTGTCTCATTGCACTGGCTAGAATTTCAAGTATGATGTTGAACAGAAGGAGTGAGAATAGACATCATCTTGTTTCTGAACTTAGGAGGAAAATATGCAGTATTTCACCAGGAAGTATGATGTTAGCTGTAAGTTTTTTGTAGGTGCCTCTTATCAGTTTGAGGAAGGTCCCTTCTATTCACAGTTTGCTGAGAGTTTTTAAAAATCTGGAATGGATACTAAATTTTGTCAAATGCTTTTTCTGCATTTATTGAGATGGTTATGAGGTTTCTTAACATGATGAATTATATAGATTAATTGTTGCATGTTTAACAAACCATGCATTCCTGGAATATGCCTCACTCAGTGTTGATATTTTATTCTTGTTATATATCAATCCTTGTTGGATTTGATTTACTAAAATTTTGTTTAAAAATTTTGCATATATGTTCATTGAGGATATTAGTCTGTAGCTTTCTTTTCTTGTAATATCTTTGTCTGTTTTTGGTAATTGGGTAATGCTGGCATGGAATGAGCAAAATAGTTCCTCTTTTTCAATTTTCTGGAAGAATTTGTATAGAATTTAGTATTATCTCTTCTTTAAATGTATCAATGAAGCCACTTCACCTGGGGATTTTTCTTGTGGGAAGATTTTTAAGCATTCAATTTTAAAAATAAATATAGAGACATTTGGGTTATCTATTTCTTCATGAGTGAGGATTGCTCCTTTTTTTCAATTTATTGGCATAAAGTCATTTATAATATAATATGATTATGCTTTTAATATTTGTATAATCTGTGGTAGTGGCACTTCTCTTGTTCCTGGTATTGACACTTCATATCTTCTCTCTATTTTCCTGATCAACCTGGGCTACTAGGTTACCCATTTTATTGATCTTCTAAAAAAAACACATCACCCCAATCCCTGCTTCTATCATTACATTGCCTTTTCCTTTTCTGTAGTCAAATTTTCTCCTGCCTCCCTCTTTTTTCATTTCTTTTGAAACGAGGTCTGACTATATTTCCCAGACTGGTCTCAAACTCCTGGACACGAGCAATTCTGCTGTCTCAGCCTCCCAAGTAGGTAGAACTACAGGCATGAGCCACTGCACCTGGCTCTGCCTCCCTCTTATGAGGACTCTTATGATTCTATTTAGGGTCCATCTGGATCATCCAAGACAAACCACTCCCCCGATCTTTAATCCCATCTACAAAGTCCCTTTTACCATATAGAGTAAAATTCACAGGTTTCCAGTCATTATTTGCATGTCATTAATTATTCCACCACAGCTCTTTTAAATAGTTGCAATGACATTCTATATAGAATTGTGCATCTTGCTTTCTTCACTTGCTATAGTTTATTAGCACTGATTTGTTTACCATGAATGGGCTTCAGGGTGATAGAAAAGGTTTATTTTGTTTTTTATTTTATTTTTATTTTTATTTTTATTTGAGATGGGGTCTCACTGCTGCCCAGGCTGGAGTGTAGTGGCATGATCTCGGCTTGCTGCAGCCTCCGCCTCTAGAGTTCAAGCAGTTCTCCCACCTCAGCCCTCCGAGTAACTGAAATTACAGGTGGCCGCCACCACGCCCGGCTAATTTTTGCATTTTTAGTAAATACGGAGTTTCGAACTCCTGACCTCAGGTGATCCACTCACCTCGGCCTCCCAAAGTGCTGGGATTACAGGTGTGATCCACTGCACCTGGCCAAAAGGGTTTATTTTAGAAAGAGAGAAAAAGAAAAGAGAGAGAGCAAGAGGAGGGCAAGAGGGCAGGAAGGGAAGAAAACGAAAGGAGGAAGGAAGGAAGGGAGGGAGGGAGGGAGGGAGGGAGGGAAATTCCGAGTGGAAGATAAAGGTATGGATCCTCAGGATGATGTGTGAAGACAGAAATCCTAAGAAAGGACACTACACATTCAAGCTGAAGACAATCCTCACCTGATCTAGTAGGATCCAACATGAAAGTAAAGTATAAAACAAGAAATGTAAGTCACGACACTTAGTTATTATGCTAAACAAACATTTGTTGAGCATCTACTATGTGGAAGGCATGATATCAGGTCTAGAGGTAGGCATGAACAAGGGGAAGGGGAAGAAGGAAATGAAAAGATGAATAAGACAAGGTCCCTGCTCTCAGTGCCCTGCATGTGAGGAGACGAGTCGAGGAATGACTAATGGAAAGCAGAAAAACTTAAGTGCTAAGAAAGAGGTTTCCAGGTATCAAAGAGGGAGGGACCATGGCCAGCTCTCAAGAGAAACCTTTCATGAAAGAAAGCGGTATTTGACGTGGGGCTTGGATTAAAACTTTTTCAAGGCCGGAGTGGTGGCTCATCCCTGTAATCCCAACACTTTGGGAGGCTGAGGCAGGCAGATCACCTGAGATCAGGAGTTCAAGACCAGCCTGGCCAACATGGTAAAACCTTGTCTCTACTAAAAATACAAAAATTAGCCAGGTGTGGTGGCGGATGCCTGTAATCCCAGCTATTCGGGAGCTGAGGCAGGAGAATCGCTTGAACCCAGGAGGCAGAGGTTGCAGTGAGCTGAGGTCACATCATTGCACTGCCTGGATGACAGAGTGAGATTCCATCTCAAACAAACAAACAAACAAAAAACTTTTTCAAATGTTTACTATGGAAGCATAAACAGGAGGTTGACCATGTATCCTTTCAATCTGAGAAGTACCTAAACCTTGGGTAATGATAATGTCATCACAGGAAGAATGTGAAGACGATCCTCAGTTGTACTAACATTGGGCTGCCTCTTGACAACCTAACAGAAAGAACAGCAGCAACTTATCAGAGAAAAAGAAGAAAGCTAATAGGGGATCAGCAAGATTGGAAGAAAATTGCAGGGGTGGTTTTGTGCGGGATCCACCCAGCTAGCCAGAAATGTTTCCCAGAATTCCTTTCCTGTGTGAATCCAGGTTTGAGTTGGCTACAGGGAAAATATGTGGATGATGTGAAAAGCAAAAGTGCAGCGGCATCCACTAAGCTCTGAAGATCGGTGCCAGGTAGAGGCACAGCTGTGGCTCATGCATGTGGTTGCTGACGTGCTGGCCTCCTGCTGAGTATGGCACAGCAGCTGGGCTCCCTCCAGCTCCCATCCGATCTCTTCCTTCAGCTCCTCTGAATTTTGGGACAGGCACCGGTGCAGCTCAGGGAGGAGAATGCCAGCTTCTGTAGGTCACCCATGCTGTCGAGGCGAGAGGTGATGGGAGACAGACACAGGTTCCAGTTTGTCTTTGTGGGTCGTAGTTTGTCCTTGCAGGTTCCAGTTTGTCTTGCTTGTCCTGTTTCTGGCCTGGCCAACCTACAGCAACTTCAAACCCACCCCCAGACAACAAAGGCAAGGGCTTTCCCTAGATATTCACAAGCTCCCACAACTGTGAGAGGTCCAATCTCTACCCAAGTCTCTTATTTTGTATCACTCGTTCCGGTTCTGCCTCCCTGGCTGAACCCTGACTTGTGCAGTGCAGCCTGATCCAATGAACCTATCTGGTGAAAAGGGGTTAGGTATCTTTTTCATTACTTTAGGAAAGGTAAATCCAAGAGATTGCTTACTTTGAAAATATTTACAGAGCTATCAGCAAATATATGGATCTTTTTTACTGTTGAAATGCAGATAAAAGCCTCTAACTATCTTCTCCAACCAAATAACTCTTAAGGACCTCAAACTGTGAAATCTAACATGTATTTCTTGATAAACACAGCTACTGGACTTTTTTTTAATATCGTAGAAAAATCCTAGACTTCTAAGAAAATAAAAGAGGTCAACCTACAATCAGAGTATAACATTGGTTTTAGTCTCAAAATATTTCTATTCAACTAAATCCTTTTTCTCCTCTTTAAAAAGCCACTTGAGAAATCCCATTTGACAAGGGATATTACTACAGTTTGTACTGCTCAACATCAGGGCAAGACTTTTTTCCCCCTTTTGTAAAATCAATTTGAGTTATTTACAATGAACTTAAAAACCATGAACTTTAATGAAAAAGCTTGACAGGTTTGATGTATGATAGACTAAAGTTTAAAAAAAAGACAGAAAAAGATTTTTTTTTCTCTTTGGCTGTGGGATAAAAACATGGGTCTAGCTACTCAGAGTCACTTCTCAGAGAGCAGTGTAATAGAGTTGCCCAGTGATTATAAAATTTCTACAGAAAACTAGCTAACAAAGGAGATGTAAATGTTTTTCCATCAATGGAATAATGTAGCAGGAGGGGGTTGCGTTTCTCCCAACAAACAGAATCTTTTTGTGTGGTGTGTTTGTCTGCAAGCTAGTTGCTGATTACATTATTTGGTTTATTTTGTTGGGGTAGCTCCTAATAATTATTTTCTGGGAGAACCACAAAATAGATTAAGGTGCAGGACATCCTTCCAGAAGGGGCTGGATTCTGGCCATGGATGGCCTAAAACACTGGATGTTTTCAATACATGACTTCATGTCCTCCACGGCATTTGCATCCCAGCTCCTTGTTTGCTTAATGCCTTCACACTAGTTGTAAGCAGTTTCTCAAACATAATCTTCAGCTGGGTGTTTACTTTGACCATGGACTTGATTTAGAAAGAACACTTTTTTCAAAGCAAATCCATCCACTCTTGCTGTCTCTAAAGGCAAAAGAGAATAATTGTGTCATGGCACCCAGCCCTGTGTGTTTAGAGCTTTGAAATGATCCCAAAATTACTTTTCCCCTTTCATTTATTTTCTTCTTAAATCCTGTTTTACAGTAATCATTGAAGTGACTTCACTACATGGTCAGCTAAATGATGGCTTCAGGAATCTGGCTATTTTAAGTAGTAGAGACTAAATATCCACTTCTCAGTACAAACCTTTTTAAAAGGTATTTGTTTAATGGATGAGAAATGCCTGGAATATGAATTAAAATGTGCTCAAAGTACAACTGCATTTTTTCTAAAACACTCTGTGCAAGAAAATGTAAATTTTGTTCCTTGTTTGTACCTTTCTTCTAGATTGTATTTGTGTCTCTTTATAAGAAATAAAGAGGAAAAGAGCAGGGCAAATTTAGAAATAAAAACATATTTTAATATTATTAGTGACTTCTACCTGATCACTTACTAATGAATTTTAAGTCAGTGACTTTGCAATGTAAATATAAAATCAGTTATATAGTTTGGAAAAACTCTGCACCCTGAGTTCTATCCCTTTCACACATTCTTTGACCCTTTTAAGTTTATCCTTTGACTATAATGAGTTTATTCTTTGGCTGAGTTTAATATTTAGACTACAGAAAGAAAAAAATTTGAGTCACTCTAAGTTAGTTTGGCACTTCCTTTAATCTGGTTGTTCTTGTTCAACTCCAACCCCTCCCAGCCCTGAATGAGGACAACAATATCAAACAACAATTGGGATATTGGGTGAGAAAGTGCTTCCTAGTTGGGCTTGTAAAGAGGTGAGCTCAGGAAGTGAGGGCCGCATTTAATTGCTGAATTGATTCACAAGTGCTGAGAGGCTGTTGGAGTTGAATATACTCAGATAGATTCAGGAAGACTGAAAATAATTAATGAACTTTGTCACTTAAAATTTGGATTTTAAAATATTTTATTTTTGATGCCATTTTGTTTCGAAAATGTCAGAATGTAGAAAGAATGATGGGAATAGAAAATCATCACTTGGCAGGAATAATTATTTCAGTCAAGAATCATCATCAGTGATAATCCAACAATCCCATGACTTCATATGTATCCAAAAGAAAGGAAATCGGTGTATCAAAGAAACTTCTGCACACTCATGTTTATTGCATCACTGTTACAATGGCCAAGATATGGAATCAACCTAAGTGCCCATCAACAGAAGAATCAATAAAGAAAATGTGGTGTATAAACACATGAAATACTATTCAGCCATAAAAAAGAATGAAATCCTGTCAATTGTGACGACATGGATGAACCTAGAGGACATTACGTTAGGTGAAGCAAGCCAGGCACAGAAGGACAAATACCGCATGTCTCACTCATATGTGGAATTCTATAAAGCTGATCTGGAATTTGGGGATTGGTTATGGGATTCAAACAAAGAGGTACAGATTAAAGAGGATGGAACAAAAACGATTTTTGTTGGAGGGAGTTTTTTTTGGAGGGAGTGTGTGTAGTGAAACCTGTGAATTTCACAGTAGTTATGGACTGCTAAACAAAAGATTTTCCAATATACAGGCCAAGCAGGGGAGTAAAAAGAAAAGATGACTACAGGCAGAGACACCTGAAGAATTTTTCAAAGAACTTCCCCATCTTCTCCTTGGCCAGCCCCACAGATGCTGTGACAATCACTCGTGGAGTGGGGTGAGGTTAACACACTACTTATGAATCAACAAAAAGTCTCTCATAAATAAAAGATGTCATATGTAGGTTTTTTTTGTTTTTGTTTTGTTTTGTTTGTTTTCTAATTGCACCAAACTCTTTCAGTGGACATTTTAACAGAAATGAGTGTGCCTTGCAAATTCATATTTTTGGTATGAAAATTGATATTCAAAATGTATCATCAGGTTTTATATTACTAAAAATATGAGGTTTGTATAATTTTTAAACCTTCAGATATCCCCAAATATTTTTGAAAAATGCAAAACTGCTGACACCTTTTCAAATAATTTTTTTTTTTTTGAGAGACAGGGTCTCACTTTGTTGCCAAGGGTAGAGTGCAATGGTGAGATCATAGCTCTCTGCAGCCTTGAACTCCTGGGCTCAAGCAATCCTCCTACTCAGCCTCTTGAGTAGCTGAGACCACAGGCGTGCACCACCACTCCTGGCTAATTTGTTTGTTTGGTTTTTTTTTTTTAGAGAAATAACACAGTGGAGGTCTCATTATGCTGTCCCTGCTGGTCTCAAACTCCTGGGTTCGAGCGATCCTCCTGCCTCCACCTCCCAAAGCACTGGGATTACAGGTGTGAGCCACCACGCCTGGCCTTCAAATAATTTTTACAATATGTTTAAACAAAAGGTTTCTAAGATGCCTGTACTTGTAAACTCATTACTTTATTACATTTTATATCATATATTATAGAAAAATAGTTTTTAAATCTTTCTGTTCTGTTGGCATTAAGATATCTCAATCCTAGCAAGGCAGTTGACATGGGACAGCCAGGCTGAGTCCCAGACGTGCCAGGCAAACCATCTTCTGTGTATTGTCACCGCCCCCACCAGGGCCAATGAGTTTATGCTATGAATTGGAACAAAATGAAATCTGAATTCCAGCTTTAGCACTTCCTAGGAGAACTTGGATGAATAATCTTCCTGAGCCAGTTTTCTCATCTGGAATATGGAGATAATAATGCTGATTTTTCAGAGTTATTGTGAGGATTAAATAATGCAAATAAAGTATCCAGCATGGAGTCTAATACAAAGTACAAATATAGTATCAGTTCCTTCCTTTTTTCCTCTTTTCTTATAATCCATGACTAGAACAATTTATATGTCAAATCAGCACATGATAATTTTATTGTTTGGCAGTGGATTTATGAATGATTGTTGCATTAGTAAGACCTGAGTAATTAATTTATTAAAGCAGAACATAGCATGGACAATAATGATAGTATCTTGATGTCTGTATTCCAAGCACTTTGGGAGGCCGAGACGTGAAGATCATTTGAGCCCAGGAGTTCAAGACCAGCGTGGGCAACATAGCAAGACCTCATTTCTACAAGAACTAAAGAAAATTAGCCAGGCGTGGTGGCATGTGCCTGTAGTCCCAGCTAATTGGGAGGCCGAGGCAGGAGAATCACTTGAGCACAGGAGTTTGAGGCTGCAGTGAGCTATGATTGCACCGCTGAACTCCAACAGAGAAAGACCCCATCCCTAAAAAAAAAAGTATTTTGACCTCTGGATTATGGTTAGTCAATTCTGTGTAATTGAGGTCCAATTTAAAAATTAGACATGCTCATGTGTCCAACTAGTACTCTTTTGTCCTCAAAGTTTAACATTTAAATTAAAATGTTAAGAAGAAAAAGTCCTTTTGAAATTTTGCAAAGTTAGGAATCATAGCTCTAGGGATTTCCATGTAAAAAGCTGATATGGGGGCCGAACGCAGTGGCTCATGCCTGTAGTCCTAGCACTTTGGGAGGCCAAGGTGGGCAGATCACGAGTTAAGGAGTTTGAGACTAGCCTGGCTGACATGGTGAAACCACGTCTCTACTAAAAATACAAAAATTAGCTGGGCATGGTGGCACGCGCCTGTAGTCCCAGCTACTCGGGAGGCTGAGATAGGAGAATCGTTTGAACCTGGGAGGCAGAGGTTGCAGTGAGCTGAGATCGCGCCACTGCGCTCCAGCTTGGGCGACAGAGTGAGACTTCGTCTTAAAAAAAAAAAAAGCTGATATGGTTAAAATATACACAAAACTTTCTAAGTGGATCAGTACAAGAAAATTTATTAGCCTGACATAGACATTGAATTTCATCTATTTTTGTAATGCCTCAACCATGAATTCAGTATACAAATAAGATGGAGCTATATTTATTCATTCAACAAGTATTTATTTATTTATTTATTTATTTATTTATTTATTTATTTATTTTTGAGACAGAGTCTCACTCTGTCGCCCAGGCAGAAGTACAGTGGCACAATCTTGGCTCACTGCAACCTCCACCTCCTGGATTTAACTGATTCTCCTGCCTCAGCCTCCCGAGTAACTGAGATTACGGGTGTGGGCCACCATGCCCAGCTAATTTTTGTAGTTTTAGTAGAGATGGGATTGCGCCATGTTGACCAGGCTGGTCTCGAACTCCTGACCTCAAGTGATCCACCCACCTTGGCCTCCCAAAGTGCTGGGATTACAAGTGTGAGCTACTATGCCCAGCCAACAAATATTGATTGAATGCCTACTGTGTGCCAAACTGGTTTTGTAGAGGATAGAGAATAGACCTTTGATTTGGGCAAGATGGAGGGCACTGATAACCTTGATGAGAGTGGTATCTGTGGCGAGGTGAAGACGAAAGCCTGGCTGGAGTTGTTGAAAGAGAAAGTAGGAGATAAGGTGTAAGGACAGTAAAACAGGAAACCTGAGATTTGCTATAAAAGAAAACCAAAATACTGAGTGATAGCTGAAGGAAGCGTGGAGTCAGATGACTCAAAGTTTATTTTTTCAGGTGAGCACTATAACAGCATATATGTGGGCTAAAACAGACCCTCAGAGAAGCAGAAATTGATAATGCAAGAGAAGAAGACGGGAGTTTCAGAGCCAAGTCCCTAAAAAGATGAGAGAGAGTGGGATTCTGGGACAGCCTTTGGAAAGAGAGGAAAGGCAACATATGTGGACACAGGTAGGGCATGCTGAAAGATTTGAAGATAGGAAGATGAGGTATGTATCATCTGCTTTCATTCTTCAATGAAATATGGAGCTAGATCAATATCAGGGTTGATGTGTGTGTAGGACTCGGAAGTCTGAGACTGAAGAAAGAATGTGTGAAACCGCCACCTTAGGCAGCAGAAATCTAAGTTGATAAAGACAAGGGATGAGATGGCTGGGCAGTGCCACTTGCCAAAGTGAGAACTGTCTGCACGGCATGTGCCCTCTTGGTCACATTCAGCTGCTCAGGCGCCAGTCCACAGAAGGCAGAAAGCTGTATCTCACCAGTTTGCTTTTCCCTGCAGGCAGTTATAATGGAGGGGTAGGGAGGACAAGGGTCTAAAGCATAGACTCAGCTGGGCTTAGTGGCTCACACCTGTAATCCCAGCACTTTGGGAGGCCAAGGTGGAAGAATGGCTTGAGCCCAGGGAAACATGGCCAAACCCCATTTCTGCAAAAAATTTAAAAATTAGCCAGGCATGGTTGCATGCATCTGTAGTCACACCTACTCGGGAGGCTGAGGTAGGAGGATCACTTGAGCCTGGGAGTTCAAGGCTGTAGTAAGCCATGATCACACCATTGCACTCCAGCTCAAGAGACAGAGCAAGACCTTGTCTCAGAAGAAAGTAAATAAATAAAATAAAGCATAGACTCTACCCTGGAGAAGGACCCAGTGAAAATGATTGATGGAGAGCATTAAAGTCAATAAGTTGGAGGTCTTGCTTGGGTTGAAAATGTTGGGGTGGAGGGTACTGGAGTAAGTGACCTGCTGAAGGGGAGAGGAGCCGTGAGTGGGAAGTATGATTTAGCAGGTGGTGCAGTTCTTGGTGAAGATGAGGAGAGATCCTGGGAAGTGAAGACAACAAGGAGAAGTCAATGCGTTGTATGTATCATCGACATAGATGCTGGAGTTTCTCAGCATGATGCAGTAGTACCTATGGAGAGAAAAGCATGTCTCAAAGGCCATAATCTTCAAGAAATAAGGGGCAGGAATGGGGATATTAGTAGATGACAAGGAGAAGGAGGGGTGGCTGATGACAAAGCTGCTGGTATGCATGTCAAAGGAGCTGGGAGTTGGAAGGAAGATGGAGGCAAGAGTCAAGCAGGTCACAAGGAATGTGAGATATACTGTGAGTGTGAGAAGAAAGTCTGCATCCAAGAGAAACAGGGTGAAATTGGTGTCCACAGGAGAAAGGTAAGGCTTCAGTTACAGTAAGAAGCCAACTTAGTAGGTTATGAATCACTTTCGTGGGACATGACTGAGCTTTAAAAAAACTAAAAGAGAATGTATATAAAAGAACAGAAAATATAAGAGCATAATATTGGATGAGGTTTAGATAAAATTGTTTTGTAAAATTATTTTTTGTTTAGTGTGTGTGTGTGTGTGTGTGTGTGTGTGTGTGTGTGTACTGGATATAGACATAAAATCCATTTCTTATTGTGGGTTGGAGTGAGAAGAGTTTGAAAGCCACAGCATTAGGTGATTATAGGACCCTATGGCGACAAGAATCCCTATGGTGATGAATGGCCTGGGTGGCTTGGAAATGGGAAGAAAAGTGAGGCATGATGGGATTAATGCCATTGATCTAGTAAGGGAAACTGAGTCATAAAGCCCCAGGCTCTGGTGGCCTGGTGAGGAGGTGTCTTTCGTCTGTGTCCAGGTTTATGTGGCAGCCTTCGCAATTTATCCCTGATACAATAAGCAATATATTTTGGGTTTTGTCCCTGGTTCGTGGCACAGAGCTCCTAAAACTAAGAATTTCCTGAGTGACTTGGATGTCTTCTGTTATTCATGATAACCCTGCTTTGGATCACACCTGAGCTTATGCTAATGAGGTGAGTTAGGCTGCGGTCCCTAGGTAGCCTCAGAATTGAGCTGGTCACTGAAAAGATCAAGTGATTAGAGGGCTGGAACTTCCAGCCACACCCACCAAAGTGGTGGAAAGTGGTGGAGGGCAGCTGGAGCTTAAGTCCTATAAAATTTTTTGAACAATAAGGTTTAATGAACTTCCAGATACGTGAATGCTTGGAGGTGCCAGGAAGGTCGTGCACCTGGAGAAGGCCTGGAAGTTTTGTGCCCTTCCCACATCCTTTCCCTGAGCATCTCTTCCATGTGGCTTTTCACCTGTATTCTTTTTAAAGTCCTTTATAATCAATCAGTTAATGTGTTTCCCTCAGTGCTGTGAGCCCTCCTAGCAAATTAACTGAACCTGCGGAAGGTGTCCTGGGCACCCCAACTTATAGCCAGTCTGTCAGCAGCACAAGCCCAGTCTGGGACTTGCAGTTGGCATCTGAAGGGAGGACAGTCTTGTAGGACTGAGCCCTTTAACCTGTGGGATCTAATGCTACTTCCAGGTAGGCAGAGTCAGAATTGAATTGAATTATAGTATGCCCAGTTGGTGTCTGCTGGAGAATTGCTTGGGGTATGGGGAAAATGTCCCACATCTGGTGTCAGCAGGGTTCTGTGTGAGTGTAGAGAAATGAAGTGTGGTTTTCCTCAGACTAACCATTTTTCCAATCTATTAAATTCAAGTGTATTAATGCTAATTTTTTATGAACTAGTTAGGTATTTTAGCTTGACTAATCAGAACTCACTGTAAAAAGATCATGACCATGAATTCAATCCCTATAAATAATACATTTTTAAATGACACACCTCCATGTCTTTGCCTGAAACTCTTCTTTAAGCCACAAATGACCTCAGCTCCCTATTGGGTCATGATCACAAAGAGGACCAATCAGAACTTGTAGATGGTTCAGGGTGAATTCGTCTCCAATAATGAGGCTTAAAAAAATAGCATCACCTTTGAATATGGAAGCAGAACAGTGTGGAATTTCCTTCTGTCTTTTATGGAATGATCATAACCCCATTAGTGAGGCTTAAAGACTCCCAAGGGAAATATTGTAGAAGATGGAAAGTCTAATGAAAAGATTAGCTTCTGTCCCCTCTCCTGAGGTGCTCATCACTGTGAATAATAACTCACATTTAGGTATTCTCTTGATGCTCTCGAAGGGGCATTCACATAGAGAAATTCCTTAGGTTTTCTTTTCTTTTTTTGTTTTCTGAGACGGAGTTTTGCTCTGTCGCCCAGGATGGACTGCAGTGGCATGATCTCAGCTCACTGCAACCTCTGCCTCCCCAGTTCAAGTGATTCTCCTGCCTGTACCTCCCGAGTAGCTGGGACTACAGGCGTGCACCACCATGCCCAGCTAATTTTTTATATTTTTAGTACAGATGGAGTTTCACCATGTTGGTCAGGCTGGTCTCAAACTCCTGACCTCAGGTGATCCACCCACCTCAGCCTCCCAAAGTGCTGGGATTACAGGCGTGAGCCACCGCATCCGGCCTCCTTAGGTTTTCATGACCACACTCAGAGACAGGCTTCACAAAAGACTAGGGTGAGGCTCAGATAGAGTCTTCCCTCAGTCTGGCAGTCAATACCACTGTCATATGTCGTGTGTCATTTGTCACATGTGAGGCATCGTTCCAGGTAGTGGGAATATGGCAGTGGACAGAGAGAAATTCCTGCCGACTTCTCAGGACCTGCATTCTGGAGAACAGGGGGCTTGCCTCAGGCTCCCCAGCAAGCCTGCACTCACCAGACCCAAGTCCTGGTATCTGACTCCCATTATGGGGCTTCTGCCACCCAGCCTCCCTGGCCTTCTTGGGAAAAATGGACAACCAATCCTATGATTGCTTCTTTGACTTACACAGTACTTTCCCATCTAAGAAGATGTAAGAGAAAAAAACACATTTCTCTTTATGAGAATAAGCCCCCTGAGGTAGGGATTACGGATTAAAATCCTTGCAAAGTTTAAAAGTCATTTTCCATGGTGAGAAAATAAGAAAATTGAGATTTGATGACTCTCTTGCTTTGAGACTACTGTTTTAATCAATTTAATTTTGACTGTATTTGGATACAGCATGACATTTATGTGCATTTAGAGCACTTTACAATTCCTCTGTTTTCCTATGGCTTTGGTCCCAGATCACTTGCAAACTACCAACTGTGTGTTTCTGACTGACAATTACACACAGGGGCCACTGCAAAGACACAGAGAGGCAAGACAGATACAGACAGAGGACTCCAATCCCATGGTCACACTTTGCTATAATATTCTAAAGCAAAAATGTTTCCAGTGACTGTTAAACAAGCAACCCAGAACCAAGCAGTCTGTCGAGAACAAGGATTTATAGGTCTGCACTGAAGCTGGGCAGAGACCTGGGAAAGAGTATTAGACACGCCGACTCAGTTATGTTTTGGCCATTTTCTTCATCTGTGCTTAATTAGCACAAACTTTCTCAAAGGAGCTAAGGTTCACTAAGGCTTTTCATCGGGGGAGGGAGGATGAAGAAACTGGTGGAGGGAAGCCTAGCAGTGAATTGTTCCAACTATATCTCTGTTCAGTGTGGCAAATACATTCTTGAGGCAGGTGCTTGAACTCACAGGCTCTTTAGAGAAACATTTAGCAGCCCCAGGAATATATTGGTTGAGAAGAAGAAGAAAGGAGGGGCAGGGAAAACACACATCAGCTGCTAGGAGGGAAAAAGCTAATCGTAGAAACTTCTCTGCCAGAGAGAGGTGCAGCTGTCAAAGCAATAAGGTAAATGAGTCTCAGACTAAAATGGATTTTGCAGTAGAACTGTGTTCTCTGATAAATAGGGGAGATTGAACTCCAGCACCATCCCGCTATTCCTTGGTAATGCCCCATTTGGGCGCTGACTGGGTGGTCTTAAGCCCACTGCCACCCTGGCTAACACCGGCCACACCAATCAAGGCCCCGCAGCTGAGACCCTCAGTGACCTGCTTCAGGGGCCTTTTTCAAACTCCGATTCAATCATTTGTGTGGGATGCTTTTTTTGCTACTTTATTTATGGGATTACATAAATGAGCCATTAAAAATGTAAATCTTCAGAACAGTGGAATAATACAGATTTAAACAATAAGCTCGGGGCGGTACAGTACAGAAACCGCCCTGCCCCGGCACTATCACCCCATCGTGACTATGGCAACAATAGGGGGTTCAGGGAAGGACAGAGGGGAAAGAAATAAAACATCCCCGCATTGGGGCCGTCATTGGCACCAGAGAAAGATTAGGGTGTTTTTTTTAAAGGAGTATTAGAACAATAATGAAGATGTGCCATTATAACCAACAAAGGAGCTGGGGCATCCCACACAGTGCGGGTGTCAGACAATCAAGGGACCGCAGATTTGAGAAGTTTATCCCACCTCGTGGCAAAGTATTTAACCCTTTTGTGGCTTTTGCAGAAGCAAAAAAAAAAAAAGGAAAAAAAGAAAAAAGGAGAAGAGTTGGGGGTGGACTCCCTCCCATCTCCTCATCTAGCTGTGATAGTTTTAGGGTTATATTTTTTAAAAATAATCTGTTTCTGCCTGTGAATTCTATGGGTTCTTTTCATCTGGGTTAGTAAATTAGCCTGGGAAAATGCTGCTACCTTTCTGCACTGAGCAGTCCCCGGCTGGCAGGGAACAGGGACGATATGTGGTGGCCAGGGGATCTGACGATATGGTAGCCAAGGCAGGGGAGGAGGAGGTGGCAAGGGGCCTGCTGGAGAGAACCTGCGGAGGAACTTCATAGGCCCCTTGAGGTCCTCCTCCTGTGCCAGGCTGGGGATAGCTCAGACCATAAGAGCTGTGAAAGTCAGATTTGGAAGAGGAAGTCCACATTGCGGGAAGGTAGATTAGATTGGCAGAAAAAGACTGCCTGTAGTATTGATCACTAAAAGAAGTTAAGTGTTCCTGTTGGTAACATGCTAGGGGTGGGGAATGGGGCCACAAGTGGTTATAGAAATCTGCTTTAAAAGTAAGCAGATGGGCCGGGCGCGGTGGTCATGCCTGTAATCCCAGCACTTTTGGAGGCCGAGGCTGGTGGATCACCTGAAGTCAGGAACTTGAGACCAGCCTGGCCAACATGGCAAACCCCCGTCTCTACTAAAAATACCAAAATCAGCTGGGTAGGGTGGTGCATGCCTGTAATCCCAGCTACTGGGGAGGCTGAGACAGGGGAATCGCTTGAACCCGGCAGGCGTAGGTTGCAGTGAGCCAAGATCACACCACTGCACTCCAGCCTGGGAGACAGAGCGAGACTCCATCTCAAAAAAAAAAAAAAAAAAAAAGTAAGCAGATGAATACCCATGTACCTTGCAGCACTATCACAATAGCCAAGAGGTGAAGAAACCCCAGTGTCCATCAACAGAGGAATGAATAACAAAACACGGCATATGCATACAATGGAATATTAGCCTCAAGAGGGAAACAAATTCTAACAGATGATATGACGTGGATGAACTTTGAATACATTAGGTTCAGTAAAATAAGCCAGTCACAAAAGGACCAATACCATATAATTCCACTTTTATGTGGTACCTAGAGCAGTCAACTTCATAGAGACAGAAAACAGAATGATGGTTGCCAGGGGCTGGGAGCAGAGGAGAATGGGCAGTTATTGTTTAATGGGTGCAGAGTTTCAGTTTTGCAAATTGAAAAGAGTTCCAGAGATGCATGGTGGTGATGGTAGTAAAACGATGTGAATGCACTCAGTGCCACAAAACTGTACATTTAAAAATGGTGAAATGGTAAATTTTATGTCTATTTTACCCCAATTTTAAAAAAATAAATAATTGTTTAAAGAGAAGGCAGAGCGTACAAAGAAGCATGCCTGTAGTATTGATCACTAAAAGAATTAATTGTTCCTGTTGGTAACAGGTTAGGCCTTCGGCCCTCCGTGAGAAAGATCTGGGAAGTTGCAGGGCCTTCCCCTAAAGCCACAGTAAGTCAGTGTCTGAACTTTCCTCCAGTTAAGTCAAGTAGGTACCACAGGATTGCAAACTTGTGCTTAGCAGAGGAAGCCTTTGCATGAAGGAAGTCGAATATGGATCCTGACCTAACATGAGTGAAAGCAGAGCTTTTCTGTTGCATCAGACACTGGGGCTCTCCCTGCTCCCTTCCCTCAGCAAAGAGTCCTTCAAACTGTGATGGGCCCTGAGGCCCGTCTGTGGAGTCCTGTGTTGAAAATCCCTGCCCTCTGCTAAGGCCCTGCCTGCCTTGACCATGACCATGCAGCCCTGCTACCTAACAGTTCATTGCATTGGTGAGGATACCAAGGCATATGCAGCATGGTGGGGATTCGCCATACCTGGTGAGCAGCCTGCAGCCCATTCCAGGAGCTCTTCAGGAGAGACAGCTGGGATGTGGGAGTGAGGGTGGCCCCAGAAAGAACAGACTTGAATGTGAGCCCAGGTGAGACTCTCCCACCCTTGATGCCCAGCCCCCTTGTCTACAGGTAGTGCAATGACCTTTTGCACACTGTTTCCTCTTACAGTGACCTCATGAGTACCCACAGCCTGGGAAGTCCAGGTGAGTTGGGTTACAAACACAGCTGCCTCTGCTCAGTGGAGATCCAGCAGGTCTGCGCCTGTGTGTCCCGGTCTTGAGATGGTCTTTCTCCTGGGGCTGCTTGTCTTATTGCCTCTCTGGCTATACCCCCAGCCCCACAGATAACTTTTCCATCACCTTCTTTCATTTGCTTCTCCCCCCACCATGTTCCTGGAAACGTCTAGCTCCTAAAGAAATGGCTTTAGGCTTTACAAGGTATAATCATTTGCTTCCCACAGCTAATCTACACCAGGGAGAAAAGGCCCATTTCACAGCTCTTTTGGGAAATTGTGGGGAGAGAAAGCACAAACCAAATGAACTCCCAACTCACTGAAGGCTTCCAATCACAGAATTTTAGAACTCTAAACCCAGTAAAACCCTAAATCCTTCCCCCTTTTAACCACTATTCCTAATTTTGAGTATATTCTTCCATATTGACCATGTAAACAAATACACCCTGTAGTCAGGGTGGTTTGTTATTCCTAGATGAAAATGGAAGCCTAATCAATGTGTACTTCTGAATTGGCTTGACTATATAGAAGGTCATCCTCACTATTACCACCACAGTCCACATTCATGAAGCGACTGCTGTGAATCTCTGCTTTGCATGCATCATCTCCTTTTAGCCTTACAACACCTCCTTGGGGTCCATGATATTATTACCTCCACTTTCCATAAGAGGAGGCTAAGAACCACATAAAACTCTAAAACTCTTAAGAGCTACGTCTTCTCTTTCTACCCTGTGCCTCTTCCCACTTGGTGCTTAGCTCTGGGTTTGGCAGTTGTACATGCTTGGGAATGATTGTTTTCATGGCGTAGTCTATTTATTTACTTGGATCTTCTTGAATGTCTCTCAACATTTCTTCTTTCTTTTTTTTAAAGAGTCAGGGTCTCACTGTCACCCAGGCTGGAGTGCAGTAGTGCAATCATTGCTCATGGTAGCCTCAAACTCCTGGGCTCAAGTCATTCTCCTGTATCAGCCCCAGAGTAACCGGAACTACAGGTATGCACCACCACACCCAGCTAATTTTTTATTTTTTGTCTAGCTATGTTGTCCAGGCTGGTCTTGAATTCCTGGCCTCAAGTGATCTGCCTGCCTCAACCTCCTAAAGTGCTGGGATTACAGACATGAGCCACCACGCCCAGTCCATTTATTTCAGCAATCTGAAATTACATGAGTGATAGATGCTCACTGTCACGATTCAAACAGTGCATAGAAGTGCTAAAGTGGAATTAATAATCTTACCCTACCCCCTTTTAATCACTATCACCAACTTGGAGCATATTCTTCCATATTTTTCTATACAAACACATACACCTGGAGATAGACTTGTTCATTATTCTTAGATGAATGGAATCCTATCTATAATTCTGTAATTTCAGTTTTTCACTTAAACAATGTATAATATGAATATCCCTCAAGGTCGATTCATATACAAGTGTTTCCTTCATTCTTCTTAATAGCAGCAAAATATCACATAATATGAATGAACTGTAAATATCCCATTGGTAACTGACTCACATTGGATTCCCTTTTGGCTATCACAAGCCATGATGCACTCTATACATTTATTTCTGACACACATATTTCTAGAAATGGGATTTCTGTTTCAGAAGTCAGACCCATTTTAAACTTTAATAAATATTTAACAAATATTGGCAGCTTACTTTTCAAAAAGGATATAGTAACTTATAGTCTGATCCTGTAGAGAATACTCATTCCTTCACTGCTACCAGCCCTGTATGGTATCAGTCATTTTTGATAAGCAAATGGGCAAAAACTAGAATCTTATTATTGCTTTAATTTGCATTTCTCTGATTGCTATGAGATTGAGCACCTTTTTATTTTGGGATCTCTGGTCCCTGCCTGCCACCTGTGACCGCCAGGTTCCCACGAGTGTGTAAAGGCTGTGATCTGTGGGTCAAGCTCAGAACAGGAACCTAGGAACATCTAAGAATCATCCGCGAATATGAAAACGAATTTGGAGCATTTCCCTCCTTATGGCCCTCCAGGAGGAAGAGGTTATGACTGTCTGCTAGACGGGGTTCTCAACATTTGCTATATGTTGGAATCATCTGCAGAGGATTAAAAAATATTGTGTCCTGGGCCCAGCTTCTGGAGCTTCTGATTTCATTGGCCTAGAGTGCAACTGAGTATCAGGAGTTGGTGGAGACTCTGCCAGGTGATGTTTATGTGCTTCCAGAGTTGAAAATCACTGTTCTCAACATAATGTAGATGAGTAAGAATTTTCAAAATGTATAGAATCTTCTGATCTTATATGTCACAGCCACTGACCTGTCAGAGTATAGGACAGTTGGGAACAGAAGAGCAAAGGACTAGAGAAAGTTTGAAGAGTAGGGAAAACCATGTATTTTTCTGATTCCAGCAGGAAATGGAGAGATATTAGACAATACCTTTCTATTATAGCAGGTGGCACTAGAAATACGTGGGTGCACATCTGTTATGTCCACAGACAATCTCACTGGGGATAAGAGGTGGCCGTGTGGCTGCTGGAAGGATCCCAGCGAGTTTGCAACAGTGGTTGTTGCCAGATGCACACACTCATCCATTCAACAACTAGTTTTTGAGTGACCACTGTCTTCTTGTCATTTGCTCAGCCCTGGCTACACAGCAGAGAATAGGCCAGGCAGCGTTCCCTCACCAAGCTTACCTTCTAGTGAGAGAAATGGAGATTACACAAGTAATGACCCAAGCTGTTATTTAAGTTACAATGCCCATAAGCGCTATGAAAGGAAGTGTGAAAATTGATTACAGAGTCCATTTCTACACTTCTTCGAGCTCCTGTCTAGCCCTCCATCCCATAATCTCAACCCATCCTGAGCACAGAATAGGACTAGTTAAGTGGCATTGAATTCACAGAGTCAAATTCTTGTTAGTTGAAGTGAATTTACAAATGAGAATTAGGCTCAAATAGGTGGATCCCTTATTGCTTCCCCAGTGCTCAAGCTGGGATAGAGGGCTTTTGGTGCCACGATATGAAGAGTGTGTAGAAGTGATATCGTCTGCTAGAGTCCTGCAGAGTAGGGCTGATATAGCTGGGCTAACCAAGTGAACTTAAACTAACAAAACAACACATTCACAAGTTGGGAATAATATTACTTATGGCCGCTATATACTTACTGAGGAGGTTCTGAGTAGAGAAATGTAGGGTGTGGGTGGGGGTGGAAAGGTGGGGGCATGGGAGGATAGGATCTATGAGAGAGGGAAGCACTAACTGAGAGGCAAGTCTGCATCAGGAAAAAGAAAAACACTCCAGCTCCACACTGTGAGCTGGTCTTCCCTCTTGCCTGGCTGCCGGCCTTGGCAATATTCCCAATGCGTTCCTGAGGCTTCGCCAGTGTGTCAGAAGTATAGTCCTTCCCAAGGCTCTTCCCTAAGGCCTCATCAGAACGAGGCCTTTATACCACAGAGGACACACACACCACACAGACTGGACATCTCAGAGGGCCCATGGCATGTTTTCAAGTTGCGGAGAGCAAAAGAGAGGCCATAGTTAGGACTGATCATAGTTCATCCTCAATCGTGTCAATGAGTGCAGGTAAGCCAGGCTGTAGAAAAACCAAAGAGAGTTTCTACTTGGTTTGAAATGGATTTTTTTCCTTATTAGACATATAATGGTGGATTGGGAGTCATTTAAGGGCAGAGACTGATTAATTTTTTTATTCTATTAACAAAGTAACTTGCTTCTAATAGGAATGCAGCAAATCTTTGCTTTATGCTTTTGCAACTTGCTTTCAACCACCTGGAGTACTTCCTTCTTTCATTCCTGTCCTCTCTTCCTCTTCAACGATCCAAATTCCACATGGCATCCTCCTCCAGTTTTAGCTGAGTAAGGTTCTTCCTCTCCTCACTCAGGCACTCTGTCTATCTTGACCACACTCTATTCTGGCTGGTGCCCTGTCGCTGGGGCAGGTCTCATTTTGTTGTCTCCCCATGGCAGTGCCTGCTCTGGGAATCTCTGGGCTATTTTTTATCTTTTGGCCCCAGTGCCCAGCACTGTGCTACACTGAAACAGTCTTTATATTTCTGATAAGTGAATGGATAAATGAATAAATGAATGAATGAATGAATGAATAAAGTAATAGCTGTTATGTGTGCATAGTGAAAAACTAATTTAAGAGTCCCATTGGTTCTTAAGCAAATAAGTTGTTGGAAAGTTTACTTTTATTAGTGTTACCCATCCCATTTTGGCATCATATGAATTTTGAATATATTAATAGATAAAATTACCAGAATAATGCAAAATAACTTGCACTTTATGATACTTACCTTGTGCCAAACTCATTTCTAAGCACTTAAGATATAGAATAGTTTCAGCCGGGCACGGTGGCTCACGTCTGTAATCCCAGCACTTTGGGAGGCTGTGGCAGGCGGATCAGAGGTCAGGAGATTGAGACCATCCTGGCTAACAAAGTGAAACCCCATCTCTACTAAAAATACAAAAAACTAGCTGGGCATGGTGGCGGGTGCCTGTAGTCCCAGCTACTCGGGAGGCTGAGGCAAGAGGATGGCGTGAACCCAGGAGGCAGAGCTTGCAGTGAGCCAAGATCGTGCTGCTGCACTCCAGCCTGGGAGACAGAGTGAGACTCCGTCTCAAAAAAAAAAAAAAAGATATAGAATAGTTTCTACTGTAGACTTTATCCCTGACTTACTGTAGTCTAGATACATTGTATGTGTATATACTCACACACACACACACACACACACACACACACTTTCTCTGATGAGTGGAATCTTCATCATTCATTGTTGCTTAGCTATATAATATACCTTATCCATTTCTTACACAAATCGAAACCATTATGTGAATTTAGGAACATAAATTTGCCTTCCTAAAATTATAGCTTGTGTTGCTATCATCATTTTTCTATAAAATAGATAACTTCAAAAGAGTGAGAAAACAAATGCCATGGATTCCAGAGGAAGATCATTTCCATTGCAATTGGTCCTACTAATGCTGCTTTTCAACCCTGTTTTCTACAAACTGGGGCTACGAAGGGAGGCTAGAATAACTTGTCCTAACTTTGTGACTCAAGACAAATGTTTTAATTTTATAAGCATGTTTTTACATGTTGAGAGAAACTGAAATTTACAGATTATGAAAATCATCCTTTTAGGTCCTTTTTATTTTCAGGTTAGGGGAGTATGTTGAAGGGACATTGAATTCATAGAGTGAAATTCATGTTAGCTGAAGTAAATTTACAAATTGAGAATTAGGTGCAAATAGTTTAATTTCCTGTTACTTCTCTAATTCTCAAGCTGGGATAGAAGGCTTTTAGAGATATGATATAAAAAAGTGTGTAGAAGGGTATCTTCTGCCAGAGTTTAGGGAATCTGATGATGATGATGGAGATGATGGTAAGGAGGAGGAGGAGGACGATGACCAAGGAGGAGGAGAGGGAGGAGCAGGAGCAGGAGGAAAAGCACCATCAATGCATCAATGGTGCTGCTCCTTCATAGGGATGTTAGTCATGCGTCCCCACTGCACTGCATCTATGGGTTAACGTGGTGACTAAACGTCAATTTTTTAAGTACTCTCAATATTGTAAAACTGCAGCGTATCCTGAAAGGCCTGCCATTTTGTCTTTTGTCCCGAATCAGGCATCTTCACCTGGGCAATGCCCTGCAGTCTTGTTCACCTTTCTGGGCCCTGGCACTTGGCAGGCAAAACAAGAACGCAGAGCTGTCATTTTAAAGACTTTAGCAGGAGGGTTCTGCCCAGAATTTCACTGCTGCTTTCCCAGTGAGCGGCTTGGATTGATGCTTTTTGTTGTTTATCCAAAAAAAAAAAAAAAAAAATGAATCAACAAAACCCGGCGACAACATTGCCTCTTCTTGTGTTCTGTCACTATTTTGAGGTAATCAGCATGTTTAAAGTTAACATCAATTCGTCTTCTATATTTTGCCTTCTTAAGAAAAAAGAACTAAAGCCTACTAACTAGTTTAAAAGAGATGACACAAAGAAAGCAGGCTTTTTCCTCCTCATGAACTGTGTATATAATTACTTGAATAATGTTGAATTTCACCCATATGCCGGGGAAGGGAAAAAAACAGCAAAAATAACTACTGTGAATTCAAACCGCAAATGAATGGAACTGGCCTCATTCATAAATGTCATATGAAGCTTTGGTTTAAAAGGCAAGTCTGTCATTCCAGGGACAGCAGCTGTTGTTATGTTGAACAAAATGGATACAAATGGGTATTATTTTAAAGTGAAATGCTTAATTTCAGGCCTAACAAGCACACTGTCCTCTGTGTAGCCCCGTGTCACACAAGCCATGATCTCCAGTAGAGGGCTTGATTGCACAGGAAATCAAGCTCCCGGGCTGTGGCTGACCGGACCAGCGAACACACTGGCAATGTTTGAGTTACTATGGCAATCACAAAATAGGAAGGCCTTTTCTTCTTTTCCCCATCTCTGCATGCAGCCGCAGCCTGCTCCTGAATAGGCCACATCTGCAAAAAGTTTTAACACGGTACTCAGATAAAGAAAAGGATCCCAAAAATGGGCACTGACCCGTCTCAAAAAATGTTGCAAATTTTACATACAAGAATTGGGGAGCTGGGCCACTTTGCACAGGTTATGTCATAATGCAAACACAAAGGGATAAAAGCGCATGGAGGCTTTGGCTGTCAGATATTGAGAGGAGGGAATGGCAGAAGTAAATGACAGCTTAAATGCAGATGTAAGGAGAAAAGTCAAAGATGGGTGACAGAAAGTTACTGGTCAATGAATAAGGGAGAAATTTCAGACACACACACAAAAAACAGACAAAAGGGTAAAATACAATAAAATCTATCTATAGAGATTTACTGAGAAAACCCCCCAAAGCATATTTAGCAAATCTTAGAACTATGAAACCCTGTGAAACCAACACATGGCTCTTTAGACAGGGCCTTTGTGGACTTTCTGTGTCCCACCACTGTTTCCTCGCAACTTACGGACGGGAGAGGATGTTTTCAAACAATGGAGGAGCCTCCCCGGGAACTCATATTTTAGACACAGCTTGGAAAAATGGATGTTTGCTGATGAAAAAAATATATGTAAAGACAGGTAGAGATGACCCTTGGAGACAGGCCTTTCCTGGAATGGAGACACTGGCTCGCAGCAATTCATAAGGAGTTATTTGGGGCTGACACCCCTTCCCCCACCCTATTCTCTTGCCCCCACATTTCTTTAAAATGTGTTACTTAGTCAGATTTTGTTTGTTTCCTCCTCTCTCCCAAGTCGGAAGGTGATTCAGCAGATTTCTGGAATGGAGCTGCCTGCCCATGCTCTTGGCATCTTTAGGTTGCAGAAGGACAGGCCTCCTTCCCGCTCTGTTCCACCCCTCACCCCCTCCACTGAGCTTAGGGCCGAGTGACCAGGCATCTGTCTTGAAAAACCCAAGTGTCAAGAAGAAGCAAAAATACTGAAATTAATCTTCACTGCTTTTAACTTAAAGAGCTATTCACGGTGTGAAAGCAGTTGGAAAAGACTTGGGTGGGCAGTGAACTAAGAAGTCACCATTTGCAAGAGTTGAAACTCAGAGGGAAGAATACTTTTAAGTAGCATGAACTCGCCACAAAAAGTCGCAGTGCTCAAAGGCGTCCAGAGTCCAGTAAAACTGACACTACATTTCACATTCATTGACTCTTGTTCTTTTGGGGGAGTTTTCGTATGAAGAGAAAGAGACAATGGAAGACAATAGTGCTACCTTATCAAAGTTCATTCATGCAGCTATTTCAAATACTTTTAACTGCTTGTCAATAGGTCTCGCAAGTCCCTGAGATTCTAAACGTTCTGTCACGTTTGTGTACTAACCACTTAAAGTTCTGCTGAAGCTTTGTGCCCCGGACTGCCTCCCCTTTATGTGGGTCAAAATGCAAGGCAAAGCCATTGTGTTAACCGGCCTCCATTAAATTCATTGATTTGACCTGTATTTTAAAGACCAAAAGTCAAACGGAATGGGAAGTTAAAGTTCCCATACAAAATCTTCCCGTGGGCACTTTTCGGCTTCCTTGAACTATCTGGTGTGTAGGCAAAGGACGTTTTAGGGCTGTTTGAAGTCTGGCTTGCTGCCCCACAGCATTTTTGCTTACATCGTATTTTTGGAGAAAAGTTTGGGTTTGTTCTTAATTTTATGCAAGGATGAAACAACGCTAAAGTTGAAGGAAGTCTGTTATCTTGAATTTGATTTTCTTCCCAAGGAAGTGGTTTTGCTCACCTTCTTCAGCAGCTTGACAAAGCTACAGCTGAGGCTGGTCCTGTTGCCCTAAGCTGGGCTCTCTGTCCTTGCTCAGAACTTCCTGATCGTGAATTGTCGTTTTTTCAGTCAGTATGCACCTTTGGACTTGAGGTGAGCTTAAGTTTTCTTCTGGACACATTGAGGAATGGCGGCATTTCAAAGCCCTGTCTTTTTCTCATGAGTGTTTTTATGGCAAAAGTAGTCACAAACAGTTCTCATTTAAAGTGTGTGAAGTGTGGGGGCAAGTAAGGAGGAGAAATTATCAATAAAAACCCAAAAAAGTGCCCTTCAACCAGAAGACAACTTCAGCCTGCTGTTCCTCTCTCTCACTTTTACTCTTAAGCATTCTCCCATTTCCATTTTGTCCAGTTAAAAAGAAATGGAAAACTGCCAGCACTTTGAGAGGCCGAGGCAGGTGGATCTCTTGAGGCCAGGAGTGCGAGACCAGCCTGGGAAACATGGTGAAACTCTGTCTCTACTAAAAAAATACAAAAATTAGCTGGGCATGGTAGTGGGCACCTGTAATCCCAGCTACTTGGGAGGCTGAGGCAGGAGAATTGCTTGAACCCGGGAGGCAGAGGTTGCAGTGAGCCGAGATCGTGCCATTGCACTCTAGCCTGGGCAACAGAGTGAGACTCTGCCTAAAAAAAAGAATAGGAAAACCATCCATCCACTTCAATGCAGAAGGAGCAAAAATCAAACTATTGATACCACTTAACACTTACTAGATACCACAGTTCTGATGACTTTTTAAAAATAATTCTATCAACACCATCAGCCAGTCGGGGAGATGCCAGGCCTAGCGAGATGTGGTTGAGGAGCCTGAACCCAGTAGATATGAAGTGCCCGAGAAAGGCAGAATCCAGTGAACACTTTGTGACTCTATATTGAACTGAGAAGATGCAGAAAGCCCATCGAGCAAATATATGTGTAGAACTCTAAAAACTCCAGGGACAGAGTTCTTGAAAGTCATGAATAAATATCTCTCTGCCAGGAAAGTTCATTTCTAATTGTTGCTAGCTACTATTACAATATAATAATATAGCACAATTGTTGAGGGTAAGATTGCTATACTCATTTTATAAATGAGGAAATTGAAACTCAAAGATCAAGGAACTTCCCAAGTTCACACAGCAAATAGATAGCAGAATAGAACCTGGATCTGTGTGATCACAAAGTCCACACACTGAGGAGAACTTTATGTAAGTTCCTTCCAATGACCAGATCCTGAGTGATATAAAAGCACACATGAAATTAAGTATTGATATGTGCTTATTGGGGATTACTGCTATGAGATACAAGATATTTTCCTAAGGCTATCTTTTTTTGTTGTTTTTTCTTTTTTTTTTTTAATTGTACTTTAAGTTCTAGGGTACATGTGCACAATGGGCAGGTTTGTTACATAGGTATACATGTGTCATGTTGGTTTGCTGCACCCATCAACTTGTCATTTACATTAGGTATTTCTCCTAATGCTATCCCTCCCCCAGCGCCAGAAAGGCCCCGGTGTGTGATGTTCCCTCCCCTGTGTCCACGTGTTCTCATTGTTCAATTCCCACCTACGAGTGAGAACATGTGGCGTTTGGTTTTCTATCCTTGTGATAGTTTGCTGAGAATGATGATTTCCAGCTTCATCCATGTCCCTGCAAAGGACATGAATTCATCCTTTTTATGGCTGCATAGTATTCCATGGTGTATATGTGCCACATTTTCTTAATCCAGTCTATCACTGAGGGACATTTGGGTTCCAAGTCTTTGCTGTTGTGAATAGTGCTGCAATAAACATATGTGTGCATGTGTCTTTATAGTAGCATGATTTATAATCCTTTGGGTATATACCCAGTAATGCAATTGCTGGGTCTAATGGTATTTCTAGTTCTAGATCCTTGAGGAATTGCCACACTGTCTTCCACAATGGTTGAACTAATTTATACTCCCAACAGTGTAAAAAAAGTGTTCCTATTTCTCCACATCCTCTCCAGCATCTGTCGTTTCCTGACTTTTTAATGATCACCATTCTAACTGGCGTGAGATGGTATTTCATTGTGGTTTTGATTTGCATTTCTCTGATGACCAGTGATGGTGAGCATTTTTTCATGTGTCTGTTGGCTGCATAAATGTCTTCTTTTGAGAAGTGTCTGTTCATATCCTTTGCCCACTTTTTGATGGGGTTGTTTGTTTTTTTCTTGTAAATTTGTTTATGTTCTTTGTAGATTCTGGATACTAGCCCTTTGTCAGATGGGTAGATTGCAAAAATTTTCTCCCATTCTGTAGGTTGCCTTTTCACTCTGATGGTAGTTTCTTTTGCTCTGCAGAAGCTCTTTAGTTTAATTAGATCCCATTTGTCTATTTTGGCTTTTGTTGCCATTGCTTTTGGTGTTTTAGTCATGAAGTCCTTGCCCATGCCTATGTCCTGAATGGTATTGACCTAAGGCTATCTTTTAAAATAGAATAAAAACACAGTTCTTGAGAAAGATTTATTTTATTTATTTACAGAGACAGAGTCTCACTATGTCACCCAGGCTGGAGTGCAGTGGCGCCATCACAGCTCACTGCAGCCTTGAACTCCTGGGGTCAAGCGATCCTCCTATCTTAGCCTCCTGAGTAGCTGGGACTACAGTGATGCACCACCATGCCTGGCTGATTTTTATTTCATATTTTGTATTTTTTGTAGACACGGAGTCTTGCTGTGTTGCCCAGACTGGTCTCGAACTCCTGAGCTCAAATGATCCTCCCACCTCAGCCTCCCAAAGTGCTAGGATTATAGGCATGAACTGCTGCACCCAGCCAGGAAAGATTTAAATAGGACAAGTCTAGAAGGTAGACCAAGAAAGTGAACGATTGCCTCTATCCTCACCCTCACAGAAATCATACAAACATATTATACTCTTGCTAGATGGTGTTCCCAGGGTGTGCTCCCCAAGGCTGGGATGAGAAGTGGTAAGGTGAGCCAGGATGGGTGTGATCATAGGTCCCATCCCATGTCCCCTTGCCCTGTGTCCCCTCTCTGCTGACCTAGGGATTGTGGTCCCTTTTACCCCTGCTAAGACAAAACCTACATTGTTGTTATCTTTGATAATTAACATTCTAAGAAGTTACTGCTTTTCTTTCTATTTTTTTTCACAGAACATAATTTTTCATGGAATAGAGATTTGAGTTCAGTATCTAAGTTTTGGGGATGGAGAAACTAGAACTCAGTGAACTTTGAGTTTTAGTTTATTGCCCCCGTAGAAGGCATATGGCCTTATGTTAAAAAGGCCATTCTTTCCTTCCTTGGGTGAACTAAAATGTTAAGAGAATCTTTAGATTTGTTACAATTAAAAAAATTATTAATTCAAGAAGCCCAAGGGCCGGGATGATTCCTCTTCAGTTCTAGAGGTTGGAGTCGCCACTCAGGACCAAGAGATTGAGACCTCCATTTTGGTGGGCCCTGAGGGTAGGGCCACCCTGGCTGGCCCAGAGGACAGAGCATCAGCCAAAGAGAATTATTCTCAAACCTTAAAATTTAATGGAATTTGCTGCCGGGTGCAGTGGCTCATGCCTGTAATCCCAACACTTTGGGAGGCCAAGGTGGGAGGATTGCTTGAGCCCAGGAATTTGAGACCAACCTGGGCAACATAGCAAGACCCTGTCTCTACAAACAATAAAAAAAAAATTAGTGGGGTGTGGTGGCTCATGCCTGTAGTCCCAACTACTCGGGAGGCTGAAGTGGGAGGACCACCTGAGCCCAGGAGAGTTCAAGTTTGCAGTGAGCTATGATGACACTACTGCACTCAAGCTGGGATGACTGAGTGAGACTCTGTCTCAAAAAAAAAAAAAAAAAAAAAATCAAATGAAATTTGTTCTGCTAGATTTTAGATTTGTTTGGGCCTCATAACTCCCTCTTTTTTTCTGATTTCTTCCCTTTGGAATGGACACGCCTATCCTAAACCTATCCCACTATTATATTTTGAAAGCAAACAACTTGTCTAGTTTCACAGGTTCACAGCTGGAGAACAATTTTACTCAGATGAATCATACCTCACCCATATCTGCTTTTTTTTGGAGACAGAATTTCACTCTTGTCGCCCAGGCTGGAGTGCAATGACACTATCTCAGCTCACTGAAACCTCTACCTCCCAGGTTCAAGCGATTCTCCTGCCTCAGCCTCCCAAGTAGCTAGGATTACAGGTGCCCACCACCAGGCCCAGCTAATTTTTTGTATTTTTAGTAGAGACAGGGTTTTGCCATGTTGGGCAGGCTGGTCTCAAACCCCTGACCTCAGGTGATCCGCCCGCCCCAGCCTCCCAAACTGCTGGGATTACAGGCGTCAGCCACTGTGCCTGGCCCCATATCTGCTTTAGATGATGTTTAGATGAGATTTTGAACTTAGAGTTGGTGCGGGAATGAGTTGACTTTTGAGGCTCTTGGGATGGGATGGGTGTATTCTGAATGTGAAAAGGACATGAATTTGGGGGTAAAATGTTACAGGCTGAAATGTGTTCCCTCCAAATTCAGATGCTGAAGTCCTACCCCCAGAATAATTGCCTTCAAATGTGAGTATATTTGTAGATAGAATCTTTAAAGACGTGATTAAGTTAAAATTAGGTCATTAGGGTGGGCACTGATTCAATATGACAGGTGTCCTTATAAGAAGAGGAAATGGGGCCAGGTGCAGTGGCTCACGCCTGTAATCCCAGCACTCTGGGAGGCCGAGGCTGGCGGATCACGAGGTCAGGAGATCGAGACCATCCTGGCTAACATGGTGAAACCCCATCTCTACTAAAAATACAAAAAATTAGCTGGGCGTGGTGGCGGGCGCCTGTAGTCCCAGCTACTCAGGAGGCTGAGGCAGGAGAATGGCATGGACCCAGGAGGCGGAGCTTGCAGTGAGCCAAGATCATGCCACTGCACTCCAGCCTGGGTGACAGAGCGAGACTCCGTCTCAAAAAAAAAAAAAAAAAAAAAAAAAGAGGAAATGGGCTAGGCACGGTAGCTCATGCCTGTAATCCCAGCACTTTGGGAGGCCGAGACGGGCAGATCACCTGAGGTCAGGAGTTCGAGACCAGCCAGGCCAACATGGTGAAACCCCCTCTCTACTAAAAATACAAATATTAGCCAGGCGTGGGGGCAGCTGCTTGTAATCCCAGCTACTCGGGAGGCTGAGGCAGGAGAGTCGCTTGAACCCGGGAGGCAGAGGTTACAGTGAGCTGAGATAGTGCCATTTCACTCCAGCCTGGGTGACAGAGCTAGACTCTGTCTCAAAAAATAAATAAGTAAATAAAAAATAACAAAGAAGAGGAAATTTGGACACACATGCACAGAGGGAAAACTGTGTGAAGACACAGGAAGAAGATGACCATGTAAGTCAAAGAGAGATGCCTCAGAAGACACCAATTCTGCCAACACCTTGATGTAGGACTTCTGACCTCCAGAAGTGTGAGAAAATTAATTTCTGTGGTTTAAGCCACTCACTCTGTGGTACTTTGGTGTGGCAGCTCTAGAAACCTAATACGCTCTGGTTCCGACATTGCAGGCCAACATCAGTTTTTTGTTATGTTCATTGCTCTGGCTGCCATAAACCATTGCACTCATATTGAGGACCTAGAAACCCTAAGAACTTTTTACCTGATGTGCTCAAGTTGTATATGAGAAAGTTTGTCTGGCCTTTGTCCCTTTTGGTCCTTCATTATCCAATATATTTTCTGAGTACCCAGTGTGTATTAGGTTATGAGCAATATAGTAATAAACATGACAGTTCAGGTCTTTGTCTTTGAAGAGTTACCATTCCAATGGGGGAAACTTTTAATAAACAAATAATATGGTGTCAAATTATGATCATCGTATGAAAAAGACAAAGCAGGGAGCTCTAGGTTATTATGATAGATTTAACACATGCATCCAATTTAGTCCCTCTAGAAACACCACTAAAACCAAAGGAAAGAGATTTTTTTCTAATCCAGGAGAACAGGAGAGGAACAAAAGCAATATTTAGAATTGTAAATCCAAGAGACAAATAGTAACAAATGTTGTAAAACTAAGCAAGCTGAATCCCAAATCCAGCTCAATTTCTGTCACAAAACCCTCAAAAGGCACAAGGACTGGGAGCACCAGGTGTCTCTGAAACCAGGGGTAAAGGAGAAGAACTAAAACAAGAAGGACAGCTGAAACCATCTGAGAAGAAGTTCTACCCCAAGACCGGCACACACACCCATTCCACTCCACTGGGCATCTGCCCTCCTCTATGAGGAAAGAAGACTGGAGGTTTGCTCTCTTCAGAGGACCTCTGGCAATGAGGACATATGACAGTGCCATTCTGAGAACAGGAGGATTAGGTGGTTAGTGCTAGTGGAGCAGGAGCTGAAACTGCCCCTGCTCCCCTCCCAACTTCACCCTCACCAGTTGTTTTCTCCCATCCAGTTCCCAGAACACCAGCAGCCAGATCCTTGCCCCCCAAGCAGGAGACTAAGAAACCTTAAAGCCGAAGAGGATAAAACAAAGATAGGGACATTGGATGTTCCTCAAGACCCCTCAAGGCCTGGGAAGGACAACAAGCTTTAAAAGAACTCTAAATCATTAACAGACATCAAAGGTTAATAGATAGCTGAGAACTCAAACAAACAGGAAAGTCACCTGGCATAAAACAGAAATCAAGAAGTGAGAGGATTCCTTAAAAAAAAATAACAAAGCAAAAACATTATCATTAACATTCTTAGAAAGGTGAGCAAAGACCTTATATCAATAAAACAAGCACAGACACTAAGGGAACAAATGAAAGGAACAAAAAAGAGCTCCTGGAAATTAAAAACATGATAGCAGAAATGAAAACTTCAATAAATGGCTGCAAGATTGAGCTGAGGAAATAGTTCAAAAAGTAGAAAAAAAAGATAAAAGATATTGAAAATAGAAGTAGAGTACAACTCCAGGTTGCTCAACTCCTGAATAATAGGAGTTCCAGAAAAAGAGAGCAGAGATAATACAGGGGAGGAAATAATCAATGAAATATTGTAACAAAATTTCCTGGAATTGATGGACATGAATTTACAGAATAAAAAGATTCACAAAGTGCCTGGTACAATTGATTCATTCATTCAATCAATATATAGTAAGTGCCTACCATGTGTCAGGTAGTATTTTAGACTCTAAGGATAAAAGAGTAAACAAAGCAACTGAAAAAAAAAGTCCAGGAAAGTTTTAATGACAGATTGGGCAGGGAGAAGGCAGAGAAAGAAGTAAAAGGAGGTTAGATTCTGGCTATAATCTGAGGGTAGGGCCAATAGGATTCACTGATAAATTAGATGTGGAGCATCAAAGAGAGGAGTTAATGATGACTTAGAGATAACTCCAAGAAAAAACTAGAAAAGAAGGAGTTGTTATTTCATAGAGAGAAAACTCAGATGCAAGTTTTTCGGTGGGTAGTGAGAGGGATTTGGAACTTGGTTTGGGGCGAATCAAATTTGAGATGTTTATTATGCATCTAGGTAGAAATATCACTAGGCAGTTTTATGTATGAGTCTGGAGTACAAGGGAGAAGTCCAGGCTAGAGATAAAAATTTAGGAATCATGCCTTTCCATGCTCTGCTGCTGCCTGGATCAGTCAAGGACATTCATTCCAATATATGGAAGTATTCTGCTTTGATCTGCCTTTTTTTTTCAGTTCTAAAGAAAAAGTAATCTCAGCATGTTTTAGAATGTATAGATAACACTCAACCTATACATTCATAATTTGAAAAGAATTGCTTGTATTTTTTCCTATTCAGTGACACCATGTCTTACTGTTTGCTCATATCAGTATTTGTATCTCTCAATAAAGATTTATAATTTATTATTTTCTGTATAAATCCTTCATATTTCTCATTAAATTATTCGTAGGTTCTGTGTTGTGTGTGTGTGTGTGTGTATGTGTGTGTGTGTGTGTGTTGGGGAAGAGGTTGTTTCTAACATAAAGAGATTTGGTTCTCATTGTATCCTCTAATTGATTATTTCTTGGTATAAAAATGCTATTCTTTTTTTTATATTTATCTTATATCCTGCCACCTAGGTAAATTATTTTATAAATTTTGATGGTTTTTCAGTTCTTGCATTTTCTAAGTGGAAATTACATTACCTACACATAATAAGTTTTCTTCTCCTTTCTAATACAGTTGACCCTTGAACAACATGGATTTGAACTGCATGGGTCCAATTATATTCAGATTTTTTTCAGTAAGAATTACATCAAGTGTGCCAGCCTCTCCTGCCTCCCCTTCCACCTCCTCCACCTCTTTGGCCTATGCCACTCCTGAGAGAGCAAGACTAACCCCTCCTCTTCCTCCTCCTCAGCTTATTCAACATGAAGATGATGAGAATGAGGACTTTGTGATGATCTTCCGCTTAATAAATGGTAAATATATTTTCTCTTTCTTATGATTGTCTTAATATTTTCTTTTATCTAGCTACCTTATTAAAAGAATATAGCATATAATACTTAAAACATACAAAAAAAAGTGTTAATCAACTCTGTGGGCTGTTGGTAGGGCTTCCCGTCAACAGTAGGCTATTGGTAAAGCTCTGGGGGAGTCAAAAGTTAAACACCACATGTTCTCACTCATATATAGCAACTTTAAAAGTTGATCTTAGAGAAGTAAAAAGTAAAATGGTCTTAAGATACCAGAGGCTGGGAACGGTTGGGGGAAGGGAAGGGTGGGAAGAGATGTGTTAAAAGATACAAAATTACAGCTAGATAGGAAGAATAACTTCTAGTGTTCTATAGCACTGTAGGGAGTCTATAGTTAACAATAATATATTGTATAGTTTCAAGTAGCTAGAAGGAGGATATTGAATGTTCCTAACACAAAGAAATAATAAATGTTGGAAATGATGAATATGCTAATTACCCTGATCTGATCACCACACATTATATGCACAGAAACATCACTATATATCTCATGAATATGTGAAACTACTAATTGTCAATTTTTTAAAATTATACATGAATTTTCTGCTGCATGGGGGCGTGAGCACTCCTAACTCCTGTGTTGTTCAAGGGTCAACTATATATATTAGGTTCAGTTCTGACTCTGAAATCATTGCTTTCCACTACACCATTCTCCTTCTTTCTTCCATATCCTTTTTGTAATATCTTCAGAACAATACATGTGTTGTGCCATGCAACCTTGTTTGATACATGAGAAAAAAAGGGTCTGGCCACAAAAGTTAAGTGATATATGTCGGTTAGGTGCCAATGCATACAAGTAAACCAAAACCTCCAAGCTGACAATACGAATTAAGAGGACCAATAGCCCCTATTGATGACCTCATGAGAGGCTCCAACCAACCAGATTAGTTTTATTGGTTAAATGGTATAGGAAACATTCATAATAATTGGTTATGGGAAAAATTCTTTTGTTTTATGGGTAATAATAGGTATAACACAAATTAAAGTGCTAAAAGAACATTTGGGAGAAATTCAAAATATGTCTATTATTCTTTTTTCAAGATCTTTGATTCTTCCCTCCTATGATCCTTGATTCTTTATTTTTTTGTGTTACAGATCAGCGGAGCATCACTGGCTGTGTGGGGCTCCCTCCAGTAAGTAGGTCTAGGACCTTAGCCGCATCTGCTGCTCATCCCACATCTTGACAAAAGTACACAAGAACCTCTAGTGCTTCCATGTCTCCAAATGCCATCTCCATTACACTTCAAAATGCACCCCCAACCTAGGATGATTGGGCTGTCCTTCTTAGCTGATAAAAACAGCAGAAAAACTTGATTTGTTTTCTTTATTTCTGTCAACTATTGCTATCAGGTAATATGCAGTATGTTTAACCCTCTGAAACATGAAACCCCTGTAAGTAAGTAATCCAGGACACACACCTCCTGTAGCACTGTGTCCTACTCAGTCTTAGTCCAGCTAAATGTGGAAGTGTATGCACATTTGGATCTTTCTAGACATTTTCTGTAAGTACCATAAGAGAAGCATAAGGCATCCCCATTTGATTGTTAGAAGGCTAGCTGGTTTGCAAGAAAGGGACAGAACTTGGAAGAGGCTAGGGCCAGTCCTTGTGAGGCCACCACCAGCATCATCTCTGCCAGATCATGACACGCCACTGCAGCTGTGCCACTTCATCCATCCCTTACACAGCCTCCTCAAGGAGTTCTCCTGGCACAGCACATACCCTGCTTACTGCAGAGCATGTGAGGCCCTTGGCCAAGCACAGCGACTCACACCTGTAATCCCAGCACTTTGGGAGGCCAAGGTGGGCGGATCACCTGAGGTCAGGAATTCGAGACAAGCCTGGGCAACATGGTGAAACCCCGTCTCTACTAAAAATACAAAAATTAGCCAGGCATGGTGGTGTGTGCCTGTAATCCAGCTATTCAGGAGGTTGAGACAGGAGAATCGCTGGAATCCAGGAGATGGAGGTTGCAGTGAGCCGAGATCATGCCACTGCACTCCAGCACTCCAGCCTGGGCAATAGAGCAAGACTCCATCTCAAAAAAACAAAAAACAAAACAAAAAAACCTGTGAGACCCATGCTCCGGGGGACTGGCCTTGCCAGGTCTTGAACTTACAGGTAGAACAAGTGGTAACCACAGAAAGACTTGATCCTATTTTAATAACCTGATTCTCATCTCTTACGACCACAAAGTATGCTTATCCTTCTACGTCGATGTCCGCATTGGTCTGGGACCCTGACTACTCCTAGGGAAGAGGAATCAGACTGCCCTTCTAAGTGGTATCTATACTTTCAAGGACAAGGGTGCCTTGTATGAAAGACCAAGGGTCATTTCTTATCTTTCCTTATGCAAGCAGTTGGTTTTGCAGGACCAGCCATGGTTCCCTGGAGACCCGGCCCAACTTCTGGTACAAAGTAGAGAACTGGACAAACATGTTTTGCTGGGCCCTGCAGCTTTCACTGAGAGACACACAGTTTTGGGGATGGGGCTTGGCCACTGTCAATCACTTAAGGCCCGTAGATGTTGCCTCAGTGTGGTGGCATCTGCCACCAAGGCCAGATCTAGGGATCTAGTTGCTAACTCAGCAGCAGCCTTCTGTTTTTCTACAAGCCTATAGAAATGTTTTGGTTTCTTTTCCTCCTCCTCCTTCTCCAGAATTGGCTTTATTAACAGCAAGAATTCAAGCAGTCTCCCTGGTCTCTCATGCAGTTCAATCCCCGACAGCCTTTCCTGTAAATGCCACCTGCTGTCACATGCTCCATCCGGGCCTTTGTTGTCAGGCTCACTTCTTTCTACATCTTCCTCCATTGACTTCAGCAGCTCCTTCATGCATGCCACAGTTTTTTCTGAAGTCTTTGGATGCATTTTCATAATGACAACATCAAAGTTCCTGCTTCTCTCTGTGTTACCAAATACTTTGTTGGAGTTGTTGATCTGACTTGGGACTTTGTAACATTCACTGAGGCAGACATGTATTTTAGCCATAGTTCAAATCCTCCTCTCTGGGAGCTGGCCTTGCACCTCTGGAAAAGAACCACATGTTTTGATCACAGTGGCTTCCACCAAGAGCTGGGGACCACTGACAAATGGCTGGCCCTTCCCCCCCAATTCTAAAGGCCTCTGCCAGAGCTCCAGAAGCCGGGCGGAGCCTGCCAACAACCATTATCAGCCTGTCCGAGTAGACCCTATCTTCTTATTTGAAAAAAAACCCCACTTTCTTTAGAAAAGTTAGATATGTGAAGATGCTGGTCTACAGGGTCCTTTTGAAAACATCTAACATCTTCTATGGGACGTTTCCACAGTTCACCACCTGAAACACTTGGACCACACATGTTTGCACATCCTGGACTTTCTGTCTGATACATCTAGGACTGAACAATGGGTTCTCCCAGAAGTTCCAGAGGGAATTCCTACAATTCTCGCTTCAAGATGGCGCTCCAGCTGCATCACCTGCAGGCCTGGGCTAGGATATGTCTTGACTCTCCTTATGACACTGTCTTGGTGGCTCACTTGGGTGAGTGTGGGGCCAATCCAAGGGAAGTTGCGGGGAAGCTCAAAAAGGTAACTCAGTTTTTCTTGGGAGAAGAGAGATTCTGAGCAGATTGGAACGTACCATCAACAGTGCCTTCTTCCTCCTGAGCTGATATCTGAATGAGTCCCTATTCACAGGAAGACCCTGGCCCACCTTGATGTCCCACTCAACTGTAATCCATTGGTCCTTTTTGGGCAATGACTGAGTCCTCTCCTGACCAAGGAAAGGAATGCATCTCAAGCCTCTCCCCATCAGGCCTTCATTAGCCCCATCCCCTACACCCACTGACTCTGCTCCCACTCCCGCCACTGTATCGCCCAGCGTTGCTTCCTGCAGGAAACCCTGCTGAGGAGTCTAGTGGAGGCAGAGATGCCCTGTGTTGAACACTCCACCATGCATTATGTCATTTTCTCCACACAACAGCCCTGAGAGGAAGGAAGTGTTATTCCCATTTTATAGAAGAGAAAACTGATGCTCAAACAGGTTAAATAATTTCTCAACTATTGACTGAAGAGCATGGGATACAAGTTCTAGGCCATTGTCGGCAAAGTCTGTATGCTTCACAGCTTGGCTGTGGGATGTGCTCCTCTGCCTTCAGGAGCCAACCCATCACCTTGGCCAACCCTTTGACCAGTGCAAACACTGCATCTTTGTCAGCCTCCTCTGCTAGCACAGCCACCCGGCCACCTCTATAACCAATGCCAACAGCTCTTGCAAGAGCAGGAAAGACTCTCCTTAGACCAGAGTGTCCCATCCTCAGCACTATTGGCATTTTGAACCTGATAACTCTTTGTGGTGATGAGGTGTTGTCCTGTGCAGTATAGGATGTTTAACAGCATCCCTAGCCTCTAGTTGTTCTCTGGTTGAGAACAACTGCCCTAGGGTACTCATCCTGTCAGCTCTCTCTGCTTTTGAGCCAAAGTTCCTGAGAAAGAAAGGTCTCTGATGCAAAGCCTGTCCCCACTATAGCACTTTGAAACACTACTCTTGCTGGGACAGGCACCTAACCAGGCTCCCTCTCACCATCTGTCTTAGTCCAGTCCAGCTGCTATAACCATATCCATGCTGGATAGATGATACATGACAGAAATTTATTTGCACACAATTCCGGAGCCTGGATGTACAAGATCAGGGTGTCAGGATGCTCGAGTTCTGGTGAGGGCTCTCTTGCAGGTTGCAGATGGCTGTCTTCTTGCTGGGTCTTCACATGGCAGAAAGAGCATGAAGGAGCTCTCTGCAGTCCCTTTTCTAAGGGCACTAATCTCATTCATGAGAGTTCCACCCTCATAACCTAATCACCTCCCAAAGGCCCCACCTTCTAATACCATCATCTTGGATATTAGGATTTCAACACATGAATTTCGGTGGACACAGACTTTAAGTTCATTGCACCGTCACTGTCCTGGTGCTCCCTGATGTACAGCCCCTTCTTGGGGAACTCAGATGGCCCCAAGTGGAATTAGTTTAATCATTGGTCAGGCTCCCTTTCAACAGAGTGTGTCCCTGAATGCTCCATGCCCCCATTTTCAACATTCATCTTTACCCTCTGATACAGTTTGGATCTGTCTCCCTGCCCAAATCTCATGTGGAATTGTAATCCCCAGTGTTAGAGGTGGGGCCTGGTGGGAGGTGACTGGATCGTGGGGGCGGATTTCCCCCTTTCATGGGAAATTCATATGAATTTCCCAATTCATATATTCTTATGATAGAGTTCTCACGAGATCTAGTTGTTTAAAAGTGTGTGGCACCTTTGCCATCTCTCTCTTCCCCTTCTCCAGCCATGTAAGATGTGCCTGTTTCCCCTTCACCTTCTGCCATGATTGTAAGTTTTCTGAGGCCTCCCCAGAAGCCTAGCGGATGGCCAGCATTATGCTTCCTGTACAGCCTGCAGAACTGTGGGCCAATTAAACCCCTTTTCTTTATAAATTAGCCAGTCTCAGGTATTTCTTTATAGCCATTCGAGAACAGCCTAATACGCCCTCCCTTTCATGACCCCAGAGCCTGCACTCCCAAATCCTATGCCATCCAAGGGTGATGACCACCTGGATAAGAATGAGCCCTTCACTGGAAAGGACTGTGTAGAAACGAAGCCTGTACTCCCCAACAAGTCCAAACCTGCCAGATTCAGGCAACTACCCATGGAAATGCCAAGTAGGGCACCTCTGTGGCCAATCATTCTGGCCCGTTGGAGAGGAGGAACCGCGTGGGCAATCCATCATCAGCTGATGGTGGTGCCGGCTGCTGGCTCCCCATGCCTAGGCTGGTCTCCACTAACATCATTTAGTTTTTAGATTTTCCCAATTAAGAAAGGTTCCCACCAGCAACAGCAAAAATCCTCACCACCTCTTTCATTATCTCAGCTTTTCTTCCCCTTAATTACTATTGAGCTCCTGGCTGATTAAATTAGTTTTTGAGGTCCTTTCTGAAATCTTGGGGAAATTATCTAAAAATCATGAAATCAATTCCCTTACGCTGTTTTAATCCTTTATGCCCTAGGCTCAAAGAGGGATGGGCAGACAAGTGCAGGCCCTCTGAGAAGTGTGCAGCTCTACACTGCTTGCCAGCCTTCTAGGGCCTTTGTGGACCATCTGGGTCAATTTCCTTCCAAGTAAATGAAATGCAAATAAAAATTCCAGCAGTTTTTCAGCTGCCGGCTGCCCAGCTGATTAGCATGACAGAGGCTGGGAGATGAGGCCTGACCCGGTGCACTTCCCCTCATCTCATTAAGTTGTAACTCCACCGCGGCTGCATTCATGGTGTTTATTGACGCTGAAAGGCGTCTTTATCCAAAACTAGCTAAATTCACATTCAGAGTTTTTACTTGGAAGTCTTGCCTGCTCCAGCATCCACATGAAAGTGAACCTATTGTGGCTGGCTCATGTGTCCTGCTGATTCTGAAACAATCTGGAGGTTTCTCAAAAATGTTTATTTCACAAGTTTGTATCCTTCCATCCTGCTCCCCCAGCCTCAAAATGCACAGGGACACTCAGTGCAGGAAGAGGTAGGGGTGAGCGTGGGAGGAATTCCTAAAGTCAAGTTCTTAACAGATGTGGGAAAGCGAGGGTCTGGGAGAAGGATTTTGGCCTGGATGATTCTGAGATCTGTAGGTACAGTGAAACCTGCCACAGCTCATGGGGCCCTGCCAAGCTTTCTCACCTGGGTACTGGCTTCTCAGAGACCTCTGGCCAGGCACACAGCCCCACCAATGGCTGTTCCCCCTGGATTGATTTTCCTTCTTTATAACGCATTTAAAGGGCAGTTTCCCGTATCTGCCTCCATTAACCATGCATGAACATATAGCATCACGGTAGCCTTGATTTGCTGTTGGGGTCCTCACTGCTTTGTGGCTTTGCACCAGGGCCTGTTTGCAGGCTGGGGAATGATTTTGCTCGCGATTGAGGCTGGGAGGTCCCAGGACTGTGCGGCTCTTCTCTCATTTTCATCTAACAGAATGCTTCATGGGAGAGAAGAGGTATTTATCTTTGGAAATTGAGAATGAGGGGAAAGGAGACAAAATTCAAGAGGAGGAAGTCACTACTATTTGTGATTCTCTGGTTGCCCCCAAAAGGAAACATCATGATCAAAATTCAATCTCTCTGACCCACTTGGGATTACAGCTGGGAAGAGAGCTTCGAAATCAAACTTAATGAATAAACTGGTTGATGAGTGACTTTTTTTTTTTTTTTTTTTTTTGAGACAGAGTCTCGCCCTGTCGCCCAGGTTGGAGTTCACTGGCGCGATCTCGGCTCACTGCAAGCTCTGCCTTCCGGGTTCACGCCATTCTCCTGCCTCAGCCTCCTGAGTAGCTGGGACTACAGGTGCCCGTCACCATGCCCGGCTAATTTTTTTTGTATTTTTAGTAGAGACGGGGTTTCACCGTGTTAGCCAGGACGGTCTCGATCTCCTGACCTCGTGATCCGCCCGCCTCAGCCTCCCAAAGTGCTAGGATTACAGGCGTGAGCCACCGCGCCCAGCCGATGAGTGACTTTTTAATATGCAAGTAAAGCTGGATGCTTTTGATAGGTCCTGGTTAGTATTTAGCCAACAGGGTATGCATGGATTCGCATGTGGGAAAAGGGTTGCTATCCTTCAAAATGCATGCCTGAGATCTTCAGCCATTCAGAAGACATTTTTTAAACCAGTAAACAGCGTTGGGCCTGTTATAAAGGTTTACCAATCTGCAAAACTATCTTAACCGTTTGCCCATAGGATCTGTGCTAAGGATGATAATAGTTAACATTTTTGTTAAAATCATTTTCTATACTAGGTTTTCTTTTAGGGCTGGTTTCTGCTCAGGGCCTAATTCAGTAGGTTGGCCACTTTGTGGTTTGGCTCAGATTTTCCTGGCTGTTGATAAAAAGATTTTGTTTTCTCTTTGGTTGGCCAACAGGAAGGGGTGGGCGCATCAAAGGCTGAGAGTGACCGACCATCCATAGGCACAGTGTGGAGGATCGTCAGCTTGCTCAGCGTGCTTAGCTACAAATGAACAGCACATCCCAGAAGGCTTATAACTCTACAGGAGCAAAAAAGAGCACAGGGTGTGATCTTGGTAAGAGAAGAGGGCTAGCCCAAGGTATCCAGGCCATCTTCTCATGGCCTGCAATGCAGGACTCTTGGTCTAAGGGTTAACCCTGTGTCTGATGTGTGATTGCAAAAATTATGATAGGGGTAGGTAATCCAAGTGAGCTTGCCTGGCTGTTTGTCTGAGTGGATGCCGCCTTCCAGAAAGAAACTAGCCAGTACCTATAACATTAAAGGTACCATGTTATAATGGTGCCATCTTACAATGAGCCATCTCCCTCATTTGTCATAATGTGTCCAAAATTGGTGGGTTCTTGGTCTCACTGACTTCAAGAATGAAGCTGCGGACCCTCGCGGTGAGTGTTACAGCTCTTAAGGTGGCGCATCTGGAGTTTGTTTCCTTCTGATGTTCAGATGTGTTTGGAGTTTCTTCCTTTGGTGAGTTCGTGGTCTCGCTGGCTCAGGAGTGAAGCTAAAGACCTTCGCCATGAGTGTTACAGCTCTTAAGGCAGCGCGTCTGGAGTTGTTCCTTCCTCCCGGCGGGCTCATGGTCTCCCTGTGCTTGAGGAGTGAAGATGCAGACCTTCGCGGTGAGTGTTACAGCTCATAAAAGCAGTGTGGACCCAAAGAGTGAGCAATAGCAAGATTTATTGCAGAGAGCGAAAGAACAAAGCTTCCACAGTATGGAAGGAGACCCGAGTGTGTTGCCACTGCTGGTTCAGGCAGCCTGCTTTTATTCTCTTATCTGGCCCCACCCACATCCTGCTGACTGGTAGAGCCTAGTGGTCTGTTTTGACAGGGTGCTGATTGGTGCGTTTACAATCCCTGAGCTAGACACAAAGGTTCTCCACGTCCCCATCAGATTAGTTAGATACAGAGTATCCACACAAAGGTTCTCCAAGGCCCCACCAGAGCAGCTAAATACAGAGCGTCGATTGGTGCACTCACAAACCCTGAGCTAGACACAGGATGCTGACTGGTGTGTTTACAATCCCTGAGCTAGACATAAAGGTTCTCCAAGGCCCCACCAGAGCAGCTAGATACAGAGTGTCCATTGGTGCACTCACAAACCTTGAGCTAAACACAGGGTGCTGATTGGTGTGTTTACAAACTTTGAGCTAGATACAGAGTGCTGATTGGTGTATTTACAATCCCTGAGCTAGACATAAAGGTTCTCCAAGGCCCCACCAGAGCAGCTAGATACAGAGTGTCGATTGGTGCACTCACAAACCCTGAGCTAGACACAGGGTGCTGATTGGTGTGTTTACAAACCTTAAGTTAGATACAGAGTGCTGATTGGTGTATTTACAATCCCTGAGCTAGACATAAAGACTCTCCACGTCCCCACCAGACTCAGGAGCCCGGCTGGCTTCACCCATTGGATCCCGCGCCGGGGCTGCAGGTGGAGCTGCCTGCCAGTCCCAGGGCTGTGCACCCGCAATCCTCAGCCCTTGGGTGGTCGATGGGACTGGGCACCGTGGAGCAGGGGGTGGCGCTCGTCGGGGAGGCTCGGGCCGCACAAGAGCCCATGGAGCGGGTGGGAGGCTCAGGCATGGCGGGCTGCAGGTCCAGAGCCCTGCCCCGCGGGAAGGCAGCTAAGGCCCGGTGAGAAATCGAGTGCAGCGCCCGTGGGCTGGCACTGCTGGGGGACCCAGTACCCCCTCCACAGCTGCTGGCCCGGGTGCTAAGTCCCTCATTGCCCGGGGCCAGCAGGGCTGGCCGGCTGCTCTGAGTGCGGGGCCCGCCAAGCCCATGCCCACCCGGAACTCCAGCTGGCCCGCAAGCGCCGCACACAGCCCTGGTTCCCGCTGGCGCCTCTCCCTCCACACCTCCCTGCAAGCTGAGGGAGTGGGCTCCGGCCTTGGCCAGCCCAGAAAGGGGCTCCCACAGCGCAGCGGTGGGCTGGAGGGCTCCTCAAGTGCCGCCAAAGTGGGAGCCCACGCAGAGGAGGCGCCGAGAGCGAGCGAGGGCTGTGAGGACTGCCAGCACGCTGTCACCTCTCAATAACAACCCAGCTAGTCTTATATAGACAGCCCCATTTCAGTGACCAGGAAACTGAAGCTTGGAGAACAACTGTGTTGCTTGAGACCACAGAACTGGGGTTAGAAGAAGGTCTAACTGACCCCAGAGCCCATGCTCTTCCCAATATGCTGTACTGTCTCCACAGCACACCACGTGCCACACATTTCCCATTTCCAATCCAAAGATCATGCCCCTCACATAAATCAAACCACAGACCATGGGAGCTACACACAGGACACTCAGCAACCCTCTGACTATAATTATTTGATGTTGCTTGCCACAGGCTGTTTGTGCTGCCTGACAATTATGTCTGTGCAGCCAGAAAGCGGAAGGTGAAATGAGTAGAAGAAAGAATAAATGCCCTTCAATGCCTTTCTCCATTTCCATGGAGTGTTGCTGCACCCCACTGAAGACATGGTCTGAGCTGAGGCTTCGGAGTTACCCTCAAAGCTGGGCCTTGGCTTTTCTGACCTTCCCTGCAAGCCGAGTTGTCCCAAGAACCCAGCTGGCCAGGCCACAAGTCAGCTACATCCTGCCCTCCCCTTACTATGAAAACCTGGGGCAGATGATCACCTGGCAGTGCAGGCTGGCTGTGAAGCAGTCACTCTCCCCATAGCAGATCAGTGAGAGCCATCTCTTACCATGTCCTTGAAGAGGAAAATCAGCTTTGCCCCAGTTTTGATCATATGAAGCAATAGTGTATTAAATAATAAAGCCAAAATTGTGACAGGCTGCCTGGCATACTGACACCCTACAGTATGCCAGGCACCGTATGAAACACTTTGCAACTGTCTTGGGTATTAAACAAGTGGAGGATATCATTACTGGATAAAGCATCCATCAGTCCATGGTCTACCTTGCTTTTCCAAGTGTGGCCCACAGATCAACAGCATCAACCAACATTATCTAGGAGCTTGTTAGAAAAGCAGAATCTTGGGCCCCTCCCCAATACTAACCTGCATTTTAACATGATTAAGAGGTGGTTTGTATGCACATTAAAGTTTGAGAAACACTGGTGTAGCGTTCTCTTTAAGTCCAGGATCAAGCAGAAAGTATGATTTTTCCCTCAAGATTTTTAATCCAAATGAGACTATACATATATGAGTTCTGCAGCAATTTGGAGCTTCTTGAATTTATATTTCCTTTGTACCTGGTAAAGAGATTTTTTTCAAATTTTCTTTTAAAGCTTGCTACCCCTCTCAGGCCTTTATAAGGACAAAGAAGCTTTTACCCAACAACATCTGAGCAAAGGTAGGAACCTAGCATCCTTGAGTGCCTTCAAAGGTGCATTGTGTGATTTATCTCTGGGAGCTGGATATTATGTTTGCTGTTTCTCTGTTACAGGTTAAAAAAAAAAAAAACTAGATTGAAAGGAACTACTCTCGGTGGCTCTGGCTATTAAGTGGCAGAGCTGGGATTCAAACCCAGGTCCTCTGACTTTAAAGTTCCCACCCTCCCACCATATACCAGGATGAGTCCGCTGCCCAGCCAAGCCAAGTAAATTTAAAATGGGTCAAAATTGCCGGGCGCGGTGGCTCACACCTGTAATCCCAGCACTTTGGGAGGCTGAGGCGGGCGGATCACGAGGTCAAGAGATCGAGACCAGCCTGGCCAACATGGTGAAACCCCGTCTCTACTAAAAAAAAAAATACAAAAATTAGCTGGGTGTGGTGGCGCGTGCCTGTAATCCCAGCTACTCAGGAGGCTGAGGCAGGAGAACTGCTTGAACCAGGACCCGGGGGGCAGAGGTTGCGGTGAGCTGAGATCACGCCATTGCACTCAAGCCTGGGCAACAAGAGTGAAACTCTGTCTCAAAAATAAATAAATAAATAAAATAAAATGGGTCAAAATCATAAACATTACTATCCTTTTATCTGGATAAAAATACTCCAAGCACAATTGAGTCTTCATATCCCTAACACACAATCTCATGGAAAGAGCAAGAAATGGGTTGTTTTATTTTTATCTATAATGCTATTCAGGTGCTTGCTTAAGGGATTTACAGCTTATGGAAATGGCTGGTTTAGATTCTAATGGAAAAAAAAACTCAGAGAGGAGACCTTAAATATTTGCAGCTGTAGTTCATTGTCTTAGCTGTCCTGGGACCAGATAGCAGAAATACAGTATAATTGCAGTGACAAAAAGAAGATAGCAATGCATAAATATTAGGGCTAGGGAAGACTTTGGACTGCTTCATCAGGATCATCAGCCAGGTTTAGGCACTACTACATCAGGAAGCTTAACAAATGTCTCTTGAGTTAGAGACCAAACAAGCGAGAGAGAGAGAGAGAGAGAGAGAGAGAGAGAGAGAGAGAGAGAGAGAGAAAATGCCTAGTGACATGCAGCTGTGCTCTTTAAATCATAATTTAAAAGGTGCCTTTCCTCCAACTGCAGTAGTGCTTTCATCATCAACCTAACTAGGTTAGGGACTGACCCTGCTCACCCTTGGGAAGTGGGAGTAACAATTTATCCTAATGATTTTCGGAAACAACACAGCTTCTGGGCTAGAATCATATCAATTCCCCAGGGAGTTTCTTACAGTCTCACTTCACTGGGCCAGTGAGGATTCCCTTTCAAGCTGGGTTATCAAGCTGTGGATGAATTTTTTTTTATCAAGATAAATAACCATATAAAATGAATGCTCTCTGTAATTAAATAAGTAAACACCAAAAGATGTGTTTCTCTAGGGGGATTATCATGAAAGTACAGATTTTCCATGCAGGCCAAGTTCAAATTCTACCAAGCAATCAAAAAGCATATTTTCAAACTACCAAATATAATTTGTTGGTGAGATGAGAAAAAAGCTTGCTTCCTGACATCTGCCAGACCATGTGCAAAGGATTTTCAGAGCAGAGGTTGAGGTGGAGGTTGCATCCAAGAGGATGACAATTTATTCTTTCATAAAACACCTAAGGATGCTGATTTCACCATTTAAAAAAAATTCAGATTAGAAAGTTTCCCCATCTCTCTCGAGGCTCCTTTCTCATCATGACCTGTCCTCCACCCCATACCAACCTCTCCTCCAGGGTTCCTATGCCCTCTTCACATCTAGCCACTGGAAGCTCCCCAAGGCATCGAAACTCCAAACTTGTCCTTCAACAGGACCCAAGAAATACTCTCCTCTCTTTTTCCTCACGCCATCAAACCTCCTGTTCATCAGCAATGTAAATCTCAGTTAAGTGCTGAGAAGAAATCAGGCTCACTAAACTAATTCACTCTAAGGTGTGAATGATTGATAGCCCCATAAATATCCCTTGGAGATTTGCATTTTAAAAGAGGATTTTATGCACCCTACTGAATCTTCATTTGCATGCATTTCAAGCTTGGGAAGAAGAGATTTGTTTTGTTTACCACATAAGCAACTTGGAACCTGTCATACCAAAGATCAGATCTTTTTACCATTTATAGTGAGTTCATTGGTTGAGTTGTTATTTTCATCATCAGTTGCCTAATGCGTTGCTGAGCCCTGTCTTGGGTAAAGCACTTTATCCCTCTAAATCTAGAGCTGAACTGAAAGGGGACTGTGTCCATCTTGCTTCACTCTTTCCTCGCCTGAACAGACAGAAAGTCCCCCAAATAACCAGTGCAGCTGCATTTAGGCCACTTCTTAGGTGGCACTTAGCAAGATGAAAAATGAGATCTACTCCAATTTTTGTAATAATCTTCCTGCTCCCTGCCTTCTACGTCTTACTAGATTTTGCTATAGCCCCTTAACTCTGAACTGTAGATTCAGCTCCACTTCCAGAACTCCAGGCTTTGGGCATAGGGAACAGAAAGAATTCAGATGAATTTCGCTTTGAAGAACAAGGCACATTTGGAGTGTTTTCTCATTGCTTCACTCCACTTACTGCACATTTACTGAGAAACACTATGTTCAGTGTTTAATCTTTACATCAATCCTGTTGAGGAATATCACTTTCCCTGCTCTACAGATAAGCTACGTTAGACTCAGAAGTTAAGCAACTTACCCAAGATACCACAGCTAGTTTAGCAGAGCCAAGATTCAAATCCAGATCTGTCTAACTCCCAACTCCTAACTGCTATGTTGCAGTATATGTAGTGGGAAGGAGAGCACGGTCTTAGAGTGACTTCGCAGGCAGGGCCAACCTCTCTGTTAGGCGCAGTGGGCACAGTGCCTAGGGCCCACCATACCTTTAGAGACCCCCCCCCCACGAAGTGTTTTAATTCCTTTAATTAACTTTCTTTGGGGTCAAAGAAAATGTTTTCATAAATATTAATATATTCATCTTTATACCAACACCATCATAAAACACATTTTAAAAAATTTTTATGAAGGAAAAGGTCCACAAAGGCAAAAGTGCCAAGGCCCATCCCTGCTTAGAGGTGACCTGCTCCCCCCACTCCCAGAAGTTTCTGCTGCTCTGCCACCTGAGTCATTGCCAACTTTGCAAACAGCCACAGAAGAGCCATGATGTTATTATCTTGCATCAGAGAGCAACAGATGAACAGAAAGGCTAAGTATATTGGTCAGGGTCATCTTGAGAAACAGAACCAATGGAATATATATGCATATATATGTGAAGAGAATTATTGTGGCAATTGGCCAAGAAGTCCTACCTCTGCCATCTACACCCTGGACACCCAGGAAAGCCAGTTGCATAATTCAGTCCAAGTTCCGGAGCCCAAAGGTCCGAGAACCAAGAACCAATATCTAAAGGCAGGAGAAGAGGGAAGTCCCAGCTCAAGAAGAGAGAGGAAATTCCCCCTTCTTCCACCTTTTTTTTCTACTCGGGCCCTCAACGGATTGGATGATGCCCACCACATTGGTGAAGGGAGATCTTCTTTAGTCAGTCTACTAATCTTTTCAGGAAACACCCTCACAGACACACACAGAAATAACATTTTAGCCGGGCATGGTGTCTCACGCCTGTAATTCCAGCACTTTGGGAGGCCGAGGTGGGTGGATCACGAGGTCAGGAGTTCAAGACCAGCCTAGCCAAAATGGTGAAACCCCATCTCTACTAAATATACAAAAATTAGCCAGGTGTGGTGGTGGGTGCCTGCAATCCCAGCTACTCGGGAGGCTGAGGCAGGAGAATCGCTTGAACCCGGGAGGCAGAGGTTGCAGTGAGCCAATATTATGCCACTGCACTCCAGCCTGGGTGACAGAGTGAGATTCCATCTTAAAAAAAAAAAAAAGAAAAGAAATAACATTTTACCAGCTATCTGGGTGTCCCTTAGCTCAGCCACATTGACACATAAAATGAACCATCACACTGCATAATTCTCTCAAAGTCATGGGGTCAGAGGCCTGACTCATGTGGTAGGTCCTGGTAGTAAATCACTGGAGCAAGTGCGTTTCAAGGGCTCTCAGATTGGCTTGCACATGATACCACTGGGTGGAGATTTGGAGAAGACCAGTGAGTCTCTGAGTTTAACGTATCTTATCTGTAAAGTAGGGGAAGTGATATTTCCTCAACAGCATTGATGTAAAGATTAAACACTTAACATAGTGTTTCACAGTTAGTAAATGTGCAGTAAATGGGGTGATTGCAATGAGAAAACACTCCAAATGTGCGTTGTCCTTCAAAGTGAAAGAACAACATTTGCACCCCTTTCCCCAACCCAGGCCAGTAAGTTTGTTCTCTTCCATGATCACTTAGACATACTGAACTCCAAGTTTCTCTTCAAAGAATCAGTATGTCAGTATGTTCAGCTCTCTTATTCTTTGATTCTCCATTTTAAAGTTTAACTTCCTGGTTCTCTTCGCCCCCTTGCCTCTAGTTTCAGTAAACAACTTTCCCACCAGTTCTAATCAGTAGTTCACATCTGTTCTCCTGGTCACCTGCTTTGACCTGAATCACCCCTGGTCACCTGCTCTGACCCGGATCATTCTGAGTCACCTGTTCTGTAACTGCCCTTCCCACCATCCTACCCACCCCACCACTCCAGCTCGTATCCCTACTCTCTTTAAAATAGCCAGTTGGAATTAGCTTAGACTGTGCAGTCCAACCCTAGCCAATAGGGGAACGACACAGCAGAAGGGGCTACCTGCATCAGGAATAAGAAACCCTTCCCCTCCCTTGTCCAGGTGTGCTCTTGCCATTACTCCGTCTGCAAGTCGCACCCTTCCATAGAAGTAAAAATTGCCTTGCTGAGAAAATTAAATTTATGTTTAAGTGCTATTTCTCTGTGGCACCGAGGAAGAAGCATTTTGTTTCTAACATCACCCAGACCAGGGGTCTTGCTGCCATGTGCTGTCAAATTATAGACTGGGGCATGGTGGATGGTTCTGGGCCAGCAGATCTGATACAGTGGTAGGTTAGAAAAGTTTCTGCCCTTTCAAGATGCTGGACAGATGAGATTGGTTATCCAATCCAGATTCTCCTCTGCTTGGCCACTGGAACCCAACCAGAGAAGGACCTGTGAAGAAATCCCTCATGCTTTGGCTTTTTTCAGGGAATCATTCCTTTGATGGTGTCAGCAGCCTGACAGTTGCCTTTGAGAACTCTTGGCCAACATTAAGGGATTTTCATGCAAATAATAAACTCTGGCCTGGAAAAAGTCGACTGGAGCCTAACTCTTCTTTTTTTTTCTCTCTCTCTTTCTTTAAACTAAGGGATACTGCTCAAAGTTAAGATGACAATTATCAGTGATGTATAATAAGAGATGCTGAAATAAGGGTGATAATAAAGGTCCCGGGCTTGCTCACTCATGGTCACAGTAAAATTTTTATGCAAGTATATACCACCTTACATAAACCTCACTTTAGATATCCTCAAGTGATTGCACATCAAGATCTTGCAAATTGAAAAATACATTAAGTATGCCATGGGGTTGACTTTTTATCAGAATTCACACATGATTTCTTTCATAAGTTCAGGATCTTTTAGGGTGCCCATAGCCTTGCCTATATTTATGTATTTTATAAACCTACATTTTGGTATATGAAGTCTTTTCTTTTTTTTTTGAGACGAGTATCGCTCTGTCGCCCAGGCTGGAGTGCAGTGGCATGATCTTGGCTCGCTGCAAGCTCCGCCTCTCAGGTTCACGCCATTCTCCTGCCTCAGTCTCCCAAGCAGCTGGGACTACAGGCACCCGCCACCACGCCCAGCTAATTTTTTCTATTTTTAGTAAGATGGGGTTTCACCATGTTAGCCAGGATGGTCTTGATCTCCTGACCTCATGATCCGCCTGCCTCGGCCTCCCAAAGTGCTGGGATTACAGGTGTGAGCCACTGCGCCCAGCCGAAGTCTTTTCTAAATAGAACACAAGCTATTTGCTAGTTTCTTGAGTGTCATTTTTAACTATAAACTATAATAACAATACAAATGCTCAAGCAGGGTTCATGGAGACAAAAAAAAAATAGAGACTAACATATTTGAAAAAAAGGTAATAGTTCCCTGAAAGGAATGTTGCCTTTGAGTCACTTTTCCATGTGTAGCACAGATCCAGCCCCTGGTTCCATCCTTTCTATTTTCAAAACATCGCATTTTTGCAGGAGTTGAGGGCAGCCTATAATATGGTGATAAAGACACAGTTACATGAAGAACATACTCCTCTCTCAGACTGCCCAGGTTCAGTGATTCATTCAACAAACTTTATTGATCACCTACAGAGTGTTAGGTACTCTGTTAGGTATAGGATTCAACTGTGAAAAAGACATATTAATCTCTGCCATTGTGCAGACTACATTCTTTTTTTTTTTTTTTTTTGAGGTGGAGCTTTGATCTTGTTGCCCAGGTTGGAGTGCAATGGTGTGATCTCAGCTCACCACAACCTCCGTCTCCCAGGTTCAAGCGATTCTCCTGCCTCAGCCTCCCGAGTTGCTGGGATTACAGGCATGTGCCCCCACACCCGGCTAATTTTGTATTTTTAGTAGAGATGGGGTTTTTCCATGTTGGTCAGGGTGGTCTCGAGCTCCTGACCTCAGGTGATCCACCAGCCTCTGCCTCCCAAAGTGCTGGGATTACAGGCGTGAGCCACCGTGCCAGGCCTAAATCTATTCTCAAGATGTTCAGTTGTCAAAGTGGCTTGCAAATTTCATCTTGAAAAACCCTGCTAGATCTGCCCTGCTGCAACATGAAGTGGCTGCTCTGCAGGCCTGGTGCACAGCTGTCATCCTGAGACCTTTCTTTTTATCATTTCCCTGAGTCCCTTCCCCTTTTTCTTTTCTTTCTTTCTTTCTCTCCTTTTTTTTTTTTTTTGACACAGGGCCTTGCTCTGTCATCCAGGCTGGAGTGCAGTGATGTGTTCATAGCTCACTACAGCCTCAAGCTCCTGGGTTCAAGTGATCCTCCCACCTCAGCCTCTGGAGTAGCTGGGACTACAAGTATGCACCACCATGCCCAGCTACACACACACACACACACACACACACACACACGCACACACACACGTAGAGACAGGGTCTCTCTATGTTGCCCAGGTTGGCCTTGAACTGCTAACATCTCAGCCTCCCAAAGCTCTGGGGTTACAGGTGTGAGCCACTGAACCCAGCCCCTTTCTTTCACTTTTTTTAATGTTATGTGTTCTTTTCCTGTATCCCATTATGTTCATTTTACTTGGCTTACTCTCTTATTTTGGTGGAGCACATTCTCCTCGTTGCCCAAGGAAGGATGCATAAGATGGAAAAATTCTGAGATCTGGAATATCGGAAAATGCCTTTATTCTGCACTCACGCTTGATTGAGAGCTTGTTTGGGCATAGAATTCTAGGTTGGAAATGTTTTTTCTGGTCTTGTTTCATGTTTACAGTATTTCCTACAGTGTCTCTGAGAGCATTAATTGTATTTTTGAAGTTTTTGGCTCCTACACAGTTCCTGTATCTCCAAGGTTTGGTCTTTCATTTTTCTTTTCTGTCTGTGTGTTGTGGTCTCTATCTTTCATTTAGATGCCTTTCCTCAGCACTGTGATAGTTTGCTTATTTGCGTATATTTAACAGTAGCCAGTTAGCATCTCTGAGCATAAAGTTGAAGGTTGTCAGGTCTGAGTTTCCCATGTTGGGCTGTTCTGTCAGCACCTTTAGGTCTCTTGTACTGGTCAGATTCCCTAGATAACACCCTTCAGGCTGGGTGCAGTGGCTCATACCTATAATCCCAACACTTTGGGAGGCCAAGGCGGGCAGATCAATTGAGGTCAGGAGTTCAAGACCAACCTGGGCTACATGGTGAAACCTCATCTCTACAAAAAATACAAATTAGCCAGGAGTGGTGACACCTGTAGTCCCAGCTACTCAGGAGGTTGAGGCAGAAGGATTGCTTGAGCCCAGGAAGCAGAGGTTACAGGGAGCTGAGATCGCACCAATTCACTCCAGCCTGGGTGATAGGATGAGCCGACTGCAATGGTGTGATCTCTGCTCACTGCAACCTCCACCTCCCAGATCAAGTGATTCTACCTCCTCAGCCTCCCAAGTAGCTGGGACTACAGGTGCACACCACCACGCTCAGCTCATTTTTGTATTTTTAGTAGAGACTGGGTTTCACCATGTTGGCCATGCTGATCTTGAACTCCTGACCTCAAGTGATCTGCCAGCCTCAACCTCCCAAAGTGCTGGGATTACAGGCAGGAGCCACCTCGCCCGGCCTAAAAAGATCCTTTAAATATTCTTTTGGAAGGTCAAATCCTGGTTACATGTATTCTAACGTTTCATCTGGTTTCAGGTTAGTACCCATGACTTTGGGTGGACATATTGTCCTCCATCTACACAGGTTCCAGATAACAGGCCTCTAGCCTCTGCTAGGTTTGGGGAGAGGAAGTCCCTAACTCATAGATAATAAAGGGAATCAGGTGCTTTGCAGACAGCTTTCAGCAAATCCTTCTTCGTTTAGCTCCCCCTTCACTCTCACTTGAAGGCATACCTGGCCCCCCTGGTTCCTGAGATTTGGGGATTCAACTATGTCAAATGGGCTATTTCTTGGCTTCCCCTATTAGCAGCTTGAGATTCAGCTTCCTTCATTTGCTAAGTCACCTCTAACTAAATCCTTGCTAAATCCTCCTGACTTGTACTTCCCCAAATTTTGTTGTTTCGTCTCCTCTTCCACACTCCCCATCCTTATGGAAAAAATCCTTTGTTGTCTTTTTAGAGGGATTTTTGGCAGAGACTGGAATTAGAGTAAATGTTCAGTCAATTTTATTTTCCAAAGTATCTGAATGGTAACCCCAACCTAAAATCAAGCAAGTCACTCAGATATGTAAACCTAGGTATCACTTTCTAGAACCTACCAGGCCTTTAGAAGAGTAGTCACTGTCTTTGTCTGGGGTTTTAGATAAAACAAACTATGGAGAAATGCAGAAAATCCTAAAGATACAGAATAAAAATAAGAAGAACCAGAGTGTATGAGAAGAAGCCTAAAACAAGTAAGATTATTTAACAGCAAGGGAGGAGCTTGAGAAAGTTTCAGTGTTTTACAGGCATGAGGTTCTCAGGGTGGGAGAGTAGGAATGTGAAGACATGACATTAACTAGCTAGCAAATAGCACTTACATTTTCTCTGTGCTTAATTTTCAGCATTTGTAAAATGGAAGTGCTAATAGTTCCCTCTTCTTGCTATGAGGGCTCAATGAGAAAATACATCTCAGGGATTTGCCACAAAGCAATCTCCAGGACCCCTAAAATTCCTGCCAACCGTCACAGTCCATGATTCAATGACCCCATAAATAGATTTTAATGCAGCATGAAAAATTAGATGGCCTGGTAGAAATGTCCTTTTAAAACTTGTCAAGTCAACAGAGATTATCCTTCTAAGACAATTTGAGTATTTTATTCCCCTGGATCTGGGGTAATGGAATACATGTTTATACAAACCTAAACATAATATTTCAAAACATCACTCAAGGGTATGACTAGAATTTGGGAAACTAAAACACTAAATTCAGAATTCATTCTTCTTCTTTTTTTTTTTTTTTTTTTTGAGATGGAGTCTCGCTCTGTCACCCAGGCTGAAGTGCGGTGGCGTCATCTCGGCTCACCGCAAGCTCTGCCTCCCGGGTTCATGCCATTCTCCTGCTTCAGCCTCCCGAGTAGCTGGGACTGCAGGCGCCCGCAACCATGCCCGGCTAATTTTTTGTATTTTTTTTAGTAGAGATGGGGTTTCACCATGTTAGCCAGGAAGATCTTGATCTCCTGACCTCGTGATCCGCCTGCCTCGGCCTCCCAAAGTGCTGGGATTACAGGCGTGAGCCACCGCACCCGGCCAGCCATTCTTCTTTAAATTTATTTTCATGACCACAATGAAGACTATCCCTTCCATCATTGTCAGAGGCTTTTGCTCAAATGTTCCAAAGAAGCCATAAGTGAGACTTAACAACTCTTGTCAAGTAATGCTACTGCCTCGATCCACACCGTGAATTCTGTGGGAGTTGTTCCTACAGAGTATCACTAGAGGGGGGCTTTCACATGGAGGGCCAGCGGGAGCACATATCAAATGATATGTGACAAACCATTTTCTTTTTTTCAGATAGAGTCTCACACTCTGTCACCCAGGCTGGTGTGCTGTGGTGCAATCTCAGCTCACGGCAACCTTCACCTCCCAGGCTCAAGCGATCCTCCTACCTCAGCCTCCCGGGTAGCTGCGACTACAGGAGCATGCCACCACACCTGACTAATTTTTGTGCTTTTTGTAGAGATGAGGTCTCACCATGTTGCAATGGCTGGTCTTGAACTCCTGGGCTCAAGGGATCCACCTGCCTCGGCCTCCCAAAGTACTGGGATTACAAGCATGAGACACTGCTCCTGGCTGACAAACGATTTTTTAAAAATATGTCTGGAAATAGTACTGGCTCCAAGTCAAAGATAAATCGGAAGTTAGGCATCAGATAAATCAGTATTAGGGGAATCTTGAAACAGCTGTTATGATGTTGTCTTCAAATAATACAACACAGTTCATAGGAGAGGTGTTTGATTTGGAATCTCACCTCCCTCCCTTTCTTTTTTTTCTTTTTCTTTTTCTTTTTTCTTTTTTTTTTTTTGAGACAGGGTCTCACTCTGTTGCCCAGGCTGGAATGCAGTGGCGTGATCTTGGCTCACTGCAACCTCCATCTCCCGGGTTCAAGAGATTCTCCTGCCTCAGCCTCCTGAGTAGCTGGGACTACAGGCACGCGCCACAACGCGCAGCTAATTTTTGTATTTTTAGTAGAGATGGGGGTTTCACAATATTGGCCAGGCTGGTCTCGAACTCCTGACCTCGTGATCTGCCCGCCTAGGACTCCCAAAGTGCTGGGATTACACTCGTGAGCCACCACGCCTTGCCGAGATGCCTTTCATATACAGGCGTTTTAAACATTTGTGAAATCAGCTGTCACTCTTCTAATAGAATGCTTCTGCCTCTCTTGCCCCACTTAGACCTCCATTAGCAAGATCACGGACCTATTTACCTATCATGTTTTCTTTTAGCAGTAAGCTGGGTGTTGAAGGATGTTTAAGGATTGCCTTCCTTGCCAGGAAGACAAATGGATACTACTAAACCAGAATGAAAACGGCAATGACTTGGTTAAAATATTCTCTGACTTGACACACTAAGGTTGCAAAACTGATAAGCTCAACAGTTATGTGAGCCCATTTTTGCCCTCTGAGGAGGCACCATGAGAGTCCTCTCTGTGAATACTGTGAAGTGCCTCCTATCTCCCCACCATCTCCACTTCCCTCCCTACTCCCATTTATTTGTTAAATAAATACATTTTAAAACTAAATGAATCAAGATTGATATAATTGACACTTTTTGTGTGTCTAAATTACGATACCCTAGTTAATCCTTTTAAAATAGCATAAAAATAAACTCAGATTTTGACCTTGTAAAAAGTATAAAAATCTGAATAGAGTTGTAATTGGTAAAGAACTAATATTCCGGGAGGCGGAGCTTGCAGTGAGCCGAGATCACGCCACTGCACTCCAGCCTGGGAGACAGAGCAAGACACCGTCTCCAAAAATAAAAAAAAAAAGAACTAATACGGTGGCTAGAAAAGGACACTTACATTATTGTGTGCTTCTATTTGTTGGATTCATTTTATCATAAATATTGATTTGGGAACTTCTGCTTTCAGCCAAGATGGAGGAACAGAACAAATTTACTTTCCCATCTGAAACAGTCTCCCCTCCTCTAAAAAAAAAGAAAAAACAAAATATTTGAAACAATGGTTTTCAAGATACTGGAAACTGGGCAATGAAGGGCAGTGATCCATGAGAGACAGAAAAAAAATTATGTGAGTCCTATGATTCCCCCCAGATTATTATTATTTTTCTTTTTGAGACAGAGTCTCACTCTGTCTCCCAGACTGGAGTGCAGTGGCACCACCTTGGTTTACTGCAACCTCCACCTCCTGCTTTCAAGCAATTCTTGTACCTCAGCCTGCCAAGTAGCTGGGATTACAGGCGCCTGCCACTATGCTCCGCTAATTTTTTTGTATTTTTAGTACAGACGGGGTTTCACCATGTTGGCCAGGCTGGTCTTGAACTCTTGGCCTCAAGTGATCTGCCCTCCTCAGCCTCCCAAAGTGTTGGGGTTACAAGCGTGAGCCACCGTGCCCGGTCTTGCCCCCAAATTATTACAATGAAAGAGTTTTGAGGCCATGGCATAGGAAAGGGGAACTCAGGTGGGCCTTAGGGACTTCCTGAGCTGAGAGGATACAGCTGAAAATCTGGGGAGACCAAGGTAGCTGGAGTTCACAGAACAGAGTACTGGAGAGGAGAAAACTGCATACAGAAAGAAATCAGAAATCCCCTTTGAGTATTCAGGAGAATACTGATCCACTCATGCATGTAGGGAAACTGCAGGAGGTCAGGGAAAGAACTTTTTTCTTTTTCTTTTTCTTTTTTTTTTTTTTTTTTTTGAGACGGAGTCTCACTCTGTCGCCCAGGCTGGAGTGCAGTGGCGCCATCTTGGCTTACTGCAAGCCCCGTCTCCCGGGTTCACGCCATTCTCCTGCCTCAGCCTCCTGAGTAGCTGAGACTACAGGCGCCCGCCACCACGCCCGGCTAAGTTTTTGTATTTTTAGTAGAGACGGGGTTTCACCGTGGTAGCCAGGATGGTCTAGATCTCCGGACCTCGTGATCTGCCCCCCTTGGCCTCCCAAAGTGCTGGAATTACAGGCGTGAGCCACCGTGCCCGGCCAAGAACTTTTTAAAGGATGGAAGGGAACAGTGTTCAGTTTCTACATAGGGGTGCGGATGGTACTTATTCCCACAGATTGGAAAATATGAAAAAATAACAATATGAATTAAGGTTTTTTCAGAGATATAAAAGCTGACAGCAATCCACACTACAAGAATGCTGAAAGTTCTTAAAACAGAAGGAAAATGATACCGAAAAGAAATATAAGTTTATCTAAAGTAATGAAAAACATCAGAAACGGTACATAACTATAAAGACTCTTTTTTCTTATTTAAATATTCTTAAAAGACATCCTACTGTTTTAAACAAAGGTAGTAACATAGTGTGAAGTTTATAACATATAAGTGTAAAGATGAAAATATGTATCAGGCTAATATCAATCAAAGGAATGCTGGAGTTGCTACATTAATGTCAAACAAAGTATATTTCATCAAAAAGACTATTTCAGAACTAGAATAAAGAGGGTAATTATGTAATGACATAGGAGTCAAAAATGTGTACATCTAATAATAGATTTTGAAAAATATGAATATAAAACTAATAGAATTATAAAAAGGAATAGAAAAGTTCACACTTAGAGATTTTATTATCCTTGTTTCAATAATTGATAGAACAAGTACACAGAAAAACAGTTGAGTTGTAGAAGACTTGTATAGCACTATAAACCAACTTGACTTAATTGGCGTTTATATAATACTCCATCAAACAACAGCAGAATAAACATCCTTTTAAAGTGCTTTCAGAACACTGACCAAGATCAAATTCTTGGGAACTAAACAGTCTCAATAAACTTAAAGGATTCAAGTCAAACAAAGTATGTTCTCTGACCACAATGGAAATAAAGTAGAAATCAATAATAGAAATATATCTGCAGAATTCCCAAATATTTGGAAACTAAATAACATACTTCTAAACAACATGGGTCAAAGAAATTAGAATGCATTTTTTAACTGAATAAAAGTGAAAGTGCAACATAAAAGAATTTGTTAGATACTGCTAAAGTAGTACTTAAGTGGAAATATGTAACATTAAACACTTACGTTAGAAAAGAAGACAGGTGTTAAAGCAATGACCTTGGCTTTCATTTTAAGAAATTAGAAAAAAGAGGAAAACATAAATCTAAAGTAAGCAGAATAAAGGAAATAATAAAGAATGGAAGTCAGTAAGAAGACATAAAAACAATAGAGCAAATAACTAAAACCAGAATTTTTTTATTTTTATTTTATTTATTTATTTATTTGAGATGGAGTCTTACTCTGTCACCCAGGCTGGAGTGCAGTGATATGATCTCAGCTCACTGCAACCTCCGCCTCCCGGGAGGGTTCGAGAGATTCTCCTGCCTCAGCCTCCCGAGTACCTGGGGCTACAGACATGGGCCACCATGCCCAGCTAATTTTTGTTATTTTGAGTAGAGAGAGGGTTTCACCATGTTGGCCAGGCTGGTCTCAAACTCCTGACCTCAAGTGATGCACCTGCCTCAGCCTCCCAAAGTGCTAGGATTACAGGTGTGAGCCACCATGCCCATCTACCAGAAATTTTTTAGATCAGTGAAATTGATAAACCTCTGCCAGATTGATCAGAAAGAAAGAAGACACAAATTACAAATCTTTATGTCTTCTTTTGCAGTTTAAAATACGTGACTCAGCAGTTCACTTTCTATTAAATTATTCTACAGAAATACACAAACTAGTTAGCGCACGGATATGTGTACATGGATTTTAGCAGTAGGACTGTTGGTGGTGGTGATGGTAAAAAAGAAAAACAAAAAACACCTTAAAACAACCTAGAAATTCTTCCGGAGGGAACCAGCTGAATAAATGTTATGTTCTAATTAGATAATGGGAATCCACACTGTTTCTAAAGTTAGGTAAATTTATATGCACAGATATAGAAAGGTGTCTAAGATGGAGATATACAGACACATTCACGTTTAGTTACATATGTAGAAAGCAAAAAAAGGAAAAAAAAGATTGAATAGATATCGACCATTGTATTAGTTTCCTGTTACTGCTGTAACAAATTACTACAAACTCAGTCACTTAAAACAACACACATCTACTCTCTTTCAGGTCTGGAGGTCAGAAGTCAAGGTGTCGGCTGGGCTGGTGGCTCATGCCTGTAATCCCAACACTTTGGGAGGCTAAGGCGGGTGGATCACTTGAGATCAGGAGTTCAAGACCAGCCTGTCCAACATGGTGAAACTCCGTCTCTACTTAAAGTGTAAAAATTAGCCGGGCGTGGTGGTGGGTGCCTGTAATCCCAGCTAATCGGGAGGCTGCGGTATGAGAATCCCTGGAACCCGAGAGGCAGAGGTTGCAGTGAGCTGAGATCGTGCCACTGGACTCCAGCCTGGGTGTCGGCGTGAGACCCTGTCTCAGAAAAAAAAAAAAAAAAAAATTCAAGGCGTCAGCATGGCTGGTTCCTCCTGGAGGCTCTGGGGAAAATCCATTTCCTCGCTTTTTCCAGCTTTTAGAGGCCCCTGCATTCCTTGGATCCTTCTTCCCACTATTCCAACTTTTTTGCTTCCTTGGTTGCTTCTCCTGCTACCGACCCTGACCCACCTGCTGCTTTCTCATAAGGACCCTTGCAATTACATTGAATCCGCCTGAATAATCCAGAACAATCTCCCCATCATAAGATTCTCAACTCGATCATATCCGCAGTGTCCCTTTTACCACGTTAAGGTAACATATTCGCAGGAATTAGGACATGGACATCTTTGCGGGGTCATCGTTCAACCCACCACAACCATTAACGGCGCTTTTCTCTAGGAAGTGGGATTGGGACTGTAACTATCATGTCTGGAGGGGCACAAAGGCACAAGCCATTAGGAAGAAAATAAGGTTGCCATTAACCAATCAAAACACACGTGACATCCAGAGGATGGCGCCAAACATATCCCGGGCTTCCCTTCAGGCTATACATACAGCTTATTGCAAATGGACGTTTGGCAGTCCCTCCTCTCCTTGAACCCCCTACCTCTGACCTCCTCCACACAAGTTCCCCTGATCCCTACCACTTCTCTGCCCATCCAAATTCTGCCATCTCAAAAGTTGTTCTGGTCTTCATTCTGAATCTGCTAAAACTGACCACTTTTCAAAGCATAACTTTGATATGTTATACTAAATTTACTATGACTAACAGGAAGGAAAGAAAGGGGAAAAGGAGGGGAAAAGAACATTACAATTAATCCTTCCATGCAGGGGATTTTCACTGTGTTTTACATTTGTCTTTTGTTTCTTATGTTTTTTGTTTTTGAGACCAAGAGTCTCGCTCTGTCACCCATACTGAAGTGCAATGGTGCAGTCTTGGCTCACTGCAACCTCTGCCTCCCAGGTTCAAGCGATTCTCCTGCCTCAGCCTCTCGACTAGCTGGGACTACAGGCACATGCCACCACACCTGGCTAATTTTTCTATTTTTAGTACAGACAAGGTTTCACTATGTTGGCCAGGCTGGTCTCAAACTCCTGACCTCGTGATCCACCAGCCTTAGCCTCCCAAAGTGCTGGGATTACAGGTGTAAGCCGCTGCACCTGGCCTATAATTTTTTTATAAAAGGTTTTAGTGCAAATGATAGTAGTAAAGAACACTTGCAATAAAATTAACACTCTTTCAAATCTAAAGGATTAATATCTGTAATAAGTAAAGAAGAAAAATAATTACCAATAAACACACAAAAATATTCAATCACTGTAGTAGTCAAAGAAATCCAGGCTGGGCATGGTGGCACACATCTGTAATCCCAGTACTTTGGGAGGCTGAGGTGGGAGGATCTCTTAAGCCCAGGAGTTTGAGAGCCTGGGCAACATAGTGAGAGACTCCATCTCTACAAAAAAATTTTACAAATTAGCCAAGTGTAGTGGCATTTCCTGTAGTCCCAGTGACTGGGGGAGCTGAGATGGGATCACTTGAGCCTGGGAGGTCACTGGAGGCTGCGGTGAGCCATGATCATGCCACTGCACTCACATTTGGGCAACAGAGTGAGACCCTGTCTCAAAAAGCAAAACAAAACAAAACAAAGAAATTCAATACCTGACAATAGTAAGATACACTCTTTAGCTGTTAAACAGTATAAATATCAGGACAGATTAAGCAAACAGGCAAGCATACAGAGCTGGTGGGAATTAAATCACTATAAGCTTCTGAAAAGGAATACATATTAAATGACTCAAAATGTATGTATGCATTCACCTAGAAATTCCATTTCTATGAATATTATTCTTAAAAAAATCATTATAAATTCCAAGAGTTAGAGCCAAGGTGGTTCATTGAAGCCATGTTTGTAATAGTAAAAATACTATTTTTTACTATTACAGTGGACAGTCCTGTCTGTTCAGGCTGCTATAACAAAATATGATAAACTGGGTAGTTTATAGACAGTACAATTTATTTCTCACAATTATGGAGGCTGGGAAGTCCCAGATCCGGGCACTAAGAGATTCTGTGTCTGGTGAAGGCCGTTTTCTGATTCATAGACGACACCTTCTTGCTGTGTCCTCACATGGTGGAAGGGGTGAATGAGCTCCCTTGGGCTTAATTTATAAGGCTCTAATCTCATTTGTGAGGTCTCTGCTTTCATGATCTAATAAATTTTCAAAAGGCTCCACCTTCTAGTACATCATTTTGGGGGCTATGATTCCAACATATGTATTTTGGGGAACACAAACATTCAAACCATAGCAAATCTATATGCCAAAAGACAGGGAATTGGTTAAATCATTTATGGTACATCTATACAATGGAATATTAACCAGACATTAAAGTGATGTTGTAGAAGTATATTTAATTATATGGAACAAACTCTTAAAAAAAGGTTATAAAAGCGTGTGTGTGTGTATGCGCACAAGGGCTAGAAAGATACAAACTCTCTCTCTCTCTCTCTCTCTCTCTCTCTATATATATATATATATATATATATAGGGTTTTTTGTTTTTGTTTTTGTTTGAGAAGGAGTTTTGCTCTTGTTGCCCAGACTGGGATGCAATGGCGCCATCTCGGCTCACCGCAATCTCTGCCTCCCAGGTCCAAGCGATTCTTCCGCCTCAGCTTCCCAAGTAGCTGGGATTACAGGCATGTGCCACGACGCCCAGCCAATTTTGTATTTTTATTAGAGACGGGGTTTCTCCATGTTGGTCAGGCTGGTCTTGAACTCCCAACCTCAGGTGGTCCGCCCACCTCGGCCTCTTAAAGTGCTGGGATTACAGGTGTGAGCCACCATGCCCGGCCTGGAAACAATATTTTTAATGGGAGTTTCCTTTAAGAATGAAACTGGGGATTGGGAGTGGTGGGCAAATTAACTGTAACTTTACTGTATTATTTGAATTTTTCTAATAAGAATGTATTTATGAATCTATTATTAAAATAATTAAGACAATGAAAGAAAACAAAAATATCCTTATAGTGTAATTCCACTTGTTTGAAAATATTTGAAGAAAAAATGTGGATAATTTGTCTTTTTCCTTATTTATATATTGCAATTTCCTAGCCTACTTTTTTCTACTCTATATTTTTTAATTTTTCTACTCTTTATCTACTCTATTATTTTTTATATCTATATTTATATCTACTCTATTATTTTTTATTTTTCTGCTCTATTTAATACTTCCAGCAATTTAAAAATATTTTTAAAAGGCTCAGTTTGTCATATCTCCTGTGAAGCACGAAGTACATATGTATTCTAACATCTACCACTTTCCACTGGGTGATGCCTGAGGAATTATGTAGCTGCTTAAGGACAGAGATGGTCTTATTCATTTTGAGGGGGCAGAGATGGGGGTCTCACTATGTTGTCCAGGCTGGTCTTGAACTCCTGGCCTCAAGTGAACCTTGCACCTCAGCCTTCCAAAATGCTGGGATTACAGGTGTGAGCCACCATGCACAGATGTCTTATTCATTTGTGACTTTCAGGGCTTAGATGTCAGTACCTGATATCTAGTAGGTACATGATGCCTATTTTTGAAAGAAAGAGTAAGAAGCACCAAGTACATATGTAGTCTAACATCCATCACTTTCCATTGGGATGAGGTATTATAGAAGGAATAATGTACCAGCTTAAGGACAGAGATTCATTTATTCGTCTTTGAATCCTTAGGGCTTAGGACAGTATCTGACACTTAGTAGGTACAAGATGCCTATTTTGACAGAAAAAGTAAGAAGAACCAGGGGGTAGAAAGGGTGGAGAGAAGAGTCCATATCCTGTCCCCTTCCAGCAGCATAAGGTCCAATCAGGGGGTCTTAGGTGAGTGATGAGAAGTTTCTAGCCCTCAGCCTCCTTATCTGCATAATGTGAAGAACAGCACTAATGTGATGAGGTTGTTGTGAGGATTACAAAAGCCCCTGTCTAGTAGACACTCATTGAGTGTGTAAGTGGTGGTGAGGTGGGTCATGAAGGCAATTTAATAATGATCTGGCACCAAAGTCCAAGAGAGAGAGTGAGGAGCTCCTTCCAGCCTCTTTTGCAAGGGTAAGTCTGGGAAATGTGATTTCTTGTGCAGCAAGGAATGACTCTACCAACAGAGCAGTTGAAGAAACCATCATGATGGAATCATTTTAGGGGTCTCACCCTCAAAGGTAGTCAGAGGCTGAAACCATCTCTGTTGACTGAACATTTCAAGGTAATCTTGATCTTAGACCTGCCTGGCATCCCCTAGTTGACTCTTCTGATGATTATTTCGAAACTATTCTCAGCCACACTCATCAAGTCAGAGGCTGGAAAGTGGGGGTGGGTCAGAAAAAAAAAATCCTGCTTGAGCTTTCCCTTAATGATACCTGTTGTTTCCTTTGGACAGTTGATGTCAAATACGGGTTCTCTGAAATTTAGAGTCTAAAATGCTATCGGCAGGTCCTTTTCCAACAGGGAATCATATCCCAAATTCTCCTCACTGTGTAACAACGAGGAAGTGAGACCAACAAGTTCTGAATTTACCAAAGGACTAGCACTATGATATGAACAGAAAAAAGTAGCCTTTAGGTACTAATTTTTTGTAGACAATGGCCCTTGCTTCAACCTTGTGGCTCCTTTATGAAGAAAACTAACTTCACACAGTGGGGCTGGCTCAACAGAGGCTAGAACGGCCAGATGCCCTTTCTCCCTGCCTCACAGATCCTGCAGATCCCAAGCTGGCATCTGTCCCCATCTGTTCTCAGACCAAAGGCCATCCAAAGATGTGTTGGGGACTTTGGACTTGTTGGGGCAGAACTGAGACGCCCCCAGTTTTGAAGGTGGTGGGTGGGGGACCTGTGTAGAGTGAACCACAAGGCAAGGGGCCTTCCATTTCATGCTGAGAACTCTTGTGTGTGATCACTGCAGGTGGGTTCCTAATAGAGATGACATCTGATTGGAATACGAAATACCTATTTTATGGAAGCTCTCAAGGCAGTGCAGCTCTGAGAGAAGGGCTTAGGATTCTACCATTTTAGCCACAGGAACATGCTATGTGGAACCCCTTTCCTACCCCATCTGTCAGGGAGCGAGTTCAGATGCCAGGAGCTGCCAGACTGAGTGGGAAAGTGAGTCAGGGGCATTCGTCTCACTTGGACCCCCACACCCATTCAAGGGGGGCTGAACCTGGGTCAGCTCCCTGGGTGGGTGCAGGTTCCTGACCAGGAGCGCTTTAAACAAACCATCAAAATGGAAAATTGCTCCCCGTTTATATGGATTAAACTTTTAAACTGTGGCCATGTGGCCAGGGACTAGAAGATGTGGCACTCTCCTCTCCATGACTGTGTGTTGGAGCTCGAGTGGCCCACCAGGCTGGCCCTGAGCTCTGCCATCCTGCAAATGATACCATGAATACCACTTATTATTTTCAGACATCTATGGAGCATTTACTATCTGTCAGTTGTGGCCCAAGAATCTTATAAGCATCATCTCATTTTATCAGTCAATAGATATTGATTGAGAGCTTGTTCATGCCAGCCACTGGCATCTAATTCTCAGAACAAACAGGTGAGGTGAAAATGATTCCTCCCATTTTACCAACCATGAAACTGAGGTGGCTTGGAGAGAGGTTAACTGATTTGCTCAATGTCCCACAGCCAGTAGGTGGCAGAGCTGCGATTCAAACAATGTCTGTCTCTCTTCAAGGCTGTGCTTGTAAGCACTTACCTACCCCTCTCACAGAATCTTTGCTCATGGACTAGGGAAAGACTGTACAGGCATGTCCAAACACGAGCTGCTCCACCCCCGAGAGATGAGACCAGGAGTCAGGGAGGAGAGAATCACAGGGCCAGTCCTAACTCACTTTGACCTGGCAAATGGCTTCCCAAAAACCTCAGAGAATTTTTATTTGATGGACAAGATCAGCATTGGTTCTCCCTACGTTTACCAACATCACCCACTTTCCAAACATCCTTTCTTCTTCCGATCTTGGTGCCACCTGGTTGAGAGTATTGCCCAATATTCTTGTAAGTCTCAGGCCCAGCCACATTCTGGGTCCGCCTCTCCCACTCCCCAACGGCACATGGCATCTGGAGTTGTCTTTGCTGCCCTCTCTGTAACTGATGAGCCCTGGGGAGATGAGGAGGACCCAAGACCCTGTTAATCTGCGCGTCTCCTCCCACCTCACACCTTGGCCAGCTCAGTCCCTGGGGCCAGGTTTCCACCTTGCTTTCCTGGGTATAGTCAGATAGCTCTGCTGGTACTGGAAGCCGTCTGTGGCTTACCTCCCAATTAATCAGCTCTTGTCAGGGGTCTTAGTCCTCCCCCAGTGTCTTCAGCTGCCGGTGGGGGAATCTTGCTCCAGATCTGATGGGCTGCTTGGAATCATCACATTTCCACCTACCCAACTTAGTATCCACTGGCCTCTCTTTCCAAGGTGTTTGGAAAAAAAGAATAAAATCACCAGAGGGGTAAGCTATGCAATTCACACATGGTAGATGCAGATAGAGACCTGGAAACCTCAGTGGATCCCAGGCCTGCAGAACCCATGCCAACCTGATTAATGTGAATTTTAACTTAAGAAAGAAAAGGCCAATGAGAAGACATGTGGGTTTACAATAAAAGGTCAGAGAAAGAAAAGTCCCAAGACAAATGCTGGCAGTGCCCATCCAATCTCTGTCTAGGAATAGCGCAATTTGATCAAGAACTTGATCCAGCCATGGCCTTGTAGTAAGGTTATCTCCTAGCAAAAAGTTTGTCTCTGTCCATCTTAGCCTACTACCATTGTTAACCCATCTAACCAACTTCCTGTGCTCCTATCCCAAGCTTGCTAAATAACTTTCTAATTGGAATACTGATAATTCTGACAAATCTGCTTTTTGCATAGCTTATCTAATGTGAAACCATGTGTGTTTATCTGGTCAACTGGACCACTACCTTCTCATTGTAAATTAGCTAGTTTTATGCATCAGCCTGTCGTGATCTTGTTAAGATGAGTCAGAACGCCCCTAGGTTTGATTAACTCTGAAGGAAAATAAAATTTCTGATTCTTCAAAGCAGAAGACCAGCTACATCCTGGTCACGGGTAGACTCACTTTGGTGGCGATTGCCTTGTAGAAGTTGGTCAGCCTTCCCATCTGTGAGCTTGTTCCACTCCCGTCACAAACCTGGACCCTTTAAAGACCACTAGCCATTGGTTCCAGCCCAAAAGGTCCCCCAGAGCCCTTGGCCATGGTGACTGGGCTGCTGGCCACCCTAAAATGGATTTGCCTGCACGTCTCAGGACGTCACCGACCTGGTGCAGGGGTCACCGACCAGGGCAAAGTGTATCTGTTGAACCCAGACAGGGTCCTCTCTGAGCACTGGTGCAGCTACTGAGGGTCTTTCCAGGCCCAGCCCTCAGGCTTCCTCATCGGGGGTCCTGTCATGAATTATGAACAGTCAGTCCCTCATGGAACAAATAATAATCCTGGAACTACACAGTGGTTCAGAGACTCTGCTTACTAAGCATTTTCACGTCCTTTCATCTGAGTTTTGTAACAACCCCATGTGAAAGGCTGGTAAGTATTTTTAGCTTTGCTTTAGGCTTAGGGAAGATAAACGACTTGCTCAAGGTCACACTGGTAATAAGTGTCAGGACATGCTCCTGACCACATATCTGAACAACTGTAACCCCAGGTTTCTTCACCACAGCAGAGCAGCTGCTCACCCCAGGCGGCCTATGAGAAGGGTGTGAGAGCATCACTGGGTCAGCCCCAAAGGCTTGGCAGCCCCTCAGAACAAACTACAGACACATGTGGTTGCTGCGGGTGCACCAAGGGACCCAGCTCTGTCAACGGCTCCGCGCTGCACCCCCAGCTGATGCGGGAGCTTACTTGCTTCTGTCCGCCACCCACAGACACTCCTGTAAACACATTATCTCCAAGATTTCCTTCAGACAGAATTTTGTATTCAGGCAAGGCTTCCTTGGGCTTCATTTAGCTTGAGCGTCTGGGGCACCCGTGGGGCACCGAGACCTGAGGATAACAATGCTTCCAACAAGCAAAGTGATGATCACTGATTCCACCCAACCCAAGGACAGAACAAAGGAAGATGGCCAGGAACACAGCAAAGCAGCTTTCCAGTCACCCTTCACACATCAAGATCCACAAATACACAAGTGGCCAACCACTACGTTTCCACTTCCAGTCTCTCCCTCCCTCAGACCTGCAGCCCTTTCACCTTCTCCTAAACCACCACCCCTGCAACCCCACGCCACCTGCAACCTGGATGTTCTCATGGGACAGTACAGGCCTCGAGAGATTTTCTCCGGTGATTTGCAGTGAACAAAGAGCTTTCACCTGCAGAAACAGGTGACTGCTAGAAGTCACCTAGTGTGACTTGTGAGTGCCACAATAGCCCTGGAGGAGCTCATTTGCAGAGGAGAGAACTGAGGCTGGAAAACTGGGCCAGGGACAGAGGGCCAGATTCTGCAAACAAGGAGAAAGGGCAGGAAGTGGCAAAACTGGGAAGGGAAAGGAAGGGAACAGAAGAGCAGCCCAGTTCTAAATCACCAGCCAACACGTGCACAGTGGTCCCTGTGTCACGTCACAGCCACTGTACTGTGACTAAATGGAGGAGGGGCACCAGCGTTGTGGGGCCTTGGGGCCTGGCCAGTCCTGAGGTGCTGGAAGGGAGCAGGTGCTGACCTCATGCTGCTGATGCCAGGGTTCCAATCCAGGAGTTTTTCTATTTTGTCCTGGGGAGTCCTCCCAACAGTCCAATCAGAGGAGTATAAGATGCCCATCTTGAAGATAAGGAAACCAAGGCTCAGAGAAATTGCTCAGGGCCACACATGCATAAGTGGCTGGGAAAACACAGATCCAGCCATCTTTCCCAAAGTGCAGGCTGTTTCTGCTCCATGCCTCGATCACAGCCCGCCCCTCAGCCCGAGATGCCTTTCGCATCGTCCACCCAAACACCTTCTCATTGCTTGAGTCTTAGCTCAAGAATCACCTCCCCCAAGAAGCTTCTCACATCCTCTTTTGGCCCCCACAGTCCCATGTGAGGACTGTCTGCCTTTCTTTCTTACACGCATGCAAGCCTCCATGTCGGCAGAGATGGTGTCCTACTCAACTCTGCCTTACCTCGGCTTCTAGCACAATGCCAAGTGGCTGGCTGGTGAGTGAGTGAATGAATGATGAAGGCAGTTGTGTGTGAATCTAAGCCTCCCAGCTCTAGCTCCCCTGCTAGTACCACGGTCCCTCCAGCCCCACCTCTTCCCAGTGAGTCTCAAGCACCTGCACCTGGCAGTCCCTTGGAGGAAACAGCTGCCTCTTCATGGCCCTTGCTTCTGAAGGACACCCCATCCCCACCCCATGCCAGATAACTAGGCCTCGGATGATCTGGACTTAGATGGTCTGGCCTAGAGTGGAGGAACTTTTTGGTCCCCAAGGCTAGCTTCATGCTTGCAACTTCAAGTTTTCTCTTTTAAGGGGCTCAGTGGAAACCATAGCTGCACCAGTGGATGTGGAAGTGAAAGCATTCAGGGCTGTATTTCCAGCTGCCCAAGATGAGTTCCCCACCGCCTTGGAGGTGCCTCCACAAAAGGGAAGCAGCTTTATTTTCATTCAAAAGCCTTACCAAATCCCTTCACCACTTCCATTGTGGATCTAGAACCACTCCCCCTACATTCCTAGTGTCTCATGGGGGAAGCCCTTTGTAGGATATTTGGAGCAAGAGAGACCTGTGTTCAAATCCCAGTTTTGCCATTTCCTAGCACTGTGGCTGTGTGCAAGAGAACTCACTGAGCCTCTGTGCTCTCATCCATAAAGTGGGGACAATGCTGCCTCCCTCTGGGTCATAGTCTGTTCTGTGCTGCTATGACAGAGTACCACAGACTGGATAATTAATAATGAAGGGGAATTTATTGGCTTATGGTTCTAGAGACTGGGAAGTCTCAAGATTGTGGGGCTGGCATCTGGCGAGTGCCTTCCTGATGCATCATAACATGATGGAAGGCATCCCATAAGGGAGAGAGAGACTAGCGGAGGCCAAACTCACCCTTTTATAACAAACCCACTCCTGCAAGAATGACATTAATTCATTAATGAGGATGGTGTCCCCATGACCCAAACACTTCCCTTTAGAGACCTCGCCTCACCTCCCAATATCACCACACTGGGGATCAAGTTTCCAGCACCTGAGCTTTAGTGGACACAGTTAAGCTGCAGCACTCTGCAAGGGGCAATTTTCACATTTAAACATGGATTTAAATGTGAGTAACATGCCAAGCCTGCCATGGTAGTCAGGCCCTTCCCCACTCTGTGATGGCCCAGTTCTGGGGTGACTTGGGCCTCCTTCCAGCATCAGAGGGCCCTCTAACATCAATAACAAGGGTGGGCAAGTGAGCGTTTAAACCCTGATGGGCTCTTTCAGTCTGAGGTGATTTCTGTGGTCCTGAGTACACGTGGGGATGAATCAGGCCACCCCTCACCGTTTTACATTTTTCACAACTGTGGTTTTTCCAGCTCCATTGTACAGGATCCGCCTTCCCCGTCAGAGCCCTGAGGGGACAGCATCAGCATCTTCTTCCAGTGACTTTTCCCCCAGTACCCTAAGCAGGAAACATCCGAGCCCAGAGCAAGCTCAGCCTGACTCTGAAAGTCCCTCTGACTGCCTGGCTCAGCCCGTGCAGCCAGCTCTGACCCATGACCTGTGCTCACCAAAAGGGTGTGTCAGCGGCAGCTTCCAGTTCTGCCCATCATAGAAACAGTGCCGGGTTTTCCAGCGAGCTGTGAAGTGACTGTTGAGAATACTTAGCCCCTGGCAGGCGCAGCAGGCCTGCCTCATTCATCGCAGCTCAGACCTTCAAACTGGAGCTCCATCCATCACTGCCTCCTGCCATGCCAGAGTCGAAAACCTGAGCTCCAGGCTCGGCGTTTCCCGGAGTCACATGGACTGCAATCAGCAGGTCCCTTTGTCCGGCGGCCTTTGCAGGAAATGTGGCTTATTCTAACATTTCATTCCCAAATAGAAGTCTAGACTAGGGGGAAAAACTCCATATCTCTATTGATTGTGCCTAATGGAGGGAGGTTAATTTGTGGTCTTTGCCCTTAGCTGTTACTAAAGAAAATGGAGATGGTTCTTTTTCATATTTTGTGATGGATGGCAAAATAAAATGTTGACTTTTTTTTCTTAGGAAATATGACTGCTGAGTCTTAGAATGGCTGGGTGGAATGTGCGAGGCTAATTAGTGCTCACTTACGTATTTAGTTCACAATCAGAAACACTAGGCTACAAACCTCTATAGGAAAAGGAAAAAAAAAATGATCTCAAGGTGAAAAAGAAGACTCTGCTCTGAAAAGCCCTTGAGAATTAGATTATAGATGAAAAAAGGCAAATTGTCCCTCAGGAAAGGTTCTTTAAAAATTCAACTCACCACTGTGAGCAAGATTTTATCCTAAAGAGTGTTTCATTCTTTAGCTGGTAAGTTGATTAAAGTAAACACTGGTTAACTAAAATGAATGAAAGAGCTATGTGGACTCCTGGTTTTTGATGAGTTGGTCACTGTGATTGAGTTGCAATGAAAACATCATGCTATGACTTGTGTTGATGATGTTTTGGGAGAATAAAGGAGGAGGGACAGAATTGAGCATGGGGGACATTTTGTGGGGAGAAGAGGACTTTGGTGGAAGCAGAAGCAGGTGCAGCGTTCCCCAGATATCTTGGAGGGCACTGAACTTCCCACATTTCCTGGGATGGGGTGAACAGGCAAACCATTTCAATCAAGTATTAAAAGAAAGGGTGAGCCTGTAGGTTGCAGGGTTTCAGCATCCTACAATTCCCATCATTCTTGATCACAGTTTCCATTCCAGAAGTGGCCCCCTCATTCTCTGTTGTGCGGTCATTGCTGTCAGTACACATGGCAGACACCACTGTTGGCTGGTTTGACCCCCAGCCTCAATTCCCTTTACCTGACCCCCTTCCAGCAAGGGTGGCATGTGACAGAAATCTAGAGGATGAAGCACCAAATTTAAGTCTGCCCTTTGAGAACTGGTTTCGAACAGATAATTTTTAAACTGTTTCAGACCAAGAGAAAAATACTTGTATTCAGTCACTAATGCTATTTACAAAATCTTAGGCAGAATGATTTTGTACTCATCTATCTCACTTTATGCTTTAAAGAGAATAAGTACCCTTCCCCCCAAACCTCCGGAAACTCCAGCACATTTCAATCTATGTGTTGATGACTAGGACGAATACATTTCCTTCCACATGGATGGAGTTAAATCTCTATCCCTTATTTTTAACCCAGCACTATTTCTGAATCATTTTCTATGGTGAGAGAATACCTGGACATTTAAATCTATCAAAAAGGAGTAAATGAGCATTTCAGATACATCTATCAAGAAGAAATGCCCCTTCTCCCCCATCATTGTGGGGCTTTGTCAGTCGCCTGTCAGATGAATGTCCGCATAAGTGTTTATTAATCACTCTTGCGCTCGCTGATGGGCCTGAACACTTTGCTCCTCTACGTCTCTGACACGCACCAAGTATGCAATGGGTTTCTTCTGTCTGTCTCTTGAGCACAGTTGCTTACTTTGTTAAAGTTAATTTCCACTCATTTCTGGCTTTGATGGGAAGATTCCTTTATCAATTCAATTCATGTGTGTTGTCTGCAATCAAGGCAATATTGTCTGCTAATGTGAGGTATATTCCATGCTCTCTCTCCATTTTATGCTAACGCCTTTCCTCTGCTGGTCCTGCTGGAGAACCGGGAGAAGAGGCTGTCTCCCTGGCTCCATGAGTGACTGAACCAGCAGCCATTTCCCCTTCTGAGTTTCCTGGCTAGAGAAATGGTGAGCTGCTCTTTTTTCTGGGAGTCATCTAGGTTGGAAAACAAGTCAGTGGGAAAAAGAAGGTGGTGGGGCTGTGTCATGGATTTGGTATTCCCAGTGCTATCTGTAGGAGCAAGCCTTATTCTGAAATTCAACCGCCTTTACACCAGGTCCTTATAAGGGCTCTCCGCCCACTCTTCCTATGCTATCTCTCTGTTCCCACAAAATTCCTGTTCTATCCCCAACACAGACTTGGGCGCATCTTCTCACATCGTCCTTTCTAGCTTCTTTCTCTTCCCCGCCTTACCCATGCATTGCATCCCGGAGCCCAAGCTCTGCCCTTCCTGAAGGACCATCAAGCCTCCCTCCTCAGAAGCATTCCTCTCTGTCCTGAGGCTGCGAGAGCTCCTCTCTGATGCTCCTGTAAATAAAACATTCACCAAGATGTGTCATTCTCTGTGCTACACTGCCACGGCAGCATCCAGGAGCAGACAGAGCCAGGCAGTGGAGCCAGGCAGACCCAAAAGTGTGAATGTGGCTCAGAAACAGAACTACATGGTTCTGGGCAGTCACTAAATCTCCGTGGATGCTTCTTCATGAGTGAAATGAGTGAAATAATGTCTATCTTGTAGAGCTATTGTCAGCATTCACAATAATGTATGTAACCCAATTACCACAGTTCTCAGGTAATGTGGGAGCCCAATAAATGGTAGCCATTGTTGTAAATCTCAGCTAGATAGCAAGCCCCTAAAGGGAGTATGGTGGGGATGGTGCTTTTCTGTACTACAGAGGATGGAAAGTTAAACCTACAAGTCTCAGACTCCCTTGCAACTAAAGTTCAGATTATACATAAGGTTCCAACAGTTAGATGTACTTGTACAATATCTGAAAGACAGAAGTGAGGGAAGATACGTCAAGAACTGCGAATGGTCTGAGGTTTTACTCTATATGCAAACTAACAATTACTTGGCCACAGCATAATAGATACTGGTAGAAGACACAAGATTCCTGGGTTAGAGACAAAGGACTTTATTACTGACAGCAATGGCAACATCAGCATTTTCTTTCGCTGGTCCCTCAAGGCCCAGATGCCACAGGGCAATGTGAAGATGGCCAGCTGAGACCTGCACACAGTGGGTTACATTAAAAAAGAGGAACCCAGAGCTTAGAAAAAACAAATATTTTTAAATGAACAGTGGGTGTACCTGCCTTTTGTTCTGAAGGGATACACTGTGGCTGTCTCTATAGCCAAGGCTCTTTGGTACACAGGCATCTTTGAAAACATAGTTCAGAACAAAAGCAGCCAGGGCCTTTGCAAGCTGTGCAGAAACACAAAAGACCCATGGAAAACTGTCTCCCAACAAGGTCATCTTCCTGTGGCCAGCTGTTGCTTCTAGCAAGGATGGTCATGGTGATTTTAGGTTTTCTACAGCCACATTTCAGAGGTCAATTACCAGCTTCATCATGTCACAGGAAATTATAGAAACTTAAATTCCTAATTCCACAGCACAGCTATGACTTTGATTTTGAGCTCAACTGTTCCAACTCTCCACTTTCTTGATTGTGGTAGGCTAGTTAGGTGTTACCAAACTTCCTGAAGGCCCAGCCTAGAGTCAGCTGACCCACCCAGAGTTTCTGCTTCCCTACTGACAAATTTAGATAGAGGCTAAACACCATCTTCCTCCAAAGCTCCAATATCTTCCATTATAAATTTCTGATGTTGGTGAAGATGACAATAATGATGGTGATGATAATGAGGAGGAGGAGGAGATAGCAAAAGGGAAAGAGAGTAAAGATGGCAGAATAAATCAGGAAAAAGAGAAGTAGGAATGAGAAGAAAATCATCATTTTTTTCATTCTTTTCCCACCAAATTACCACATGTTCTCCAAAGAAATAGCTCTTGGGGTCTCTATTTACCATATTTATTAAAGGGAGAAGCAGATGTCCTCACTTCTAGAACCCCAGAATTCTCAACCAGAGCTTTTTTTTTTGTTTGATTCACATTTTCCTCTCATTTCTCTGAGACACAGTGGAGTTTCTTAGCTGCTCTTACATGGGCTGGTCACATCCTTTGCTGGACCAGAGAGAAGCCTGATCCCAGTGGAAAGTTACACAGTACCAAAGCTATTCTCATACCTTCCACAGCATCTAACCAGGATGGAAAGGAAGGAAAAGGTCTATGTCTTTAGCCTAAGCTATGGTCCCTGGGCCCTTTCTGGAATGGGGGCTCTGGCTAACAGGACTACTCCCAGTGAACTTTTGTTTAGTGCATCTGGGACCCTCCATGCAGTTCTGCCCCATAATAATGAGCCAAAATGTACATCCCCAGTCCTATATAGTAACTTCTTGAATTGCATCTCTCAGAAATGCCTTCTGAATTCCCCTCCCGTCTGTCTTGCACTGTACTGTTTGGGAGTTCAACTAAGGCCCTGGCATGGGACCTTGCCTTTCCTATGCAATGCCAGTGGCTGGGCCCTGGGGCTTGCATAAAATCACCCATATGATATGTGCATACAATAATAGCTAACATTTAATGAACACTTACTATGTGACAGACACAGTCCTAAATGCTCTTATAATTCATTTCGGTCTCCCAACAATTCTATGAAGCAGGCACCATTATGCTTCATATTTTATAGACACAGCAACAGAAGCTCAGAGAAGTTAAACAACTTGCCCAATTCAGAGCCCGGATTTCTTCAGAGACCCTCTCTTTAACAATTATGCTATCCTGCTCAAAGCAGAAATTCAATAAAAATTTATTGGATGAGTTAGAAGAAGAGTGGCAGAAATATCTGATTTCACCCATTACTCATTCTTCCCGTCATCTTAGTAGCAACAACCACTATCATCTAAGATTCTAGCTGAGCCTGTGCCTACCTGGCTGGGCTCTTCTCTCTGTCTCAGTTGCCACATCTGTAAAATAAAAATAATAACAATACCTCTTTCAAATATTTCTTAAGTATATGAATTCCTGGTTGAAAAGATTACTAACCAAAAACTGTCCCAAACTGTAATATATAACAAGAAATACATATTTTAAATTCCTAAATTGTAATTCATTTTGTTGACTGTGAAAATAAAATAAATTAGGATACATGCTTGACATATAAGTATTACGTTCAAGTCAGTTGATTGAATTCAGCTGAATGCTATTCTATAAATCTCTCTCAACAGAGAATTGAGAAACTCCAAAGAAAGCACCCCATTCAGACTCTGTCACAAAATAGAAAGACATCATATTTTAACAATAAAATGAGGCCAAGTGTGGTGGTTCATGCCTTAATCCTAGCACTCTGGGAGGCAAAGGTGGGAGGATTGCTTGAGCCCAGGATTTTGAGACTAGCCTAGGCAAAGTGGTGAGACTCCATCTCTGTAAGAAATTTATTTTATTAACAAAGAATTTTTAAAAATAAAAAATAATTTTTAAAAGGACAATAAAATGAACTACTGGCTAGAAATATAAAATCTGTATTTTATTGGTGAGATATTATAGTTTGGGACAGTTTTTGCTAAGTAATCTACTTGACTTGATTTTTAAATATTTTCAAATTTTCCTCCCACAAACCAATTGCCACCAAAAGAAATATTCACAGGAGAGTATCAGTTCCCACCATTGTCTTCCCGAAGTGTTTGTGTTAAACAAATCGACAGGCCAACCCCTTCCTCTGAAGCCAGCTTGACAAAGCTACTTCCCATGGGACTCAGCCTCTGAGAGCCCTAAGTGTGGTACAAATCTTTGCACCCATCACAGAAACAAGAAATTAGGAAAAAGATGCTGAAAAGTTGGAATGGGTAATCTTAGAGCCTGCCCCATTAATGAGGCCTTAGGTTGCAGTAGCGGGGGAGGAGGATAAGACAGTGTCTGCCCCTACAGGGCCACTTACTTTACAAATAGAGTCACTGCCAGAGTGCATCTGTGGGAAGGGAATTCCTAGCACAGTCAGGAGACTTGTTCAAGAGGTCCCCAAGGACAATAAATTGGAGAGATCTCAGAGGCTGTTCCCGATGCTTTGATCCTTAATGAGTAATGAAAGCTTAAGAAAGTGTTTGTGTCTGCTGTACAAACTAGGCAAGGTAGAAATGCTATCTTCTTGCTGTCCCAGGATTGAGCCAGCTAAGCTTAGCCCTCAGGCTGCAGCCGATGTGAACTGTCCCATGATGTTAGTCCTCACTTAATAGCTGGAGAAGTAAAGAAAAGTGGCTGTTCATAGGAATTCAGTTTATTCATTAACTCTACATTGTGAGCTAGAAGCGGGACTTCTCCCTGAGGCGTGGAGCCTCCTCAGAGCGGATCTGCTGACAAACAATCATCAGTGGATCTCACCTGTTCTATTTTCTTTCCTTCTTACAAGGCCTGCTGTACTAGAGATATTAGTTTAGTACTCCAAAATGACACAGAGATCTGTGCAGTTACAATTACTCAAGTAACGGTGACAGACTCAATGTTCTTTGTTGGAATTACCAGGGTTTTTGAGAATGAGGAACACTAGTCAAGTGGTGAAGATATTATCCTTTGGAATTGCACATAACTGCAAGACAACATGGCCCCAGAATCCATTGGTAATGCATCAGCCTGTCTGTGCCAACTAGGAGTAGAAATACTCAGCTCCCTGCCAGGGTTGTAGGCATGGCCAAGAAAATCCTGGAGCAGCTGCTGTAAGAATCAAGGCATTTTGTCAGCAGCCTTCTCTGCAAACCCCTCCCTTCCTTTCTTCTGAAAATGTAGTGAGGGTACAGCCAGCACTGGTCACTGTGGCTCTGAGAAATTGCAAATCCAAGTACTTTGCTGAATAAAATGGGAGCTTGGCTGTGTTCCTTAAAGGTGGGGGTGGAGGTGAAGGCGATGGTCAGATAAATCCCCAGGACCTTTTAAACCAGTCCTCTCTACTCTGCTCTGTATGATGTACCACAGAATTTCTGCCTTCAACAAGTCCTCAGCTCCTTCCCTTCCAGTGGCTTATCTTTGCTTTCTTTGGTGATTTGGAGCCAAGGCTTTCCGAAAGGTCAAGACTAGAGGAGGGGATGTGGCCTGGGCCTGCTCTGATAAAAATGGGCAAAGAGGAGTGTGTGTGGAGGGAACGGAGCAGCCACAGGACAGCACCACTCTCTGTGGGTTTATTGCTTTATGCTGCCACCTGGCTGAGCCCTGAGCTTCAGGCTCCTGCTGGCAGAGAAAGAAAAGGCAGAGAAGACAGGGAACATTTACACTGAGAGGTCTCAACATCAGGCTTCCTGATGGGAATCCCGCCTGAGGCCACAGACCATCACATCCAGCCTCCTGACTCAAGTGTCACTGTCACTCACTTCTAAGGGGGAAACAGGAACTGTTTCGAAAGGTGGACTTAAAGGCGAGGGGTTCATTCATCAACGGATAACTACTTTAGGTGAGACTGGTTCTGTCAGTCTCTAATCCACCATGTTTTCTTCTTTTTTAAATCTGCAAATTTGTTGCATGGAGATTCTTAGTAAGATATTTCATACTCATCTTCCAGGTCCCTGAGTAGAACTCCTTCATCCCTGCAGAAATTATCTTTGCTTCCAGTACTTTCAAGGTGGAAGAGAAAAGGAAATGGCTGGGGGTGAATAACTTAGGCTGAAACTTCTATGTCCAGAGAAGGCCTCACCAATGTTTCTGCATCCTGTCACCCAGGAAAGAAAACATACAGCTAAAATTTACTGAGGCCACACTCGGTCTTGGGCAGCATCTCAGCATTCTACGAATGCATACGGAGTAAACAGTGGTCCCTGGAGCAAGATGTAGAAGGAGGCAGTATGTCTATCTCAGGCTCAGCTCACGGACTCAGGGGAAACCTCCCTGGAAGGAGATAATGTGGTTTTTGTCAGGGTGGTGCCAGCCGACAGACTGGCCTGTGGATACTTGTAAGGCATCTCATGAAGGACACCCAGGAAACCATATGGGAATGGGAGGAATTTTGCAAGTAAGGCCAGAGGTCCAGCAAGCTCCATATAGAAACTCTAGGTTGTTATTAACTGCTTCTACCTAAACCCAATGAATGAGAAACCTGGTACTTACATTCAGGTTACACATATATTATCTCTAATCTTTTCAAGATAGGTGAAGTATCATTCCAATTTTACTGTAAGAAAACTAAAGAGCTGAGCACTTATGAAATCTTACGATGCTCATCAAGATGCAACTATGATCATTGAATAAGTGCAAGAGACGAGATTCCTCTATTGCCATCAGCACTAACATTAAACATTTATTAAATATATACATTGTGCCAAGTGCTATGATAAAGGTTGGTGACACCTCTGTAAATAGCCTTAATCCCTTCCCTTAAGGGCTTGCAATCCAGTTGGAAGGCAACAAGAGGGTATCCCAGCAACTATGCCATAATTACATTGATTCCTTCATTTGGCTTGATGCTTATCATCTGATTGGATCGGGGGTTGGGGACCATATTAGTTATGCTTAGATGCAGATGTAATAGAAAACTTAAATAATAATAAAAAAGATGTTTACCTTTTGCTCACATAAAATAGGTAGGCAGCTCCTTGATCTCTCAGGGACTCTGCTTCTTCTCATCTTTCTCCTCCATTATTCCCAGTACAAAGCTTCTATCTTTAAGTCATCTCCTGGACCAAGATGGTTGCTAAAAAAATTCACCATCCATGCAACAAGAGGAAAGGAAGAGGAAAAGAACGGAAACAGTGCCTGACAGCTGCTGAGGCTTTCCCCAAAGTATCTCCTCGCCACTAAGCTTTCTGCTTCCAACTCATTAGCCATCATTTGTTACAAGGAGGGCTCAGATATTTGGTACACGCTATTGCCCTAAATAAAACTGGGGTTCTGTTACTAATGAAGAAGGGGAGAACAGATACTGGGTAGACTACTAGCAACCTCTTCCACTGGTGATAAAGAAAATTAAATAGGAAAACAGAAAATGACCTATTCTCTAAAAATTAGAGATCCAGGAATCCAAAGAGTCTCTCCAAATTATTTGAGCCACCATGTGAGCAATGACCTGTGGTTAGCAATGATGAACCACATAAATTCCTCCCCCCTAAAAATCATAAAAGAGATCCAGGATTGGGAGGTTTCGACAATCTTTCTTTCAGCCACCTCTAGAATACTGCTCATCTTTTTGGAAATTTTTTTGCACATTTCTGTTGTAGCCTTCGAGGTGAACAGCAAAACCGCATTTTAAAAAATTGAACGATTTAAGTTACCAGCTGCCTATAAACACAGCCACAGTTCCCTTAGGTGATATGGTCTCCTAGGACCATATTATGTCAGTTAAAAAATGTCAGTCCTTCCCAGGCAGGGAAGGACTTTACTCTTTGAAACTCTACTCTTTTAATGCCTCTAGGTGAGGATCCAGTTTTATGGTCCCAGCTTAAAAATGGCTCCTCTTTCTACTTATGTGAGGTATCTAGAGTAGACAAATTTATAGAGAAAGGAAATAGAATTGTGGCTACCAGGGGCTGGGAGGAGAGGAGGAAATGAGGAGTTGTTGTTTAATGAATGCAAAGTTTTGGTTTGCACGATTAAGTTCTGGAGATCTATTGCACAACAATGTAAATGTAATTAGCACTATTGAGCTATATACTTAAAAATAAAGATGGTAAATTTTATGTGTTTCTTTCAATTTAAAACTTCTGTCAAATTATTTTTTTAAACTAGAAGAAAATATTTTTAAATGATTCATCTTTTCCAGTACCTTCCCGCGCTCCTTGCAACTGACTTAGAAGTCTAGAGGCAGAAGCTGGGTGTGGTGGCTCACACCTGTAATCCCAGCACTTTGGGAAGCCAAGGTGAGTGGATTACCTGAAGTCAGGAGTTCTAGACCAGCCTGGCCAACAAGGAGAAACCCCATCTCTATTAAAAAATAATAATAATAAATAAAAAAATAAGCCAGGTGTTGTGGTGGATGCCTGTAATCCCAGCAACTCAGGAGGCTGAGGCAGGAGAATCACTTGAACCTGGGAGGTGGAGGTTGCAGTGAGCCAAGATCGCATCAATGCACTGCACTCCAGACTGGGTGACAGAGCAAGACTCTGTCTCAAAAAAAAAAAAAAAAAGAAAGAAAAGAAAAGAAAAAGAAAAAAGAGAAGAAAAGAAAAAGTCCAGAGGCAGAAGAGGACAAATAAAAGGCATATGATCTGAGGCAAACTCTACTCCCCCTCCTCCTTTGGCTTAATCCCTTAGAGATGGGTCCTTTAATAATAATCCTACCTAACAATGCTGCCTTCTACGGGAGTAGCCTGTGAATAACCATCTTCCTGGGGCCATGTTGGTTTCTGTTCTACTTCCAGTGCTGAGCTTTTGGCCCCAATCAAATGTCGTCATCACGTGGACCCTTGGACACACTTTTAGAAGAAAGGACCCCAACTTGTGTTCAGAAAACCTGGTCTATTCCACTTAGGCCCTTACCAGCTGTATGATCTTGGATAAGTCACTCTTTCTCCCCGAGCCTCAGTTTCTTCATCTCTAGATGGGGCAATAAGCTGAAATGCCCAGTCAGTGTAAGTTGTGTCATAGTAACCTGAGTGTAGAGTTGCCAGATAAAACAGAAGATATTTGAATTTCAGATAAACAACAAATAATTGTTTAGTATAAGTGTATTCTATACATTTACCCAATATTTGGGACCTAATAATACTAAAAAGAATTTTTCCATTGTGTATCTGAAATCAAGATTGAACTGTGTATCCTGTATTTTATTTGCTAAATTTGCCAGCTCTGCCTGGGTAGATTGCCTTGGTATAGCTCCTTATTTTCTATTTTCTCCTATCTTGTTCACTTCTCTTTTTCCTCTGGCTATCTTGTCTTTCAGAGAGTCCTCCCTTCACCTGCCTTCTTAAATAAGGGAGTTTCCTAGGGAATGCATCTATGACCCTCTGGGTTTTTTGTTTTTGTTTTCTCTATGCTTCCTCCTTGCTCCCATTTTTCCAAGACTAAAGCTAACTTTTTTTTTTTTTTTTTTTTTTTGAGATGGAGTCTCCCTCTGTCACCCAGGCTGGAGTGCAGTGGCAAGATCTCGGCTCACTGTAACCTCCGCCTCCCGGGTTCAAGTGATTCTCCTGCTTCAGCCTCCCAAGTAGCTGGGATTACAGGCACCCTCCACTATCCCCGGCTAATTTTTTTGTATTTTTAGTAGAGACAGGATTTCACCATGTTGGCCAGGCTGGTCTCGAACTCCTGGACTCATGATCCACCCACCTCAGCTTCCCAAAGTGCTGGGATTACAGGCGTGAGACACCACGCCCGGCCTAAACCTACCATTTTTGCATATCTCGATTCTAGATGCCTGTCTCCATCTCTAATCTCTCTGCTCAGCTCTAGACTCACATTTACATGTACTGATGGGACATCCACAGAATGCTCCAAAGGTTAAGGATTAAAATGCAACACATCCAAAATACGACTTAATGTTGCACCCCCAACAAGCAAAAGTGTGTCTCACTCTTGACTTCCCTATCTCTGCCTTTGATATCTCTACCCATCCATTCCCCTAAACAAACAACCAGGTTATCACGTGTGTGTTTGATCCCTCTCTGTTTCATGCCCTGCTCTTTGACACACACACACACACACACACACACACACACACACACACCCCTAATTGATCCTACTCATTCATCTTTAAGCTCTCTCAAATATTTCCTTTTTCTGGTCCTGCTGCCTTGCATCTGTTCAGATAGTCGTCATCCATCACTTGAACTCATATAATCTTCTCATTGTATGTTTCTCTACTTTTGTTTCTTCAATAATATTCATATGCAAGCTGACTCTGCTGGACCCTGCTCTGGCTTCACTGTGTCCCCACCCATAGAACTTCCTGCTGCCTCCAGTTACATTTCTTAAGTTCAAATCTGACTCCTGGGCTGGGCGCGGTGGCTCATGCCTGTAATTCCAGCACTTTGGGAGGCCAATGTGAGTGGATCACTTGAGGTCAGGAGTTCAAGATCAGCCAGGCCAACATGGTGAAACCCCGTCTCTACTAAAAATACAAAAATCAGCTGGGTGGTAGTGGTGTGTACCTGTAAGCCCAGCTACTTGGGAGGCTGAGGCAGGAGAATCACTTGAGCCTGGGTGGCAGAGGTTGCAGTGAGCCAAGATCATGCCACTGCACTCCAGTCTGGGTGACAGAGTGAGACCCTTTCTCAAAAAACAAAACAAAACAAAACAAAACAAATAAGTTAAAAAAAATATATCTAGCTCTGTCACTCTCCTTGCTGAAAAATCTCAGAACAGGCTCAAATCCAAACCAGTTAGCATGGCCCTTCATGACTTGGCCTGGCCTCCCCTTCTGATCCACACCCATGTCTGGCCACCACTCCTCACCCCTCCCTTTGCCACTCCCATGCCTGGCTCTCAGCTCCTCATAGCATTTCCCTGCCCCTCTGCTCAATTGAACAACTTGCTCTCTCCCGAGGGAGTTGTCTGAGTCCCTCCTGGTCTGGTCAGGGGAGCAGTCTCTTCCTTTACAATGAGAATTCCCACTCCATTGCCTTCAGCCAGAAAGAGCAAAAATGGTCACTGATCATCCCAGAGCATATACCACATCTGGTCCCTTTCCAACCAACCCCTCTTACACACCATGAAAAGATCTGGATGACAAGCCCTAGCCTTGAGCTATCAGTGGGTTCATCCAGCTCCTGCAGCGTTCATCCAACTCCTGCAGAGCAGGACACTGGAACTGCCTTCAATGGGACCATCTTGTTTCTGAAGGAGCTTGAGGACCACCAGTGGAGGGCTGGGGATACACAGATTAGCTTACCCATCTGCCATTCACTCAACAAACACATTAAACTCCTCTGATAACCCAGGCCTAGGAAGTGGGCTGGGGGAGATTCAGACAGCCCTGCCCTCCAGGGCTTCCTGGGTGGGTGGCCCCATGCCATGCTCCTGAGTTTTAGGTGTCTCCAGCAGGCACACCAGAAGGTCCTCCCAGTCGACCTCCTTGCTCAACTGTCTTTTATCCACTCATTCATTCTCCAAATATATACGAGCCACCTGCTATGTGCCAGGAGCTTTTCTAAGTTGGGATGCAGCAATGGATAAGATGGACAAAAACCTTGCTCTTCATAGAGCATAAATTTCGGGAGTAGGAGATAATAAAACAAATGATCAAAAAACACAGGAAGTTAGAAGGTGCTTATGTAGCAAGGAACCAAACACGGAGTGTGGCGGAAGTGAGGGGCTATTTTAAATAAGGTCGTTGGCCTCCCTGAGAAGGAAAGTGACATTTGAAGAAAAACATGAAAGAAGGGAACAAGGCACCACCACTGCCACCCTCCCCACCCTCCAATTTGAGCAGTTTTTGCGGCAAGTATCTTAGAGCTGCAATTCCGGGAGAAAAATCGTGTGTTCTTTCTACCCACAGGAAAGGAGACAGAATGAAAGAAGGAAAGCCCGGGACAACAGAAATTCTTTCAATGTTGAACTGTCCCTGATGGACACTTGAAAACCGGCTCCGGCAGCAGAGCCGACCCGCCAGGCCCAGGGGCTCCCGGGCCCCTCCTGGGGCTGTCAGGCTAATCCGGCAGCCGCCTCCCACCCCGCCCCGCTCTGGGGGACTTTTGCTCGGGTGACTAAAGTTCAAACTCGGCTAAAGCAAGCCCTGGGAGGCGCTTTAAACAGGAAAGTGGCGCGGCCGCCCGAGAGAGCCCGGGTAGCGGCCCCCGGAAACCAGGCGGCGGGCAGAGGCCGCGGGGTGGGGAGGCCGGGTTGGCTGGGTGGGGAGGCCGGGTTGGCGGGGCGGCCCGGACCTCCCGGCTGCCCGCGCTAGCACCTGCCCAAGGCTCGGGTCTCTCAGAGGCACGGAGCTTTCTCTGCGGAAATGGCCAGGCTCCTGGGCGCGCTGGCGGCCCTGGACCGCCAAGCAGGGAGCCCCCTCTCCGGCCGCGGCCCGCCGGGCTGAGAGACCACAGATTAAGTGCGCCTTGGTTCTCTCAGGGATGCTATTTTGCTCCGGCCCGGGTCTCTCCCGCGCCGAGTTGCACAACAAACCATTTAAACATTTCAGCACAAAACCCGATCCATTGTGGGGCCGCACATTAAAAAGTGTTATTCGCTTTGAAGTTTTTGTCTAATGGCTCTAAACTGAAAGAAAATGTTTTCCTATTACTTAATTCAATCATAGCGAAGAGACTTGGTAAAAAGCCCACGGATTTTGCCCCAAAGTGTGACAGAGTTCTCTTTGTGTTTGCTTATCCTTCGCTGTCACACACTTTAATTCGCCTCTCTTTATCTGGCATTCAAAACTTTCTTCAATGACATTCAATAAGGTCCAGAGGCTGGAGAGAGGAAAAAAAAAAAAACCTGGTTATTCCCCCCACCCCCACCCCCACCCCCATATTCTTTCCCAGTAGCTTTGGCCTTGCTCGCATTCAGGGGCTCTTAACCCCTTCCTCCCCGGGCACGCGGGGCGGCTGCCAGTGGAGCTCCACGCTGGCCACTCGCGGGCTCCCAGCTCCGGGTGCAGTGCCCGCCCCTTGCACCCCTGGGCCCCGCCCGCCCTTGCGCCCCTCCAGCCTGCCTCTGCCCAGCGGAAAGCCCCTCTCCCCGCCCGGGTCTCGCTCTTCGCTTCCTCTCAGCGACCCAGCCCAGCTCAAATTTCCCAGAGAGCAATTAGAACGGGAATTAGGCTGCATTGATGCGTTCCGGCTGGTTTGCAGGCACCACCCTAGAGTGGGGGAGCCTTGGCGCTGAGACTCTGTCTCAGAGGGCAGCCTTGCCCCCCACTCCATGCCAAGCAACCAAGAAAACATTGAACCCTTACTCCTGCTAGATGCCATGCCCTCCATGCAGGTTACTTCTCCCATTGTCCTATTCCCTTTTACAGAAGCAGTTATTATCTCGCAAAACAAATTATCTTTGCTTTTTAATCAGTTATAATCTGTTGCTGTTGTTATTGCAAAGATGTTGCCAAGGATAAAAGCCCATGCAGATGCTTCGGGTTTGGGCAATCTTATTCCTGCGCACTGCTTCCCCAGACCCCTAAGCTTCCCCCTCCATTTCTCACAATTCCATTCAGGGCTCAGAGCAGGTGACTGCAGCGATTTGGTTCCAATAAAATCGAAAGTAAACGTCTCCTGTGAAAAGTCCCGGGCTGTAAATTAGAAATGTTTATGCTGATTTCCCATTGTATGGAAAAAGCTCCTGGGCGAAACAGCTTTGAGCCCGAGAACGATTTAAAAAGCTGGAGCTGTGTACACAGCTCTGAGCGTTTGAAGTTGTTTAACCATTGTGTGACCAGAAAGAAGAGTGACGCGGCAGGAAGAAGAAGCCGGGTCTTGGGGAGAGCGGAGGCGGGTCAGGGTGGGCAAAGGCAGCCGATGCCAGGAATACAACCGCCCTTCGCGCCGTTCCAAACTAAGAGATGGCAGCGGTTTCCCAGCGCACTGCTGGAAGTGTGCTCCAGTAGACAGGGTGTGGGCAAGATGCGCGGGCAGACAGTCCGCACTCGCCACATGTGCTGGGGTGCGAGATCTAGATCTGCGCCATCTCGGCTTTCATTCCCCATTCCCTGTCTCTGTTCGTAACGCTCAGAGACTGTTTTTCCTCTTTTACATCCACGGCCCTGTCATTTGAAGGAAAGGGCTGGTTGGCCAGCATCTACCGAACAAAGACTGGGCGTCGTAGGCAGCACCAAAATTAAGACTATTTGAGAAACTTAGAGAAAACCGAGGGACAGCGATGGGTCTAGGGCTGGATAAGGAATAATGAGCCCTTCTCCTCCCTCCCCACAGACGCCTCCTTCACGCGGGAACCCGGTCCTCCTTCTTCCGACGCAGAGAGAGAAGCGATTCCACAGGTGGAAAATCTGAGACCGGCTGGAGGGAGGTTCGGGGGTGCACGGCACTGAGCTGACAGGGCTGACTGGAGACAGCATACTTTTGGGGTGTAAGGGCGATAATAGAAAGAAGGGGACCAGGACCAAGTGGACAGAGGATATGAGGGTGTGCGCCCATGGGGATCTGTAGAAGAGAGGCCGCGGGGGTGCAAAATCAGTAAGGTGAACGGGCTGATGGCCAATGCAAAGCCAAAGGGGAGTAAGAAATAAAGAGAAAGGAAAGAATATTAAATCGCGGGAGAATGAGAAAATAAACCCGCAAAAGGGAGAGGAGGGGGCGAGGGCGCCTGTTACGGCGTGGGTGGGGTTGACAAGAATAGAGTACATTATGCAGTTCATTTAGTTAACAAGTGAAATAATGAGGAAGCGTGCAGAGTGAATGCCAAGAGAAAAGGCACAAAAACCCTATTGAGAGGCCCCGGCCGCTCCTGGCGTAGTCCATCACATGGCAATAGTCCTATTTAAGCCGCGCCGCCGGCGCCTTTCAGCACCACTAGCGCTGGCCAGCACCCCGCGCTCTTTGGGCGGTGCCCACGGCAGCAGAGGCTACTGTTTCAGCCTAGGTCTCAGCCGCGCGTTCAGCCTCCTGGGCAGAGGCAGCTGCGGGATACCGCGGCCAGGGAAAGCGCGTGGAGAGCCGAAAGGTGCGGTGGGCGCAGAGGGCGGGCTGGCTGCGGGGCGACCGCGCGCCGGGGCCATGCCGCGCTCCTTCCTGGTGGACTCGCTAGTGCTGCGCGAGGCGGGCGAGAAGAAGGCGCCCGAGGGCAGCCCGCCGCCGCTCTTCCCCTACGCTGTGCCCCCGCCGCACGCGCTGCACGGTCTCTCGCCTGGCGCCTGCCACGCGCGCAAGGCTGGGCTGCTGTGCGTGTGCCCGCTCTGCGTCACCGCCTCGCAGCTGCATGGGCCCCCCGGGCCGCCCGCGCTGCCTCTACTCAAGGCTTCCTTCCCACCCTTCGGCTCGCAGTACTGCCACGCGCCCCTGGGCCGCCAGCACTCTGCTGTGTCGCCCGGGGTCGCTCACGGCCCGGCCGCCGCTGCTGCTGCCGCCGCGCTCTACCAGACCTCCTACCCGCTGCCTGACCCCAGGCAGTTCCACTGCATCTCTGTGGGTAAGCGGGGCCGCCGCGCAGAGGGACCGGGCAGAGGTGATCCGAAGCAGGATGGAGAGCCAGAGATGGAGGAAGAGGGACCCTGGGCTTTCTGGGGGCGGTGAGGGTCATGTCGGGGACTAAGGGGGGCGCTTGGGGTGGAGTGAGGATAGAGGGCCGGGACACAACGCCAGGAGGCGGATGAGGGCAGACGTCCAGGTCCTGGAGTGTGGGCCGGGGTAAGTGAGGGCTGGGATCCAAGGCTCTCCATGAAGGGGAAGGGGTTCCAGGGCTGCATGACTCCGGGAGAATCAGGATCTCGGAGCTGGACAAGGAGCGCTCACTGTAGCTCTGCTGTGGATTGTGTTGGGGCGAAGAGATGGGTAAGAGGTCAAAGTCGTAGGATTCTGGCGACCGCCTACCAAGGGATTGGGTCCACAGCACAGAGGTCTGATCGCTTCCTTCTCTGCTCTGCCACCTCCAGACAGCAGCTCTAACCAGCTGCCCAGCAGCAAGAGGATGCGCACGGCTTTCACCAGCACGCAGCTGCTAGAGCTGGAGCGCGAGTTCGCTTCTAATATGTACCTGTCCCGCCTACGTCGCATCGAGATCGCGACCTACCTGAATCTGTCCGAGAAGCAGGTGAAGATCTGGTTTCAGAACCGCCGAGTGAAGCACAAGAAGGAGGGCAAGGGCAGCAACCATCGTGGCGGCGGCGGCGGGGGTGCCGGTGGTGGCGGGAGCGCACCGCAAGGCTGCAAGTGCGCATCGCTCTCCTCAGCCAAGTGCTCCGAGGATGACGACGAATTGCCCATGTCTCCGTCCTCCTCAGGGAAGGACGACCGGGATCTTACGGTCACTCCCTAGGCGCGTGTCTCCCTAGGTCGCCCACCCCAAGACCTCCCTGCGCCTCGGAGACTAGTCCTGGGACTCAGCGCTGATTCCCAGGCACCCGCAGCCAAACCACTGCCTGGCATGGATTTGGCACTGCTTTGCAGAGGTCCCGGGCCTGGGCAGGGCTGAGAGCTTGGCAGAGACTGGACCATGGCGTCCCCGCCCCAGGGCTCGCTCGTGTCCAAAGCCAACTCCAAGCTGTGAACACTGTAAGCGCTCGAGTCCTCCTGGGCAGTGCAGCACCGCGGCCCCCGCCCGCAAGCCTGCTTGGCGCAGCGCCTTGCTGGCAGCCGGCGCCTCCTAGCCCGCCCTCTCTGGGCTGGCTTGGGCTTCCTCGCTTACTCTACTCTCCTCCGCTCTCGGTCAAGGTCGGCGGCCTTGGATGCTCGTTCGCTTCTCTTTTTAAAATGTCTTTTTGTCCCTCCCCACCTCTTTCCTGTGATCATTTATTCACTCGGCCCCCGCCCGCCAACACACACATTTATGAACCCCCACTTTTTTTTTCCTTCTCCTTTTCCCTTCCCCTCCTCAGGGAGCCTCCTCCTTCAGTCAGTCCATTTGTCCCTTGATCTGGCCTTGCTGTCCTCAGTCCCCACGGCTCCTCTCACAGATGATAAATTTCGCCCGTAGTATCCATATTGGGGAAACAGATTTGCTCTGTTTCCAACACGCTCTTCCTTCCTCTAAACATAGGACCCCGCTCTGCGCCGCTGGCGACCCCACTCTTCCCCCTCCAGACTCTGGCCCGCCCCAGCCTAGCTGTGTAATTGTACGGCCTCTGCAATGCCAGAAGATATTTATTTATTTATTTATGTACAAAATTTTAAATAAACTTTTTTTTTTCTTAGAAATGCCCGTGGCTCTGAGCCCAGAGGCCTTCGCTCTGGAGTAGACAGGCGCCAACCCGGATTGGGCCTCCCTTCTGGGAAGGGTTGGGGATCCAGTTGCAGGGTCCGAGCCGGCTCCTCGCCTTACAGCTCAGCCAGTGCCTCTCGGAACCCTCAGCTCCGCTGAGAGCCCGCCTTGCATGCCAGCCAGGTGCGCGCTAACGATTGTCCCGCTCCGGCGTGGCGCACAAGCGTCGCGGAGCTCAGAGAGCTAAGCCGGAAGGGAAGGAGAGCGCTCTCCTTGGACTGCACCATGGGTCCCAACCCCTGCAGCGCCTCCTTCTCACCTGGGATCCAGCCCCACCTCCATCCCTCACCATTTCGCTGTCCTGGCCAACAGCCGGGAGGGCAGAAACCACTCCCTCCATAAGCACAAGAAATCCGTCCTTCACTGCGCTTGGATTGATAACGATTCGTTAGGGACAAATTTCCATTCTGCGGGATGGTGCAGACTTCTCTCAGAGGGCCCTCCTCTCTTTGTTTTAAGGCAAATTCCCTTAGCCGAGTCCCTGGTCGCGGAACATTCCGGGCAAGGAATCCGAGAATCCGAAGTGATCCTGCCCCAGGGAGTCCCCGAGAGGGACTCTGCATAGCTGGAGCCAGTGGCTCTGGGACCTCATGTTCTCACCAATTCTCGTTAAAATCCTATATCCCCCTACGACTTAGAATCCACACCCCAGCTCCCTTTGAGGACATATGCGGGTTTTTTTACTCTCTAAGATGGATGAGGAGAAGGAAGTGCGTGAGGTTCTGCAGAAACGGAGAGCGCACAGCTGCGGGAGGAGTATTTCTGCAGTCAGTATTTCTGCAGTCAGACCTGGGAAGCTAATATCCGCGTTCTCGCCGCTCCCATTCTGTGTCCAGGAAACCTGATAGACCTTCTTTTCCTGCCAGACCCCTACACACACACACAGACACACACACACATACACACCCTGGGGAGCGCTGAACTCCCCGTGTCTAGGCAAAGCAAATGCGTCTTTTCCAGCAGGAAAGACGGTCCACCTGAGGTTGCTTAACATTTTTGAAGCTCATTTCCTCCCCCCCACAAAACGGCTTTATTGAGCTATTCACATTAGCATCCAGTTCATTCATTCAAAGTGTGCAATTCCACAACTTTTAGTATATTCACAGAATTGTGCAACCATCGACACAATCTTATTTAAAAACATTTTTGTCATCCCAAAGAGAAACCCCATCATGCCCATTGATAGTCTCTGCCAATTCTCACTATATCCCAGCCCTAGGCAACCACAAACCTACTTTTGATCTTGTATTAGTCAGGGTTCTCCAGAGAAAAGAGCAAATAGGCTGTATGTAGTTATGTGAGGAGGTTTATTCTGGAGACCAGGAACTACTGTGATATGCCATCTGCAAGCAGGAGAACTAGGAAAGCCAATGGTGTGATTTTAGTCCCAGTCTAACCGGCCTAAGAACCAGCGGAGCCGATGGTGTAACTCCTAGTCGGAGGCCAAAAGCCTGAGAACCTGGGAAGCCGCTAATCGAAGACCCAGACTACAAGGCCCCGGAACCAGGAGCTTGTGGGGCTTAGTTCTAAAATCTTCCATCTTTTCCTTCAAATCAAGCTGAGGATGGGGGTGGGAGGGTCTCTCTCCAGTTCCCCTGGAACAAGGGCAGGCACGATCTAGCTCCCCATGGAGAAACTCTTGCCGGTTCTTCCTGGAGCTAGGCATCTGAGTTGTGCTCTAGACTGATGAGGATCTCCATCAGTCTGAACCTCACTTTAGACGGGGACCAATTCTCCACCATCCCAGGAGGCGACATTGTGCCAATCTACGGCCAATCTGAACGAAGCCAAGGTGCTTTAGTGCATACCAGTGAATAGAATCACAACTGTTTTACTATCAGTGATGAGGCTGATGCTTGCTGAGTTTTGCTCGTTTGCATGTTGCTCTAGGGCCCCAGGGTGAGTGCAGTTGTGCACTCTTAGCTCCAGCAGGACCGGCCCAGCCTCCGTTTGGCTGGGATTTGGGGGCGGGCGGCAGCACGATTTTCTGGCAACGAGTTCGTTGTGGGTCTGAAGGACCGGCTTAGAACTAGCACCTCTCCTGGATTACAGGAGGGGGTGGTCTTGTGCACCTGGGAAAGGCCTTCGCCAGCACTCAGTGTCAGGCATCTTGATCAGAAATGCACTTTCGAGCCTGCCAGGGAACCAAGTTTGGAGGGGATGGAAACGGCGGTGGGAGACATAGAAAGGATGAACACACACACCCGGCTCTCCCCGCACTCGCCTCTTCTCCAGCTCCCCCTCCTCTCCCGCCTAGGAGTCCCTCCTGTTCCCAGCTTCTCCCCAGAGTCCGCAGATCCACAGCTGTGAGCCAGGTCCGCGTGGGGCCAGTTTTCCCAGGAGTGCACGTTTCCTCCTCTCGGCTTCCCAGGGATTCATTTCCGGAAGACCAAGCTTTCAGCTTTCTAGTCTGCCTTAGCGAGCAGCGGGAGGAAAAAAGCAAGCCTCCTTGTGGCGATCCCAGTTGTTGCCAAGGTGGTGACGGGAGCGCAGCGCTGGGGACCTGGAGGCGGCTGCGGCGCACCAGAGCTCTCAAGCATCCCGCCGCCAGCAGAGACTGCGTTCAAGTCCCAGCACACTTTCGCTCAAACACTCCTCACCCTGCAACCTCTGACCTGAATGCAGAAACAGTTTGCGTCTTGTGCTGAGCTGGCCGGGAGGCCTCCGCTCGTGTCAAAGCCTCTCCTCTGCCGCCTGGGTTGACCGCCAGGGAAGGGCGTGATTGCGGCCTGGAACTACCGGCTCCTCCTCTGAGGAGACCCAATCCAGCCATTAAACCACACTGCTCTGAGCTGGAATTTGGGGCTCACAAGGCGAATTGTGAAATTAGAACCAAACTGAATTATCAGGATGATATTTTCTGGAAATTGCCTTTTAACCTGGTAATTTGCGTACAGGTCCCTGAGTTTATTTCAGGGACAGTGTCCATTTCTCTGTGCAGTGTAGTGGCTAGGAGCGTGGGCCCTGCAAAAGCCTGGCTTTGCAATCCGTGTCCACCATTTCCTAATCTTGGGCAAAGCCACTGGTCCTTCCTAAACTTCAGTTTCTTCCTCTGTAAGTGGGGATTATGTTAACAGTTCCTCTGCTGGGTTGATGTGCAATATTAATGGATAGAATTCCCATAAAATGCTAAGCAGAATGTCTGCCATGTTTCAATAAATGTTAACTAATATTGTTGTTGGTGGCGTTGCCGTTGTTATTTGCAGTGTCTACAGCTGCGCCTGGCGCATAGTAGATGCTGAATTATTTAATGAGTGCTGAAAAGTGACCACTCACACTCAGACTTAGATCCAAATCTACAGCTGAGGGAGGGGTTGGGAACACATGCAGGTGCAAACATTTCCTGGACTCTGTGGAGTTAGTGGAAAATAAGGAATGCTCCCCTCTGCCAAGCACCAGGTGCTGGAATCGCTTAAGTCCAAACAGGGATGTCCTTTTCACCTTCATTTAAACCAGTTCCTCAACCTCCACTCTATTGACATTTTGAATGATTCTCTGTTGTGTGGGGCTGTCCTCTGCATTCCATGGAAGCTAGCAGCACACCTAGCCTCTACTAACTAGATGCCAGTAGCACCTTCTCCCAGTTGTGACAACCAAAAATGTCTCCAGACATTGCCAAAAGTCTGGGGAGGAAATATCACTTCAAGCTGAAAACAACTGATTTCAACCCGTATCATTTCTGCAGAAGTCCACGGTGGCCAGGATTTTGTGGCCTGGCTCTGAGAACACCTTTCTTCCTTTCCTCCAGCTATCCTTTCATTGGATACCTGTACCTTCTGCATGTGAGGTACTAGACTGTGCTCTGCAATGTAGTGCGACAGCAGAAAGCAGAAAGAGAAAGTGCGGGAAGGGCAGCTGGTGGAAATAGCAAAGCTGAAGGCCTTTTCTGCATAGTGGGGGCATGCAGCTAGTCTGCACAGCCTAAGACATACAGGTTGAAAGCCTAGGGCAGTCAGAGGCCTGCTGGCTGAACAGAATTTACAGGGCTTCTAGAGTCTTTCCAAGAATATCCTATCCATATATTTCATGGCCCTGTAGACAATAGGCTCCCTCTGCAGTCAGGTCCATGAGTACCCACAAGGCCAACCTTTGGAGGAAAAATTTTAGGAGGCTGAGGTGGCATCTCTCAAGTCTCTCTCTCTCTCTCTCTCTCCCCACCCCCCCCCCCCACACACACACACATACACTCGCCACCACAATTAGGGTTCTTCTTGAAGCACATATAGGCATTTGTTAACACCTTCTCTCTTGAAGACATTGTTTTGTTAATGCCTACATGTCTGAAACTGAACTTCAATTCTTTTTGATTAAAGCCTCTCATTTGATGCAAACACAAGTAGCCTTGCAAACAGTAACCACTGAGCACTGACAGTCATTCACTTTTTCTGAGAAAAGGCCCTGGAATGGCAAGAGTAGGGGGGTGATGAGGACAGAGGACCAGGTACATGGAAGAGATGCAAGGGCAAGAGAAGGGTGGTGGTGGCGGGGAGGGCTCTGGAAGTCTTACTGCACCAATCAGTGCAGTGAGGCCATTGGTTCCCCACCCCTAAATTGGAAGGCTGAGCCACTGTGTTTACTAGACTTCTTCAGAACCCAGCTTTACCCACAAAGTAAGGAATAAACCAATTCCAATGAGGCAAAAACTCATGAATCCAGCCTTTCCCCAACCTTGCATGTAATCATCCACAGGTGAGTCTGTTATACTAATAGGAATGTGTGTGTGTATGTTTATGTGTGTGCACATGTTGGAGAGACTGAAACAAGGGGAAGGTGGGAAAAAAAAGTTGGCGAGTCTAGGAGGAGAATGAGATTTCACTCAAGTTAAACAGCCTGGTTTAGTGATCATGCTGTCACTATGAATCCAAGCACTAGTGCTAGAAAGTTCCTTTGAAACCACCAAGGAAATTCCAGGGCCCTGAACCTGACACCTCCCAGCCTGGCTTCCAGGGTTTTATCTGTGAGTGGCTCAAGGGAGGAAGTGCCTCCCTTGGTATGTTTGGGAGACATTTGACTTGGTATCCATTTCGGGCAGTAGTGGGTAAGGAAGGTGTGGCATTCAAGAGTCTGCCCTGCACCACCTAGTCCAGGGGGCACTGGTCAGAGTGGGCATGAGTCTGGGGCAAGCCAGGGCTCCCTCAGGGGAGCCATGCAAGGAGGAGGCCCCACTCCTAATCCAGTTGGCTTTCAGGCTGTTGGATCCCAGGATGCAGTGTCAGTCCAGGGGCCACCCCCATTGGTTCACTGTTCACAGAGAAGTGTCAGAAAGAAGCAGATGTCTTATCCCTGATTCCATAATGATGTGAATTTCTAAAGTAGCTCTGTTATGGGCTAAATTGAATTCTCTCAAAATTCACATATTGAAGTCTCCAGTACCTCACAATATAACCATATTTAGAGATAGGGTCTTTAAAGAGGTAATTAAGGTAAAATGAGGTCATATGAGTGGGCCTTAATCCAATATGATGGTGTCTTTATAAGAAGAAGAGTTTAGGACCCAGACACACCTGAAAAATGCCATGTGAAGACACGGGGAGAAGACGGCCATCTGCAAGTCAAGAAGAGAGGCCTCAAAAGAAACAAAATCTGTCTACGCCATGATCTTGGACTTCCAGCCTCCAGAACCGTGAGACAATAAATACCTGCTGCTGAAGCCCCTAGCCTGTGGTATTTTGTCATGGCACCCACGCAGACTGATACAAGTTCTGACCTAGGTGAGAGCTCTCTGGACCTCTGTAGGCTACTGTAAGAATATGGAAGATTGTAGAGGAAAGAGTTTTGGGCTGGTAGTCAAGAATCTGACATCCATCCTGGATTGTGCCACTAACTGGTTCTGTAACTTTGGACAAATCATCTAATCTTCCTGGACCTCTGATTCCCCTTCTCCAAAGTTAAGGGGTGTAACAGGCATTTGGTGTTTGTTTCTGTTTTTGTTTTCTTCTGACCAGCATTCATTCCCCTTCCTTTTGGTGACAGAATCTAGATTTTTTTTTTGTCAAATGCAAATTAAGGTCAGTTCTGGAAAAGAACAGGCACCCACTGAGGCAGGCACTTGTACACCGTGGGAGTTCTCCATGGGCAGGTTCCTGCGTTCCTCTTCAACATCCAATGGAGATTAGAAACTTACTACCTGTCCCCCTAACAGCTCAGACATGGGCACAGGACCTGGGCCCAACTAACTGGACATTTCCCCTAGAAATATGAATCTAGAGGAGAGTAATGCAGAGATGCATGTCAGTTAGGGATGATTTCCTATGGCCATGAAGTTTAGAGCTTCCACATAATGGCAAATGACCCATGACAGTGTGGAAGGGATTGTCCAGGATGGGAACCCCAGAGATGGCCTCTAGCTGGACTGTACATGGATGGGGTCTTGGCTATCTCCTCCCTCCCTGCCTGGTAGCCAGGCCATTTTCTCCAGCTTTACCATTGATTCTGTGAATTATCAGATGACCTTCCCTTCAATACCTTTTCTGCTTAAGTAGCCAGAATTCATCTCTGTTGCCTGCAGTTGAGAATTCTGAGTGATGCAATAATTCATAACATAAATGAGCTGTTTAGAACCTGCACAGGATTGTGAACAGAGCATGGAGAAGTATGATGGCTCCTTCCCTAGAACCAAGCATCAGTTCTGACCAGGTGATCAGTATTACTTACATGGAACATGGAATCCCCTGTACTTTGGTATTCCTTGGCTCTTTTTTTTTTTTTTTTTTTTTTGAGCTGGAGTCTCACTTTTTTCACCTAGGCTGAAGTGCAATGATGTGATCTCAGCTCACTGCAACCTCTGCCTCCCAGGTTCAAGCGATTCTCCTGCCTCAGCCTCCCAAGTAGCTGGGATTACAGGTGTCTGCCACCACACCCGGCTAATTTTTGTATTTTTGTAGAGATGGGGTTTCATCATGTTGGCCAGGTTGGTCTCGAACTCCTGACCTCAGGTGATCCACCCGCCTCAGCTTCCCAAACTGCTGGTATTACTGGCGTGAGCCACCGTGCCCGGCCTTCCTTGGCTCTTTAGGCTGTTGCCCATGCATTCCTTTTGGACACACTGGGGCATTTAGACTTGGTTTTATGGTTTGAATATTTGTCTCCTCTGAAACTCATGTTGTAACTTAATCCCCAATGTATCAGTATTGGGAGGTGAGGTCTTTAACAGGTGATTGGGTCCATGGATTAATCTATTCATGGGTTAATGAACTAATGGATCATCATGGGAGTAGATCTGTTATAAAAAGCCAAGTTGGCCTGGCCTGGTGGCTCACGCCTATAATCCCAGCACTTTGGGAGGCCGAGGTGGGTGGATCACCTGAGGTCAGGAGTTCGAGACCAGCCTGACCAATGTAGTGAAACCCTGTCTCTACTAAAAATACAAAATTAACTGGGGGTGGTGGCACATGCCTATAATCCCAGCTACTTGGGAGGCTGAGGCAGGAGAGAACCTGGGAGGCAGAGGTTGCAGTGAGCCAAGATCGCACCATTGCACTCCAGCCAGAACTATAAGAGACACATTTATTTTCTTTATAAATTATTCAGTCCTACGTATTTAGTTATAGCAGCAGAAAGCAGACTAAGACACTTGGGTGGATGGTTTCAGAGTTCATCACCCAGTGGTGATAACATGGGTCACAGCTGGATCATGAACTGGCCTCACCCTGGAGCAGCACTGGGCTTCCTGGGGGCAGGAGAAATGGTGCTTCCTCCCACTCTACACATCTGCAGGAGGAGCCATGTCCACGCCATGCCCCTTTGAGATGGTTGTCCACCCCGTGCACACATTTCTAGATCAGCTCAGTCTGTGCTACTTTGCTCTTACTCACCAGGGAAGAGATGCTCCCTGAACTTCTTCATAAGACTCTCTGTGGCAGTTAAGAATGTCCTAAGAGTGCTGGATAATTCTAATCACAACTCTTTTAGTGCAAGTGTTGGAACCTACGTTAAGCTAAAAGGTATCTACGGGCTCACAGAACCATTTAAGTTCAGGAGTGAAGCTGTCCTCAGGAGCTCCGGGGACTTAAATGATGTGCTGAGGTGTCTGGCCCTCCTCATCCACTGGCTTTGCTTCTTTCCATGTGTTGGTTTGATTCTCTCATCCTGTGGACAAGGTGGGACCATAGAGGGGTGGTGGACAAAGGGTAGGAGGACAAGGTCAGCATGGCAACAACCAGCTTCAGACTTAGGTCATCCCAGCAAAATGGCCCCAACAAAAGAGCAAAAGTATTTTTCTCTCTCTCTCCCAAAGTTCTCTAGTGATAGCAAGTGGCCTGTGGCAGCAGCCCCAGAGTAGTGGCAGGCGTTGTCCAGGTGGCAACCCCGGAGGTGACCATTCTAACCACAGATTGGCTCTGCCTGGTTCCATGCCATCCTGTGGCTGTGGCCAGGGGTGGCACTCTGGGGGAAGTTCCACTGGAGGCTCCACTAGAACACAGGAAATAGGGGGTTGGGGTGACTGGAAGGAACAAAATGGATGCTGAGCAGACAAAACTAAGACATCTATTCTGGGTACCAACCACTGCTTCATGTTATAGTACAGTGGTTCAAAAGTATACATTGTGGGCCCTCAGGTTCCCTTGGGGGTCCAAAAGGTCAAAGCTATTTTCATACTACTACTAAGACGTTATCTGTCTTTTTCACTGGGTTGATATTTGCCCTGATGGCACAAAAGGAGTTATGGGCAAAACCGCTGGTGCCTTAGACAAATCCAGGCAGTGGGGAAAGAGCTATGCTAGTGATCACTGTGTTCTTGGCCCCCACACACCCAGGGTGAAAAAGAAATCCAACTGCACCCAAGAATCTTATTTACAAAGAGGTTAACATGATAATTTCATTAAAGCTCAACTTTGAAGACATGGCTTTTTAATATTCCATGTGACAAAATGGTAAGTTTTCATCTGTTGCAAACAAAAGTACACCAAAAAAATAAATTAAGTTGCCTCTTGAAAAACACACACATAATTGAATAGCAAGCTGAACTGGCTGCTTTTTTCGTGGAAAACCATTTTACTTGAAAGAAGGACTGACAGAAAAACTGGTTATTCAGACTTGGGTATTGGGCAGATATTTTCTTGAAAATGAAGTGAGCCTGTTACTTTAAGAAAAACAACTGAAGTATTTGCTGTCAATGATAAAATTTGAGGTTTCATTCAAAAATTGGAATGCTGGAATACTTACATTCATCACTGTGAACTTGACAGGTTCTCAATACTTGAAGACTTTTCTGATGAGATTGGTGGAGACATTAACAAATATGATTCAAAAATACATTATATAATGAAATGTGCCAACATACGGGTGCTCTTTATTAACTCAGTGAACCAGTATTTCTAGATGACCAAGGAATGATGTTACAAAATGCTGCTCAAGTAAAGGATCCATTCAAACATCAAGATAGATCAGCAGATTTTCATGTAACAGAGTGCAAACAAAAAATTTATAAGATTCCAGATTCCACATCATAACTTTTAAGAAATTCAAGTTTTGATGTAATACCAAGAAAAATATCCACAATTATATTAAAAGGCTATTAAAATACTCCTCCTGGCTGGGTGCACTGGCTTTTACCTGTAATACCAGCACTTTGGGAGGCCAAGGTGCATGAAACACTTGAGACCAGGAGTTCAAGACTCTGTTGCCCAGGCTGGAGTGTGATGCCAGCATAGCTCACTGCAGTCCCGGACTCCTGGGCTCAAGTGATTCGCCTGCTTCAGTCTCCCAACTAGCTAGGACTACAGGCATGTACTACCATGCCCAGCTAATTAAAAAAATTTTTTTTTCATAGATGAAGTCTTGCTATGTTGCCCAGGCTTAAAATGCCCTCCACTTTTTAAGCCAATTATCTGTATGAGGCTGATTTTCTTCATATAGTTCAAGGAAAACAACACATTGCAAAAAAACTGAATGCCCGTTAACATCCCTCAGGTGATCTTAGAACTCAGCTATCTTCTATTAAGCCAGATATTAGAAGTTTGCAAAAATATAAAGCAATGCTACTCTTCTCACTAATTTTTTTTGTTTTGGAAATTATAGTTATTTTATACAAATATGCTATTTAAGTGAAAAAGGAATGTTTATTATGTTGTTTAAAATAAATCTATAAATATTTTTAAATTTTGTGTTTTAATTTCAAATACAGTCCATTTTATTTTTATTTTTATTTATTTTGAGACGGAGTCCTGCTCTGTCCCAGGCTGGAGTGCAATGGTGCAATCTCAGCTTGCTGCAACCTCCGCCTCCTGAGTTCAAGCGATTCTCCTGCTTCAGCCTCCTGAGTAGCTGGGATTACAGGTGTGTGCCACCAAGCCCGGCTAATTTTTGTATTTTTAGTAAAGATGGGGTTTCACCATGTTGTCCAGGCTGGTCTCGAACTCCTGACCTCAGGTGATCCACCCGCCTTGGTCTCCCAAAGTGCTGGGATTACAGACATGAGCCACAGCGCCCAGCCCAAATACAGTCAATTTTAATAGAGATAGCTCACATAAACAAAAACCCTTTGGTGGCCTGGTGCCCTCAATATTTTTTAAGAGTGTAAAGGGTCTTCAAAACCAAAGCATGTGATGGGCTATTGTAGTGTATTAATAACAATAGCAGCCAGCACTACCAGACACCTGTTAACCCTCTTAATCCTCATGAAAGCCCCATGAAGTAGGAATTATTGTAATCCTCATTGCCCAGATGAAGAAACTGAGGCACAGAGAGGTAAAATGACTCCCAAATGTCATGCTGATAGCATGTGGAGACCCTGGAAATCCAGCCCAGGAGTCTGACTCTGGAGTTCGCATTTCTAACTTGTTCAAAATGTTGCCTCTTCTCTATGAGCCAGTTATGAGGCTGTTAATTTGTTTTCCACAGGGTAACCATCTGACTACCCATTGCATTTCGCATAATCAAGAGGCCTCAGACTTCATGGTCCTCTCTCTACCATCCCCAATATCCAAGCCTAGTAGCTGCACCACTGATTTAAAAAAGAAGACACCAAACCACTTTCAAAGATGCATTTAACATAAAATCTGGCTATTCCTATATAACATCTTCAAACATGACTTTCCTGAAGGTCTCTTATACTGCTTTCCTCTGGGACAAAAAAGGCAGGAAAATCCTTTTACCAATATTGAACTACTATCAAAATCTAGCACACCTGCTCCTGAAAACTTGCAGGATTACCATTTCACTTCATCTTTTTTTTCCTGCTACACTTTTTGTTTTTGTTTTTGAGACAGGATCTTGCTCTGTCACCCAGGCTGGAGTGCAGTGGTGCAATCACAGCTCACTGCAGCCTCAACCTCCTGGGCTCAAGTAATCCTCCCACCTCAGCCTCCTGAGTAGCTGGGACTACACTTGCATGCCACCATGCCCAGCTAACTTTTTTATTGTTTGTAGAGATGGGCGTCTTGCTATATTGTCCAGGCTGGTCTTGAATTCCTGGGCTCAAAGGATCCTCCTGTCTTGGCCTCCCAAGATGTGGGCTTACAGGCGTGAGCCACCCGTCCTGGCTGCTGTACTCTTAAAATTGAAAAATTGCTGGTAGGTGTTTGTGTTTTTACCACCTGTGCCATTATGCCCAATGCCCCTAGATAAGTGTGATCTCACAGGTCACAGTGCCAGGGAACTCCAGCTGTAGGAAAGTCATCCATTAACGTTCCTCTGTTGATCCTAGCTCAGTCCGATGTACACGTGGAGCTCTCTGTGTTGCCTGATCTATCTGTGGCCGTGTAGTTTCTCTTCATAAACTTGGCTTAATACACCAAGCATAATATGACACATGGCTGAATAACCAAAATCTCATTTCGCTCAAGTATCTTTTAATTAAAATGTTAATTTGGGCATGCATAAGTTAACTCCACTTCAGCCCAGAAAGAAGGGTAAAAGGATTTTGAAATTTTCACCAACTTAAGGCATTTTGGGGATACGGTTTGTATGAAAGATGCTTCAGAAAATGAAGTTGTCATGCATTGTATGTGTAAATAAACCTTTCAGCTCACTGGCAGGATAGAAGCGCAGTAGGGCTGGAAAGGCATTCTGGGTATTAGCATGCAAATGAGCGTGTCAACAGTGGCTAGAGTGTACCTTGGGGTGGTAAACAAGCTGATTGTCATGGGAAATGTAGTTGGCTCTGCTCTGTTTGAAACTGTTTTGCAAATCCCTTGTTTGGTTAGATTTCTGAAAGTTGAGTTTGTGAACTCAATAATACAGCTTAATACCAAACTCCCAGTCACATGGTTTTTGGATGCCTGACAGGGTTGTGCACACTATAAAGGGCCATCCAAGCAGGCATGCCCAGTTAGGTCTGGAACGCATGGGGCCTGAAGCACAAACAGAAGGCTGAAGAAAGATGTCAGCCACAATTAGAACGCAGCAGAGGCCAGGGTTCCAATCCTGGATGTGCCCATGCCCTCTGGCTGCTTCCTGCCTTCCCGAATGCTCTCCCTCTGCCCGGATGCTCTGTTCCTCCACCCCCAGCCTGGCCACCTCCTCCTCAGCTTCCTCTGGGAAGCCCTCCCGACCTGTCCAGGTGGAGTTAAGGCCCTCCACCCCATCTGCTGTGGACAGCACTTCCTCCTTGACTCATGAGTACGTGGGCACGGTTTCCACGCTGGGCACTTTGCTGGGCACTCTGACCACAGTGAACGGCACTCTGTGTGCCCATCTGTCCCTTCTAGCTAAGTGGTTCTCCTCAAGGCAGGAGACAGAGTCTTCCTCATCTTCATGTCCCCAGGGCCTGGCACACAGTGGGCACTCATCAAGCACCGGCTGTGCCTAGGTTCATGTTCTCCTTCTCACCTGGAGCAAGATGAATTCAATAAGAGCACAGAATCTTTGCATTGTTTTTCTTAGTGCGTGCTCTCTCTTCCCTCTGCCTCCGGCTTACAGACCATGCCACTGCAACTCTCACACCCTCCAGCTCACCATAGGGATCTGGCTCCTCTCCCAGCTCCTTAAGGGTCACCTCTCCACAGCTCCACTGCACCCCCTTTACAGAGACACTTCCCCTTTGTCTTCAAACTAACCCTGATGCCTTTTGCAAACCCTTCCCTAAAAAACCCACTTCTCTGAAGAGCCCATTGTCTGAGAAGCCAGCCCCAAAGTTTCCTTTTACAGAAAAGGAGATCAGCTTTCCCACAGCCACATGTCAGTCCCCTTCCAAGAAGGGGCAGTTTGAGCTGAATGAACAGAATGCAAAGGCTTCTGCCTGACAGGTAACCTACCTGTCCCCCTGCCCCGAGGAAGCTGGGATAGGCACAGAGGTGGAAGATGGCTTCCACCTCTGCACCAGGAGGGAGATGTAACCTGAACTGATGAGGGAGCAGGGATGGGAGTAAGATCGGCGACATGCTCCCTGGCCCTGCATGTGGTACTTTTGGGGGTAGAAGTTTGGTTGTGGAGCTGCAAATGTTGTACATAGTCTCATTAAAAAATAATCAAGGTTTGTCGTGTCTGCCTTATATTCTCTATGTCTCCTGTTGTGAAGACAAATCATATGTCTCCATGTGGGGTCAAATCATGGCATGCATCCTGGCATAACCTATTGTTATGGGCTGAATTCTGTCCCCCGCCCAAATTCATATGTTGAAGCCCTGACCCCCAGTACCTAAGTATGTGACTGTATTTGAAGATAGGACCTTTTAAAGAGGTGACAAAGTTGAAATGAGGCCATTAGGGTGGGCCCTAATCCAAACTGACTGATATCACTATGAGAAAAGGAGGTTAGGACAGAAAGAGACACAGAGAGGAGAGGCCCTGTGGGGACACACCGGGAAGTTGGCCCTCTACAAGGCAAGGAGAGAGGCTGCAGAAGAAACCAAAGCTACCAGCCCCTCGATCTTGGACATCTAGCCTGCAGAACTGTGAGAAAACACATTTCTATTGTTTACTATCCAGCCTGTGGTACTTCTACTGTGGCAGCCCAAGCAAACGCATATGCCCATTACGTGTTCAGATCTGCTGTTCGTGCAGAAAGACAGCCTACGCACAGGGTCAGCTCCTCTGTCAGATACGGGAACTGTGATGGCTGCTTCAGCATTGAAGGACAGCACACAGTTGCCTCTCTGGGGCTGTGAGCAGGTCTGGCTTCTCTAGGCAGGCCCAGGCTCAGCCAAGCAGAGGTAATGTGAACAGTCCCAGATCCTTCAGGCAGCATCTCCAGCAGTGATTGAGTTCCCTCCGTGGCTCCACCTTTTGCTGGACAGACCACTGTGGTTTCAGCCTCTGCCCCTGGGCTCTGAAACTGACTCAGCGCAAGAGGACAAGCTTCAATTCCCTATGATTTCATCTCCAACCTGACCAATCAGCACTCCCCACTCACTAGCCTGTACCTACCAAATTATCCTTAAATATTCTGATCCCTGATTCTTGGGGAGACTGATTTGAGTAGTAATAAAACTCTAGTCTACCATTAAAACAAAAAAGCCACTGAGCCCCTGATCCTTTCTGGAACATCCCAGCTGACTCAGACCTCCCCTCCCTGCTGATGCAAGCATTGCTCATTCAATATTAATTCGTTGAGCACCAACTTGTCCATGTATCAGGTGATGGTGAGCAGAACTATGGATTTATGAGGCTGACACTCCTGAGAATATGAAGGAGAAAGACTGAGCAAATCACCACACGCTGGAGGAGAAGCCACAGTGAGATGAGGAGAGCAGAAGAAGGAAACCTAACAGGGCTTGTGGGGGACTTGAGATCTTCAGGTGTGGAGGAGTTGAGGAGGCACAGACAAGGTGGGGAAGGAAGTGATGGGAAGTCCAGCCCATGCAAAGGACCTGCAGTGAGAAAGCACAGGATGCTCTAGGCACTGAAAGAAGGCCCAGGAACCGGAGTGTGAGGAGCGGGGGCAGTTCCTGGAAACGCAGGGCTGGAGAGGGGGTGCTGAGCCTGGCTGATGAGAGTGAGCATAGTGGTTTTTGTTTTAAGGGCAATGGAACTCACTGCAGAGTTCTCAGCAGGGGGTTGGCACCATCAGGTTGTGTTTGAAGGACTCACTGGCTGCAGTGTGGAAGAGCCATGTGAGGGAACGAGAGTGGTCAGGGAGCCAGCTCCATGGCGGCGTCCTTCAGAGGCAGCACACAATCCCCCGCACTGGCCTCAGAGGTCCTGCAGGTACACACCTGGCTCAAGAACCAACTCCTGACTGCAGTGATCTGAGCGAAGGTCTCCTTCACCCTGCCAAGAAACTTCCCTCTCGTTTCCCTGCTGCAGAGCCAGGATCCTTCATACAAGGTCCACTCTTTCCATGAAAGCCCTGACCCCCATAAAATGCAAACATCTCTACATGACAACGCCTTAGCCTGAGCAGCCTTCATTGAAGAGTTACTGGAAAAACGCTGACTGGACAAGCGGCGACCAGCAGGAAGGCAGTTTCCTGAATCTCCCTGGTGAAAGTTCTTCTGAGGGAATCCAGATGGGCTTGGCTGCAGGAGGCTGAGTGCCTCAAGTTTCAGTCAAGAGAACTCAGGAGAGCTGGAAGCACACATGGTGGACGTGGAAGGAGGGAAGGGTTGAAGGAGAGCCTTGATCCTGCAAGTTCTTTAGTATTATGATCTCTGTTTTCCACATGAGCTTTAGTGCAGAGAGGTGGAAACAACTTACCTCGGGGCACACAGACCAGAGTAGCTGTCAGGACACAAATATTCTGAGCCTGGTACTGCATTCCACCTCAGCAACAGGCCTTGAGAGCCAGCTCTGGAGAAGCCAAGCAATGGCCCCTGGGTCTGTGGTGATGAGCTGCAAGGACTCACCCCAAATACCACCCCATCAGCAAGTGACTGGCACATAGCAGAAATGTGATGAGTATTTATTGAATGAATGAATGAGTCACCATATGGGCAAGTGCCTTGTAAACAGTTAAGGCCCTGGACCTTTGGAGATTTTTAATAGCTTCAGTCTCCTTAAGCAAAAACGTCCTCAAAAGTCCCTATTTTAAAAGGTAAATAAGGCCAGGCATGGTGGCTCCCACCTGTAATCCCAATGCCAATGCATTGGGAGGTTAAGGTGAGAGGATCATTGGAGTCCAGGAGTTTGAGACCAGCCTGGGCAACATAGTGAGACCCCATCTCTACAAAAAATGTTTTTTAAAAAAATTAGCTAGGCATGGTGGTGTGTGCTTGTAGTCCTAGCTTCTTAGGAGGCTGAGGTGGGAGGATTGCTTGAGCCCAAAGAGGTCGGGGCTACAGTGAGCTATGATTGTGCCACTGCACATTTTGCCTGGACAACAGAGAAAGACCCTGCCTCCTAAATAAATAAATAAATAAATAGGCAAACAATACTGCCAGGGGCAGTGCCTCAACCCTAAAACCTTCTTAATTCACATTCACTCACCCAACATGGTTTATTGAGCTCCTTCCATGCACTAGGCCAGTGGTTCTAGGCATACTACAGTGAACAGAATAGACAAGGTCACTGCTTTCATACCAGTGGGGGCAAAAGACCTCAAAAGCAAGTAACCACATAAATGAACAAGCTAATGATAGGCAGCCATGGCATGTGACAGGAAGAAAGGAAATGGGTATTTTATATACAGTACAGTAATCACTCCTTATCCTCAAGGGATGCGTTCCAAGATCCCAAGGATGTCTAAAACTGCAGATAGTACTGGACCCCATATATAGTATGCATTTTTCCTGTACATACATACCTATGACAAAGGTTTAGTTGACAAACTAGGCACAGCAAGAGATTAACAACAATAATGGATAATAAAATAGAACAATGATAATATGCTGTCATAAAGGTTAGGTGAATACGGTCTCTCTTTCTCTCTCTCAAAATGGTTTATTGTATGCTACTTACCCTTCTTATGACCTGCCGATCTGATCACCAAGAGGGCTACTATATGACTCTTAAATAAATACTATCCATTGGCTAATTAACAGACAGGAGAGAATAATCTGATTGGTGCTTTTTTTTTTTTTTTTTTTTTAGTCGGAGTCTTACTGTGTCACTCAGGCTGGAGTGCAATGGCACGATCTCAGGTCACTGCCACCTCCACCTCCTGGGTTCAAGCGATTCTCCTGCCTCAGCCTCCCAAGTAGCTGGGACTACAGGCATGCACCGCCACACCCAGCTAATTTTTGTGTTTTTAGCAGAGACAGGGTTTCGCCATGTTGGCCAGGCTGGTCTTGAATTCCTGACCTCAGGTGATCTGCCCACCTCGGCCTCTCAAAATGTTGGGATTACAGGCACAGGCCACTGTGCCCTGCCTGATTGGTGTTTTAAACAATTGCCCAGGCTGCTCTAAGGAGGACAGGGTACAGAGCAAGCAGACCAGGAGCAGGAAGCCACGTAGGGCATGACGAGGGTGGTCCAGGGCAGAGCTCATGGCGGCCTGCACTAGCCAGGTAGGGTGTGACAGTGGTGATCCAGAGCTCGTGGTGGCCTGCACTAGGGTGGTAGCTGTGGGTAGTGATCGGATATATTTTGAGGCCGAAGTCACTACTTGCTGATGGATTGGATGTCAGGACAGGAGCAGAGTCCTGGGAATCTAGTACGCGTTTGGCTTGAGGGCCAGGTTAATGGTCTTGTCATCTACTCAGGCGGAAAAGCCTGGTGGGGAGAGGTAGGGATGGAGAAGAATAGAGTATCATTCCAGGGTTCCATTTGGCCATGTTGAAGATGCTCTTAAGACACCCAGGTGAGATGTTGAACAGGCAACTGATGTGGGCATTCATAGCTTTGTTGGAAGAAATGAAAGAAAATAAGAACAAAAAAGGAGAGAAGAGTTCTTCATGAGAAGAAGCAGGTAAGAGAAGGAGCCTGGCGGTTCACAAGGACAGACTTCTCTTGCCACAATTTCCAGTTCAGTTATGTTCCTAAAAGTATTTCTGAGAATTTGCTACGTGCCAGGCAGGACCTTAGCAGAAACAGGAGAGGCAGCCTGGTCTCAAGCTGCTATGCTCCAGGGAGAAGCGACAGCTGCAGAACATGGAAATGGCAGATCGTTTTGCTGTAGATGAACCCTAGAGGGAAGGGGAGACAGGGCGCTGGACGGGTCAACCTGGCAAGGCTGAGAGGATACTTGAGATTAACCAAAATGATGGGAAGGACAGGGCCATGGGAAAGAGCAAGCACAAAGAGCCCTGGGACTACAAAAGCAGAAAGGAGGACAGTGCCCAAGAGGGAGCATGAGCCAGGGTGACTGCAGACCTAGGCAGGGCCTCGAAGGCTGGAGGGGCTGGAGGTCACGCCTGCAGGATCAGTAGCTATTGGAGGGTTTCAGCAGGGGACAGATGCTCTTGGGATCATGCTTTGGACAGATGGTTCTAGCCGTAGGGTGAACCATGAATGGTAGCAGGGAGCGTGAGTGGGACAGAGCCGAAAGGTTGTCTCCGTGATCCAGAATGAGATGCTGGGATTTGCTCAGCCTGGTGTGCAGGTGACAAGGGGCAGCAGACTCAGACATATTGTGGAGGTCAATAGATCATCCTTGGGAATGTGAGATATCAAGTTGAGAGTCAACAGAAGAGCCAGTCTGGAAATCCTGGCCTGAATGAGATAGAGGAGAGGAGAAGGCCATGGGAGCCGGAGCACTTCAATGTTTAGACTCTGCAGAGAATGTGGGAGGAGGAAACGCTCATGGGTCGCAGTCCAGGTGGAGCAGGGTTTCTCAACCCTGGCACTGTCCACACTTGGGGCCAATTCTCTATGGTAGGGGATGTCCTGTGTAGGATGCTTAGTGGCATCCTTGGCCTCCACTCACTAGTGCCAAATGGCCCTGAGAGAGGAAAATTACTTTCCGTGAAGAAACACTTCGTTAGAGAAAATAAGCAGGCAATGAGAGGCAAGCCTACCTAAGGCTTCAGAGAGTGGACTCAGAGAGTCCGACCTCCAGGGCACAACACAGTCTCTTCCACCTGCTTGCTGGGTGACCTTCACCAGCCGTGTAACTTCTCTTTGCCTTGAGTTACTTTATCTGTAAAGCGGGGAATGTAGTGTCACAGCATTCCAGATGCTATAGGGATCATTAAAGAGGTAATATAAGGAAACTCTTAGAATAATGCCCAGTACGTTGCTAACAGTTAATAAAACTTATTTTGCAAAGTGCTATGACGGGGGATGAGTAGGGAGTGTGCACCGCCCCCGCCACCCTCCTGCCCCTGACACACACACACACACATGCACAGGCGGAGTCTGTAGCCCCGGCCTAGCTCACGGGCTCGCTCGGCTGCAGGAAGTCTCAGTTGAGTGCTGGAGAAGGATTAGGAGTCCAGCTGGGGAAGAGTTTTGGATAGACAGGATGAAGGTGTCTAGGAAGACAAAAAAAGTATTTGAAATGTCCAGAGGAGAGGTTGGCACTTTCAGGAAGTCACAATTAGTTCAGCATGAGGGAGGGCTGAAAATTCCCTGGTGGCCCAGGGTGCAGCGGGCAGGGTGAGGGAAGCTTGAAGAACCAAGGCCAGAAAGGTAAGAACGAATGTCACAGGAGGAGTCAGGCATCCTCTGAGTTCCATGAGAAGCCACACAGGGTGTCAGGCTGGCAAATGACATGACCAGACAGCCATGGAAATACCACTCTAGCTGGATAGCAGCTTGCGGGGCAGAGCCGTTCTTACCTCCCCTTTCTGAGCCTCCATGAGGACATCTGCTCCCGGTGTCCACTGCCTTCCGGGATCTCCCTCCCTTCTTTCACTGGCTCTCCTGTACTTACCCTTTTTCCTGGTCCTGGACTCTTCTACTCCTTTCTTCAAAGTCCCTGGCTTTCAACACTACCACGTGCTAAGGACTCCCAAAGTGAGAGTCATTCATTCATTCATTCAGCACATCTCTGATGGCCAATGAGGTGCCAGGCATTGCTGTTGGTGCTGGAGCTAGAACAGGGGGTAAGACAGGCCAAAGCCCTGCCCTCCTAGAGCTCTTCTTCTGGTACAGGGAGACAGGCAATAAAGAACACACCTAAAAATGCAAAAGTCTGCTGGGCCAGTGGCTCACGCCTGTAATCCCAGCACTTTGGAAGGCTGAGATAAGAGATACCTTGAACCCAAGAGTTCAAGACCAGCCTGGGCAACAGACCCCATCTCTACAGGAAAAAAAAAAAAAAATTAGCCGGGCCTGGTGGTGCGCACCTGCGGTCCCAGCTACTGGGGAGGCTGAGGCGAGAGGATCACTTGAGCCTGGGAGGTCAAGGCTGCAGTGAGATATGACTGCACCACTGCACTCCAGCCTGAGTGACAGAGCAAGAGCCTGTCTAAAAAAAATGTAGCAGTTACTTATCACTTATTTATTATAGATGGTGGTGAATGCTATGGGAGTGTGGGGAATTATAGACTCCTAAGGGAGAAAAAGTGTTGTGGAGTGGTTGCTGCAGCATTAAACAAGGCTGTCACGGGAAGCCTCATAGAGAAGGTGGGGTCTGAGGAAAGCCTCTATGGCTAGAGTGGAGAGGGGCTGGCTCAGGCTCCCGCGGGCCTCTCCTTTCCCTGAGCCCTGGGAACCCACACCAGGCGGATTCCTGCCACCACCTCTTCACCTGTCTCTTCAGCCAGAGAGTGGGAGTCAGTCTTCCCAGCCCCCTCACTCCCCATCCTCAAGGCCACCAATTTCACCTCCTAAAAAGGCACTGGATCTATTCTTCACCCCCTCTCTTCACAGCCACTGCCCTCTCTCCTGGCTCATCCAGCCTCTTCACCTGTCTCCCCACTCCCATGCCCTCAAGCCAGTGTGATCCAGAATATACTTCTCATTCAGATTCTGCCTTGCTTAAAACCCTTACCAGGCTGAGCACGGTGGCTCACGCCTGTAATCCCAGCACTTTGGGAGGCCAAGGTGGATGGATCACTTGAGGTCAGGAGTTTGAGACCAGGCTAGCCAACATTGTGAAACCCCGTCTCTACTAAAAATACAAAAATTAGCCAGGCATGGTGGCCCATGCCTGTAATCCCAGCTACCTGGGAGGCTGAGACACAAGAATCACTTGAACCTGGGAGGTGGAGGTTGCAATGAGCTGAGCTTGTGCCACTGCACTCCAGCCTGCAGCCTAGGCAACAGGGCAAGACTCTGTCTTAAAAAGACAAAAAACAAACCCTTACCAGAATTTTTATCGTAGCTGAACTTTAAACCCCTTGCTGTGGCCTTCAAGTCTTCCTTGCCCACCTGCTGACTAAGGCCCATCACTTCCATGCTCCCGCCTTCCCTCCTTCCCTCACTCTGCTTCATTCAGCCAGGCTGGTCTCTCTCTTTCCCACCTCAGGGGCCTCGCACATGTTGTTCCCTCTGCCTGTAACACCCTTCCAGGCTTTCCTCCTGGTCACTTTCTTCTTATTCTTCGAATCTCAGCTGATATGTTTTCTCCTCACCCACCTAAATAGCTCTTTGCTGCCTCATTCTTTGTTTTTACATTACATTCTCTTTTGTCCTTTTCACAAGATTAATTGGATATTTGTCTGTGTCCTTCACTGACATTAGACCGTTGCTTGGTGAAGGCAGGAGACCTGTCCCGAACACTGTGTATGCGCAGTGCACTGCCCTGAGACAAGCAGAAGTGCAATGCATTAATGCAGAAGTGAATGAATGAGTTAGTAAGCAGTTGCAGTCACTCAGCTTCAAAACGTAGTGGTCTGAGCTGTGGCAATGTGAAGTGGGTGGACTTTGAGATCCATTTTGGAGTAAGAACCATCCAGGTCTGGTGCTTGCTTGGACCTGCCCCAAGAATCACTCTGAGAACTCCTCAGTAAGATGGTAGGACCAGGCTGAGCCTTCCTGGGCATTCCTGTGTGATGCAGCTTCTCCCACCCACCTCCTGTACCCTTAAGCACATGAAAGTCATCCCTTCTTCAGAAAACTGGAAAAAGGTTGGAGGACTTTGTTGTTGGAAAATGCCCTTGAGCTCATCTCTTCTCCCAAGCCCTGGTCGTTTTCCAGCTGGGGAAGCAGAAGCCCAGAGAGGTGACATGATTTGGCCAAGGGCTCCCTCCCAGTGCATAGATGGGTGTGGCTGAAACCTCACTTCTTCACTTGCAATCCCTGTGCCATCTCTTCTTAAGGACAGCTTTGTCCAGCCTGGGCAACAAAGTGACCGGCTTTACCAAAAAAATTTTAAAATTAGCTAGGCGTGGTGGCATGAGCCTGTAGTCCCAACTACTTGGGAGGCTGAGGTGGGAGGATCACTTGAGCCCAGGAGGTAGAGACTATAGTGAACCGTGATAGTGTGACTGCACTCCAGTCTGGGCAACAGAGCGAGACCGTGTCTCAAAAAAGAAAAAAAAAAAGACAGCTTTGTCCACAATTTAAAAAACACCCCCCAGGCCAGCCCATGGAGCTGGAGCAAACATTTCAACCAGCTGGGCCAGGGACAGTCCAGTGCCACAATAATAGGTATTCCCTCCTGTGGGAGGGGAGTATCCTAGCTGTGACTTAGCAGGGACCAATGCTCGGCTTTATTGGCCATGGTGGGTGGGATGGCAGGGAGAACTCTGAGAGGAAAGTTGGTAATATTGACAGGAGGGGCAGACAGCTGGGTGGAGAGGGCCGGGGACTGCTCTGTGAGATCAGAGCAGACTTCACCTTCATCTCTCCAGAAGAGGGACCCTCTCACAGAAGCAAGGGGTTGGGATGGAGCAGCAGGAGGCTGGAGTTAGGAAACCACCACTCATTCAGGCATAGAGCATTTGTTCTGAGTGTTCTGTTAGGCAGCTATTCCCCAAGATGCTGGAGAGTCAGATCTGAATAAGATACTGAGAGGGAGACTTCAGGAGACTCCCAGCCTGGAGCAGACAGACAGGTCAAAAGGCCTATGTGATACCCCTAGAACAAAGGCATTCACACCTGGGCCACACAGCCACTGAACCCCAAGGAAGCCGGACAAAGAGGATCGGGGGAAACGTCATGCTAAAAGGAGAGATGAGACGAAAGAAGAGAGAGGAGAGGCTTACAGGGATACAGATACTTTCCAGCATTGCTTTTCTCAGGAGATCTGGAAGGGATCTGTGCACTTTACATTGTTCATTCCATCAACAAGTATTTACTAAACACATAGCATACTCCAGGAACCACGCTAAGCACCAGACAGTATAGTTCTCAGTTCACAGAAAGGAAGAAGCAGCCCTGCACCCTGGCCTCCCAGTGCAGCGATTGCCCAGTATCTCCTGAGGCTTCCACTGTGAAGCCAGTCCTGTCTGAAAAGCTATGGAGCATTTTATTTATATATTTATTTATTTATTTATTTATTTATTTATTTATTTATTTTTGAGACAGAGTCTCACTCTGTTGTCCAGGCTGGAGTGCAATGGTGCAATCTCAGCTCACTGCAACCTCCACCTCCCAGGCTCAAACAATTCTCTTGCCTCAGCCTCCTGAGTCACTGGGATTACAGGCACCTGCCACTATGCCTGGCTTTTTTTTTTTTTTTTTTTTTTTGTATTTTTAATAGAGACAGGGTTTCACCATGTTGGCCAGGCTGGTTTTGAACTCCCGACCTCGAGTAATCCACCTGCCTTGGCCTCTCAAAACTCTGGGATTTCAGGTGTGACCCACCATGCCCAGCAGCTATGGAACACTTAAATAACACAGAGAAAATCACATTACTGCTATCAAGGGGTTTGTAAGCCACAGAGCTTAAGAAATCTTAGAAAAGAAAGGTGGCATGTTAAGGCCCTGGGGAGACCACTGTGGCCCCCAAGGTCACTGTTTATCTGTGATTGCTCTTGCAGGAAAGTTCTCAAGAAACTTGAGTCAACACTTGCTTGTGTTGGTCATGACTCTTTGGGTTACAAGTGGCAGAAGACCAATACAGACTTAAGCATAAAAACGAATTTAACGACTTCAGGCATAGCTGTATCCAGCTGCTCCAATGATGATGTCAGACACTGATATCTCTTAGCTTGTTTTTCTCTGAGTTGTTTCACTGTCAGGCTCTGGGGATGCAGTAACCAGTAAACAGAGTACCCTGGGGGTACATTGAACAAGACAAAAAAAAAAATGCGTGGTCCTCATGGAGCTTGTAATTAGGTTCCTACAACTGGTAGTAAAGGAAGACCACCAGGCTTTCTGGGATTACTTCTTATTAGCTTAACAACTCTAACATGAGGAAAAACTAGCCCCAGTAAAAATGTACTTTATCGGTTCTGCTTTGTTACATGTTACCCCCAAGCTGAACAAAGTGGCAGAGAGGAGCAGTACCTCATTGAGCCTGACCCCAGGTCACCAACCCCTCTGGGATCCAGGAGACCGAGATTGGGCAGGGGTGGGTCCTCAAGTGAAAATTGATGCGATATGGCCAGATATCACAGATATCACTTATTTTATTTATTTATTTATTTTTGAGACAGAGTTTCACTCTTGTTGCCCAGGCTGGAGTGCAATGGCGTGATCTCTGCTCACCACAATTTCTGCCTCGCAGGTTCAAGCGATTCTTCTGCCTCAGCCTCCTGAATAGCTGGGATTACAGGCATCTGCCACCATGCCCAGCTAATTTTGTCTTTTTAGTAGACATGGGATTTCTCCATGTTGGTCAGGCTGGTCTCGAACTCCTGACCTCAGGTGATCCGCCTGCCTTGGCCTCCCAAAGTACTGGGATTACAGGCATGAGCCATTGCACTCAGCCCAGATATCACTTTAAAAAGGGAAAATAACAGACACAATGTCTGGCATAAACCTAGACTGGAAAAAGGCAAAGCTGTATGGTCAACATGAAACATAGGAGAAGGTACTAACAGTCCCAGGGAAGCAGGGAGGGAGGCCACAGGGGAGAAGTCCAGGGACATGAGTTCGCTGTTTCCCAAGGGAAACCAGTGCCTTCAGGCCACTCTGTATGGGAGATCCTGTAGCAGACTCTGGAACTGCAACCAAAGCATGAGTGGGAAGTCAGGCAAATTCAGGTTGATAATTGATTGGTTTCCTTGGGCAAGTACCTTACATCTCCCAGCCAGGTGCTCAGCCATGAAAGCGGGTTAATCGTAGCCATTTCACAGGTTGTTGTAAAAGTTAAATTAGAAAACCTGCCTAAACAAATGCCTGGCCAGGGTCGATGTTCAAAGGTAAGAAGAGTGAGGGGCCGGCAGGGCATCCAGTCCGGCCCCAAGCAGCTTGGAGGTGGCAGGAAAACTGTGTTTGTACATTTCCCCTTATGAACTTCTATCCCAGGATGGAGACAACCTCTTTGAAGAGCAGTGCCTAGAATGGCCTCCCAGGACCACATCTCCATCACAGCTGGAATCTCATCCGTCATCTCTGCAGCAGGGTCAGAAACTGGCTGCGGCAAGCAAGGTTCATTTCACCCTCTTCCTCAGCAAGAGAAGCCCCAGCTGCTTCTTTTCTGGCATTTCCCTGTGCCTACTGGTTGGGATGGCCAGCAGCAGAGTATTTGGCCTCCGACCACCTAGAAAAAGCCATGCCTTGGTTAAGAAGTGCTGCATTTGAGAATATGGACCTTTGTGGTTCCCCGTATCCCTGGGAACCTCCACATTCAGAGAGGCTAAAAGCCCACACCGACCCGAGCCAACAGAATGGGGAGGAAGCAGGTGCAGGGAGTCAGCTTCATCTTCCCCTTCTCTTGATGATGCTCTTCAGCCATTAGGGTTTCAAAAGAGTGGGCGTGAGCAAGCGAGAAAAGCCCCTTCAATTCTGGGAAACTTAAAGACAGTTTCTTCCAGCAGGAACACCTGGAGAGGCAAAAAAAAAAGCAAAAAACAAAACAAAACAAAACAAACAAACAAAAAAAGTTGTGTTGGAACCCGTGGAGAGAAGGAACTGTCCGTTTCCAAACTCTGCTTCGGCCCCTCTCCCCTCCCACCCACGGCCCCAGGCAGAGAGGGCCGGAAAGGCAGCCCATTCCTGCCCGCGCATTCGGGCGCACAAGCGCATTGCGCATGTACTGTGGAGGGGGCACCCTGGTCTCCACCTGGAATGCGCTTCTAGCCAAGTAATTGCGTCGCCTTTGCGCGCAGCTGGCCTGGGGAACCTGGGCCCATCAGAGCCAGTTACTCTTGGTCCCCGCTTTACTGGAGGGTCGCAGGAGACTTTCGCTTCCAAAAGCACACGCTCACAGCAGGCTTGTCACCCCCTCCTCCCAGGAGCGCACCTTCAGCCACCCACTTTTCTGGTTTTGCAGGAAAGCCTCAGGGGGGTTCACGTGGGAATAAAACAGTCTCCCGGGAGAAGGTCGTGGGCAGGTGCGTTTGGGAGTAGTGTACCTTTAAGGAAAGAAGTCTGAACCGAAAAGACTAGCTAAGTGCGCCTCCCTCTCCCACGAGAGAACTGGCTGAGAGAAAACAAACCTCAGAACAAAAACCCAGTCACCCCATGGGCCTTTTGTTTTCAGTCAAATGCGCAAAGCCAGGTGGCTCCTTTAACACCCCCAGAGATTGTCCCCATGATCTCCTCTGCGCCATGGGGCGCTGGGTGCTGGGGGCGCCGTCTGTATCCTCTGCCTGGTAACTGCCCCCATCGCGCCCCACTGCGCCCCAGCCCAGGCTGGAAAACTGGGCCAACAGGGAGGCTTGGATGGGGGGAAACCCAGCCTGAGGCTGGAAACGGCTAGAAGTGAACGGGACGAGTGGCTTTGCAAAAGCAGCCGCTGCGATTCTCTAGCGCCAGCGCCCCTGCTTCCAGGAACTTTACGCAAGATAGGCGAGAGGGGTGGCCGCACTAAAAGAAAAAGAAAAATTAAAAAAAAAGACATTCCAACTACTTTATCCTTGCGCAGGGACCCCTTCAAATGTTTCATTCTGGGCCAGGACTCAGGCTTTCCAAACTGAGAATTTGGGGTGGAAAAAAGCAATCACCCGTTGCCCGGGGAGCATAAAAGCTGAATGCGCACCTCAAAGAGATGTGGTGTTTGCGCAGGGAGGCCCCCTTTTTCTAGAGCGCATCAGGGGCTCAGGAAAAACCCCATTGTTACTGGCCAGAAAAAGCTGCTTTCCCAGAGGATGCAGAGCCAGACTTGCAGCAAAGAGTTGCCTGTACCCTTCCCAGAGGAGGGCTTTCCTCACACGCCAGGCTTTGTTGTGCAAACCTCTAAGCTGTTAAAACACCCAGCAACTCTGAGGAGAAAAAGCCCAAAGTTCTTGTTCGGTTTCGCCTGGCACTGGAAATGCCGTCAAACCAGAGCGCGAAACGGTCTGGTGGAGTATTTCTGGTATCAGCATCTTGCAATTATTTGCTCAAAGGCAAGTGAGTGTTTCTCCCAGGACCAAAACATAAAGTTTGTTTTGGATAAATGCGCCTAAATACCCCATTAAAGCTGGCGCCCTGAAAAGAGTTCTGCTCCCCAAATTGATTTAAAGTATTAAAGCAGGATTTAAAGGTTATTCACACTCCAGGCAGTTTATTGGCACCGAAGCACATTCAGAGTTTCTATACAGCTCACTATATTTAACAAATTATTTGAGTTATTATGTAATCAGGCTGAGAAGTCGCACTTGTAAACTCTGCTTTAATTGTGCAGTTAAACATTTTTACAAAACTCCTATATTTGCATTTGTTAAGATTTCAGATTAGACCATTTTGTTAATTGCGCCATAGTGCTCCATTTTCCCCGGTGCGTCTTTGCAAAGCTTTCTTTCCCCTTTCAATAGCGCAGCGTTTACGCCCTGGGCTACCTCCAAGCCCGGAGCTCAAAATGCTCAATTTATTTATTCTTAATTTTGTGGCGATCATTCATGGAAGCAAAAAAGGCTACAGTGTCCTTTTTAAGAAAAGAAAAGCTAATTCTTGAAGTGACCTTGGCAGTCTGGTGCGTGCCCCATCCGAACAGAGAGGGCGGCTTGTGTCAACAAGCCCCCATCTACCAGACTCACCCTTGTCTTTATTCCAACTAATTTTTCGTTTAAGACTTTTCTTAGACTTGTCTCTTATCTATCAGATTAAAAGAGCAGCTTGTAACAAATCAGTCTGCTCGATTTACAAGAGCATTAAAGGGACACAAAGGCAGCAAGCTGCAGTTAGTACCTGGGTCTGTTAGACGGTGCGGTGCCTGCAGCTGATTTGATGGGTTGGAAATGCGCACGAAACAAAATACTTGAATCCTGAAAAAGACCCTTTGTAAGTTTCTTTAGAAATCAAGCAATTCTGCATGACAAAGAACAATTAATAAGCCGTCTTTTCACAAACCAGCAGCTGGTTTCCCCGTCAAGGAAAGTTGGAAAAAATTCAGGCTGAATGCGCGCAGAAGCTCTTTGCGCACAGACATCTCTCCAAGGTGACCCATTTGGCACAGCTGAAATAAATAACCCCGCTCATGCCCAGAGAGCGGGGGAACTGTCAGAAACATTTACGCTAGAATATCTTGAAATTGCAAATCCTTTTATGGGGGAGGACGCTGCCGATGTGGGTTAAATGGACAATGACGCTGGTTAAGTTGGAGGGTCCTTTGGAGACGGACACGTGGCTTCTCAATGAAAGCTGCTCCGGGCTCGCGTGGCCGCCTTCGCCCTGCACACACTTCTCCTCCCAAATACTTGAAAATAGACAGAGAAAAACAAGCAACTCACAAACTCAGCCCTTGGCCCTGGCGGGGAAACAGAATTTCTTTGCACTTTTTCAGAGATATAGTTTTTTTTTTTTTTTCTTTTTAAAGGACCTGTTTGGCCTCTCCAAAGCAGAAAGCCACCGACTTTTTTTGTTTTGTTTTGGAAAAAATCCCCTCCTCCCCCCAGTCCCCTCTGGATCAAGGCTTTAAAAGGGGCACGTATAGAAGTGGCTTTGTCCGACTCTCTGCCTCAAGGCCCATTGGAGATTCTGGGGCAACTGGGGCCTGGGGAGATGGGGAGGGGTGATTAGTCTCCAAAACCCAAAAGTGCTTGCTGCTGCCCTGCTCCTGCCCTCAGTTCCCATTAGCTCGGTGGCTCAGAGAGAGCCCACATAACACAGGCAAACAAACAAGACCTCCAGTGGGTCTGGCTTTTTCCAGGACAGCAGAGACTCCCCTCTGATGAGGTTCATTAAGTCCTGAGTCTTTCTCTTTCTGGCCCCTAATTTTAAAAAGTAAAGTACTCACAGGGATTTTGAGAAGTGAAGGGAGACACACCCACATTTCTACATTGTGCTTCATCTATGGAATCTGGATATTTTTACCACCTCTTCCCCCAGTCTCATAGGGCTGCTGTACGGGACACCCCCATACCAGTGCCCACCCCCAAGCCCTGGGAATCTCAGACATTTATATTCATTCAACTGGTTTACCCTTAGGGATTCTCTCCTTTTCTTTTTATCCCCCAACCCCGTCCAACTCTTCCCCCAAAAAAAGTGAGGGGAAAGGAAGGCTTCTGGATTTTTATTCTTTGTTTGATTTCAGCTTCTGGCAGCCGCCACAGCTACAAGACAGATATCCCAGAGCCTGCTTCCTATTAATGGTCCTTTCTATCACACTCCTCCACCCTGCATTTTTTTTTCCTGAGTTACCACAGTGCTTTTTTTTTGTGCATAGGCAACTGAGGTGCAACTGAACTGATACCCGGAGTTTCTGGTAAATAAAAAGCAAGTAATTTATGAAAGGGACCTATGTCTTTGCACAGCCTCTGGCTTGTCGCTTGAATGAATGGCTTCCTTTGAAGTATGCCATGTCTTAGCTCATAAATGTAATCCAGCATCAAAGGTACCCAGGCCCGGTGATGCAAAACTGTTTACTCTTCATTTTGATGTATACAAAAAGATGCCCTTTATTTCCCTGGACTCCAGTGAAAGATGCAGAATAGAACCAGAGAAGCCAGCCATGGGTTGGCTTGAAAAGGCTGAGCTGGGAGAGCAGAGGCGGCTCGACTGACAAAACCCAAATGTGGACACGCATGGGTCACTGGCTAGGGGTGTTGATTGTGGAGAGCCATCCAGTCACGAAATCCATCTCGACAGTGTGTGCTGATCAATCATGACCTTGTAGCGGCAACATTTATCAGCCTGGAAGCCATGAACTTTGGTTTGCTCATTTTACTTGAACCTGACGCTACCCTTGGGGACCAATGCCACACATTCACTGTAGGATTGATGCAGAGGACACCCCAAAAGGGAAATAGGAGACTGAGTTTCCTTTGTTAAAGGGGATTATAGCCACTACGCCTGTTTAACTCTTTCCTCCCCTGGCCCTGGAACCCATCCAGCTGGGGTGGGTGTGGGTATGGGGGCTGCAGTTGGCCCTAAGCTAAACCTAACACTTTGATAACTTACATACTCAGCAAAGTAATGGCAGTTCCAGCTAGAACAGCCTGGAACGTCTCTCCATGCTGGGATTGGAGGGAAAAGTTCATTTTGGCTAATTTCAACTTTTCCACCATTAAATCTGCACCTGCAATGTCAGGGGTCACCAAATAATAAAAAGTGGCATCTTTGAAACTGCTCAGTCACGTGAAAAGGGCTGTAATTGAGTAGATTCATTCTCTGAAGCCCCATCAGAGACACACAGCTCAGGGCTGGGGGAGGGGGAGAGGTTCAGGACAGGGAGGCAGGGCCAGGAGCAAGCCAGGCTCTGGGAGGGACCCGGGAGCAATGGCAGCTTCTGATGTGGTCCCTTGCTTTTGAAATCTGAGACTAAAAATAAATAAAGATCCCACACATTCACTCCATACACACCCACATACCCACGCTGGCCTCTAGCCTTTGTGAGCAGTTTGACCTGATAAATGCGCTTGGCTGGCATCAAATAGTTCTGCTTTGACCGATCCCATTTAAATATGTGAATTAGTCATGAAGCAGGACACAGCTTGGTGAGCTTGCTAAATTGTTGGACTCTATTGAAGGAGAAGGGAGAAAAAAAGAGAAAGCCATTCAGCGTTCTCAATTAGATGGAGAGGTAAGGGCATCCCAGCCTCAGGCCACCTCTCCTCACTCACTCCCCAAGCCTGGTCTCAAGTGCAGCAGTAAAAGCCTCCCTAGGCCATGAGGCAAAGGTCACCTGGTACCATTTGGGATTATTGTTGCCAGCCTCATGGAATACAGCACCTGTGGCCTTCCATGGCACAGATTGTCTGGGCTGTCTTAGGAGGCCAGTGAGTTTCCAGGGAGGCAAGGGCCCGCTGGCACTGGGATCAATGGACATCCTATGCCTGGGCTGGCGGGGACTCCAGGTTGATGCCACCATGGGAAAGGCTAACCTGGAGCTTCTGTAGGAATAGTTCTTAACCCCAATGCCCACCACACCCTGCCCAGGAGAGAAAGGAGGAGGAAGGAAGAGAGATTGGTGAGCTCCTGGGTAACTCACTCCTCTCTAAGTACAGTCCCCTTTGCCTAGAGAATGAGACTCACAGGAAGAGTGAAGGAGGGCACCAGCAGCAGGGTCACGATGGAAGTGGCCCTCAGTGCCAGCCCAGTCTTAGCAGGAAGGAAAAACCAATCCCCAGTGTCGTGAGTTCCTTAGAAATGCCCCTGCTATGCACACATACCCAGGTCCCACCTTCACCCGCCCCGATTCCATGCTGCAAAAGAAACGTGCCTCTGAGCTTCAGCTGCTTTGTGGGATTGGGGTTGGGTGGCAGCTGGCTCCAGACGGGAAAACTGTTAAACGCCTGCTGTTTGAAAGTTCCCCTTCTTAGCTCAAGGCATTCTGCACACCCTTCTACCATGAATAGTTGCTCAAATCAGGTACTTCCTACTGCAGGTTTTGATGGAGCCAGCCCCAGCCATTCACTTTGTTAGGAAAGGATGACTAAAGAGCAGAGCCGTTAGGGGGAGCGCGTCCACTTGCTTGGTTTGCAGCATGAGATCAATGAGCCAGGAGCTCAGGATAAAATAAAGTGTCAATGTCTTTGTCTCCTTGAGGGGAAGCTTTAGGACAGAGTGCCAGGCAGGGGTGAGTGGGCCGAGGAAAGCCCAGCTCTGGGCTCCACGGACGGCACGAGGAGGTTCCCTCTCTGCAGGCGTTGGCAGTTACACCCTGGGTGTGCAGGCTCCCAGCGTCTCCTCGGAGAACTCAGGAAACTCACCAAGGCGTTCGCTGAATAGGAGTCCGGCTTTGAAACTGTGAAGTCGCAGCGCCCCCTGCCTGTGCGTGGCCGCCATAGCTAGGAAGCCTTCCCAAGTCGGGAGGACCCTCCCCAAGGAGCTCCGGAGGCTCCCCCAAAGCCGGGAGAACCTCGCACAGGCATCCAAGAGCAGCTCTGCTCCCATGGGGACCTGGAACTTATTTGGAACTCAGCAGTCCCTGCTCTTTCTTCCCTTCCTGCTCCCCCACCTACCTAAAATCCCAGGAGCTAGCAAAGGACAAAGGCTCTCCCCAGAGCTTCTGCCACACAGGGGTGCTGATGGGTGGGCTGCAGGTGGGCCTGAGCCCCTGCCCCCCTTAGCTCCGGCTGATTCTGTTTGTCGCCGACCTCAGCTGACTGGATGCTGTCATGGTGGCATGGCGATTATTATAGGCATCTCGGTTATATTACATTACGGTCTTCTCACTTTATTGAGATCATCTCAATTACTGCTCAAAGATTAGTGCAAGCTGCCATGACTCATATGCATCCGGTGTTTACTCTTACTTCATGGCCCTAGTAGTGCTGTATTGATGCCAAAGCGTGAGAGACTGTCACTTGATTACGATTTCCAAAGGCTACTGTAATGAATCTGGCCCAATTCCTGACTTGGCTTGGACAAGCCTCCTCCCTCCTCCACCCACTATCCCATTCCTAGGTTCCATTTTCACTTTAGTTCTTCTACCAGAGTTAGATGCATGTTTTCCTTAATCTTTACATTTAAAAATAAAATTAAAATGCAAAGTCGTCACATGAAAACACACTTCTCAATTTTCTTTTTTTAAATATCCCAAACATCAAAACAGTACTACTCAATAAACACCCTCATCAAGTGCTATGAATACACCAGTTGGCATCAGATGCGTCTCCCTAGACAGCAACGTTTCTGTGTCCACGGATCAACAGTCCACTTATGACAGAGCTTCCGATTCAGGCAGGCCCTGGCAGGCTAATTTCACCTCCATAATTTTATATGCAAGTTAATGCTACTCCCTGAAACTGCTCTTCCCTGAGTTCTGCCTGTCAGGGATGGAGATGGAGAAGCTATCCATAACACTTCTCTCCTCCTTAGCCCCACAGGCAACATGCCAGCCTGTCCTCCACTCTGCCTTCAAAGCATGCTCTGCGGCTGGCGACTTCCTGCCACTTGGACTGCTACCACCAGGAACCAATTTCCCATCTATCTTCAGCTCCAAGGCTCCTACCCTCACCCTGCCTCCCTCCTGTCACACCAGCCAGAAGGATCCTTGCAAACCCCACCTCAGATCATGTCAATTACTAAAAATAAATTCAGGGGCTCTCCACTGCACTCTGTAATTTGACTCAAAATTATTAGCTTGGCCCTCCAGGGTTCACCTAATCCGCCCTCTGCCTAATTCTCCAACCTTCTTTGGGGTTTCTGCTCTCCCCATTCCTGATGATCCAGCCACATGCCTCTCCTGGAATTTATGCCACCTTCCCATCTCAGAGTCATGGTTCAGCGTTTTTCACTGGTTTATTCTTATTTATCCTGCAGGCTCAGCTTTAATGTTCCTCCTGTGAGCTCACAACCTATATTATTCTTTCTCATTGCAACATGTTCTTTGCATTTACATGCAACCATTTGTGTATCTATTGTGTATGATCCCTCGGGGGCTGATACATTTTGGGACAGGAAGGAAAGCATCCTTTTGTATGAGATGTATCCCCAGTACCAAGCTCCAGGGTCAGCTGGAGTAGTTGTTGAGTTGACATGGATGGAATTGGTGAAGAAATGAATGGGCTGTATAAGGTTGACAGTATTCACTCATAAAGGTTTAGTGACTTGACTCCTGCCACACCCTCAGCAAGCAGACATGCAGTTCCTAGGTGAACTGCACCATCTGGAAGACTCCCTAGGAGAAGAAATGGGGAGAGGGGCTGCAGGAGGCAGGTTAGAAAATTCTAGAACAGTTGGTTCTCCAAGACAGAGTCCCCTTAGAGTGGGGCTGTAAAGATATGTGAGAAGCATAGTCAATGTTCACACTTGTGCTAGCTTTGGCAGCACATATACTAAAACTGAAACAATACAGAGAAGATTAGCATGGCCCCTGTGCAAGGATGACATGCAAATTCGTGAAGCGTTCCATATTTTTTAGTGGAAGCAATTTTGGAGGTAGTGGAAGCTACAATGATTTTGGCAATTACAATAATCAGTCTTCAAATTTTGGACCCATGAAGGGAGGAAATTTTGGAGGCAGAAGCTCTGGCCCCTGTGGTGGTGGAGGCCAATACTTTGCCAAACCACGAAACCAAGGTGGCTATGGTGGATCCAGTAGCAGCAGCAGCTATGGCTTTGGCAGAAGATTTTAATTAGTAAACAAAGCTTAGCAGGAAGGGAGAGCCAGAGAAGTGACAAGGAAGCTACAGGTTACAAGAGGTTTGTGAACTCAGCCAAGCACAGTGGTGGCAAGGCCTAGCTGCTACAAACAAGTCATGTTTTAGACAAATACTCGTGTATGGGCAAAAAACTTGAGGACTGTATTTGTGACTAATTGTATAAGAGGTTATTTTAGTTTCTGTTCTGTGGAAAGTGTAAAGCATTCCAACAAAGGGTTTTAATGTAGATTTTTTTTTCACCCATGCTGTTGATTGCTAAATGTAATAGTCTGATCGTGACGCTGAATAAATGTCTTTTTTAAAAAATGTGCTGTGTAAAGTTAGTCTACTCTGAAGCCATCTCGGTAAATTTTCCCAACAGTGTGAAGTTAGAATTCCTTCAGGGTGATGCCAGGTTCTATTTGGAATTTATATGCAACCTGCTTGGGCGGAGAAGCCATTGTCTTCAGAAACCTTGGTGTAGTTGAACTGATAGTTACTGTTGTGACCTGAAGTTCACCATTAAAAGGGATTACTCAAGCAAAATCGTGGAATTATTGGTGATAAAAGTGATTGTTGGCACATCCTATGCAATATATCTAAATTGAATAACGGTACCAGATAAAATTAGAGATGGGAATGAAGCTTGTGTGTCATCCATTATCATGTGTAATCAATAAACGATTTAATTCTCTTGAAAAAAAATGTTCACACTTGTTGGGAAAAAAAGTCTCCCTTGGTTTCATAATGCAGAATGTTGAAAGTAAGGCTCTCCCTATGACGCCCTTAGCCCCACCTCCACCCCCAAATAACGGGAAATACGGGCCGTCTTCTCTGAAGGAAGATTTTTGGGTTTATCCGAAGAAGGCAGGTGTAAAAAGCGACTGGGAAACAGCAATATGCCCTTCTGCCTCTCCTCTGAGCAGAGCGAAAGGCTGCTGGCCACGGGAATGTGGGTCTCGGTGATCCCCGCAGCCCGCAGGCCCCACGGACCCAGGAGAGGCCGGCGCGGAGCCTGGGGCGGACTAACAGCAGAGGGCGCCATAGAGCAGGCCGCGCCCGGCAGGTGCGGCCCCCGCGCCCGGGTGAAGTCCGCTGGCCGGGAGCAGTTCCAGCCAGACCCTGCAGCTCTCAGACTGGGGCGGCCCTCTCCCTTGCCCTCCTCTGCTCGGCTGTGATTTCGCTGTGCTTCTGTGGGAGAAAATGCTATAAGTGACTCTATGGACATCCGTAAAAATAAATGCCAGCTACTATGACTATTCAGGTGTACAGGTGACATGCGATATTCAGAAAGAAGCTAAGAGTCTGGGGTAAGGGTGGGAAGGGGGATGTGGTTCGTTGTTTTTTGTTTTTCTGCTTGGCTTGTGGAGTCCGTTCAGTGTGTAGTGCTTTTTGTTTGTTTGGTTGGTTTTTTTAATGTCTTAGGTTAAATTTTGTCTTTCTGGGAAAAGCTACTTTGGTTAAAATTTGTCTTTCTGGGAAAAGCTACTTTTTCCCAGGATGATTTGACACAACACTGGTGCAATGCACTAACTTAGATCAAAGAAAACGGGCTGAAGAGACCATTTACCCACATGTAAATCCCAGTAGGCCGTTTTTTAAAGAACCTCCGCCGGGATTGGGAGTCATTCAATCAAGGAGCGTTAGAGCTGGAAGAAACTTTTGAAATTAAACCGCCTTTTTATTATTAGATTAAAAAGGAGGCCCAAAGAGGAGAAGGAACTTGTCCAAAGTCACAGCACCTTTGAATGCAGTGGGGCTGATTTCCAGTCTGGGGCACAAGGGAAACTTTTAGTGAAAGGTTGGTGGTGTGTGTTGTTAAGCTTTCATTCTATTCTCTATTATATAAACATTGTAAGGAAAATTGAGAAGATGCCATTATTTTAATTGCCAGAAATCCTCCCACATCAAGGCGATCATTGTTAATATTTTTGCTCTATAATTTTCCAGCCTTTTAAACTTATATATCAAAACTTGTATCAATACAAATTTATATCAGTTTACTAACACTGGATTACACCATCCTTATTGCTTTGCAACTACTTTTTTTTTTTGATCATCAATATAGCTTGAACACTTTTCCATGTCAACTAATATATATCTACATCATAATTTCTAACAGATGCATAACTATTCCCTTCAATGGGTGCACCTTCATTAGTTTAATCAAACCCTTATTGATGGGCATATAAGCTTTTTCCAATGTTCAACTTTTTTTTTTTTTTTTTTTTGAGATGGAGTCTGGCTCTGTCACCCAGGCTGGAGTGCAGTGGCATGATCTCAGTTCACTGCAAGCTCTGCCTCCCAGGTTCAAGCAATTCTCCCGCCTCAGCCTCCTGAATAGCCGGCATTACAGATACCTTCCATCACACCCGGCTAATTTTTGTATTTTAAACAGAGACGCGGTTTCACCATGTTGGCCAGGCTGGTCTAGAACTCCTGACCTCAGGTGATCTGCCCGCCTCGGCCTCCCAAAGTGCTGGGATTACAGGAGTGAGCCACCACACCCGGCCCAATGTTAAACTTTTATAACACATTTGCATTAAATATTCTTGTCCGTACATCTTTTGCACAGGTAATGTCCACCTATTGATGGGTGTGGCTTTTTGTAGGAATGCAGTGTGATGGTGTAGGCTGGGCTTGGACACTGCCTTGCAAACTTTCTGCATCTTTACACAAGCCACAACCTTACTAGGCCCCAATTCTCTCATCTTCAGGTGGAGGTGATCATAGTGCTTGTCTCCTAAGGGTGTTGGGAGGATTCAATGAGGTCATATATAGAAAGTGATTGGTCAGTGCCAAGCACAAACACGTCCTATATAAATGTGAACTCTTAGAATATTACTATCATTACCTCAAACCCTGAAGATTGGCTCAAAATAACCCTCATGGTTTTATTTTACTCTGATTGAGAGTAACTGGATTTCATGAAGAAGTGTTTAAGTGCTAAACTCTAGTAGCTAAAGCAATATCTCCTTTCTTTCTAACTTAATTCATCCAGAGGAAAAAATAATGATAAACGTAAATGGTGGATGGGTTCTTCAGCTACTTGTTATGTTCTGGTCATATAGCTTAATGCTAGCCCAAAGAGAAAAGTCTATATTGGCAAGGATGTGGAGAAATTGGAGCACACTATTGGTGGGAATGTAAAATGGTGTAGCTGCTATGGAAAACAGAATGACAGTTTCTTAAAAAATTAAACAGAATTACAATACGATCCCGAAATTTCACTTCAGGGTATATACGCAAAAGAATTGGAAGCAAGGACTTGCAGAGATGTTTGTATGTGTTCATAGCAGCATTATTCACAATAGTCAAAGGTGGACATAACCCAAATGTCCATCAGTGAATGAATGGATAAACAAAATGTGGTATACACATACAATGACATATTATTCAGCCTTAAAATTAAAGGAATGCGTACCACCTGCTACAACATGGATGGACTTTAAAGACATCATGCTAAGTGAAATAAGCCAGTCACAAAGGGACAAATATGGTATTATTCCACTCATGAGATACCTAGAGCAGTCAAATTCATTAAGACAAAAGGAGAATGATGGTTTCCAGGGGCTGGAGGAGGTGGCGGGGATGAGGCTGCTGTTTAATGGGTGCGGAGTTTCAGTTTTGCAAGATGAAAAGAGTTCTGGAGATGATGGTGGTGATGGTTGCACAACAATGTACCTAATGCCACTGAACTGTCCATCAAATGGTTAAGTTGGTAAACTTTGTGATATGCATGTGTTACCACAATTAAAAACAAAATTCTAAAAGAAAGAGGCATAGTGTCTCATTGAAGGTTCTTAAGTTCCCTTCCTAAGCATCAAGTCTTTTGTGATAGATAAAGCCCCCTCTGATCCCTTCTCCTTTGGAAAATGCTCAAAGCACAGCCTCTGGCTTCCCAGTGCCTTCGAACTCGTCTCCTCTGTTTTGTCCTTATATCCAGGGTCATCACCATTTCACAGGCCTAAGCAGTGAGGGGGTGAACACTGTAGCAGAAGCCGTGGTCTCTGAAAGTTTGTTTTTAATCTAGGAAGATGCCATGAGTCACCAGGACACATTTCAGGTTCATATTCCCATCTGAGGCATTGGAAACCCATTCCTACCAACCAAATGTATGAGTTACCCACATTTCTTCTGCTCGGTCCCCACCCTCACCTTCCGTCTCTCTCCCTCCCTCCTCTCACAGGTTGCATCATCCTCCCCAGACAGGAATGGGCTGATGGCACTCTGCTCAGAATATCTCCTGGTTCCCTGTACATGCAGGATGAACACCCGCCCGAAAAGTCTTCCACAGCGCGGCCACTCCTCTCCCTCTTCCTTTCACCCTGAGGCCTGCTGCACTCCTCACCTGCTCCAGGAGAGCAGAGCCTGTGGTTTCCTGGCCCAATGGACCTTCCCCATCTCCAGACATGCTTTACACATCTCCAGCCCAGAGCCTTCGCACAAGCCTTTCCTGCTGTGTTCACTGTGTTGAATTCCTGTTCCTCTTCCTTATCCAGGCTCAGTTCTCACTCCTAATTTAATGATGTGGCAAGTCTCTGAGTTAGAGATAGCTCTCATCTGTATCAGGGGAGAACTAATATACACAACAACAATAGCGCACATTGATCAATTACTGACTGTGCCAGGCACTGTTCTGTGCATGTGCTCTGCATGTACAATTCTGGTTTCCTCAGAATCACACTGAGATGTAGCCACTATTATTATCCCCATTTTTCAATAAGGAAACTAAAGTGGCCCAAAGAATGTAAGAAACTGGCCCAAAGCCACCCCCCTAGTAAGAGGTGGAGAGAAGATGAGGATGCTGGTCCTCTGGCTCAGGCTGCTCCTCAAGGTCTCGGTGGGGAGAAAGAGGTAAGGAATGTGAAGTGTTGGGCACAAAAGCAAACCACGGTTCTCCTCCCACCCTCCCCACCAGAGTTTACCTGGAAATGGTTATTTTGTGTCTTTTCCCTTGAATATATTATTAAATCCCCAAGAACAGGAATTGGCTCTTACTCATCTTCATGTTTCTCCAGCCACCAGCCCAGGTTTTACTCATAGTAGGTGCTCACACTAAAAAGAAGAAAGAAAAGAGAAAAAGTTCTTCTGTGCCTTGAAAGTGCGAAGTGAAGGCTACAATCTGGGACAAGAGAAAATGAGCAGTACGGCACGGTACTTAAAGCCTGGATTTCTGGAGCCAAACAAGCAGATCAAATTGCAGCTTCACTTACAGCTGTGTGACCTTGGGCAAGCTGCTTATCTCTTTGTGCCCCAGTGAGTTGTCTCATATATACACATGCATGTACAGTCGTCCCTCAGTATCTAAAGGGATTGGTTCCGGGACCTCCTTCGGATTCCAAAATCCATGGATGCTCAAGTCCCTGCTGTGAAATGGCATAGAATTTGCATATAACCTACAAACATCCTCCCATGTACTTGTTTTTTTGTTTGTTTGTTTGTTTGTTTGTTTGAGATGGAGTTTTGCTTTTGTCGCCCAGGCTGGAGTGCAGTGGTGTGATCTCTGCTCACTGCAAGCTCCGCCTCCTGGGTTCAAGCGATTCTCCTGCCTCAGCCTCCTGAGTAGCTGGGACTTCAGGCGCATGCCACCATACCCTGCTAATTTTTGTATTTTTAGTAGAGACAGGGTTTCACCATGTTGGCCAGACTGGTCTCCATCTCCTGACCTCATGATCCACCCCCCTCGGCCTCCCAAAGTGCTGGGATTACAGGCATGAGCTACTATGCCCGGCCCTCCCATGTACTTCAAATCATCTCTAGATTACTTATAATACCTAATACAATGTAAATGCTATGAAAATAGCTATTATACTGTATCGTTTAGGGAATAATGACAAGAAAAAAGTCTGTACATGTTCAGTACAGACACAATTTCTTTTAAAATATTTTCAATCTGAGGTTGGTTGAATCCATGGTGGAGGAACTCCTGGATATGGCTACAGAGCGCTGACTGAGTCATACTCAGCATAACAACATTGAGGTCAACAAGGGACTGCAAATATGGTAGTGGTCTCATAAGATTATAATGGAACTGAAGATTTCTATCACCTAGTAACTTCATAGTGTCATAGCGCAATGCATCCCTAGCATGTGTGTGTGGTGATGCTGGTATAAAGAAGCCTACTATGCTGCCAGTCATGTAAAAGTGTAGCACATACTATTATGTACAGTGCATAATACCTGATCATTATAACAAACAGCTATGTTACTGGCTTATGAATTTGCTATACTATACTTTTTATTATTATTTTAGAGTGTACTCCTTCTACCTATAAAAAAGTTAACTGTAAAACCAATTACAGATAGATAGACAGATAGATGAATAGGTGGATGGATAAGTGGATGGATAGATGGATAGATAGACGGATGGATGGATGGATGATAGATGGACGAATAGATAGATAGATAGATAGATAGATAGATAGATAGATAGATAATCACAGTGTTACTTTGAGGAATGAATGAATGAATATATGCAAAGCACTTGGAACAGTGTCTGAACCATGGGAAAGGCTCGATGTGTTTGCTATCATTATAATTCTGTATCTTAGCCCAACAAATGGAACATGAGTTATTAACCACCTACCTTCTGAGAAAATGATAATAAAAGAGCTTATCTGCAAATAGTACCTTCTAAGAGCTCTGCAAAGTGCAGTTCAAACGTTGCTTCCCTTGAGGGTCCCTCCCTGACTCCAGACTGAGTTTCTCATTCTTTCCTCTCGGCTGCATCTGTTTTTGCTGTGTATATTTCATATTTTATGTAAATAGATACAACCTATTTAATCTACTAAATTTTTTAAATTACATGCTTTATGCTGAGTTAATTACAGACTCACAGGCAGTTGTGAGGAATAATACAGAAAGACCCACTGTACCCTTCACCCAGTTTCCCCCATTGGTAACATTTTGCAAAACTGTAGTGTAATATCACAACTAGGATATCAGCGTTGATGCATTTCACATACAGGACAGTTCAATCACCATAAAGATCTCCCTGATGCCCTTTTATAGCCACACCCACCTCTCACCTTTCTCCCGCATCTTGTCCCTAAGTCTTGTGACCACTAATGTGTTCTCTGTTACTTTATCATTTCAAGAATGCCATATAGGCAGCAATGAGGCAAGGCCGTGTATTCTACTATTCTACCATATATTCTTGATTTTTTTTTTTTTTTTTTTTTTTTTTTGGAGATGGAGTCTCACTCTGTCACCCAGGCTGGAGTACAGTGTCACGATCTCGGCTTACTGCAACCTCCCCCTGCCAGGTTCAAGCGATTCTCCTGCCTCAGCCTCCCAAGTAGCTGGGACTACAGGCACGTGCCACCACACCCGGCTAATTTTTTGTATTTTTAGTAGAGATGGGGTTTCATCTTGTTAGCCAGGATGGTCTCGATCTCCTGACCACGTGATCCGCCCGCCTCAGCCTGCCAAAGTGCTGGGATTACAGGCGTGAGCCACCGTACCCGGCCTATTCCTGCTATCGTACTTCACCTTACTTCTTCTGGGGAAGCCTCTTCCCTGCCTCTAATCATTTCTTTGTGCAGTCTCTGAATGGTCTTTCAAACAAAAGTGTGAATAAAAGCTCCCTGAAAACTTCAAGATAGATAATGGATTTTAGTATAACAGAGTAAGAAAGGTTCACTAATAGACTTTTAGATTTCATATTGCAACTAATCTCTAAAAACTCTCGTCACCTGTCAAGTTTTGGTGTAGTATTAAAAAGGAATATCTATACATATTTGAAAAGACCATTAAAATACTCTTCTCTTTTTTAACTACACATCTAAGTGGGGCTGAATTGTCTTCAGATACTTCAACTAAACTAACATATAGTAAGAGATAGAATGCAGAAGCAGATATGAGAATCAGCTGTCTTCCATTAAGCCAGATATTAGAGATCTGAAAAATGCAAAACAATTCCACTTTTCTCACTAATTTTTCTTTGTTTTAGAAAATACAGTTGTTTTCATAAAAATATGCTATTTGTATTAGTTTGCATTGGCTATGTTGCTGTTTTCAAATGAATTAAATAGTTTTAAATAGCTCTGTTTCAGTTTATGACACATTAAATATTAATTAATATACCAAAAAAGAATGTTATATAAGTGGAACTATGCAGTATGCAACCTTTTGAGATTAGCTTTTATCATTTAGCATAATTTTTTATTTTTTAAATTTAGCATAATTTCCTTAAGCTTCATCCAAGTTGTTGCATGTATCAGCAGTTTGTTCCTCTTTATTACTGAGCACCATTCCATGGCATGGATGTACCACAGTTTGTTTACCCACTCACCTATTGAAGGACACCTGAGTTGTTTCCAGTTATAACAAATAAAACCTCAGGTACAGATTTTTGTGTGAACATATGTTTTTCATTTCTCTGGGATAAATGCCCAGGAGTAGAGTTGCTGCATTGTGTGGTAGAGGCATGTTTAATTTGTTTAAGAAACTGCCAAACCATTTTCCAGAGTGGTAGGATCATTTTACATTCCCACCAGCAATGGTAAGAGGCCCACTTTCTCCTCATCACCATTTGGTGGGGATAGACAGACATTTATGTTATCTATTCTGACAGATATGTAACGGTATGTCGTTGTGACTTTACATTTCCCCAATGGCCAATGGTACTGAACATCTTTTCATGTACTTATTTACCATCTCTATATCTTCTTCAGTGAAACGCCTATTCCTTTCTTTTGCCTATGGTCTAAATGGATTTTTTTTAACTGTGGGGTTTGCAGAGTTCATGATGTATTCCAGATGAGAGTCCTTTGTCAGATATTTGGTTTACAAATATTTTTCCCAATCTGTAGCTTGTCTTTGCATCCTCTTAATAGGGTCTTTCATAAAGCAAAAGGTTTTAATTTTTATGAGATCCAATTTACCAATTTTTCCTTTATGGATCACACTTTTGGAATTGAGTATAATAACTCTTTGCCTAGACCTAGGTCTCAAAAACTTTCTCTAATGTTTTTCTTTTACAAGTTTTCTAGATTTACCTTTTCCAATGCACACTGTGCTCCATTTTTAGCTAATTTTTGTATAAGATATGAGACTTGGGTCAAGGTTCTTCTTTTTTCCTGTTTTCTTTTTGCCTGTGGATGTCTAATTGCTTTAGCATCATTGCTGAAAAGCCTATTGCTATGGTTGGAATGTGTCCCCTGAAGTTTGTCTGTTGGAAACGTAATCCCCAATGCAACAGTGCTGGGAGGTGGGGTCTAATAGGAGCTCTTTAGACATCAGGGCTCTGCCTTCATGAATGGATTAATGTCATTATCGCCAGAATAGGTTTGTCATAAAAGCGAGTTGGGCCCCCTGTCACTGTCTCTCCCTTGCCATGTGATGCCTTCTGCCTACGTGATGATGCAGCAAGAAGGACCACACCAAATGTGGCCCCTCAATCCCGGACTTCCCAGCCTCCATAACCGTGAGCCAAATAAATCTCCGTTGATTATAAATTACCCAGTCTGTAGCATTCTGTCATAGCAACATAAAACAGACCAAGACAGCTGTCTCTCCTTCATTGAATTGCTTCTGCACCTTTTCAAAAATTGGTTATATTGTGTGCATCTATTTATTGGTTCTTTGTTCTCTTCCATGAATCTAGGGGTCTATCCCTCAGCAATAACACGCTGTCTCGACTATTGCAGCTCTAAAATGAGGCATGTTGCTCTGTCACCCAGGCTGGAGTACAATTGTGCAATCATAGCTCACTGCAGTCTTGAACTCCTGGACTCAAGCAATCCTCCAACCCCAACCTCCCAGGTAGCTGCGACTACACAAGCCTGCCACCGCACCTAGCTAATTAAAAAATTTTTTTTTGGTAGAGATGAGGTCTCCCTATATTACCCAGGCTGGTCTTGAACTCCTGGCCTCAAGCAATCCTCCCATCTTGGCCTCCCAAGGTGCTGGGATTACAGTGTGAGCTACTGTGCTCAGCCTACCTTTCTCCTTCTCTTACAAGATTATTTCAGCTATTCTAGATCCTGAGCCTTTCCATATTCATTTTAGCATAAGTTTGTCTATGTCTACAAAAAACCTTGCTAGGTTGCTATAGCATTTTGATTTGCTTCCATCCAACATCCAAAGTATGATTTGGTCAAGAAAGGCTGGGTGCAGTGGCTCACGCCTGTAATCCCAGCACTTTGAGAGGCCGAGGCAGGCGGATCACAAGGTCAGGAGATCGAGACCATCCTGGATAACACGGTGAAACCCCGTCTCTACTAAAAATACAAAAAAATGAGCCGGGTGTGGTGGAGGGCGCCTGTAGTCCCAGCTACTTGGGAGGCTGAGGCAGGAGAATGGCATGAACCCGGGAGGCGGAGCTTGCAGTGAGCCGAGATTGCGCCACTGCACTCCCGCCTGGGTGACAGAGTGAGACTCCTCAAAAATAAAATAAAATAAAATAAAATAAAATAAAATAAAATAAAATAAAATAAAATAAAAAAGTATGATTTGGTCAAGAACATCTACAGGGTATCCTCATTTGACCATGACATATTCAAGGTAGAAAATCCATCTCATTTATCTTTGTAACTGCCAAGCACCCAGCACGATGACATATAATAATAGGTGCTCAATAAATATTTGTTGGGTGAGTGCACAAATGGGTGCCCCAAAATACACTTTCATGCAAAAACAGACAATTTTGCAGTAAACAGACTCCAGCCTTTTATTTTGTTTGCTCTCAGCTCCTTTATACTTTAAGCTCATCTCACTCATTTCTACTAGGTTTCCTTCCGAAAACCCACAGCGGGCCTAGACCATTTTGGTCAAATTTGAGCTGATTGCATCACTTCCATGGACAAAATCTTAGAAAACTACTTATTCTATATACTGAATAAGATTCACATCCCTCTATACTCTTCCCATACACACAGAGAGACAACCTGTGTCATCAGCCAGGAAGGAAATATTTGCTGAGGTCTTAGCCTGTACTAGGGACTGTCAACAATGAAAAGAATGGTAAAATATTATTTCTGCCCTGAAAGAGTTTGAAATGTGAGTTTGTTATTTGAGGACTCTATGACGCATATTCTGTTCATTATATAATTGCTCACCTTTTCACTTCTCTTCAGCTGAGTCATGAATCTTCTTCGTTTCTGTTCCAGTGCTTTAGCTGCAGGGGGCAGTTTCTGGCCTGTGCACTATAGGCCACGGCTGATGCCACGTCATCCCCCAGGATTTTGGGAGAAAAGCCCTCGACTTCTCTCCAACTCTCTCCTTTTTCTCTAGGATGAGGCCAAAATACACATATTTGTTTTCACCTCTTATCCAAGTATATTGAAAGGATTAATGAGAGTGCTTTAAAGCCCTTTGATAAGGCATGGTATATTGCCAAGGTAATCAACGATTATGTTTTCTTATATGAAAGTTAAAATAAGCCACAGGAAGGAGTCTAGCCTTCCACGTTTACCGGCGTTTATTTTTGAACGCTGTTTTCTTTGCCATTCACCATTAGGAAAACAGAGTCTGAGTACTGTGACTTTAAGGGCCTATAAACCTATAAATCTTCCTCCCAGGTCAGGGTAAATAATTCTCCTTTCTACCATAATTGGGGAAGTCAGAAGTGTGCTCAGTGTGTGGCTTGAAAGATTCTTTGCCAAAATTCTACCCCAGTGGACAAGCCTGGGCTTTCATGAGGGGATCTCAACTTTCTCAGCCTCTTGGCAGCTGGCAATGCCGCCTTGAAATGCCTTCCTTTGCTTCCATGACATCCCTGGGGACCCCTTCTCCATATCCTTCAGGGGACCTTCCTCCGCAGCCCAGCCTCTGAATGCTGGTGGCCCCCAGTGCTCGGTCCAGGTCCTCTCCTTCCTCACCCTTCACTCTTCTTGGGTAAGCTCACATGCTCTCATAGCTGTAGAGACCTTTTAGAAGGGGCACATTCTCCTTGTTTCTATGTGGAAACCCTCTCTAGAATATTCCCTCAGCCCCTGGCCTCTTCATTTCACTTACTGGTGGTCTTTAGAGGAAGAATTGGGCAGGCTCCTCTGGGCCCCTCACTCTGCCTCAGAAGTCCATCCACCTACCTGCCCTCTGCCTTCTGCTGTCTGCCCTGGATGAGGGTGAAAGGAAAAGGCTGACTATTGTCCATCTGGGCCAGTGACCGGATGTGCAAGGCCACCTAATTTTGAGGGAAGTATTAACAGGCCCATCTGGACACAAATCTAGGGCCACAGCCTCTGATTGGCTTCATCAGCACGAACGCTGACATTTAATCTCCATCTGCCCACAGCTAGGTTTACCTCTCAGTTGGTTCTACGCTCAGTGGGGATGAAGGGTGCTCTGTTGACCCTCTCCCTTTCCCCCACCCCACACTATCTAGTTATCAGACAAAATGGACTTTGAGAAAAAAAATTACCAAAGAAGGATCTTTTATAAGGATAAAGGCATTAATATACTAAGAAGACAAAGAATCCTATGAGGGTGTGTGTCTTGTAACAGAGCTTAAATATCCCTGAGGAAAAAATTGACAGAAATAATCCACAATCATAGATGAATATGAATATGAATATCTTAGGATAGGGCTGCTAGAAAAAAATCAAGAAAAAGATAGATGGACTGAACAACACTATTAACCACTTTTATATAATTGCTATTTATAGAATCTATATCTACCAGTTACAACTGCAGAATACACATTCTCTTCAAGCACATGTGGTTTGTTGACCAAAATAGACCATATGCTGGACCATAAAACAAGGTTCAATAAATTGAAGAGGATTTATATTTTATAGAGCCTATTCTCTGATTAAAACAGAATTACATAGAAATTAAAAACAATAAGATAAGTAGACACCAAATATTTGGAAATGAAACAATTCACTTCTAGAGAATCAATAGGTCAAAGAAGAAATCATGACGGCAATTAGAAAATACTTGGAACTAAATGATAATGAAAAAGGTAAAAATTTGTGGAATGTAAGCAAACAGTGGTTAGAGAGAAAGTTATACCTTTAAGTGCTTATACTGGGTCAGGTGGTGGGAGGGTGTACAAAAACAGAGACTTAAGAGTCCACAATAAGAAACTAGAAAAAGAAGAGCAAAGTGAGCCCAAAGTAACTAGAAGAAAGGGAATAATAAAGATAAGAGCAGAAAAAGAACACAGAACTGAGAAAATTAGCAAAGAGAATGAAGTTTGACAAGAGTGCCAAGACAATTTAATGAGAAAAATGTCTTTTCAATTAGCTGTGCTGGGACAACTGGATATCCACATGCAAGAGAAAGAAGCTGAGCCACTGCCTCACACCATATACAAAACATAAGCCAAAATGGAGCAGTGTCTTCAAGGTAAATCCATAAAATGCCTAAAAGAAAATATAGGAGTAAATCCTTGGGTCCTTAGGCAATGGCTTCTTAGATATGACACAAAAGTGACAAAAGAAAAAATAGATATATTGGAATTCATCAAAGTTTTAAACTTTTGTGCTTCAAAGGATACCATCAACAAAGTGAAAAGACAACCCACAGAATGGGAGAAAAGATTTGCAAATCATACATCTGATAAGAGACTTGTATCCATAATATATAAAGAACTCTTACAAGGCAACAATAAAAAGACATTTTAGTTTTAAAATGGACAAAAGTTTGAGAAAGATATACAAATGAGCAATAAGCTCCTGAAGAGATGTTCAACATCATGAGTCATTAGGGAAATGCAAACCAACTGCAATGAGATACCACGTCACACCCACTAAGAAAGCTGCAATCAGAAAGTCACATCCTAACAGAGTTAGCAAGGATGTAGAGCGATTGGAACCCTCACACATTGCTGGTAGGATTATAAGATGGTGCTGCTGCCCTGGACAACAGTTTGAAATGTCTTCAAAAAATTAAACACAGAATTACCATATGACCCAGCAGCTCTACTTCCAAGGAAGTAGAGCTACTTCAATTCTACTTCCAAGAGAATTGAAAATACATATCCTCATGAAAACCAACTGTGTTTGTTTTTTCTTTTCTTTTTTTCTTTGAGGCAGGGTCTCACTTTCTCACCCAGCCTGGGGTGCAGTGGCACAGTCATGGCTCACTGCATCCTCGATCTCCTGGGCTCCAGCAAGCCTCCTGCCTCAGCCTCCCAAGTAGCTGTGACCATAGGCAAGTGGCAACACACCCGGCTAATTTTATTTATTTATTTATTTTTGAGATGAAATCTCAGTCTGTTGCCCAGGTTGGAGTGCAGTGGCACGATCTCAGCTCATTGCAACCTCCACCTCCTGGGTTCAAGCAATTCTCCTGCCTTAGCCTCCTGAGTAGCTGGGACTACAGGCATGTGCCCCCAGGCCCAGCTAATTTTTGTATTTTTAGTAGAGATGGGATTTCACCATGTTGGCCGGGCTGGTCTCTAACTCCTGACCTCAGGTGATCCACCCACCTTGGCCTCCCAAAGTGATGGGATTACAGGCATGAGCCACTGCTCTCAGCCATTTTTAAATTTTTTGTAGAGATGGGGTTTCACTATGTTGCCCAGTCTGGTCTCAGACCGCCAGGCTTAAGCAATCCTCCCATCTCAGCCTCCCAAAGTGCTGGAATTACAGGCATGAGCCACTATACCTGGCCTCCTCACAAAATTTGTACAAAGTGTTCATAGCAGCATTTTTCATAGTAGCTGAAAAGTGGAAACAACCCAAATATCCATTAACTGATGAATAGAAAGATAAAATGTGGCATATCCTCATGATGGAATATTATTTGGCCATAAAGAGGAATGAAGTACTGATATGCTACAACATGGGCAAACCTTTTATATCATGTTGTAAGGCATGATAAATAAAAAAGGTCAGACAGAAAAGGCCACATATCTATGATTCCATTTATTAAAATGCCCAGAATAGGTCAATCAGAGATAGAAAGTGGATTCATGGTTGCCAGGGACTTGGAGAAGAGGGGAATGGGAAGTGACTGCTAGTGGGCATAGCAAATCAAATCCAACTCTTGATCTATCTACAACTGTAGCTATAATTACAACTAGAATTACATCGAATGTACCAAGACAAAGTAAAGTTTATTCCAGGAATTCAAAGTTGGTTCAATATTAGAAAATTAACCACTGTAATTCAGGATGTTAATAAAATAGAAAAACAATGTGGTTATTTCAATAACTGCAGAAAAAGCATATGAGAAAATTCAACACTCACTCATGATAAAAATGCTCATAGTAGCACAAAATTGGAAACAACCCAAATGTCTATGAACAAGTGAGTGCTTGAACAAAATGTGGTGTTTCCATACAGTGGAATACTAATCAGTAATAAAAAGGAGTGACTTATTGACATGCATGATAATATGGATGCATCTCAAAATCATTATGCTGAGGGAAAAAAAGCCAGACAAAAATAAGTACACACTGTGTGGTTCCATTTGTGTAAAACTCTAGATACGTGGTCAAGGGTAGAAAGAGACTGCACAGGAGTGCAGGGAAGCTTTGGGACTGATGGAAATATTCTGAATATTCATTGCGACAGTGATTTCATGTTCACATCTGCCAACATTTATCAAACTGCTTATTTTAAATACAGGCAGTTTATTGCACATAAGTTATGCCTCAATAAATTGGACAAAATAAAGATCATGCACCCAATCCCAGCACTTGGGGAGGCCGAGGCAGGCGGATCACGAGGTCAGGAGATCGAGACCATCCTGGCTAACACGGTGAAACCCCGTCCCTACTAAAAATACAAAAAAGTAGCCAGGCGTGGTGGCGGGCGCCTGTAGTCCCAGCTACTTGGGAGGAGGCTGAGGCAGGAGAAAGGTGTGAACCCAGGAGGCAGAGCTTGCAGTGAGCCAAGATAGCGCCACTGCACTCCAGCCTGGGCAACAGAGTGAGACTCCGTCTCAAAAAAAAAAAAAAAGAAAAGAAAAGAAAAAAAATAAGATCATGCAGCCAGAATTACTGGGAAAAGTATTATAGAAGTGTTTAAGGTAAATAATTAATGAAAATATTATGCTAATTTCTGGATTTTATGTTTGTGGTATTTGTAATGTTTTAAAATTTCAATTCCTAAGAGGAAATACAGGAAAAATGTTCCATATCTGCCCCTGTTTTTGCTCAGCCACTGACTTTTGGAGTTCTTCAGGCCTGGAGTCTCTCTCATCTTCTCACTCCACCATCTCCATACTTGATCTCATCCTGTCCACCTCTTCATTTTTGACTTGATTATTGACATCTCATCAGTTCACAACTCTAGCCCAGAATGCTCTTCTGAGCTCCAAACCTATGATAAGTAGACCTACTGCTGTGTACTTAACATCTCTTCAATGTCCAAAGTCCTTTTAAGCTCAACATCTCCAAAATTGTCCATATGATCTTCTCCCCACCAAACCCAGTTCTCCTCCATTGTTCCTTTTTTCAGTTGATTTAACTTCTCTCTATCAACCGCAATGGGAAAGCCAGAAACCCTGAGGTCATCGTCTCCTTCCACCACCTCCAATGCAACACCATTGACTTTGTTGATTCTCTGCATCCCAAACAGTCACCAGGGTCCATGGTCTGAACCATCTGCTCCTGCCTGGACTAGGACTCCTCATGGTTGACCATGTCCATTCTGATCACTCCTTCTCCTCCCCACCGCCTCAGTGACCTCTGAAATGCAAATTTACTCATGTCACTTCCCTGCTCACTACCTTTCAGTGGCTCCCATTGCTCTTAGAATCAAGACCAAAATCTTTAACCTTTCTTTCAGGCAAGTCTGATATTCAGCCAAGGCATACCAGAATGGCTGTTCCAATGGTTAAGATATTGAAAGACTTTTGTATTATTAGCAATCATTCATAGGAAGGAGGCCTCCCACAATACTATGCCTGAAAGGGGGCATGAAGGCCCTTTAGCACACTAGTCCTGAGTGCCCTACCTTGTCCAGGGCAGGTGGCCACAATGGACAAGCCAGTGTCTGACCCCTGGTGGCCCTGTGTACTGGCTCTGCATCTCAAAATGATGAGTCCTAGCATCGGCCTCCAAGCTGCCTGGCTACTGTTAATGCACACATCACGGCCTCTGTCTCAGTGCTTGAATGCCAGGACAGCAGGGATTTGGATTCAGCAGAGCAAGTTTTCTGAAGGTAAGCCTCATGAAGCTGTGGTTAGCTAAGGAGATTGTATAGTTCCGCAAAGACTTTTAAAAACAGGAAGCCAGCAGAAGGATTTTTTTCTTACCCCAAAAGTTTTCCCCTAATAAAAGGTCTTTCTTACATGTCTTTCTTATATTTGGTTCTTATTTATACTTTCTATTTCTTTGCTAAGACTTTCTGTTCTTTTATTTATTTTAAGTTTGATCAAAATTGTCCACTGAGGGGCCGGGCGCAGTGGATCACGCCTGTAATCCTAGCACTTTGGGAGGCGGAGGCGGGTAGATCACTGGAGATCAGGAGTTCGAAACCAGCTTGACCAACATGGTGAAACCCTGTTTCTACTAAAAATGCAAAAGAGTTAGCCAGGCATGGTGGTGGGCGCCTGTAACCCCAGCTACTCGGAGGCTGAGGCAGGAGAATCGCTTAAATCCGGAAGGCGGAGGATGCAGTGAGCAGAGATTGCACCATTGCACTCCAGCCTGGGTGACAGAGCAAGAAGTCTCCCTTAAAAAAAAAAAAAATTGTCCATTGATATATTTTAAAAAATAATATCTGTTTTAAAGTCCTTGTTAGGTAATTCCAATATCTGTGTCATGTACCTAATGGTGTTTGTTGATCTTGTTTTCTCATTCAAGTTAATATTGGATCTTAGTTTCCCAGTCCCTAGTATGATGAGTAATTTTCAACTATATCCCGGACATTTAGGGTACTATGGTATAGGACTCTTAATCTTATTTAAATCTCTATTTTAACAGTCCTTCACTGACACCACCATTGTGGGGAGGAGGAAGGAGCCTTTCTTGTGTCTATTCAGTCTCTTCATAAGGGACACTTTCTAGCACTAAATTTATCATGGAAAAAGAAGAAATCACACAGCAACAGTTAACTGCCCTGCACATCGTGCTCACCAAAACATATCAGTTGGAATAAATAAGGCATTTCTGTACAGCCCGGGAACAATTTTCTCCACTATTTTTTAAGTTATAGGCTTTACAAATTGGCTTTCCTCTTTGATAACTCTGTTCATTCTACTTTCCCCCATGTATTATTAAAAAAGTATTCAATGATTTCAATTCCTCCTGGAAATCCTGGTGCTCCTTGCTTTGAAATGAACTTCCGTGTGTGTGTATGTGTGTATGTATGCCTCTCTTTTCCTGCAGTGCCATACACTCAAGAGTAAGTGAGAAATCTATTTAATTGTTGTATCTCCAGAACCCAGCAGAAGCCTTGAACCATAGTAATCTCTTAAAGCATTGCATTGAAACTAAACTCTAGAATAGTTCGTGTAACTTTTTAAAATTCAAGATTCAGAAGAGAGATTTAAAAGTGTCACAAGCAAAGTTTCTCAACATCATTAATACTCAAAGAAACATAAATGTACATAAAAGAAACAACAATGAGCCTCTCATATTGCCAAAGATTAAAAACACTGCTTATGCTACAGCTGATATTCAACATATAAGCATTCATCCAACAGGTGTCTGCTGGATGGGTGGGGTGTGTGTCTCTCTTGCTGATGGGCTTCTGTTGTCTCTGGTCTTCGGTACTCATACCTGGCTAGTTGTTATTTTACCATCTAGTGGGTATTTTAAAATCCATACCTGGGTTATACTCTGTGTTAGTAGAGGTGAGGTCAGGTGTTGGTGGTAGTGTGAATTAAAACACTTTTGACGGTGGCCTGCACCTGTAGCCCCAGCTACTTGGGAGGCTGAGGCAGGAGGGTCACTTGTTCAGGCTGGACAACATAGTGTCTCTAAAAAAATTTTGGAGAGTAACTTAGCAATATTTATCAAGGTATACATACCCTTTGACCCAGCAGTTCAATACCTGCAGATATACTCACATAAATGCACAAAGATAGATGTATAAGGACTTTCCATGCAGCATTTCCATGCAGTGTCGGCACCACGCTGGAAATGTCGTAAACACTTATCAGTAGGGATTTATGTCCAGGCATCAGCTTCATGGGTGTGTAGCAGCAGCTTCCTCATCCCTGGGTTGCAGCCACGAACTCAACAACCCCAATGGCGGCTCCTGCTTCCCCCTCTCACTGACCATGGCAGAGGGAGCAGCTCCCTGAGAGGCCTGTATGGTGGAAGAGTTCTGGGAGTCCCTTCTGGAAACCCAACCTGGAGCTCACTCCTCTGGTCCATCCAGTGATTTGGTAAATTTCTGAGTTCTAGAACATACCACCATGGCTGTGATCCTAGGAACAGGATGCCCCCAGCACCCAGAATACTGGCAGCTAGACATAGGAAAGTCTTCTGCTGCAGCAGCATGAGCTGCCTGCAGGAAGTAGCCAGGAGCATTTGCAGGGACTTCTGCCTCTGACTGTCTTCCAGGTCATGTGCAAACACTTGTGGAAGGTCCAGCTGGAAGGAAGCATAGAAAGTAAGGTTTTTCACTTTCCAGCCCCGTGATGCAGAAAGGTAATACTAGAAGGAGATGGAAGAGGATGGCAAGTGCCAATTAAAAATATCCAAACCCTATCAATATAATTTCTTTCTTTTTTTTTTTTTATCTGTTTTGAGACAGGGTCTTGCTCTGTCACCCAGGCTGGAGTGTAGTGGCACAAACATGGCTTACTGCAGCCTCAACCTCCTGGGTCCAGGTGATCCTCTCACCTCAACCTCCCATGTAGCTGGGATCACAGGCACATACCATGACACCTGGCTAATTTTCTTTATTTTTTGTAGTGATGGGGTCTCACTATGTTTCCCAGGATGATCTCGAACTCCTAGGTTTAAGTGATCCTCCCAGCTTGGCCTCCCAACATGCTGGGATTATAGGTGTGAGCCGCTGCACCTGGCCCACATTTCTTAGTTCTTTAATATACTAGGGAACTCAAAAATTGGAAATGGCCATGCAGCCTTTGAGAAACACTAGTGATAGTAGGATGAAAAGAGACCTACTTAAAAAAATTTTTTTTCAGTTTCCATTCATTTTTGGCTAAGTTCTTGAACCTCTTTCCCCACTGCTCAGTCTGCCTCCCACAACACTTCTGAAGTCTCAGCCTAAATTGTGTAGGCACCTAAGCAAAAAGAACAAATCTGGAGGCATCACATTGCCCAACTTCAAACTATACTATAAGACTGTAGTTACCAAAACAGCATGGTACTGGTATAAAAATAGGCACATAGACCAATGGAACAGAATAGAGATCCCAGAAATAAAGCCAAATACTTACAAGCCAACTGATCTTTGACAAAGCATACAAAAGCATAAAGTGGGGAAAGAACTCTGTATTCAATAAATGGTGCTGGGATAACTTGCAAGCCACATGTAGGAAAATTAAACTGGATCCTCACTTCTCACCTTATGCAAAAATCAAATCAAGATGGATCAAAGACTTAAATCTAAGACCTGAAACCATAAACGTTATAGAAGATAATATCAGAAAAAATCCTGAAGACATTGGCTTAAGCAAAGAATTTATGACTAAGAACCCAAAAGCAAACGCAACAAAAACAAAAATAAATAAATAGGACCTAATTAAGCTAAAAAGCTTCTGCACAGCAAAGGAAATAATTAGCAGAGTTAACAGACAACCCACAGAGTGGGAGAAAATATTTGCAAACTATGCATCTGACAAAGGACTAATATCCAGGGTCTACAAGGAACTCAAACAAATCAGCAAGAAAAAACAAATAATCCCATCAAAAAGTGGACAAACAACATGAATAGGCAATTCTCAAAAGAAGATATACAAATGGCCAAGAAACATGAAAAAATGCTCAACATCGGTAATCATCAAGGAAATGCAAATCAAAACCACAATGTGATACCATCTTACTCCTGCAAGAATGGCCATAATTTCAAATTCAAAAAACAATAGATGTTGGTGTTGATGTGGTGAAAAGGGAACACTTTTACACTGCTGGTGAGAGTGTAAACCAGCACAACCACTATGGAAAATAGTATGGAGATTCCTTAAAGAACTCAAAGTAGATCTACCATTTGATTCAGCAATCCCACTACTGGGTATCTACCCAAAGGAAAAGAAGTCATTATATGAAAAAGACACCTGCACACACGTTTATGGCAGTACAATTCGCAATTGCAAAAATATGGAATCAGCCTAAATGCCCATGAGTGAATAAAGAAAATGTGGTGTATATACACGATGGAATACTACTCAGCCATAAAACGGAATGAAATAGAGGCCTTTGCAGCAACTTGGATGGAGCTGGAGGCCATTATTCTAAGTGAAGTAACCCAGGAATGGAAAACCAAATATCGTATGTTCTCACTTATAAGTGGGAGCTAAGCTATGAGGACACAAAGGCATAAGAATAATATAATGGACTTTGGGGACTCGGGGGAGGAGGTGGGGAGGATAAAAGACTGCATATTGGGTACAGTGTACACTGTTCAGGTGACAAGTGCACCAACATCTCTGAGATCACCACTAAAGAACTTATCCATGTAACCCAAAACCACCTGTTCCTCAAAAACTATTGAAATAACATTTAAAAATAAAAATAAATAAATTGTGTAGGCATGTGAATGTTTTGCAGGGAGGTTCTTTTAAATCAGCATCTCAAAGGAGCATAAGACCCCAAAAAGCTTGCCAACCACTGTGCTGAGGGAAGCAGGAACAATTGTGACCATCCTCAGCCAGAGTGGAGTGGAGCTGTCCGGGACCATGTGTGCTGGTGGCAGGTGGGATTCAGGTTCTGCAAAGGCCCCAGCCCCCTCAATCCCGTTTCCTTCCAGAGTCCCTTATTTGTTGACCCTTAAGAGCCAAATTTGGTTGTGTAGCATGGTCACCTGTGGAATTTGTTAAATTCTAGTCCCCACTTTAACCCAGACCTACTGAACCAAAATTATGAAGAGAGAAACCAGTTGAACCAGAAATCTTAATCTTTAACATACTTGATGAGTGATTCAGGTGCAGTTCCCAAATTTGGGAACCAGAGTGCAGAGAACTGTGTGCTTGGTTGCTGCCAGGCCCTATTTCCTCCCTGGTGCTCCCTGCCCCATGCCAGCGGCTGGCCCAGACACAGGGCAGCCAAGACACACGCTTGGGGACAGGTTAGCCTTGGTCAGTCCCTCTGGGACTCATGGTGCCATTGCCCAACGTGCCCTTCAGGCTTCCTGTCTGGAGTAATGGGGACTCTTGCCTTCTACAAGGTATTGGGAAAGACTGACTCACGTCAAGAACTTTGAAATCTGCAGATAAAAGGCAATGCCCTGTTCCCTCCCTGAACTGTCGTCACAGACAGTGTTCTGTGAAGAGATCTCAGCCACCCCTTTTGCAGACTGTCTACAAATGACTGCCTGTCATCTGTTATCCTGTTATTGTTCCCATCCCATGCTGCTGTGCAAGGACCTCACTGCAGAGGACGTCTTCACAAGTGTGATCCAAAATGTCTCTAGCGGGATCTCCCTCAGCTGTGGAATCAGCTAAGTTTAACCCTATTGTCATCATCCTGTGGACCTTAAACACACTTTATTATACCTAAGAGCAGTCAGCGTTCCATAGGGTGAAGGGCGAGCGGATGACGTCTGCCCAAGGCGGCCAGATGTCGCCACGGGGCCAGTGGCTTTTATCCTGCGGCTGATGAATTTCGCATATATCAATATTTATCAGTTGGAATACTGTCAGTTTTATTAATGGAAACTGAATGACCGTAAATCATTCTGAGGGTAGGGAATCGGGGGAGGGAGGAAGCTCTGTTTGTACGCTTGCCAGCCAGGTGTGTTTCTTCATTCAGTGAACAAGTGTGGGCTGCTGGCCCACCAGACAGGGGGCCGGGGGACCGAGTGCCCACCGTTCCTTCTGCTGCATCATATCCCTGGCAGACGGGCAGAAGCAATTCACTAGCCTTCAAACCTCCTGGCCTTGTTTATAAGATAGTTTAATATTTGCTTTTCTTTCCACAGTGTTCAGAGCCATCGGGAGTAGTAGCACCTGCTGTCTTGGAGCTGGAAGACGCACAGTCAGCACTGCTGTTTGGTCCCTCAACCCCCTTCCACCATGGCAGGCTTATAGGCCGATTTCCTTGAGATCTAGTAATTTCTTCAACTTTAGATGAAATTGCATGAACGATAAATAACAGATCCATCTACTGAGCACCCACTATGTGTATGGGACTAGGACCTCTGTGACACCCTGGTGAGGTCAGCTCTATTCTGAGCCCCATGTTACAGGTGGAAAAACTGAGGGCCAGAGAGGTTAAGTAACTTGTCCAGGTTCCCACATCCAGGACGTGGCAGAGCCAGGATGACAAACCAAATTCAGCGTGTTTTCAGAACCTGGGCTCTTACAGTGACAGGCTGACCCGGGCTTCCTTAGATGGGGCCAGTGGCAAAGAGCCCCAGGAAACGTCCTGAGTTCATGAGCTTCAATCCAACACCACTGCTTTGGTCTCTCTTCCAAGGAGAGAGAACATTGGTGGTGAAGGAGAGTTGGTTCAGAAAATGGCCCTTCCTTTAGAGCTTTTCAAACTTTGACAGGTACCTGAATTGCCTGGGGAGCTTGTTCAAACATGGATTACTAAACCCACCACGATGTTCTGATTCCACAGGTCTGCGCTGGAGCCTGGAATTTGCATTTCCAAGAAGCTCCAAGGTGATGCTGGTGCTGCTGGTCTAGCGACCACACTTTGAGACCACTGCCATGGCCTGTGACATTCACCTGAAGTATCAAGCTAAGCAACACCGGGTCTCAGCCTCTGCTCTTCCCACCACTGGGTTACACACACTTTCCCAAGTCTTGGGATCCCAGAGGGATGTTCTCACTGTCCACATCTCCACCTGCAGAGTTCTGATAGTCACTCTCACCTCCAGTCACAATCCTTTCCAAAGGGGCACTGACACAGAAAACAGGAGGGACAGAACAATTTCTAACACAACCGAGCAGGTCAGGAACGGCAGGTAGCCTTTCCGGGCATACCACGGACCTGCTCTGTTTGTGGTAAGGACTTTCCCGCGTCCCTTAAGCCACACTCTATAGGATCACCATTTCTTCTGCCTTGTCAGACTAGCCTGATGCTCTTGATATCCGAGGCTACCGAACCAGTTTCCCTAGGACACAAGAGGGTGTACACGCCTGTAAAGAAAAAAAGAGTGCAACCAGGCGCATATAAGAAAAAACACAGATACAAGGGAAAAGCTGGGAGGTAGGGGGCTGAGGTGGCAGCTGAAGGAAATGATGAATTAAAGGCTGGCTTTCCCCATGGCAATCGCCTGTTCTGTGCATCAGCGAAAACAACCATAGGTGGCTTTTCCCTCCTTCATTTTCTTTCCAATTAAGTCCTGCATATTTCTTCACGTACTCACCTTAGGAAGGACCCTGGACCTCCCTCCGTCCACACCCTCCTTTCATCTGCCCCCTCCCATCACCACACCTGCCTCTGCCGGCAGAGTGACCTTTCCTCAGCAGGGCCTCCCTTCCAGCCAGCGGGAGGAGAAGGGCGTGCGCTGGCAGGTGGTCACGTAGGCGGGAATGCAACCTTGCTGTGCCCCTCCAGCACCACTGCAGACCCCCCAAGGAAAATGAAGTCCACCACTCCCCTGCAGACTCCTCAAGGGCAGAGAAGCACCCCACCACCCTGCAGACCCCTCAAGGAAAATGAAGCCCCCCGCCACAACTTTGCACACCTCTCAAGGCCAATGGTTGTGCCTTTTTGGCACAAAGTGAGGATTGAACTGAGGCTTCGTGAATGAGTTAAACGAATGACATTTTAGGTCTCATACAGGACAAACAGACACACTGCACATTTGCCTACACGACAGCCCTGTGCATGGCAACCCCCACTGACTGATGTGCGTCATGTAGATGCCCAGAGACCGCTGCTTTGGCTGGACCAAACCCCAAGGCCAGTGCGAGCAGGAGAATCTGCGTTCCACTCCCCCGCTGCAACTCAACACCCTTTCCCTCCCTCCCTCCTTTCCTTCCACAGTGATTCAGTGAGCATCACTCTGTGCCCAGCTTCTGGCTGGCCATTAAGGATTCCATGGTGAATGAGGCCATCATTCCAATCGCCAGCCACAGAAACCAGTGCCCCAAGAGGCCTCATTCCCTGGGCTGAGCCTAAGATGCACTCTTTGCAGAGCAGGGAAGGAATGGCTGTTGTTTCCAGAGCCCAGGATGAAACTGTGTGTGAGGGAACTGTTTCAGGCCTGGGGATAACAGGGCACACGTGGTTTCAATGTTTTATTCAAGCCTAGCATATACGCTGAGAAGGGCACCACTCACCAGCAGACAGACGTCCATACCCAGGTAACCAGCGACCAGATGGAGAAGCAGAACACGCCCCAGAAGCCGTCCCAGGCTCTGTTTTAACCACCACACCCTTTCCCCACCAAATATAGCCGCGATCCTACTTTGGAATAATATAAAACACCTTTGCCTGTTTTTGAACTTTATAAGTTTGTCTCTGCCTTCCTTTGCTCTACACCGTCTTTGTGAGGTTCATCCACATTTTTGCAGGTAGCTGAGTTAGTCATCCATCCACAATGAGGAGAGTATCCACTTGTCTGAATAAAACAGGATTTATTTTTCCCTTCAGCTGTTTTTGGATATTTGGGTAGTTTCCAGATTGGGTCTATCACAAATGGTACAGCTAAGGACAATCTAGTGTGTGTCTTTTGATGAACTGGACCCAAGAGTGAAGTGCTGAGTCATAGGGTGTGCATGTTTAGCCTCAGAGGGCATTGCCAAAGGGTTTTCAAAGTGGTTCTATCAATGCATATCCCATCTCATCGGCACTCAGTATGGTCTGTCTTCCTCCTGGTGCCATTCTGATAGGTGTGTACTGGTATAACATCCTGGTTTTGATTTGTGTTTCTCTAAAGGTTATTGATGTTAAGCATCTTTTTGTAAGTTTAATGGCCACTTGAACATCTTATCTTGTCCCCAGTTTTTCCTAACTTCTTGACTCTGGGGGAACTTTGCTTTATTTTTTGCTTCTTTTATTTTTTGTCAACATGAGTGAAAATTAGCTTCCACTTAATGTATGTCTGGCTCACATTTATGTACATGGCCAATCATCAGAGAAAATAAAGACTATATTAATAATGATGAAACATTACATTTTAAGTGCTTACTCAGTGTTATCTCATTTAATCTTCACAAACCCTCATGACCGTTTTTTATAAAAGAGAAAACTAAGGCCCAGAGATGTTAAGTAACTTACACCAGATCACACAGCTAAGTGTCTGAGTCAGGATTTAAAGCCAGGCAGCCTCGCTCCAGAGCTGCCTCACTCACCCTCTTTTGTGGCTGTAAAGTGGTGTGGGGGGCAGGTTCCCAGCCCCTGCCACCCACAGCGCTTTACACATACAAAAGAGACTGCCCACCTCCATCAACTGGCTAGAAATGGGTTTCTAGTGGTACCATAACGACGGTCTCCACTTGTCCCAGATTTTCCAAGACAGCCTTGATAGAGCAACCCTCTTCTACAGTCAGACATGCACCTGCATCTTTCGTTTGGAAGAGACAGGCCCTTATAACCATCGACCCATGTTCTAGATTGGAACTTTGAGGCTGCTGACTCCCTCCTGGGAACCCCACCTTCCAGTCATCTGCATTCCCTCTTGTTTCCTCTCCTGAATCCACAGCTCCTTTGAGGAAAGGAGCTATTGGTTATTCATTTTGATATTACCCTTTATAAAGGAACAGAGGGAGGAAAGTCGATGGTCTCATAAAAGCTTTAACTACTACCAAAATAAAAACTTATTCACCACTAATCTCTATCAAAAGCCACATCTACACAAGAGGAACATTGACTAAATATGTTGGAAATATCTAATGAAAACTATAAGCCTCTTTCCACCCCTTAACCCCTACCTTTAGGCTAAAACTATGGTAATAATAATAATAACAAAGTGTCTCCAACTATTTCATCATCAGATCTAAGCCACCATTTGAGTACACAGAGAGGCCTTGTGCCTTGGTCCAGAGACCAGCGAACTCCACTAAGAGGAAAGTAGAAAAATAGAGCAGAGAGTGAGCCAGCGTCAGCAGGTACTGCTCCTGCAGCTCTGTGCAGCCTGATCCCTGCAGAGCAGGGTGTAGGGACATGGCGCAGGTGGCCCTTAGGAAGATGGGCTCTTGCCTCCCACCCGCGTCTCCCTACCTTTGTCTCGCTGCCATGGCAAAAATTCCCTTGTCCCCCTCGCACGGCGTGCGATGGGGGAGTGGCTCGCTTCTTCAGTGCCCCGCTGCTCAAACCTCCAGGGGAGCATAGACGGGCAGGCTGTGGGACTCCGACCCCACGGCAGTGTCTAGGGGTGGATGTTTACAGCTCCTGAAGCCCCAGTGGGCGTGTGCTACCGGGTGCTCTATAGGCAGCTTGTGTTAACCAGCTCAGTCAGACTCTCTACCTCGTCACAAGGACAGAGGGCTTTCTGTATCCCAGGTTCTTGCCCTGGTGTACGGGAAGAATCGGATCACACGTGGGCTTGGAGAATGAGTGCAAGGTGTTATTGAGTGGAGATAGCTCTCAGCAGATGGGGGAGCCAGAAGGGGATGGAGTGGGAAGGTTTTCCCTGGAGTCGGGCCACTCGGCAGCCTGGACTCTCCTCCGACTGCCTCAGCCAAACTCTACGGACTTCTGCGGGTCGGTGGCCTGCCAGCGTGCTCAGCTTACCGACGGTCCTCTCCTCCTCCCCTGTCGACGTCCAGCCACCCGTGTGCTCCTCCGCTGATGTGCTTCTTTGGAAGACCAGCTGCCTGTGTGTCTGCCGCTCAGGGTTTTTACAGGCACAGGATGGGGGTGTGGCAGGCTACGGTGGTCTTGGGAAAAGCAACATTTGGGCAGGAAAACAAAAATGCCTGTCCTTGGCTAGGCGCGGTGGCTCACGCCTGTAATCCCAGCACTTTGGGAGGCCAAGGTGGGTGGATCACGAGATCAGGAGTTCAAGACCAGCCTGGCCAAGACGGTGAAACTCCGTCTCTACTAAAAATACAAAAATTAGCCAGGCACGGTGGCAGGCGCCTGTAATCCCAGCTACTAGGGAGGCTAAGGCAGGAGAATCGCTTGAACCCAGGGGACGAAGGTTGCAGTGAGCTGAGATTGTGCCACTGCATTCCAGTCTGGGTGACAGAGTGAGACTCCGTCTCAAAAACTAAAATAAAATAAAAAATGCCTGTCCTCACCTAGGTCCATGGTCACAGGCTGGCGGGGTTAGGGGGTGCGGTTGAAGGAGCCTGGCTGGGGGCGGGGGGGGTGGAGCTTGCCAGGGACCACGCCCTTCCCCCTTATTATTATTTAAGAGGACCACGCCCTTCCCTTCCCAGCACTTCCTTTCCCAGCTCTTCTCTGGCCCCATCCTGTATCATTGCCAACTCATAGACACCCTCCCTGGCTTTGATTGGAGCACCCTGGTGAGGCCCAGGCTTGGCTGAGCAGCCTGCTGGCTCCCCCACCAGCTGCACCTGTCTGTAGGAGCACGCTGGTAGCATACGGAGCAGCTGCTTGCTCTCCTGCTGCCTGCAGATTCCCCGGCTGTGTCTTGTTACTTCCCTGCAACTCCTCAGTGCCCAGGCAGATGTCTGGCTCGTGATCGGTTCCCGAGCTTTGCTGCTGGAAGCCTCCTCAATGGCTAGGGTCCTAGGAGCCTCAGCTTCTATAACTGGCTCCAAGTAATCAGGCCAGAAAATGGATCCAGCCATTGGTTTTCCAGAGAGAGGACTGAGAGGATGCCCACCGGGTTCTGATGCACAGTAGGAAATGAGATGAATGCACGGTACTCTCCTGTACTAATCTGATGGGGGACTGGTTTGAGTGATAAGTGGATTTTGCAGCAGGGACACAACATGCTTTAGTGCACCTTCTCGTTCTTCCCTAGACCCAGGAGAAAGAGAAAAATGGGAATGAAAGGCAAAGAGGGACGTAAAGAGAGATTATTTCTCTCTACCAGAGTTCCACAACTGCTGGCCAGGGAGGAGGGTCAGGTCAGAGAAGGCACTGCCCTGCCATCCACCCCGGCTGTGTGTACCTGTTGCCTCAGGCTGTCCTACAGAGAGGCAATGGCCCTCTCTTTCTCCTGAGTAAAAGGCTCAGCTGGTGCGGGCTGACTGTTTTCGGGCATTGTCAGGAAAGCAGGAGTCTGGCAGCTTAAACCTGGTTGGTATGACCAGACACATTGAGGGATGGAGCCTTTTCAAAGCCTGTTGCTCAAAGCCAGCCACCTACTCACACACATTTCAAACATAGCCCCGGGCCCTAATTCAAACTGCAGCATTTCACTCAGTTCTCAGCATCAGATAAGGCCAACAGGCTTCCACTCCTTCAGAAGACACCCAGGGGTCCAAGGTAAATCTCGTTCCAAAGTGATTTTTGCCTGGAAGGGCCTAAGCCCCACCCAGGATGGGGACGACCCTCACTCTGGGTTAGGACATGGGCTCTTTGCACCTCACCTGACTGCTAACCCCTCAGGTTCTTCCTCAGGGCTGGCAATGGCCCTGGGATGGACCTGGATTCGGCTCTGACTCTTACTACTTGCATGATCACGGGCAGTTACATTACCAGAGGCAGATTCAGCACCACCCAGCCCACCAGAGCAAAACCCATAGGCCTTCCAAAGTGCTGTAATCCTAGCACTTTGGAAGGCCAAAATGGGAGGATCACTTGAGGCCAGGAGTTTGAGACTAGCCTGGAAAATATAGAAAGATCCCATCTCTGAAAAAAAAAAAAAACAAACAAACAAAAGAAAAAAGTTATCTGGGCTTGTAGTAAAAAGTAGAAAAAAGTTAGCTTTGCCTGTAGTCTCAGCTACTTGGGAGGCTGAGGTGGGAGGACTGCTTGAGCCCGGGAGGCAAAAGTTGTGGTGAGCTGAGACCGCATCACTGCATGCCAGCCCAAATGACAGAGCAAGACTCTTTCTCAAAACAAAACAAAACCTATAGGCCTTGTCCATCATTGGCAATTAGTTAGGAAATGTAAGTGCATCCACTATGCAAGAAACTGATCACATTGGTCACCTCCTGGATGGGGATCTAGATGGATAGCCAATAGAGGCAGAAAGAAAAATTTTCCATTCTTTGCCCTTTTGAATTTGAACTATATGAATATATTCTCTATCCACTAAAAACGTTTAAAGTTTTTAAGAAGTCAAATAACATCAATAGGATTCAGTGATTGACAGGGGCAGGCAGGGAGGGGACGGACAGACAGATGTGAAGGATGAGTCTGTGTTGCTAGGCTGGGTGACTGGATTCACCAAAATACAGACTACAGGAAGAAGAGGGTTTGGGGGAAGGAAAATACATTCAACCTTGGGTTGTTGAGGTAGAAATGCCAGAAATAGTTAAATGGAGATTTCAGCAAGAAATTGAAGATGTGTCAAGTTCTCAAGAGATGCTGTGGTATTGAAAATGTAGATTTGGGGTCATCATTTCAGAAGGTGCATTTGAAGGCACAGAATGGATGATAGACTCATCTTTCAGATGAGAAGGACAGAAACTGGCCAGGTGCACTGGCTCCCACCTGTAATCCCAGTACTTTGGGAGGCTGAGGTGGGAGGATCCCTTGAGGCTGGGAGTTCAAGACAAGTGTGGGCAACATAGTGAGACTCCTGCTGTCTCTACAAAAAATAATGAGAAAAATGTTTAAGGGGGGCAAAAACCAAACTAAATCTACTTTAAAGAAGTAAAACGGGGAGATGAGTTTATTAGAATATGTTATTGTGAAATCAAAGGGATGGCACAGATATGGTCAAATCTGCAGATTCAAAAAAACATCATCAGAATTCTGAGGGGAAAAATTCAAGATTGAAAAAGAGAGATTGTTCTTTAGCCCTAGTCCCAAGCCATGAAGAAGCCACACAAGCAGTTTTAAAGCCACCATTATCATTCAGTGACCAGAGACTTCAGTGCCACTCCCCTCTTCAGAAAATCAGCAACAACTCACTCAGCTAACCCCCAAAATCCAAGCTTAACAAAAACTCTCTATGAGATCAGCATTTGCTTGGTTCAGAGAGAAAGTGATCTGAAAACGGATTCTCTTTGGCTGTGCAAGTAACAAGTTCAGTACAAACGTATAAAGAGCGAGAGAGAGAATGATATGCTCTCTTACAACAATTCTGCTTCTCCTTGTCCTTTCAGCTCAGCTTGCCTCTGCTTGTCTTAATTTACATACAAGCTCTAGCCACTTGTGACCAAGCTGTTCCCTGGCTTCTTAAACCACCTGATCCCAGAAATCCTGATCTATAGGAAAAGACACAGGGAGGATTCTATTTAGACCAGTTTAGATCATATGCCCAACACTTAACAAATAATGCTGGAAAGGAGGATAGAGATCATGGTGGAAAAGACGATAGAGACCACGCTTGGCCAAACCCGGGTCAGATACCCTGCTGGCTGTCCTCCACTTGCCATCCCCCAGATCAGCTCTCCAGCCTTCTACACCCCACTCAGTGCTGCTGACTTCAATGACAGTGTTGCTACTGCCCTCCAGCCTGGGCAACAGCGCAAGACCCTGCCTCAAAAAAAAAAAGAAAGAAAGAAAAGAAATATACAATAAAGTATTGCTAACTATAGTCACCTTATTGTGCTACCAAACATTAGATCTTATTCCTTCAATCTAATTGTATGTTTGTACCCATTAGCCAACTCCTCTGAGCACCCCCTCCCCACTGTCCTTCCCTGCACCCCTGGTAACCACCACTACTCTCTATCTTTATGACAGCCACATTTTTAGCTCCCACATAAGTGGGATGATGCGATATTTGTCTTTCTATGTCTGTCTTGTTTCACTTGACAATGTACCACGTTTAAGGCCCTTGTTATCTCGCAGTGCTGGAATTCCTGCTGCTGTCCTGCTTCCGAGCTGGAACCCAGCAGCTCTGGTTACCCTCCCCACTTTGCAAGTCAAACGCAGGAGGACTGGAGGGATTAGATTTTCTTAAGCAGACTTTCAACTAATCTCCCTTATTTGTACTATTCCCCCCCTTTCACCTCCATTTCCACCTGTTACTGGGAAATTCTAATGAAAGGAGATGTTTACCTTGATAATAAGCCCAGCTGACTTGATTTTTTTCTTCTTACCTCTTACGCATATTGTTGTGTGTTTGGAGCAGAGGGGTTTTTTTTGTTTTTGTTTTTGTTTTTGTTTTTGTTTGGAGTATGATCCAACTGTCCATCTTGACATGAAGTCCTGGGTTTGGTTTTTAAGGAAGTAATATCTTTACTTCATCTGGGGGCAACATCCTCCATCCTCTTCATGGCCACACCTACGGCCCCTCTTTCCCCCTAGTGTCAGAGCAGAAATCACGCTTCCCTCTGCCCAAGGCTCGGAACCTCTGAGCTCCTCAAACCAAGCCTCTCCAGGGAAAGTTCCTTCTCAGGACAGGAGGCTGAGCCAATGGAGAGAAAGAGAGTGAAGATGTAAGCGCCATTCCTGGAGAGGCTTCTTTTAAAATACTATCTATTTTTGTTTTATTTCTGGTAGTTCTTCATTTTTAATTGAAGTTATATCTTCATTTTCCTCTAAAAATCTAAACATTTATATATGTTTTTGTCAGGCTATTCTATAATATTAATTAGCTTGAAGAGGAAGAAACGGTGTCACCAGAATTCAGAGAGAGCTCCAGTTTTGCAGAATGAGTTATCATGCAGTAGTAGCTGTAGAGGGATGAATCCACTAACAATTGCAACCCAAATCAGTGAGGGAGAGGGAAGAAACTCCCCAGCTTTCTTTCTTCCTGCCCTGTGAATGTCTGCTGTTGTCTCCCACTGGCCAAACCCAGCTAGAAGCAAGCTGGCAAGGGAGACTGATGCAATTCTCCCTCCTCAGCTTCCCAAGTAGCTGGGACAACAGGCACATGCCACCACACCTGGCTAATTTTTGTATTTTTTGTAGAGATGGGGTTTTGCCGTGTTCCCCAGGCTGGTCTCAAACCCCTGAGCTCAATCTGCCCGCCTCAGCTTCCCAAAGTGCTTGGATTACAGGCGTGAGCCACCATGCATGGCCTTATTGCATATTTCAAAATAACTGAAAGATGGAATTGGAATGTTCCTAACACAAAGAAATGATAATGCTTGAGGTGATGGATATCATTACACATTATATGCTTGTATCAAAGTTTCACATGTACCCCATAAATATGTAGAACTATTATGTATCCATAAAAAATAAAAAAAATTAAATAACATGTGGTACATAAAATGGAGGACTGGGGCAAGTATTAGTTCATAAAAACAGGAGTGGGCTGGAGCCCCTGCTGCTACCAAATGTTGCCTGAGATGACGCTGCTTTTGGAGAAGTGCAGGCTTTGGAAAGGAGGGAGACAGATCCAGCCTGTTTCAGCAGCTGAGCCAAATCGCTTGCTGGATCTATGCAAAGAGTATTAGAGAGGCTACCCCTGGGTTGTGGGCCCAGAGGGTCAGAGAAAGGCAGTCACAAAAATTCCAGGCAGGGAATGATGTTTCAGTCAGTTATTGCTGTGTAGCACCCACCTCAAACCACTGTGGCTTAAAATAATACTCATATTCTTTATTCATGAGTCTGCAATTTGACAAGGTTCAATGGGGATGCCTCGTGGTGTCAGCTGAGGTGACTCAGTGGGGCTAGAGGAGGCATTTTCAGGTTGGCTCATTTACATGTGGGCCTTTTGGTGAAGTGACTTCCTCACAGCATGGTGGCTGGGTTCTAAAGCAACTGCTCTAAGAAATAAGAATAAAAGTCCAGGTGCAGTGGCTCATGCCTGTAATTCCAGCACTTTGGGAGGCTGAATCAAGAGGATCACTTGAGCACTTGAGCCCAGGAGTTCGAGACCAACCTGTTGTGCAACATGGCAAAACCCATCTCAAAGAAAGGAAGGAAGGAAGGAAGGAAGGGTGGGAGGGAGGGGAAAGAAAGAAATGGAGAAAAAAGAAAGAAAAAGAATAAAAGGGAAACAAAAAACCTTTTTATTCCAAGTGCATCTGAAAAATAAAAATCAAACTGCATGATGAAATCTAATGCCCAGAAAGCAGCCAAGAGTTTAAGGTTCAAGATAGAGGACGGAGTCTAACCCCAGCTTCTCCTCCTTCTAAACATCATTAAGATAATATTTTATGAACTCGTAAATCCATAAGGATGAAGAAAATGGGAGAAATGACAAGGAACAAAATTTCAGCATTTCTAAGGCAGAATGAGAAAGGACTCAGAGACTTAAAAAATAAGACCAAGGCCTGAGCCAATAGTGAGGAAATCCAGAAACTACCATGATTTAAATCACACATTGCAAAAAGGCTCAGAAATTGGCTACTTCTATAACCTGAGAAGTGCAGGGTGCACATAGGTGAATACCTCAAATAGAGTAGACTGTTGAAAGTGTGTTAAAAAAGAAACCTGTCACCAAAATGCTCTTCCTTACTTTACAAAGCTATTCAACAGCCCTCCCAACATCCCAGTCAAAAACTTAAGGTTTGTTCTCTGGAGAAAGTGAAACAGACTATCTTGGACTGAAACATATTAGGCAGGATTGAGGATGCGGATATTGTATTGAAAAGAGGTAGATTAAATAAATAAGTGCCTACTGCATGCTGAGATGCCAGGAGGAGATTGGAACACTTTCCCTGGAGAAAATGTCCATGTCCATTTCAAGAAGAAAACTCTAAAGATATTGACACCAAATAATCCACAAAAAAGTGGCCCAGCCAGATGATCTTAAGGCGAATCCACTCTACCTAATTGCTTGAAGCTTCCCATCAGCTATTAGCTTTTCATTCTTCAATATAGGCAGTCAAATTGCCATTCACCTGAGGAAATCTTCTAACCTGAAGTATATAGACCAAAATAAATAAAGAAGAAAAAAATCAACTTAGAGGAAACAGGGTTTATGCAGGAGGAGTTTTAAAATTCTACCATGAGTTTTCCTGGAAAAATAAAAGATATTGCACCCAAGAAATAAGAAGAGATGAGGATAATGCTATTTCTCTCCCTCTTTAGTTTTTTGGTTTGTTTCTTTGCTTGTTTAAGACATACAGTTTCACTCTGTCACCCAGGCTGGAGTGCAGTGGCCCAATCACAGCTCACTGTAGCCTTCACCTCTGAGGATCAAGCAATCCTCTTGCCTCAGACTCCCAAGTAGCTCAGACTAGGACACCAGGTGTGTACCACCATGCCCAGTTAACTTAAAAAAAAAATTTTTTTTAGAGATGGGGTCTGGCTATGTTGCCCAGACTTGGTGTCAAACTCTTGGCCTCAAGTGATCCTCCCACCTGGGCCTTCCAAAGCGCTGGGACTACAGGTGTGAGCCACCACACCTGACCTTGAGAATGCCAATTCTAAAGAAAAAAACAGAGAACAAAAAGAAAATTTTTAAAAAATACGACAACAGAAATGAAAAATTCATAGAAGAAATGGATACAAAGCTAAGGAACTCTTTCCTCAAAAAAGACCAAAAAATTAAAGATATAGAAATCAGGCAAAGAAATAGTTTTTTTTTTTTTAATTAGATAACCAGACCAGGAGGTACCACACCTTAATAATGTACTTTCTGGTGGATGAGGTGAGTGAGAAGGAGACAGAGGGAAAAATATATAATAATAAAATAATCCAAGAGAATTTCCCAGAACTACATGAGTTTCCCGACTGAAAATGCTTGTTGGATACATGAGACAACAATAGTTGAAAATAGATTCACACCAAGATACATTATCATGAGGATAAAGGAACATCCCACAGAGAGAAAAAAAAATTATATCAAAACTAAAGGATTAGAGATCAGAATGGCCTTAGGTTTCTCAAATATTGATTGAAGACAATGAAGCAATGTTTTTTAAATTCTGAAATTTACTCCCTACCTAGACTATTATACCCAGCCAAATTATTAATAAAGTGTGGAGGTAGAATAAAGCCTTTTCAGACACGTCTCAGCGAGCTTTTGCTGCATAAAGAACAACCACAAGCCCTCAAAGACATACATGTTATGCATTTGTATCCTTCTTATGTGTCTAATCTATAGACACATAAGCAAGGAGATGACTCTCCTTCAGGCTCTGGGTCTGCAAGTCACAGTGAGGCTCTGATTCATACGTAAATGCTGAATATTGATGTAAGCAAAATTGCACTATAACTATATTTGAAGAATGAGGGGATGGAAGGGGAAGGAAAGAAAGCTGAATCCTTACTCCGGAGACAGAGTAGCATAGTAGTTGAGAACATAAGCTGTGGAGCTAAACACCTGGGTCTCAATCCCAACTCAGCCACTTCACATGCATGATCTTGAGCACATTACCAAATCCCTCTGCTCCTCAGTTTCCTCATTTGTAAAATGGTGTTAATAATAATTCCCAGCGGCAAGGCGCGGTGGCTCACAGCTGTAATCCCAGCATTTTGGGAGGCCGAGGCAGGCGGATCACCTGAGGTCAGGAGTTTGAGACCAGCCTGACCAATATGGTGAAACCCCATCTCTACTAAAAATACAAAAATTAGCTGGGCACGATGACAGGTACCTGTAGTCCCAGCTATTCGGAAGACTGAGGCAGGAGAATTGCTTGAACCCAGGAGTTGGAGGTTGCAGTAAGCCGAGATCATGCCATTGCACTCCAGCCTGGGTGACAGAGCGAGACTTCTTCTCAAAATAATAATAATAATAATAATAATAATAATAATAATAATATCCACCTCTCAGAGCTGTTATGGCCATTAAATAAATTAATATGTGGGCAGTACCCGATAGAGTGCCTAGCACATGCTGGGTGTTATGTAACTGATTGCTATTATTATTTATCACGGTGGAGAACCAACAGAGAATGCTGAAACTGAAAAAAAAAAATCAAGAAGTAACCATTCAATTATATTATTTACAGACCTGGACATAAATACCAAAATAATTATCTAGGAGGTGAAGTGGTTGCCACTGAGGAAAAGGGAAAAAGGCGGGGGCACAGGACTGTTGTTTCTCAACAAAATTGTGGAGTTGGTTTATTCTTGTGTGCATTATAACTTGGAGAAAAGTAAAAACTGAAAACAAGGAAAGATGAAAAGAGGAAAGATGCCAAACCATGAATGAGGAACATAAGCATATTCATTTGATGGTGGAAGGTCAAAATGGTTCTAAAATGTTAAAAATGAAATGAAGACATCCAAATATTGAGTCCCGGCAGCACACAGAAGGTGTCTATAGAAGGAAAAAGTCATTAATTTTCACTTAATCCAAGAGACAATAATGGATTTGTAATAAGAAAATGCAACAGTAATGTCAGACTGCCATAGTACAGTACTCACTAATACCTAATGCACTGCTCCAGGCCTCCCTCCCTGCCTCCTCTCATTCCTGGCCCATTAAATATCCTGTGAATATTCATAGGCACAATGCATTGTTTGCTTTTTCATATTAAACTGTTTCATATCAAAACATGAAATAAATCTGTGGGCTTAAAGCAATCATATTCTATCCTTTTTAAATTAGTGTCATTCTCCAACAACCTTTCTTTTATTTATTTAATTAATTTTTTTTTTTTTTTTGAGACGGGGTTCTGTTGCCCGGGCTGGAGTGCAGTAGCACCATCATAGTTCATGGCGGCCTCAAATTTCTGGGCTTAAGGGATCCTCCCGCCTCAGCTTCCTGAGTAGCTAGGACTACAGGCACCACCACATCCAGATATGAGGTCTGCTATGTTGCCCAGGCTGGTTTCTAACTTCTGGGTTCAAGTGATCCTCCCCCCTCAGTCTACCAAAGTGCTGGGATTATAGATGTGAGCCACAGAGCCCAGCACAACTTTTATTTTCTAATAGGTTTATTCTCACCAGTTCAAATAAACAAATAATTGATCAATCAATCCCTGAAAAACTTGTCATTAAAAATAAAGAAAAAGAAAAGCAACAAACAAAATCAGAATAAAAAATTATTCCAGGCCAGGCACTGTGGCTCCTGCCTGTAATTCCAGCACTTTGGGAGGCCAAGGTGGGCGGATCACGAGGTCAGGAGTTCGAGACCAGCCTGACTAACATGGTGAAACTCCGTCTCTACTAAAAACACAAAAATTAGCCGGGTGTGGTGGTGTGCGCCTGTAATCCCAGCTACTCGGGAGGCTGAGGCAGGAGACTCGCTTGAACCTGGGAGGTGGAGGTTGTGGTGAGCCAAGATTGCACCATTGCACTCCAGCCTGGGTGACAGAGTAAGACTGTCTCAAAAAAAAAAATTACTCCATATAAAATTAATATTATAGAATAGCCTGACAAAAACACATATAAATATGTTTAGATTTTTAGAGGAAAATGAAGATACAACTTCAATTAAAAATGAAAAACTACCAGAAATAAAACAAAAATAGATGGTATTTTAAAAGAAGTCATTAAAAATTTTAGAAATAAAAAATACCATAGAAATAAAATGTGTAACAAATGGAATAAGCTCTAGACCTGACATAGTCAAAGACAAAGTTGCTGAATTGAAAATAAAAGTGAGAAATTCACTCGGAATGCAATACAGAGAGGCAATTAAAAAATCAATGAAAACTAAAAAGGCTTAGAAGTACGATTGAGATGTTCCAAAAATTGTCTAACAGGAGTTCCAAAATAAAATAAGGGAGGGCATGACAGAGGAGAAACATTTAAAGAAATAATCACAGATAGTTTTTCAGAATTAAAGAAACACATTCTCATACATGTTGTGTACTAAGCAGGAAAAAATAATAATAAATTGCACACCCAAAGACTTATAGTGAAACTTGAGAACATTAAGGATAAAGGTACAATCCTCAAAACCATGATAGGAAAAAAGATATATTATCTACCAAGGAATTTCAATAGGCTTCTTATCAGAACAGTAAATGCCAGAAGGTAATGAGGTAATACCTTCAAAGCACTGAGAGAAATGACTGGGTAGGTACTATTAATATCTATGCAGGAGTAAGTAAACTAAGATATTGGTAAGTTAAGTAACTCTCCAAATTCCAGGATCCAAGATCCAACTCTGAAGATTCACAGGTGGGATGCAAACCCAGACAGTCTTAGCTCCACCATCAAGATTCTTAGCTACTAACTTATACTGCATTAATAGGAATATAAGGATAACTTATATTATAAAAGCAATAATCCACCAAGCAACGTGGTTCTTAACAACAGCTAGGGTAAATATTTAACAACAAAAAAATAAGTTATGGTGCTGTCACACAACAGAACACAATACAGCAGTTAAAATGAATAAACAGTATCTATAGCAATAGGAATGTACCTCAAAAATATAATGCAGCATAAATCAGGAACATAGCCTACACCCCTGGACCCTTTAACTAAAAATGATTAAAAGATTGATAAGAAGCATCAAAGGTGATGGTTAAATAGGTTTCTTCTAAAAAAAGTTTCTCCTGGGAAATTTACCTATTTACATCTTTTCAACAACTCTGAATGAGAGAAAGAAATCTTAGAGTCTATCCTTTGGACTGAGAAGGTTTAAGGCTTCTGAAAGTGTGAATGGGCTAACGATCTGGTCAGACCTGTAGAGGAGAGATGAAAAAATGAAACGGACACTTAATGCAAAATCCAGATGATCCCATTTATAACTGACCGCTCAGCCTTTCGACTGTAATCACTGGTACTTAATTTGTGATCCATCCCCCTTGAGTCTTCTGCTGACCTGTGAAAAAAGTGCAACAAGATCCTCTTATAGTTGTCAGAAACAAGAAAAAAGTAGAAATCAAGAGTGAATTTAAGTTTACTCATAAGGGGTTATATTAGGAAGCTAAAAACCTTTGGCAGCAGCCACCAATAAGATGACCTCATAATGTGCGACAATCTTTGGACTCTCAACTGTGAATATTTGTTCAAATGAATAGTTTGATATGATATCTCCAGTTGAGCTGAAGACAGGTAACAAATGTCAAATATGGTAGTTTTTCTCCAACTATTTAATGACTAAACAATTAATACTACTTTTGAATTTAAAAAGGAAATTTTGTGTTTGGATTGTTGAGGCTATTTTATCAGCAGCCTCCTAATTAGTCCTCTGGTCTGGAGTCTGGTCTCCCTAATGTCCACGGGGAATACCAGGGCTAAGATATTCTCACTACACGTTCCTCCAGCACCACACGCCACAAATACGCTTTGGTAACGTCTGTCTTCTTAGCTAGACTAAAAATTTGCTCATGGCAGGGACTATTGCCTTATCTTCAGAGTTCTAACGTTAATGCTAGATTCAATTGGAGTTCAAAAAGTGTGTGTTTGGTAAATTAAAAAAACTCAAAAAATTGGGTGAAATGTAATACTAGAGAACGCTAGTAGGTGGCGCCATGTTTTGTTTATGAGCTGAAGAAAGAAAAATCTCCAGATAGTTGAGAAAAGAAACTCAAGACACAGGGGTATTTAGATCACAAAACCAACCTTACTAAATGAAATACTTACCTAGGTACCTGGAAAAAGATGTACTGCCCAAGGAGCCCCTGTGAGAAAATCTAGCTGCTCATGAGAAGTTCCTTTTTGACAAGTACTTTTCTGAAAGTTTTAGGGACCAGAGTTTAATTTATACCGTTGTGTGGGGTCAGTAACCCTTTCCATAGTTAATTTTAGACGTTAACGTGTTCATTAGAAAAAGCTTTGTGTAAATTGGCATCTTGTGAAATTACAATAAAACCGTGCACAGACTTAAAATAATCTAAGTATAAAAATTCCTTATACTTTAATGTAAGAAAAATACCTACATATCTTCTAAACTATGGAACCTAAGTACAGGTGGTTTAGAAATATCTGCAGATATACGAAGTTTTTAAACTTGACTTTGGTGCCAAGAGAACATGGAGGCTGCCTGGATGTCTAAATTCTCTCTCTGTTCCTGGGAAGTCCAAAGCCTAGGTAATTAATGAATTACTCAACTCCTATGTACCCAGGGATTAAGTGTTAAGTGAACCAGTTTTTAAATCCCTTCCGGAAGGAGAGAATTCTAAATGTTTTTTAAAAAGTGGGTAGGCTTGGTAGTCAGGGAACAATTTGATTTAACAAACATTTATTAATTGCCCCCTTACATTAAGCAGCATCTATTAAAACATAATGAGTTTTATTTTTTAGTTATAAAGATACTTGTACAGCACTATAAAATTTAGAAAGGAGAATGAGAAAGCCATAATGCAACCATCCAAGGATAATTGCTATTAACATTGTGCTATACTTCAATCTAAAATTTTTCCCTACATTTTTTTAAACCTGAATTTTAAACCTCTTTATATATAACTCTTTTTTTTAAAGAGATGGGGTCTTGCTTTGTTGCCCAGGCTGGTCTCAAACTCCTGACCTCAACCAATCCTCTCCTCTTGGCCTCCCAAAGAGCTGGAATTACAGGCATGAACCACCGTACCAAGCCCTTCATAATATATAATTTTTTTCACCTGACATTTTAACAAAATTATTTCTCATATTACAAAAAAATCTTTCTAAACCAAATTTTTAATTTTGAGTATGAATATACAGACTTTTAAGGCTTTGCCATCAGTTGTCAAATTAACCTACAGGAAGGTTCAATCAGTTTACAAACCCACCAATAAAATATAAAAATTTCCACTTCTACACATCTCCAACAAACTAGATATTAAGAATCATTTAGGCCGGGAGTGGTGGCTCACGCCTGTAATCCCAGCACTTTGGGAGGCCAAGGCGGGCGGATCACCTGAGGTTGGGAGTTCAAGACCAGCATAACATGGAGAAACTCTGTCTCTACTAAACATACAAAATTAGCTGGGCGTGGTGGCACATGACTCTAATCCCAGCTACTCGGGAGGCTGAGGCAGGAGAATCGCTTGATCCCAGGAGGTGGAGGTTGCCGTGAGCTGAGATCGCGCCACTGCACTCCAGCCTAGGCAACAAGAGCGAAACTCCGTCTCAAAAAAAAAAAGAATCATTTAAATATTTGCCAAAATGATACACAAAGCTTATTATCTGGAGTTTTTCTCTATTTTCTTTCTTTCTTTCTTTCTTTTTTAACAGACAAGGTGTCACTGTTGTCCAGGCTGCAGTGCAGTGGCATGATCATAGCTTACTACAGTCTTGAAATCCTGGGCTTAATCAATCCTCCTGCCTCAGCCTCCTAAGTAGCTAGGACTTACAGACACATGCACCTGGTTAATTAAAAAATTTTTTTGTAAAGAGAGGGTTGAGACCAGTCTAGGCAGCAGGCTCCAGGCTGGTCTCAAACTCCTGCCCTCAAGTGATCCTCCTGCCTCAGCTTCCCAAAGTCCTGGGATCACAGGTGTGAGCCACCATGCTCGGCCTTCCCTATTGTCTACCTTATGAGTTAGAGTTATCATCTTTCATATGCTTGATGATAGTTTATATTACTCCTTTTATAAATTTTCTATTCAATTTTTAAACTTTTTTCTACTAGCATTTTTGTCTTTTTCTTTATTTGTAAGAACTCTTTGTATTTTAAAGGCATTAATTCTTTGTCTTATGTGTCGAGATTTTTGAGGTTTTCAATGTATTGGAAGTTTTCAGTTTTTAGATAGTTGTTTTTTTATGATTTCTACTTGTGATATCATGCTTAGGAAGGAATTCTCTACCTCAATACTATGTTTATCTATATTTGTTTCTAGTTTAAAATTACTTCTTTTAAAATATTTAATACACCTGGAGTTTATTTGGTACAAGGAATGAGGCAGTAATCTACATTTTTATTTTCTTACCAAATGCTTACCCACTTAACACCATTTATTAGTCGCTCAACCCAATTAAAGTGTCATCTTCATCATATAGTAAATACAACATACTTAGATTTGTATATGGATATCTATTTTATTCCACTTATTTGTTTGTCTATTCTGGCCCTGGAATCATACTGTTTGATTGTAAATATATGACAAGTTTTACCATCTATTAGGGCAAATTTCCCCTGGTTAAATTTTTTTCAAAAACTTTAAAAATATTCTAATCCATGTATTTATCTAGATAAATTTTAGAAACATACAATAATGTTCTCTAAAAAAAAGTATTCTGTTGGAATTTTAAATGAAGTGTCATTATATATGCATATTAACTTGGGAAAATTTGACAGCTTTACAATATTGAGTTTCCCCATAGCCAGAAACTTTTATTCAAATTTTTTTTTTTTTTTTTTTTTTGATACAAGGTCTCACTCTGTCGCCCAGGCTGGAGTACAGTGGCACGATCATGGCTCACTGCAGCCTCGACCTCCTGGGCTCAAGCAATCCTCCCACCTCAGCCTCTCGAGTAGTTGGGACTACAGGCACCATGCCTGGTTAATTTTTGTATTTTTTTGTAGAGACAGGGTTTCTCCATGTTGCCCAGGCTGGTCTCAAACTCCTAAGCTCAAGCGATCCATTCACCTCAGCCTTCCAAAGTGCTGGGATCACAGGCAGGAGACACTATGCCTGGCCTCAAATCTTTTTTAAAGTTCTTCAAGAGTTTTTTAGTTTTTTTTCCTACAGGTCCTGCATACTTCTTGTAAAAATTATCCCTAGATTTTTTTTTTTTTTTTTTTTTTTTTTTTTTGAGACGGAGTCTCGCTCTGTCGCCCAGGCTGGAGTGCAGTGGCGCGATCTCGGCTCACTGCAAGCTCCGCCTCCCAGGTTCACGCCATTCTCCTGCCTCAGCCTCCCGAGTAGCTGGGACTACAGGCGCCCGCCACCACGCCAGGCTAATTTTTTGTATTTTTAGTAGAGACGGGGTTTCACCGTGTTAGCCAGGATGGTCTCGATCTCCTGACCTCGTGATCCGCCCGCCTTGGCCTCCCAAAGTGCTGGGATTACAGGCGTGAGCCACTGCGCCCGGCCCCTAGATTTTTTAAATAGTCGTATGTGGGATAATTTTTAAAATTATATTCCTAACCATTTATTGTTGGTAATGGTATTTTGGGCATAAGTTTCTGTATTTGTTAAATTGTCTTTTTAGGAAAGACCCCAAGAAATGGAATAACTTAGTTTAAGACTATGGATGCATTGAATAACTTTTGCCAAGTTGTTTTAAAATTTAAATCACAATTAAAATAAGTGAGAGTGCCCATTTCATACCTTGCACTATCCAGTGTTACTTTTGTAGATCAATAATTAATTGGTTTGAGGGAAATAGTATGTTTTTGTTTTTATTTACTTTTTTTACTACCTGTGAAGATGAACATTTGTCCATAAGTTTCAGCTATTTTTCAGTCATCTGCATAAAAGACATGTCCCTGACACAAACTGTATTTGCAGAACTGAAATACCACTGACTGAGCCAACAGAGGTGATCTAGTTGAGTGATTGTCTGCAAGGTGAAGGCATGTTTGGTGATTGAAGTAATTGGTGAGGGGGCTACTACTGGCATTTGGTGGGGGAGTGCCAGGGATGCCAGATGTCTTATAAATCATAAGACAGTCTTGCATTATGATGAATGTCATACTGAACATTTATGTGAGTGGAAAATATTCACAGTTTTCTCTGTTTAGAACCTAATTCTTTCCTCCAGACATGTACACATTTTTGCATCAATTTGATATACACTGAGATTTCTAGGCATGCAACTATAGTGTAAATTAAGGCAAAAATTGCACTTTGATTTGTTTGGATATTAACAAGAATTGTTCAACAGTTTGGAAAACAATGTCACCGATGGTGACATATTTACGCCATTGACATTGCCAATACAACACATCATTACCCATCTGTTTTTGTAGCTGTCCCATTCATAATAATTCTAAGAACAAGTGCAAGAATCTGGCTTAAAAAATGGAATCTTCTAGTGTAGGCATGCTCAAGCATTTACAGAATGTTTATAAAAACATTTATAAAATTACATGTCAGTTCATAACAAATTAGTTTCTCTTTATCCTCCCTCTTAAATTTAGTGCAATATATTTTGATGGTATTATTATTGAGATACAGGTAGATAATATTGTCTGTAAATATAATTTCACAATAGTAAAGCGGGCCTTGCAAAACATTGATATAAAAAGTGGGTCTGGACATATTAAAATAATTAATACCGTATGACCAAATTTATTCCATGAAACAGAAAATGGGTCAATATTAGAAAATATTTTAATCAGCTGGGTGTGGTGGCTCATGCCTGTAATCCCAGCACTTTGGGAGGCTGAGGCGGGTGGATTTCTTGAGGTCAGGAGTTCGAGACCAGCCTGACCAATATGGTGAAACCCCGTCTCTACTAAAAATACAAAAATTAGGTGGGTGTGGTGGCGTGCACCTGTAGTCCCAGCTACTCGGGAGGCTGAGACAGGAGAATTGCTTGAACCCGGGAGGTGGAGGTTGCAGTGAGCCAAGATCATGCCACTGCACTCCAGCCTGGGTGACAGAGCAAGACTCTATCTCAAATTTTAAAAAAAAAAAAGAAAGAAAGAAAATATTTTAATCTAATTCATAATATTTACTAATAGATCTAGGAAGATAGAGCATTTGATTATCTCAATAAATGCTGAAAAAACTTTGATACAATTCAACACCCATTCATAAAACTTCTTGAGAAAACAGAAAAGGAATAATGTTTCCTTAACCTGCTACATTAACCATTCCTTTCTATTTGCTTTCTTTTCTTTTTTTTATTTTTATTTTCTTTTTTATTTTATTATTATTATACTTTAAGTTTTAGGGTACATGTGCACAACGTGCAGGTTTGTTACATATGTATACATGTGCCATGTATACATAATGCACCCATTAACTCGTCATTTAGCATTAGGTATATCTCCTAATGCTATCCCTCCCCGCTCCCCACACCCCACAACAGTCCCCAGTGTGTGATGTTCCCCTTCCTGTGTCCATGTGTTCTCATTGTTCAATTCCCACCTATGAGTGAGAACATGCGGTGTTTGGTTTTTTGTCCTTGCGATAGTTTGCTGAGAATGATGGTTTCCAGCTTCATCCATGTCCCTACAAAGGACATGAACTCATCATTTTTATTTGCTTTATTTTCATGCTTTGACATCTGGAGCTTTGCTGACCCTGGAGGCACTACCCATTCCACGGTGAGCTAATTCTTAGACATAGCTAACAATTCACCTGCAAGACCTCCTCCTTTATCAGGCTTTCACATTCTGGGCCACCATCCACCTGCCCTAATCACCCCAGGGCCAAGTACCAGACAATTAGGGGCAGCCCTTATGCCTCAGGGTACAATTATTCAAACCAGCCAATCCTGAGCCTCAGCCTGTTTGCCCTGCCTTGTCCATTCCTTCTCATAGAAACCACAATAAAGGTTCCAGCCCACAGTTCCTCCTCCCCTGCTGCCTCCTGTCTGGGCTTGGTGTTTTCCCGTGTGGTATAGTGTACCCCATCCTTTTGCAATCTATGGATATAATTTTTTTCTTTTCTTTTCTTATTATTTATTTATTTATTTTAAAAGACAGGGTCTCCCAGGCTGGAATGGAGTGGTGAACTCAATCGATCCTCCCCCCTCAGCTTCCTGAGTAGCTAGGACCACAGGCACACCTAGCTAATTTTTTTTTTTTTAAAGCACCATAGTCTAACTATTTTGCCCAAACTGGTCTTGACTTCCTCACCTCAAGTAATCCTCCCACCTCTGCCTCCCAAATCTCTGGGATTACAGGTGTGAGCCACTGTGTCTGGTCCACACTGTCTTTTTAATGGCAGTCTTCTCCTGATCTATTGACCTTGCCATAGTAAAAAACAATTAAAACCACATTTGAAAACGCGTGTCAAAATACACAAAATTCAATCCTAAAGTCAACATCTTATTTAATAGGGAAACCCAAGAGCTATTCCTATTAATGTCAGAAGCAAAGCAAAATGTTCACTGTCTCCACAACGGTTTAACATTGTTCTGTAGGTACTACTCAATACAATTAGAGTAGAGAAAACAATTAAACATAAAAGGGAAAAAAATAAAATTAAAACTCTCTCTATTTGCTGATGACATAATAGCAAACCTGGAAAACCCTAGAAAATCAATAATAAAACAATCCAAACATTAAAAGAATTTCATAAGATAGCAGGATATAAAATTAACATGCAAAAATCAATGGCACTGACACCCAGCTTCCAGTCTGACATGTAAAGAGCTTAGAACTCATCACTCCCAATCTCAAAACAAGAAAAAGAAAAGAAAAGAAAAGAAAGTTGCTGAGTAAACGGAAAACCAACAACTCTTCTTAAATTCTTCAGACAGTTGAGGTCCCAGGACAAACTGCTACCCTGAAAACTAGAGAGGCAGACAGGAAGACACAGAAAACCATACCTTACAGGGAGCAGAAGCTGCAGCTGGAGCTGGTAGCAACACTTACGGGGTAAAGGACTAATTGCTGGAGACTGAGCAAGAACTAGCTTGAGAGATAAAACTCCTGAAAGCCCAGGTTCAGGGGTGCCCCCATACTGTCCTGTGTTGTGCCTTCAGGGGTCCCACAAGGTTTTCAGCGGGAAAGGGGAAAAGAACCATTTTGAAATAAGCCTAGAGCACTCTGTTCTCCTTAACAATGGTCTGCCTCAAGAGAAAATGTTTTACCAGAGTCTAACCTACTTGGGTTTTATCAGAGCCTAACACACCTGGAGAAAGAGAAATGCCAAGCTCCAGCCCCCTGTAGCTTTCTTGTCTTGCCTAAGCAGGGGCACTGAGAAGCCCTTGTGAAGGTCACAGCACAGGAACACAGGCCGCTAAGAGACCAAGACCTGATCACAGGACTGTATATAATGGCTTTACTCTCCCAACACCTTACAACTACATCAGTAGGACTTCTGTGTAATAGCAGGAGATTACAGCTGAAAGAACTGCAAACTTCAGAACCTATTTAAGAAGAACTCTCTAGGGAAACCCAAAGACAACAGAGAAGACAAAAACAAAGACATTAGAGGAAATTTTAGCCTTGGACACCACAATCACAGCAAGGAGTAAGCACAGATCAACATAAAACCTCACTCTAAAAGGTTCATTTGCCAGGTGTGGTGGCTCCCGCCTGTAATCCCAGCACTTTGGGAGGCTGAGGCAGGTGGATCACCTGAGGTCAGGAGTTCGAGACCAGCCTGGCCAACATAGCGAAACCCCGTCTCTACTAAAAATACAAAATATTAGCTGGGCATGGTGGTGGGTGCCTGTAATCCCAGCTACTCAGGAGGCTGGAGCAGGAGAATCACTTGAACCCAGGAGGCGGAGGTTGCAGTGAGCCAAGATTGCGCCATTGCTCTCTGGCCTGGGCAACAAGAGTGAGACTCTGTCTCAAAAAAAATAAATAATAAAATAAAATAAAATAAAATAAAATATTCATTTACCTCAGCTGCTTTTACTCAATACATCGTGACCAACTTGCAGCAAAAAATTACAAGGCATGCTAAAAGGCAAAAATTACAGTCTGAAAAGACAAAGCAAGCATCAGAATCAGATTCAGATATAGCAGAGATTTTTGAAATTATTAGACCAGTAATTTAAGATAATTATGATTAATATGCTTAAGACTCTAATGGAAAAAATAAGCAACATGCAAGAACAGTTGGGTAATGTAAGTAAAGAGTTGGAAATCTTATGTAAGAATCAAAAGGAAACGCTAGAAATCAAATACATAAACAGAAATGAAGAACGCCTTGGATGGGCTCATTAATAGACTGGACATGCCAAGGAAAGAATCTGTAAGCTCGAAGTTTTAAAAGAATGAGGAATATCTCTATGAACTCACATGGAGTGACTTCCAGAAAATGTTATTAAGCAAAAAAAAAATAAAATAAAGTAGAAAAAAGCATATATAGTATGCTACTTTTTCTGTAAGAAAGAAGGAAAAATTAGAAAATATACATGTATCTGCTTATCATTACAAAAAGAAACACAGGATAAAAAAACAGTGAAGTCAATTACCCAAAGGGGTGGAAAGGATGCAAGAGAGAATGATAATTCTCTAAATATAATTATTTGTATAGTTTTGGCTTTGAAAGCATGTTAATTTTCTACGCATTCAAAAGCAAAATTAAATCAATGAGAATTTATTATTATTCAAAAGTAAAAGTAAATCTATAGGAATGCCTCTTTACAGGAAATAAAAAGTTAAAGCTGAAAGCCAACAAACAAATGAACCTAATAATTAGTCAAAGGAATACCATAGCAACACTAAAGGGGGGAGGGAGGAGTTAATGCAAGTAATCTATAAACATAGTATTTGACCATCTACCCTTGATTTGTAACAGAGTAAGTGTATGGGGTGCAGGGGAGGATGAAAAACAAACAAATCCTATTCAAACAAATCCTGAACTCTTTTTAGCAAGTTTATGTCTGACAATAGTATGGGCAAAACAACTGTGAAAGTATTTTAGATAGATTATAGGATCAAGCAAATAAGTAAAAGTATTACTGTTGTTGGAGCCAGTTCTCACAGTAGAAGAGGGGACATACACTCTGGAATATGAGAAGCCTAGAAATAATCCTGTGTGAATTAATGATATTATGTGAACTCACTTTCTCTAAAATACGTGTATGCATGATTATGTGCACGTGTTTATGTATGCATGTGCACGTGGGTGCATGTATTTATACGTATGTGTATGTACATATGTAACTACCTGTCTATATCTCCCAGGTCTGTCTGCTGAAAGTGCTAAGAAGCAAAGACACCCCAGTAGTAATAGCACCCTAGCACCCATAACTTGGTTTCTTTACCATTTTACACTAAAACGAACTAGGACATCTTGGAAAAATGGCTAATTCCAGGGCTTGACAAGATAGATGTAAGATGAGTCTAGAATATCGTGTTATTCCAGAAAGTAAAGAAGTACTTTTTTAAAACAATGGTTGCATGCCATGTAAGCAAGATTTAAGGGACTCCTACCGGCCAAATTTGGCACAATTTTGATCACCAAAATTAGCAATTTCTTACACAAATGTGAACATCAAAAATGGAAATTCATCAGCCATAACATGATTTCATGAGCCATCGATTAATAAATGGAAGGAAGGAAGGCTCTTGATTACAGGGGAATGTTGAGGGCCAACTGGTAAATGTGAAGACTGGAGTGTTCCAAAGTTGTAAAATCACCATTTTGCAACCACAAGGGTAAAGATCCAATCAGCCAAGAATCATCAGTGGACAAACAAATAAACCAATGTAGTACATAATACAACACAGTAGTTTTCAGTCTTAGAAAAAGGAAGGAAGTTCGGTCATGTGCTACAATATGCATGAAGATGGAGGACACGATGCTAAGTGAAATAAGTCAGTCACAAAAAGACAAACACCGCTGGGCATGGTGGCTCATGCCTGTAATCCCAGGACTTGGGAGGCAAAGGCAGAAGGATTGCTTGAGCTCAGAAGTTCGAGACCAGCCTGGGCAACATGATGAAATAAAAAATACAAAAATTAGCTGAAGAAAATACAAAATTAGCTTGAGTGGTGGCACACGCCTGGTCCCAGCTACTCAGGAGGCTAAGGTGGGAGGATCTCCTGAGACTTGGGAGGTCAGGTCTGCAGTGGGCCCAGATCACACCACCGCACTCTAGCCTTGGTGACAAAGCGAGACCTTGTCTCAAAAAAAAAAAAAAAAAAGACAAATCCTTATGATTCCACTTATATTGGGTAGCTACAGCAGTCAAATTCATAGAGATGAAAAGTAGAATGGCAGTTACCAATATCTGGGAAGGCAGGAGAAATGAGAAGTGATTGTTTAATGGGTATAGAGTTTCAGTTTTGCAAGATGAAGAGGTCTGAATATGGATGGTGGTAATAATTGTACAACAACGTGAATGTAGTTCATATCACTGAACTGTCCACTTAAAAATGATTAAGATGGTAAATTTTATGTTATGTGTATTTTACCACAATTAAAAATAAAATTTTTAAAAAAGAATCATCAGTGGATGCCAAACCCAGAGGGAAATTTTGATGAAAGCACAGTTTTGACTTGTCTCCGCATAGACAGCTTATTAGTTGCAGTGAATAAATCTGGTAACACCTTCATCAGAGGATAGAAATGAACAATACTAATGAGGGATAGGTGGACACCATGACTCTCCAGAGGTAACACCCTGAGAAGGTCACAGGAAACATCAGACAAATGCAAAATGAAGAATGTTCTATTAGGAAAATGGGAGAGGAGGATCATACTCTTTACAAGTCCCAATGTAGTGAAAGACAAATAAAGGCTATGGGAATGTTTCAGATTAAAGGAGGCTAAAGAGACAGAGACCTAACCTTAGATTGGATCCCATACTGGAGAGAGGAAATCTATCAAAAGCATTATTCATTCAGCTGACCAAATTGGAACATGAGCAGTAGATTAAAATATTGTATCAGTAAAGTTAAGTTGATAACTGCACTGTGGCTACGTAAAAGCATATTCCTATTCTTAAGAAATACAAACTGAAGTAGTTATTATTTAGTAGCTTATATTTAGTAGTTAGTAGTTCAGGGTAAAGGGCCATGATACCTGTAACTTATCCTCAAATGATTCTGAAAAAAAAAAAAAGTGTATGTATGTGTGTCTTCAGCACGCAGCACATAACAGGCACTCAATAAGTGCTTGCTGGGTGAAGGAAAGAAGGAATTAAATAACTAATGAGCAAGTTACTGTGGCATTAGCACAATCAGTATCTTGATGACCTACTCCAGTTCTCTACTTTCTAGGTCACCCTTATCCATCCTCAGTTCCAAGTTATTTCTTTAGATCATTGGGAAGTGAAATGCTCCCCCTTGGCTCCCTGTGGCCACCTGAACCTACACTTGGCAGCTTCCCTATTTTCTCCTCACATTACCCTTTTCCTGGGCATACCTCCTGCCCTTGCATTCACCATCTCGACCCTTCATGCTTCCCGAATCCGCAGTTGTCATGCAAGTTTACTACTTCTTAATCATTAATCCTCTCCGTCAAAGAGTGTGCTCCAAGAAAAGCAGCTGATGCCCCCATTTCATACCACGCCTCCCTCTGGAAGGACATATTTACATTTTCAGGGCACGTTGTTGTAGTAAAATTAGTAGTACAAATATCATCATAACTGAATCCTTTTTTTTACATTCTTATCCCTGATCTGGATACAACTAAGTTTCTCTCAGTGTACAAATTTTTCTAAACAAGGAAATTTTACCTAAAAGTGAGAACAAGTTAATTTTTCTATTTGCAAATAAGTAAAAAGAGTTTTTGATGGTTGCCTTTAAAGGCTTTGTTATTATCTTTAGGTTTTATGCATCAACGCTATCCACCAATGAATAATGCATATGTCGAAGAACTTTAAATTCTCTTCCAAAGTTTGACTACTGTGTTCCAAAAACAGCCAACTGAACCTCCAGATGCAGTGATAGGATAATTTATTTATTTAGTAAAATGTATCCAGTAAAAATTTACTAAGCATTCTCCTAAACATTGTTCTCAGGGCTGTCTGATAAAGCATAGTTCCTAGCTTCCAGGAATATCACAGTGCAGGAGGCTAGTGAACTGTACTAGTTGGTCCTCTAATCCTTCCAGCAAGCCTGCCCTTCCCATGTTCATCTGGGGATTGGCACAGGACACAGACTTGGAAAATCAGACCCTTCCATCTCACTGGCCCCTAAATAATACAGGAATGGTACACCACCAAAGCCAGGCAATCAGCATTCTCCCCAGGGACTTTTCTGCTAGAGGTAGACAGGATGTTTCTCTTGCACTTGAGGCACAAGCTGTAAAGATGGCACTGGGCAAAGTAAGGCCCACTTTCCCTCCATAGAGGAAACAAGTTAGCATTAGGTAGCAATTAAGCCAACTCACAAAAGGGAGCAAAAGTTAGATGTAAAGGCTGCATGCCCTGATAACCTGGTCTGAGGCTTTGGATCCAGTTGTACCTGACGTTTCCTCCATGTTCCAGGTTCTCTGAGCCCACACCTTCCCCTCTGCTAATTTGCATTGAGATCCTGTCTCTTGCAGCAGAGAGGGTCCTGACTGACAGAGGGAGCTAATGGTCATGAGTTGCACTGTGAGTAGCAAGAAGAATAAAACAGGCTTTTACAAGAATTAAGAGTTAAGAGAGTTCTCCTTTATTAAGGAAGACAGGAAAAAGTGGCATTTGAGCTGTTTTAAAAGAATGAGATAAATCTGGATAACCAGAAACGGGCAAGAGAAGATTCCTGGTGGAAGGAACAAAGGGGAGGTGGTCAGCAGTGTCCACGCTGGCCAGAGTGTGTTCACAGGAACAGACTGGGAGCTAAGACTAAAAAGGCGAGTTCGAGGTAGTCAGTGGAAGACTTTAAATTCTGACAGAATATTCAAGTAGTAGTGTCCCGGTGGATATGGAAAATGTTATATGGCATCTCAGGAGAGCAGTTAGAGCGGGGGACATTGGTTGGGAGTTATCAGCAGAAAAAATATAATTCAAGCCTTCAGGCAACTGGCTGCTCATAATAATTAATGGTAGCTAACATATATTGACCGCTTATTCAAGTTAAGCATTATGCTAAAGTATGGTAATTGCATAATTGTATTTAATCCTAAAATAAATTCTATGAGGTAGGCACAATTATTTTTACCCCATTTTGCAGTTAAAGAAAACAAGGCTTACAAAGTTAAATGACCAGTTAGAAAACCCAAAACTAGTTAGTGGCAGAGCCTGGATTTAAACTTAGGTCTGTCTTCACTCCAGAGCACAAGCTCTTAACCACCATGCTATACTGTAGTCCACAGTAGAAGAATGTAGGAAAAGAAAAAGGACAGATAGGGAGTTTTGGGAAACATCTAGTGGAAGCAAGACTTTGTCTACCTCTGAGTCAGATGGGAACCTGGATTCATAGACACCATTTGAAGGTAGAAGAGCCAGGCAAGGATTTATTTGACATTATCTCCATGTTTTGTGGTACACATCTTCACTTCTACTTCTCTTCCAATAACAATTATTCCTAAAATTTACTCACCTGGCTTCAGGTGTTTTTTTTTTTTCATAATGTCTCCAGCTATCTTTTAAACTAAATATTAAAGATGCCAGAGTTTCTGTCAGCCTGGGTCCCTAAATGACGATATGGAACAGACCCTTCTCTCTGCCATAGGCAATGAGAATTAAGAGTTATCTACTACAGTAACTAATGTTATCTTAATGAACACTTAAAGACATTTAGTTACATCATAAAACCTACTCTCTAGAAATTTTTCAAAAATTATTTGCAAATATAAAAATTATATGGACACGTTAAATGACAGATTTGCCACTATAGAGATTTTTTAAATTGCGGTATTGAAAACCAAGCAGAAGAAATAATTTCAAAACCTAGAACAAAAATACAAAGAGAAGAAATATGTAAATGAAAAAAGATACATAAAGACAGATCCTGGAGACCCAATAAGCAAGTAATATGAATGCTAGAAGGGAAAAAAGTAACTGATAGAAGAAGGAGTAATAACAAGATGATCAAGGAAATGTTTGCTTGTTTGTGGCCTTTAGTTATGCAGTATAGGAGAGGTAATAAAAAGACACATACCTAGGCATATCATGGTAAAATCTAAAAATTCTAAGGTTAAAAATAGATTTTGCATGCTTCTAGACCAAAAACCCAAGATCCAGAAAAAAAAATCACTGGACTTCTCATATGCAGCACCAGAAATCAATGGACTGATGGAATAATGGTTACAAATTACTAAGAGAAAAGGGCTCAAGGATCTACAACATGTCAAGATAATATCCACTTCTTCAGGTAAAAGAAAGATATTTTCTAGGACGCAAGGATTCAGTGATCATCATCCACATAACCCACCTAAGGAAAAGTTTCCAGAAAGTACTCTTAAAAAGAAGGAGAGGAGTTGGGGCAAGGAGAAGGAAAAGAAATTTTGTAAAGGAAGGAAACAGAAAAGAAGTCAGTGGTAGGTGAAGAACTTTGCAATATGTATGGGTAATCTAAATCAATGATGATAGACTGGCTGGGAATACATACTATGAACACTAAGGATCCTTTAAGTATGAGAAATACTGCCAGAGAGAATCTAATAATAGTCTGGAACTAGAAGTACTATTCATCTTAGCAAATCTAGGCATTGGAAATTGGATGGGCATAATATAAAGGAGCAAGGACATTAAATGTCCTTCTTGTGGAAGATGAGAACACTGGGGAAACAGAGCATTTGAAGAAATAATAGTGGCTGGCACATCATCTTGGATATGAGCATAGCAGCGTGTATTCAAGAATGATGATTAGCAATAGGAACGTGCAATGGAAAAGTATAGCCAAATTTCCAAATGAACATGAGAGAGAGAAGAGAATAGAAAATAACTGGGTCATGGGCTGGGCATGGTAGCTCATGTCTGTAATCCCAGTATTTTTGGAGGCCAAGGCAGGAGGATCCCTTGAACCCAGGTGTTCAAGACCAGCCAGGGCTACATAACAAGACCCTACCTCCACAAAAATTAAAATTAAAAAAATAGCTGGGCATGGTGGCATATGCCTATAGTCCCAGCTACTTGGGAGGCTGAGGCGAGAGGATTGTTTGAGCCCAGGAGTTTGGAGCTGCAGTGAGCTACGATCACACCACTGCAGTCTAGCCTGGATGACAGAGCAAGACCCTGTCTCTATTTAATAACAATAATAATAATAACTGGATCAATCAGCAAAAATTAAAAAAACAAAAAGTAAAATAAGAAAGTGAAAAAGTAAAGTAGAAGGTAGGGAGTGAAAGACAAGGAGGGTCAGTTGAGAAAGAAGAAAAGAAAGACTCAGTTACATCTTATTTATAAGAAATATACTTTATACGAAGTTGGAAGGATGGCTGAAAATTGAAGGATGAACAAAAACATAGACAAAGGTAAACTTTTTAAAAGGCAAAGGAGTAAAAAATGCCGATGAAAGAAATCAAAGAAGGCCTACGTAAATAGAGACAGAGACACATTGTGTCCATGGATTAGAAGACTCAACATAACAAAGATGTCAGTTCTCCCCGTATCAGTCTATAGATTTAACACATTTATTATCAATATGCCATTACATATTTTTGTAGGAATGGACAAGCTTATTCTAAAATTTATATGGAAATGAAAAAGAACTAAAATAGCTAAAACAATTTTGAAAATAAAGAATTAAGGGAGAGGAATCACTCTACTTGATTTTTAAGACCTACTCTATTGCTGCATGAACCAAGAGTGTGTGTTATTGGTAGAAAAAGACACAAAGATCAATGGGATAGGATAAAGAACCCAGAAATAGGTCCACACAAAGATGCCCCAATGATTTTTTTTTGCAAAGGTGCAAAAATAATTAAATGGAAAAAGGACAGTCTTTCAACAAATGGCACTGAAGCAATTAGACATCCATAAGGAAAAAAATGAAACTTTACCAAAATCTCACACCTTATACAGAAACAACTCAAAATGCATTGTAGATTTAAATGTAAAACTACAAAATTTTTAAAACAAAATGTTAGAGAAAATCGTTGGAACTAAGGGCTTGACAAAGAGTTCTCAGACTTCATACCAAAAGCCATGATCCACAATAGAAAAAAACCTGATAAATTCAACCTAATCAGAGTGTAAAACTTTTGCTCTGTGAAAGATCCTATTAAAAAGATGAAAAGAGCTGGGCACAGTGGCTTGTGCCTGTAATCTCAGTTACTCAGGAGGCTGAAGTGGGAGGATTGTTTGAGCTCAGGGGTTCAAGATCAGCCTGGGCCACATAGTGAGACTTCATGTCTAAAATAATTAATTATAATCCCAGCACTTTGAGAAGCCAAGGTGGGAGGATGGCTTGAGCTCAGGAGTTTGAGACCAGCCTGGGCAATATAGTGAGACCTCGTCTCTAGAAAACAAAAAGTTAAATAGTTAACTAATTTTAAAAAAAATAAATTAGTTAGGCATGGTGGTACATGCCTGTGGTCTTAGCTACTCAGGAGGCTGAGGCGAGAGGAACCCATTATCCCAGGAGTTAGAGGCTATGGTGAGCCATGATCATGCCATTACACTCCAGCCTGGGTAACAGAGCTATTTTCTGAAAGAAAAATAAATATATATTTATTTTAAAAGAAAAAATATATTTCTTTAAAAAATAAAATATATTCCATTAAAAATATATATATATTGTATTAGTCCGTTTTCACTCTGCTGTAAAGACATACCTGAGACTGGGTAATTTATAAAGAAAAGAGGTTTAATTGACTCACAGTTCTGCATGGATGGGAGGCCTCAGGAAACTTACAATCAGGGTGGAAGGGAAGCAGGTATGCCTTACACATCAGCAGGCAAGAGAGAGGAAGCAAGGGCAGGGCAAACTGCCTTATAAAACCACCAGATCTCGTGAGAACTCACTCACTATCATGAGAACAGTGTAGGGGGAACGAGCCCCATGATCCAATCACCTCTCTCACTCAACACGTGGGGATTACAATTAGAGATGAGATTTAGGTGGAGACAAAGAGCCAAACTCTATCTCTGTGTGTGTGTGTGTGTGTGTGTGTGTGTTTGTGTGTGTACATACACATATTTTAAAGAGGATGAAAAGACATGTCACATGGGAGAAAATATTTGTAAACCACGTATGCAATAGAAGACTTGAATCTAGAATATGTAAAGAACTCACGAAACTTGACAGTTTTCTTAAAAATCCAATTAGAAAACCAGTAGTAGGCAAAACCATAAACAGACATTTCACCAAAAAGGAGATATGCATGGCAAAAGCAAATGAAAATATATTTTTAGGGGCCGGCGCGGTGGCTCACACCTGCAGCCCTAGCACTTTGGTAAGTCTAGGGGGCCAGATCACTTGAAGCCAGGACTTCGAGATCAGCCTGGCCAATATGGTGAAGCCCCATCTCTACTAAAAATACAAAAATTAGCTGGGCATGGTGGAGCATGCCCGTAGTCCCTAGCTACTTGCAAGGCTGAGGCACAAGAATCATTTGAACCTGGGAGGCAGAGGCGGCAGTGAGCCGAGATTGCGCCACTGCTCTCTAGCCTGGGTGTCAGAGCAAGACTCTGTCTAGAAAAAAAAAAAAAAAAAAGAACAGAAAGAAAAAAATACGTTTTTTAGCATCAGCCATAAGGAAAATGCAAAACCACAATGAGACATGACTAACTACACACTTATTAAAATAGCTAGCAAGGATACAGAAAAACTGGATCTTTCATATATTGCTGGTGGGGATGTAAAATTGTACAGGCACTCTGGAAGATAGTTCGGAAATTTCTTATAAAATTAAATATATAATTACCACATGGCTCACCAACTGCATTCTTGGGCAATTATCCCAGAAAATAATGGCATCATATGCTCACACAAAAACCTGTACCGGAGTGTTTATTACAGCTTTTTTCATAATAGCGAAAAGCTAGAAACAACACAAATGTCCTTCAATGAATGAATGGCTAAGGAAACTCTGATACAGCTATACAATGCAATACCTACCCATCAACAAAAAGTTGCTGCTACCTGCAACAACTTAGATAAACCACAAGAGCATTACACTTACTAAAGAAAGTCAGTCTCTAAAGGTTACATGCTGTGTGACTTCAGTTTACATTCTCAAAATGGCAAAAGTATAAAGATGAGAACAAATTAGTGGCTGCCAGGGACAGAGATATGGGTGAGATTGTGAAAGGATAGCAGAAATTCATAGTAGTAAAAACATAGAATCAACCCAGGTGCCCATCAATGGTGGATTAGATAAAGAAAATGTGACATATACACCGTTGAATATTATGCAGTCATAAAAAAGAACAAAATCATGTCCTTTGCAGCAACATGGATGCAGCTGGAGGCCATTAGCCTAAGTAAACTGGGGTAACAGAAGCAGAAAACCAAATACTGCATGTTCTCACTTATAAGTGGAAGGGGCAGGATGCGGTGGCTCATGCCTGTAATCCCAGCATTTTGGGAGGCCGAGGTGGGCAGATCATTTAAGTCCAGTAGTTCAAGACTAGCCTGGGCAACATGGGGGGACCCCCGTCTCTACGAAAAATACAAAAAATAAGCCAGGCATGGTGGCCTACACATGTAGTTCTAGCTACTTGGGAGGCTAAGGTGGGAAGATCGCTTGAGCCTGGGAGGTCGAGGTTGTAGTGAGCCAGGATCACAACACTGCACTCCAGCCTGGGCGACAGAACGAGACCTTGTCTCAAAAAAAACAAAAAAATGTGGGCACTAACATGGGGTACATATAGGCATAAAGATGGGAACAATACACACTGGACTCCAAAATGGGGTAGGGATGAAAGAGAGGGAAGACTGGAAAACTATCAGCTACTATGTTCACTATCTGGGTGATGGGTCAGTCATACCCCAAACCTCACCATCATACAATATACCTTTGTAACAAACCTGCATATGTACCCCCTATTCTAAAATGAAAGTCAAAAAAGAAAACACAAAGTATAGCAGAAGAGAGTTCCTTTGTAGTGATGGAACAGTTCTGCATCTTGATTGTGGTGGTGATTAAATGAATTTGCATGTGGGTTACATTGCATAGTACTACCCATGCACACAAATGCAAGTAAATACTGGCAAAATCTGAATAACATCTGTAGTTAAGTTAGCAGTAAAGTGGTACCAATGTCACTTTCCTGGTTTTGATATTGTACTACAGTTACATAAGATTTCATCTTTGGGGGACGGAAGGTGAATGAAGCGTTCATAAGATTCGATGTGTTACTTTTGCAACTTCCTGTGAGTCTATGCTTTTTAAAAAAGCCAAAAGTAGCAATATCAATATCAGGTAAAATGGAATTGGAGTTTTAAACCATTAAATACATCAAAGAAGGAATATTTAATGATAAAAAAATATAAAAACAGAAAGCTATATGCAACTAACAACTAAATGTGCAAGTGTTTGACCCCTTTACCAGCAATTCCAAAATTTGAAACACTTTAAAATGAAAAGCCAGCTGGGTGTGGTGGCTCACACCTATAATCCCAGTACTTTGGGAGGCTGAGGTGGGTGGATCACCTGGGGTCAGGAGTTCAAGACCAGCCTGGCCAACATGTTGAAACCCCGTCTCTAGTGAAAACACAAAAATTAGCCGGGTGTGGTAGCACACACCTGTAATCCCAGCTACTCGAGGGCCCAAGGCAGGAGAATAGCTTGAACCCAGGAAGTGGAGGTTGCAGTGACACTCCAGCCTGGGCAACAGAGAAAAAACAAACAAACAAACAAAAAACAACAACAGCAGCAACAACAACAAAAAACCACAAAAGCCAAAGAGTTTCAGACAAGAATTGTGAAACTTTACTACCATATTATAGATCTTATCTCTTATTCTCAATTTTGAAAACCAAAAGTTTCTTAATTTCAAATTGTATCTGGCCTCAGATAAGGGATTATAGATCTATATGAAGAAAAAAACAGTAATGCAAGAGGTATATAATTTTGTAAACTAGATTTATACTAAAATTTTAATGTCTGTTTTTAGAACTTGAAAGCTTTAGTAACATCCCCCCCCCCACCAAAAAGTAAAAACATAGCAGTAAATAATAAAATTATGGTGGACATTTATCATCTTTTATAGAAATCTAGTATCCGAATTCCTCTCCTATGATGGAAATATCTGTTCTCCTAGTTCTGGTGGAAGGCAAAGCTGACAATACGACGTTTTTATTTTCCACCCTCCTTTGCAGCTGGAGCACGAGTTTGTGCTCTGACTTCATCCATCAAATACACTCACTGAAGATTTTGAATTAGAGACTACTGCCTAGTGGGAATGAGAGGAAAATCTTTCTCGTATCAGTGAGGCTGCTACAAGATCAAAGTTCCCCAAACTATTGTGTGAGAGGTGGTAATGTTAGCGCTCTGGTCCCATGACAATGGCTTCAGGGGTACAAAGAGCAACACCTAGTATTTACAGGGCCAACATTTTTCTCACCAGACCAAGAGATTTGGGCTACTTTTTCCTTGCTAGATGGATGACCTTTGAACCAAATATCTTAGCTCTTCTTGAGGTTTTCTTAAGCCCCCATAGATCAACTAAATAAAATTTATTTTTATTTCTATTTAAATCAGCTAGAGTTTGTTACTATTTCTAACAATAAGAACCCTGACATAACAAACAAGTGTTAAAATATAAAGGGAGACCTAAGTAGTTTTCTGAATTAAGAATTATTTTCCTTCATTCAAATAAATGTACACCAAAATTGAGCATATATTTCTACAATTGAATTCTTTTTTTTTTTTACCATCATCACTATCTATTCTCAAAACTTTATTACCCCAAACAGAAATTCTGTAACCATTAAGCAATAACTTCCCGTCTCCAGTCTCCCCCTTGTAACCTCTAATTTACATTCTGTGTCTCTATGAATTTGCCTATTCTAAGTACCACATATAAATTGAATCATACAATATTTGTCCTTTTGTGTCTGGTTTATTTGATTTAGCATAAAGTCTTCAAGGTTCATCCATGTTATAGCATGTGTTAGAATTACATTCACTTTTGTAGCTGAATAATATTCCATTGCATGCACACAGCACATTTTGTTTATCCACTTATCTGTTGGTGGATATTTTGGTTATTTTCACCTTTTGGCTATTGTGAATAATGGTACAATGAACATTGGTGTACAAGTATCTGTTCAAGTTCCCACTTTCAATTCCTTTGGGTGTATACCTATAAGTGGAATTGCTGGATCATATGGTAACTCCACGTTTTGCTTTTTAAAAAACCACCAAACTGTTTTCCATAAAGGCTGCACCACTTTACATCCTCACCCTTAACGCAAAAATTTTCTAATTTTTTCACATCTTCGCCAACATTTGTTATTTTCCATTTACCATGTATATATAATAGTCATCTTACTGGGTGTGAAGTGGTATCTCAATATGGTTTGGACCCTTATTTCCCTATGACTAATGATGCTGAACATCTTTTCATGTGTTTGTTAGTCATTTGTATATCTTTTTAAGAGAAATGTCTATTCAAGTCCTTTGCCCATTTTTGAAAGGAGTTGCATGGTTTTTTTGTTGTTGAGTTGCAGTTCTTCACATATTATGAATATTAATTCCTTACTATATGCTTTAAAATATGTCCTCCCATTCTATTGGTTGACTTTTAACTCTCTTGATAGTGTCCTTTGATGCACAGAAGTTTTCAGTTTTGATGAAGTCACATTCATCTATTTTTTTCTTTTTTTTGCCTATTCTTTGTGTGTCATATTCAAGAAATCATTATCACATCTAATATTATTAAGATTTCCCTTTATGTTTTCTTCTAAGAGTTTTACAATTTTAGCTCTTTAGTTTATTTAGTCTTTTGTTTGTGTCTTAGATTCTTTTTGAGTTAATTTTTATATGATATAAGGTAAAAACCTAACTTCATTCTTTTGAACATGAATATCCAGTTTTCCCAGCACCGTTTGTTGAAAAGGCTGTCCTTTTCCCACTGAATAATCTTGGCACTCTCATCAAAAATCATTTACTGTATATTCAAGGGCTTATTTCTGGGTTCTCTATTCTATTTTATTGGTATATATATCTGTCTTTATTCCAGTTCTACACTGTTTTGATAACTGTTGCTTTATAGTAAGTTTTTAAATGAGGAAGAATGAGTCCTCCAAATTTGTTCTTTTTCCAGATTAATTTGGCTATTTGGGTCCCTTGATATTCCATATGAATGTTAGGATGGCTTTTTATATTCCTGCAAAAATCTTCCTTGGGATTTTGACAGGGATTGTGTTGAATCTGTATATCGCTTTTATGTCATGTTGCTGTCTTAATAATAGTAAGTTTTCCAATCTATGAATATAGGATGTCTTTCAATTTATTTATGTTCTTTAATTTTTTTCAGCAATGTTTTGTAGTTTTCAGTTTACAAGTCTTTTGCCCCTTAAGTTTATTCCTAAATATTTTATTCTTTTCATGCTATTGTAAATAGAATTATTTTCTTAATTTCCTTTTTGGATTGTTCATTGTTAGTGCCTAGAAATGAAACTTCTTTCTTCGGTGTTGGTTTTGCATCCTGCAATGTTGCTGGATTCATTTATTAGCTCAGAAAGTGTTTTTGAGGAATGACATATAAGATCATGTCATCGACCTATCTATCTGAACAAAGGTAATCTTACTTGTTACTTTTCAATGGATGGCTTTTCTTTCTTTTTCTTGACTAATTGTTCTGGCTAGAACTTCCAATATTATGTTGAATAGAAGTGGCAAAAGCAGGCATATTTGCCTCATTACTGATTTTAAGGGAAAAGCACTCAGTCTTTCACCATTGAGTATGATATTAGCTGTGAGGTTTTTTTTTTCAATATGGCCTTTATTATATTGAAGTTTCCTTCTATTCCTGGTTTTTATAGTGTGTTTATCATGAAAGTCTGTTGAATTTTTAAATACATTTTCCACGTTGATTGAGATTATCGTAGGATTTTTTTCTCTTTATTCTGTTACTGCGGTGTTTTACACTGATTAATTTTCAGATTAATGAAATGAGCCATCCTTGCATTCCAAAAATTCCACATGGTATATAAGTATTTTAATATGTTGCTGAATTCAGTTTGCCAGTATTTTTTGAGGATTTTAACATCAACATTCATAAGAGTTATTCGTCCATAGATTTCTTTTCTTGTAGTGGATTTGCTGGCTTCAGTATCAGGGTCTTGCTGGCCTAACAGAATGAAATAGGAAGTGTCCCCTTCTCTTCAACTTTTTGGAAGAGTTTGAGAAGGATTTTTTTTTTTTTAATATTTGGTAGAATCCACCAGCGAAGCTATCTGGTTCAGGACTTTTCTTTTTTTGGTAAATTTCTAATTATTGATTTAATCTCCTTACTAATTAGAGGTCTATCCAGACTTTCTTCCTAATTTAGCCTTGGTAGGTTGTGTTTTTCTAGGAATTTGTCCATTTCATTCAGGTTATCTAATTTCTTGGTATACAGTTGTTCTCCTACAATCCTTTTTATTTCTGTAAAATCAGTAGTAATATCCTCATTTTCATTTCTGATTCCAGTAATTTTGACTATTCTCTCTTTCTTCTTGGTTGGTCTAGCTAAAGGTTTGTCAATTTTGTTGACTTTTTAAAGAGCCAACCCTTGGTTTTCTTGATTTTATCTGTTATTTTTCTGTTAATTGTTTTATTTATCTCTATCTTTATTAGTTCCTTCATTCTGCTAGCTTTAGGTTTACTTTGTTCTTTTTCTAATGTTACATTGCTTATTTGAGATCTTCCTTCTTTTTTAATGTAAATATTTACAGCTATAGATTTCCCTTTAGCAGTGCTTTCACTTTATCCTATAAATTTTTGCTATGTTGTGTTTTCATTTTTCATTCATCTCTAAGTGTTTTCTAGTTTCCCTTGTGATTTCTTCTTTAATTCATTGACGTTTAAGAGTATGTTGCTTTATTTCCACAGGTTTGTGAATTTTTCTGTTTTTCTACTGTTATTGATTTCTGACTTCATCCTATTGTGGTCAGAGAAGATATTTTGCATGACATATGTCCTTTAAAATCTATTGAGATTCAATTTGTAGCCTACCCTATGGTCTGTTCTAGAGAGTGTTCAATGTGCACTTGGGAAGAATTTATATTCTGTTGTTGATTGAGTGTCCTGTATATCTGCTAAATCTACTTGGTTTATTGTGCTATTCAAGTCCGCTATTTTCTCACTTATCTTCTGCCTAATTGTCCTATTCACTACTGAGAGTATGGCATGGAAGTCTCCATTATTGTAGAACTGTCTATTTCTCCCTCCAAGTCTGTTAATTTTTGCTCCATATATTTTGATGGTCTGTTATTAGGTACATAAATTTTTATAATTGTTATACCTTCCTGCTGTATGGAAACTTTTATGTCTTCATTTTCTCTTATAACTTTTTGACTTACAGTCTATTTTGCCTGATTTTGATATAGACTCCCTTATTCTCTTTTGGTTACTCTTTGCACAGAATATTCTCCCCCCCATCCCGTGACACACAAGACTTATAATATTCATATACATGACACAATGAGAATATGCATCCCTTGAGAACATGCAGTGTTACGTGCAATTTAAGGCAAAAGAATTTTCTCATTGTTAAGGCACACTAAAAATCAAGAAAGTGAGAGTGACTTTATAAGAAAATTGAGACCCATCAATGTGTCTTTTTTTGAGACAGGGTCTCACTCTGTCACCCACGCTGGAGTTCAGTGGTATGATCACAGCTTACTACAACCTCAAACTCCTGAACTCAAGTGATCCTCCGACATTAGCCTGCTGTAAAGTTGGAACCACAGGCATGCACCACCACACCTGGATTTTTTAAAAAAATTTTTTGTAGATATGGGGTCTGGCTATGTTGCCCAGACTGGTCTCAAACTCCTGGTCTCAATCAATCATCCTACCTTGGCTTCCCAAAGTGCTGGGATTATAGATGTGAGCCACCATGCCCAGCCACACCAGTGTGTCTTAACAATGAGTCTTGAGACACTATTCTGGGAGGTAAACTTTGACCTGTAGTTTCTCTGAGCAAATATAATGATGAGCCATGTCATACAGTGACCCTATTTTATTTCTAGATAGAAAAGAAAAGATTTATTCTTCTTTTCTTCTCTATTGTGCTAAGAATCAGCACAAAGAAATATCATTAACTTTGTATATGAATCTAATTCCCACATTATAGCCAGAATTTAAAAATTTATCCACTCTCATTCACTTTCTTAAAGCACTTTGATTAGTAAATGGTTTCTAATACTGTTCAAAAATTCTAGAAATAAATTTTTGAATAAACAAAAATGTATCAAGCATTTATTACATCCACAGCACCATAAAATAGAGAGGTACAAGAGCCAGTAACAGCAATCAAAATGGATTTTTAAAAAGATGCAATTTGCAATAGCAACAAACATCAATAAATCAACTGAGAATAAATTTAACTAAAGATGTACAACAAGGGACGATACAGCAGTGCAAAGTTAGCTATAATGAGAAGCTATAACAATTCTAGGCTTAAAGAGAACCCAAAAAGGCTGGGCACAGTGGCTCACGCCTGTAATCCCAGCACTTTGGGAGGCCGAGGCAGGAGAATCACTTGAACCCAGGAAGCAGAGGTTGCAGTGAGCCGAGATCATGCCACTGCACTCCAGCCTGGCGACAAAAGCGAGACTTCATCAAAAAAAAAAAAAAAGAACCCAAATAAAAACTACAAGAGAGAGTCAACTCCAGGAAAAGAAGTATAACCATTTAGAGGGATTCAGCAATCCACTGAGACAAAGCAAGGAAAAATAAGTATCCTCTATTCAATCTCTCAATCTGATTGCCTTTTCAAATTTAAACTTTTAATTTCACAGTAGAATTTAAATTTGTTCAAATTCTTCTGGTTATGTTTCTCATTTGTCGTGTGTGTGTATGTGTGTGTGCGCTTGTGTATTTATGTCTGTGTAATTTTATCACATAGCTTTGTGTATCCAATACCACAGTCAAGGTACAGAACAGTTCCAACACCACAAGGATTCATCTTGCTGCCTTTTTACAACCACATTCCCCTGCATCTCACCCCTCTCACCCTCCTAAACCCTGGAAACCACTAATCTCATTTCTATAACTTTGTTATTTTAAAAATATTATACAAATGGAATTATACAGTGGATAACCCGTTTACTGTGTTGTTCATATTTTATCTTTTTTTTCTTTGATGGAGTTTCACTCTTGTTGCCCAGGCTGGAGTGCCATGGCGTGATTTCAGCTCACTGCAACCTTCACCTCCCGGGTTCAAGCGATTCTCCTATCTCAGCCTTCCAACTAGCTGGGATTACAGGCTCCCGCCACCATGCACGGCTAATTTTTGTATTTTCAGTAGAGACAGGGTTGATCACCATGTTGGCCAAGCTGGTCTTGAACTCCTGACCTCAGGTGATCCACCCGCCTCAGCCTCCCAAAGTGCTGGGATTACAGGAGTGAGCCTCCGTGCCCAGCCCATATTTTATCTTTTATACCTTGCTGATTTTCCATCCGGTAGTTTTGACAGCTATTGAAAGTAGGGTGTTACTATCCCCAACTATAATTGTGGATTTGTCTGTTGCTCCTTTAGGCTCTCTCAGTTTTTGCTTCTTGTATTTTGAGGCTCTGTTGTTTGCTGCGTGTAATTCAGGATTGTTGTCTCTTCTTAGTGTATTGATCCTTTTTCATTATGTCATATCCTTGTTTGTCTCTAGTAGTTTATTATGAAGTCTACTTTATCTGATATTGATAGAGCTATATCTTCTTTTCTTTTTTTATTAACGTGTGCATCGTATCTTTTTTTACCTTTTACTTTTAACTTACCTGTGCTGCTGAATTTTCAGCTAGTTTCTTGTAAACAACATATAGTTTAGTGATTTTTTAAATTCACTCTGCCCATCTATACCTTTTAGTTGATGAATTTTAACAATTTACATTTAAAGTAACTATTAATATATTAGCACTTAAGTTTGCCATTTTATTTGTTTGTTTTTCTCACTCTGTCATTCAGGCTGGAGTGTAGCAGCATGATCATAGTGCACTGTAACCTTGACCTCCTGGCCTCAAGCCATCCTCATGCCTAGCCTCCCAAAACAGTGAGATTACAGGTGTCAGCCACCATGCCCGGCCTATTTTCCTATTTTATTTTATTTTCTGTTGTTTTCCTTTTTCTTTTTTTTTTTTTTTTTTTGTTCTACAGGTTACTTGAAGATTTTTTTCATATTCCATCTTTAGGATTCTATTTACAGCATTTCTTAGTATATCTCTCTTATAGTTTTCTTATTAGTTGCTTTGGGTATTACAATATACATATGTGAGTCATCACTCTCCACTGGTATCAGTATTTTACTTTTCTGTTGTTGTTTTTTGTTTTTAAGATAGGGTCTCACTCTGCCATCAGGCTAAAGTACAGTAACACAATCATACCTCACTGTAGCCTCCAACTCCTGGGCTCAAGTGGTCCTTCTGCCTCAGCCTGCTGAGTAGCTGGAACTACAGGTGTGTGACATCATTCCTGGTTTTATTTTATTTTATTTTTTTAGAACAGGATCTCACTATGATGTCTATGTTATCAAGCTGTGTTTGAAAACTTCCCAAATTTGGTGAAAGACATAAACCTACAGATTCAAGAAGCCAATTGAAACTTAAATAGGATAAATCTAAAGATGTCCTGGCCAAGGGACATCATAATCAAACTTCTGAAAAGTAAAATTAAAAAAAAAAATCTTGAAACCAGACAAAGGAAGAAAAAGACACATTACCTATGGAAAACTCCAATTTGGATTTCTTGTCTGAAACAATGGAGGCCAGAAGGAAGTGGCACCACATTTTTCAAGTGCAGACAGCAGAGGCTCATCAGCCATGAATCCTCTGTCTGGTGAAATTACCCTTCAGGAATGAAAAGGAAATAAATGCATTAGCAAATGAAGGAAAGCTAGAAGAACTAGCAGATCTATCCTAAAAGAATGGCTAAAGGAAGTTCTCAAGCAGAAAAAAAATAATAAAAGAAGGAATCTTGGAGTGTTAAGAAGGAAGAAGGAACAACAGAGCAAAAATATGGATACATACAATTGACTGTTCTTCTCAGGAATTTCTGTTTATTGGTTTATTTTTTTGAGACAGTGTCTCACTCTGTCACCCAGGCTGGAGTGCAGTGGTGCAATCGTAGCTCACTGCAGCCTCAAACTCCTGGGGTCAAGTGATCTCGCTTCAGCCTGCCAAGTAGCTGGGGCTGCTGTTCTATCATTTGGAGTGAGGTATGAAAACCACTCTTCCATTTAAGTTCCTTTCCCTTCCACACTCTTAAATATTATTGTCTCTAGTACCAGACAGTGTTATGTTTCTGTTTCAAGCATCAAATATGATTTATAAATTTCCTGAGAAGAAGATTCAGGCACAGTGCCTCACACCTGCAATCCCAGCACTTTGGGAGGCCAAGGCAAGAGGATCACTTGAGCCCAAGAATTCGAGAATAGTCTGGGCAATATAGGGAGAGCCTATCTCTACAAAAAATGAAAAGTTAACTGGGTGTGGTGGAACACAGCTGTAGCCCTAGTTACTCAGGAGCCTGAGACAAGAGGATCGCTTGAGCCCAGGAGTTTGAGGCTGGAATGAGCTACGATTGCACCACTGCACTCCAGCCTGAGTGACTGAGTGAGACACTGTCTCAAAAAAATAAACAAATAAACAGAAATTCCTGAGAAGAATAGTCAATTGGATGAATCCATATTTTTCCTCTATTGTTCCTTCTTCCTTCCTAATATTCCAAGATTCCTTCTTTTATTATTTTCTTTCTGCTTGAGAACTTCCTTCAGCCATTCTTTTAAGGTAGATCTGCTCATTCTTCTAGTTTTCCTTTATCTGCGAATGCATTTATTTCCTCTTCATTCCTGAAGTGTAGTTTCACCAGACGCAGGATTCGTGGCTGATGATCCTCTGCTTTCAGCACTTACTTGAAAAATGTGGTACCACTTCCTTCTGGTCTCCATTGTTCCATATGAGAAATCCAAATGGGTGCTTTCCTATAATTAATGTCTTTTTTCATTTTGTTCCTTTGGTTTTAAGATGCTTTTGTCTTTAGTTTTCAGACGTTTGATTATGATGTGTCTTGGCAGGGACTTTATTCTATTTGAGGTTCAATTGGCTTCTTGAATCTGTAGGTTTATGTATTTCACCAAATTTAGGAAGTTTTCAGCCATTATTTCTTCAAGCTCCACGCTTTCAGCCCCACTTTCTTTCTCCTTTCTTTCTGGGATTCTGATGATTCCAGTGTTGGATCTTTTATTATTGCCTCACAGGTCTTGGAAGTTCTACCCATTCTTTTCAGTCTCTTCTCTCTGCTGCTCAGATTATGTAAACTCTATTGGTCTGTCCTCTACTCCTTCTATCCTCTGTCATCTGTCTTCTACTATTGAGTTAAATGAGTAAGATTTTTATCTCAATTATTTTGTTTTTTAGTTATATAATTACCAGTTTGTTCTTTTTCAATTACTTCTTTGATGAAATTTTTGTTTTTTCAGTTGTTTTAAAAGAATCTGTAATTCGTTGTTGAATGTTTTATGATTGCTGCTTTACAATTCTTACAGATATTATAATTCCAGCATCTGATTCATCTCAGTGTTGGTGCCAGTTGATTGTCTGTTTTCATTCAAGTTGTGATTTTCTGGTTCTTAGCGTGATGGGTGGTTTTAAAATTATATCCCTTCTGATACAGACATGAGGATATATATATATCCTTAACATTTGATATCTATATTATAAATCTCTGGGTCTTATTAACAAATTGTTATCATTTATTAATTAATAATAAATCTCTTATTTTAGCAATCAGTCACCCTGTTTAGATTTAGCACACAGATTCTGACCTACTTTTATGGGTTTTGGTTCCAAGGACAAATTAATTTTTCGAGCTTTTACAGTGTTACTTTGATCTATTTGGTTTATTCTAGTGCTACAAGAACTTCTGCTTGTCTCTGTATGTGCTGCCTAAAAGGGTGGAAGGTACTTCCCTAGACTGGGCCACCTGGTACCTCCACCTTGAGGAGGGAAGTCTCAGGCCCAGAGGAATGATAAGCCTTCCCAAGCTGCCTGCTTGTTGCGATGAGATTTTCCTGGCCAGAGATGTCCTGCCTCCTGCTGTCTCTCAGTGGGTGAGGAGAGTCTCTGGCCTAGCAAGGAAGAGCATGTCCCCTGGCCACTTATTGTCAGTAGATTTTCTGATTTACCCCACTTGCTAATGCCTCTGGGCTCACCTTGTGTTGTCAGTGGGTCTCCCACTTGATCCAGCACAGGAATGAGGCTGCCTGGGCTGCCTTCTGTTGCTAAACAATGGTCAGGAAACTCCAGGGCCTGGGTCACATTTTTCTCTCTGCTGGGTAGCCATAAGATGCCCTGCCATTATGCTGTTCCTCCTGTCCTGGGGTCTCCAACAAGTCTGTATTCTTTCCACCTTTCATAGGTGTCCTTTGTGTCTCTTATATGGTTTCTAGAGTTTATAGTTCTGCTTAGAGGGGAGGAGCAGAGAGGAATGAGTGTGCCATACCATCTCAACTGCAAATCTGATCTCCTTGTGGTGCCTCTCATTGACTAAATCCTACTGTAAAGGAGAAAGTGAAAGAGGCTGTCAATGCAAGACATGAAGGCAGCCTCCCAGAGCACAGGACAGAAAAGAGAAGGCTGAAAAGCAGATATGGAAAGGCATGCAGAGACTATCCAGCACAATGACCATTATTCTGTGAAGGAAAAATCAAAACACGTTGACATCTACAGAGACTAAGGGCATTTACACACCAACACACAACTATTCTTTTTTTTTGAGATGGAGTCTCACTCTGTCGCCCAGGCTGGAGTGCAGTGGTGTAACCTCGGCTCACTGCAACCTCCACCTCTTGGGTTCAAGCAATTCTCTGCCTCAGCCTCCTGAATAGCTGGGATTGCAGGCACCTGCCACCACGCCCAGCTAATTCTTTTTTTTTTGTATTTTTAGTAGAGACAGGGTTTCACCATCTTGGCCAGGTTGGTATTGAACTCCTAACCCCTTGTGATCCACCCGCCTTGGCCTCCCAAAGTGCTGGGATTACAGGCGTGAGCCACCGCGCCTGGCCAACACACAACTATTAAAAGAACATCTGAAGAACAGTAACCCCAGAGAGGAGGGTAGAAAAGCAAGAGAGTGAGATGGGAAACCACTAAGATGTGTTGGTATATTCAACAAAACATTTATCAACCATCAAAAAACCTAATTCTGGGATTTAAAAAAGATGATACTCAATCTCTAGATAAAAATTGCAAAGAACAGAGTGATTGGTTCAATGAGCAAGGTGTAATACCACTCCCGTCTTGTTCTAGAAAGAGAAGCAGTCTTGGGTAACTTTAGACTCCATTAGAAACTTTGTAATCATAATGGATGCTAAAAGAAATTTAGGGGCTGGGCATGGTGGTTCACACCTGTAATCCCAGCACTTTGGGAGGCCCAGGTGGGCAGATCACTTGAGGTCAGGAGTTCGAGACCAGCCAGGTCAATACGGTGAAACCCCATCTCTACTAAAAATACAAAAACTAGCTGGGCATGGTGGTGCACGCCTGTAGTCCCAGCTTCTCGGGAGGCTGAGGCAGGAGAATAGCATGGACCCAGGAGGCAGAGGTTGCAGTGAGCCAAGATCGCACTTGGCTTATGCACTCCAGCCTGGGCCACAGAGTGAAACTCTGTCTCAAAAAAGAAAGAAAAAGAAAAGAAAGAAATTTAGGGAAACTACTAAAAGAGCAGCTGTTTAGTCTTTAGTTTCTAATTCTACATAGAAGGGAAATGGAAAATACAGAAATATTCATCAATTTTAAATAAGGCCAATAAAAAACAAAAGAGGGAAGAGAAACAAAGCAAAAAAGATGATAAAGATAAAAGAAAAAATCAGTTGCACCATTAGGGCACACAGAGCTTGCAGAAGACCTGGATGAATCATTTGATTCAGCAAAATGCAAATGTTTCCGTGAACTGAAGGCAAATCATGTATAATCTGTGCTTTGTGCTCAAAGTACTTTAAAAAAATAAAGCAGCTTTGCTTTCTCACAAAAATTGATAATTAACCAGCTCTCTGAAGGATCTATTGATGTGGGTTGGGGGTGTTAAAAATCAATCCCTGGAAAAGCTATTTCCTGCTTCTCTCTCTTCTTTCCCCACCCTGCCTCCTCACCCCCGTTAAACCTTGGATCTTCAAATCCCTTTCAATCCTCAGAGCCTAGCACTTGTTTTGCCCCAGGGGATAAAATGTGTGGGGGAAGTAGCAATGAGTACATAAATCACATTTTTACAATAATTTTTCAAAACAGTAAAACAACCAATAACAGTGACTGTGTCTAATTCATCTTCAAATCCCCAGTACTTACACAATAGTGAATGACACACAGAAGTTATGAATATAAGAAAGAAACAAAGAAACAAAGAAAGAAAGAGAGAAAGAAAGAAAGAAAGAGATAGAAAGAGAGAAAGAAAGAAAGAGGAAGAAAGAAAGAGAAAGAAAGAAGAAAGAAAGAAAGAAAAAGAAATAAAAAGAAAGAAAGAGAAAGCGGGAAGGAGAATCAACAAACATTGAGCACGTGCTATGTGCTGAGCACTGAGGAAACATAATTGCAAAGGTGTGGCATTTTATTTATATAGTTGGTTATTTACTTATTTATTTTAGGCATAGCTTATAAATTGATGGGATCTACAGCTGATGGTGCTGAAGGGACTTAGCTCCATTTGCAAGAATCAAGGAGATTTCCTAGACAAGACAGAGGCCCCAGGTCACTGTAACCCGTGCTCTCTTTGCTCTCTTTCTCCCGGTCCTCACTGCCTCTTACCCAGCCACTCCTCACCAGTGTGAGTGTGGTAGGCTGATGACATCTCACCCTGCATCCATCCCACTCTTCCTCTTGCTTAAAGTTGGAAGCATAGCTCCAGCCACATGCCCTCTTTTTGGCAAAGTCTCTCACCTTAGCAACATCTCCATGGGCAACAGTCTTAACTAATTCTTCATTAAGGTCACAGGTTCTTGAGTTTCAAGTCATTTCTTCAGGAGTCAGGAGAGTCTTTCACCAGATGCCACATGAGAAATTGCTGCTGGATTATATGTCCAAGATGTTACACAAACTCTCACCTTTAAATCACCTTCTCTTTTGATCACAGTGACTAATTAGCAGAGCCAATGTTGAAATGCAGATCTTCTGGTTCTTAGTGTGATGGGCCATTTCTGCTTTTCACAGTGTTCTCAGATTTTTCGAGTTCAATCTCAGCGCCATGCCATGTGTGCTGGCCTTCTGGGGACCTATCTTAACCACCCATCCTGCACTCTAGGATACAACTGAATGGCAACCTTCTTCCTATCCACCATGCAGGCCTTAAGAATGCTGTCCTATTCAGAGAATGTCATCATGTGGACAAAGTCCTGAGCAATGGATAAGGATGACAACTGATATGACAGCAGGAAGTTTTTTTTCTCAGGTGAGAGGACAATGGAAACAGGGGAAAACTCTTCTGTGGACATCAGCTTCTCAGCAGTGAATACAAACTGAGAAATCAAAAGAGAACTTTTTTTTTTTTTTGAGACAGTTTCACTCTTGTTGCCCAGGCTGGAGTGCAATGGCATGATCTCGGCCTCCCAGGTTCAAGTGATTCTCCTGCCTCAGCCTCCCAAGTAGCTGGAATTACAGGCATGCACCACCATGCCTGGCTAATTTTGTATTTTCAGTAGAGATGGGGTTTCTCCATGTTGGTCAGGCTGGTCTCGAACTCCCAACCTCAGGTGATCCGCCCACCTTGGCCTCCCACAGTGCTGGGATTACAGGCATGAGCCACTGCACCCAGCCAGAGAATGTTTTTTAAAAAGTGGCTCCTCTTATGTATTTATCTTCCAATAATCATAACTGCCTGGATTATGAGTGTCTCTTTCTTGGCTCTGAATCTGAACCGGGTAATATTTTCTGCTCCATTCCCATTTGCTCTTTTCTTGGCCTTTGAAGGACAAACAGAAGTTTGCCAGGATCAAACATGCTAATCCAGGCAGCGGCAGGGGCTTCTGAGGGGACAGGCTGCCCTGGGAGATGCCGAGAATGGCTGTTTGATTGGAGTATGTGATGCTTGGGGGAGCAGAGAATCTGTGGAAAGAGCCACCTGAGGGCTGAGCTGCTGCCCAAACTTGAAGGACTCGATGAGCTTTGCTAAGAGTTTGACTTTACTCTCCAGGTAGTAGAAGAAAATCAATTTTTAGATTGAGAACATCATTACATTGAGAACATGTTGTAAGAAAAATGGTGAAAAAGTACAAGTGCTAAGGTAAGTAGAAGCAGGCAGCCGGGCGGCCTGATGGACACCTGTCACAACAGCCCAGATGAGACCCAGTCTGCACTAATGCAGTGGCCCAGGGCATTAAGGGAGGGCTGGTTCGAGAGCTACTTAAGCGGAAACATGGGCAGGAAATGAGAACCTAAAGGATGTGAGTATAAGACAGAGGTCGAGGACATGAGGTGAACAGTGGTACCTGCACTGAGATTAGATACGTGTACTGCTCTACTCAGAACTCTTTTTAAAAATAGAGACGGAGTCTCGCCATGTTGCTCAGGGCTGGCCTTGAACTGCTGGGCTCCAGTGATCCTCCTGCCTCAACCTGGCTTCTACTCAGAACTCTTAAATGACTTTTCTGAGTCATAGCTGACAATCTGGAACCTGGAGCCCTACAGCCACATTTTTTTCATACTGAAGCAGATGTACTGTTTTCCTACCAAATGACAGTCCTGTGAACTGTCCTTTACTGACTTTACAGAGTCCTCTTTCTCCTTTCTGCCCCCTAGGTGAGTATATCCTCAAGAATTTACACATCACTCTCTGTATTAGTCAGGATTCTCTAGAGGAATAGAAATAATATGATGTATAGATGATAGATAGATAGATAGATAGATAGATAGATAGATAGATAGATGATAGATAGATAGATATAAAGGGGAGTTTATTAGGGAGTATTAACTCACACGATCACAAGGTCCCACAATATACCATCTGCAAGCTGAGAAGCAAGGAAGCCAGTCCAAGTCCCAAAGCTGAAGAACTTGGAGTTTGATGTTCGAGGGCAGGAAGCATCCAGCACAGGAGAAAGATGTAGACTAGGAGGCTAAGCCAGTCTAGTCTTTTCAAATTTTTCTGCCTACTTTATATCCTGGTCGTGCTGGCAGCTGATTAGATGGTGCCCACCTAGATTGAGGTTGAGTCTGCCTTTCCCAGCCCACTGACTCAAATGTTAATCTCCTTTGGCAACACCCTCACAGACACACCCAGGATCAATACTTTGCATCCTTCAATCCAATCAAGTTGACACTCAGTATTAACCACCACACTCTCTTTTCTTTTTGCACTTAGTCTTTCAATAACAGAATGAACACTTAGCTGTCTACATGCCCTGCCCTGTGTTCTCTCCCCCAGTCCTTCATTTCCAAATGCCCGTGAGCCTCTTGGATTTACACTGTTCACCTGCGTTGCAAACTCAGCATGTTCAATAGGACTAACCATGACCCTCCCCTGACAACTGGCCCCCTCTATCAACATGCCTCTACTGTCCACATATCAGTCTTCCAGGCTAGCAACCTTGAAGCCACTTAAGTAATAAAAGAGCATGTGTCCTGGGGTCAGACAGATTCTGGGTAATATATGACTCAACCAACTACTCATCAGATGACTTTGGCCAAGCTAATCAACCTTTCTGAACCTCCGCTTCTTCAATAGGAAAATGGGGTTGATAGTCCCTAACTCAGAAGAATGCTACAGAATATCAGTGAGATCCTAAGGGCTGATGGACCAGAGCGGGGCCCAGCACAAAGTCAGCTATCAAGTAACACTGGTTCTCATCTACATCTTTTCCTCTGCTTCCTATTCAACTGGTCGCCAAGTCCTTTAGTCTCTTCCTACTAAATCCTGGATTTTTCCCTTTTTCTCCATTTCCATGATGAGTCTAGACTACATGTTTTCATACCTCAGTTATGCTAACAGCCTCTGAACTGGTCTAACAACCTTATTCTCTCATGTGCTGGTTAATAGTTCATGTTGCCATATTCCTATTCCTAAAGCCACATTCCTATTCGTAAAGCATTGCCTTCTCCTCTTAGACGCACTTCATGTGCACAAGTTGGGTACTGATATGAATATTTCTAAGACGTGTGTACGTGTATATGTGTGCTTCCTCACTCTCATTTTCTTGTAACTTACATGAAACACAGCCTTTCTTGATGCCTTCCAGCCCCTTAGTGTCCTCCTCGTAGCAGAGCACAGGGATTGGCAAGCAGTGAGCACTCAGCCAACGCCATCAGCCCTGGGATCGACATGCCTGTTCCTAGAACACTGCTCAATTTACTGCAGTTTATTTTCTAGAAGATACAAAATTCATGATTTCATAGGATTCCAGAAAATAGCAGTAACCACAGGAAGGGAAAAGGCAGATTATTCCAGAGGGAAGTCTCCAGCCAGGCGGAACCCATGAGAGAAATTAATGTGATGAAGAACATGTGTGAAAGTTATAAAACCCTGTGAGGTAGTTGCCAGGAGACTGGGGGAAGGGAGAATGGGAGCTGTAGTTTAATGAGTACAGAGTTTCGGTTTTACAAGAGGAAAAGAGTTCTGGAGACTGGTTACACAACAATGTGAATACACTTAATACTGCTGAACTACACACTTAGAAATGGTTAGAATGATAAAGTTTGTTTTTTTAACCACATTAAATTTTTTTAAGTTGTTTAAAAAAAAAACACCTCTCTGAGGAAAATCCTAAAGGAGCTGAAGGCTGGGGAATTAATGAAGCAGGAAGGAAAGCACTCCCGTATTACGGGGTGCACCCTTGCCACGGTGTTCCCATGATAGCCTACATTACCTCTGCCACAGAGACCAGCTTGTTGCATTAAGTTTCCTCTCCAGTTGTCTGACTCTCTCACTAGACGAGATGTGTCTTTAAAACAGAAGTGACCTGTTTACCGTGGCATCCCCTATCCCTAGCACAGAATAGGTGTTACACAAAGATTTGTCCAATGTGAATAAATGAAGAGTTTGGCATGGTGCTAGACATGTTCTTTTCAAAGTGCTTTTCGCATATTAACTCATGGAGTACAGCTCTATGTGGAAGACATTTCTGCATTTGTTTTTTGAGACGAGGTCTTGTTCTCTCATCCAGGCTGGAATACAGTGGTACGATTACAGTTCATGGCAGCCTCCACCTCCTGGGCTCAAGGGATTCTCCTGCCTTAGCCTCCCAAGTAACTAGGACCACAGGCGCAAACCAATGAATCAAGCAAATTTTTTTTTTTGGCGAATTTTTTTTTGAGATGGAGTCTCAGTCTGTCACCCAGGCTGGAGTGCAGTGGCGTGATCTCGGATCACTGCAACCTCTGCCTCCCGGGTTCACGCCATTCTCCTGCCTCAGCCTCCCGAGTAGCTGGGACTACAGGCGCCTGCCGCCAGCCCGGCTAATTTTTGTATTTTTAGTAGAGACGGGGTTTCACCGTGTTAGCCAGGATGGTCTCGATCTCCTTACCTTGTGATCCGCCCGCCTCGGCCTCCCAAAGTGCTGGGATTACAGGCGTAAGCCACTGTGCCCGGCCGAATCTTTTTTTTTTAATAGAGACAGAGGCCTTGCTATGTTGCCCAGGCTGGTCTTGAACTCTCAAGGGTCAAGGGATCCTCCCACCTTTGCCTCCCAAAATGCTGGGATTACAGGCAAGAGCCTTGACACCCGGCTGGAAGACTTTTCTTTATCCCCACTTTACAGAGGGGGAAACTGAAGCACAAAGAGATCAGGAAACTTCCCCAAGGCCAAACAAAGTCTAACAACTTTGTTAAGGAAACTTCCCCAAGGCTACACAACTAATAAATGGTGATGCCAAGATTCAAGCCAGAACAGGCCAGCTTCAGAGACCATCCTTTTAACCACTTACCACGCTGACATTCAGCAGATGCGAAATTGGAAACACAGGTCAGCTAAAAGTCCAAAGTCAAACTATGAGTGTGTGATGAAGCCCTAGCATACCCTCACTGCTTTCAGGAAATAACTGGAACCTGGGCCGCAAGGGAGACAGACTGCCTCTGTGTGAGTAACGTGTTCACCAGCTTCCAGTCAGAGGTGGAAGGGCCACACTTTGGGGGCATCTAGAGTTTTTTTACTGTGTGTGTATGTTCATGCATGTGTGTTGTGTGTTGTGTGTGGTATGTGATGTGTGTGTGTTTTGTGTGGTGTGTGTGGTGTGTGTGTATGGTGTGTGTATGTGTGTGGTGTGTGTTTGGTGCGGTGTGTGATGTGTGTTGTATATGCGTTGTGTGTGCTGTGTGTTTTGTGTGTGTGTTGTGTGTGTGCTGTGTGTGGTGTGTGTGGTGTGTGCTGTGCTGTGTGTGTGTTGTGTGTGTGGTGTCTGTGTGATGTGTGTGTGTTGTATGTGTATGGTGCATGTGTGGTGTGCTTTGTGTGGGGTATGTCTGTGTGTGTGTGTTTGCTTGTTTTCTTCCCACTACAAGAATCTAAGGCCCCTAGGGTAAAAATCATGTCTGATTCTCCTAAATCTCCAAAGCCTGGCAACAGTGCCTGGCACAGAGTAGATATTTAGACAAGGGAAGGAAGGAAAAAACAATCTTAAGCCAAACTACCACTTATGGCAACAGATCAATGTCACAGTTCAAAGCATCTGTAAGCCTATGAATTTCTAATTAATCTTAGAATTATTATTTCATATCTTCCAAACTCACTATTTGACCTTCAGTATGTTTATTACCCTTGTGGAGCAGGTGATTACAGTAAGAAAACTGAGCGACAATTATCCAACATATAAGTCCCCTGTGTACAGCACAAATATCCCCAGTCCAATAAACAAACGATCCTTGTGAATATTTACAAGGGAGCAACTGTTATAAAGTTCCAGGGAGTGCACAGTAGCAGCAACCAAAAATTCACAAGTAGAGATGAAAAGTACAAGCTGGGCACAGACTGGTTCCAGGTGATAGACGGACTGTGGAAGGGAAGGTGGGGGTTATGAATTCCCCAAAATCTCATGCAGAATATTGTGTACTTAGACACGTGTGTGTTTTTCTGGAGAAATGATTCATAGCATTCACTATAATCTCAAAGGGCTACTTACCTAAAACAACGAAGTCATAACTGTGACTTTAGTACAGTTGATCTTCCGTATCCGCAGGTTCTGCATTGGGGGGATCCAACCAATCATATTATTTTCAATCTGCAGTTGGCTGGATCCGAGGATGCGGAAGCAGAGGATACAGAGAGCCAAGCTCACGTTTTCAACCTGCGACTGCTCGGATTTTGGTGTTTTGGGGGAGTGGGACGGGGTCCTGGAACCAATCCCCTGGGGATATGGAGAGTCAGCCGTACCTTTGCTCATCTGTTGGAAAAGAACGTGTTTCTGCAGGGCACCAAATGACGAAGAACTATAATGACTCCTTGCCGTAAACTGAAGGTGGGCTGCAAGGCTCCGTATGGATGGAGAGAGCAAGAGAAAGGATATAAAATTTGTGAAACACCTAGGAACTGGACAGATGTAAGAGTTTCAGGCAAAATTTGGTGCTAAGGTGCTAGTTATTTCTATCGCTCTAATTACTGATTTTCTTAGAAGTTGAACAAAACTGATTCTTTTTGAGTATGTCTTTGTAGAAAAACGGAGTTTGAATTACATGAGAATGAGGAACAGGTCAGGCCATGTGGCTGTCTAGTTTTCAAGACCTCTCCAGGGCTCTTCACCCAACATACTGAAAAAAACTCTCTTGAAACACCATCAACTTTGTTAAATTATTTTTTCAGCTGAAATATACAGAAAACATCTCCAGTTATTTTCTCTCCTCATATCAAGCAATAATCAAAACCAAAATCCTAGACTATTATAAATAGTAGATGGCATAAGATCAGTTTTCTCTTAAAAAATGACCTGGGGCTTGCAGGGAAGAGGTTCATAAGGAAACACAGCAGGGGAAGAGGGGAAAATTCTAATGTTTCCCAGTACTTTTCCTTACTGAATTTCTCTAGCTACTATATTTAAATTTGGCTACCAGTCATATAAATACAAAAAGGTAAATAACGTCACTCTACTTTCTTGAGAAAAATCCCAATTCTGTGTAATTACAGGGCAGGAGACAGATTACACCAGGCTAGGGGTTAGCAACTTTTGTTTGCCTTTTTGTTATCACCTGTCACAATTTGCTGGGAAGGTAAGAAAACACTGCTGTTTATCTGGATTCATGGCAATCTCTAACTTTTAGAAACTTCAAGGTTTGACTGTGACCATGTTGGCAGAGTCTAACAAATTGCTTTGCAAATGAAGTAGGCGACACTGATTGATTGTGTTTTACAATACACCGCTGGTAGAAAAAGAAAAAAAAATTTTCTTCCCCTAAGTTGAATTTTAGTTCCACGTATGCTTCTTTCCCAAGAAAAACCAATAGAAATTAGGTCAGTTTACATATATAGGCTGGCCATAAAATCTGGGAAACAAAGATAATACTATTTAATTTTGTATATGTGGAAGATATTGTTGATATTATACACAGCTGCCTGTGCTGACTTTAAAGACACATCTCTTATGTGTTAATGTGAAATTGTTACTGGAAATGGGTCCCGATACAGCCCCGAGAGAAGGTTCTTGGATCTCTCCCAAGAAAGAATTCAGGGTGAGCCCATAGAGTAAAGTGAAAGCAAGTTTATTAGAAAAGTAAAGGAATAAAAGAATGGCTACTCCATAGACAGAGCAGCCCTGAGGGCTGCAGGTTGCATTTTTATGATTATTTCTTGATTATATGCTAACAAGGGGTGGATTACTCATGCCTCCCCTTTTTGGGTCATATAGAGTAACTTCCTATTGTTGTCATGGCATTTGTAAACTGTCATGGCGCTGGTGGGAGTGTAGCAGTGAGGATGACCAGAGGTCACTCCTGTCACCATCTTGGCTTTTGTGGGGTTTGGCCGGCTTCTTTCCTGCAACCTATTTTATCAGCAAGGTCTTTATAACCTGTATCTTGTGCCGACCTCCTATCTCATCCTGTGACTAAGAATGCCTTAACCTCTTGGGACTTCAGCCCAGTAAGTCTCAGCCTCATTTTACCCAGGCGCTATTGAAGATGGAGTTGCTCTTGTTCAAACACCTCCGACAAAATGATAGGGTTTGTACTGAAAGCTCAGCAAACAGTTGACAACCATGGGGGCAAATTGGAGCAGTAAAGACAAACTTGATCCTTAAAGCTTCTCAGCCTCTACTTTCCCTTCAATTATCTAAATGAATCGGGTCACAATAATCTCTTTGGTGGGTGTGTGCATAATGTAGTTAGTTGCTGTTGCATGCAGCTGCACTATAGGAAAGATGGCTCTCTTCAAAATAAAGCATATTTCGTAGCTCTTGAACTGAATCATCACTACTTACATGCAAAGAAATAAGTGTGCAACACCCAAATCAAACTAGGCCCACTCCCTGCTGCTTTTTAGGTAGATTGTTCAGTAGAGAGCTTTCCTGAGTCTCAAGACTCCAATGCAAATGATGAAGGCTCTCAGGAGAGCACAGCATGGGGCAAGCGCTGATACAAGAAGGAAGATCAAGTTGAGCAGATGATCCAGACATTTAATAAGAACTTCCCAATCAAAGTTTTCAGTATTCAAATAATTATACAACTGTTGACTTTTTTTTTTTTTTTTTTTTGAGACAGGGTCTCACTCTATCACCCAGGCTGGAGTGCAGTGGCGTGATCTTGGCTCACTGCAACCTCCACCTTCCAGGTTCAAGAGATTCTCCTGCCTCAGCCTCCCCAGTAGCCAGGATTACAGGCGCACGCAACCAGGCTCAGCTAATTTTTGTATTTTTAGTAGAGATGGGGTTTCACCATGTTGGCCAGGCTGGTCTCAAACTCCTGATTTCAAGTGATCCACCCACCTCAGCCTCCCAAAGTGCTGGGATTACAGGCGTGAGCCACCGTGCCCAGCTGACATTCTATTGAAGAGAAAGAGGAAACAATATGTATTAGGTTTCAAGACCTAATTCTTTCCCATGTTTTAAAATAACATGTCTAAGTGATTACAATTTTGCATGGTTCCTACCTTAGGCACTTTCTCTAGGAACCTAATGCAGTTAGAAACATTTGGTGAAAAATAATTTACTATCCAGAAAGTTTTCCTGTTTCCAAGATAAGAAAGCCTGTTCTACCATCCCAGCAGGCAAGGGTTGTTTAAGTTACTAGATAACAAAGTTGTTATTGATTCTAGTATTTTTACTCTTCCTGATTCCCTGCAGTCCAAAGGGAGTTTGTCAGACCAGGAGTGATTTTTATTAAAAAAAAAAAAAAAAGAGTAGTTGCTATTGTTGTAACTGGCCTCATTGTGACAGATGGGATCCTAGTGTTTTCTCGCTGCCCTTTACTCAGGAGCTAGGAGAACAGAAAGCAAATAACCAAGAAACCAACACACTCAGTAATCTGGATTTCTCAGAGTTGAGCCACAGCACTTGGAAATCAAATATTGGCTCCTCCTGAACGCCCCTTTTAGCCTGGTGTTGTTAACCAGTTTAACATTCCCTTATCACATGCTCATGTGGGCAGAATTAAATGGAATTAGCTGCAAATTATATAAAATTCATTTACCTTTAAAGGAAGCTATTTGGTCATGTTCAGTGTAGACAGAGCATTGCATTAAGACACAAGTTAATGGTACTGCCTGGAGATGAATCAATTTGCTTTGGTTTTATTACCTCCCTTTATTTGTTCTTATGTGGTAGCTACTGTGACTGGAAATGCTCAGCTCAGGTTCACAGAGCCCATGTCAGAGCCACATTAACATCTCAAGGAGAGTCCCACTCTTTCTAAAGAGCTCAGTCCAAGTAAACACAGTAGCAAAGTAAGATCATGCTGATCCTCCCTTAATACTTAGTCACAAAGAATGGATGCTGAACAAGGTGGCTTATGCCTGTAATCCTAGCACTTTAGGAGGCCTAGGTGGGAGGATCGCTTGAGGCCAGGAGTTCAAGACCAGCCCGGACAACATAGCAAGACCTTGCCTTTACAAAAAAAAAAGAAAAAAGAAAAAGTTAGCCGGGCATGGTGGAGCATGCCTGTAGTCCCAGCTACTCCAAAGGCCGAGGAGAAAAGATTGTTTGAGCCCAGGAGGTTGAGGCTGTAGTGAGGTAAGATTGTGCCACTGCACTCCAGCCTGGGTGACAGAGGGAAACCCTGTCTCAATTAAGAAGATAAATAAATTTTAAAATGGGTGATGTCTAAGAGAGAAAGGCAAACCTATGAGAATGTTGAGGATTGATAAGCATCTTGTCCATATAGGGGTTCAAATAACATCTATTGAACTTCTGCTTTCTGCACTGACTTAGGCATTTTTCTAAGATTTCTTCATTTCGACCTCACCACAACCTCATGATGCACAGGTATATTTTTATTTGAAAGTGCATGCTTCATGAGTTCTTTAAGAGAGTATATAAATCTCTATATAACAAATAAATTATGCTTGAGGTGTCTATTGTTGTTCTCAATTTATAATGTTGATAAGAATGACTGTGGGCAGGCGCAGTGGCTCACGCCTATAATCTCAGCACTTTGGGAGGCCAGCGTGGACAGATCAAGAGATCAGGAGTTCAATACCAGCCTGGCCAACATAGTGAAACCCCATCTCTACTAAAAATACAAAAAAATTAGCCAGGCATGGTGGCATGTGCCTGTAGTCCCAGCTACTTGGGAGGCTGAAGCAGGAGAATTGCTTGAACCCAGCAGGTGGAGGTTGCAGTGAGCCGAGATTGGGCCACTGCACCCCAGCTTAGGCAACAGAGTGAGACTTTGTCTCAACAACAACAACAAAAAAAAAAACAAAAAAAAGAATGACTGTGTACATGTTTAAAATGCAGACTCCCCAGTCTCACTCACCCCCATATCGTTATTCAGAAGGTCTGGGGTTGGGCTCAGATATTTTCATTTTATAAGCATCCCAGTGATTCTTGATATACACAGTTCATGAGTCACACTTCCAGGAACACTTCCCTATAAATCCATGTTACTTCATTGATTAGTAAGAGTTTGTATTTTTCTGAGATTTGCCTGAAGGTAAATGTGTTGCAATATGTAACTGGAGAAAATATAAAAAATAAATGTATCCAAATACTGTGTCTCTGTTCACAACAATACACTCCTAAGAGATATCTACCACAGGAAGAATTCCTAATTGGCAAATATGATAAAGTTGAGACCACAGTCAGTTAGCCTTTTACTTTAATCTTTGCAAGAGAGGCTGTGGACCTAGCCTAGGCTGTCAAAAGAGAAGGCTTCACTTGTGCTGCTCTGAGTTTAGCATTGACTCTCCCATCTTAACCCCATCGATTTCTAATTTTAACGTGGATTTGATTTGGGGGGACACACAGAGGAATCACTTTGACGGCAGTGTTCCTGCACCCTCACAAAGACAACCAGGGTTGACCATGACCGTTTTTCTGATGTGGAAAAAGCAGGAATGGGGCAGGATTCCAGCTCTGCTCTGGCCTAGAGACTAGAATGACTCCTTTCCCTCCCTAGACATTTTAAGGTTTCCTCTGAGTTTATGATGACAGCTTCATCTCCAACCCACGAAAGCAAGAACCACAGACAATGCTAGTGGGGGTGCTCTCTGGCCAGAACACACTACTTAGATGCTGGGTTCCACACCTACTGGGATAGCTAAGGCATTTTGAGTTGTGATTAGTTCACCTGCTCAAGTCTTTATTTTGGCTTTCCTGGCTGTGAAAAAGAAGGCCCTGCCCCTTCTCCACACCTGTGGGGTCTCTCTGTGGTGTGCTGATGGCGGACATGAGAGTTCTCCAGCAATCCACCTCCTCCAGCCCTTTTAAGCAGGACTGTACCTGGGGGCACATTCCCCTAAAACACTGAGTAATATACCTACTAAGTACTTCCTCCCAGTGTTCCTGAATATACCTTTCCAGGTCTACCCATCTGGAAATATCTTTAGACATCAGCTCATGGTGATAGTCTGTCATTCTTCTGGATGCAGTAATAGCCAATAGTTCAATGTTTATATGCACATTAAAAGCAATGCTGGGGGAGAAAGGAAGAGATGACCATTTATTGAATGCTTTCAAAGTGCCAAAAACATTAGATGTTTTGTCTCATTAAATCCTCACAAAAACAATAAAAAATATTTTTTGAGTGCCTACTATATAGTAAGATAGTACAGTGTCACAGCCAACAGAATGGATTTTAAGGCCACATCAAGGCCAGGTGTGGTGGCTCATGCTTGTAATCCCAGCACTTTGGGAGGCCGAGGTGGGCAGATAACTTGAAGTCAGGACTTCGAGACCAGCCTGGCCAACAGGAAAAACCCTGTCTCTACTAACAATACAAAAATTAGCCGGGCATGGTGGTGCGTGCCTGTAATCCCAGCTACTAGAGAGGCTAAGGCAGGAGAATCGCTTGAACCCCAGAGGCAGAGGTTGCGGTGAGCCGAGATCATGCCACTGCACTCCAGCCTAGGCGACAGAGCAAGACTCAGTCTCAAAAAAAAAAAACAAAAAACAAAAAACCAGGCATGGTGGCCTGTAATCCCAGTACTTTGGGAGGCCAAGGTGGGTGGATAGTCTGAGGTCAGGAGTTCGAGACCAGCCTGACCAACATGGTGAAACCCGTCTCTACTAAAAATACAAAATTAGCCAGGCATGGTGGCACATGTCTGTAATCCCAGCTACTTGGGAGTCTGAGGCTGGAGTATCGCTTGAACCCAGGAGGTGGAGGTTGCGGTAAGCCAAGATCATGCCATGGCACTCTGGCCTGGGCGACAGAGCAAAACTCTATCTGGAAAAAAAAAAAAAAAAAAGCCACATCATCTCTGCTTGGATCTAGGCTCTGCCACTTACTAGCTATATAATTCTAGGCAAGTAACTTACCATCACTGGGCCTCAATTTCCTCCACTGGAAAATGGGATAACAGTAATTGGCTCATGGGGTTAACATTGGAAAATATTTAAACAACGCCTGGCTCCATGCATTTGCCATTACGATTACTATGTGCAACGGGGCCAGCTTATGGAACAGTGCTAGTATTTCCATTTTACAAATAAGGGCAGGGAAGCTTAGTGAAGTCATGTAACTTGGCAAGGGACACACAGCTTGTGCAGGGCAGAGCCTGATGTGGAGGACAGGTGTATGCAGCTCCTGACCTTTCTATGGCCCGCCAAAGCCAGCGCATATTTCTACCAATGAGTTTTGGTTACTCAAAGAGTGTGCAGGCAGGTGCACAGTGAGAGATCTACAGGCATTTGATCAGTATATGTTACCGAAAATCTGGGTCCTTCAAAGCATAAACCATGTGAAATGTAGGATGGTTGAGGAAGGAAGCTGGAGGGTAGTGTGGGTCAAGCCTTCTTTAGGCTGCAGCAGGAACCTGGAGGTAAGGAGAGGCTCCTAGGAGAACAAAGGATTAGTCATAGGAAATGGTGGTGGGAGGAGGAGGTGGAAGGCAAAGAAAAGGAACTGTGTGGAAGCAAGGAGCTGGTTACCTAGGACTAAGCTCAGAAGGGAAGCAGCAGGGATTTCTGGAGACTGCACATCTGGAAGGTAGAACCAGAGATGAGACAACCAAAGGGGTGAGTCCAGAGCTGTAGGGGGTGAGCCACCGGGAACACCAGGAGTGGGGAGCAACAGCTGACCTCAGATCCTTTGGAGCCTGAAAGTCCTTTCATACTTTTCCTTTCATCAGCAGAGTGAACTGAGGACCACGGAAGGATTAAACCAAAAGTGGAAAGAGCTCGTGCCTGGGGGCCCCACTCCCAGGGAGGAAGCGTTGAGCAGTGGCTGGAGGAAGCAGCAGACAGTTCTGGGGCACACGGAGTCCCCCCTCCTGCCCTTCTACTCCTCTTACACCAGAGAGAGCTAACAAGGTAGGGAATAAGACAATTACCCAATTCAATTCGGTTTTTAAGCTGCTTTTATCTTTACAGTTCAGGGATCACTGAATCATCTGGAAAATAATTTCAGCTCTCTGCTTATTTTCACTAGATTGCTTAGCCCTAGGAATATTGGAAAACCCTTCATTCAAAGTCTGAGGTCCTTTCCTCTCTCCAATCCCCACAACCCAAGCTGGGTTTCCCTGGCCCCTCTCAGACCTGGATACCAAATTCTGGGTATTTATTTATATATATATATATATTTTTAATTTTTTGAGACGGAGCCTCGCTCTGTCTCCCAGGCTGGAGGGCAGTGGCGCGATCTCGGATCACTGCAAGCTCCGCCTCCTGGGTTCACGCCATTCTCCTTCCTCAGCCTCCCAAGTAGCTGGAACTACAGGCGCCCGCCACCACGCCCGGCTAAATTTTTTTGTAGGTTTAGTAGAGACGGGGTTTCATCATGTTAGCCAGGATGGTCTCGATCTCCTGACCTCATGATCCGCCTGTCTCAGCCTCCCAAAGTGCTGGGATTACAGGCGTGAGCCACCGCCCTCGGCCAATTCTGGGTATTCATAAACCAGCAGGAGGGAAACATTGATTCGACTTAGGAAAATGAAAACCTGCCTGCATTAGTGCTCATTGAAGGAAATGCTAATGAACTAAAGTGCAATCAATTATAGAAGTATTCTCATTCCACACATCACATCGTTTGCTTTACAGAATTTTCCAACTCAAGAAACAATTTTTATTTTCAACAGAGATTTAATTATAAAATGAATATAAATTCCACGTGCATTCATGATGTATACCTTGGAGTTAAGTGGGATTCATCTGTTTTTTTCATTTATAATGGGATGCAGTGGCTTAAAAATCCTATCACCAAGCCAAATTCAGCCCTTAGCATGCCTCTGAAACCACCGAGGAAGACTTAGCCACTTACCAAGAACAAGGTAACCTGTGTTCTCCCGGGTGTAAACCGCGTCTCTGTGAAGGGAAAGGGGGAAGAGGGCCGGCAAGGACCTCCAGTATCAGCGAGGACTATCAGGACGTCCAGCTAATAAACGACTTTTTCACTGTCCACACTTTAATTGGTTTACAGCCTTTTTTGTTTATTTATCCATAAGAGCTGCTGTTAAATGGCTCGGGAAGGTGCTCGCCTAATGGCTCGGTATCGCTGCCGGGCCTGTTGTGGGCGAGGCGGCTTGGAGGGGGCGCAGGCGTCAGCGGGGATTCAGAGCGGAAACGCATTTCGCCTGTAATGGACTCGGCGATTTTACGATACCAGGAGCTAGATCCACGGGGAAGTACAACACACGACCTTACTAAGCGGAGGGTTCCGCTTGATGCGTTTTTTATACGGCTGTACGTGATAAAATTCCAGATAACTTTGTTTCATCTAATAATAATAATAACAATAATAAATGGTTGTTTGACCTTTGCTCCCTGGGTCCCTTCTATAGGTCGCAGGCAGCAGAAAATGCTAATTGTGAAAGTGAGAACGCGCCTCCATGGAATACCCCCGGCGATCCCCTCCTCCTCCCCCACAGCCGCGGGTACCCGGGTTTTTGCCGGCGACCGCAACCGGCGGATTTGCTTTCTGCTGAGAGCCTCTTTTCTTTCTGCAGGGCCGAGCAAAAATATTAAATGGAAGCAAATGAAGCATCGAAATGGAGACCAATTTACAGAAATGTGCAATTAGTTGAGAAGTGCAAAGTAAACACTCCGGGGGTGGCAGGCGAGGCAGGGAGCAGGGGAGGGAGAGTGGGGCGCAGACTGAGTCCAGAGTGGGTGTAGGGGTGCCCAGGGAGGAGGGGAAGGGGGAGGAAAAGGAGGGGGAGGGGAAAAGTGGCCGATCTTTGTCCTGAGCGGAGCTTGCCGTCCGCTCATAACCGCGTCGCCAAGTCAACCCTCGGCGACTCGGCAGATTATCTCCAAGGGTCAACACGCCGCGGCCAGGCAACCCCCTCCAGCCTGCCCTCCTGATCGATGTGGTCACTCGCGGCCAGGGTGATAGGGTAGAGTTCTCCGCGGCCGCAGACAATGGACTCATTGACGCGGGCGCACAGAGATTAGGTGCCCGGGCCCCACGGCCTTTCACTCTCTGCCCCCACCAAAACTGCAGGTGGCACTTTTCCCTGAAGAAATCACCGAAACTCTCCCCGCCCGCCGCCGTGCTTCCCTTGGCCTGTCTTCGGTGACAGCAAGGGCATCTACAAGCCAGGGAGCCACACATCAGAGCCACACACATGAGGCCACAGGCCAGGAAGCCACACACATGAGTTCTCACACATCGAAGCAAATGCTGAGACTATACCGGCCTCCCGCAAGAGAAGGAATCTGCAGAGAAGTCCACATTCCCGACTGGCTTTTTTGTCTTTTAATAAAAATAAAGAGTCCTCAGAATAGAGCACTCAATCCGCACTTAAAACACAAATATTTCCAGTAGGAAGAAAGAAATACATTAAGATTGACTCTCAAAGGTCTGGATGTTGGTGCGTTGTTTAGGAAAGGCGGAGCAGTGATTTTTCTCTGGCTTGGTTCTTTGTGGTTCAAGCTCTCTCTTGCTGAGACGTTTCTGCAAAGCTGTCTAGTTTTTCTAAAACCCACGGTGGCGTTTCGAGAAACGTCCTCATTTCGGGAGTATCCAGTCAGAGGCTGGTCAGGCCGCCAGGCCTAGCGGATCATGCCCAGGCAGGGGGTTGGACGTCACCGCCACCCGGAGGTCATCCATCCGCGTCAGTGGGTGCAGAAAAAGTGGCCCTGTTTAAGTCAGGACCCCAGAATGCCCAGAAGTTACTGAATGGTTTGAAGCCAAGCACAGATGTTATCATGGAAAATGCAGCGTTTTTATTTCTTTTTCTAAATATGTAACTCTTCCTCCACTTCCCCCTCTCCTGCTTGCCTTATTTCAATTGCAAGCAGAAGAGAGTGAGTGTTCTCTGCCGGCAAACTCCGCCAGGGTCCCGGCCCGTAGAGAGTCGTCAAGGGTCTGGAACCCCCGTGCCAACACCTGCCCCTGCTTCGCAGCCCCAAGAGGAAGGCCGCGTCTTTCCCCCTCGCTGTATTGGGAAGCTACGTTCCGGGCTGGCCAAATGGGCCCCAATTTTCCAAAACCCAAATTTGTAATACCCTTCAATTTTTTAAAAAAAAGAATTTAAAAAAGTCTCTGTGAATGCTTCAGAAGTTACCGTTTACACCCCAGAAGTACTTGCAGCACATCCACAAGTAAAAACACACAACGAATGCCAGAGTTTCGTGTGTTTTTTAACCGACATCTTTGTGGCTGTGAACAAACTTCATAAATAAAATAGAATCAAATGCTTCTGACCTAGAGAGCTGGGTCTGCAAACTTTTTTTTTATCGTATTCCGCAACAGTTAAATAAAAAATTAAAAACTCAACATGTCTCCTTGTAAACTACATCAATTAACAAACACACTATGTCCATTATCAAATATAATAGAAAAAATATAGGAAAATAGAAAATAGAAAAATATAGGAAAATAGAAACTTTTAAGCCACGGTGAAAATGTTTCTATAAATGAGTGGTTCTAATGTTTTCGTGAGCGCCCATTTTGGGGAGCACCGCCAGCTGCCCGTTCAGGAGTGTGCAGCAAACTCAGCTGAGAGAGAAAATTGGAACAAAAGCAGGTGCTCGCGGGTACCTGGGCCTAGCCTCTTAGTGCGGCCAGCCAGGCCAATCACGGCCCCCGGCTGAACCACGTGGGGCCCCGCGGAGCCTATGGTGCGGCGGCCGGCCCGCCGGTCCGCGCTGGCTGTGGGTTCCCTCTGAGATCAGTGCGGAGCTGTCAAAGCGAGCAGGGGTGGCGCCGGGAGTGGGAACGCCACACAGTGCCAAATCCCCGGCTCCAGCTCCCGACTCCCGGCTCCCGGCTCCCGGCTCCCGGTGCCCAATCCCGGGCCGCAGCCATGAACGGCGAGGAGCAGTACTACGCGGCCACGCAGCTTTACAAGGACCCATGCGCGTTCCAGCGAGGCCCGGCGCCGGAGTTCAGCGCCAGCCCCCCTGCGTGCCTGTACATGGGCCGCCAGCCCCCGCCGCCGCCGCCGCACCCGTTCCCTGGCGCCCTGGGCGCGCTGGAGCAGGGCAGCCCCCCGGACATCTCCCCGTACGAGGTGCCCCCCCTCGCCGACGACCCCGCGGTGGCGCACCTTCACCACCACCTCCCGGCTCAGCTCGCGCTCCCCCACCCGCCCGCCGGGCCCTTCCCGGAGGGAGCCGAGCCGGGCGTCCTGGAGGAGCCCAACCGCGTCCAGCTGCCTTTCCCATGGATGAAGTCTACCAAAGCTCACGCGTGGAAAGGCCAGTGGGCAGGTAAGCCTGGCTCCCCACCCCTTTCTCCTTTCCGGTTCTCACCCGGCCGCCTTACCTCCAAGCGCTCCCAGGAGCCTTCTCTCTGTTCCCGGCGCCTTGGATTATCCCGGGTCGGACTAAACTACATCAGGGAGCTACCGAGCCCATCCCTCACAGCAGTGCTTCTCTAGTCCAGTTTGAAGCATCTTTCCCACCCAGCTCTCCTGGGAGTGTACACTCCTTCCTTCCCTGTTCGCTGAGCCCATCTTCGCCCCAGGAGCCCGCGCTCCCAGCGCCATCCTTAGAGAGCCGAGGCTGAGTCCTGCTCAGGGCTTCGGACACTACAGATCCTCCTCCAGCAGGGGATCCGGGAACCCAGGACTCCTTGGTAGTGCACATCGAGGAAGCCGAGTAGGGACATGGGTGCCTCGGACCCAGGCCCCAGATCGCCTTCGGAGCCCCGGAGCCCCTCACTTCCCGCGCTTCGTTAAGGAAGGGCAGGCATCTAGGGGCGCCAGGTAGGTGCAGAAAGGCAGGGAGGGAAAGGAAACTGCACCCAACCCAGCAGTGTCCGGCTGCCCTGGTTGTGGAAACAGGATAGGAGTAAAGAGGAAGGGGCTGGGGCAAGGCGGGGGCTCACCGCGAGGCTGAAAGCCGGCCTCTCAACGTCAGAGCCTGGCAGCTAGGAGAGCAATCTGAGAAGCGAATTCGTTTTTCACCAACCGAAAGCAATTGAAGCTGTCTCCCCGCACCGCTTCCCAGGAAGTAATTTTTCAGGAGATGGGCGCTCCCTGCCTAGCTGGTGGGGAGGCGAGAGGCCTGGTTCCTGCGGCCCTCCGCGCCGGCAGAGAACAGAAGGTCTTTCCCGGAGCCGGGAGCCGGAGGCACGGGGTAGCCCCCGGGTCCTTTGCGGCCCCGCGCGAGCGGCAAGTTCCGGCGCGGCCTGTGTCGTCGCCGCTACTCACTGTCATCGCTGCCGTGCCTCAGCCACTTCTGGTCACACCTGCACCGCAAATAGTTGCCTTTTCCTTTCAACTGGCAGCCGGGAGTAGGGGGAAGCAGCTCGAGCCGGCGTCCCCCGGCCCACCCCGAAAATCCTCAGCGCCCATCTGCGGGGTCTGGCCAGCCCTGCCTGACACTGACCCCAGGCGCAGCCAGGAGGGGCTTTGTGCGGGAGAGGGAGGGGGACCCCAGCTTGCCTGGGGTCCACGGGACTCTCTTCTTCCTAGTTCACTTTCTTGCTAAGGCGAAGGTCCTGAGGCAGGACGAGGGCTGAACTGCGCTGCAATCGTCCCCACCTCCAGCGAAACCCAGTTGACAGGGGCGCCAGAAGCTGCCGCGGCGCCTCTGCAAATTTATCCAGCTCGCGCAGCCCGGGCCAAAGGCCTTGAAGTCTCCGGAAATGCGGGGTTCTTAGGAGGCGGGAGGACAGTCCCTCGAACAAAGGTGGGGGGCTCCTCGTCCTCACCCAGTTTTCTTCCAGGGCTGCCTCCCCTCCAGACCTCTCTTCTGGCCTCCTAGGCCCTCGGAGCTCCTGCTTTCCCACCCTGGGCCTTCCTCAGGAAATGGGCGACATCAGGGTCCCGAAAGAGGATTTGTGAGGTGGAGTAACTTCCCTATCCCAACCCAAGGGGTGATACCTCTGCTCTGGAGGACTTGGGCTTAGGCTGACCCAAGAAGCCAGAAAGTAAAACCAGAAGGCAAATCAGCAGCCTTGGCGAGGGTTCGGGGACCCAAGGAGGGCGACACTCTCGGGCTGGAGTTGGCCCCAGGCCTTTGCTGGCGCCCTCTAACCCGCTGCATGCTCGACTCTCGGGGAAGGAGACGACCTCCCCTCTCTTCCCCTGGAAGCCGTCTGCGGGGCCGGCTGCTATCCCCGCGTTCCTCTAGGGGAAACTTCGATGGAGCCGAAATTCAAAAATTGCAAACCCACCTGCCCCTGGGAAGAGCGAAGTGACAAAAGGGCTCTCACTGGCAGTACGAATCTGAATGCTAATGACAACAGAGGTTTTGAAAAACATTGACCCCCAAATGCTTCAGCAGCGCTGTCCAGCTGGCACCTAAACTGCATCACTCTGCGCCTTGGGGAAGGGCCCAGGCTTGGCGACCTTGACCTTTTCCCACCATCCTCAACCTCCACCCCTGCCGCGTCGCGCTGAGCACAGGTCCCCCGGGAATAGTGCACCCCAGGAAGTCTCTCCCTGAGCAGTCTCTCGCAGGGACTTCACGAAGCCCTCTCGCAGGGACTATACGAAGCCCGCAGCCTAAGGCAGGAACCCAGAGACATGTCGGTTTAATGTAAAAACTTTGGAGAGCCTTTCAAAATGTTTATTGAAGGCCCGTCTCGCTTCTCTCCCAGGCGTGGGATGCCAGGTAGATTCGGGGATGCCCCCAGGGAGTAGAACTCTCCCTGGACTAGGGTTTGAGCCTCTGCTTCAGCTTCTGGCGCCTCTTCTCGACCTGGGGGGAAACCCAGTAGGGTTCCATCGCGAAATTAAACCCGCCCCCAACACACACACACTCGCCTTTCAATTCCTTAAGGCTTAGCCAACATTCACAGGAGAAATGTCCCCTGCCTTTGCTCTAAGACAAGCCTCTCCCCGGAACTTTGGTGGAACTTCCCGCGCCAGCGTCCACAGCCTGGGTGCAGTCAGTATTTTCCACAGAAAAGAAAAGATTGGGACCTGGCTGAGCGCAGCGGCAAACAGTGAATGTGGGTCTCCAACCTCCTGGGCCAGGGCGTCCTGTTGCCTCTTGGAGACACGAGAGGCTTGTTTCTGCACCACTACCACCTCCTCCGTAGGGCTGTCGGTTCTGCAGCTGGGCTAGGGCCCCTGTGTCTCCCCTCAACACCTCTGAGGGCATTTGGGATCCAGGGCGTAGAGTCTGGAGCTGCCAGAGTTCTGCCCTGGCCAACGTGACCCCCAGAACAATATTCCTTCACTTCGCGGGCAGAAGTCCGGCTGAAGTTAAAACAATTATGGAGAATTTGCTGGCTCTCAGGTTGGGACTAATTACGATATAACTATAGAGAGAGGAAACACATGGTCAGATATAACAAAATGTGTCACAGTCTCCATTAGCACAAAGATTTTCAAACTGCAGGTTGCACCCATTCGCAGGTCATAAAATCAATTTACTAGGTTGAGATTAGTATTTTTTAAACGAAATAGCAGATAATGGAGAGAAAAGTAGATAGCATCATACGTGGTAAACGTTTGTTTTATGTCCTTAAGATTTGTCAGTATAACTGACCTGCAGTGTCCGTGTGTGAACTACACAACGATCCGAAATGTATTTCTCACATTTGTGGGTCACCATCAGGAGGTTTTTTTTAGCCCTGGATTAAAGGCGTTTTATTGCCTTTGTAGGATCCAGCCGGTTTAACTATTATATACATTTAAATCAACATCAATCAGTTGATTAACACCGATTATATGAGCGCATTCAAGGACCACTCATTGGCAGAGCCAAGCTTAGGCTCACGGCGAGAGCTGACTCGAGTTTGGTCTCCAATAAAAAGGCTATCTTTATTAGGAAGGGCTTGAGTTACTAGGGAAGAGCTTCGCGCGCCTACACTAGGCGCTGAAATGGGATGCTGGGGCTTGGTGGCTCCGGCGGGAGCAGCTGGTAGGGCTAGGGCTCCCTGGCCCCCCTTGAAGGGGTTGGGCTGCGTGGGTGGGGGCTGTGCGGGGCTCCGGGGGCCACACTCACGCCCTGTGTCGCCCGCAGGCGGCGCCTACGCTGCGGAGCCGGAGGAGAACAAGCGGACGCGCACGGCCTACACGCGCGCACAGCTGCTAGAGCTGGAGAAGGAGTTCCTATTCAACAAGTACATCTCACGGCCGCGCCGGGTGGAGCTGGCTGTCATGTTGAACTTGACCGAGAGACACATCAAGATCTGGTTCCAAAACCGCCGCATGAAGTGGAAAAAGGAGGAGGACAAGAAGCGCGGCGGCGGGACAGCTGTCGGGGGTGGCGGGGTCGCGGAGCCTGAGCAGGACTGCGCCGTGACCTCCGGCGAGGAGCTTCTGGCGCTGCCGCCGCCGCCGCCCCCCGGAGGTGCTGTGCCGCCCGCTGCCCCCGTTGCCGCCCGAGAGGGCCGCCTGCCGCCTGGCCTTAGCGCGTCGCCACAGCCCTCCAGCGTCGCGCCTCGGCGGCCGCAGGAACCACGATGAGAGGCAGGAGCTGCTCCTGGCTGAGGGGCTTCAACCACTCGCCGAGGAGGAGCAGAGGGCCTAGGAGGACCCCGGGCGTGGACCACCCGCCCTGGCAGTTGAATGGGGCGGCAATTGCGGGGCCCACCTTAGACCGAAGGGGAAAACCCGCTCTCTCAGGCGCATGTGCCAGTTGGGGCCCCGCGGGTAGATGCCGGCAGGCCTTCCGGAAGAAAAAGAGCCATTGGTTTTTGTAGTATTGGGGCCCTCTTTTAGTGATACTGGATTGGCGTTGTTTGTGGCTGTTGCGCACATCCCTGCCCTCCTACAGCACTCCACCTTGGGACCTGTTTAGAGAAGCCGGCTCTTCAAAGACAATGGAAACTGTACCATACACATTGGAAGGCTCCCTAACACACACAGCGGGGAAGCTGGGCCGAGTACCTTAATCTGCCATAAAGCCATTCTTACTCGGGCGACCCCTTTAAGTTTAGAAATAATTGAAAGGAAATGTTTGAGTTTTCAAAGATCCCGTGAAATTGATGCCAGTGGAATACAGTGAGTCCTCCTCTTCCTCCTCCTCCTCTTCCCCCTCCCCTTCCTCCTCCTCCTCTTCTTTTCCCTCCTCTTCCTCTTCCTCCTGCTCTCCTTTCCTCCCCCTCCTCTTTTCCCTCCTCTTCCTCTTCCTCCTGCTCTCCTTTCCTCCCCCTCCTCTTTCTCCTCCTCCTCCTCTTCTTCCCCCTCCTCTCCCTCCTCCTCTTCTTCCCCCTCCTCTCCCTCCTCCTCTTCTTCTCCCTCCTCTTCCTCTTCCTCCTCTTCCACGTGCTCTCCTTTCCTCCCCCTCCTCTTGCTCCCCTTCTTCCCCGTCCTCTTCCTCCTCCTCCTCTTCTTCTCCCTCCTCTTCCTCCTCCTCTTTCTTCCTGACCTCTTTCTTTCTCCTCCTCCTCCTTCTACCTCCCCTTCTCATCCCTCCTCTTCCTCTTCTCTAGCTGCACACTTCACTACTGCACATCTTATAACTTGCACCCCTTTCTTCTGAGGAAGAGAACATCTTGCAAGGCAGGGCGAGCAGCGGCAGGGCTGGCTTAGGAGCAGTGCAAGAGTCCCTGTGCTCCAGTTCCACACTGCTGGCAGGGAAGGCAAGGGGGGACGGGCCTGGATCTGGGGGTGAGGGAGAAAGATGGACCCCTGGGTGACCACTAAACCAAAGATATTCGGAACTTTCTATTTAGGATGTGGACGTAATTCCTGTTCCGAGGTAGAGGCTGTGCTGAAGACAAGCACAGTGGCCTGGTGCGCCTTGGAAACCAACAACTATTCACGAGCCAGTATGACCTTCACATCTTTAGAAATTATGAAAACGTATGTGATTGGAGGGTTTGGAAAACCAGTTATCTTATTTAACATTTTAAAAATTACCTAACAGTTATTTACAAACAGGTCTGTGCATCCCAGGTCTGTCTTCTTTTCAAGGTCTGGGCCTTGTGCTCGGGTTATGTTTGTGGGAAATGCTTAATAAATACTGATAATATGGGAAGAGATGAAAACTGATTCTCCTCACTTTGTTTCAAACCTTTCTGGCAGTGGGATGATTCGAATTCACTTTTAAAATTAAATTAGCGTGTTTTGTTTTGTTTTGTTTTTGTTTTTGTTTGAGAGGGTCTCATTCTGTCGTTCCTGGGTTCCTCTTTTTTTCAGGGATTCTCCTACCTCAGCCTCCTGAGTAGCTGGGATTACAGGCTTACACCACCACGCCCGGCTAATTTTTGTATTTTTAGTAGAGACAGGGTTTCGCCATGATGGCCAGGCTGATCAGGGTCTATTTTTTTCGGTACTAATCAGGAAAAATCAGGTAATTAAGAAATAGTGCACTTGAGTTTTGAGTTGGAGCACCCTGTGAGGGGATGAATATCCAGTTTTGTTTTATTTTTAATTTAAGAATATCTTCTCATGATGACTTTCTCGGGTAATATAGTCTAGAGCGTGGGAGACAGCTCGGAGTACTGCTGGCCAATACTGCTTCCTGGCAGAGCCAAGCGCCGCCCACCTGACGCCTCAGTGCTGCGGGTGGTGAGACCCGTCGCTGGCTCCCACCATGGTCAGGTCTCCTCTTTCCTCCCAAAGCTGAGGACGCAGGCGAGGCCGTTTTCTGTGACCCTTCCAAAAGAAGCGTTGTTTTGGATGAGTCTCTGTCCCCGGAGGCCGAGGGCCAAAAGTGTCTTATGTTAGAGGCAAAGATGCCCGGATTTAGAGGGCTTCCAACCCCTAGGACCACTTTGCTCTTCCCTGCAGGAAGCTCTCAGATGGGCGCCTTAGCCCGGTGGTGCACCCGACGGCCCTCCCCGGCGCTCCCTGTGTTCAGTACCAGTACCTCACTCCCAGGCGTCGCTGCTTTTCTTTTACTTTTTGCAAAGATAGACGCTGTTTGTTGTTGCCGTTTTGTTTTGTTTTGTTTTACTGGAGAGAGATATCGAGTCCCTCGGGATAAAATTAAGTCCCTTGGATCAGAAAGGGGAACTTGCGCATCCTTGAGAGTGCTCTTTCCTTGCGGTTCTCCACACCCGCCTGGGCTCTGGGGTGGGGCAAATCTGCGCTCGCATCCTTGGTCCCTCAAATATTGGCCCAGCCCGAAGTCCTGATAAAATGATTCGAACTCTCAGTGACTCAGTTTCTTCATCCAGAAAGTGGAGGCAAATACTACTTCATGGAGTTGCTGTGAGGTTTAAACCAAGAAATACCTGTAAAATGCTAATTCGGCATCTAGGAATCCCTCCACAAACAGTAGCTATTGTTTTAGGCTGTCATCGTCGTCGTCGTCAGAGGCAATCGGGAGCTGCTGTTGTGGAGTTTCTAAAGTCCCCCACCAGTCCCCCGGCAGCCCCTCCCCTCTGGCAAACCCCCACACTGTCGCTGTTGATATGAGTTTTATTCCTCTACCCACTCATCTTTCCCGAACACTGCCTAGTTTCAGGATGCCCTTCCTCATAAATAAACTCCCTAGGTTTTCCACAGCAAACTTCACCAGGCAAAGAACTGCAGCTCCGCCGACCAGTTAGTTGGTGGAGGCGCAGAAACTTGTCCTCGGACCCCACGCAGAAGCCGCCGCCCTCTCCAAGGCTCCGGCCCCGACTTCGCTCTGCGAATTGGGCCAGCCGCTGCTTTTCCGCGAGACCCGAGGGTTCGCCAAGGAGAGGAGAAGAGGCACAGGCTGCCTGAGACTGGTCTTCGGGCAGCCGAGGGCGCGGGATGACTCGGGCAGGCGTGTGGCCTCCGACTGACCAGGGTTGGGCCCGGGATCAGAGCTTTGCTTGGAAGTTCTCTGGGTGGCAGAGACTCGGGCAACCGGAGCCTGAGCCTCCCGCGGGGAAGAGCTCGGACTCCGGAGGTCGCGCCGCCTTGGGCTTGAATTCAGTCCTTCCTTACTACTCGTGGCTTTGCTTACATCATTTAACTCTCCATTTCCTTGTCTATACAGTGGGCTCATAAGGAGGCGGTAAGGAGATGATGATGTCTTTGAAGAGTTTAGGACAGGACCTGGTGTCTCCCGTACGCTTGGTGGGGGTGGCGGAGGTGATGCGTTGTTAACAGGAGAAACCGACCTTCCAGGGAGGCCCAGGGAGGCAGCGGAGAGCGAAGTCCTGCTCGGCGGAGAGACCTCGAGGAGAGTATGGGGAAAGGAATGAATGCTGCGGAGCGCCCCTCTGGGCTCCACCCAAGCCTCGGAGGCGGGACGGTGGGCTCCGTCCCGACCCCTTAGGCAGCTGGACCGATACCTCCTGGATCAGACCCCACAGGAAGACTCGCGTGGGGCCCGATATGTGTACTTCAAACTCTGAGCGGCCACCCTCAGCCAACTGGCCAGTGGATGCGAATCGTGGGCCCTGAGGGGCGAGGGCGCTCGGAACTGCATGCCTGTGCACGGTGCCGGGCTCTCCAGAGTGAGGGGGCCGTAAGGAGATCTCCAAGGAAGCCGAAAAAAGCAGCCAGTTGGGCTTCGGGAAAGACTTTTCTGCAAAGGAAGTGATCTGGTCCCAGAACTCCAGGGTTGACCCCAGTACCTGACTTCTCCGGGAGCTGTCAGCTCTCCTCTGTTCTTCGGGCTTGGCGCGCTCCTTTCATAATGGACAGACACCAGTGGCCTTCAAAAGGTCTGGGGTGGGGGAACGGAGGAAGTGGCCTTGGGTGCAGAGGAAGAGCAGAGCTCCTGCCAAAGCTGAACGCAGTTAGCCCTACCCAAGTGCGCGCTGGCTCGGCATATGCGCTCCAGAGCCGGCAGGACAGCCCGGCCCTGCTCACCCCGAGGAGAAATCCAACAGCGCAGCCTCCTGCACCTCCTTGCCCCAGAGACCGTCCGAGCTGGAGCCACAAGCCCTCCATTCCTCTTGGAATCTTCAACCCCAAGGTAAGGTAAGTTCACCGAGCACCGCCCAGCGATGCGCAGGATCCGGGGGGGATCACGCGCGGCGACCCTACCGAGCGCTCCGTGCGCGCCCCCATCTCTCGGATCGTGTTCCTGGCTCTGTCGAAGCTGCTGAGTCCCGCGATTCGGGAAATCCGGCACTTGTTTCTCACCCTACACCATCACGTGGAAATCATTGAAAATGGGAACCCTGGTGGAGTATCTGGGAGAGCACGCTTGTGCCGAGGGGCCTGAGCTATGGGACTTCCTCCAGGTCCCTCTGTTTCCTGCCGGCGTAGGGGACTCGTAGTGTCGGATCGCATAGTGCCAAAAAATAGTGCATGGGAAACAAACAAAAACACCTCTCATTTTCTTCCGCAATATAGTTTTTCCTGTAGGTGGGCTAACATAGTACCTGAAGAAGTTCTCACCTTGAAGAGCTAAATCCATACCATACAATATCTGAGAGTTGGTGATGATTTCGGGTCATGCATATTGTTTTTAACAGGGATGATGTCCATAAATAACTTGCTCTTCGCTCCAGTACTGGGGCGTGAACGCATTCAGCAACATATGTTGGATTCCTGCTTTGCTGCGGCACGCAGGAAGCCTCACAGTGCTTGCCCTGGAAGCACTCACAGTTTTTACAAGACAAATCACATCTTCCCACTTGATGGTCAATACCGTCATGGAGATTGAATTGATTATCAGTGACTGAATTTACCAGAGTAAACAGAAGTCACTATGATTCCCCAAAATGAATGCTCCTTTTGAACAAGGGCATTTCATTTCTTAATTTTGGCCTCCTTAGTCTAGCACTGCCACCCTCTCCATATCCTCTCCTTCAACCAGTTCAGTTCAATGCATTTAAGTTTGACTGAAATTTAAGTATTGTACTTTCCTTTTCAAATTGGTGAATCTACCTGTTCTATTTTCATCTCCCCACCACCCATTCTCTGTCTCATTCTCTCTCTCTCTCTCTCTCTTTCTCTCTCTCTCTGTCTGCTCTCTCTCTCTCTCTCTGTAGGTGTGGTTTGTGTCTGAGGGTGAGTCTCCCCATCTTTGTGTTTCTGAGGATGCCTGTGTAACCTATGTGCCTATGTGTGTTTGTGTGCATGGGTTTAGGGTGGTCTTATTGGGTTGCCATAGTGATAATGATCAGCTGTGTCTAGGGACCAAGGAAACCTTCCTATATACTTTTTGTTTTATGTGTGTATTTATTTACTTGTTTATTTTTGCGACGGAGTCTTACTCTGCCGCTCAGGCTGGAGTGCAGTGGCACGATCTCGGGTTACTACAACCTCCACCTCCCAGGTTCAAGTGATTCTCCTGCCTCAGCTCCCCGGGTAGCTGGGATTACAGGCACCAGCCTCCATGCCTGGTGAATTTTTGTATTTTAGTACAGATGGGGTTTTGACACATTGGCCAGGCTGGTCTTGAACTCCTGACCTCAAGTGATCCACCCACTTTGGCCTCCCAAAGTGCTTGGATTACAGCACAGCCATCTCACAGGTGTCTGATGGCATTGCTGATGATGAAAACTGTCCGCTCAGGTTACTGTCTCAATTCTTTGAATTGGCACAACGTTAGAAGGCAAGAAGTGCTGTCTTTAGAATAACACAAAGTTGAAACTTTGGTAGAAGCTGACAGATTGCTAAAGTACTACCATAAGGAACTTTAAAATCTTCTCTGTCTAAAAAAGAAGTTCACAACTAAGGTATTTCATGACTTCAACAAATTTACCTATAAAGCCTCCTGAAAATTAAGTAGTTACAAATGTCAGAAGAAGGAAATTCTGAGTTGATATTGAATCAAGCTTTACTCCAACCCAGCTCTAACAGGCTAGATGTGGGAACAATAAACCTAATGGGAAACTGAGGCAGGGCAGCAGGAAGCAGAAGGCCTCCTTGCAAAAGAAATGGGAATGATGCATCCTCTTATCTGGCAGCCAGCCATCAAGAAATTGCTTCCCATGGTCAGCTTGAGCAGTGGGAAGAGACTGGCAGGAAACACTGGGTAGGAAGGGGAGGTCAAGGTCTGCAGATAATAGCAGCTAAAAATAGGTGATTTCAGAGTGAAAGTGGCTGGCTGAAAGGGATGAGGCTCATAGGTTACCTAGTGATAACCTGTCAATGCCAGATTCCCATATTAAAGTATGGTATATTTACACATCTGTAAGATGGAATGCACATGATAAAATTATATTCCTTCCAGGTGCGGTGGCTCATGCCTGTAATCCCAGCACTTTGGGAGGCCAAGGCGGGCAGATCACCTGAGGTCGGGAGTTCGAGACCAACCTGACCAACACGGAGAAACTCTGTGTCTACTAAAAATACAAAATTAGCCAGGTGTGGTGGTGCATGCATGTAATCCCAGCTACTCATGAGGCTGAGGCAGAAGAATCGCTTGAACCTGGGAGGCACAGGTTTCAGTGAGCCGAGATTGTGCCATTGCACTCCAGCCTGGGCTACAAGAGTGAAACTCTGCCTCAAAAAAAAAAAAAAAAATCATAGTCCTGATGTTTCATTAAAATTATTTCCTCTGTAAATGAGATCCCATGGCTTTTGAAAGCATAAATAGCTCTAACTTTAAGCAGTATTCTATCATTCAACTTCAAGTTGAACACCTTGGAGTCCTTCCCTGAACATAGAGCATATAGAAACCTTAAATATATGCCATATCATCAGCACGCATTCAAGATTCTTGTCTACATTGTGGAATACTCTGAAATCTCACTTCTAATGATAATTACACATCTAAAAAGCGTAAAGAACCTGATCTGATCATCACACATAATATGGAGTAAAACATCACTATGTACCCCATGTATATGTACAAGTAATACTTGTCAATTTAAAAAAATTTATGTGTAACAATATTTTTGCTGCTAATTATTTACATCATTGAATAAATTCTATCTCTCCTCTTTCAGAATTCTCAATGAGCCTGATTTCCAAAAGGTATGACATTTTGAAAGTAATTTCTCTTATTTACATATGCTCTTAGAAAATTCAGAAGTCCCACACTTCTAAATCTGTCTGGAAATACTGCTGATTTGAAATCGACATATTACATGGAATTATTTCCACTTCATAGTTCTAGAAACAAACAAAAAAAAATGTACAAAATAAGGCCGGGCACTGTGGCTCATGCCTATAATCTCAGCACTTTGGGAGGCCGAGGTGGGTGGATCACAAGGTCAGGAGTTTGAGACCAGCCTGGCCAATATGGTGAAACCCGGAAACCCCGTCTCTACTAAAAATACAAAAATTAGCCAGGCCTAGTGGCAGGTGCCTATAGTCCCAGCTACTTGGGAGGCTGAGGCAGGAGAATCACTTGAACCTGGGAGGCAGAGGTTGCAGTGAGCCAAGATCACATCACTGCACTCCAGCCTGGGCCACAGATTGAGATTCTGTCTCAAAAAACAAAAACAAAAGTACAAAATAGAGTTGGGCAAGGTGGCTCATGCCTGTAATCCTAGCACTTTGAAAGGCTGAGGAGAGAGGATTGCTTGAGCCTAGGAGTTTAGGACTATGATTGTAGTGAGCTATGATTGTGCCAATACACTCCAGCTTGGGTGACAGAGCAATACCTTGTCTCTAAATAAAGCATTTTTAAATGTTCAAAATAATCTCTAAGAAATAAACAATTGGCCAGCAGGGTGGCTAATGCCTGTAATCCCAGCACTTTGGGAGGCCGAGGTGGGCGGATCACTTGAGGTCAGGAGTTTGGGACCAGCCTGAGCAACATGGTGAAACCCTGTCTCCACTAAAAACACAAAAATTAGTCAGGCGTGGTGGCGAGCACCTGTAGTCCCTGCTAGCAGGGAGGCTGAGGCAGGAGAATTGCTTGAACCCGGAGAGGTTGCAGTGAGCCGAGATCGCACCACTGCACTCCAGCCTGGGCAACAAGAGCCACACTCCATCTCAAAAAATAATAAATACATACATAAATAAATAAATATAAAATATTATATAATTGGATTTATTGCAATCAATGAACATGTGGTTTATTTTTATTTAATATTGAAAGACTACGTTTCTAGGCCAGAAGGACAGGAGAGTGGATAATTTCTCCTGTGGATGATTGGGCCTTTCCACAGAAACACAAACAGAGATTGTATAAAGCACAAGGCATTATTCATGCTACCCTTTGTCCTCCAGTCCAGTGGAGGAGAAAAGGAACAATCCCTGGCCAAATGTGCAAATTGAAAGTGCTGTTTTTCACTACCTTGGGCAGGGTTTAGCTTCCGGTTTTGTGTTCCCTATTTACTGCCCTTCTGAACTAGGGCAAATAACTTGATCCATTTGAGCTTGTCTACTCCCCTGTGAATTAGGGATAATCCCATCTCATGTGACTATTGTGAGAGTTAAGTAAGATAAGGTATGTGAAGAGCACATACTTGGGTGAGTGGAAACCTTTATTTTTATTTATTAGGTACAAGGTCTCACTCTGTTGCCCAGGCTTGAGTGCAGTGGTGTGGTCCTATCATCTCACTGTAGCCTCAAACCCTGGGCTCAAAGCAATCTTCCCACCTCAGCCCCACAAGTAGCTGAGACTACAGGCCAGTACCACCAAGCCCAGCTTTTTACATTTTTTTTTTAGACATAGGGATCTTGCTAAGTTACCCAGGCTAGTCTCAAACTCCTGGGCTTGAGCAATCCCCTTGCCTTAGCCTCCTGTGGCTGGGATTGCAGGTGACAGCCACCTCACCTGGCTGAGTGCCACCTCACCTGGCTGAGTGGAGCCCTTTAGAAGGATGTGGTTTTTCCAGAAGCTGAGGTCTTTCTTGCCCTACTAAATCACAGACAGCTCTTTGCTCAATGGACCTCAGGGAAGGCAACAACTGCCACACCAATTGAATGTATGCCCTTTTCCCTGGAGCCCTGGAGTCCTCCCTCAGATGGGGACAGCTAGGTCTTGTCCTGGCTCTTCACAAGAGAATTTCTGGACTGCAAAGTCACATTGAAGTTGACCAGGTAGGAGCAAAAATAAGCTACCACTGTATAAAGCAGAGAGGCAAAAGCCAGCTGTACTGACTGAAGTCACACGTCAAACAGCATTGATACCCACATGCAACTAGCTTTACTTGTAAGGCACAAGCATTTCAGCCAATTTAAGGATAGTCTGATGACCAAAGATAGAAAGTCTCTTGACAAACTAGAATTTTTTTAAGGATCTCTAGGCCTCCGCTCAAAGAATAGGAGATTGTTCTAAGACCTTCTTAATAAGTCATTTCCCTAGATGTTACTATATTGATTAGTATTAATACATATTTATATATAGATGTATTATGTATAATATATATTTATATAATACATATTATTATAAATAATATATATTGATGCATATTGACATGATTAATACATATTTATATATAAATGTATTATGTATAATATATATTTATATAATACATATTATTATACGTAATATATATTGATACTAATCAATATAGTAACATCTAGGGAAATGACTTATTAAGAAGGTCTTGGAACTGTCTCCTATTCTTTGAGGAGGGGCTAGAGATCCCTAAAAATTCCTACTATGTATTATACATAATACATATAATATGTAATATTCTATTGTGTATTATATATATTATATATAATATATTATATATTATGTATTGTATATAATATATTATGTATTATATATTATATGTATTATGTATTATATATGTATTATATATAATGTATTATGTGTTATATATTATGTATTATATATATTATATGTGTAATATATATTTATGTATATATATTTATATATAAATGCATTATGTATAATATATATTTATATAATACATATTATACAAAATATATAGATACATATTGATATGATTAATACATATTTATATATAAATGTATTATGTATAATATATTTATATAATACATATTATTATACATAATATATATTGATACTAATCAATATAGTAACATCTAAGGAAATGACTTACTAAGAAGGTCTTGGAACAATCTCCTATTCTTTGAGGGGGGGTCTAGATAATATGTTATATATTTTGTATTATATATAATACATAATATGTTATATATTATGTATTATATATAATACATAATATGTTATATATTATGTATAATATATTATATATTATGTATTATATATAATACATAATATATTATGTATTATGTATAATATATTATATGTGTAATATATTTATGTATATATAATACATATATTATATATTATATATTATATGTATAATATATTATAAGTATAATATATATTATATGTATAATTTATGTATAATATATATTATACATAAATATGTATAATATATATTATACATAAATATGTATAATATATATGTAATTATATATATTATATGTATATTATATTATATATATGTATATTATATGTAATTATATATATTATATATGCATATAATATATGTGTAATTATATAATATTATGTAAATATATATTACACATAAATATATATTATACATAAATATATATTATACATATAATATATATTATACATAATTATGTATAATATATATTATATGTATAATATATATTATATATTTTCAAAAAGTAGGTTGCAACTGATTAGTCAATAAAGTCAAGTTAGCCAGGCTCGGTGGTTCACACCTGTAATCCCAGCACTTTGGGAGGCCGAGGCACTTAAGGTCAGGAGTTCGAGACCAGCCTGGCCAACATGGTGAAACCCCGTCTCCACAAAAAATACGAAAAAAATTACCCGGGCGTAGTGGCGCGCCCCTGTAATCCCAGATACTCAGGAGGCAGAGACAGGAGAATCGCTTGAAACCAGGAGGTGAAGGTTGCAGTGAGCCAAGATCACTCCAGCCTGGGCAACTCCATCTCAAAAAAAAAAAAAAAAGTCCATTTAGTGGGTTGTTACCAGATTTTTATTTTATATATATATATATTTATTGTATATAAAAAATATATATGTGGAACCCAAGAGGTTTTGACATTTGATTCTGCCATCCCTAAGTGTTGTGGACCTCCCTAGTCCCTTAGAGCACTCCAGCCAATACACTTACTTTCTCAGCAGCAGGGGAAAAGAGACAAATCAGAAGGATATGCATCTATGGTAGACAGAATAATGGTCCCTGAAAAGTTGAAAGGTGTCTACATTGCAATTCCTGAAACCTGTGTCTATGTTCCCTTACAGGGCAAAAGGGATTTTTAGAGATATAATTAGATTAGGTACTTAAAATAAACAGATTATTCTAGATTATCCTTGTGGGCCCAATCTAATCATACAAGTCCTTGAAAGCAAATAACTTTCTCTAGCTAGAATTCAAGAGCTACAGCAGAAAGAAAAGTTGAAGAGATTCCAAATATGAGGAGGCTTTACTGAGCCATTGCTGCCTCTGAGATGAGGGAGTCCATTGACAAGGACCCAAGAGAGGCTGGTAAGGGCTAACGACCACCCCCAGGCGACAGACAGCAAGGAAACTGGGGGCAGCCACAAGGACGTGGCCTCTCCAACACTGGACCAGAGAAACTGCTGAGCCAAGGGGGACTTTGACAGACAGAAACAGTGAAATAATAAATTTAATAACCCTAGAAGAAAACCTAGGCAATACCATTCAAGACATAGGCATGACAAGGACTTCATGACTAAAACACCAAAAGCAATGGCAACAAAACCCAAAATAGACAAATGGGATCTAATTAAACTAAAGAGCTTCTGCACAGCAAAAGAAACTACCATCAGAGTGAAAAGGCAACCTACAGAATGGGAGAAAATTTTTGCAATCTACTTATCTGACAAAGGGCTAATATCCAGAATCTACAAAGGACTTAAACAAATTTACAAGAAAAAAACTAACAACCCCATCAAAAAGTGGGCAAAGGATATGAACAGACAATTCTCAAAAGAAGACATTTATGCAGCCAACACACACTTGAAAAAATGCTCATCATAACTGGTCATCAGAGAAATGCAAACCAAAACCACAATGAGATACCATCTCACGCCAGTTAGAATGGCGATCATTAAAAAGTCAGGAAACAACAGATGCTGGAGAGGATGTGGATAAATAGGAACGTTTTTACACTGTTGGTGGGACTGTAAATTAGTTCACCCATTGCGGAAGACAGTGTGGCCATTCCTCAAGGATCTAGAACTAGAAATACCATTTGACTCAACTGGGGTATTACTGGGTATATACCCAGAGGATTATAAATAATGCTACTATAAAGACACATGTACACGTATGTTTATTGCAGCACTATTCACAATAGCAAAGACTTGGAACCAACCCAAATGTCCATCAATGATAGACTGGATTAAGAAAATGTGGCACATATACACAATGGAATACTATGCAGCCATAAAAAAGGATGAGTTCATGTCCTTTGCCGGGACATGGATGAAACTGGAAACCATCATTCTCAGCAAACTATCACAAGGACAGAAAACCAAACACTATATGTTCTCACTCATAGGTGGGAATTGAAGAATGAGAACACTTGGACACAGTGTGGGGAACATCACATACTGGGGCCTGTAGGGGGGTGGGGGGGCTGGGGGAGGGACAGCATTAGGAGAAGTATCTAATGTAAATGACAAGTTGACGGGTGCAGCAAACCAACATGGCACATGTATACCTATGTAACAAACCTGCATATTGTGCACATGTACCCTAGAACTTAAAGTATAATAATAAAATAAAAACGAAAAAAATAAATTTCATGTTGTGTTTAGCTGCTGCATTTGTGGTGATTCGTAATTGCAGCAATTGAAAATGAATATAGTTTCCTTTACTTGAATGACACTTTTGGAGTTACACGATGCCTGCTTACACCTCATTCACAGAACTTAGCTGCATGAAAGCATCTAGCTACACAGCAGGTGGGAAAATGTAGCCTTTATTCTGGACAACCAGTTGTCTAATGAAAAATGGGAGGAAGTACATCACTAAAAAGGGAAGTGTCCAGTGGATACTGGGGACAACTAGCAGCCTCCATGACAGTTACCAAGGATCTATATAAAAAATTGTCCTAATAGGCAGGGCGTGGCGGCTCACGCCTGTAATCCCAGCACTTTGGGAGGCCAAAGCAGGCAGATCACTTGAGGTCAGAAATTCGAGGCCAGCCTGGCCAACATGGTGAACCCCCATCTCTACTAAAAATACAAAATTAGCCGGGCGTGGTGGCACATGCCTGTAATCCCAACTACTTGGGAGGCTGAGGCGGGAGAATCACTTGAACCCAGAAGGCAGAGGTTACGATGAGCCGAGATCACGCCATTACACTCCAGCCTGGGTGACAGAGCAGGACTCCATCTTAAAAGAAAAAAAAAATTGTTATAATAATCTGGTGTTTTCTGAAAAGCCACAGATGAAAACAATACTCATTATTATACAACAGCCATATATGAAGCCCATGTCCTGGAATTTAATTCTAGAAGGAAGTTTGTTCAGACAAACTTGTGTGCTTTCATCAAACGATGTACATGATACAACATCCAGTGTTAGCCTTTTCTATCAGACAACTCTGAACTAAAGTTAGTATTCAATTAACACTCAACTATGTGTCTCATCCTAGCATAGGCTATTGAGGAAGGCCGAGATTTTCAATCAGAAACATTGGCTTCCAGTTCTGCATTGACCATTTATGCCCCTTCTGAACTAGGGCAAATGACTTAGTGTCTTTGACAGTCTATTTTTCTTATTAGTCAATTGGGAGAAATATCAACCTCATAGGACTGTTATGAGGGTTAAATAAGGTATGTGAAAGATACTTTTTGAGATGAAAAAGAGCCCTATACATGTATTTATAGAATTAAAACATATAACATTTATACATTTATATGAAATGTATAAAACATTGGATCTTCCCTTCCTCTAAGTCAGTGTTTTTCGAACAGTAGGTTGCAACTGATTAGTCAATGAAGTCAACTTAGTGGGTTATTACCAGATTTTTTTAAGTTAGATAAAATATAATAGAAAATATCAGAGTGCATTATGCACAGCGAGGATAAAGATTGCTTCATGTAACTTTTTTTAGTTATACATGCATATGCCTAACAGATCAAAATACAAAATATATTTTGACTTTGTAACTTTGTTAGAAAGTTTTGAAAACACTGCTTTAAAAACACTGCTTGGAATGGTGTGATCTTCATTTTATCTGTGTTAAACATTTGGTTTTTTGTTTTGTTTTTAGCGCTCTATTCATCATGTGCTTTTATTAGAAACCAACTCACATCTATTTTGGAGAGAGAAAGTTGAGCTAGGAGAGAGAGAGACTGAGGGCCAGGGTAAAACTCATGTTAAATGCTTTTCAAACAAGATATAATTGTTAAACTTTTATTTATTTATTTATTTATTTTTTTTTTTGAGACAGAATCTCACTGTCGCCTAGGCCGGAGTGCAGTGGTGCAATCTCAGCTCACTGCAGCCTCTGCCTCCCGGGTTCAAGCGATTCTCCTGCCTCAGCCTCCCGAATAGTTGGGACTACAGGCACACGCCACTGCGCCAGGCTAATTTTCTGTATTTTCAGTAGAGATGGGGTTTCACCGTGTTAGCCAGGATGGTCTCAATCTTCTGACCTCGTGATCTGCCCGCCTCGGCCTCCCAAAGTGCTGGATTACAGGCATGAGCCACCGCGCCCAACCTAATTGTTAAACTCTTAATCTCAGCCTCAGAGTCAGTCTTCCACTCTTTGTGATGCTGGAAGTGGGCTGAGGCGCTGAAAATGACATTCTCCTTTGGCAACGGGCTATTGGTCAGGCTCTGCTACTCAGCACGGGCCAGGAGGGAGGCTTCAAGGTGCAAGGCCAGTGGAAGAACTTGCTTCTTCCTTTCTGCTTCCAGTTCGCTTCAGTTGCGAGCCAGGCCGTGTTTCTCCCGGTAGTGGCAATTTATTCCATTAGCAGCAGTTTATTCTGGTTTGCAGTTTCTTCCGAATCGGCACCACCTCAAAGATATCAACACCAGTTGGCCAGCAACCCCTTCTCAGCGGTGTGAGTCCCAGCTCTGTGGAGCCCCTCCTTCAAGCTTCTACATTTTCATATTTACAACCTCTTTATTTTGTTGCCTCAGCCCTGGGGGCTGGTAGCTGCATTTTGCAATCACTCCCTGATGCCTTAGTACAAGCTTGTCCAATCCCTGGCCGTGGCCACATGTGGCCCAGGACAGCTTTGGATGTGGCCCAATACAAATTCGTAACTTTCTTATAACATTATGAGATTTTTTTGCAATTTTCTTTTTTAATTCATCAGCTTCATTAGTGTTAGTGTGTTTTATGTGTGGCCCAGGACAATTATTCTTCTTCCAATGGGGCCCAGGGAAGTCAAAAGATTGGACACCCCTGCCTTAGTGCCTCTGACTGGAAGGGCCTACCAGCTTATACTTCCTATGTTTGCCTGCCTGCCTTTTTTTTCTTCTGTCTTGCCTTCTCTTAAAATGTACTGAGTGGAGAGCCGCAGTGGCTCAGGCCTGTTGTCCTGGTGCATAAGGAGGCGAGGCTAGGCGTTCCAGGCCAGCCTGGGCAACATAGAAACCTCTCATCTATGTAACAAAAAAATAATAATAATAAAATGTACTGAGTAACTGTACTAGGATCTGGACTGGGCTCTGGGTCCTCTGTAAAGTCTGTGAGCACACAACCATGGAACCAATGAGTTTCATGTTCTCTGTGAAACTTCCCAAACATCCCAAGTACCCCTCTGTGGTGTCTACCTTCTAAGATGGCCCCCAATAAATTGTGCCTTTTGGTTTCCACACCTTTATGTCCTCCCCTCCCACAATGAATCTGGGCTGAGCCTGTGACTCACTTTAACCAGTAAACTGCAGCAAAACTGATGCTGTGCCCCTTCCGGGCCTAACATCTTTTTTTTCTTTTTTTGACACAAGGTCTCATTCTGTTGCCCAGGCTAGAGTGCAGCGGTGCAATCACAGTTCGCTGAAGCCTTGACCTCCCTGGCTCAAGTGATCCTCCTATGTCAGCCTCCCAAGTAGCTGGGAACACAGGCACACACCAACATGCCCAGCTAATTTTTTTTTTTCTTTTTTTGTTGAGACAGGTTCTCACTATGTTGCCTAGACTGGTCTCAAACTCCTGAGCTCAAGCAATCCACCTGCCTTGGCCTTTCAAAGTGCTGGCATTACAGGCATGAGTCACTATGCCCAGCCTGAGCCTAAAATCAAAGAAGGCCTCATATCTTCCACATTTGTGCTTTGGGAATCCTGGACCACCACGTTAAAATAATAAAAAAACCCAGCTGCCTCGCTGGAGAGACTATATCACGATGTCCTCACAGGAAGATACTGCATGGAGAAAAGAAACCCTGAGAACACCTGAGAAGAGAGGCCCAGGCATCCCAGCATCTCATCCCAGCATCTCATCCCAGCTCTAGCCATCATCTGACTGCAATTATATGAAGCCAGCAAAGGAACTGCCCAGCTGAACCCAGTTAATCTACAAAATGTGAGAGATAATTAACCCCTAAGTTTTGGAGGTGGTTTGCTATGCAGTAACAGATAATTGAAATGCCCCTTCCCTGTTCTATGTTCTTACTCTTTAATCCCATAACACCTTGTCCCTTTGTACCTCTATCATATTCTTACTCAAGTTGCATTGTCTGTCTCCCCTAAGAGATGGCAAGTTTCTAAAGGGTGGTGATTGCATCTTTATTTATTTTATCAGAAAAAGTTCAGTAAAGAAAACAGAAACCACTCAAGGCATTTCAAGCAAAAGGAGATTAGGTATTCACAAGATTATTGAAAGGCACAGCACGAGGCTTTTGGCTTCAAGGTCATATCACCATGGTTGTAATGCATAGGTCTAAAAACTGCTGCTACTACCACAGCTCTGCCCTATATCCAAGAAAATGATGTCCGGACAGTGGAATGTGGATTTGGCCATGCAAATACATCTGCCAGAACCAGCCAGCCACTATGACAAGAACAATGACTTCTGTCTTCTTTCTGTCCTCCAGATATTTCATGAATTCATCTAATTGACAGAACCTTCATTGCACCTAGAAGTCTTGTGCTAAAAGGTCTGGAAAAGCCAGGCTTGGCAGCATACACCAGTAGTTCCAGCTACTCAGGAGGTTGAGGCAGGAGGATAACTGGAATCCAGGAGTTTGAGGCCATAGTGAGCTATGATCACACCACTACACTTCAGCCTGGGCAACATAGGAAGAACTTGTCTCAAAAAAAGAAAAGAAAGAAAGAAACCTTCCAGAAACTATAGCTTTCAGCATTCCAGTTAATTCTATACAGGGGAGAATATAGATGGAGTGAGAAATGGATGATAAGGGCCGATTAACAGCATGTAGTGCATTTCTGAATCCCTAGCCCTAACACAAGCTCTGATAAGTAGGAAGTCTGATAGGCCTGTTGAATGAATTGATGAATGTACAAATTAATTTGTTATCCATCAGGTAGTGTAGCATGCAATTATAGTCCCCTCCTATCCTAGATGCTAGGAAGACAAAGGTGAATAAATGGTATTTCCAAAAAGCAAAATCCAGGGGTAGAGCTGAGTTGTGAGAGCAGTGGGATACAAGTATGAATTTTGTAAGATTCTCAGTGTTATCTGTGGAGCCCTTGTCTTTCACTCTCTCATGAAAGTAAATAGGCAAATACAGAATCCATCTCAGATGTTAACCTTTTCAACATGTTTTGCAAATGTAAGTTGTTTCTCCAGGAAATAATAAGGCTGCTTTTCCAAGGTCAGCCCTGTAGCTGAGTCAAGAAAGCATTCCTAAAGCATATGTAAAGAAAAGAACTCAGACACAGTCTACACGCTTGAGAATAGACACAACTAAGGCCATCTTGACAGGTAAATTCTATGGCTTCCCCTTGCTATTCACACATACTATTTATTTTCCCAGCTATTACTTAAAGCACCACATAGCTCTCAATCCTCAGTGATGAGAAAAAGTGGAATAGAGACCAGAAATAGGAACTCGAGAGTCCAGTGTTCTTTACTTAGGCCAGCAATTAACTTGTAAAGGCTGTCACAATCTCATTTTCAGCTGTATTAGTTTTGCCATTTACAAAATACAGGCATTATGTAAATAACCAAACAATGCTGATAAAGTGCTGAGTCCTCATCACTACAGTTATCCCTGTCTGCTCTGTACTAAATCTATGACAGGATTTGTGTAATTATAGGGTGTGTTCCCCTTGCTAAGCATATCTCCCACACAATCCATTTAGCCACTCATAAACCAAACACTAGGATTTTTTTAAAAAAGAAATTAGTTGATCTTGCTAGGGTTAGTGGAATGTTTTTTATTTGTTTCCATTCCTATTGTTGAGATTTGGTGCTTTTTCAAACAGTTGCTTATAGTTTAAAAAAAAAAAAAGACTAGACAAAGCTACAACCAAGCATTAATAGTAGTAGTGAACTCTGGGGAGTCCGACTGGCTGTTCCTTTTATTTTACTTTATGTGCTGCATTGTTTGTATTTTTCACAATGGGAATGTATTGATTTTAAAATTAAAAATAAACTTTGTGGCCTGGCGTGGTGGCTCACGCCTGTAATCCCAGCACTTTGGGAGGCCGAGGCGGGTGGATCACGAGGTCAGGAGATCGAGACCATCCAGGCAAACACGGTGAAACCCCGTCTCTACTAAAAAATACAAAAAATTAGCCGTGCACGGTGGTGGGCACCTATAGTCCCAGCTACTCGGGAGGCTGAGACAGGAGAATGGCGTGAACCTGGGAGGCGGAGCTTGCAGTGAGCAAAGATCGCGCTACTGCACTCCAGCCTGGGCGACAGAGTGAGACTCCGTCTCAAAAATAAATAAATAAATAAAAAGCAAACTTTGTAAATATTACCAATGATTAACTTTGAGTAGAGGGATTACAGATGATTTTTTTTATTATTTGAATATTTATATTGAGAAAAATAACCATTATTTAAAAGAACATCGACTACATTGTTGACACTTTTTCTGCAGAAAGTGCAACAAGTGTATCAAGTGACACGTAGGTCTGGCTCTTAGAAGTCTGTGAACCCTTCTTCACCTCATTAATCATTGGCTGACCTATAGAGACTCAGCAACCAGAAATAAAGGCATGAGGTCAAACTGCACAGGGCTTGGGAAGGCTGTCTGACTTCAGATCCTTCAGGCCCTCAGACCTCACCGTTCAAGGTCAGACTGACTGGGAAAGGAGTGGGAGTTTTCCTGGGGCGTGGAGTGTGGACACCATCAGAACCAGGCTGAGGAATACCAGGTACTGCAGAGCAAGTGACCGTTGTTAAGGGATTCTTTATATGGTGTGACTGCTTATTGTGGTTTTCTGTTTGCTTTCACTCCATTAACTTGTGTGAGCTGCTTATTATTTACCAAGCACTGTGCTCATGCTTGGTGGGGGATAGAAAGAGGCAAAATATAGGATCCCAGCCCCCAAGAAGTCTCTCATCAAAAGTAAAAATTAGACAGGTAGAAAAGATAAATTATAACACAGCAAGACAAGTGATATAACACAGGTTTATTCCTCTCAAGGAACGCAGAGGAAAGAAAAATCAAGCCTGAAGGATTCAGTGAGTCTTAGCAGAGTTTCTCGTACAGTAGGCAGCCTGGAGGAAGGTGGCTGGGAGAGGGAGTTCCAGGCCCAGAGAACACCTGGGGCAGAGATGCAGAAGCAAGAAAGAGCACAGAGAAGGCACCCACACCTAATCCCTGTGTTCCTTTTGAATTGCTGCTGTCAAATTACCACAAATGCCGTGGCTTAAAATGACACAGGGAGATTTGACCCCAGAATGTGGCTATGTGATGACGATGGGAGCAAGAGACTGCGGTGATGGATGGGAGGGAAGGCCATGAGCCAGGGTGTGCAGGCAGCCTTTAGAAGTTGGAAAGGGTGGCCGGGCGTGGTGGCTCACCCCTATAATCCCAGCACTTTGGGAGGCCGAGGTGGGTGGATCACCTGAGGTCAGAAGTTCAAGACTAGCCAGGCCAACATGGTGAAACCCTGTCTCTTCTAAAAATACAAAAAAAATTATCTGGGTGTGGTGGCACATGTCTGTAATCCCAGCTACTTGGGAGACTGAGGCAAGAGAATTGCTTGAACCCGGGAGGTGGAGGGTGCAGTGAGCCAAGATCACATCACTGCACTTCAGCCTGGGCAACAAGAGTAAAACTCCGTCTAAAAAAAAAGAAAAAAAAGGACATTGCCAGAGTCTTGGCGATTTGGCCCGACGCGCTCCGCTTTCGCTACAGCATGGTGGCCTACTGGAGACAGGCTGGACTCAGCTACATCCGATACTCCCAGATCTGTGCAAAAGTAGTGAGAGATGCACTGAAGACAGAATTCAAAGCAAATGCCAAAAAGACTTCTGGCAACAGCGTAAAAATTGTGAAAGTAAAGAAGGAATAATCTACCCTGACTAAAGCTTGAAATGCTGCATTTCCAAGGTGAAGATGTATGGGCACATGTTATGGCAGATTGAAAAGGATCTCATTTCATGGGAAAAAAAAATCCTGTCTTGTTCATAAATTGACAATGTCAATAAATTGAAATATGGTTCACTGTTAAAAAAAAAAAAAAAAAAGGTTGGAAAGTGCAAGGCAAGGAAATGGATTCTCTCCCAGAAACCTCCAGAAGGAACCAGCCCTGCCAACACCTTGATTTTAGACTCCTGGCCTCCAGAACTGTAAGAGAATAAACCTTGTCATTTTAAGCCATGAAGGTATTAAAATAGTTGTGATTTGAGGTGGTTTGTTAAATAATAATGGATAGTAGGAACAGAGTTTGGTGCCTGGAAATAAGGTACTGCTTAAACACCTTAAACACCTAAAACATGACTACCATATTTAATTAGCCAATACTAAAACATGTAGTTTGAGGACTGAGTGGCAGGAAGAAGCCAGATAGGCATTGGGGTAAGCTGATGGTGAGTATTTGAATAAAGTGAGAAAAAATAGTATTTGAAGCTGGAGAAAATAAAATGTTTATTATATATTGGCAGAAAATTTGGCAACACTGTCATCTGAGATAATACGGAAAACCGGAAGCGTACTTAATAAGCTCAAGTAGTCCAGCCAAGGAGATTTCTGGGCAGGATACTAAAGGTGCCACCAGCTTCTTATAGCTGCCTGTGTAAAATCTGAAATGATGAAGATGAAATAAAAAAATATGATGATCAGCTTTCACGTCAAATTAAGAGGACACATAGAGGGCTTTCAGCTGAATTTATCCAGCAGGAGATTCTCAAGGCAAGAAAAGACCTCTAGGGAAGATCAAATCTAGGATACAGTCAAGAAAATGTGTTCTCATAATAAAAATGAAGACAAACATATGACTTTAAAGCTCCTTGTTGAGATCTAAGAAAGGTATAAGGTGGTCCTTTGTAGACTCTTTCAAGTAGACAAAAGGCCTCCTAAGGATTCTACGGAAGCCTTTCAAACAGCCTCTGTCTAACAGTAGGGCTTCTGAAAATCTTGCAGGCATTGTTGCACTACAGCTTCATGGGGAGCTCAAGGTAGAGAAGAGCTTATCACAAAGAGATTTGTGGGTGTAGCCTTATCTAATGGCATGGAGTTTATAAACTGATACATAAGAAACCCACAAAGATGTTAAAGGAATTATATTAGCTTTGTTCAAAAGGAACAGATAGTACAAAATAAAATAAGGCTCCCCAGACTTCTAGTCAGAAAGCAGGCTGAAACTGCGCAGGCTACTTTTTGTTTGTTTGTTTGTTTGTTTGTTTGTTTGTTTGTTTTGAGATGGAGTCTTGCTGTGTCACCCAGGCTGGAGTGCAGTGGCACAATCTCGGCTCACTGCAATGTCCGTCTCCCAGGTTCAAGCAATTCTCTGCCTCAGCCTCCTGAGTAGCTGGGATTACAGGCACCCGCCACCATGCCCGGCTAATTTTTGTATTTTTAGTAGAGATGGGGTTTCACCATCTTGGCCAGGCTGGCCTTGAAATCCTGACCTCATGATCCACCTGCCTCGGCCTCCCAAAGTTCTGGGATTACAGGTGGAAGCCACCGTGCCCAGCCAGACACAGGCTACTTTTTATGGAGAAGAAAGGATAACTCAGAAAATGGGAATAAAGACCTACAAAGCAGAGGAAAAATTTCCGGAGAGTACTTTGCAACAAGCAGGACTGGGCCCTAACCAATACATGGGCAACATATGCTCAGATAGGTTTCAGAATTAACATAAACCAATGATTGTTACTTGTTTCCATTTTCCACACTTTAGAACAAGGGTATTTATACACATTATCCTATACCTATATCACTTTGTGTTGGGCTTATTTGGGGGAAGAGTGGCAGAAAACCTTATTTCATACGTTTTCAGATCAAGAGGACCATATTCAAGCAACTTAACTGAAGGAGCCTAATCTGCACCTGGACCTGATTTATATCATGAGACCCTGTACCTTGAGCATAAGCCCGGTGCTTTAATGAGATGAAACTTTGGGAGGAAAGAGCTTGGATGTGGAAGAACGTAAATAATTTGTGCACATGCGGCAAACTGGAAGTTTGAAACACAGCTGCAAATTTTTTTATATTCCTCCCATGGAGTGGTGGCTTTATGTCTCCCCCTCTCAAACCTGGGAGGGCCTGTCACTTCTTCAACCAACCGAAAGTGGTGGTGGAAGTGACACCATGTGATTTCTGAAGCTAGGTCAGAATAGTACATATAGCTTCCATCCTGCCTACAGGGAACACTGACTCTCGGAGCGCTGAACCACTAATGTTAGAAGCCACAACCCTATGGAAGCCCAAGCCAAATGAGGAGGAACTCTGGTTAACAACCCAAAGTAAGCTCAAATTTCAACTTTGTTTTAGCCCAGATACCAGTAAAGAACCCTCTAGGTGATTTCAGCCCCAGCCATTCAATTCTTCCTAACTGAGGCTCCAGACGCTGTAGCATGGAGACAAGTCATTCTTACATACCCTATCTGAATTCTTGTCGCACAGAATCCATGAACATAATGAGATGGTTGTTGTGTGACATTAAGTTTGAAGTTGTTTGTTGTTTGACAGTAATAACAGGAATACTGCTATATTAGTTTCCTGTGGCTGCTGTAACAAATTATCACAAACTTGGTGGTTTAACACAACAGAAGTTTATTCTCTTACAGTTCTGGAGGCCAGAAGTCCAAAATTGTTATCACTGGGCCAAAATCAAGGTGTTAGCCGGGCCACACCCCCCTTGAGACTGTTAGGGAATACCCCTTCCTTGCTTCTTCCAGCTTCTAGTGGTTGCTGACATTGACTTGTGTCGAAGCCAATATCTACAAATTTCTCTCTGTTCCTTCTTCACATTGCTTTCTCATGTAGTGTGTGTGTGCATGTCTGTCTCTGTGTGTGTGTGTGTGTGTGTGTGTGTGTGTGCATAAGATGAGACAGGCTGCAGGGAATCTCTTCTGTTTCTCTCTCTCTCTCTCTCTCTCTCTCTCTCTCTCTCTCTCTCTCTCCCTATATATATATATATATATATATATATATATATATATATATATATAGTTTGTTTGTTTGTTTTTTGAGACGGAGTTTCACTCTTGTTGCCCAACTAGGAGTGCAATGGCATGATCTCGGCTCACTGAAACCTCCACCTCCTGGGTTCCAGGGATTCTCCTATCTCAGCCTCCCAAGCAGCTGGGACTATAGATGCAGCCATCATGCCCAGCTAATTTTTGTATTTTTAGTAGAAATGGGGTTTCACCATGTTGGCCAGGCTGGTCTGGAACTCCTGACCTCAGACGATCCACCCACCTCAGCCTCCCAAAGTGCTGGGATTACAGGCATGAGCGGCCTTCTGTTTCTCTCTTATTATGACATTTGCAATGGCATTTAGGGCCCACATGAACAGTCCAGGATAACCTCTCCATCTCCATATCCTTTTTTTTTTTTTCCTAGACAGAGTCTTGCTCTGTCACCCAGGCTGGAGTGCAATGGCATAATCTCGGCTCACTACAACATCTGCGTCCAAGGCTCAAATGATCCTTTCACTGCAGCCTCCCAAGTAGCTGGGACTACATGCGCCCACCACCATCCCTGGCAATTTTTTGTATTTTTTATGGAGACAGGGTTTCACCGTGTTGCCCAGGCTGGTCTCAAACTCTTGAGTTCAAGCGATCCACCCTCCTCGGCCTCCCAAAGTGCTGAGATAACAGGTGTGAGCCACCACACCTGGCCTCAAAATCCTTGATCATACCTGCAAAGACTCTTTGGAGTTGGATTTTGATTTTTTGTTTGTTTGCTTGCTTGTTTATTTTGTTTCTCATACAAAGTAATGTTCATAAGTTCTAGGAATTAGGACATGGATATCTTTTGGGGTGCCCTTTTTCAGCCTGCTATCACTGCATAGTTGCAAAATACTACACTGTATATATTCTTTTGTATCTTGCCTTTTTAAATGTATGAGCCAAAATAAGCATTCCCATGCCATTACATACTCTGAAAACAGAAACTTTAATGGTTATGTAATATTCTATTGAGTGAATGTAACATAAGTTAGTTATCCAAAACCTTAATTTTTTTTTCTTCTTTTAACTTTTATTTTAGGTTCAAGGGATACATGTTCAGGTTTGCTACATGGGTAAATTACATGTTGCTGGGGTTTGGTGTATAAATGATTTCATCACCCAGGCAGCAGTGAGCATAGTACCCAATGGATAGGTTCTGTTTTGTTTTGGAGACAGGATCTCGCTCTGTCGCCCAGGCTAAAGTGATGATCTTGGCTCACCGCAACCTCCGTTCAAGTGATTCTCATACCTCAGCCTCCTGGGTAGCTGGGATTACAAGTATGCACCACCATACCTGACTAATTTTTGTATTTTTAGTAGAGATGGGGTTTCACCATGTTGGCCAGGCTGGTCTCAAACTCCTGACCTCAAGTGATCCACCCACCTCGGCCTCCCAAAGTGCTGGGATTATAGGCATGAGCCACCAAGCCTAGCCCCAGTGGGTAGTTTTTGATCCTCGCCCTTCTCCCACACTCCACCCTCAAGTAAGCCCTGATGTGTATTGTTCCACTCTTTGCAGCCATGTGTACTCAATGTTTAGCTTCACTTATAAGTGAAAACATGCAGTATTTAGTTTTCTTTTCCTGGTCTCTGGCTGTATCTGTGTTGTTGCAAAGTACATGATTTCATTCCTTTTTATGGCTGTGTAGTATTCCATGGTGTATATGTACCATATTTCTTTTATCCGGTCTACCATTGATGGACATCTAGGTTGATTCCATGTCTTTGCCATTGTGAATAGTGCTGCAGTAAACATACGTGTGTATTTGTGTTTTGGGGGGAATGATATATTCCTCTGGGTATATACCCAGTAATGGGATTGCTGATTCAGGTGGTAGTTCTAAGTTATTTGAAAATCTCCAAACTGCTTTCCATAATGACTGAACTAAACATTCCCACCAGCAGTGTATAAACATTCTCTTTACTCCACAACCTCGCTACCTCTTATTTTTTGACTTTTTAATAATAGCCATTCTGATTAGTGTGAGATGATACCTCACTGTGATCCAAAACCTTAATGTTGGATACTTATTTCCAACTCCCTATTTTTTTAGTATTTCCTGAGACTAGATTCTACATATGGAACTTAGTGAGTGTGAGCAGTTTATGACTTGTGACTATATTGCCAGATTGCCATTTAGAAATACATATTAATGTATTATTTTATTATTCCTGTGGGGTGCCTGTTTCATCATATCCTCACCAGCACTGAGTACTGGATTTTTTAGTTTTGGTTATTATTTGCCCTTTTTTTTGAGACGGAGTCTCGCACTGTTGCCCAGGTTGGAATGCAATGGCGTGATCTCAGCTCACCACAACCTCCACCTCCCAGGTTCATGTGATTCTCCTGCCTCAGCCTCCCGAGTAGCTGGGATTACAGGCGTACACCACCACATCCGGCTACTTTTTTGTGTTTCACTATGTTGGCCAGACTGGTCTCGAACTCCTGACCTTGTGATCCACCTGCCTTGGCCTCCCAAAGTGCTGGGATTACAGGCATAAGCCACCGCACCCGGCCTTGCCAATATTTCTTTAGAAGTCTATGTTTTCGGCCGGGCGTGGTGGCTCACACCTGTAATCCCAGCACTTTGGGAGGCTGAGATGGGTGGATCACGAGGTCAGGAGATCGAGACCATCCTGGCTAACACAGTGAAACCCCGCCCCTACTAAAAATACAAAAAATTAGGCGGGCATGGTGGGCAGACGCCTGTAGTCCCAGCTACTCGGGAGGCTGAGGCAGGAGAATGGCATGAACCCGGGAGGCAGAGCTTGCAGTGAGCTGAGATCGTGCCACTGAACTCCAGCCTGGGCGACAGAGCGAGACTCCGTCTCAAAAAAAAAAAAGTCTATGTTTTCTTCTCATTTTGTATTGGATTCTTTATAGGTTAGCAATTTTCTGGCATTTTTGTAGCAAATACTTTTCATCGTTCTGTTATTTGTTTTTAAATTTCAGATAGGATGTCCTTAATTGCTATCTACTGTTTTCTTTGTCACTTCTCACTCTTCCTTTATACTTATAAAGTCTGCACTTTTTTTTTTTTTTTGGATGGAGTTTTGCTGTGTCACCCAGGCTAGAGTACAGTGGTGTGATCTCAGCTCACTGCAACCTCTGCCTCCCGAGTTCAAGTGATTCTCCTGCCTCAGCCTCCCAAAGTGCGGGGATTACAGGCGTGAGCGGCCGCGCCTGGCCCAAAGTCTACACTATTCAGAGAGCAGACTCAATAATGTTTGAAATAACACAGTGTTTGATGTCAGAAAGGCCTAGATTAGAATCTGTCTCATAGAAATGAATGCTGGTTGTTTTAAAGCTTAAATAAAATAATTTAAGTTTAAAAATCAAGCATGAAGGCTGGGATACTCACTCCATTTCTTTTGGTTCTGTTTACTAGAAAAGAAAAATCATCGAAGACAAAATGCGAATGCCCAATAAACATGAAGTATGCTCAACCTGCTTAATAATTTCAGAATAAAAAATTAAATTGGTTACCATTTTCTGTCCATCATATTGGCAAAAATTTAAGAGATAATGTCTAGGGTAAAAGAGGATATGAAGAAAGGGAAACTCACTCAACGGGACTGTGAATTGTGTGACTTGCTAAAGTTTTTTGGAAAGCAATGGCTATCTTTACTAGAGTTTTAAAATGTACATTTTTTTGACCTACCATTTCAAATTTAAGAAATCTATCCTTTAAATATACAAAACTACAAAAGGGTATATGTAAAAAGCTTACCTTCGTATGGTTTGTAATAGCAAAACAATGACAACAACTTAAATGTTCATCTGTAAGGAAATCGTTAAATAAATTGATTTAAAATTTTTTCCCACTAGAATTAAGTTTCCCAAGAATAGGGATTTTTAATGGTGATGATTACTGCTGTTTTCCCAGCACTTAGAACATAGTAAATATTCAAAAGAAATGATTGAATAAATAGATAAAATTATATCTTTGTTTACATAATGCAATAGACATTTTAAAAATTGATGTGATTTATGTGTAATGACCTGGTGAAATATCCATGATATATTATTAAATGATAAAAGCAAGTCACAAAGTAAAGTGTGACTTCATTTTTGTTTTTTTTAAAGGACAGAAAAGAAAGAACAAGATTTTAAATGTAATACGTATTTGTGTAAGCACAGAAAAATTCTCGAAATGACATCCAACAGTGTTAACATTGTTAATAGAGGGATGGAATTGAAAGGATGGAGAAGTTACTTTTTTCTTTTCACATTTCTGCGTTGTTTAACCTTCTTGGAAGGAATTGTTTGTCCAAGCCCTTAGCTCAAACCAAACTAGACTTTGCTATGGGAAAATGAGTAGGCTCGAATTCGCACACACATCAGGGAACAGTGACCTTGATACTGTTACGTATTCTTTGTACAATATTGGTTTGTTGCCTTTTTTAAAGTATCTGTTGAACACTGGTAAATTTTGTTCCCCGCCTCTCTGGTAATCGCTCGACCTGTTCTTTCCAGCAGGTATTTCTCCTGCAGAACCTGCTGGCTGGCCCCCGCCCTTATCTCTGGACTGCTTTGGAACCAGCGCGGCTTCTGTGTGGCAGCTACTGAGTGCACGCTCGACCTTTGCCACCCTCCGCGCTGATGGAAACTGGAGGAGGATGTGGTTTAGACACAATGTGGCCCAAGCGTCCTTGTTTCCTGAATATACCCCAAAGTACAAGTCCCATCTCCAGTTTTGAAAGAATTCCCCGAGGAAAGGGGCTTGAGTGGAGTGGGTGGAGGTGAGAGGGGAAGATGAGGTGTTGGAGAAGCCCGGCGCACGGGGCCTCTATTAATATTAACTTTTATTAAGAGTTGGCCTTTCCCCGGGGCTTCACAAAGCAGGAAGTCAAGGGCAGTGGAACAGGGAAGGGAACTGGCAGGAAGAGAAGACCTTGAGTAAATTATTTAGCTGTGACACGAGATTAAGAGTGACCCCACCCTCCTCCCTGCCCCACACACCCTAAAGTGGGCCCAGGTTGGGGAGCAGCGCTCCAGCTGCCACTAATCATGGAAGCCCAGAGGCGAAATCAGCTTCCCGGGGACCCAGAAAATTGCTGGAGTCTGGCGAGGGGCAAATCAGGAAGTGTCTTTGTCGGAGATGGGACGGAACCCGGCTTCGGGGCGCAACCGGGCTCTGGGGGAGACCGCGTTTGTCCAGGTGGCAGGCCGCGCCTTCTGATGGCTGTGAAGAGAAGGAGCGGGGGTTTTAAGAGCCACAGCGCCACCGAGAGAGTGGAAAGGAGTAGATTAGCTCGCGCCTGCTATGCGAGGCGACTCCCCCCGAGACCCACCCGCAGCCCAGCGCCCTTGGCCAGGAGGCCCGGAAAGCCACCGAGGCGGCCGAAAGGGGCCGCGGGGCACCCCTCAGCCCCTCCTGCGGCGGCTCCGGCTGCCCCTGCTCAGCCTCCCGCTCCCCGCCCGGAGTCCCAGCTCTCAGATCGGCCGCAGAGCTGGGAACAGAGGCCGCGGGGTCCAGGCCGTTCCGCCCGCTCAGCCGGAGCAGCAGCGCCGCCTGCCGGGGGCCTCGCGCAGGCGAGACAGGCCAGACGCCGGAGGCCGCGGGCGGCTGCAGCTTTGACGGGCCGAACACACCAGCGCTCCCGTTCCGCCTTTTGAAAATCAAATCCCTTGGGCCTGGTGCCACCATCGCTCAGCCCAGGTCTTCGACGACGGGTCGAAGGCCAGTGCTCCAGGCCTTCTTCACCGAGTGGCTTCGGCGCTTGCGGCCCAGGTTCCCCGCACCTCCGCGCCGTAGTTGCGCGCACCTTTTGAAAAGCTTGGCGTCTTCAGGTATAAGGACAAAAACAACCGCGGACATCACACCATTCCAAAGAAGAAAAAGAAAGTGCCCGGAATCTCAGGGCGCGACTTCCGGGGCGACGGGCGGCGGCGGAGAGGCGCTCCCCGGGCTTCCTACCCGGCAGGAGGCCGCGGCGCCGGGACCTCGCCTGCCCTCACCGCGCGCCACCTCTCGGGAGACGCCGCGAATCTCTCCAGGGAATCCCGGGCAGCGGCGCAGACCCAGCAAGGACCGGCAGCAGGCCGAGACCGGCCGTCTTGGGCGAGAGCAGCGGGACACGAGCCCCCGGGCGCCCGCTGGGAGCGCGGGGAGGCTCTGGGCTCAGGGAAGCTGCGCTCCGAGTGGCCTTGGAGGACGGTCAAGGAGCCCGGGCCCCGCGGCGGCCGGGAGTGGACGCGACTGGTCCGCGCCGGCCGCAGGGGAAGGGGCGGGTCGGCGCTGCCTGAGCTCTATCTGCTCTAATGGCTGGGGTAGATCCGCGGAGATACTTGAATACCAGGCCGAACGCTTCCCCAAGGCGTGTTGTAGACAACGGGCCCATTTGAGCATGTGCAAAGAACAAATTTCATCCATTTTTCTGTCTAAAACATTCAAAGACTCAAATCTAGACAATAGTTTCTCTGAGGTAGAAGTGTTGGGGGTGGGGGGTGGGTGGGAATAAACTAAAAGTTGGGGTAATGAGCTTGTTTCTTGTCTATTTTGTCTGACTATAGATTTACAAAAGGAGCACCCTGCTTTACTCAGTAATACCAGGCCCTCCTAGAAACTTACCCACCAGCTTCACATGGCATGATCATTTGATGAATCGCTTTTTAGTTTCCCATTCCGGACAAATATCCACCCAAGAGAACCAATCATAACACTGGATGTATTAACGCATGTCAAGACTCTCACTTCTCTGTAGAAATGAGAAATAAATGTCGATTGTTGGTTTTCTGTAGACTTGTGATCACGCCCAGGAACTGTCATTTTCCAGTTACCAGAATCTGAATCATTGTCTAATGTGCCACGTATATAACAATATATCACTAACAGCGATCTAAAAGCGTAAAGATGTTTACGTAAAATTCATAGATTTGATGAAAATAATAGGAATGAATGAAAATAAATACAAGAATCTGGATTTCTAAAATACGCATTATTTTTAACAAAGTGGTCCAAGGGAAAAATAATGTTTTAAGTTTTTATGTGCGGATTCCAGACAAGCATTCTTTCTTTTTGTTCTTCCTGCACTCTCCTACATTTCTATGTTGTTACTAGACAGTGATGTCTGGTTCTGACTTATTTATGTATTTTTTTCTATTTGTTTCTGGCAATGCACATAATAAGAAATACACATAGCAATATTCTTGCTGTTGTTGTTCATAACCACTGAGAAAAAAAAGCAGCAACAAGTAGGAATAAAAGAAGCCTCAGCCACAGAATGGCAAGAAACGTTATATGTTTTTTAGGGCCACTCTTTGCACCTCGTTTTACAGACAGGTTACTACTTATCAGCTTACTGACCTTGGGAAGACCCCAACCTCTGAGCTACCACTTCCTCATCTGTAACCTGAGGATCCAGTGAAGTCATGTAAGACAATGTAGCATTGTACGCTTATGACTAGACCCCAGTCATGACATGAGCTGCTTCTGTCTAGAAAATAGAGGGCTGGCAGGGCACGTTGGCTCACGACTGTAATCTCAGCACTTTGGGAGGCCGAGGCAGGCGGATCATGAGGTCAGGAGTTCAAGACCAGCCTGGCCGACATGGTGAAACCCTGTCTCTACTAAAAATACAAAAATTAGCTGTGTGTGGTGGTGCGCGCCTGTAATCCCAGCTACTGAGGAGGCTGAGCCAGGAGAATCGCTTGAACCTAGGAGGCGGAGATTGCAGTGAGCCAAGATCGCATCACTGCGCTCCAGCCTGGAGACAGAGCGAGACTCCATCTAAAAAAAAAAAAAGAAAAAAGAAAAAGAAAAGAAAAGAAAAATGAAAGAAAAAGAAAAGAAAAGAAAAATGAAAGAAAAGAAAAGAGAGGGCCGAGTGAAGACTGAAAACAGAATCTAGTTCTGTTAAGTTTTGCTGTAGCTGTTGTTTTTTAAATATTAGCTATACAGAGTGAAAGAACAATACCCGAAGTGTATTTCGTGAGTAGGAAACAGAGCCTGCCCTGGTCATTTTTAACAACTCCTAATCTGTGGTTTAGGTATATAATCCTTGTTCTTGATTCTACTAATTATCAATAAATTAAAATTATTTAAGTGCCACATAACAAGCCATCATAAGTTTGTATTACAATGACTTTAGCTCTGCATTGTTTTTCCTTGTTTGCTTCCCTGAGGTTGGAGAGGAACTTATCAACTACCACTTCCATAAAACCTATTATCATCATACTACAGATACTAAGTTTGAGATAGCAGACTGTTAATCCTGAAAGTTCTGAGATAACACATGAGCAATTAGGAAAAAATTCCTTTTTAGTTTTGAACTTAAAACTCAAATATGAAAGTGCATGAACTGCCCAGGGTTTTTACTTACCAATAAAATACTGGACACATAAACCCAGTACGTGATATAAATATTATTTTTAAGTAAATGTGCGTGTGAGGGGATGGTTTGAAAATCATTTCATCTCAGGGAAGTCTTTTTCGTGGATCAAAACTGGTTGTGTTGTGGTTTATGGATTACATCTCTAGCACAGAATCACCAGGATCCTGCTTTACTGGTTATTTAACTTTGGGGCTCTGGCAACCTTGTTGATATTATCTATATCTGCTGTGGTTAATGACAAATTCCAATTGGGAAAAGCTGTTGTTAAAACAAATGTAATGTTTGGGCACTAAAGATGCAGGAGCCAAAAGGTCACCTAAGTGCTGCCCCCACCTTCTCTGGACTGATTCCTCCAGGAAGAATGTCAAGGTAAACGTTGGTATAATCTCCGGAACTCACAGAGTCTACCTTCTTTATCTGGAATTTGAGAGGTTTTTTTTCTAAATCTAATGTCATAACCTTCTAGAAAGTCATGATATTTTATACATATATGTCTATATATGTGTAAATATGTATAAAATATGTCTATCTTTATTTATATATAGTATTCCTCTGATTTGTAGCTAAATATAAAATATCTCTATCTTTATTTATATATATGTATTCCTCTGATTTGTAACTAAAGAAAGAAGACAGCAGATGAGGCCGGGCGCGGTGGCTCACGCCTGTAATCCCAGCACTTTGGGAGGCCGAGGCAGGTGGATCACGAGGTCAGGAGATCGAGACCAGCCTGGCTAACACCGTGAACCTCGTCTCCACTAAAAAATACAAAAAATTAGCTGGGCATGGTGGCGGGTGCCTGCAGTCCCAGCTACTCAGGAGGCTGAGGCAGGAGAATGGCCTGAACCCGGGAGGCGGAGCTTGCAGTCAGCCGGGATCGCCACTGTGCTCCAGCCTGGGTGACAGCGAGACTCTGTCTCAAAAAAAAAAAAAAAAAAAGACAGCAGGTGATTCTTTTGGCCCAGTGTCACACAGCTAGCCCCACAGACATCTCTAAAACCTGCTTGGTTTGTTAAAATCATAGTGCACCCACTCCAAGAAGAGCAGGAGGCAAAAGGAAAAAGGCAAAGGAAAACTGACTGAATGTAGGAGTTGTGGGGTTGAAAATTTGTGCAGTCTAAGTGTGATTAAGAGGATAAGTTAAATATTTACAAATTAATCTACATTACTCAGATATGAATGTTTTTGTTATACTCTGAACAAAACCAATTTAATGCAAGATCTGCTGCCATAATTTTACTGTAAGGGAGAATTCTGGAGATGAGAGTAAAACATTTTTCTTAAAACAACATCTAAGGATGAATCAGCCTTAGAGAATTTAATCCTCAGCAGCCTGAGGTACAGGTTTAATATGTTAAACCTGTACCTCATATTAAATCTGTACTCTTGGGGTGGCTCCTGAAGAGTACAGAATTAATATTGAGGTGTTGAGGTAGAAATTATCTCAAAATAAAGAAACTTTTAATGCCATCTAGTTAGAGTATCTGCCTGTCTGCTCCTTTTGGGTTAAGAGTGTGCTGATGGCCAGGCACAGTGGCTCACACCTGTAATCCCAGCACTTTGGGAGGCTGAGGTGGGCAGATCACCTGAGGTCAGAAGTTCAAGACCAGCCTGGTTAACATGGTGAAACCCCGTCTCTACTAAATATACAAAAAAAAATTAGCCGGGCATTGTGGCGGTCGCCTGTAATCCCAGCTACTCAGAAGGCTGAGGCAGGAGAATTGCTTGAACCTGGGAGGTGGAGGTTGCAGTGAGCCGAGATCAAGCCATTGCACTCCAGCCTGGGCAACAAGAGCAAAAATTCGTCTTAAAAAAAAAAAAAGAGTGTGCTGATGGATTATTAGAAGGTTCTCAACTATATCCTCAACTAATCTTTATTCTCCTAAGTACAGCTAGAAACTAGATGTTCTAGTTGGGAACATGTCTTCTAGTAAATGAAAGGGCAAGTGAGCTATACAGATCAGCAACTTGTCGCCACATCTGAAATGCTACTTAGTGCCTTGCCACTCAAGATTTTATGCAGATGCTTAGGAAGTGGTAATCAAGGAACACAGACTTCAGGCAATTTTGACAAAGTAAGCAAAGCTGAATGCATTAGAAAAAAAATTCTGGGAAAGGGTTATTCTATCATAATTTGAGAAATTTTCTTGCTCAAAAGCTCTTTGTAAGGACTCTCCAGCACTTTGCAGAATACAGTACAAGAAGCTGCTCATATCATGACTGGGGTCTGGTCATAAGCATACAATGCTACATTGGCTCCCCATTGGATCCCCATGTTACAAATAAGGAAGTGGTAGCTCAGAGGTTGGGGCCTTCCCAAGGTCAGTAGGCTAGTAAATAGCAACCTGTCTAAAACGAGGTGCAAAGAGTGGCCCTAAAATATATCTATAACTTTTCGACCCAAAATTAGCCGGGCATGGTGGCGTGCACCTGCTGCTGAGACAGGAGACTCTCTTGAACCCAGGAGGCGAGGTCACAGTGAGCTGAGATCATGCCACTGCACTCCAGCTTGGGCGACTGAGTGAAACTCCATCTCAGAAAAAAATAAATAAATAAAATAACTTTTCTTGCCATTCTGTAGCTGAGACTTCTTTCATTTCTGCTTGTTGCCTCTTTTTTTTTCCGAGTGGTTGTGAACAACAACAGCAAGAATATTGCTATGTGTGTTTTTAGATTGTTATTTAATATTTTCTTCACTGACGTAGGCATCTTTCTGGATATTATTAGAAAGAAATGAAACACATTGCAATGAAATATTCGTTGCTTTCATTGGCAGTCCATCGTGTTAACTTTATTGGATGAATATGATAAAGCCACGAATTGTTCACGGCGGGGCGTGGGGGAGAAGACTCAGGCTGTTCATTCTCCATAAATACTTTTTTGTTTGTTTGTTTTTGAGGCGGAGTCTCTCTCTGTCGCCCAGGCTGCAGTGTAGTGGCTCGATCTCGGCTCACTGCAACCTCCGCCTCCCGGGTTCAAGTGATTCTCCTGCCTCAGCCTCCCGATAGCTGGGATTACAGGAGCGCACCACGACGCCCGGCTAATTTTTGTATTTTTAGCGGAGACGGGGTTTCGCCATGTTGGCTAGGCTGGTTTCGAACTCCTGACCTCAAGTGATTCGCCCGCCTCTGCCTCTCAAAGTGCTGAGATTACAGGCGTGAGCCACTGCGCCCGGCCCGGCCCATAGACACTTTTTTAAACCTCTGTTCCACAATATTGACAGGTTTTATTCTCATATTTATCCTAAATTTCTAGTATTACCATATATTAATACTGTGCCCACATTACTGTAATTTTTAGAAAGAAAACATCGTGTGCAAAATGACCCTTTTAGAATGGTATAGTCCCTCTCCCCCAATTTTGTTTTTCTTAAACATTCAACAAACCCAAGAATCTCTCCTGCCTGACTTAGTTTTAACTTAGTTTCAACAGGCCCACGACCAACGTAGAAAAATCTTGCAGCGCCCGGGTTTGGGCTCAGCCGGAGTCGGCAGAGGCGCTTGCACCTCCCAACTGGGTGAAAACTGGAACCTTTCCGGGTTCACGAGCCCAAGCCCCATCTCTTCCCAGAGCGCGCGCGCCCTCTGGCGCCTGAACCGGCGACTGGACGCGGTGGAGGCGTGGGATTCGGAGGCCGGGACCCCAAGCTCTGCGCTGGAGGCGTCAGGAGCCGCGAGGTCATCCGGTCTCAACCTCAGGCGCCCCTGTGCAGGCCTCCCTACACTCCTCAAGCTGCGCTCCCTACTCGTGCCACATCCCTTGTTCCGTAGGTATTGCTTCGGGGGTGACACAGTTGGCGTTAGAAGCGCGGTGGCCTCACTTGCCGGAGAGGGTCTTGGTTTTGCGCCTTTTTCCGTGGCCCGGGAGGCTTGCCAGGCGCTCGCAGCAGCGAGCCGGGTGCTTGCATCTCAGAGAGCAGCCGAGCTCCCTTCCCTGGCCCCGTACCCGCGTGCAAGGGGACCGAGCCCCGGGAAGGGGAAGAACTTGTAATCGCTTGCAGCGGGACAATGTCGACTTTTGAACCTCTAACCACTAAGCAAACAACCCATGTGCTCTTGCTCCACTGTCCAAACAGGGTTTATTGACAGGCGTTTCACGGCAACGCATAGCAACCCCGGCGGCTAGGGGGCGGGCCTGTGGGCGCGGCCGGGGCGCGGGGAGACCTGCGGGGCACCGGGGCTCAGACCGGCCCTGACCCAGGACCCCTGACCCAGGACCCCTCGCCCAGCGGACCCGGACACGGCTTCCTCCTCTGCCCGGCACCCCCCGACCCCACGCCCCGCACTCCTCCCTCTGGCTTCGAGGCCAGGCGCCCGCGGGCCGGGCCACCGGAGCCCCTTTCCCAATCCTGGAGCTGTATACGCCACCCGGAAGGGCCGCGGAATTGGAGAGGTGCTGCAGAGGGTCTATACCTCTTGCTGTTTCCCGGCTCTGCTCATCTTCCCCAACTGCCCTTAAGGCGCCTCCGTGGGCGCGCTGATTAGGCTCTCGGATGTTGGTGGGAAGATCGAAACGAAGGGCTAAGCCCCCCTCGCCCGGGTCCTGCCGGAAAGTTCAGCTCGGCGGCCTCCAGGATCAAAAATTTTAAAGGCTGCAGCCCGGTCCCCAGTGGATCGGCCAGATAACAAGAAACTGTCACTAAAAGGATCATTTTATACTGGGTCTAGAAATCTTGTTTGTGGGGTGATTGGGTTGGAAGGGGGGGCGCGGTCGGGGATAAGGAAACTGCAAAGACAGAGAAGAGAGTGGAGGCAGAAAGGGCTCACGGAAATGCCCAGTGATTTACAGAAGACTAAATTCATGGAAATGCTGTCTTGGGAAACTAGGGGGATTTTTTTTAAAAAAAATTTAATGCTCACGTTTAACTAGCTGGGTTGTGGGGCGTCCTTAGGAGGGAGTCACTGCAGAAGGGAACTGCCTGCTGTTTGCAAAAAGCCTCCATGTGGATTTGGTGAGATGCTATGAGGGGGCCCTCTCACCCCCACCCCCCATAATTTCTGACTGCTGGGAAGCACCTGGCCATTCAGATGTGCATTTTGCCCAAAGGCACCCCCAGGAGAGCCACGCATTCCAAGGCTGGGCTCAGGCTTGGGGGCAGGGAAGGTCTCAGAACCTGCTCTTTCAGGCTTCTGATGCTCTGGGGTAAAATGAGGCTGTCCAGATAATCTCCACTCCCTCTCTGAATTTTCCAAATCAGCTTGCAAGCAGAGAAGATATTTCATTTCTTTAAAAAATAAAAAATAGTTGCAGACAAAATCTGAAGATAAATACAGAATCTGAAATCTGGAAAGCTCATTTATCTCTTTTTCTTTTTAGAAAAAATTCAACTGTGTTCAAATACTCCCCACTTCCCTTCACCATATCACTTCTCCCCCCATGGATCCAGAAGGCTTTAAAAACTCTGGCTTGGATGTTACACAGACCAACAACCCAAACAGCAGCAACAACAACACAAACTCCCCCCACCCCCTTCTTCATCAGCCCCAAGATTGTGAAAATGACAGGAAGTCCAGGTTGGCTCTGGCATTTATAGCACTGACATACATTCAGCCCAGAGAAGCTCTGGTGACAGGCTCTCTAAACAAGTCCCTGTTCGGGCCCCCTGGTCAGGCCTGGAGTCCAATAACCACCCCCTCATACCACACCCTGTGCATACACCAGCCAAGCCTTTCCTGGTCTGGGAAGGGAAGAGAAAAAAGACGCAGGCCACCTGGGGGTTCTGCAGTCTTTGGTCAGTCCAGCTTTCTATCTTAGCTGCCTTTGGCTTCCGCAGTGTAAACCTTGCCTGCCCGGAGGCAGGAGGCCCAGCTGGACCTCCGAGGGCCATGAGCAGGCAGCAGCCATCTTGGCCTCAAGCTTGCCTTTCCCTTGAGTCCCTCTCTCCCCTCGGCTCTAGCCAGAGGTGCAGCCTGCAGATCTAGGAAGAGAAGAGCTGGGGAGGAGGATGAAGGCCTGGTTGGTGTGGTCAGTCCAGGCAATGCTTCTGCCAGTCCGGAATGAAGCCCAGCGGAGGCTTTCTGTCTCCTCAGTGGCAGAAAAAGCCAGATGGGAAAAAGTAAAAATCTGGGAGAGTATATTTCTTGAGGCCCCAAATCCCACTTGTCTTACTCCTGGCTCCCATTTTTCCTCTGAGAGCCAGGTCTGTAGGTCTATGGCTGTGGGTGGGAGGGGAGGGGTCTCTCCTGAGGAGTCTAGCAGAGTCCACGCTCCTCATGGCTCAGCCTGGAATTGCTCTGCCGCTGCAGAACCCGGTGGGTCACTGGGTGACGGTGGGGTTTAGCACCCCCCCAGTTGGCCCCAGAACCCCAGGGACAGAGCCAGGCACTGAGGCTTGCAGGGAAGACACCGGACTCAAGGGCTCTGGGACACTTCTCAGAGGACCTGGCTGAGGCTGGGGAGGCTGTGGTGGCGGCGGAGGCGGCTGTGGTGGCTGCTGCTGCTGTTGCTGCTGCAACTTCTTCTTGTTGATTTTCCTCTCCTTTGCTCTGCGGTTCTGAAACCAGATTTTAACCTAGAAATGGAAAGGTGGAGAAAAGCACATTGTGGTGAAGATGTGAGGGAAAAGAGGAACAGTACCCAGCAGTATCATCAACATCTTCTGCTCCAGCTACAGAACTCCAAGTCCTTCTAGAAGCTTTCCTCGGGCATCCCCATAACAGCCCAACCCTGGATCCATTCTTAGGCCCAATTCAGCCTCATGGGGAAGAGTCTTCCTCCTTCCTTGCTCCCTGAGTTTCTTTTCAAAGCAACTTTTATCTACGTATTTACTGCAAAAGTTTAAAGTCTCAGAACCAAGGAAAACTGAAACTGCAAGGCCCTTTCTACACAGCAAAGGGAGGCCAGTGCTGGGTGGTATACTTCAAATGGCAACCTTTGGCCCCTCAAGGCTAAACTAAAACGTAATTTTCCTCACCTTAGAGCTGAAAATGAGATTTAATTTTGTGGCTTCCTGGCTGTGAAGTTGGCCTGTTTTTCTAGACTATATATATAAAATGTTCATGAACCAAGTCTTGTCCCTCTAGTTTTTGTGAGAGACTGAGTACTTTATTCAGTTTATTTTCTTAGGTACAGTGCTGGAAACAAAGAGAATAGGTCTTTAATATGTCTTTATAGACCCAAATGGAATTCTGGATTAAACTAATACCCTTGGCTGTTTTTCACACTTCTTATATCCCTCAAAAGAGAGAGACAGAAAAAATCAACAACATCAAAAAAAGAGGACTAAAGGTAGAAGGAGGCTTTTTAAAAAAGTACTCCAGGGCCAGGCACAGTGGCTCACACCTGTAATCTCAGCACTTTGGGAGGCCGAGGCGGGTGGATCACCTGAGGCCAGGAGTTCGAGACTAGCCTGACTAACATGGAGAAACCGCATTTCTACTAAAAATACAAAATTAGCCGGGCGTGGTGGCACATGCCTGTAGTCCCAGCTATTTGGGAGGCTGAAGCAGGAGAATCGCTTGAACCCGGGAGGCAGAGGTTGCAGTGAGCTGAGACCGCGCCATTGCACTTCAGCCTGCACAACAAGAGTGAAACTGCGTTTCGACGGTGGCGGGTGGGGGGGCATGTACTCCAGGCCAGGCATGGTGGTTCACACCGGTAATCTCAGCACTTTAGGAGTCCAAGACAGGAGGAGCATTTGGAGTTTGAGACCAACCTGGGTAAGACAGTGAGACCATCTCTGCAAAAAATTTAAACATTAGCCAGTCATGGTGGCTCGAGCCTGTAGTCCAAGCTACTCAGGTGACTGAGGCAGGAGGATCCCTTCAGCTCAGGAAGTCAGGGCTGCAGTGAGCTATGATTGTGCCACTACACTCCAGCCTGGGCCACAAAGCAAGACCCCATCTCTGTTTAAAAAAAAAAAAAAAAAAAAAAAGGACTCCAAAGACGAATGCTTGCATCCTCCTGCTTCAGTCTCTCCACAGATTTAGATGGCCCCTGCAGCCAGATTTTCTAACTCTCATGGTCCTCTGCCAGGCAGTGGCCCGCCCGGAGGGAGCTAGGCGGTCCCCACCTGCCTCTCAGAGAGCCCCAGCGTGGCGGCTAGCTCGGCTTTCCTCCGGATGGTGATGTAGCGACTGTAGTGAAACTCCTTCTCCAGCTCCAGCCGCTGGTGGTCCGTGTACACCACTCGATATTTGTCTTTCGTCCTGGTTTTCACTGTGGAGGAAGGAGAAGTGAGGGCTGAGAACTGCAAGGCAGCCCATCAGTCATGGGTAATGACAAACCTCCCTAACCCAGGGACATTTCTCTTCCTCCACCACCCTGGGGGGCCCGGGTTTGGCTGGTTCCTGCCAAGTCTGACAAGACCCCCCAGAGGGTCCTGTGGGGGGAGGGTATGAGGCTAGTGGAGGCAACTAAACTAACCTTGGTATTAAGTGGTTTTTAAAAATTAAGGAAAGTGAAAACCTCATTCACACAGAAGACAGCAGAATGTAACCACCCTTTCGGTAAACCAAATACAGTACTGGCATATATTTGACACCAAGGGAAAGGGGGCAGGGTGAAGTGGCCGGGATCCTGGAAGCATCCAGATTTCCAGGCCTACCAGAGATGGAAGCCCACCCCGAAAACAGCTGTCATTGTGGGCACATGTTGTAGAGGGGGTGTGGGGGTTACTACTTTGCTTTACTACAAGTGGAAAGCGGGGCTCAGGAGCTGACAAGTCGCCAGAATCATCCCCCAGACACACCAGGCCCATCAGGTGGAATTCTGAGCTGGGCTCTGGCCGAGGGAACAGGCAGAAAACCCCTCCTGCTGGGGACACTTTATACCTGCCCAGACCAGGTTTGGCGTTTGGTACTTTTTCTTTTTTGATCCTCCATTTATTCCTGCTGCAAATCCGGCCAGAGTTATCCTGACCAGTGATCTATGCTCATTGGATTGAGTCAACATATTAAATCCCAGATTGATTGTTTTACTGAAGGGCCTTGACAAATAGTGTCCACAATGTTGGAGCAGGCCCGAGCCTGGCGTCTCCACCAGGTCTGTCTTGGCTCAGCCCTTGGCAGAGCCCTGGCCAGAAGCTGTTCTCTCTGGCTCCGTCCCACTTTTGGGTCTTCTTGCAGCTGAACAGGTTCAATCGCCCAGTGCCCAATCCCACAGAAAGATCTGAAGGGCCTGGGAGTTGCCTGGAGGTGTTTAATGCCCCGCAGGCTGACTTTGTTCAGGTAAAACCCTTTGCAAACCACAACAAAAGCGTCCTGGGAAGATACAGGCCTGATCAGAGGGAGCTCCCCCGAGCCGCTGAAAGGCCAACACAGCCGCAAACAATGCAGGACAAGGCGATCTTATCAAAGAAAAGCCCTTTCAATGCCTTAATAACAACCACATTCTGTTTGAATTACCACTACTGAGCAAATGGCGGCCCCGGCTTTCATCCCCCTCCCCGCCAGGCGCATTAACATAAACACGACCCTGCAGGCGCATTTGAATGGGGCTGCGGCCCCGACCCCGCGCCTGCTATGAAAGTAAAGGGAACTAACGCGACTTTCTCCGCGGTGGACGCTCGGACACGCGTGACCGCCTCAAACCCACTCCAGGCTGCCATTGGTACTCGCCCCTTTTTACAGATGAGGAAATGGAGAATCAGACCGGGTCACGCAGATAGTATCAGGCGGGGTTGGCACCGGAGCCTGGCTGGAGCCACAGAGGACACCTCCGGAGCTGAGGCGCAGGGCAGTTCCCTCAGCCGAACACCCCGGGAGGGAGACTCGCCTGGAAGTGTCTCGGAGCGACCCTTGCTCGGGTGCTGCCCCTTCAGTGTCCCGGACGTGCCGGGCAACGCGATGACCAGACCCTGAGCGCTCTTCGACCCATGCCCCAAGGGCCTTGGAGGCGCCCCACACCCCCTGGGAACCTAGGAGCGGGGCTATGGAGGGGAGGGATGAGAGGGACTTGTCAGAATTCATTATTGACTGCGAAAGTCACCACCCTCTTTCCGGGCCCTAAAAGAGACAATGGCAGGGCTGGGAAGGTGTATATCAAAGCAAGCCAGGCCGCGTCCCCCCCTCCACCCCCACACCTTGACAGATGACGCTCCGCAGAGGAGCCCGGCTCCGGCCCGCGGGCTGCGGCCACCCCACATTAACATCACAAGGGCACCCGGCGCCGACTGCGGCCTTGCCACCTCGGCGCAGGACTTCACAGCGGCCTCTCATCTGCTGACCCCGCGGCCTGGGCTCTGGCGGCTTCCCTCCCGCCCCCTTCCCGGCCCTCACCCCGCGGCCGCTCTCCCGGGACACGCAAAGGTCTTCCTTAGGGCGTGCGCCACCCCCGCCAACCGCGCCCCAGACAGGGGCTGTAGAAAGTGGGTCTTTGGGAGCCAGGATCTGGGAGCCCCTGCTAGGAGAAAGGCGCCTCCTCTAGGAGAAGGGACCAAGCCAAAGCTCTGAGGCTCACCCGAGGCTGATCTGTGGCCTTCTCCCCGGTCGGCGGCATTCCCACCAGGACTCTCCCTAGCATGTGCACAGTGACGCAGAAACCGATGCCCAGAGACAGCCCCCAAAGGGCGCTTTGATTTATACAGTTGTAATTGGCTATAAACTTCTGCAAAGTGCCCATAACCAGCGTGCCTGCCCAATTGGGGCATCAAGGAGCGAAGCAAGAAAAGCGGAAGCGCTGAGGGCTGGGGAAAGACTTTAAAAGGGGCACTCAACTAGGACTCTCCCCACCGCACTTCCTTGCCACCTCTAGGCACACTCGAACACCAGAAGGGGCAGACCCAGAGTCAATGAGCCCCACAGTCCGGCAAACCTAGGATCTTTTTCAGTTGCACACACACACTCACAGACATCCCTGACACCCTTGAAAGGAAGCTTTGGGAGAAATGACCCCTACCTGGAGCGGCGGCTTAATTCCCACCAGGGTTTCCTCCCCGTCTCCCTGCTCTCTCCGCAGACGCCTGCCCCTAGGCTTCTTGCCCCTAGCCTTCCAGCTTTTGCTTGAAATGACCCCTTCACAGGTCAGAGGTTCAGAGACGGGGCGCGCCCCCGTCGCCTTAGCAGCTGGGGCTAGCACCTTCTTCCCAGCGACAGCAGCTCTCCCTGGTCTGCCTGCTCGCTGTACCTTGAATTGGCCCGAGTGGCCAAACCCGGTCCCACACACAGCCTAGCCATCCTCCGACCCCCCCAGGTCACTTCTCTTCTTAGATGGCTCAGATGGGGAAAGAGAGAGCGGAGATAAATGGCCTAGACCTAGCCCAAGAAGGTTCGAGCCTCCCTCTCTCCTCGGCGGCCAGGAGCCACGCAAGGAATGCATGCCGCAGCAAGTGCCGGAGGACGCGATTCTGCCGGCGTCCAGCAGTGCTCACGCCGACATTCCCCGGAGCTTCCCGAAGGTGTCCCGGGGTTGCGAATGAGGAGCTCTTGGAAAGAGGACGCCTGAACACGGTGTTGAGACTCAGAATATTCACTCCCAGGCTCAGTAGGTCAGAGAAGCCCCGACGGGCCAGAGGCCCCCGAATTTGTCTCCGGGCCGTGCCCCTCCTGGCGCCGAGCTCCCAGACAGCCCGGGACGCCCCTGTGCGCACTGGACGCGCGACGCGCAGCAGCCACTGGCTCGACCCGCGCCTTCCCAAGCACCCTCCGAAGGGGCGCAGCCTCTGCTTACCTTGGCTGCCGAGGGACTGCTGCGCCGGCTTCCGCATCCACTCGCACAGGTTCCGCCGCTGGCCGCCGGGAGACAGCTGCTCGGCGGCAGCGGTGGCGGCGGGCCCAGGAGGGCCGGGGTTGAGCGTTTGCAGCAGCCCAGAAGCGCAGGAAGGCGCGGCGGCCGGGTGGTGCGGGTGGTGATGCGGGTGGTGGTGCGGATGGTAGTCTGCGGGGCTGCTGTAGCCCATGGCTGCGGCCGGGGAGCCACCGTTGAGGCCGTGAGCCACGGCGTTGGCGGCGGCCGCGGCGCCTCCGGGCGCGTAGCCATTCCAGTCCTCCCGGAGTGGGGCGCCATACGCTGCCGGCCAGGATGGCCCCGGGGACTGCGCGCTGTCCAAGTTCGCTGCCGCTGCAGCTGCGGCCGCCACGTGGTAACCGCCGTAGTCCGGGTACTGCGGGGGGCTGACGAAGTTCTGCGGCGCCAGGTTGAGGCCGCCAGAGTGGCGCACGGAGCTAGGGTACATGCTCACGTCCTTGTCCAGGAGGTAGCTCACGTACATGGTGGCGAGGGTCCGGGAGCAGACCTCACCATGCTGCCTGGGGACCGACGCTGGAGGCTGCCGGGGGGCACGAAGGGAAAGGGGCGAGGGGACTCGAGGAGCGGCGGGTGGCTGCGCCCCAGCCCGCGGTGCTCCGCTGGCTCCTCGCGGCTCTTCTGCCTCCGAGGCGGTCCCTCCCTCTGGCCTGCCTCCTCCCTCCCTCCCTTTCTTCCTTCTTTCCTCCCACCTCCTTCCCACTAGGCTGCAGAGGCGGGGAAGACCCGCCACAGGCTGGCGTGCGGAGCCCCAGGCCGGCGGCCTTCCGTGATTAACGAGTGTTTACAAGACTCTATTAGTAATGACACAGACACCAATGGTTGGAGACGTCGAGGCGCAGCGCGCACTCTACGCACAACCCCTCGAAACATAATTTGCATTTTAAAAGATAAAGGGGAGGGAGGCTCGTGAGAGGGCAGCGACCTGACACAGCTAAATATTCAAACCTTTATTGTTAAGAGCTTCCTCCTTCCAACCTGGTGCACTTTAACCTCCAATCACAGGTTCAAAGAATGAAATCAAGAGACTTACAAAAGAGAGGGGAAGAGAAAAGGCTATCTTGGTAGGAATCTGAGCTTGGAGACAGGAGCAGTGGTTGTTTATGCATTTGCAGGGAAGAGGGCGGTCAAGAAACTCCTTCTGTCCCAAAGAGAAAAGAAAAGAGAACCATTGCTTTGATGAGAACGTTTCTGACCAACCTGGTAGGTGACAAGCAGAGAGCCCTAAGAGATGGGCCATTCCTTCCCGCCCTGTGCTCCTGGCCCGGACGACTGCAGCCCCAAACAACTGTCACCTCCAGTTATTTTCTTGCCCAAGGAAATTACTCGCCCTCCGCACAAGACAAATTATGATCCTAGATTCAGGCTGCATCTCTGACTTCATCTTACATTTGAAATTTGAGTTAAATTCAAGCGATTTATTGTTAAACGTTTACATTCAAGAATCAGAAGTTTTAAACTACAGAAGTAATGGGCATGTGGTAGAAGTTAGGCTAGTGGTTATTGGCGTGCATAACTGGAGGCGAGCTAGGGGATCGTTGGTAAAGCAGTTTCTTAGGCTGCTGGTTACACAGAATGTCAGTTTGTGAAAATTCATTGAGCTACACTTGTATGTTTATTATACTTAAATATAAGGAAAAGAGAATTTCTGCTAATGCTTACCTAGGTATTTATGTGTCTTACATCATACCTGTATCTTTAAAACTCTCTGTCCTTTACAAAGGGAAACGTTCTCCGAAGAAATTTATTTCTCATTTCCAGGAGATGATAAGGCAACTCAGGGCCATTATTAACGACTGCTAATGAAAAGCTCTGAGTTGAGAAAGGATCTCTCTTGGTTTGGGAAGCGCTGCGGCCAAGGGGCCTAGGGCTGGAAGTGGCCGTCTTGGGGACCGAAGCCGCGCAGCCCGGGATCGGGAGCTGCCCCGACAGGAGCGCGGAGGCGGCGAGATTCGGCCCCCGCGCGCGCCCAGCTCGGTTTCAGCAACCGCGTGGAGTGGGCCTGCGGCCGCCGTTCACCTCCTAATACAAGCCTTTGACAGCGCTGCCAGATTCGGGAATGAGGATCACTGCGGCGAGGCCCGGCGGGCTGGGCAGCCTGACTCGGCGGCTTTGAGCGCTCTCAGAACCCGCGGGCGCTCGCGGCACTCCTGGAGACCTGCACTTGTCTGTTCTCATTGTCAAGCGTTTCGCTCGGATATTTGTCACCATCGCCTTCATCCTGTCATTTCTAGGGTGCTCTCCAGTGTCCTTTATCTCCCTTGAGCCTCACATCCCCCTAGGATCTAGAACAAAATCTGGGAGGTGTTTTTATCCTCCCCATTTTACAGGTGACAACCAGCAACTTGCCTCTGCAGACACCTGAAAGCGATCAGAACTAGCCTAGGGCTGCGGGATCCCCTGTTTTCTGGTTCCTCCCACCCTTCGTGTTTGTAAGGAAGAAGGCTGGAAATGGGGGTGGTGGGGTACTCAGGGGCCAAGGAGCTGTGCACTCAAGAGGTGGGAGACCGAGCTGGTCCTCCTGGGGGACTTCCAGCGCCTGGCCTGGACAGCCGAGTGTCATCGGACTTCCTGAGAAATACAACCGGAAGCAAATTGCAAACCCCGTTACAAAATCCGAATCATTGAGAGAAGGGCAGTAGGGGAGGTCCGCAGACCTGATGGGGTGGGAATGTGGGAGGTTAAGTGGTGGGCACTTCGAACTTTTGATCTAGCAAACATCTTCCTCCTCTTCCTGGAGACACAATTCCCCTTTCCATCCCCCATACCATCCCCGCTCCCAGGCCTGAGCTCTGGAAGCCGAGGCTGAGGCTCCAGCCTATGTCTTCGGAATGCGGGCATTCTTTGGAACAATCGCTTTATTAGGGACAGCCATTCCCTCCGCCCTGCGGTGGCCGCTTCCTGCTTTTTTATGGCCCAGGCTGCCGGCCGCTGGCTAATTGTCCCTGTTTTCCAGCTGTGTCTCTGTGCTGTGCCCTGAAGACGTGGCTCTGGCCTGCTCATCCAACTGCTTTGGGAGTGGCCAGGGCTGCTCTGGCCCCTCAGGTCAAGCCAGGCCTCAGAGCAGGCCAAGCCACAGGGAAGCCCGAGGCTCACTTGGAGTGCTCCAGCCATGGAAAGGAAATCATTGTGAACACGAATGTTTCCCTCATTGCAAAAAATGGGTCTCCTTAGCAATGGCATGGCACAGCTGTGGTCCCAGGGTCTAGACCTGTTCGGTGAGGGGAAAGGAGCTGGTAAATGATGTCCTCGGACAAGCTTCTTAGAATGTAAGCGTCCCCATACATCCTGGTTGCTCTCAGCCAGGAGAGGGCCCAGCTGGGTCCCTGAAAAGGCAGGGTTGTGGGAGCAGTCAGAGAGGGGTAGAAGGTGGCTGACAGAACTCTAGGAGCCTGGTTGTCTTGGCATTTAGACAGCCCTGGCCCCTAGCAGGTTGGTGCCCCATGACTGGCCTCTGGAGATTCGCTCTGCTCAGGGGCAGCCTCTCCAGCTTCTAAGTGCAGGCCTGTGTCCCTGGGAGGAGGCAGAAGCCACCCACATCAAGGCCCCATGCAGGGCTTTCTTAGTCCTAGGCCCCAGGTGCTTGGCGTCTTTCTTAGGAGCCTTTTGGCCTGCACTGAGAAGCCCCCAGGAAGGGACAGGGATGGTCATCCCTAACCCTCGATGCCAGAAGGGCCCTTCTACCCTGTAAGTCCTGCTGCTGGGCCAGAGAAGCCTGTAGCAACTCACTCTGGGAGAGGCAAACTTGTTTGGGAAGCTTGGGCCTGCGGTTGGCCTAGGGCTGAAACTGCAACCCCACAGAGCCAGAGCTAGAGCTGACATCTAAGGGCAGCAAAGGGTGGGGAAAAAAAGAGACCCTGGTAAATGAAGCAACAGTAAAACTGCAGGAGTGGCCACGATCAGGTTATCAAAAGGATGCCTCTGTTACTGACAGAGTAGAGGCCATTCCACATTCTTCAGAGAGGGTCCAGGCATGCAGGATCCTGGCTGGTGGCAAGGGCAGGGGCCACAAAGGGGGTGGGAAGCAGGAGGCTGTTGGAAGGGCGGGCTGCCCCTCCAAGCAGATGAAAAACTCCTGAAATCCAGACATCACTGACACAGCTCCCTCCCTGTTCAAAGGTCCTAATATTTGCTCTGACTAAGGGGACCATGCTCTGCCCGATATTTGTGGCTCCTGGAAACTGGGGAGCCCATTGGCTAACATAACCCAGTTAGGGCAGGCCATCTCTATCCACCTTAGTATGTAGGTTGACTTTCTGAATCTTTTTTAGATCAAGAAAATTGTCCAGCCAGGCACAGGGGCTCACACCTGTAATCCCAGCACTTTAGGAGGCTGAGGCAGGAGGATCACCTGAGCCCAGGATAGCAAGACCCTATCTCTACAAAAAAAATTGAAAAATTAGCTGGGTGTGGTGATATGCACCTATAGCCTCAGCTTCTTGGGAGGCTGAGGTTGGAGGATGGCTTGAACCCAGGAGTTCGAGGTTACAGTGAGTTATGGTTGTGCCACTGCACTGTAGCCTGGGTGACAGAGGGAGACCCTGTCTCTAAAAATTTTTTTAATTTGAAAAAAGGAAAATAAAACTATCCAAATAATATAGTCCTTCTATACCTTGCACAGGAAACTCTTACCTTGCATTGACCTGAATTCCAGGGATAATTAAGGAGGAGTGAAAAGGAAGAGAATGTCAGCTTTCAAAATTATTCAGCTTGGCCATCTATACTGATGTGGAAAAACAGCTCAATCTCTACTTAATTTGGAGTTTAGGGAGTCTTTCAGCCATTGCACTCAATCAGCCATCTACTCACACAAAGAAAGGCTCAATAATGGTTGGTTTGACCCCAACAACCCTGCCTTGCCCTGCCACAGCCCACTCAGCTAACATCTCTGGGAAGGAAATCAATGACATCGTCCTTTCTGTAGGGCCTCCGGAGAGTCCGCCACCTGTCCAGCCCCATCAGGCCACAGTGGATCCCAACATGTCCATCCTGAACAGCAGGGAGGGGCCGCAGCTGCCTACAGCCGCCCAGGCTTCATTCACAGAAGCAGATGTCTCCTTGCCCAGTGGAGTGAAGCATATTTTCTTCCCAAGCAAACTGGGTGTCTGACCCTCTCTACCTGAGGAAAGGTTTCTGAATTAATTGGGAGGTCATTGTGGGCTAACATGTTACCACTCAGGGACCAGGCTGCAGGATAATGGGATAAGAAAAGCCAGCTGTTTTACTCTTGTTGTGAAGAGACCACCAAGATTTCTGATCCAAGGCAGGGAACAACTTTTTTTTTTTTTTTATGCTTCTCTATCCAAAATATATTCTCACATCCAAGAGATCAAGGAAAATTAAGAGCCTCAGGAGAAAGGGTAATATTTGGGTACAGAAATCTGGTTTGGTACATTGGGTAAAAGTTAGGCAAATAAATAGTCGTTGCCCATTTTCTTCCTTTCTTCTGAAACTAGGGCCTGTGGACACTGGGCATTGTATAACACATTCTTTGTGGTGGGTGAGGACAGAGGATGATTTAAATCCACAAGAGGGAGTGACTTGGAGGTCTCAAAGATTGGTGTCCCTACTGGGAACCAGAACTTCCACCCCAAAGGAAACCTCTTGATGCTAGGAGCCCAGGCTCCCCGGGCAGCACCAGCCAACTGTTACCACGTGGCTTTGGCGTGGAGAACTTTCAATGAACATTTGTTCCCTCACCATTGTCTCGTGCCTGGAATGACCTTTGTTTGCCACATGAAAATATGTTCCTAGGAAGTCCTACAGGGTAAGTTTCATGTGGCTAAGGGAAGGAGCTTAAATAAAGGTTCTGCTCCTCTTGAGTTACTGTCCCATTGGCTAGCTACATTCCCTGGAGGGGAGTCAGGGGTCTTAAAGTCTGTGTAACCTTTCCATTTTACAAAGGTGAACCCAAGGCTCAGAGAGGTTAGGTGATTTTCCCCAAGTTGCACAGCTAGCTGTTCAAGTCCCTTAAAGTAAATGAGCTACAGTATGTGCATTCTTTGCAACCCATAGCGATCTGTATAGATGTTTATTATTACTACAGCTGCTGGTGCCACCCTGGCAACATGGCACCCCAAACACAAAACCAACTAGCACGATTAGAGAATCCCATTTTCCCACTCCCACCCCCTGCACCAAATAGCACCAGAACAATCAGGTTCTGCTATTGCTACAATTCTGACCATGCTCCAGGTCCTATGTCTTTCACAGGCACCCCATAACTGTGGTTTATTCATTTATTGCATGAATTTTCCATAAATTCCATCCCAGATTTTTCTCCAGTTGACAAAGATGGTATCCATCTACTTTTGTCTCACAGTAAATACTTTCTTAGAATAACTCCTCTTGGGCCGGGCGCCGTGGCCCACGCCTGTAGTCCCAGCACTTTGGGAGGCTGAGGCGGGTGGATCACGAGGTCAGGAGTTCGAGACCAGCCTGGCCAACATGGTGAAACCCCGTCTCTACCAAAAATACAAAATTAGCTGGGAGTGGAAGCGCGCGCCTGTAATCCCAGCTACTTGGGAGGCTGAGGCAGGAGAATCGCTTGAACCCGGGAGGCGGAGTTTGCAGTGAGCCGAGATCACGCCATTGCACTCTAGCCTGGGCGACAGGGTGACACTCCGTTTCAAAAAAAAAAAAAAATCAGTCAGAACTGATATCCTGTGGCTAATCTCTAGAAATGTGTCATATTTAAAATGGGTAAAGATCATGTATAGAATTTATGTTGCCCTTTTCCCTTTCTTTCCTTCCAATTTTAGTGTCTGTAGACATCTTTTGGGCACACAGACCAAAATGCCTACCTTTCTGGGTTAATAAAGAGGAGGCCCCATTCCGTATCCCAGTTAAGTTACACAGGTGAGTGACAAGCCCGGGTCGGCTCCTGAGTTCTCATCCGGAGCTGCGCTCTCCCGTCTCTTTACTGGGAGCGTTCTCCTGCCGGGGCTTGGACATTTCCAAGGGAAGTGAAAATCCACAAAGCTGCCCCCACTTCGTAAGGGCCTGTGCCTGGAGGGTCGTCGGGTTACAGAAATTGAAATCAGCTCTTTGCCTTCCAACTCTTCTTGGCCTTGCCACCGCGATTGGTTTTGTTTTCTTTGTTTTTAACGAATTGGTAAGTAAAATATTAGTTGTTCACCCTGAAATCTGCCCTAACCACTTCCGTACCCCCTGAAGCTCGCTGGGCGCGCCCTGGGCTGTCCTTCCCTGAGCAGCCGGGCCTAGAGTCAAGGCGCGATGATTGCCGCGCAAGCTAGGGTCCACGCGGCCGGGGCTCCTCTCCCGCCTCGGGCGCACCAGAGGCCAGAAAGCGGAAAGCGGCTCTGCCAGGCCAAGGCCGACAGAAACCGAGAGCATGTCGCTATTTGCCGGAGAGAACTGCCCTGCCAGGCTGCCACAGGTGACTTGCCCGCGCGAGCCACGGCCTCTGCGCAGAGCTCCTCCCGAAGGGGAGAGTCAGAGCCACCCGCGGGTTTGGTCGGGGCTCTTCCCAGCCCGGCGTCCACGCCCCGCGTCCTGCGCTCGCCCTTGCGGCTGCTTATGCTCAGGTGTTTCGGAAGAGGCGCCGCGCAGCCAGCTCTCTGTCCCTTCAGCTCCAGCTCCTTCTAAAGGGACAGACTCAGCGTCTGCCCCCATCTGCACCCCTTCCCGCAGGAATAAAATCATTTTCCGGACAAGCTTGGAACTGTTGAAATGTAACTATGTAATTGGAGACACCGGGGTCGTGTCTGGGAGATTCTGAGCTCATCTACACTCTTGCTAAACTGCGGGGAACCCAGCCCTGGTGGGATCTGTGCATCTCACATGAGCTTTTTTACATAAAGAGCACAGACGCTGCATTTGGGGCCTGGTTTATCTAAGCGTGGGGTTTACCCCCAGGCTTGGGACTGGGTGCCCCGAACACAGTGGATTATTCTGAGTCTTAGGCCCAGCCTTGGTATTTGGGTCCTGGGTCAGAAAATCCTCTTTACCAAGCAGCAAGTTATTGTGTGTGTCAGGAAATCCCCCAGGTTACCCTGGCTAGAGAGAGGCAGGTGTCTGGCCCAGGCCCAGCACCCCACCATTGTTGCAGGGTCCCAAAGAACAGGAGCGAGCCACGGAACTTTCTTCATGGTGTGCACTCGGCGCTCCTACACCCAGAGAAGGTGTCTGGCCACAAGCCTAGGGACGCTGGTAGCACAGCCCGCTTTCCTAACACCTGCCCCACTACCAGCTTCTATTTCCTTCAGCCTTACCACAGCAGGAAACACTGTGAGATGGGAACGGGAAAAGGGCTTCCTTGCCTAAAATTCCTAGTGCTTCAGGAATGATTTATTTCTATGGAACATCAGCCCCAGAACCAAGGGTGCAGCCACGCAGCTCTTTATGGAAAGGTTTCCTTGCTGCTGTTGCTGCTGCTGCTGCTAACCCTGGACACAGTTGGTGACTAATAGAAGCTCTTGTCTTCAAAAGGGCCACCTCTGGCCTTCGCCTATTACCTTGTCTTTGTTGGGGAGACCATGGGTGTTTCATTTCTCCTCTGCCAATAGAAGCCTAAGTAGTATTTGTTGGGGCTCTTTACACCTTCCCTGTGTTGGGGGGGGCGGGGGGGTGTCGACGGGTGGTAGAATGTGGTGGGCTCCTCCGCAGGATGCTAATGTACTTTCCCCCAGTGGACAGTCTGGCTGCTGGTACAGGAAGCTGCCCAGCCTAATAGGGGTCTGAAACTCCAGGGCTGACAAGCAAAGATTTCTATGGGCACTTCCCTCCATTTAATCGACACTGCAATCTCGCTTCATTCTGGGGTCCAAATACCCAGCGCTGCTCAATGTTACTATTTTAATAACTGATGGGTTTCCCGGGGCAGTCGAGCCACCCCCCCAAAGCCGACCTCCGGGAGAGATCTTTAGCTGGACGCCTCCCGCCTTTTAGGAGCGATGGCTGCAACTATTCCGTCCGTCCCCACGGGGCGCCTTCCCAACCCTTCGGTTGGCTCTTCCCTTCGCAGGGCTCTTCCCGGCCCACCGCCTCCTTCCTGCGGCTTCCCCGGCTCCCCAGGCCGGACCGAGGCCAGCGTTTGACTTTCCTGGCTCCCAGTCTGCTCCCCTAGTGCCCAAGAGCGAGAACACCGCTTCCGCTCACATGTAAAGGTCGGGCGCAGCAAATGAAGTGGGAAAAGAGAAAAACAGACAAACCGCTGTGGCATAAAAGATTCCTTTTCCGTCCGTTTTGCTTTGCAGTTCGGGCTTAGCAGGAGAGGGTTGGGGAGAACTGGATAAACGCTTTGGAATCCACAAAGGCCGGTGGTGTCGGGGGCCGCAAAGGGAGTGAAGAATTGAAGCAGTGAGCTGGATAAATCCGGGGCAAAGCACTAAACAATATGGATATTTTGGCAACGCGTGCGCGTGTGGGTGGGCGGACAAAAGGACTCATTACTCGTATGATTGCCTCAATTCTCCACTTCCTTTGTGCACGTGTGTGGACGCTGTTCCAGGCCCGAGTCCGCCTCCCGCCCAGGACGCACAGCTCCGGGCCGTGGCCCCCGCGCGTCCGGTTGTGCGTCCCGGGTCCCTGGCCCGCGCGGCAGCTACAGCTTGGCGGGGTCTGCGCGGAGGAGGTCGGCCAGGCGCAGGCTGCCGATCTTCTTCACCTCGCCCAGAGCAGTGCGCAGCTCCTGCGCGGACGGGCAGAGCAGCCGGCGCGCCAGCTCGCGCGGCACCGCCGTCCGGTCGCTGAAGCGCGCGGCGAGCACGAAGGGGAAACCGAAGCGCGCGCGGTACTGCGCGTTGAGCTCGGCCAGCCGCAGCCGCTCGTCCGCGCCCAGGCTCCTCAGGCCTGCGCCGCTCTGTTCCCGCTGCGACTCGGCCGTGAGCGTGCCCCGCTGCAGCTCGCTGCCCGCCAGGTCCGGGTGGCAGCGCAGGATGCCCTCCTGGCCTGCGGAGAAGCACAGACACCGGCGGGAGCGCGTCAACCGCGCCCGTCCCGCACCGCGCACTCGAGGGGGCGCGTAGGCCGCGCCCGGCCCCCCTGCCCCGCCCCGCCCCGCCCGGCCCCAAAGAAGGCTGCGGGAGGGTGAAGTAGAGTACCCAGGCGGTGATGTCCTGGCGGAACAGGGGCGCCCTTGGCGCGCCCCTCTAACAAGTCCTGGACCTTGCGCTTCTCGGTCCCCACTACATTCGGTCGGGACCAGGATCCAGGGGCGGGGCGGGAAGTGACACGTTTGTCTTTTGAGACCTTGGGTCAAGAAGAGCGGAGGAGAGAGAGGGCGGCCGCTGAGGCTCGGAATTTACGACTAGGTCGGGAGGGAGCAGAGACGCGATAAGGATCCTGAGCTTTTCCTATCTTTCAAAGTCCTTTGCTCTCAGGGGGGGCTTTGATGTCTAAAGGGGCCGGACGCAAGGGCCTGAAGACTTCCTGCAAAAGCTCTGGAATGGGTTTCGTTCTGCTCCAAAGGAGAACGGACAGGGGCGGGGTGCATCCATAGGGATAACATCCATGGGGCTCGGCAAATAAATGCCCTGGATTTTGTGACCCTAAGTGTGAGTTCTGGGTTTCTGGAATCAGGCATCCAAAGAGCCTTGCAGATGATTAACTGCAAAGAAACCCACCTCTAGCCAGAGTTCCACAGCCCTTTGAATGAAAGTGGCTTTCCTCTATTTAGGAAACTGCACCCACCCATCCCCCACCGGCCCGGGACTTATTCCCCTTCTCCGACTGTAGATCCCAGAGGCCCCAGAGAACAGCGTTTACTTGAAGGAAATCTTTGCATAATCTCCTAGGCCTAAAATTGAAAAACTCTGGCGAGTTACCTGTGATTTTCAGTCCCAGGGATTTCACGGAGTTAGCGCTGGGCAATCATCTTGCTCAGCTCTCTAAAGTGAAAATTAGAACCCTCGGGGCGAGGCAAGATTCCAGATATGGTGAGCAGGGCGCTATGATTTGTAAAATGCGGGTGACGCCTAACTTGCTTTAGAGTTGTGAGGATTAGAGACAATTCATTTACTTAAAACACATCGCCTAATACCTAGTAAACAGAAACAGTCATTATTAGTTGTAGTAAACCCAGTGGAACTGGACTGAAGTGCCTCAGGAAGTACCTGTCTCTGTATCTCAGTAAAGCGGTTGTCCGCCTCTGGCGCTGGGAATAGGCGTGGGGTCTGTTGGAAAAGGCGCGCACGTAAAACACCGTTCAATGAATTTTATCTCAAAGAAGCTGAAAATTAAACCCCCTGTAAGGTAGACGTCCTCTTCCTCAAACTTATTGTTTCTGTCTAATAAAAGGATGATTGATAGTGCACCATCTAACTCATGAACTAATTTCTCCCTGAAAGACACGGAGAACTGGGGGTAACATCCCCGTGTAAGAGAGGATTCAGTGAAGGCTGAAAAAGAACTAGTGACCTGCCTAGGGTCACTCACCACACTGCGCCTGGACCCTCTACTCCAAATCACAGGCGTTTTCAGGGCACGGCTGCCCCTGCAAGGTTAAGGAAAGTTCAAAACGAAAGTCATGTCACCTATAATCCCATCCCTCTAACACCACTGTTTTTTGTTTTTTGTGTGTTTTTTCAAGACAGCTCTGTCGCCCGGGATGGAGTGCAGTGGGGCGATCTTGGCTCACTGCAACCTCTGCCTCCTGGGTTCAAGCGATCCTCCCGCCTCGGCCTCCTAAAGTGCTGGGATTACAGGTGTGAGCCACCGAGCCGGCCTAACACCACTGTGATAGAGCCCTTCTGGTAGGTGTCCTGCCCCTCGGGCACTGCAAACAGGAACGGGTCTTTCCCGCTTCCCGCGTCCAGCTCCGTCAGGGTAGTGCGAAAATGTGAGAATTAAATTCCCCACCTGGGGGAGCAGCCCCAGCCCTGTGCCCGGGGTTGGTCGTGCCACGCGGCCACTTGTCAGGCCTGGGGAACCGAGCTCAGCTCCCGCCCGGATCCCCTCCGCGCTCACCCAGGCCCAGGACGGTAACCTGCCCGGGCTGCGGAGGAGGGGAAAGTGCGAGTCTTGGGCGGCTGGACCTTCCGCGCCTCCTCTTCAGGTGTTCGGAGTTTCAGAGCAGCCGCTAGGTCCCCCGCCCAGTCAGGGGACTTCCCTCCCCACCGTTGCATGCTGTCTGGAGGATCAGCCCAAGCTGCGAGGGAGGTGGTCACTGGTGGGAGGTCCGGGCGCGGGGTCTGTCGTCTTGCCGCCCCCACCAGGCTCCCCGCGCAGGCCGCGCAGCAGAGGGAGGCGGCGGCGGCGTCCCGCCAACGTGGCGTACCCCGAGCCCCCTTCTTGCCCTTGGTGCCCTCGCATCTCGCTTCTCACTCTCTAGAGTTTGTCTCCCGCTTGGAAACGTCGCCCGGGGTTAATGTTTGCCTAGAACTGAGCACGAGTTTTCCACTCTTGCAGCGCGAGAAGAGAAAAGACGCAGATAAACTAGCAGAGCAAAGGGCAGAAGAAAAGAGACTAAAAAGGAGAAACTAGAATTTACTCTCTGTTTCAGTCGCTTCTCTCTCTCTCTCTCTCTCCTCTCTCTCTCTCTCTCTCTCTCTGTCTCTTAGCTGCGCCTAACAAGAAAAAGGTGTGAGGAATCAGGTAGAGGATGGTAGCTCGGAAGAAACAGAGCCTGACCTCACCTGGCCAGATATCCAATCTTCATTGCCCCAAACCACTGGACCCTTGAGTAAGTACATCGGGAATGGTGTCTATGTGTCCACTGGCCTGCAGCAAGGACCCAGTTCCCTGCCAGCGCCAGTATGCTATCCCTAAGCTGTGCCCATAAGCCCCAGTGGGAGGCTGGATACTGGGCAAGTAGGTGCCATCTCCTTGCCTCCAGTCCTCAGTGTTCCCCACCTGGAAGCCCAGGCGCTAGGCAGGCCAGTCAGACAGCCCGTGGTTCTCAGGGAATCTAGGTACTGCCCGTTCTTCAGTCTTTCTTGAAAATCTGGACTTACCTCCTAAGCATTGGTGTGTCACGTCTAGAGATGTAGGTGTGGATGTGTGTTATTTGCCGGGACCACAGGACCTGAATCTTTACACCTAGAAGAATTCCTGGCACAGAGCAGACACTCATTGTTCTATGGGAGAGGAACAGGGCAGGCAATTGTGGCCATGGAAGCTCAGAATCCCGTAACAGTCCAACTGCCTCCTGGTCCATACCCAGTGGTATCTGGGTATGTTCTTACCCCTGGTACGATGGACAATCTTCCTATGGAAGGCCAACCCCTCCATTTGTGTTCTTGAAGCTAGCTCTCCTTTCCTGTCAAAGACTTTGCTTCTGCAATTTCAAATATCTATTTCTCCATCCCCACACCACTTACCCTTATCAATGTGCAAACATGCCTTAGAATCCCTCATCCCATAAACAATATTAACGTTCTCCCTTGATTCCCTGTTGCTCTCTTGTTTCTCCCTATTTCTCTGCTCCTCCTTACAGAAAAGACCTTAGAGTTGTCTCCTGGCCTCTCCACTTCCTGACCTCCCTTTCCAGGCTCACTCTGTCACGTTTCGAGCCACTGTACCAACTGATCTGCACTCATTAAGGGCATCTTGCCTGAGCCCAAAGACCAATGCCTGACCTCTTCTTTCTCAACCTCTCCAGACCATGTCACCTGGTTGGCCCTCTCTCCTTAAAAAATGACTATAAACGGCCGGGCACAGTGACTCATGCCTGTAATCCCAGCACTTTGGGAGGCCGAGGCGGGTGGATCACCAGGTCAGGAGTTCGAGACCAGCCTGACCAACGTGGTGAAACCTCGTCTCTACTAAAAATACAAAAATTAGCTGGGCATAGTGGCACGCGCCTATAATCCCAGCTACTCAAGGCAGGAGAATTACTTGAACCCGGGAGGCGGAGGTTACAGTGAGCTGAGATTGCGCCACTGCACTCCAACTTGGGTGACAGAGCAAGACTCTGTCTCAAAAAAAATGACTACCACTTACCTTCAGAGACATCCTTTGCCTACTTTCATCTTGCTCTGCCAGATAGGTCACTAGCACTAGTACCACAGGACTCAGTACCCACATCTCATCCCTTTGTTGTTTACACCAATGTACTTACTAAGTGCCCTCAGCCAGTCGTAGGGTTTGAAATGCCATCCATTCTTTGATGACAGCAAGATATACTTTAGCCCTCAGTGTTTCACCAAGCTCCTCTGTTTTGATGCAACTGAGCAGTCAGCATTTTCATCTGGATGATTTTTGGGTATCTTAGACTCAGCAAGCTCCTTCCTCCATCCTGTCTTCTCAACTCTAAGTCTTCCTCAACTCGGAAAATGGTACCACCACCCACCCAGTGGCTCAGACTGAAAACTTAGGAGTGACCATTCAGCTCTGTTTCTGATCTGCCTTCTGTCATCAAATCCATTTAAAAAAATCCTGTTGACTCTAACTGTAAGCCCTATTCTGAGAATCCATTCGCATCTCTCCATCTCTACTGCGCCAACCACAGTCCAAGCAACCTCAACTCTTACTCTTACTACTGCAGTGGCCCCTCGACCTGGCCCCCTGCATCTGACATAGCCCCCACATCACCATCCTAAAGCATAAACCCCAGTGACCCATTGCACATGGAGAAGCAAGTTCCTTATTAGACCTAAGCAGCTTTACATGATCAGGCCCTTGCTGCCTCTTCCTCACATCCCTCTACTCCTTACTATTTTCCAACTACCTTGATCTTTCTGTGCCCCAAAAATGTCGAGTTCATCCTGGTCTCAGGTTCCTTTGCTTTTTTTTTGTTTTTGTTTTTGAGACAGAGTCCCATCCTGTCACCCAGGCTGGAGTGCAGTGGTGCGATCTCGGCTCACTGCAACCTCCGTCTTCCGGGTTCAAGTGATTCTCCTGCCTCAGCCTCCCGAGTAGCTAGGATTACTGGTGCGTGCTACCATGCCCAGCTAATTTTCTATTTTTAGTAGAGACCGGGTTTCACCGTGTTGGCCAGGCTGGTCTCGAACTCCTGACCTCAAGTGATCCATCTGCCTCATCCTCCCAAAGTGCTAGGATTACAGGCATGAGCCACCACGCCCAGCCAGGTTCCTTTTCTATGAGTGGCCTCATCCTAGATTTCAGCTACTTATTTCTCATCCTTTGGTCTTAAACTTAAATTAACCTCCTAAGAAAGACCACCTTTATTACATATTTTCTGCCATATTACATATATTTTTTCTGGGAATTTCTAGAACCTGAAATAATGGTATTTTTAATGTTAATCCTGTCTCTCTTCACTAGAATGTAAGCTCATTTAAGGCAAGGACTTGTCTTGGTCACTACCCCGTTCCCAGTGCCCACAACAATCCCTGGGGCACAGTGGGCACTCAGTGAATATTTTTTGACCAACACAGCACTTTTGGTAAGGAGTGTTTCATTTTGTTTTGTTTTGTTTTGTTTTCTGAATAAACAAACACATTTTAATAGCTTGATCCAAAACCCTCATAGCCTGTATTATAAGGAACTTATTAGTATCCAACTCCATTCATTCAACAAAAATGTTGTTTAGTAAGCATAAAGTAATAAATTGTGGCATTACTATAATTCTGAAAGACACAGAGATGCACTTTGTTTTTTTTGTGACAGGGTTCTCGCTCTGTCATCCAGGCTGGTGTGCAGTGGTGCAATCATGGCTCACTGCAGCCTCAACCTTCTGGGCTCAAGCGATCCTCCCACCTCAGACTCCCAAAGTGCTGGGATTACAGGTGTGATTCACCATAGCCAGCGGAAATGCACAGTTAATTAACTCTTATGAAAGTTGTATTGCTCTTTAATTTCATAACACAAATCCGTCCTGAATTTCTTCAGTTAGTGCATGTGAGTTTCAACTTTCTTCCCTTTACTAATTGTCCGTTCTCTTTCCTAGAAAACCTTTGCCTCATCTTTAATCTGTGGGAACTGATTGGCTGGAGAAGGTACTTTGCCCAATAGCACTAGAGCTCAATATTAATCCTGGACTGCCACCTACTGGCCAATAATCATCATAGCAGAACCTAAATGGACTCGCCCTTAGTCTAGAAACCCAGTTTTGTTTTCTGTTAATGGTGGAGGTTTTTCTTCAGTCACCAAAACAAATACATGACTAGGTAGACCACTGTAACTTGAACGTCTCTCTAAGGTACCTTCTTTTTAGATTCAAATAATCTATTTCACCCAGTTTGCTTCTTACTATTCAAAGGGTAAAGCTAGACTGTAATAAATCCCATTTTAAGGCTGGGCGCGGTGGCTCACACCAGTAATCCCAGCAGTTTGGGAGGCCGAGGTGGGCGGATCACAAGGTCAGGAGATTGAGACCATCCTGGCTAACACGGTGAAACCCCGTCTCTAGTTAAAAAATACAAAAATTAGCCGGGCATGGTGGTGTGTGCCTGTAATCCCGGCTACTCCGGAGGCTGAGGCAGGAGAATCGCTTGAACCCGGGAGGCGGAGGTTGCAGTGAGCTGAGATTGTGCCACTGCACTCCAGCCTGGATGACAGAGCAAGACTCCATCTCAAAAAAACAAACAAACAAAAGCAATTTTATTGGATTTTTTGACAAATAAAAATTATACATGTTTATGGTGTGCACCTTGATGCTTTCCATATATGTATACATTGTGAAATGATGAAGTCAAGCTTTTTAATATATCTATCACCTCACATATTTATCATTTTTTGGTAGTAAGAACATTTAAAATCTACTCTCTTGAAGGTGGGGCAAGGTGGCTCATGTCTGTAACCCCAGCACTTTGGGAGGCCAAGGTGGGCGGATCACTTGAGGTCAGGAATTTGAGACAAGCATGGCCAACATGATGAAACCCCATCTCTACTAAAAATAGAAAAATTAGCTGGGCATGGTGGCAGGTGCCTGTAATCCCAGCTACGAGGGAGGCTAAGGCAGGAGAATCGCTTGAACCCGGGAGGGTGAGGATGCAGTGAGCCAAGATGGTGCCACTGCACTCTAGCTTGGGTGACAGAGTGAGCCTCTACCTCAATTAAAATAAAAAATAAAAAAGCCTACTTTCTTGGCAATTTCCAAATATACAATAGATTATTATTGACTATAGTCACCAAGCTGCGAAGTAGATCATTTTATTTGATTATTTAAACAATAAAACATGGGGTCTAGGACATCAAGCATTTATCTTAATCAAATACATTAGTGGATAAATGAATGAAAACCCTAAAAACTGTTTCTAGACTTTGTTTCTCATTGTCTGGAAAAAGCCTTCAAAACCTGTTGGGTTGACTCTCAGGGTTATTAGAATTCCAGTCCTGCCACTTTCTAGTAGTGTGTCCTTGCTCAAGTTACTTAATCTCTGTGTGCCTCAGTTTTCCCATCGGTAAGAATGGGAGCAATAATAATACTATTCCTCATTTTATAGGGATATTAGAGGATTGAATGAGTTAGCAAGTGCAAAGTTTTTGGAAAAGTGCCTGAAACACACCAGTAGTAAAAGTTCAATACATTTTAGCTATTTGTTGTTGTTATTGTCACCATTGATAACATCACTTGTCTACTGTTACTGAGATGTTAAGATGAGGAGCTGCCGCCAGACAGCAATGAGGCTCCCAGCTGCTCCCAGACAAGTGCAGAACCGAGAAGCAGCCTCCACCACAGGGAGCTCCTCCCCAGAACCGTGTCTACTGCAGACACCAACAACCGTCCAGGGGGCCCAAACTCCCTCCAGCCATTTTGTCCACTGACCTACCACTGAGTCACCCAGTTAAAATGTGTGGGGAAGGGGGTAATGCCAGAATTCCCACTTTTCAGTATCACCTTGGAAACGATTTCATGCATTCATTCAGCAAACTTTGATTAAGTCCCAACATCCTGTTCACTCTGTGATCTGGGATTCTGACACTAGCCAGGAGACAGAGGTTTCATCAAGTCACGGGGGCATCAAAACAAGCCTCGGGAGCGGGGGTTGCCCACGTCCAGTGCTGCCCACACTCCACTATGCTCAGGGCCCTGACTGGACTGACCCGGAACTAGAACCTCTGGCCAGCTGGATTGTGGGGAGTGTTGGTGAGCAATAAGATGAAAATGGAGAAATTGTTATGTTTTTATCAAAGTTCCAGACACAGAGTAAGAAAGCCCCCAAAACGTGTGTTAAGTAACTGGCCAAACCCAAGAACAATAGATCTAAATTATTCACGCGATCCTAGCTTTCTCTCTCAACACGCTCCCTCCTCAGCCTCACCACTCCTTTGGGTATTAAGACAATCAAAGGATATGCCTCTCTTTTTTTTTCCTGTAAAGAAATTACTTTCCAGTGAGGCTGTCATTTTGCCTCCTCTATTCTATTTTCCTGTCAGACATTGAGAGGGTGGGCTCCGGGGCCTCCTGCTCCTTCCGGCCTGCCCTGCAGGAGTTCAGCTGAGAGGCTGTGGTCCCTTCACTCATCAGGCTGGGACTGGGCTGTCCCTGTGAGTCAAGGGTCAGAAAGCTCCAGTGATGACCCCCAAGCCCAGTGGAGGAGCTGAAGTCCTCAGCTATGGAGAGGCCCCCAGAAGTGGGTGAGTGTCCACATGGCCCCAACATTCCTGTCCATTTGATTTTATGACATCCTCTGCTCTTCCTAGATAAGCCTCAAATGAATGAAAAGGAGCTCCTTATTTTGGAGACGTCTGTATGACGGTCAGAAGCCATCTGGCTGTCAAAGGCCATCCTGATAGGCGGCATCGTCTGTTGGCTCCTTTTTGGTGAAGAGAGCAGGGGCTCTCCTTCCCCACCCAGATGTCCACAGAGGCCTCTCTGCCCCTCGCCACCCCTTCAGTACATTTCAGGTTTCTCCACAGAGCATCCAGGACAGCCCCTGAGGCAGCCTGGTCTCTGTGAAGCTGTGTGTGTCATTCGGAGTCACCCCCTCTTCTCCTCACCCCACACCAAGAAGTGCCTCATTTTCTCTCTCTCTCCACAGAAGAAATCAGTAACTTCTTTCCCTTCCTCCAGAGGGATGCCTTCAGATTCTCCTCCTTCCCCTCCATCCCTCAGGGAGTTGCTGATCTGAATGAATTCACTCTCCTCGGCCATCCAGTCCAAACTGGCCCTTTGTGGTACAAAAGTCAGCCGATTGCCCTTTCCCCTGGGCTCTGGAGATAGTCTGGTATCCAGCTGTCCTCTCTGTCACATACAGGACATTCCCAAGCCAGATGGGGTGGCTAAGACAGGGTGGGCCCTCAGCCTAGCCTTTAGCCTCCGAATCACTCTGATGTCTTTTGCTAGGTTCCTCCTTGTGACCTCAAAGCTCTAATATTTAACAGCCACTTTCCTTAGCCACCGCATTCTTCCAGTCCATGTCTGACCTAAACCACACAAGTGCTTGACTCTTACGGACTAGACCTGAGGAAACTTACTGAACCTTCCAAAGGAAAGAACTCAATAAACACATCAAGTATAAGGAATTAGACTAAAATAGATAGATGATAGATAGATAGATAGATAGATAGATAGATAGATAGATAGATTTTTAAAAACAACTTTTTTTGTTGTTTTTTGTTTTGTTTTTTGAGACATAGTCTTGCTCTGCCACCAGGCTGGAGTGCAGTGGTGAAATTTTGGCTCACTGCAATCTCCGCTTCCCAGGCTCAAGCGATTCTCCTGCCTCAGCCTCCCGAATAGCTGGAACTACAGGCACGTGCCACCACGCCTGGCTAATTTTTTGTATTTTAGTAGAGATGGGGTTTCACCATGTTGGCCAGGATGGTCTCGATCTCCTGACCTTGTGATCCACCCACCTCGGCCTCCCAAAGTGCTGGGATTACAGGCGTGAGCCACCAACACGCCCGGCCTAAAAGCAATTTTTGTAGCAACAGATCTCATCATGTTGCCTAGACTGGTCTCAAATTCCTGGGCTCAAGTGATCCTCCCATCTCAGCCTCCCAAAGTGCTGGGATTACAGGTGTGAGCCACCATTCCTGGCCAGTATCTAAAAATATTTTAACAAGCATATTTGAAATCCCTTTGCAGAGAATGTCTGATACGGAAGCCTTACCTGACTGTGCAAGGGCATCAATAAAGGCAAAAAAGTGCTTCTCTAAATCTTCCAAATCAGAGAATGGCCGCTGGGACCAAACAGCAGCTGCAATCAGAGGACATCTCTCAGTGGCATTCCCAAACACATCCACGAATTCTCCAAGGTCCATGGAGTTGACCTTCTCAATGTCCATTCCTTGTATTCCACTGGAGACAGCGGGACGTCCAGCTCCCCTCTCGGTGAGTGAGTGACGCTGTCTCGGCTCACTCGGTTATATCTGCTGAACACAAGAGCTTGCTGTTTACGCAACACCACCTTCGCGTGTTTTAAATGCCTTTGGGAGAAGCAGATCCAGAATACTTGTGTAATGAACAAGCACAGGCTTAAGGTTCTAATCCAGGGAGCAGAGATCTCTGCATGGTCAATGTTTCCAACCAAACCATTCCCATAATCAAAGGCAGCAGGGGCCATATTTCACTCTAAGCATTAGAGCCAGATTTGTTTTTCATGTTGTTAGGCTTTTTTTTTTTTTTTTTTTTTTTTGGTGTCTAGCTCTGTCACCCAGGCTGGAGCACAGTGGTGCAATCTCAGCTCACTACAACCTCCACCCCCTGGGTTCCAGCGATTTGCCTATCTCAGCCTCCTGAGTAGCTGGGATTACAGGCATTTGCCACCACATCCAGCTAAGTTTATGTTTTTGGTTTTGTTTGTTTGTTTGTTTGTTTGTTTTAGTAGAAACAGGGTTTCACCATGTTGGCCAGGCTGGTCTCGAACTCCTGACCTCAAGTAATCCACCTGCCTCGGCCTCGCAAAGTGCTGGAATTACAGGTAATTATTATATTGTTATTATTTGAGATAGGTTCTGCCTAGGTTGTCCAAGCTGGAGTGCAGTGGCTATTCATAGGCACAATCCCACTACTGATCAGCAGTGGAGTTTTGACCTGTTCTCTTTCCAACCTGGGCCAGTTCACCGCTCCCTGGGCAATCTGGTGGCTCCGGTCTTCCTGGAGGACATCAGATTGATGCCGAACTTGGTGCAGTCACCTGATCGGCAGAGCGCACTACAGCCCGGAACTCCTGGACTCCAGTGATCCACCTGCCTTAGCCTCCCGAGTAGCTGGGACTACAGCCGCGTCTGGCTGTTATTAACACTTTAATGTCATCATCACCGCAGGACATTTTCCCTGATAATTTAGCCAGGTCCACGGGTCAACCCACTTGGAACTTGATTTCCTAACTATTGTTATTGCTGCTGTTAAGGACAGGTACTATGTTTTTCTCAGTCTGTGTATGCCAGATGCTTAACACAACAAGTACTTAATAAATGCTCATTAAGCAGGACAAAATGTCTAAGGAATAATTCTGCCCCATTCTCAATAGTCTCTCAAACCCCATTAGGAGTTATTTTCTTCTTGAAAATATCTGTGTCTATGTTGCTTCTTGTATGTATTTACTTGTATGTCGGTTCTCAGCCGGGACATATTCCAGAAGCCTGGAGACCAGTGTGTCTTGTTGCCTCTGTATCCTGGCTGACAAGAGCTGTGCCTACGGTAGGCATGAAAGAAGCACTATGGGATGAATTGGTTGGCCAGTTAGCTAACCACATAGATTAGATTTCACGTACTAATGTCTTCCAGGTATACACAAAACAAAATAATGTGCCAGGTAAAGTCAAAGAAAAGAAGGGGTCAGAATTGACAAATAAACACATTACTGCTATCTCCCTTTAGAACTACAAATGCAAACATTTCCCAAAGCCATACCAGTTACACATTTGCTTTCATTTGAATAAAAAATCAATGAACCAGGTAAGGTGGCATGTGCCTGTAGCCCCAGCTACTCAGGAGGCCGAGGCAGGAGAATTGCTTGAGCCCAGAAGGTCCAGGCCAGCCTGGGCAGCATAATGAGACCTTCTCTCAAAAAACAAAAATTCAATGAGAGAACAACCATATTAGGATTCATAAACCAGTCTCATGTGCTCCTATGGTCTGTGAAAGGCAAACAACAACCGTACCCATGTGATCTACCAGCAGCCATTATTTTCGTCCTAAGTCTACAGACTCTTCCCCAGCTGGCACCTCTCCTTGACTACCTGGCCCATCGGGTCAGGACTAACCAACCGAGCCCTCATCTCTTAAAAAGTAGCTGCTAAAACTTGCTTTTCAAAGGGGATAAATCTGGTGCCAGAAGTTCCAGCATGACTGGCCTTCTATTGAAATATAAGGAAAGAAGGGTTAACACTTCTACAGTGTATACCTCTGTGTGCGTATATGTATAGGTATATGTATAGGTATAGGTATAGGTATAGGTATAGGTATAGGTGTAGGTGTAGGTGTAGGTGTAGGTGTAGGTATAGGTATAGGTATAGGTATATGTATAGGTGTAGGTGTAGGTATAGGTATAGGTATAGGTATAGGTATAGGTATAGGTATATGTATAGGTATAGGTATATGTATAGGTATATGTATAGGTATAGGTATAGGTGTAGGTATATGTATAGGTATAGGTATATGTATATGTATATGTATAGGTATAGGTATAGGTATAGGTATATGTATATGTATAGGTGTAGGTGTAGGTATATGTATAGGTATATGTATATGTATATGTATAGGTATAGGTATATGTATAGGTATAGGTGTAGGTATATGTATATGTATAGGTGTAGGTATATGTATAGGTATAGGTATAGGTATAGGTATATGTATATGTATATGTATAGGTGTAGGTGTAGGTATATGTATAGGTATATGTATATGTATATGTATAGGTATAGGTATATGTATATGTATAGGTATAGGTGTAGGTATATGTATATGTATAGGTGTAGGTATATGTATATATATAGGTATAGGTATAGGTATATGTATATGTATAGGTGTAGGTATAGGTATAGGTATAGGTATAGGTATAGGTGTAGGTATAGGTGTAGGTATAGGTATATGTATATGGAATCACGCAGCGTGTATGCTGTTTCTGGCCGTGCAGCACAGCATAGTGAGCTTGGACTCGGGAGCCACCACCTGGGTTGTGATCCCAGCTCCACCACCTATTGTGTGACATGTGACAAGTTCTCGAACTTTTCTATATATAAGTTTCCTCATCTGTAAAATGAGGATAATAATAGTATTTATGGCCAAGCGCAGTGGCTCACGCCTGTAATCCCAGCACTTTGGGAGGCCAAGGCGGGTGGATCACCTGAAGTCAGGAGTTCGAGAACAGCCTGGCCAACATGGTGAAACCCCGTCTCTACTAAAAATACAAAAATTAGCCGGGAGTGGTGGTGCGTGCCTGTAATCCCAGCTACTCAGGAGGCTGAGGCAGGAGAATCACTTGAACCCAAAAGGCGGAGGTTGCAGTGAGCTGAGATTGCACCACTGCACTCCAGCCTGGACAATAGAACAAGATTCTGTCTCAAAAAAAAAAAAGAAAGAAAAGAAAAGAAAGAAAAAAGAAAAAGAAAAAGAAAAAATACTATTTGCCTCAGGGAGTTTTGCAAAGATTAAACAAATTAATATACCAAAGTGCTCAGACGGTTCCTGTCTCAGAGCGCTTCATAGGTGTTGGCTAACACATCTTCTGTGTGCAGTCTCTCCGCTGGACTGCCACAGGATTTTCTTTTTTTCCCTTCTGCCAGCAGAGTCACATCCTCTTTTCCTTGTCTAGGCATGCTTTGCCACAGATATAGTCCAACAGCCCAGTATCTGTTTGTTTTCTTTTTCCCTCTGCTGCCACCTCCAGCCTCAGTTAATTTGCGGGCTGGCCTGTGGGACCAGGGAAGGTAGAATCTGTGTCGGGGCCCGTACCACTGCTCTGCCCAGGCCTCCAGCCACATAGGTGTCCCTCGTCCCAGGGGTCGTGGTGAGTGGGAGGGGAAGGCAGAGCAGTGCTGAGGATGAAGAGACCCTGGGCCGCTACTCTTTGACTTCTGAAGGCTCACCCCCTGTGCATGAACCACCCTCCCACTTCCTCCACACACTGAGGGTCTCTGGGGCTGTGAGAGCTCCTGCCTGCACCTTGGGGCTGGGGGGCTCAGTTCGTCTGCAGCAGGAGAGAGACATCTGAATTTGTGAGATGAAACGCCTTTGGCTCAGGGACACGCTGGCACAAGCAGTGGGAATGGCTACACCCCTGATGCTACTCCACCAGACTGGACACCTAACCTCCTCTTACTTTGTTATATCTATCACAAAACAATGGAATTCCAAATGATTCACTAACATAGAAACTTTTAAGACACAAAAGGTTACAAAATTAAATAGTCATGGGTTTAGAAGCAACATTGACAAAAACCAAACAAATGCATTATTAATGTGGAATTTGACAGTCCATGTCACAAATGTACTCTGGGCTTAACTTTTCCTGTTTGGTTCTCATCAGCCAAATCGACCAAAGAAATGTAAGGTGGTCAGGAAGTAAAGCAATTTTCATCCAACCAAAAAGCTAATTTATTAAATTGTACATTATAATTTAGTGTACAATTGTATGCTATGTAAATTATATATCAATAAAACTGTTTTTTAAGCTAAATTATATACTGATGTGGCCTCATAATTTTTGTTTAACCACACAATATATGAGTCTTATGTTATGGTTGCTGAATATATTTGACCTTATTATAATTTTGTTAAGAGACTGTTTTAGCAGCACATAGAGAAAGTTCTTAAATAGGTAAAATCAAATTTTTATTTCATTTTTTAGTTGAAACATTTCAGGCTGGACATAGTGGTTACATCTGTAATATCAGCATTTTTATAGGCTGAGGTGAGAGGATGGCTTGGGCCCAGGAATTCAAGCTTACGGTGAGTTACGATCGTACCACTGCACTCCAGCGTGGGTAAGTGGGTAACAGAACAAGAACAAGACCCTGCTTCAAAAAAAAAAAAAAAAATGCTGGGCACCGTGGCTCATGCCTGTAATCCCAGCACTTTGGGAGACCAAGGAGGGTAGATCATCTGAGGTCAGCAATTTGAGACCAGCCTGGCCAACATAGTGAAACCCCATCTCTGCTAAAAATACAAAAATTAGCCAGGCGTGGTGGTGGGCACCTGTCGTCTCAGCTACTTGGGAGGCTGAGGCACGAGAATCACTTAAACCCGGGAGGCAGAGGTTGCAGTGAGCCGAGATCGCGCCACTGCATTCCAGCCTGGGCAACAGAGTGAAACTCCATCTAAAAAAAAAAAAAAACCAACCAAACAAACACAAAAACACCACATATACACAAACAAACAACATGTGGCCAGGTGTGGTGGTTCATGCCTGTAATCCCAGCACTTTGAAGTGGGAGGATTGCTTGAGCCTAGGAGTTTGAGACCAGCCTGGGCAACATGGAGAGACTCCATCTCTATTAAAAAATAATAATAATTTAAAAATTAGCCAGATGTGGTGGCTGAGGCAGGAAGATTGCCTGAGCCCAGGAGGTCAGCGCTGCAGTGCATCATGATCGCACCACCCGACACCAGGCAACAGATTGAAACCCCCATCCCATCTCAAAAAAACAAAACAGAACATTTCATACATCTGTATCTGTTCTCCTCAACTATAGCCATTCACTTTTCATGATTGGAGCTTATGTAGAAATAGTTTTTGGATAAGATACAAGAAAGACAAATCACTTCCAGGTATATACATCTTCAGTTTGAGGCAAATTAGAAATTGGAACTCATTTGTTCTGCTATTACCAGACCCCTTCACTGGCCGGGTGACTGAGCCAAGCAAGATGAAGTACAGGTGGGAGGGGCCCCGAAGGGATGCCACATCGTGTGACCACCAGGAGCTGGGCAGGCATGGGTTCCAGGTCATGCCCGGCAGGTACTGGCTCCATGTACAAGTGATTTAACCGCCTTAAGCCTTGGTTTCACCATCTGTTAAACTCCTACAGAGCAAGTTCCTACCTCATGATTTGTTAAATGGGACAATCTGTATGAGGCCTTTAGCACAGAGTATGTTACCAATAAAAGAGTTCATCAAAGCAAACCTGGAGGACATTATGCCAGGTGCAATAAGCCAGTCACAAAAAGACAAACACTGCATGATTCCACTTACAAGAGGTGCCTAGAGTAGTCAGATTCAGAGAGACAGTGGGTGGCGGTGGTGAGGGGCTGGAGGAAGGGAGAAGTGGGAAGGGGTTTAATGGGCACATGGTTTTAGTTTTCCAAGATGAAAAAGTTCTGGAGCGGGATAGCAATGATGGTTGCACAACAACATGAATGTCCTTAATACCACCAAACTGTGCACTGAAAAGTGGTTAAGATGGTGAATTTTATGTTATGTTTATTTTGCCACAAAAAATTCACCAAAGCCTTTTTGTCTCTCATTAAGATAATTTGGAATTTAATACATGTTGGACCCCCTAGGAGCTAAAAAACAGATGTGTATTTTTTAGGTGGTAACTCCTCCCACTTTTTATTTCTGTTGCTGATGGTGACCGCAGCATCGACAGAATCAAATGTAAACAATGATAGATTTTTTTTTTTTTTTTTTTTTTGGAGACGGAGTCTTGCTCTTGTCACCCAGGCTGGAGTGCAATGGTGTGATCTTGGCTCACTGCAACCTCCACCTCCCAGGTTCAAGCGATTCTTGTGCCTTAGCCTCCCAAGTAGCTAGGATTACAGGCATGCACCACCACACCTGGCTAAATTGTGTATTTTTAATAGAGACAGGGTTTCGCCATGTTGACCAGACCAAACTTCTGACCTCAAGTGATCCGCCTGCCTCCACTTCCCAATGTGCTGGGATTACAGGAGTGAGCCACCGCACCCAGTTGATCATTTCTTTTTGACAAAAAAATATAAAGGGAGTGGCAGAGGAGTTCAGCTAAGTCTGTTACTGTGGAAGTCTTTCATGAGAAGCTGAAGAGAATGAAAGAAGAGAAAATGAAGGGCCAGGCACAAGTGGCTCATGCCTGTAATCCTAGCACCTTGGGAAGCCGAGGTGGGTGGATCATTTGAGGTCGGGAGTTCAAGACCAGCCTGGCCAACATGGCAAAACCCCGCCTTTACTAAAAATACAAAAATTAGCTGTGCATGGTGGCACGTGCCTGTAATCCCAGCTACTCAGGAGGCTGAGGCAGGAGAATCGCTTGAACCTAGGAGGCAGAGGTTGTGGTGAGCTGAGATGGTGCCACTACACTTCAGCCTGGGAGACAGAGCAAGACTGTCTCAAAAAAAAGGGGGAGGGTGCTAAGGGCTTGAATAGACATCTCTCAAAAGAAAACATACAGATGACCAACAGATATATGAAAAAATGTTCAACATCACTAATTATAAGAGAAATGCAGTTCAAGCCAGCAACAATGTATTAAAAAAAAAAAAGAGAGAGAGAGAGAGGGATAAATGCAGGCTGGGCATGGTGGCTCACACCTGTAATCCCAGCACTTTGGGAGGCCAAGGCAGGCAAATTGCTTGAGTTCAGGAGTTCAAGACCAGCCTGGGGAACATGTGAAACCCCATCTCTAATAAAAATACACACACAAAAAATTAGCCAGGCATGGTGACACATGCCTGTAGTTCCAGGTACTTGGGAGGCTGAGGTGGGAGAATTACCTGAGCCCAGGAGGTTGAGGCTGCAGTAAGCTGAGATCTCACCACTGTGCTCCAGCCTGGGCAACAGAGTGAGACCCTGTCTCAAAAAATAAAAATTAAAAAAAAGAGAGATGATGACCGGGTGTGGTGGCTCATGCCTGTAATCCCAGCACTTTGGGAGGCCGAGGTAGGTGGATCCCTGAGGTCAGGAGTTTGAGACCAGCCTGGCTAACATGGTGAAACCCTGTTTCTACTAAAAACACAAAAAATTAGCCAGGCTGGTGGTGCTCGCCTGTAATCCCAGCTACTTGGGGGGCTGAGGCAGGAGAATCGGTTGAACCCGGGAGGCAGAGGTTGCAGTGAGCCAAGATCGCACCATTGCACTCCAGCTTGGGCAACAAGAACAAAATTTCACTTAAAAAAAAAAAAAGAAAGAAGAGAGAGAGAAAGAGAGAGATGCAAATTAAAACCATAATGAAATACCACCTTACACCTGTTAGATCGGCTATTATAAAAAGATGACAGAAACCGTTATGCACTGTTGATGAGAATGTAAATTAATACAGCCATTTTGGAAGACAGTATGGAGGATCCTCAAAAAACTAAGAATAGACTCACCATATGATCCAGTAATCCACTGGGTATATGTCCAAAAGAATTGGAATCAGTATGTGAAAGAGATGTCTGCACAACCATGCTCATTGCAGCACTATTCACAATAGCCAAGATATAAAAACAATCTCAGTGTCCAGCAACAGATGAATGGATTTTTAAAATATAGTATGTATACACAATAGAAACTACTTAGCCTTATTTATTTATTTTTTTTCTGAGACAGAGTCTCGCTCTTGTTGCCCAGGCTAGAGTGCAATGGCACGATCTCCTCTCATTGCAACCTCCACCTCCCAGGTTCAAGTAATCCTCCTGCCTCAGCCTCCAGAGTAGCTGAGATTACTGGCACCCACCACTGTACCCAGCTAATTCTTGTATTTTTAGTAGAGATGGGATTTCGCCATGTTGGCCTGGCTAGTCTCAAACTCCTGACCTTAGGTGATCCACCCACCTTGGCCTCCCAAAGTGCTGGGATTACAGGCATGAGCCACCAGCCTCGGTCTACTCAGCCTTTAAAAAACAGGAAATTCTGTCCTTTATGATAACATGGATGAATCTAGAGGACATTGTGTTAATTGGAATAAGGCAGACAGAGACAGGCAAATATTGTATGATCTCACTTAGGTGTGGAATCTAAAAAAGTTGAAGCATGTAAGTAGAGTCAAATGTTGGTTACCAGAGGCTGGGGCGGGCAAGATGTGGGGGAGAGGTGAGGGGAGAAGTTTGTCAAAGGGTCCAAAGTTTCCGTTAGACAGCAGGCATAAGCTCTGGTGTTCTATTGTACAACACAATGACTGTAGTTAATAGGAATGTATTGTATACTCCAAAATGGCGAAAACACAGGGTTTTAAATGTTCTCACCACAAATAAATAATAAATATTTGAGGCCGGGCGTGGTGGCTCACACCTGTAATCCTAGCCCTTTGGAAGGCTGAGGCAATTAGATCACCTGAGGTCAGGAGTTCGAGAGCAGCCTGGCCAGCATGGTGAAACCTCGTCTCTACTAAAAATACAAAAATTAGCTGGGCGTGGTGGCACACACCTGTAATCCCAGCTACTCGGGAGACTGAGGCCATGAGAATCACTTGAATCCAGGAGGCGGAGGTTGCAGTGAACAGAGATCACACCACTGCACTCCAGCCTGGGCGAAAGAGCAAGACTCCATCTCAAAAAATGATAATAATCATAAATAAATAAATATTTGAGGCGATGGATATACTAATTACCCTGACTTCATCATCCCACAATGTTTACATGTATTGAAACATCACATTGTACCCCATAAGTAGATACAATTATTATTTGTCAGTTTAAAATAAAACTTTTAAAACCCAACTGAATACTGAAGAAATGAATTGAAGCTATCTGCATAGAGGGTTGTTTTCCTTCGAATCAGCGGATTGGCTTTTTCTTTCATTCTGCTACTTAAAATCTGCCTTTCCAGGGGCAGGCAGGGCGTAGTCGCGAAGTCAGGCCTAGGGCCTGAGATCAATTTTTTAAAGAAGTGCTAGGGCGCCAGCTGCTGGCAAGATTACTACAAAGGCCTAGTGGAAAGGGCTGCCCTTGTGCAGCAACAGCCTATGTAGGAACAGCAAGTTGCATTCCTCCTCGGTGTTAAAAATAGGTAGTTATGTCAGGTACAAAACTTGACCCAAACTGAAATAGAATCTGTGGTAAGAATTTGGTTTAATAAGAGTTGATTTTCATTTCTCCTTAAGAGGTTGTACATTTTATGTGGGTTTTTTTACCACAATAAAAAATAGACAGATATGATAAAAAGAGACAAAATGAGAATTACAAAAAGCTAAGAAAGAAAAGTAAGGAAATACAGAAAATCACATAATAGTAGAACCCAACAGTCATCTCAAGGTAAGTGTTAACAGGGGACTGGAGACAGCAAGTTATTAGCTCAAGTTTCAATTTCCTCAGAAAAAATTGGTATAAGTTTAGAACCTAATTCATAAGGTAGTTAGGAAGATTAAATGAGATAACACACATCTAGTTCCCTGCACATAACAAGCCCTTCACAGATACACATATTGGGCAAATATTGACACATTGTAAAGAATAAAAGGCATGTCTGACAATATAGCCAGTATGATTTCATTTACATAAAAAAGATGTGTGTGTGTGTGTATATGTAACTATGTGTGTGCAGTTATATATATATAAATATATATATTTATATATAAATATATGTTATATATACATAAATATATGTTATATATATTTATATATATTTATATACATATAAATATATATATTTATATACATATATAAAAATATATATATATTTATATATAAATATATGTTATATATATTTATATACATATAAATATATATTTATATACATATAAATATATATTTATATACATATAAATATATGTATATACATATAAATATATATTTATATACATATAAATATATATTTATATACATATAAATATATGTATATACATATATATATGTATATACATATAAATATATATGTATATACATATAAATATATATGTATATACATATAAATATATATAATATTTATATACATATATATATTTATATTTATATGTATATACATATATATTTATATTTATATGTATATACATATATATATTTATATTTATATGTATATACATATATATATGTATATAAATATATATATTTATATGTATATAATATACATACATATATATATATTTTTTTGAGATGGAGTTTTGCTCTTGTTGCCCAGGCTGGAGTGTAATGGCTCCATCTCGGCTCACCACAACCTCCACCTCCTGGATTCAAGTGATTCTCCTGCCTCAGCCTCCCAAGTAGCTGGGATTTACAGGGATGCGCCACCATGCCCCGCTAATTTTGTATTTTTAGTGGAGACGGGGTTTCTCCATGTTGGTCAGGCTGGTCTCAAACTCCCAACCTCAGGTGATCCACCTGCCTCGGCTTCCCAAAGTGCTGGGATTACAGGTGTGAGCTACTGTGCCCTGCCATGTAAATATATTTAACAAGAAGATGGGGGAAATATACCTCAAACTTTTTTATTTTTTCAGAGACAGGGTCTCACTCTGTAGCCCAGGCTGGAGTGCAATGGTGTGATCATGGCTCACCACAGCCTTGAACTCCTTTGAGCAATCCTCCCACCATAGCCTCCCAAGTAGCTGGGACTATGGATACACACCACCACTCCCAGCTAGTTTTTACGTTTTTTTTTTTAATTTCTGTAGAGATGGGGGTCTCTCACCACATTGCCCAGGCTGGTCTTGAACTCTTGGCCTCAAGTGATCCTCCCATCTCCGCCTCCTAAAGTGCTGAGATTACAGGCATGAACCACTGCATCCAGCCAATACCTCAAACTTTATCAGTAGTTTTCCCGAAGTAGTATTTTGGGATTTGGGTTGTACAAATAAAAGGTCCCACTTATTATTATAGGTAAAAATAAAAAATAGTTTATTTTTTTTTTTTTTTTTGAGACAGAGTCTCGCTCTGTCGCTCAGGCTGGAGAGCAGTGGCATGATCTCGGCTCACTGCAACCTCCGTCTCCTGGGTTCAAACAATTCTCTGCCTCAGGCTCCCAAGTAGCTGGGATTACAGGCACCTGCCACCACGCCTGGCTAATTTTTGTATTTTTTAGTAGAGAGGGGGTTTCACTGTCTTGGCCAGGCTGGTCTTGAACTCCTGACCTGGTGATCCACCTGCCTCAGCCTCCCAAAGTGCTGGGATTACAGGCGTGAGCCACTGCGCCACTGCGCCGGGTCAAAATGATTTGATTTTTAACATCAAGCGTATTTTATGTTTTTACTTGAGTAGGTAAAAAAGTGATTGACTATGTATACTTATTGTATCTTGACTGTATACCCAAATCAGAGTTAAGCATACAACTTGGCATAAATCATATCTGCTTTCAAACTTCTTAAAATCCTGTTAAGAAGACAGGACATTTACTTAAGAAGATAAATAACAGCATAAGGTAGGCAGGCTCTACATTGAGATACAGACCAGAAGCCCTTACATTTCAGTGCAGGAAGCCGTCACTCATGGGCTCGGAAACTGGCGAAGACCTGAAGGAGAAGAAAGAGCTGAAGTCTGGTCAGGAAGCAAGGATGTAACTAGGAAGAGCAGAAGTTGACATTCCAAGGAGAGGAAAACCAGAGGTGGGAATGTTCAAGACACACTCGCTAGAGGGACAGGCTAAGCAGCCAGTGCTGAGCAATGCTGAGGCCAGGCTGTGGGTGCATGGAGTGCTAGGAAGAGAGTGTGGCTTTTGCTGCTAGACCCTGGGAACTAGCTGCTAGATCCCAGGAAGCCCTGCAGGCAGCGACATATGCAAATCAGTACTTTAGGAAGATGAACCTGGCAGTGGCTTAGAGAAAACACTGAATGGTGGAGAGATTGGAGGAAGAGTTAGGTGAGGAAGGAGTCACAGGATCCTTGGGGTGTTGCTTTGCCAGCTGGAAACCTTTGTGGCTCGCGATGCCTTCTGCCTGAGTATTGCTCGCAGCCTCTGGGCTTATTCCACCCACTCAGCCCAGCAGTCTGGCTCAGCTTGCAATATGGGCCCAGATCCCACACCTGCCAAGGGCGAGCCAGGCGCAGAGCCAGGAGGGGTGCGTGGGTTAGTGACCAAGGGTCCGACCACTGTGTGCAGCCAGGCACGCTGGCTGCTGCAGCGGGGTGGGCAGCTCCAGGCACTGGCACAGGTGCCAGCTCAGGGTGAGGCTACAGCTGGGTTAGATATAACACATGCCGCTTCTGCTGCAGGCATCCATGTCTGGACAAGGGGAACACGGTGGCCTGGCAGCTTGGAGACGCCAGGAACCACAGAGCCCCAAAGAGGCTGTCAGAGCCCTGGCTTGGGGAGCTCGAGGTCTGGGCCCCCTGAAGGGCCACGTCTTCTTCCCTTGTCACCAGGTTGTTACAGTTCTTTCAGTCCCATCATTCAGTGGGTCCGAAGTTCTTGTCCAGTGTCCAGGAAGAATGAGGTACTCGCACATGTGGAGGGTGAACAAGGCAGGGAGGAGCTTCACTGAGCAACAGAACAGCTCTCAGGAGACCTGAAGTGGGTAGCTCCCTTCCACAGGCAAGTTGTCCTGAGGTCTCTGCAAATCTGGCTGAGTTGTGGGGGTCAGGGAGGTGGGTGCGGGGAGTGGGGAGGTTAATGGGCTTCAGAAAGGAGAAAGTGCATGCCGATTGTTGGTGCATGGGCCAGCGAAAAAGCACCAGAATTTCTCACTCCCTGCTGGGGACCCCACCCGGAACTGACAGCTTGGCCCCCATGCTTCGGGCAGTCCCTGGCTTGAAGGTGGGGCTTCACTGGGGACCTGACTCCTTCTGCCCAGGAGCCTATCTGCCTCCCGCTACCATCGATTATGTCATCCACGGTGCCTAGACTGTTCCTGCTGAGGGGCACCTGCAGACCCATGCCTAGCCACCCTCAGCCCCGGCTTGGCCTCCCTCCTGTGCTGGTCGGTGTCCAAAGTCCAGAGGGGGCCAAGGCAGCAGGGAGCTGGCATGTCAGCGCCACCCTAAGTGCGCACACACCTGGCAGGGCGGCGACAGTGGGGGAGCTCAGCCTCAACTTTGCTCAAAAATCTGAGTGCCACCAGGAGTGGGAAGAGGCCAGGCAGCAAGAGCAGACACTTGTGAGCAGTGGGGGCAGGAAGGGCTTCCCCGGCCGGGAGCGCAGGGACGTCTAAGTCTGCAGCCACCGCTAGTCTGGTGGCAGCTGCTCCCAGGAGGGTGGGGCTCCCGCCCTGCCATCTCAAAAGGGGGCGGGGCTCCCACTAGCTCCACGGAGCGCACAGCCCCTGTGGCTCCCACACTGCAGCTGGCATCTTTGCAGTGGCCACTCCAGATGGGCCGCTGCTGCCATTAAAAGGACTGGTAATCTAAGGGAGTTTATGGTGACCTGGTACTAGGCAAAGGATTAAAACTATAAAGGAAGGCACAAATGATGCTATTAGGTCACACTGAGGTGCCAGGCATTGATCTACATGATGTATATGTTTATGTTCTATATTTCTATATTTCTAAGCTACGTATATATTTAATTCATCTAATTATTCCAGCAACTCTATAAAAGAGATGCCATTAGTGTCCCATTTTTCAGAAAAGGAAACTGAGGCTAGAGAAGTTGAGTTACTTGCCCCAATGACACAGCTAAGGCCAGGTGAAAAGAGAATTCCAACCTGGGCTGACCGGTTCCAGATCCCTTGTCCCTCACCACTACATGCAACAGGAGGTGGAGGAGAAAGAAGAGGCAGAATTTGGTGGCACCTGTCGTGTAAGCGGAGGTGGGCGGGGCGGGGGCACAAACCAAGTTCATAAGCCTACAGGATGGAGGGTGCTAAGCTTCAAAGGACAAAGAGGGCTGGTCGCCATGGCTCACACCTGTAATCCCAGCACTTTAGGAGGCTGAGGCAAGAGGACTGTTTGAGGCCAAGAATTTGTGACCAGCCTGCACAGCATAGCAAGACACTATCTCTACAAAAAATTTTAAAAATTAGCTGGGCGTGGTGGCCTGTGCTTGTAGTCCCAGCCACTCAGGAGGCTGAGGTGGGAGGATCGCTTGAGGCCAGGAGTTTCAGGCTGCAGTGAGCTGTGATCTCACCACTCCACTCCAGCCTGGGAGACAGGGTGAGACCCTGTCACTAAAACATTAAATAAACAAACAAATAAATAAAAATAAAATGAAGGGGACTGTGGGGACAAGAGTAACTTTATTGAAAATACTAATCCTCCATGTTACTTCTGACTGGCCCTGAGTCTGGGAAGGCCGCCAAAGTGTCTAGGTGATGTATTACTCTTTATGGTAGAACACCTATTCATTATAAACTTCCCCCAATACAACCCCTGTTGTTGCAGAAATCTTAGGCTGTGACAACCATAGCTGCCTACACATTCCTTGTATCTTGGGGTAAAAGCACACGTGCTCTGGAAGGAATGTGTAGGTGGCTATGGGTGCACAATTTCAGGGGGTTCGTGAACTCCAGTTAAGACTTGCCCTAATTATACCATGTAAATAATTCAATAATGGGCAATTCTGTAGTAGAAATTTTATTCCCACCCATAAAATATATCACTAAATAGCTGAAAAATTTACATATTATTTTAAAACATAGACTTAAAAAATCATATTAGCTTCTCCTTAGCAAAATGCTTTTGTTTTATGTATTTACAAGAATATACTGTACTTCAGGTACACAATTCACTCAAGCCAGCCTGAGAAGGCCTTGGATGCAGATCAATGCTCCAATAAAGTTCATTATCAGCTCCTCCTGCCTTGTGACAGGATGATTTGATTTTACAAAAGTCCCTTTGAAAACAAGAGTAAACGCAGACAGCTTCTAGAGAAAAGTCTGGTGAAGCAGCAGTTGATAATAGATTTTCTTTTAGTGATGAAATTAATCTTGTTTTGGTAATCTACAGCCTGTTAGGGATAGGTGGAGGGATGAAGTCCTTAAAACTAAATTGTTCCTCTACGAATCTTCGACCTGAGCCTGCGGAGAGAGTAGCCCCAAATCCATCTCTCTGCTGAAAGGTCGCCTGTTTTGGTAGGTGTGAGGACATTCCGAAACACGGCCATCCACATTCTGATACATCTGAATGTGGGAAAGAGACAGAACACTGATTACCATCTGATGTAGATGCACATGTTATGCGCCCATATTACAAATTATTTAAATAAAAACAGTTGTTCTATATAGACAATTACTTTTTTGTTTGTTTGTTGTTTGTTTGTTTATTTTTTGAGACAGAGTCTCGCTCTGTTGCCCAGACTGGAGTGCAGTGGTACAACCATAGTTCACCGTGGCCTTGATGTTCTGGGTTTGAGCAATCCTCCCACCTTAACCTCCTGAGTAGCTGGGACCACAAGCAGGCTCCACCACACCCTGCTAATTTTTTTATTTTTTGTAAAGACAAAGTCTCACTATGTTGTCCAGGGTGGTCTCAAACTCCTGGGCTCAAGTGATCCCACACCACCCCGGCCTCCCAAAGTGCTGCGATTACAGGTGTGAGCCACTACGCCCGGCCTAGACATCACTTTTAAAATGTTTAAACTGATATATAATAGATGTACATATTTTCAGGAAACGTGTAGACAAGTACTTTTATTATGCATAGGTCTCAGAGGATATTCTATATAACTAAAAAAGCAATTTTGGTCCTTTTATTAATGGAGAAATCAAATCATAGTCAAATATTTTATTTCATTATTGAGTCTACTCTCAGATATAAAATGTCACCCTAGAAATCCTAAAACCATGCAGAAAAATCATAAAAGAGAAAGGCCACAAAAGGAAATCTGTTCATTATGGAGTTAATACAAGGGACTGATTCTTGAGTTTTCCCTTGGAGTTTCACGACTTTTAAATATTTTTTTCTGAAATGAAGAGATTTACTTTCCTTTCCCAAATATGAAGTTAACATGCATTCATATAGATAATTTGAGAAATACAGAAAGAGACGTAGAAGGCCGGGCGCAGTGGCTCATGCCTGTAATCCCAGCACTTTGGGATGCCGAGGCGGGCGGATCACCTGGGGTTGGGAGTTCAGGACCAGCCTAGCCAACGTGGAGAAACCCTGTCTCTACTAAAAATACAAAACTAGCCGGGCATGGCGGCGCGCGCCTGCAGTCCCAGCTACTTGGGAGGCTAAGGCAGGAGAATTGCTTGAACCTGGGAGGTGGAGGCTGCAGTGAGCCTAGATTGTGCCACTGCACTCCAGCCTGGGTGACAGAGCAAGACTCCATCTCAAAAAAAAGAAAAAAGGCTACAAGTCATGACAAGTACCCGCCATTATAGACAGCTTGCTATGCACACACAATTTTGTGTCTGTGGGCTCAGGCTATATATTCTATTTTGGAACCTTATTTTGAATTATCAATATATTGTTATTATACTGCTCATATGTTGCCTGTGTCACATATTTACATTATTCACTAAGGATGGCCACATATTTTTTTTTCACGGCAGCCTAGAGTTCCATAGTACTGATGCATCATAATTAACCTTTTGACCAACTGGTTATACGAAACAAACTGAAAAGTGCACACTCAATCTAGTCTGACGTTGGGATAAGCAGAAGTGGAATTGCTGGATCAAAAAGGATGCACACTTGAACTGTGATACACAAGGCCAGGCTGCCCTGCAGAAAGGTTGTATTTATTTCTACTCCTATCAACGGTGCCTGGAAACTATATTTTCCAGAGCCTTCTGAACAATGGGTATGTCAGCCTCCCACATCTCTTCTCTTTTGCTGAGCAAGAAGTTCTATCTCCTTAACTATATATGTTTCACTATCTGCAAAGTTGGGCCTTTTTCCTATACTTTATGTCCATTTGTTTTCATTTTGAATAGCCTGCCTATTTCCTTTGCCTTTTATGTATATAAAAGGCTATACAGGCTGGGTGTACTGGCTCAACTCTGTAATCCTAGCACTTTGGGAGGCCGGGGCGGGAGGATTGCTTGAGGCCAAGAGTTCAAGACCAAACTAACCAACATAGCAAGATCCTGTCTCTAAAAGAAATAAGTTTTTAAAAGGTGATACATTTTTATTATTATTTGTTTATAAGAACTTTATGATTTAGGAATCATGCATTCTATTTAAATTTTATAGATTTGTTCCGTTCCCACAGCCCTTGTTACTGTCTACTTCTTTTTCTTTGTTTTTGACAGTTTTAATGTGAACTGTCCAGACTGCCTCCTACACTTCACTTTTCTTTCTAGAAAATTGTGTGTGTGTGTGTGTGTGTGTGTGTGTGTGTGTATCCTTTGACCCAAAATATATCCATTGTGAACCAGGTGTTGCACAATGACAGCTTTGCTTGTACCCTGAAGGATGAACAGTAACTACTCATGCGTGCCTTTTGTGAAGTAGACATAGCAGTTAGTTAGCATTTGTTGAACCTGTTGAATCCAAATGTACATCTCTACCACTGAATTTCTAACCACCTCATGAAGTTTGTGTAGCACAAATACCAATAACACTTCCAATCTTCCACCTGAATTAACTAACATGTGCTCTTCATCCAGTCTCACTGTCTAGAAGTTTCTAGAACCATCTCTGACAATCTCTCTCCACTCCCATAGCTAGTTACTGGGTATAGTTGTAATACATCACTCTTTTCCATTTCTTTAAGTGACCTTTCTTTCCTTTTTTTTTTTTTTTTTTGTTGTTGCTGTTGCTGTTGTGACAGAGTCTCACTCTGTTGCCCAGGCTGGAGTGTTGTGGCATGATCTCAGCTCACAGCAACCTCTGCCTCTCAGGTTCAAGCAATTCTTGTGCCTCAAGTAGCTGGGACTACAGGTGTGTACCACCACACCTGGCTAATTTTTATATTTTTTTAGTAGAGACAGGGTTTCACCATGTTGACCAGGCTGGTCTTGCACTCCTGGCCTCAAGTGATCCACCCACCTAGGCCTCCCAAAGTGCTGGGATTACAGGCGTGAGCCACCACCCTCAGCCACTGTTGTTTTTAACAGGCTCACAGATAACATCATAAAAGTGACCTTTAAATGACTTTTTAAATACATTCTCCTTATGAAATTGTGAAACAAACCCTAGGTTTTCAAATGTATCATTATAAAGAAGTATATAAATTTTCTTATACTTTAAAAAATGGTTCTTTTTTCCTTAGTTATCGTTTCCTTTTCATCTGAATGTTATTTATTTGTGCTTTTTTCTTTTTCAAGACAGGGTCTCGCTCTGTCACTCAGGCTGGAGTACAGTGGTGCAATCACAGCTCACTGCAGCCTCAACCTCCTAGGCAGAAGTGATTCTCTTGTCTCAGCCTCCTGAGTAACTGGGACTACTGGTGTGCGCCACTACACCTGGTTAATTTTTTAATTTTTGGTAGAGATGGGGTCCCATTATGTTGCCCAGTCTGGTCTCAAACCTCTGAGCCCAAGTGATCCTCTCACCTTGGCCTCTCAATGTGCTGGGATTACAGGCGTGAGCCACCACACCCGACTTCTTTTTTTCTTAATTGTTCACTTCAAAGATAGTAGCTTTAGTAGTATATTTGTATACTTTGTTGATATACAATATTAATATACAGTATAGACTACACTCAGACTGCTGTATTCAAATCCTAAGTCTGACATTTACCATGTTACCTTAGGCAAATTACTTAACCTCTCTGTGCCTCAATTTACTAGTCTGCTAAAGGGATAATAATAGAACCTACTTCAGGAGATTGAGGTGAGGATTAAGAGTTATTAATTTTGTGGCTAATACATTAGTAAACTCTATGATTAAATACTCAAAAAATGTTAGCAATTACATTATTAGTTCAAAAAACAACTTTTGGTTTTCCTGATCATCGCTATTATTTTGCTGTTGCTACTTCCTCTGTGTCATTAAATCTGGCTATATCTCTATTAATTCCTTCTTTCTGCTTTGTTCATTTTCCTCCTCCTCTCTCTCTCCACCTTCTTCTTTATTGTTGTTTGTTTTTTCCCTAGCTTCTTAAATTGAAAGGTTAATCAGGCTAGGTGCGGTGGCTCACACCAGTAATCCCAGCACTTTGGGAGGCTGAGGCAGGAGGATTGCTTGAGGCCAGCAGTTTGAGACTAGCCTGCACAACATAGCAAGATCCCCATCTCTGCAAAAGAGAATTTTTAAAAAGTACTCAGGAAGCTGAGGTGGGAGGATCGCTTGATTCCAGGAATTTGAGGCTGCAATGAGCAAGAACCTGTCTCAAAAAAAAAAAAAAAAAAAAAAGGAAAAAAAGGTTAGCTATTGATTTTCATTTTTCTTTGTTTTCTAATAAATGAATTTAGAATTATGAATTTGGGTAACTCTCACAGGTTTTAATAGGCAATATCCATTTTTGCTCCTTCTCCCTCTTTCCCCTTCTTCTTCTTAAGCAAAGACTTGCTTAAGAGGCATGATTTTTATTTTATTTATTTATTTTTTGAGACAGAGTTTCGTTCTGTTTGCACTCCCAGGCTGGAGTGCAATGGTGCAGTCTAGGCTCACTGCAACCTCCGCCTCCCGGTTTCAAGCACTTCTCGTGCCTCAGCCTCCCAAGTAGCTGGGATTTTAGCTACCTGCCACCACACCCAGCTAATTTTGTCTTTTTAGTAGAGACGGGGTTTCACCAGGTTGGCCAGGCTGGTCTCGAACTCCTGACCTCAGGTGATCCACTCGCCTCAGACTCCCAAAGTGCTAGGATTACAGGCGTGAGCTACCACGCCTGGCTGATTTTTAATTTTGGTATATAAATTTGGGGGCTTTTTTGGTTGGGTGATTTTTTTATTACATTGTATTGAGATTAGTGAATGTGGCATTCACTAACAATGCATGTTAACAACTTTATTTATTCTGAGATTCTCTTTCCTAAGTAGGCTTACTGATTGTTGCCATTTTGTGTTTTATTTTTGTATTTTCAATTTTTATTTATTTATTTTATTCTTTAGAGATGGGATCTCTCTCCTTTGCCCATATTGGAGTGCAGCAGCCCAGTTATAGCTCACTGCAGCCTCGACTTCCTGGGCTCAGGGAATCCTCCCAGCTCAGCCTCCTGAGTAGCTAGAACTACAAGCTTGCACCACCACACCCAGCTAATTTTGTGTTTTCTATTTCCATGAACTCTCTTTATTTTTCTCTTCCCCCATTTTGTTGGACTGATTATGTTTTCTATGGTCATTTTCTTCCCCTGTACTGAAACAGAAGTTATGTGTTACGTTTCTATCTCACCCATATCGTTCTTACATTTTTAACACCCACATTTAATCTTATGTTGATTTCACCATGTGGCTGCTCCTGCTTCAGAACTTCTGCAGTGTCCCAGGACTTCTTGCTGCCTTTGTGTTACCCTTGTCCTTGTTTTTCCCAGGCATCCTCTGTGGTGGGTTTTCCCTCTGCAGTGCAATTTTAACTGCTTTCATTGTCTCAGGGATTTTCCACAGTTTCTGGTCCACAAAAAGATCTCTTTCTTACTGTCAAAGCCAATTATGGCCTCACTTTTATTTTAGTTTAGTTTAGTTCTGTTCTGTTGAGACAGAGTCTTGCTCTGTCACCCAGGTTAGAGTACAGTGGCATGATCGTGGCTTACTGCAGCCATGACCGCTCCCCAGACTCAAGCGATCCTCCCACCTCAGCCTCCCTAGCAGCTGGGACCACAGGAATGCACCACCACGCCTGGCTAATTTTCAAATTTTTTTGTAGAGATAGGGTTTTACCATGTTGCCCAGACTGGCCTTGAACTCCTGAGCTCAATCTATGTTTGTGCCTCAGCCTCCCAGAGTGCTGGGATTATCAGTGTCAGCCACCACGCTTGGCCTCCCTTCTCTTAAAACAAAACAAACTTATTTCCTATAATTTATGGGGCTGAGTAGGAGAGGGGAGGTGATGTTAGTTCAGACCCCTTTTCTGAAACAGGGGACAAGTATGTGCCCCCTTTTATCAGCCCACAGCCCCTGCCTAGTGTGCTCCCTCAGCGTGCCCATCCTTGCTGCTGCCGCCCCTCTCAACTGATGTCCTGACATCTCATCTTCTGCCTCGCTTTTCCAAACTTCCTTTTATGCTCTCTTTTTCTTTCTCATTCCAGAAATGTTTGCTGAGCGCCTTCCACGTGCTAAGCATCATGCTAGCAGCGGGGTCTATAATGATGAACCAAACAGATGTGGTCTCCAACTTGCTTTCATGCTGACTTCATTCATTTACTTAATATCACATGGCAAGCACTACCCCATGGGGTGTAAAGATGAACAGGAAACAGTATTTACCCTTGCTAATGAAGTCTAGTGACGACAGAGAGAGACCCATAATATAAAGTCATCCTACACTAGGATTTGAGTCTCACATGGAGTTACAGCTGAAAGTGTTAATGAGAATTCAGAAGCAGCAGCCTGAAATCTGACTAGGGAAATTGGGGGAGGCTTTGCAGAGCACAGAATATTTGATCTGGTTCTTAAAGATTGAAGCATGTTTGTCCATCCTAAAAATCTTCATCGGTTCACCACTGTCTAAATGCCTAGACAGGTAATCATGTAATCAGTGATCTCCCTGATCTAATCCCATTGGTGTTGAGGTTAGACATAAAAGCCTTAACCTATGTTTTCTCCATGCATTTCCCACTCTTTCTCTCTGGTTCTCTGAGGGCCCTTTTCCTTCCCTAGTCCTTGATGCAGAAACAAAGATTCTGGCCGGGCATGGTGGCTCATGCCTGTAATCCCCCCACCTTGGGAGGCCGAGGCAGGCGAATCGCTTGACCTCAGGAGTTTGAGACTAGCCTGGCCAACATGGTAAAACCCCGTCTCTACTAAAGATGCATTAGCCAGGCGTGGTGGCAGATGCCTGTAATCCCAGCTACTCAAGAGGCTGAGGCACGATAATTGCTTGAACCCAGGAGGTGAAGGTTGCAGTGAGCGGAGATCACGCCACTGCACTCCAGCCTGGGTGACGGAGTGAGACTCTGTCTAAAAAAAATAAATTAAAAAGAAAAATAGGGCCAGGTGGGGTGGCTCACGCCTGTAATCTCAGCACTTTGGAAGGCTGAGGTGGGCGGATCATGAGGTCAGGAGTTTGAGACCAGCCCGGACAATATGGTGAAACTCCGTCTCTGCTAAAAACACAAAAATTAGCTGGGCGTGGTGGCGCGTGCCTGTAGTCCCAGCTACTCAGGAGGCTGAGGCATAAGAATTGCTTGAACCCAGGAGGCAGAGGTTGCAGTGAGCTGAGATCATGCCACTGCACTCCAGCCTGGGTGACAGAGTGAGACTCTGTCTCAAAAAAAAAGAAAAGAGGAGAGGAGAGGGGAGGGGAGGGGAGGGGAGGGGAGGAGAGAAGATTCTACAAAACCTTTCACAGATATAACAGGGAAGATCACCCTGGGGAAGGTGACAAGGCCAGTTTTCCAACCAAGGGACTAGATAGGATTCTGCAGAGTGGGCAGGGCTGCCTGCGTGGCTGTGTGGGTTGTGCCTTGCACCAAACAAAAGTGCCCAGCAGAGCGGGCAAGATGGCTGAGACCCACGCCAAGCTCTCCTCCTTCAGACTGGCTTAGACTGAGGCAGGCTGCATGAGCCCTAAGTAAGGGGTTCCTCTGGACTCCTCCCACCCGGGGAGGGGGGCATTTCCTTCCTTCCTTCCTTCCTTCCCTCCTCCTTCCTTCCTTTCTTTCTCTTTTTCTCTTTCTTTCTTTCTCTCTTTCTTCTTTCTTTTTTTTCTCTCTTTCTCTTTCTTTCCTTCCTTCTTTCTCTCTTTCTTTCTCTTTTTCTTTCTTTTTCTTTTTTGAGATAGAGTCTCACTGTGTCACCCAGGCTGGAGTGCAGTGGTGCCATCTCGGCTCACTGCAACATCCACCTCCCAGGTTCAAGCGATTCTTCTGCCTCAGCCTCCCGAGTAGCTGGGATTACAGGCATGCGCCACCACGCCTGGCTAATTTTTTTTTAGTAGAGATGGGATTTTGCCATGTTGGCCTGGCTGGTCTGGAACTCATGACCTCAAGTGATCCGCCCACCTCAGCCTCCCAAAGTGCTGGGATTACATGTGTGACCCACTGCAATGGGCCATGGGGGCCTGTTTTCTAACCTGCTTAAAGGAGCTACCATTTTCTCTGGGTGCTTCTGACACTGGTCACAGAGGGTCAGGGAACAGAGTGGAAGGAACTGGGAGAAAAAGTTTGTGAACCGTCTGTCCCTAAGCATGGATTCTCTCAGCTGATTAATCATGCATGGATATGTTGCCATTCAACGGTTCCTGATACCTGACAGGCCCCCTGAACACAGGAAAGGGGATCTGGACATCCTGTGAGTATGGGGACAGGAAAGGAGAAGCTCAAACCAAGACCCAAGTGGTCCTGAAGCCTCCATCCTGGCGACACGAGCTTTGCACTTTTTTTTCCCTCTCTACTCCCCCATTCTCCCTGTATATTAGGCACAGCCATCTACTTGCCACTCTACTTTTTCAACTTTGGACTTTTATTTATATGATTCATTCATCCTGGAATATCCTACTCACCCTCTACTCTCCAGCAGACAAGATGCTACTCAGTCCTCACATCCAGCTCACAAGTTCCCCACAAATCCACACCCAACTATGCAATGAGTAACATCAATCAGTCCTCTCTTAGCCAGGCGTGGTGGCTCATGCCTGTAATCCTAGCACTTTGGGAGGCTGAGGCAGGTGGACCACTTGAGCTCAGAAGTTTGAGAACAGCCTGGGCAACATAGTGAGAGCCCGTGTCTACCAAAAATACAAAAAAAATAGCTGGGTCCGGTGGTGTGTGCCTGTGGTCCCAGCTACTTGGGAGGCTGAGGTGGGAGGATTGCTTGAGCTCACAGTGTGGAGGCTGCAGTGAGCTGAGATCATTCCACTGCACTCCAGCCTGGATGACAGAGCAAGACCCTGTCTCAAAAAAAAAAAAAGTGTATAGCTAGACAGCTATACATGCACATATACATTCTTTCTTTACCAGCTCACTTCCTGTTTCATTCTAAACTCTTCTTTCAGTTTACCTTATGGTGTCATGAACAGTTTATAGGTATCTGTGCAATAGGCTATAAGTCTGCTGGGGGCTTTCCATTTCCTCTGGCCTTTTGACCTAATTCTCTGACAATAACCTAGTTTCCATGTCATTTTCAAAAAAATCACAGCAGTAGGAAAGTACACACTATCTACCCAGGTCTATATAGAGAATACAGAACTGAAAACTGACTCATAACAATTTAGAAAGGAGGACAGACAATCCACTTAAAAATCAGATTTATATTTAACTAACATTTTATGGAGTAAATACCAAGTGCCCAGTACGTGCTAACTCTTCTCACATACATCACCTGATTTACTCCTTCTTACAACTCCATGAGGTGAGATTTGTTAATCACATATTTCAGGTAAAGAAACTGAGAAGGAGACTTCCCAAAAGATTAAGTGACTTATCAAGTAAACGATGGAGCCAAGATCTGAACCTCAGTATTAGGAGCCCAAGGTTCTCTCCTTTATTTATTTCATCTGGAGATGGTTCTTTTCACTATACCAGGTGGTGGTGTTGATGGGGGAAGCGTTAGCAAAGAAATTCCAAGTCCTCAAAGCTCAAAAGATAATCTAACTTAACAACCCATTTTACAGGTGAGAAAACTGATGCTTAGAGAAGTAAAGTGATTTGCTATAATGGACACAATTGGGAGACAGAGTGGTACAGCTGGTATTCAACCCTCAGAACTCCAGGTCAATGCTCTTTCCAGGCTACCATATAGCATGATTGAGTCATGTGATTTTTCCACACTCATGCTTCATAAGAAAGGGCTAGTGGCTTCTGGAGGCCAGGGATTATTTTTATTTAGTTTTATTTAGTTGTCTACTTCACTGCACTGAACTCTTAAGAGCTTTTAATTTATTAATCATTTGGCTGAAATCAGGAAAGGTGTTTTTTTTCCCTAAAAACATTTTTATCAATATGTCTTAGGGCAGGCAGAGGAGCTCATGCCCTGTGATCCCAGCACTTTGGGAGGCTGAGGTGGGGGAATCGCTTGAGCCCAGGAGTTCAAGACCAGCCTGGGCAATACAGTGATACCCTATTTCTACAAAAAATAAAAAACTTAGCCTGGCGTGGTGCTGCCCTCCCATGGTCCTAGCTACTTGGAAGGCCGTGGCTGGAGGATTGCTTGAGCTTGGGAGGTCGAGGCTGCAGTGAGCCATGATCACGCCACACACTCCAGCCTGGGCCACAGAGCGAGACCCTGTCTCAATAAATAAATAAATAAACAAATAAATAAAGTCTTACCCCACACAACTTTGAAAGGGCAACCCAGAAAAACTGCAATGAGAATGACAACTTGGTACCTTTGGTTCACAGGAAGACAGCAACAAGTGTTTTAATTTACCAATTTCCTTTGTAAAGCTTTATAAAGTCCTGGCTGCTACATACCGCTTCTTCTGCATCTGCCAGCTGACATCCTAAAAACGAAGTCAAATTAGGGAAGGATGGCCGTTTCCTTGAGTCAAAAGCCCAGCAGGATTGCATTATAATGTATCTGTAAAAGCAATAGAACAAGGAACAAGATGAAGAAGTCTGAATGAAGCAAAATGGATCATTTTCCATATAATGAAGCACCATTTATTCCTCTGGAGCTGCTTATTTACAGCATGTTTGTTTTGTGGCAAGTCCTCTACCAGATTTTGAATTCATATCCGAAAGGAGAAATCAGATGGGCAGAAATGCATTTAAAGAAACATGACGTAGTGGATAGAATCGAATGACCTTCATGGAGCCCTCAAGCAAAGGAATTAAAACCGGGAAGCAGGTGCCTCTGAGGACAGGAAAGGTTCAGCTTTGTTCAGAAACTCCCAAAACAAAGAGTTTTCTTTTCTTTTTAAAATGGAATCAGACAGCCAGGTGTGGTGGCTCACACCTGTAATCCCAGCACTTTGAGAGGCTGAGCCAGGAAGATTGCTTGAAGCCAGGAGTTTGAGACCAGCCTGGCCAACACAGCAAGACCTCACTTCTATTTTTTAAAAAAAGAATCCTATACGCTTTGCACTAAGGAGTTTGACTTTTTTTGGTCATGCATTTGGAAGTAGACAGACTGTACCTTTCTGATTTCAACCAAATTACAGTCTGACTTGAACTTACATTTCTTCTGTAGCATAAAATGGCTGATCCATTTTAAATCCATTTTGAATCAGTTTGTAGAAGTTAGCATCAACCGGAATGCCAGGGTAAGGATTCACACCTGAGGAAAACATTAGACAATTGCAGCCATTCATCCATTTCTTCATTTGTTTATTGATTCATTCAATTAAACACGTATTGAGATCTGCCATGTGCCAGACACTGTTGCAGGCACACGGGCTGCGGCTGGGAAAAAGAAGTCACGGTTCACGCTCTCAAGCAGGTTATAGACCAGTGAGGAAGACAGGCTAAAGGACACCAGCAAATAAACATAAAGTCATGGGCTGCAATACAAGTAAGACCCATCAGTGTTGGGGGGAGGGGTGGGGCGGCACCGAGAGAGCAGAGGATGCAAAGCCAGGAGCCAAGGGAGGCCAGCAGCTGCCCAACTTACCAAGTGAGAAGATTTCCCACAGTAATATTCCATATGACCAGACATCACTCTTAATGGTGTAGATGCCTTCAAACAGGCTTTCGGGGGCCATCCATTTTACAGGCAGACGGGCCTGTGGAAAACCCAGAGGAGATAAGATGGTGAATTTTCCACATACAGACATGACTTCTTTTCTTTTGTATTAAGATGAAATGCATCATCTTCCTAAGACCACTCTTAATGCCTTATTGAGAAAATCACATTCCTCACGTGAAAGGTTTTCACTTTCAAATTAACATTCTAATAATACTAGCCTAAAACATAAGGCATATTTCTTTACAACTCCTCTCGAACAAAGGCTTGTGCTTGGAATGGGTAAGTTTAACTTGCCATCTTTCCACTGGAAAGAGGTACTTTCCATTAAGGAATAGCCAGTCAGTTGCCTAGGGGTAAGTGGGTACTAGTGAATTAGTGAGATCTTCTGTTACAGCATTTCTGGGAAGACCTTTAGTGGAAATGTCATCCACAATAATGTCGGGAGGGGAGCCCACGTCATCACTTCCAGAAATGATACCAGTCTGGCTTCTGTGGCTTTAATAATTTCCACTAGCATGAAAGGGAGTTTTGACTTAGTATAGTCTCAGACTAGAATCAAGACACAAGATGGGTAGGTTACTGGGGCAGAGCTTTGTACTGATTTTCTTTCTCTTTTTTTTTTTGAGACGGAGTTTCGCTCTTGTTGCCCAGGCTGGAGTGCAATGGCGCTATCTCAGCTTACTGCAACCTCAGACTCCCTGGTTTAAGTGGTTCTCCTGCCTCAGCCTCCCGAGTAGCTGGGATTACAGGTACGCACCACCATGCCCAGCTAATTTTTGTATTTTTCGTAGAGACGGGATTTCACCATGTTGGCCAGGCTGGTCTTGAACTCCTGACCTCGTGATCCACCCGCCTCAGCCTCCCAAAGTGCTGGGATTACAGCTGTGAGCCACCACACCTGGCTGTACTGATTTTCTTTTACATGGGTTGACGAGTCCTTCACAGCACATGTTTAATCAGCACATGCTTAATCAGCCAAGTAAACCCTCTTTTAAATGTATGCAAACTGATGAGCTATTGATTCATGCAGGCAAGTCTGGTTAATTTGATTAATTAAAGAAATTAATTGTGGTTCCAAATGGAATTCACTTTCCCACATAAGAGACAACCAGCTGGTGGGGTAGAAACTGAATGACTACATATGAGCAGTCTATGATGAGTAGGAGTAGATCGTAAATCAGCTAAGATGATTATTTGTTTCTAGTGGGAATACAGTTTAATTTGACTTTTCACATTTACTGGATGTTCACCCTGGACAAGGTGCTTTCACGTTGGTTTTATTGGCTTTTTCCCACATCAACGCTATGAGGTAAGTGCATAACCCTCATGGGAAACACTACAACATAGTGGTTAGCACAGACTCGGGGCTCAGACTATTCCTGTTCAAGTCCACATGCTGTGTAACCATGGGCGAGTTACTTTTCTGTGCCTCAGTTTCCAAGTGGGTACTCTGAGGAATAAATGAATTAATATGCATAAAGCACTTAGATGTTTAGCACATAGTAAGCACTAAGTCAGCATTTAATATTATTATTATTTCACAAGTAGGGAATTCTTTTTTGAGACAGGGTCTCAAAAAAAAGGGTCTCATTCTGTTGCCCAGGCTGGAGTGCAGTGGCGTGATCACAGCTCACTGCAGCCTCGACCTCCTGGGCTCAAGTGATCCTCCCACTTCAGCCTCCCAAGTAGCTGAGACCACAGGCGTGTGCCACCACACTCAGCTAGTTTTTTATTTTTTATAGAGACAGTTGAGTGTCTCACCATGTTCCATAGGCTGGTCTTGAACCCGGGCTCAAGCAATTCTCCCACCTTGGCCTCTCAAAGTGCCTTGGATTAAAGGCGTGAGCCACCAGCACCCAGCCAGGTATTGTAATTCTTTAAAAACACACATTTTCAACTACACAATTTTGTCATCTATTACTTCTAATAGTTCTTTTTGTAAACACATCTGTCCTTAGTTTTTCATTACCAAGTCAATTCACACTGTTTTTTTTGTTGTTGTTTTTTTTTTTTTTTTGAGACAGAGCTTTGCTCTTGTTGCCCAGGCTGGAGTGCAGTGGCGCGATCTCAGCTCACTGCAACCTCCACCTCCTGGGTTCAAGCAATTCTCCTGCCTCAGCCTCCCGAATAGTTGGGATTACAGGCACACGCCACCACGCCCAGCTAATTTTTTGTATTTTCAGTAGAGACAGAGTTTCACCATATTAGTCAGGCTGGTATCGAACTCCTGACCTCATGATCTGCCCTCCTCGGCCTCCCAAAGTGCTGGGATTACAGGCATGAGCCACTGCACCCAGCCAATTCACTCATGTTTTAGATCTTCCTGTGTTAACAGTAAAAGGATGATAAATATTCATTAATTCATATTTAAGTATTTAGCTTTAACATTTTATAGGTATGTGCTATATATGTTTTAAAGTGCTTTATTGTGACTATTAGCTTTTCACATAATTGAAAACATAACTCAATCATCACTTTATAGCTAGGATAACTGAACTAAGTGCAAGTATTGAGATTTTGGGTTTTTTAAAGTGAGGATTGCACTCAAAGGCCCCTAACTGATCTACTCTGACTAGCTAGCCCAAGGACAGATGTGATGCTATTTTGCTCAGCTTTTATTATAGATGGAAGATTCCCTGAAGCTGCAGAAAAACCTTTTAAGCATAAGTAAGCAGACTGCTGTGAGGGTTTTTTGATGTTACCATAAATCAAAAATGCACCACAGTGAGTGCAGTTGTTTACCATGATAACGACACAACACAAAATAGCCGTATAAAAATAAGTAGGAAATAGCAGCCTCACATTGCCCCTGACAACATAGTTGGAATCACTCATGATATCTCGAGCCAATCCAAAGTCACATATCTTCACCACTTTCCCGTGGGTGACAAGCACGTTCCTGGCGGCCAGGTCTCTGTGAACACACTGTCAAGAATGACACCAGAGTGTTATTTACTGTGATGTGTATTATCCTGGAGTGCAATCTTTCTTCTAGACTCAACTTCAGTAGGAGGTACCGGTGATGGAAGGCCTCTTATCTTTACTGGGCTGTGCCGTGAGCGGCCATGATGATGTGCAACAAACAAAGTGAATATAGGAGACCTAATTCTGCAGCTATGGTGGCTGCAGTTCTTTGTGCGGCTTCTGAAGCATCCCCAGAGGCCAAAGAGGAGCAGATCTTTTGCAGATTCCGAGCAAAAGTGAGAGGCTCCCCAACAGGGGCCCTCCCCTGAGCCTTCAGAGGGAATCTCAGAGCTGTCCTCCAGTACTCTTATTGTGGGTGTGAGAAATAGCATCTCTTTTCTTTTTTTTTTTTTTTTGAGACGGAGTTTCACTCTTGTTCCCCAGGCTGGAGTGCAATGGCGTGATCTCGGCTCACTGCAACCTCTGCGTCCCAGGTTCAAGCAATTCTCCTGCCTCAGCCTCCCGAGTTGCTGGGATTACAGGCACGCGCCACCAGGCCCAGCTAATTTTGTGTTTTTAGTAGAGACGGCGTTTCGCCATGTTGGTCAGGCTGGTCTCGAACTCCTGACCTCAGGTGATCCACCCACCTCGGCCTCCCAAAATGCTGGGATTGCAGGCGTGAGCCACCGCGCCTGGCCAGCATCTCTTTTCTGACTGGAAAATAGCTTTAGGAATAAATGGAGTAATATCGAGGGAAATAATCGGAAAAACAAAAAGCTAAAAATGAGTTTGGAGAGGTTTACTGAACTGGAATTAGAAGGAGTCCCTGAGCTGAAAGATGTCGTGATGTTAATCAAAGGGGTCTGACAAGAAAATGAACTTTACAAAGGAAGATCTGAAGGGGAACAGGGCACTAGTAGCAAAGGTCCAATGTACACTCTTTCATCTTTAAAAAATAAAAAGCAGCACCATGAACACTGGCAGCCCTGTGCCACAGCCCCTCTAGAGCTCCCTCCTCCATACCCAGTTTTTTCAGTGCCATCTACCTGCACTTTGCCCACTTTACCCCAGGTCTGCAACCTGCCTCCTCCTCCTGCCTGTCTGCCCAAGCTGCTCTGGCCGAGGCCTGCACTGACTGGCTTGGCACCCACACAGTCTCGATCTGACGGGACCTCCCTGTGGTGTCTGCTGCTGTTGGCCAGCCCCTCCCGCTTCTGGTCCTCCCTCTGGGAACCCTGCGCATGGTTCACTCCTGCTTTCTCCCCACTGCTCTGCCGGCTCCTGTCTCCCTCAGGGGCTTTGTGCACGAGCCTACTCTCACTCCTGAGGGCTGCATCCTCACAACCCACACCCTCACCCAAGCCATTTCATCCAAACCTAGGGATGCAACCACCATTGCCCACATCCCTATTTCCAACCCAAACATTTCTCTTGAGCTTCAGACAGGAGAAGTGTCCAAGTGTCTGCTAGACCACGCTCTACTTGGTTGCTCAAGGCACCTCACATTCAGTATGTCCAACTCATTACCTTTCTCCAAAAAAAACTCCTCCTGATTCCATGCTTCCTATCCTATCCCACATTCCCTGCTGGTTTTCCTTTTCCTTCAAAAATCTCCATTAGTCCAAGCATGAAGCACGCACTCCCTCAGAAAGCCTCTTCCACTGCATCTCCCCTTCCCCCAACCAGGTCTGCTGTGCAGATCCCTCCCCTGGGTTCCCAGAACTTACTTCAGTCACAACACTTATCATGCTACAGTGTTGTCTTTTTTAAACTTTTTAAAATTTTTTATTTTTATTTTTTGAGAAAGTCTCACTCTGTCACCCAGGCTGGAGTGCAGCGGTACAATCTCTGCTCACTGCAACCTCTGCCTCCCAATTCAAGCGATTCTCATGCCTCAGCCTCCTAAGTAGCTGGGATTATAGGCGTACACCACCGTGCCTGGCTGTTTTTCTATTCTTAGTAGAGATGGGGTTTTGCCATGTTGGCCAGGCTGGTCTTGAACTCTTGGCCTCAAGCAATCCACCGTCTCAACCTCCCAAAGTGCTGGGACTACAGGCCTGAGCCACCCACCCCCGGCCTCAGTGTCATCTTCGACTTGCATGTCTGCTTGTCTCTGTCTCCCCTATCATTCATAAGATCTTCGAGCCCAGGAGTCATATCATAACTGACTCTGTATCTCCAGCATCTAGTACAGTGCTTGGCATGTAGCTGGGGCTCAACAAATGTTTGATGAAGTCAAGGGCCTACAGAGGAAACTGAGGGGCACCCAGAGGAATATCAGGGAGGGGGTGAGAGACAAGAAGGGGACAGTGACACGCATGATTCAAAGGGGAGGCCTGATGTGAAGATAAAAGGATAGAAGGCCTAAGAAACTGGATGTTCTTCAAAAATTCATATTATTACAAGCCTGGGGTTGAAGGGGAAGCAGTGCCCCTTGACTGCCAGTTGGGAGTAGTTTGAGTATTTACTTAGCTATGGGCAGCAAACCAGGCCAGACAATCTAAGTAGGTGTTCTCCCACCTCTATAAAGATGTTCGTGGGCCAGGTACAGTGGCTCACGCCTGTAATCCCAGCACTTTGGGAAGCCGAGGCGGGCAAATCACTTGAGTCAGGAGTTTGAGACCAGTCTGACCAACATAGCAAAACCTTATCCCTACAAAAATACAAAAAAATTAGCCAGGTGTGGTGGTGCACACCTGTAACCCCAGCTACTTGGGAAGCCAAGGCAGGAGGATCGCTTGAACCTGGGAGGCAGAGGATGCAGTGAGCTGAGATCACACCCCTGCACTCCAGCCTGGGCAACAGAGCAAGACATTGTCTCAAAAACAAAAACAAAATGCTTGTGAAAGCAGGATTGTAGTTGTATAAGTGAAATAGAGAAAGACTCAGGTGGGCAAGATGCGCGAGCAAGAAGAATCCAAACAGCAGGTGGGGAAAATGAAGAGAAAAATGTGCCTCGCAGTTCAGAGGTGTGGAAATATTACTGTGACAGTAATTTTTTAAAACTTGTATTATTATTGCTTTTAAGCTTATTTCATTATTATTTTGAATAGACAGACTGGAGGGCAGTGCTATAGTCATAGCTCATTGCAGCCTGGAACTCTTGGGCTTCCCTCCAAAAGCACTGGGATTACAGACGTACACCACTGTGCCCAGCCTATTTATTTATTTTTAATTAATTTTTTTTTTTTTGAGACAGAGTCTCACTCTGTCGCCCAGGCTGGAGTGCAGTGGCGCCATCTTGGCTCACTGCAAGCTCCGCCTCCCAGGTTCATGCCATTCTCCTGCCTCAGCCTCCCAAGTAGCTGGGACTACAGGCGCCCGCCACCACACTCGGCTAATTTTTTTTGTATAGAGACGGGGTTTCACCGTGTTGGCCAGGATGGTCTCGATCTCCTGACCTCGTGATTCACCCACCTCGGCCTCCCAAAGTGTTGGGATTACAGGCGTGAGCTACCACGCCCGGCTGCCTATTTTTTATTTTTTAGAGAAAGAGACTTGCTCTGTCACCCAGGATGGAGTGCAGTGGTGCGATCCTAGCTCACTGCAGTTTCCAACTCCTGGGCTCAAGCAATCCTCCCACCTTGGCCTCCCAAGTAGCTGGAACTGCAGACACACACCATGAACATCTGGCTGAGGCAGTAATTTTTTAAAGAAAAAAGGCCGAGTGTGGTGGCTCACGCCTGTAATCCCAGCACTTTGGGAGGCTGAGGCAGGTGGATTGCTTGAGCTCAGGATTTCAAGACCAGCCTGGGCAACATGGTGAATTCCCATCTCTATTAAAATACAAAAAATTAGCCAGGCATGCTGGTATGCACCCGTGGTCCCAGCTACACGGAAGGCCGAGGCATGAGAATTGCTTGAACCCAGGAAGCAGAGGTTGTAGTGAGCCAAGATCACGCCACTGCACTCCAGCCTGGGCAACAGAGCGAGACTGTCTCCAAAAACAAAACAAAACAAAACAAAAAAATACAATTGAAAGTAGTCTTTCCAAATTCAGAGAGAAAACAGGAGAGAAGAGGCAAGGGGAAGGAAGTGGAGGAGAAGAGGAGGAGGAGATTAGAAGACTGCAAGAAAAATGAGGGGGAAGAATTTTGGGAAATAAAGAGAAGGTAATGAAAGGCAAGCAAACGAGGAAGGAAGGTAGCCAGAGAGTGGGCTATGATCTGCTTATAGGCAGGAGACATTTGAAATCACAGAGAACAGCGGGTGGAAAGGCAGTTCAAAAAGAGTGCAAAATTGGGGTAGAGACATGGTTCACGGCAGGCTCCAGGGCCTTACCAACGAATGGATCTGGGGTTAGCAACAGAGGAGGCAGTGAGCCTGCAGGACTGCTGCCAGCCCACAGCACGCAGGGTGAGAATTAGACAAAGACACTCAGGGTGGCTGGCTCGGTTTCAGCCTCCTCTCATCCCCTGGGTTGAATGCCCACATGCAGGGCACAACCTGAACAGCCGTTCTGAAAGGGACTGACAATGCTACGCTTTGTTTTGAGGAAGGATTTCTGAGGACTTCCTATCTCGACCTTCAGCCTTGGAAGTTTCAGGGGACTTTGTGCAGCCTGGGAGGGCTGTGCTAGCCGTGACCTCACAAGGGATCCCAGGCCTTTATGCTACTACAATTAGCCAAGAGCCAAGGTAACACGCTAGGTGACTCCAACAGTGAACAGGGGAGAAAAGGCAGACTTTAAGGGATACAAGTTAAAATAAACAAGAAAACATATATAAGCACATCTTTTCAAATCTTTTTTTTGGTTTGTTTTTTCTTTAAAAGGAGCATACCGACTTAAATTCCAGAAATTCCATTCCTTTGGCAACTTGATATGCAAAGCAAAGAAGATCTTCAAATGTAAGCACATTCAAGTCCTCCTCTTCTTCCAGCCTTTTTTGGTTTTCATATTCAATTTCATCTGTAAAATAGAGCCAGTCTTCACTTTTGCCAAAACTCTAAGAAGTTGCCTTATTAAATCTCTATGGGAAGGTTATTCAAGCCAGAGTTAGGTGAGGTGCTAAGACATGAAGCTATCGCATTATCTTCCCGGCAGCATTAGAGATGACCTGTTTATGCTGCCTATGAAGGGTCACTGGAGACTTGTTTTGGTTAGAGATAAACTTTGGAACTGCTTTGATGACCGATGACCTCCTGATTGATTAGTCAGGAGTTTTAGATACTTCTCTTTTGCACTAGGTAGGGCTGTCACAGTGGGAAAGGAATTAATATTAATTGTCTATCCCTTTTTTTTTTGAGAAGGAGTCTCGCTCTGTCGCCCAGGCTGGAGTGCAGTGACACGATCTTGGCCTGCTGCAACTGGATTCTCCTGCCTCAGCTTCCCGAGTAGCTGGGACTACAGGCTCATGCTAATTTTTTGTATTTTTAGTAGAGAAGGGTTTCACCGTGTTAGCCAGGATGGTCTTGATCTCCTGACCTCGTGATCCACCCACCTGAGCCTCCCAAAGTGGTGGGATTACAGGCATGAGCCACTGTGCCCGGCCCATCTATCCTATTTTATAAACTATATTGTGCATTTTATATTCTTCCATTTACTCCTTCCTTTTTTTTTCTTTCTTTCTTTTTTTTTTTTGAGTTGAAGTCTCACTCTGTTGCCCAGGTTGGAATGCAGTGGTGCAATCTCAGCTCACTGCAACCTCTGCCTCTTGGGTTCAAGCAATCCTCCTGCCTCAGCCTCCCAAGTAGCTGGGATTGCAGGCGTGCACCACCATACCCAGCTAATTTTTGTATTTTTAGTAGAGACAAGGTTTCTCCATGTTGGGCCAGGCTGGTCTTGAACTCCTGACCTCAGGTGACCTGCCTGCCTCGGCCTCCCAAGGCGTGATTACAGGCGTGAGCCACCACGGCCAGCCCCTCATTTACTCCTTCTAACAGTCCTGTGAGGAAGGTAGTGTTAGGCCTATTTTATAAACAAGAAAATTGTGATTCTGGTGGTCACATAACTTGTCCAAAGTCATCCAGTCAGAAAGCAAAGTAAGCAGAAGTTAATCCAAATTCTATGTAACTTCGGAACTCATTATCTCTTCCACTTGTCAGGTAATAAGATGGCTGTAATTAATATATGACTTTAAATGAATAATCTGACCAAATAAAATAGTCCTCAGTGTTTATTAGTTGAATGTTGACATAAAATCTACAGTATACAAACTGGCTTTTAGCTATCATCTGACAATTAGCAAATTTTAAAATGCTTTTGTGTTTACACACTTTTAAAAAATAGCTAACATAAAACTTTTGCATTCATTTCCATTTTAAAGTGCTACTACTTAGAATAAAATATTACCTTCAGAGTGAAATGAATTCCCATGAAGCCCTGAGATTTGATCCGAGTCCGGGTGTATCTGAACTTCTCTTGAACCAGGCATGCTATTAAAAAATTTTGTTTTTTCATTATTTACATTATTCTTCTCAGCAGACATTTTATTTTAAAAATGTAATTCATCAAATAAATGGATTCCAGTTATAAATTGACTTTTAAATTAAAAGCACACCATCCATTTGTCCATTTTTTGTGTACATTAAAAACATCTGTGTAACTGGGCTTGCCAGTCTAAGATAAAAGTAATCCCTGTTTTCCATATAGAATCTTACAGTTCAAAAAGGACCTCACTCAATCCTTGCCACAACCTATGAGATGGGTGGCATTTTATAAAAGAGAAATTAGGCACAGTGAGATAAATATGATTCGAGTGGAACCAGGACTCACATCGATCTCATTCTTTGGTTTCTGAACTCAGCCCACTTTCCCTCACATAATACAGATCTTCCCGAGAGTCCCGTAAGCGTTTCACCATCCTTCTTTTTTCCAGTTTGCCTTTGTAAAGCTCATTTCTTTTTACTGTGAAATTAATAAATAGCAATAATACAAATCTCTTTTAAGGTATATAAAAATTCTTCCCTGAGGAGCTCTGTAGGAATTATAAGTAGATCACGATTCAATTTATTCTAATATACGAGTTTAACCCAATTTACAATTTACATATCTTTAGGAAATGGCTTCATGCTTTCAGACCACAAATATTCCAAAAGGAATAATTTCAGTGTATTTAATATTCCAGTGAACAGAACGAATCAAAGGGGCTAAGTACTGACCAGTGGATACTGGTCACACACATCGGACTCAGTAGGATAGCCCCTCTGTTCCAGAATATGAGTGGCTTTATAGAGTTCTCATTTCTAGACGATGAGCTGGGAAATGAGTGTAAAGGAGAGGACGGTGTGACGGGCATGCATAGGTTAAGGGCAGCTGCACACGGACGTGCATGGGGATCTCCGTGGGGCCTGGTGGCTTTAAGACACTGGGTCTGTGTCTCAGACCTGGAAGGCCAGAGGCCTGCACTTAAAACTTACATTCTAAGAAAACAAAGCCGGGACTCTCAAATGTATCCCTAAAAAGCCCCTGGTAAAGAAAAAAGTCTCCAATAAACAAATACCCTTCAGAATAAGGGAGAACTTCCATACAGGGAGGGAAATAAGAACGCGCCAAGGCTCAGCCAGGTGCGGTGGCTCATGCCTATAATTCCAGCACTTTGCGGGGCCTAGGTGGGTGGATCAACTGAGGTCAGGAGTTCAACACCAGCCTGACCAACATGGTGAAACCCTGTCTCCACTAAAAATACAAAATTAGCTGGGCGTGGTGGCACATGCCTGTAATCTCAGCTACTCGGGAGGCTGAGGCAAGAGAATCGCTTGAACCTGGGATGTGGAGGTTGCAGTGAGCCGAGATCACACCATTGCACCACTCCAGCCTAGGCAACAGAGCGAAACTCTGTCTGAAAAAAAAAAAAAAAAAAAAAAGAATGCTCCAAGGCTCAACGAATGCCTCCATCAGAATGCCTGGGAATCCATTCAGAGAAAGGTGCTACAAAGCCATGATGCTCAAGTAATTAGCAAGAAAGTTCAAGGATGAGGAGGAGATCCAGCAAACTCCTACAGCCCTCATTTATGCCCGCTAAAGCAATAAATCCCTGCAGGACCAAGCATCTCTCAGGATCCCCATGGATGCGGAGGATAAACACAGAGCAGAGACAAGGTTACTGCTACTTTACTGTGTCCCCATCACGTGTCGATCAATCCATCCTAATATCTTAGAATCCAATTTGAGTTCAGCGTTCTTTTGCGCAATAGTCCCAGGACCCGAGCTGCTCTCTTTGCATATGTTAAGGACTTTGGAAAAAGTCTTCATTCTTTCTACCAATACCTGTGAGGCAACCAGGTGTCCTGAAAGACCGAATAATGCACCTTTCCCCAAACCAAATAGGCGTCTATGGTGTGATGCAGGCATGGGTGGAGAGAGACTAGCTCAGCTATAGTACCTGTACTGAAGGAAAGGGACAGGACTCGTTCCATGTCAACAGGGAAACTATAGCAAAGATTCAGGAAATCTCTAGGTTGCAGGACCCACAGACTTCACGGTGCCTTTAGAAACTGGTCAACGAAGTGTGTTTGAACAGCACACTTTGCCTACGTTCTATGATGTGTAATTACGAAACCCTGACCCAGCCTCTTACCTGGAATTTGGATGTGATTGGAAAGTGGGGTAAAAACTGAAATTGTGTTCCTTGAAAATCTCTGTCCAAGTCCTGTGAAATTTTTCTCTTTTACTTCTTAGATAGTTGAGAAGATCACCATAGCAACAGTATTCAAAAATCAAGTAAATTGGTCCTGAAATAGTTACAGTTTCAATTATAGGCATACACAAAGCAAACTGTTATTTCAGAAGTCTATGTAGCAGACAACATACTCTTAGGAGGGCTTGGTTCTCTGCTGACTTGGGGACAGTACAACTTTTTCTGAGCCTAGCTCTTCTTATACTTTAAATTCAGTTTCAGCTTTTGCTCAAATTTCTTTGGAAAGCAGCATCTTCTTGACATTCTCTGTGGCCCTTTTTTGTATGTGTGGCCTCACCAATACCACTGGCCTCCTGGATTCTCCAGTTGGCAACTGAAAGTAATGTTCTAGCTGTGTATTATAGGTGAACACTTGGTAACTATATGCTGATTTGCTGTTTGCTTGAGGAGGGAGAAATATATTCCCAGTCCTCTCTCAGATTCACTTTCCTCTTTTTCCTTTCTTTTAGTACCAGCCCCAGGCCTGCTGCTGCAGAAAGAATGAACCTTGGGCACATCATTTGGGTATTTCTAGGCAGAAGAGAGAAGATCAGAGGGCATGCCCCAGAGAATTCTGGGAAAGTAAAGTCTGATATCCTAGCTAGGCTGTGCCGTATTTGACGGCAGCCCAACTGGGGCAGTGGCCAGGCTCTGTAACCACTCTCACCACGCCTGTGCACCAGCTTCCAAGCTGGGAGAGAAGCACAGACACCACCAAATGTACTTGCAATGTTGTTGTTGTTGTTGTTTTTAAGCAGGTGAGAATTATGCAATATATCACGATAAAGCAGATGAATGAGGCATTCTTTATTTTGACCCCTCTGATTTATAGAGTGCTCAGTGTCTAATTCCACTTGGGTTTGAGAGTTCACACTGTGACTGAGAAAAGACAAAGAATTAAAAAGAGAGAGAGAGAGAGAGAGAGCAAACATCCTCTTTGTCATCAAGCTACAGTCTTTTTGATGAGGTGATTTTCGTGGAAGTGGGTTACCTGACAGTGTGCACGCCCCCAGCAGGTTCACAATATTCTCGTGGCTTCCCAGCTGGGTCATCATCTTGAGTTCTGACATGAGTGCCTCTCTTTCAGAGCTGTCTGCTTTTTCTGTCAAAGAAAGGAGCATTAAAAATGTAAAACTCAAGTAAAATACGAATTTTATGTCATTAAATAAAATTTTTCTCAGCTCAGAGTCAATCTGCATTATTTATTTAAATTCAAAATTATGAGAGAAGCCAGGCATGGTGGGTCATGCCTGTAATCCCAGCACTTTGGGAGGCCGAGGTGGGTGGATCACTTGAGGTCAGAAGTTCAAGACTGGCCTGGCCAATATGGTGAAACCTCGTCTCTACTAAAAATACAAAAATTAGCCAGGCGTGGTGGCAGGCACCTGTAATCCCAGCTACTTGGGAGGATGAGGCAGGAGAATCGCTTGAATGTGGGAGGCAGAGGTTGCAATTAGCTGAGACTGCACCATTGCACTCCAGCCTGGGCAACAAGAGTGAAACTCCATCTTAAAATAAATAAATAAATAAACAAACAAACAATATCCTGTGTTTTAAGACAGAATTTCTCCTTTTTCTTTTTTTTTTTTCCTTTTCTTTCTTTCTTTTTTTTTGACACAGTATCTCACTCTGTCACCCAGGCTGGAGTGTAGTGACATGATCTCAGCTTACTGTAGCCTCTGCCTCCTGGGCTCAAGTGATCCTCCTACCTCAGCCCTCCAAGTTACTGGTACTACAAGCACAGGCCATCATGCCCAGCTAATTTTTATATTTTTTGTAGAGATGGGGTCTCACCATGTTGCCCAGGCTGGTCTTGAACTCCTAGATTCAAGCAATCCTCCCAACTCCGCCTCCCAAAGTGCTGGGAATACAGGCATGAGCCACCATGCCCAGCCTAAGGCAGAATTCAGACTGTAGTATAGGGCTGGGCGCAGTGGCTCACACCTGTAATCCCAACACTTTGGGAGGCCAAGGCGGGTGGATCACTTAAGGTCAGGAGTTGAAGACCAACCTGGCCAACATGGTGAAACCCTGTCTCTACTAAACATACAAAAAATTAGCCGGGCGTGCCGGTGCGTACCTGTAATTCCAGCTACTCAGGAGGATGAGGCAAAAGAATCCCTTGAACTGGGGAGGCAGAGGTTGCAGTGAGCCGAGATTGAGCCCCTGCACCACTCCAGCCTGGGTGACAGAGCGAGACTCTGTCTCAAAAACAAAACAAAACAAAACAAAACAAAGACTATAGTATAAATGTTGAATCTGGTAATGCACCTTTCAACAGGACTTTCCTCTACCTACCAAAATAAAAATCCTTACAGTTGGCCCTCAAAACAAACAAACAAAATAATAACACATGCTTTTCCTCCTCAGTACAAGTTAACAGAAGGGAGAAACGTCCTTTTTGTTTGTTTGTTTGAACTCTTGGATCTGTTGTAGTCAGAGAGAGATAACAGTGTCGTGAGCATGGTTGACTCTAGCCTGTGGCCCTCAGGTCTAGAACATTAGATTTGCCAGCAAGTCCAATGGGAGAAGGTCAAAGAGGACTAATTCCCACTATCAGGTGCTCAAGAGACCCATTAATTGACATTGAGAAATAAAACTGCCAAGCAGGCTAGAACATATTGGTTGGCCAATGCATTCTCTCTCTAGGGAAAATTCCAGATAGCTCAGCAAACTGTACTTATAAGCTGACTTAGAAGCACAGTGTGAGGAAAGTCACTATGGAATCCAAGGGCTCCCGTCATTGCGGCTCATGTGCAGTTGGTCAGGGCAGCCCGGGCAGCCACAGGGGCAAGGGCAGGGTCTCTGGACTTCCCTCTCCAGGCTCCAGGCACCACCCCTCTGTGAACAGACTTTTTCTTCCAGATATAGTAACTCTTCTTTACATTCAGTGAAGATTTGGTTCGATTGCCAGGTTCCATTATTTTGTCCAGGAAGGCATCCTAACCTTTATAGTGGCTTCTCCGGTGCTGACATCCTCTATTTTGGTTTGGGCAAGCTCTCAGGGGTATCCTTGTTTCCAAGATTTTAGCTTGGGGGTGGGATTTCCTGTGGGCACTGGGACCCCCTAATACATCATGTCTTCAGCTTCACGCTGGACAGGGATTCGGGGCTTTACTTGTTCATGTCCTATTCCTCATGGCTAAAATAATATCTTACATTTTTTAGCATGCTTAGCTTCTTCTAAGCATTTTCATGTACCATTACCTCTTTCATTCAGTCATTCAACAAGTATTTATTGAGTGCCTACTCTGTAAGAGCCAATGTCCTAGACACTGGGGAATGAAGGAAAAACAAGACACAACCCTTGTCTTCCTGGATCTTAGAGTCTCCTGGAGAAGGCAGAGAAGTAAATAAGCCATGACAATACAGTGCCATAAATGCAATACGGCAGGCAAGACGTGGGTCCCCGCGCCTCTAATCCCAACATCTTGGGAGGCTGAGACAAGCGGGAGAATTGCTGGTACCCAGAAGTTCAAGAAAGGCCCGGGCAAAATAGCAAGAGCTTGTCTCTACTTAAAAATAAAATAAAGTAAAAATACATAAATAAATAAAATAAAATAAAATAAAAATTAGCTGGGCTTGGTGGTGCCTGCATGTAGTTCCAGTTACTGGAAAGGCTGCAGACCATCACTTGAGCCCAGGACTTGAAGCTTGCCGTGAGCTATGATGACTTCACTGCACTCCAGCCTGGGTGACAGAGTGAGACCCTATCTCAAAAAAAGAAAAAAGAAAGAAAAAGAAAAAATGCAACGTTGGGCTGGGCACGGTGGCTCATGCCTGTAATCCCAGCACTTTGGGAGGCTGAGACAGGCGGATCACGAGGTCAGGAGATCAAGACCATCCTGGCTAACACGGTGAAACTCTGTCTCTACTAAAAATACAAAAAAATTTAGCCGGGCGTGGTGGTGGGTGCCTGTAGTCCCAGCTGCTAGGGAGGCTGAGGCAGGAGAATGGCGTGAACCCAGGAGGCGGAGCTTACAGTGAGCTGAGATGGTGCCACTGCACTCCAGCCTGGGCGACAGAGTGAGACTCCGTCTCAAAAAAAGAAGAAAAAATGCAACGTGGCAAAGGAGTGCAGGGGTACTGTAGGGTCAAAAGGGATAGCTACCTTAGCCTTGGAGGGGTGGAGAAAGGAGCATTCAATGTCTAAACTGAGTCCTGAAGAAAAATGGGAGCTGGCCAGGTGACTCATGGTGGAAGGGGAGGAGAACAGTGCTGAGGGTTGTGAAAGAGTGGGCAAAGGTCGAGAAAGGAGAGAGCACAGCACCACAGACACAGACCCTGCCCTCATGAGGCACAGGGGCTACTGGACAGATGGGACAACAATTGGATGTTAAAAAATGTCATGACAAAGGTGATGGATTCTACGGGGGAAAGCCTGCAGAGAGCTAATGTCGCACATTGCAAGGGCCTCAATATTGTCTGTGGTGTGAGACAGAGGAAGTGGTGTTTAAGCTGAGATCTGAGGGGGCAGTGGGAGATACTTACATGAAAGGGGAAGGGGAAGCAGAAGGATCCACTTGTGCAAAGGCCCCACAGTGGGTGGGAGGACAGTGCTGGGGGAACTGAAAGAAGGCCAGCGCTCTGGGGTGCCGAGAGCAAGAGGTGGGGAGGCAGCGGTGGCCCAGCCATGCGGGTGGTGGAGGAAATGTGAAGTAGGAAAGCCATTTGATCTGCTTAGCCTTTCGCCACTGTCACTTGGACCTCAGTATGGAGAAGCCAAAGGGAGGCAAGAGTGGATACAGGAACCTGCTTTGGAAGCTTTTGTCCAGGAGAGAGCCTTGAACTAGAGTGGTGGTCATAGAGATGGAGGGACGAGGATGGAATCAAGAGACACTAATCGGAAACCTGATAGGATTAGCTCACAGGGTGTTAGAAAGAGGAAGGTGTCAAGGAAAAGTCACGGGTTTCTAGTGTGCCCAACTATATAGAATGTGGTTATTTATTCACTGGCATTCATTACCAGTCACAGAGAGGACTGCTGGTGCAGGGCCAGGGTTAGGGGAATTCACCTTGCATACACTGTGTTAAAGGGACCTTTGAGACATCCAAACATTTAACATATGAACCTGAAGCTCCGAAAGGAGACGCAAGCATGAGGGCCCTTGGTGTATGGGAGGACATCACGGGTGTAGTGGGGATGGACTGTGTTGAGTGTGTGGAGCGAAAACGCAAGGCGGTCCAGGAGCAAGCCCACAGGGATGCCCCATAAAAAGCTGGATGGAGCCTGGGCAACATGGCGAAGCCCCATCTCTACCAAAAATACAAAAATTAGCCAGGCATGGTGGCGCATGCCTGTAGTCCCCCCTACTCAGGGGCCTGAAGTGGGAGGATGGCTTGAGCCTGGGAAGTGGAGGTTGCAGTGAGCTGAGATCACACCACTGCACTCCAGCCTGGGCAACAGAGCAAGGCTGTGTTTCAAAATCAGCCACAACAACAAAAGCTGGATGGAAGAAGATGAGCCCACAAAGGACTGAGTTTCAAAATCAGCCACAACAACAAAAGCTGGATGGAAGAAGATGAGCCCACAAAGGACTGAGAAGGGCAGAGGGGTGGGAGGAAAACCAGAATATGGTGACACAAAACCCAAAGAAAGAAAGCTTCTGGATGGAGAGAAGAATCAACAGCATCAATTCATGCTGAACAATCAAGTAATGAGGACTGAAAAATATCCATTAGGCTTGGTTTGGTTTGAAGTCACTGTTGACCTTAGCAAGAGAGCCAGCTGGAGATGCTTTTGCTGGGTCAGCGGTGGTAACGGTGAGGCCAGCAATGGGGCTGGACGCCAGATCGGAATGGATGGAGCAACGAAGTGAGGATACAAAGGGCCCCAGTTTTCTCTCCTACCCAGAGTCTGTTTCAACCCACACCTGTAATCCCAGCACTTTAGGAGGCCAAGGCAGCCTCACTTGAGCCAGGAGTTTGCAACCATCCTGGGCAATATGGTGAGACACCGTATCTACAAAAAAAAAAAAAAATTAGCCAATTGTCTTGGCACACTCCTGTGAGGCTGAGGTGAGAGCATTGCTAGAGCCAAGGAGGTCGAGGCTGCAGTGAGCTATGATCACAGCACTCTAGCCTGGGTAACAGAGCAAGATCCTGTCTCTAAAAATAAAACAACACAAATGTAAGAAAGAACTTCTGCCTGTGGCAACTGTATCCCCAAATATCAAAGCCTATAAAAACTAAATAGGCCTGGCACAGTGGCTCACGCCTGTAATCCCAACACTTTGGGAGGCCGAGGCGGGCAGATAGTTTGAGCTCAGGAGTCCCAGATCAGCCTAGGCAACATGGTGAAACCCCGTCTCTACCAAAAATAAAAAACTTAGCTGAGCGTGGTGGTGCACGCCTGTAGCCCCAGCTGCTGAGGAGCCTGAGCCCAGGGGGTGGAGGCTGCAGTGAGCCATGATCACACTACTGTACTCCAGCCTAGGTGACAGAGTGAGACCCTGTCTCAAAAAAATAAAAGAAAATAAAAATAAACAAAGAGAGAAGTGGAAGAAGAGGTGGAGTTTTGTATTTATGACTTGAATTTTGTATTCATGACTGGGTTGACACCCCAATCCACTCCATTTTTAGCCTTGAAACATGGCAAACAGTAACCATTAAAAGGATGGAAAAGAGAAGAAGGCATGGGTGGGAAACTGTGCCTCCCATTTTTGTGCATCTTTGTTGCTGTCCTTCCACTATACTGTACCTTTCAGCATTTTGACGGCAACCTGGATTGAGACTCCTGTTTTGCTAATTCCATAAGCTGTTGCGTTCATCACTTTTCCAAAAGCACCTGATCCTAGTACCTTCCCTGCAAAGACAAATGGTGAGTACGTGCATTTTAAAGATTTTCCAATGGAAAAGAAATGCTGCAGAAACATTTGGCACATTCCATTCTTACCAAACTCTAAATTTTCTCTTGGAAACTCCCATTTGAGATCATATTCATATTCTCTGAAATCAACGTAGAAGTACTCATTATCTGAGGAGCCGGTCACCTGTACCATCTGTAGCTGGCTTTCATACCTAAATTGCTTCAGAGATGAAATGATGAGTCAGTTAGGAATAGGCAGTTCTGCAGATAGAGGAAAGAATAATGAATTTTTACCTTTGCTTTTACCTTTTTGTACTTGTGACAAATTAGCAGGGTTAAAACGACAATGAAGAGGAGACAAACACCAATTGTTGCATAGAATGAGATGTTGTCTTGGATGAAAGGGAAGGGGCCTGCAACAAAAGAGTGTCACTCAGCGATGAAACAGAATTCCTGTGTGACATTATAAATAGTGGACAACTCATTATAATCTCTCACATCCTGTTTCAGTAATAATCATTTTCAGTCCTAACAACCACTCTACATATACTCTACTCCCCACAGACAATCAGGCAATGTCCCTGTAAAGGATACATTTCCTCCCTAGAAAATTGCGGATTATTCTCAATCCATTCTTTAAAACCATTTACTAGGGTAAATTTACAAGAATTACATCTGGTCCAGGCACGATGGCTCACGCCTGTAGTCCCAGCACTTTGGGAGGCCAAGATGGGAGGATCACTTGAGTCCAAGAATTAGACACCAGCCCAGGCAACACAGTGAAATCCCGTCTCTAAAAAAATTCAAAAATTAGCTGGGCGTGGTGGCAGGTGCCTGTAATCCCAGCTGCTCGGGAGGCTGAGGCAGGAGAATCGCTTGAACCCTGGCAGAGGTGAGCCAAGATCACGCCACTGCACTGCAGCCTGGGTGACAGAGCGAGTCTCCATCTCAAAAAAAAAAATGCATGGATTTAAACCTACAGGATGTACAAGTCAGAGAAAAAAGAAGTTCATATCCCTTTTATGAAGGTCGCACATGAAAGTGGAGAAGTCAGTTTTGTGAGGTTGGTGATCCTAACTACTAGGGTGGGCAGCCAGGTTTCACAACTGTTTAACTTAGGAGGGCTCTAAAAAGCAAACCAAAAATTATAAAACAGCAAGCTGAGGGCAAATAAGGAGGCTAATCAAAAGGGAAAATGACAGAGACTCCAAGTGACAAAATCTGTTTCTCTAGAGTTAGATCTTTCCATGGAGATTCACCACACTGGGAGTTTCTGCTTCTCCCGGTCACTGTGACACATGAGTCACAAGGGCACAGGGAGGACTCCGCCCCAACCTGTGAAACAGTCTCTCTGGGGATTCTTGCCTGACTCAAGAAACCTTTTCTCACACACTGACCCTATACTCTCCTGTAAAATTCCCCAAGTAAAAGTCAGCGATGGGGACTAACTTCTAGTGGGGAATTCCTGATGGTGGAATATCACAAGAACAACTGTTGTACCTGGAGAGTTTAAAAGGATCGTCTCACAAGATGTGCCAAGGGAATTGTATGCACAGCACTTGACCAGGAACCCTTTTATGGCTTCACTCATGTTTAGAGTACTGCTCGACACCCACTGTCCAAACACTTTTCTGTTAGCCTTTCTATTCCAGACTCCTTCTGTGATCTCTTCTGTGCAGCTGAAAAAAAAAATAGCAAAGAATTTAGACAGGTGAGCTGTCATCAGATTGGAAGTTAGGATTTCTGCAGCGAGTTCTAAAAGAGATTCATCCAGTATAAGTTATCAGAAACAGTCTATGACTATTGAGAGTTATGGTTGATTGAGAAGGTTAGCATTTTAAATATTTCATCATTTCCTCTTAAACTGTATTCATGAAAGAGTCAATAGGTCAGAGAGTTTTATGTTCTTCCATTATAAGAGGCATCAATGTCCTTATTACTTGGGAGACTTGTCTGAACACTTCTTCCAGGTCCAAGATGGTAATGGGTATCCATCCGAGAAACAGGACGCCTGACTTGCCGATGCTTCTGCGAGCACTTGAGGTTTCCCTATAGAAAAGAACGTGTGAAATAAGCTCACTGGCTGGGCATAGTGGTTCACTCCTATAATACCAATACTTTGTGAAGCCAAGGTGGGAGGATCACTTGGGCCAAGGAGTTCAAGACCAGCCTGGGCAACACAGCAAGACCCTGTCTCTGAAAATAATAAAATAAAATAAGCTCTTGGAGTATGGTACTTTCTGGAAATAGTTTCAAAGTTGCCTACAGTACAGGCTACCCATTTACTCCAGGGCAGTTTGTGCTTCTGGGAGGATTTCTCATTTAGGATGCCTCCAGACCTCTGGTAATTTCTTCTTTCCTCCTTGCCATGCAACCTCCTTGCCATGCAACCTCTCTGCTACACACCATTTTTCCATTGCCAGCCTCTCCCTGGAGAGAGCTGAGGTACAGACCTCCACCTGTTTGCATGCCTTAAAATGATTCTTAGCTTCAGGAGAAGTTGGACTTCTCATTGTTTTATAAGCCAAAGAAATGAAAATTATTAAAAACAAATAAATGAGAGATAAAATGACTTTCAGCCTTTCCTTAACATGACCTTTCAAAATACTAAAATCAATAAAGTCATAACACTAATTCATATTCAGAGACAATGTGAAATAAGTCTTTCAGCTTCTGATGATACACACAGAAAGAGATATATGGCCAGGTGCAGTGGCTCTCGCCTGTAATCCTAGCACTTTGGGAGGCCAAGGTATGAGGATCCCTTAAGGCCAGGAGTTTGAGACCAACCTGGGCAACAAAGGGAGGCCCCCTCTCTACAAAAATGGTTTTAAAATTAGCTGAGCATGGTGGCGCGTGCCTGTAGTCCCAGCTACTCGGGAGGCTTAGGAGGATCACTTGAGCCCAGGAGTTTGAAGCTACAGGGATCTATGATTGTGCCATGGCACCCCAGCCTGCGTGGTAGAGTGAGACCTGGTCTTAAAAATGAAACAGAACAAAATAACATAAAAAATAAAAAGATATATGATCAATGCCAGTAGATATGAGAGTAAAGTTTCAAAACACTTCAGCGTACAAAAACAGTTTTGTAGTAGCCCTTCTAAGCCATTACTTAACTTTTCCTAGTTAAGACTAATAAAAAATTAAGGAATTAAAAAATAAAAATCAAATTCTCGGCAATTTAACTTACTTCTTATATTCAGCGTGAACATTTTGGTAAATTGGGCATCATCATTTTCTGCATGGAATATATATTCTCCTGGCTGGTGCTTATGATTGCAAAACTTGGATATGCTGTTTGAAAAAGAATTAAAGACAGATTTAGCCCAATTGCTACAGGAGATGCTGCAACTAATGACAGTGTGCATGGGAGGTGTCTTCCTTGAAATGCTCCTCACTTGCTAAAGTTCACTGGAAAAGGAAATGTCCATATTGTAGACCCTTGCTACTCAAAGTGTGGTCCACAGACAGGCAGCATCAACATCGCCATTGGTATCATCTGGGAGCTTGTTACAATTGCAAGATTTCAGGTCCCTTCCAAATCACTGACTCAGAATCTGCATTTTAAGATGATCACCATGTGAGTCATATGCCCATTGGGAGTTGGGATTGGCCGAAGATTCTCAGTGAGACCAGGAAGTTCCTGCCCCTCTTGCTCTGGATAGTCTAACTTCTCAGAACTTGTGCAGGTGGAGAAGCCTGTAGTTCAGAGGTCCCCAGCCCCCCAGCCTCTAGACTGGTAACTGTCCATGGCCTATTAGGAAAGGGGCCACACAGCAGGAAGTGAGCAGCAGGCAAGAGAGCTTTACCGCTTCCTGTCAGATCAGCAGAGGGATTAGATTCCCACAGGAGCGGAAACCCCACTGTGAATTGCACACGCCAGGGATCTAGGTTGTGCGTTCCTTAAGAGAATCTAATCCCCGATGATCTGAGATAGAACAGTTTCATCCCGAAACCATCCCCCTACCCCCAATCTATGGAAAAATTGTCTTCCACAAAATGGATCCTTGGTGCCAAAAACGTTGGGGACTGCTGCTGTAGCTGCCCTGCTTCCTGAAATGACAGTCCAAGGCAGGACCTATGACCAACCCTTGACTTACATAGCAATGAACAACGATGAGGGCTCAAATCCACTGAGCTTGTGCAGAAACCTCTGAGTGCTCTCAGCAGGCTCTAGTGCCTACTTGGAGCACTCATCAACCACTCAATATTTTGACACAGATAACCTGATCTTGGGGACTGTCCACCACGCCCAGCAGGCCTGTGGGTTGCTGGATACTGCAGTGAGATGTTGGATGGTGCAGGAGAGGCAGGGCAGCAATGAGTTGTTGAATATGCCTTCGTGCACTCACAGTAACAAAATTGGAGAAAAAGAAAAAAATTCCCTTAAAACAGAAAAAGAAATCTAAGGCTTGTACCGAAGATATCTAACTCGACCTCCACATAGCCTACTGAAAGTTTTTTTTTTTTTTTCTTGAGACAGAGTCTCGCTCTGTCTCCCAGGCTGGAGTGCAGTGGCGCTATCTCGGCTCACTGCAAGCTCTGCCTCCCGGGTTCCCACCACTCTCCTGCCTCAGCCTCCGGAGTAGCTGGGACTACAGGCTCCTGCCACCACGCCCGGCTAATTTTTTATATTTTTTAGTAGAGACAGGGGTTCACCGTGTTAGCCAGGATGGTCTCGATCTCCTGACCTTGTGATCTGCCTGCCTCAGACTCCCAAAGCGCTGGGATTACATGCATGAGCCACTGCGCCCAGCCTAGCCTACTTAAAGTTTAAAAAACAAAAAGACCCTGCCTGGCAGGTTAGGAAGGTGAGTCAGAGTGGACGCAGCTTTAGATGAGGAGTGTGGAGGATGCAAAAGACCTAAAAAGTAGGTAGCTCCTATCTTCAAAGATACCTAAACCGGGTGGATAGACAGGACCCATACAAGTGGAATCATTAAAGCATTAAACTGAAGTCCAGCAGATGATCAAAGAAGGCAGAGGTCTGTGTCGGTGGGAAAGGTTCGGGGCCTTCATAGAGGAGGTAGAGCTCGAGCTGGAGCCTCACGGATGAGTTGGTTTTGATGAGAGGACAAAAGAAAAGGCATCCAAGGAGGAGACAAAGCAGCGACTGAAGGCGCCAGACGGGAAGTCATAGGGCTGCAGTGAGGAGGAACGGCAAGCCTCTCATGGGAGCAGAATATCATGAACAGTATTGTATTTACTTACTTTATTTATTTATTGATATGGAGTCTCACTCTGTCACCCAGGTTGGAGTGCAGTGGCACTATCTCGGCTTATTGCAACCTCTGCCTCCCAGGTTCAAGCGATTCTCCTGCCTCAGCCTCCTGAGTAGCTGAGATTACAGGTGCCCGCCACCACGCCCGGCTAATTTTTTGTATTTTTAGTAGAGATGGGGTTTCACCATGTTGGCCAGGATGATCTTGATCTCTTGACCTAGTGATCCACCCACCTCAGCCTCCCAAAGTGCCGGGATGAATTACGCATTTTAAAAATACAAATTACTTATTTTCTACAACAATGCTTACTGCCCTGAGCATTGCAATAAAACTTTTTTTTTTTTTTTTTTGAGATGGAGTCTCACTCTGTCGCCCAGGCTGGAGTTCAGTGGCGTGATCTTGGCTCACTGCAACCTCTGCCTCCTGGGTTCAAGCAATTCTCCTGCCTCAGCCTCCCAAGTAGCTGGGATTACAGGCACACGCCACCACAGCCAGCTAATTTTTATATTTTTCATAGAGACAGGGTTCACCATGTTGGCCAGACTCGTCTTGAATTCCTGACCTCATGTGATCCTCTCTCCTTGGCCTCCAAAAGTGCTGGGATTACAGGCATGAGCCACTGCACCTAGCCTTAATTTTATTTTATGTAATTTTTCTGTACAGATGGGGTCTCACTATGTTGCCCAGGCTGGTCTCAAACTCCTGCCCTCAAGCCATCCTCCCCACCTCGGCCTCCCAAAGTGCTGGGATAACAGGTATGAGTCAGGGTGGCTTGGCCTATGAAGAGTGTTTTATATGCACCTGCTGATGGCAGCAAAAGTTTACTGGAAGTTTAAAGGCAGTTGTAGCAATCCAAGAACTCGTTCATTCATTCCTTCATTCAACTGTCAATGTTAGAACCTGTTTGTGACGGAAATTGAGGACACAACAGCAAATTCAAAAAATTGGGTTTCTGTTCTCACAGAATTTACAATTTGGTGGTGAAGGTAGAGGGGTAATAAGCAGTTGGAGTGTGGGAAGTTTCTGTGATAGGAGAAGTAAAAGTTCAGATTTGAGGTTTCGGAGCATGACAAGGGGAGCGTTGTTTAATGGAGGAGAATGGGAAAGGAGAGAAAAGAGCAAACCCTAGAGGCACCAGAAAAAAAGAAATGGCAGGGGCTAGATTGGATACAGAAGATAAAGGGGAGAAGAGAATCCCAGTTGGTCCCCAAGACTCAAAACACACCTGTAATCCCAACACTTTGGGAGGCTGAGATGGGTGGACTGCTTGAGGCCAGAAGTTTGAGACCAGCCTTGGCAATCTACTGAGATCCCATCTCTACAAAAAAAATCCACAAAACGCCACTGCGTAATTGCAGCTTTTGAGCCCACGTTTGTGTGACACCAATGTTCTGTGCCCTGAACTCGTAAGCCAAGGTAATTCTGACTGTGTATTGTGAACAAGAGAATTCATCTCTCTGACCTATCAAAAGTTTCAGGCAGTTAAAAGTTGACCTTTGGGTGCGTGCAGGGGTTCACATCTGTAATCCCAGCACTCTGAGAGGCCGAGGAGGGTGCAATACTTGAGCCCAGGAGTTTGAGATCGGCCTGGGCAACATGGCAAGACCTTGTCTCTACAGAATTTTTTTTTTTAATTAGCTGGGTGCGATGGCACACACCTGTGGTCCCAGCTACTTGGGAGGCCGAGGTAGGGGAATTGCTGGAGCCACTATACTCCAGCCTAGGCAGCAGAGCAAGACCCGGACTCAAAAAAAAAAAAAAAAATGCTGAGCATTGAATAAGGTGTTTAACCTTCTTTTGCTTTGTTAACAAGAAGGCTGAAGAAGTCAAAAAGGGGAATTTCTTATCCTGACCTATTTCTGGACAACAAGGAGGAAATCACTGGTGAAGTGGAAACAATAGAAAGATTGGGGGAAAGCCAGATTACAACCCTAGGGAGGAGAAGAGGAAACAGAGCTCCATGCCAGTGCCCGACCTCAGGAAGGCAGTGTGGAAGAGGCTGGCGTGGAAGTGGCCCAAGAGAAGAAAGACGTGAGCTTCTAAGAGAGAAAGTGTAATTCTCTCTGGACAATGGCCAAAGACCCTGAAAAAGGAGAAGAGAGGAGGTAATGAAGCCAGTGTGGCTCACCAGAGAGCATGTCAGAGACACCAGTCAATTCAGTGGAAAAAGAAATGACCAGTACAATTACTTATCATGAGGCAGACCAAAGCAAAATGTTTCGTAAACATTTTTCTTCCTCAGTCTTTTGTGCTGTCTTAATAGAGTGTGGTTTGCCATGGTTTAGAAGAGATAGCACTTGAAACATTTTTCACTCTTCTGAACAAACTCCAAGTATGAAATTGGTCACATAAATAGCAGGAACACAAAACTGAATATCCAATGGCTTTAAACTGCCTTTCCTCATGCTTATGACAGTTAACCCTGGAAACAATGACAACTGCAATGACAACCGTGTCCTGACCCCATGGGAATTCCAAGGGGACTAACTAATTAGGCTGATTGGGAGATGCAAAGCTTCCTCTTTCGCCTAGGGGTTTTCTACAAATGGCCAGCCGGCAGGAGACGGAGGTCAGGACATTTGAGTTTACAGTAAAACAATACCTCGGTGTCTAAGAAGATGCGTTCTCATTAAAACTAAGAAAAGGGGTTTCTTGGCTGGGAACGATGGCTCACGCCTGCAATCCCAACACTTTGGGAGGCCAAAGGAGGAGGATCACTTGAGGTAAGGAGTTCGAGATCAGCCTGGCCAACATGGTGAAACTCCATCTCTACTAAAGATACAAAAAATTAGCTGGGCACGGTGGCACACGCCTGTAATCCCAGCTATTCGGGAGGCTGAGGCAGGAGAATCGCTTGAGGTGGAGGATGCAGTGAGCCGAGATCGCACCATTGCACTCCAGCATGGGTGAGAGGGCAAGCCTCCATCCGAAATAATAATAATAATAATAATAATAATAATAATAATAATAATAAATAAAAATGTCAAAGAAAGAGAAAGAAAAAAAAGTAAAGTTGATGCCCATCAACAGGAGTTAGTTAAAATAAAAATTTCTGAAAAGTGGAATACTATGCAGCCATTACAGCAATAAGGTAGATATAACAACATACTTATTAATATAGAAAGATACTCATGATATATTTTAAGTGAAAAATCAGATTACAAATGGTACCTTATTTCATGTTTATACAAAGATCCATATTGTATGTTTCTATCATGGTGCTTACATAGAAAAAGTCTGCAATGTTATCTCTGGAGGTGGAATTATGTGTTTTTTTAAGGCAATTTCAGAAAAAGAAGGAATAAAGGGTGTTGGCTTTGCCTTCTGTGATTGGGCAAGTAATTTAGCCTCAATTTCCACATTTCATAAAATGGGATTATGAGAGTTAAATGAGGTAATACACCTATAGGATTTTGCACATGGTAAGAGCTCAAAGAAGGATCTTTTATTCTCACAGAATGGCTTCTTAAGATGTGGTTAATAACTTACAACTGAGTGGGGTCTTGGGAAGACCTGCAGCCAGGAATGTTGTCTCAAACTGCAGAAGTGAATGGGAACGGCATTTAGGTAGGAGCTGCTGGTATTTCTCTAGACTCAAACTTTTCCCTCATTTTCCCTCCTTTCTGTCTGTGCTCAAGGCTCAACTCCTTCAGAAAATAGGAAAAAAAAAAAAAACAACTCCTCTCCCAGGCTCCATAATCTTCTGCAATTGTGTGTCACTCATTGTATGTGACAGCCTGCTTTTCAGTTTGTGGTTCTTCTGAGCAGGACCCTGGCTCACCACCCAGAACCCAAACGACCACCACACAGCTGTTTACCCCGTAAGCACTCGGTTAGTGCCTACTGTGGGCAAAACTTAGATTCACAGAGTTGGAAAATTAAATATTTCAGGAAAAAGGAAAACATCAGGCTTAGGCAAGGCTAAGGAGAAGGTTTCAGAAGAGGTTACTAAGTAATTACAACAGTCCTATTCCTTTTTTTTTTTCCCATAAAAGTGGAAAAAGCTAAGGTAGATTTGGAATTTGTAATTAAGTCTGTAGAGATAGGAAATTATACAAACTAATGGGTGAAATATCCTGGAAACCTTTATCAGGACCAGGACACCAGGACGGCTAGAAAGTTATAATTTAATAAAACATAAAGGCAAGCCCTAGTAAACTTTGGCGTAATATTTGAGGAAGTAAATTGGAGAAATGAAGCCATGAAAGTGGGGAAGCCGAGAGATTTCTGGTGCACATACCATGACCACACCAAAGTTTTTTCAGGGGTAGTGTTATTACAGGGGCCTTTCAGTAACAGATTTTTAAAAAATTGTATCACTTTGCCTATAAAATCTTGATACATGACTAAAATACTGTACTTCACAAACCAAATTCGGTTCAATTAAATTGTTGAATCTAGGTGGTAGGTAAAGAATGCTCATGCACTATTATTTCAACTTATTAGTAAATTTGAAACTTTCTATAATAAAAAGTCAAAAGGAAAGACGGGTGCAGTGGCACACGCCAAGTTGCAGCTACTCAGGAGGCTGAGGCGGGAGGATCACTTGAGCCCAGGAGTTAGAATCCAACCTGGGCAATATAGCAAGACCCTGACTCTAAAAAGCAAAAAGAAGCCAGGAAAGGTGGTTCACGGCTGTAATCCCAGCACTTTGGGAGGGCAAGGCGGGCAGATCACGAGGTCAGGAGTTTGAGACCAGCCTGGCCAACATGGTGAAACCCCGTCTCTACTAAAAATACAAAAATTAGCCGAGTGTGGTGGTGCATGCCTGTAATCCCAGCTACTCGAGAGGCTGAGGCAGGAGAATCACTTACTCACCTCCACCGAGAGGAGAATCACTTAATCACCTCCGCCAGGAGGAGGAGGTTGCAGTAAGCCAAGATTGCGCCACTGCACTCTAGCCTGGGTGACAGAGCGAGACTCCGTCTCAAAAAAAAAAGCAAAAAGAAGGGCCAGGCGCGGTGGTTCATACCTGTAATCCCAGCACTTTGGCAGGCCGAGGTGGGCGTATCATTTGAGGTCAGGAGTTCGAGACCAGCCTGGCCAACATGGCAAAACCCCGTCTCTACTAAAAATACAAAAAAATAGCTGGGCAGGGTGGCACATGCCTGTAATCTCAGCTACTAGGGAGGCTGAGGCAGGAGAATCACTTGAACCCAGGAGACGGAGGTTGCAGTGAGCCAAGATCATGCCACTGCACTCCAGCCTGGGCGACAGAGTGAGACTCTGTCTCAAAAAAAAAAAAAAAGGCAAAAACAAAGAAAAGTGGAAATTACCCCTGACTATAATCTAGTCCTCCATCCCCATCTCAACATAGAGCCTCATGTGGAGAGAAAAAGACATTTAGAGCACTCAGAGGCGTGTTCAAATTTTGTGTTGTTCGTTTCTTGTTCAGTACTTTGAGCATGTTTTCTCATGAAGAAGGAGGGCCCATCTTTCCTTTGCTGTGTGTCGTCAGTGGCCCATAACACCTGGTACATTATCAGTACCAACAATGCACATCATTAGCACAAACACTGTAGCTCTTCAAGAACTTTCAAATAACAATAAACACTGAGTACTGGGTGTTGTGCTAAGAACCATGTGCATGGTCCTTGCAGTGAAGAGGATGCTGTCGACTCATCTTTGGCCCAGACTGCACTGTGAGTTGCATTCCAGATATGATGATGAATTCATTCATTTATTAAACACACTTACTGAACAAGGCATTGTACAAAGATAGAGAAATATGGCAGCATACCTATTCTTAGAGTTTATAAACTCCCTGGTGAGATGTGACATACATACTTATCTGTTGCCAGATAAGTAGGAATGAGTGAGGTACAAAACGCTATAGGAGTCAGGAGCTCACCTAATTCATTCATTTGGCTACCTCTATAGGATAACAATCTGGGGTCATGGGTATGGATTGTAGCCATGGAATGAAACTACATGAAGCAGCCCACTACATTGGCCCATGACCCATATGTCAGTGACATGGTCCCCAACTGGCGATTCTGTAAAATCTCAAAAGGTTATACCAGATATCACCAGCACAGTAGCAATCTGTGTACATTCTTGCGGGAGAGGGAAAGCAACATTACCTTATTCACTCTTGCAGCCCATCACAGCATCACACCCATCAAGAGGATATTAAAGTAATATTTGTTGAACTAAATTGAATCGACCCCTTCTCTCTTTGAATCAGGTTCAGAAGAGATTCCCATAATGCTAAGAGCTTATCTAACATGGGGATAGGATACAAAGGAGAGAGGGGACAGTGATATGCTGATTTCCTTCTGAACACAGGCCAAGTGGTAATCAAGTCAACTAGGGTAAAGAGGGGCTGACTCTCCAACCTTCTACATTTAAAAGCTTGATGGGCCAGGCGCGGTGGCTCACGCCTGTAATCCCAGCACTTTGGGAGGCTGAGGCGGTTGGATCACTTGAGGTCAGGAGTTCGAGAACAGCCTGGCCAACATGAAGAAACCCCGTCTCTATTAAAAATACAAAAAATTAGCTGGGCATGGTGGCATGCACCTATAATCCCAGCTACTTAGGAGGCTGAGGCAGGAGAATTGCTTGAACCCAGGAGCTTGCAGTGAGCCAAGATCGTGCCACTGCACTTCAGTCTGGGCAACAGAATAAGACTCTGTCTCAAAAAAAAAAAAAAAGCTTGATATTTCTGAATAACAGCTTACGATGACTGTGGGTTGATGCCTCTAAGGCAATGGTTCTCAAAAAAAAAAAAAAAAAAAATGCCAGGGGTTATTTTTCTCAATTTGGCAGTGTCTGGAGATATTTTTGGTCACACTGGGAAAAGGGAATGTGCTCCTGGCATCCAGTGGGAGGAGACCCGGGATGCTGAAAAGTATCCTACAGTGCACAGGACAGTCCTTCACAACAAAGAATTATCCAGCTCAACATGCCAGCAGCGCCACTGTTGACAAACCCTGAGTTTGGGGGAGTGTGTTTCAGTCAGCTCCCAGACCAGTCTGCATTCTTAATTACTTTAAAAATGAATGCTCTGAACATTGGGGGGTTTCAGTAAGAGACAGTAGACAACTCCATGCAAACCCTGCACTGAGATTCTAAAAGTCCCAACAAGGGACTTTTAGTACAAATCCCTTTTAGGTATAAAGAGTAACAATAATCATGAAACAAACACTTAGCGGAATCAAGGTGAAAAGAACTCCTACTCTTCATCTAGAACAGGGCTAGCCAATGAAACAGAATGTGAGTCACAACTTCAAGCCTTGTACATCATTTACAAATTCTGTTGGCTGTATAAAGTAAAAGGAAGCAGGTGAAATTAAGTTTAATAACATATTTCGCTGAATGCGATATATCCAAAATACTATCATTTTAATATATAATCAATGTAAAAATTGTTTTAATTTTATTATTATTTTTTCTTTTTGAGGCAGGTTCTTGCTCTGCATCCAGGCTGGAGTGCGGTGACGTGATCATGGCTACTGCAGCCTCGACCACCTGGGCTCAATCAATCCTCCAACCTCAGCCTCCCAAGTAGCTGGGACTAAAGGTGTACACCACCACACTCAACTCATTTTTGTATTTTCTGTAGAGATGGGATTTTGCCATGTTATCCAGGCTGGTCTCAAACTCCTAGGATCAAGCGATCCACCCGCCTTGGCTTCATAAAGTGCTGGGATGACAGGTGTGACCCACCGAGCCCGGCCAATATAAAAATTATTAATAATATATTTTACATTCTTTTTTTCATACTAAGTCTTCAAAATCTAGTGTGTATTTTACAATTAGAGTACATCTCAATTTGGACCAGACACACTTCAAGCTCTCAATAGCCACATGTGGCTGGTGGCTACCGTACCGGACAGCACAGATCTAGACCTGTGATAGGAATCACCAAAGGTTCTCATTAAAAAAGCAGAGTCTGAGCGTTTTGCCCCAGTTTTGAGTCAGCATGTCTGGAATGGGAGCCAGGAATCCACATTTTAAACATTTGCTCAGATGATTCTTACACAGTTGTTCAACAGACCACATGCTGAGAAAGGATGATTTATTCTAGTCCATTGACTTGTTTGAAAGATAACATGTGCGTCTCAGTGTCTCATAGCCTAGTCCAAAACCATGTTCCATAGCATTAGTTTAAAGAGACAAGAGATGTCATAACTATAGAAGATATAGGGGAAAGTTGTTTTTTGTTTTCCAAAGAAGGAATGGAGAATTCCTCCCACAAGAGAATCTTTCGGCTGGGTGCAGTGGCTCACGCCTGTAATCCCAGCACTTTGGGAGGCCCAGGTAGGGTGAATCTCCTGAGCTCAAGAGTCCGAGACCAGCCTGCGCAACATGGCAAAACCCTGTCTCTACCAAAAATACAAAAAATTAGTCAGGTGTGGTGGTGTGCACCTGTGGTACCAGCTACTTGGGAGGCTGAGGTGGGAGGATCACTTGAGCCTGGGAGGTGGAGGTTGCAGTGAGCCAATATTGCACCACTGCACTATAGCCTAGGTGACAGAGTGAGACCTCATCTCAAAAAAAAAAAAAAAAAGAAAAAGAAAAAGAAAAGAAAATTTGTTGTTCTTAAAAAAAAGAATCTTGCATAGTTTCTCATACAAATCCCGAGGAAAACAACATTTTCCTTCAGCACTTACTATTGGGCTATTTCTGCATGTATTTTTTGAAAATTTAAATCAATACACCTATGAGTAATGTTTTTCTGTTTTTAAGGAGTTTTACTTCCTCAATCATCTGCAAATGTTTTAGGGGAGACTCAGTGTCCTACACACCGCACTCTCAAACAGGAAGTAAAAACTACCTTGTGACTCAGAAAATGCCAGAGAACCAGACTCAAACTAGACCAGACTAATACGGTTCTTTCTGTTTTCATGCAGCAGGTTATATTATCTAAAGTAATGGTAAGACTGCTACTGTATCCTCACATCTGCTTATTGTTTTCTTATCTCCAATTTCAACTCAATAATAGTTAAACTCATAAGTGAATTTGCTTCCATAAGTATAAAACTGTCCTTCTCAAGGGCGACAAGCAAGGAGAATTATGCTAAAAATGGTATCTTAGAGTCCTTTGTGGTCTCACCTGTATCCGTTATCAAGACCCTTTTGCTCACAAGGAAATGATTTTCGAGAGAAGGTCCACGTACATCTGATTTGTGGGTAGGCTTTAAACCTGACAGAAAAACAAAACTCTTCATATTGGTCAATTTCATAATCTTCACTTGAATTGGTAGCATTTATAAATCCCTTTTCTGTAAGAAAAAATAGGCATTTATGAGTTAGTTAATAATATTCATAGGGAAACGTATTGAGAAGATAAAATAAACTTGTATTCATCAGTTTAACACAGGAAAACTCAAGTGTTGGCATGCTGCAGGTCAGGTTGGATAATCCAAGTGAAAACCCAGGAGTCCTATCCCTAGTTCTAAGCCTGAGCTCATCATCTTTCGAAGTTAAGAAATGTTTAAAAAAAGAAAGAAGGAAAGAAAAAGAATGGGATGTAGATAATTGACTGTCTGGCCCCTGCTCTCAGCCAGCACCACTCTTCCATTGATGAGAGAGAGTAAAATAAACTCAAGGCACAAATAAAAGAGCGATCTGGCTAGCAATATTCACGAGGTTGCCTTATGGAACACTTCCTTATTAATCTGCTAAGAGCATCGCTGTATTTCTCGGCATTTTCATTATGGCTGAACGCTGTGCCCTAATCTGAGATTATTGAACTGTGGTTATTTTCAGATCCTACATACCCCACCAAAATTTCAGTGCATCTAAGGGCTTGTACTGTCTCTCAGTGCTCACTGCCCTAACAGTGCGGTTAGTTGGTTCTTAGAACTAGTATTTATTGTCCATTTTGTGTCAGGCTCTGTGTCAGGTTCTGGAACTACAAGGATAGAATGAGTTGTTCTTGTCCTTAAGAAACTTACAGTCTACTGGAGGATAAAAGTACACAAACAGATGGTCATATTACAATGTGTTATATGCAAAGACAGTGGCATTCAAGCGAGCCTGGTTTAACGGGAAAAGGAAGAGGGTGGGCAGATTATCTTTGCAAAGCTATTCTAACTCAGTTTCTTTCTTAGTGTTTGATAGTAGCATTATATTGAAATCAGAATTTGTACCACATACTTCACATTCCACACTACAGCGACTAAAAATAGGAATAAAGATTGTGTGAGCAGCCTGCATTACCTACGATGGTAACCAAAGCTGATTGACTGGGATGCTTTGAAGAGGAACAAGTGTAGTATCCGGTGTCGTTTCTTGCCACTGATGATACAAAAGCAAACAGAATCCGTATCATAGTTCTGTTTGTTGAATAGGTACTCATCTCAAAGTAGTTGCCCTAGGTTTTAATAAAACAGAGTTTGCATTTAATGTTTTCAATCCAGACTATTAGTTAATTGTTCCTGCATTTTCAGAATACAAACTTGTCCTATTACCTCCTCGAGTGCTTTGTTTTCTAATTCCCAGGTGAGCCCGAATCCATGGTTCACATGAACAGCTTTGCACCTTATCCATAAGGGTTCCCCTACTTTAAGAAATAATTGTGGCAATGTGGTCTGAGGAGTTTGATTTAGATCTAGGAGATGAAAACATCCCAAGTGAGAAAAAAAAAGTGATTTTTGCCTCATCACAAAAGATATCCTGAACATTCTGAACAAAGACTTTAGCATCATCTCAAATATTACTAACCACATTAATAAAAGAAGCTTTTAGAGACTGACTCCTCTTTTATGAAGAAATCAGCATTTACAGAATCCATAATATTGCATTTACTGTGACCTGAAGGAATGATAGGATTTCTGAAGTTGAATGATCACCTACGCAGTTACTGTTAGTCCCTGATAGTTGCTAAGAACCGGTCACTGAAAATGAAAGTGCATGATATTATAGTGTTACCTATTGTGAACAGCCTGGTGCATTCCCTGCCCAGTTCATTTCTGGCACAGCACCTTATGTCCGTCCCAAATAATTCATGAAGCACTTTTTCCTCCTTTTTAACAACAGCTGGACTTTCTTCTTTACAGCTGCAATTAGAAAAGAAGTACCATTTGGCTAAACAAGTTTTAAAATTACAAATGAATGCTCAAGAGGAGAACAAAGTTCTAGAGCCAGTTTTAAGGGTCAAATGGTAAACAAAAGGTCAAAAGGTAAACAAGCCCATATCTATGGTTTCAGCTAAGAGCTCAGAGGGGAGCTAGCTAGTTACTCATTATCGCAATGAATTAGCATAACACTAAGGAGAATTACATAACAAAACAGTTTAAAATTGTTCATGTTTGGTGATCTCTTTGTTGCTGTTGTTTAAAGACAGGGAAAGAAAGGGAAAAAAATGAGAAAGAAGATAAAGGAAAAAAAGAGAAGAAAGAGAGAAGAGAAAAAGCATGATTGGGCTTTCATGAAGTTTAGCAAGGTAAGCATCCTTTTGGGACGCAGTAAGGGAGGGGGAAGCTAAAGTTTCAAAAGTCACCCGAGTTCCCATAGGAACAGAGGAGGGCCAAGGTGTCACCCACAAGGGAAGTCAGCCAAGACTCCCAAGTATTCAACAGAGCAAAACCCCTCTCCCTGCCTCAGCAGAAAGCGAACTTTTGTACCACTTTGGAACAAAGTATTTGGTACTTTTTCTCCTTCTATTTGGTCCTATTTTAAAAAAAAAAAAGTTGTTTAGTAAATTTTAATTAGTTCAAACTGCATGAATTTTTACTTTGTAAGAACTTAACTTTGGCATATATGAAAAACTATGTAAACATTTATACCTTACTTAGTATTGGCTAGGCACTGTTCTATGTGCTTTACATATATCAATTCATTTAATCAGAATAGCAATCCTATAAGTATCTGTTGTCATCCGCATTCTTCTGATGAGGCACAGAGAGTAAGTAACTTGTCCAAGGCCACACAGCTGCTAAGCAAACCAGGGTTCAAACCCAGGCTATCTGGCTCTGGATTCTATATCTTTAAACAATCATATTAGACTGCTTTCCCAGAACAAACAGGATAATCAGAAATTAAACATTTTGTCACAAGGAATTTCTTTCTTCCTTTCTTTTCTTTTTTTTTAGATGGAGTCTCACTCTGTCACCCAGGCTGGAGTGCAATGGCGCGATCTCGGGTCACTGCAATCTCCGCCTCCCGGGTTCAAGCAATTCTCCTTCCTCAGCCTCCTGAGTAGCTGGGATTACAGATGCCCACCACCACACCTGGCTAATTTTTGTATTTTTAGTAGAGACGGGGTTTGACCATGTTGGTCAGGCTGGTCTCGAACCCCCAACCTCAGGTGATCTGCCTGCCTCGGCCTCCCAAATTGCTGGGATTACAGGTGTGAGCCACTGTGCCCAGCCTATAATTTCCCTTTTTTTTTTTTTTTGAGATGGAGTCTCGCTCTGTCACCCAGGCTGGAGTGCAGTGGCGCGATCTCGGCTTACTGCAAGCTCTGCCTCCCAGGTTCACGCCATTCTCCTGCCTCAGCCTCCTGAGTAGCTGGGACTACAGGTGCCCGCCACCACGCCCGGCTAATTTTTTTTGTATTTTTAGTAGAGATGGGGTTTCACCATGTTAGCCAGGATGATCTCGATCTCCTGACCTCGTGATCCGCCGGTCTTGGCCTCCCAAAGTGCTGGGATTACAGACGTGAGCCACTGTGCCCAGCCTAGAATTTCTTACTTATAAGATAATTCTACTTTAAAATCAGTATCTTTCTTTTTGCCCCAACCAGATGCCCAGGGAGCCAACAATCCTGGAACGTAGAGGGACTTTTACTTGTGTAGCATGATGCCCAGGAAGGGCCCTGCAGTTGATTTGAGGGGTTCCAAAAAGCCCCTTACCAAAAAAATCCTTGTCCTCCCTGTGAAGCCCACATTGGCCATTCTGTATTACTTATTTATTTTATTTTTTTAATTTTATTTATTTATTTTTTGAGACGGAGTTTCGCTCTTGTTGCCCAGGCTGGAGTGCAATGGCGTGATCTTGGCTCACCACAACCTTTGCCTCCCAGGTTCAAGAGATTCTCCTGCCTCAGCCTCCAGAGTAGCTGGTATTTTAGGTGCCTGCCACCACACCCAGTTAATTTTTTGTATTTTTAGTAGAGATGGGGTTTCACCATGTTGGCCAGGCTGGTCTCAAACTCCTGACCTCAAGTGATCTGTCCACCTTGGCCTCCCGAAATGCTGGGATTACAGGCGTGAGCCACTTCACCCGGCCCTATACTGGCCATTTTTTAACTTTAAGAAGCCAAAGTTTCCTGTTTAAATGAGCATAAATTAAATTTTACATACAGCTTGATGTCAACTACATTAGAAAAAGGCCAAAAGGAAATTATGAGAATAGCAGCTACCATGGATGTGTCATACCTTTCCCCCTGTGAATCGCAAAGCACCCATTCCACGATCGGCTCTGGAACGCTCTCAGATATGCAGACCAGGGCGTCCTGGTTTTCCATTTTTCTAAAGTAAGGTCTTCTTAATGTGTAAAGCAGGGTATCTAAAGCATCATAAGTTATTAACATTTTACTATTTTAAAAATAATTCTCTTAGCAGCCCCTCAGAAAAGGATTCTATGTCATTATGAAAAGTTCTCAACCATTACGTATACATATTTTTTTCTTTTTTCATAATAAAGGCATCAAAAGCAAACCAACCATTATATTAAATTTAGCTGTGGCTGCAGTGTCAACTTGAACATTTCTCCTCTTGGCCAATTTCTTTGGGTATTTCACAAATCCACAGCTAACTAAAGTAGTCGAGTGAAGCCATGTGAAAATACAAATATTGATAGGCACAGGAAAAAGGAAATTAGCAATAACATATGGCTTAAACCCTTGTTTAACACATAGTTTAGACCTCAACTTTCTTCCTATAATTTGATCTGCAACTAGGCAGAAATATACTAAGATTTAGAAAGACAGAAGAAACATGGTAGGGTGGAGTTGGAATTGCAACAGAACTTAAGAGGTTTAGTTGAGCCTCCCACTCACCCTGGATCACACACACACACACACACACACCATCCTTCACTCCCAGCTATTTCTAACATAAACTTTCTACTTCTACTTTGACTCTTCTAGAGACTGGAGTTCATGACCTCCCAGGGCAGGTCATTCTAATTTCTGACAAACTTTTTTTTTTTTAAAGAAAGTTTCCCTATACTGAATTCCAGCCTCTCTCCTTACAATAAATTTTGTTTGAAAATACTATGTACTGTTTGATATATATATATATATATGAAAGAATATATGGAGTGTAAATTTCAAAGCATAACAACAACAAATACCCACGGAGCCACTATCCACCTAATAACTAGAATATTAATAAATACCTTTTGATCTACTTTTATGCTTCTCCCCACCTCTCAACTGCACGTATCCTTTATCCTGAATTTTGTTGATTATTCGAGGACTCTTCAAAGTAGTTATACCAAATAAATATGTGGCACTAAACAATATATTGATTTTTTCATTCTTGAGCTTCAAAATAGTGTTATCAATCAATATGTAACTTCTACAACTTCATTTTTTCATCCAACCTTATGTTTTTAAAATTCATCCATGGTTTTACATGTAGCTATACTTTATTCATTTTTTTTTTTACTGCTACATAATATTCTATTGGTAAATATATCATTATTTTTTCATTTTCTTGCAGTAGACATTTGGGTTGTTTCCTTCCGTGTGTGTGTGTGAGACAGGGTCTCTGTCACCCAGGCTGGAGTGCAGTGGTGCAATCTCAGCTCACTACAGCCTCAACCTCCCAGGCTCAAGTGATCTTCCTGCCTTGGCCTCCCAAAGTGCTTGGATTACAGGTATGAGCCACCACACCCGGCCACAGTTTTTTGTATGATCAACCATGTGCTCTGAACATTCTACACATTTGTACTGAGGCATGTGTATAACAGTTTCCTTAATAACATTCTTAAGAGTGGAACTGCTGGTCTACATGGTATGAGCACATTCAGCCTTACACATAATGATCATTTGTTTTCCAAAGTGGTTATACTAATTTATGTTACACAGCAGGATATGAGAGCACCTATTGCTTTATAGACTTACCAAGACTTCTTAATTTTCAGCAATCCAGCAAGTATAAAATGGTATTTCATTGTGGTCTTAATTTAATTTCTCCATTATTAATTTAACATGTGTTAAAATAATTAATTGGGAGTCCATTAGGCTGAGACAACTCTAACAGCTTGAGTTCCTAGGTAAACAAATCACAACACAACTCAAAAAAAAAAAAAGGAAAAGAATAAAGGCCGGGCAAGGTGGCTCACGCCTGTAATCCCAGCACTTAGGGAGGGTGAGGCGGGAGGATCGCTTGAGCCCAGGAGTTCGAGACCAGCCTAGGTAACATGCCAAAACCCCGTCTCTACAAAAACAACAACAACAAAAAGCAAAAAACAAACCCAATTCAATATGAGCAGCAAAATGCAACTTAGCTTAATCAATGAGGAACTGCAAACTGACCAATCCAGGGACTGTCCTTCTTTAAACAATCAAATTTTTTCTTTGTCTTGCTTCCGGGAACACATTATAGAAAGAAGTCTTACCCTTGAATCTCCTCACTGGAGCCCACCTGCTTGCCATCTGGTACTGCCTGATTCATGAATTGCTTTCTGCTCAAATATACTCTTTACAACTTTAAAGTGCCTAAGTTTATCTTTTAACATGTTTCTTGACCATTTAGGTTTCATGTTCCAAAAATGAAATGCCTACTCATGTCCTTTGTTCATTGCTCTACTAGGTTTTCATTTTGTTCGTTTTTCTTATTGACTTATTGACTTATATAGATTGTTTATCTTATTGACTTTACATATTATGACTATTAATCCTTTGTTGATTGTGAACTGCAAGTATTTTTTCCCATCTTGAGGTGATTTTTACTTTTTCTCCCTGTAATTTCTAACAATTGGTTCTTATCATATCCTCTAGAGCAACTTTTTTAAAGTCTAGCTTTGATTCCATATGAAAATCTTTCAAATATTTAAAATCAGAAACCGAGATCAAGGGAGATAATTACCATACAAGGTACTTTAACTAGTTAGCTCAGGTTTCCTGACTCAAATCCCAAAAGAATTTCCTCTGCATTACACTGCAATCAATCTTATCGTCTCCTCAAAACATTTCCTTCTATATACTACACATTCCCAATTCCTTCAACTGCTCCTAATTTAAAGAATTCCAAGTTTTCCACTATCCTGGTTGCTCATTTTGTCAGTATTCATCTTTAAAAAAGTAGAACTGAAATGAATAAGCTTCTATTAATTTCCTTAATTTAGACGTTATATTTTCATGAACACTGCCAAGGTTCAAATTTACTTTTTTGGCAACCATGCCACGCTGGTGGTTAATACTGAGCTTGTGGTTGACTAAACCCTTTCCTCTTTTTCACACTGACTGTTGCCACATCTCTCCCACCTATTTTTTGGATCCCACCACCTTGCAGAATGCTAAAAATAAGTTATAATTTACCTGAATAACTGTTGTTACATTTTTACATTGTAAATCTTAAGTGAAAGGAATATACCCTAAGTATAACAGAGACACAGCAGATGCCCACTTACCTTATACAACTGTTTATACTTGGCAAGAAAATTTTAAAAGGAGAGAAAAAAGGAGAAAGAGGAAGAGAAGTAGAGAACAAGAAACGTCCTAGCTTCATCCAACCTGGGGCACGTATTTACTGTCCCACAGAGGCGGTGAGGGACTAGAAAGGGGGCAGGGAACATGACCGACATTAAAGAGCAACATAAGGTGATTCTCGGCTTTGGAGCTTGTAGGGCTCTGGTCCTATCATTTTCAGAGTAATTAAAGGACTTTCCAGAATAAATTTTGGGTAATTTTGACTTTAGCTCATGTATACCTTACAGGCTGACTTTAGAACCTTACTCCACCCCCAACCCCAGTAAGATGATGCTTCTGGGACTCTTGCGTGCTCTCTTCTGTTAGTAGCTTTGACAGCAAGACCCACACATTCTCACACAAGACCCAGGGCAGTGTGGTGCAGAAAGCCTCCAGCTGTGCCCACCACCACACCTCTCAGAGGGGCTGTTTTCTCATCTACATGCATGCAGGATCGCTGTGAGCATCTGAGATGAAACAGGCAGAAGATCTTCAGCAAAGGGCAGTTGTGGTTACTCCTGACCCAGGGCACCTCTGTGGGCCGGACATTTAGTCACTGACAAGGAAGAGGGGAGCCTGGCAAGTTGTGTCAATGTGTCGGGGGGACCTAATTTCAAGTGATATTAACCCAGGGTTTTTGGAGCACTGCACTGGCCCCTAAAGGCACGAGGACCTAAGTGAATGCAGACACCTTTAGTCCTTCTTGGTCATGGAAGGCGAAGCAGCAAGTTCAGTGTGCATAGCACGGAGTCTGTGCATGATGGGGACGAAACAAGGAGAAGCCAGAAAGCACACGCAGGTGGTGCCTCTGCCAACTGCACAGCTGCCTCCCTTGGTCAGAACATCTGGACCGTTCCTTACAGTTTGCATATGGTCTAGCACGCATGTGGGCCCGCGCTGTCCAACACAGTAGCCCCTAGCTGCATGGGGCTATTTACATTCCAATTTTAACAAATTAAAATTAAATAAAATTAAAACTTTAGTTCCTCAGTCACCTTAGCCACCTTTCAAGTGTTCAACAGCCCCATGTGGCCAGTGGCTACTGTATTGGAAAGAACAGACAAGATCATTTTCATCATCTCAGAAAGTTCTATTGGATCACGCTGAGACCTTCCAATCCTGTGAGGTACGTATTTTTATCCTCATTTTACCAATAAGGAAATCGGGGCTCAGAGAAATTGTGACCTGCCATAGGTGGTAGTATCAGAACCAGAATTAGAACAGAGGTCTTCTGATTCCAAGGTCAAAATGTTTTCCATTTCTTCCCTGTCAGCCATCTGCTACTGAACAGAGGACGTCCCAGGCGTTTTTAGCAGCAGTCACATTCTGAGAGCCCACGGCACACATCAGTGATTCATCAGTGATTCTCAGTTCTCTATAGGTTCTACAGAGGGTTGACAGGAATCTAATCAATCCAACTACGTATCAAGGGAAACCTGAATATGTCTAGAGGAGCTGGTCAAGCTAACGGGTTCTAAACCACTCCTTTGAAATATTGTGGTATTCCAGGCTGGAATACTAGTAGCAGGCTGGACTTACTTCTTATACTCACTGTAAACAATATTGTGTAATTGGTAGCTTCACTCTGAATAAAAAGTAGGTATTCTCCAGCTTGGGTTTCTGTCATTTTCAAAATGACCATGGAAACAACTCCTCTGCAAAACAGGAAAGAGAACTAGTTATTTTGGAAAATGTGTGAAACTAAAAACAAAATTTCATAGTGACTAAAAAGGCAGTTTGGTACTCCAGCGTTCCCCGACTGGCACGGAAGCCGCTCTGTGGAGAACACAGCTTCTGTCATGTGCCCAGCACTCAGCCTGGGCGTTGCTCGTTGAACCCTGACTTTTAACCAGTCCTCCCCTTGAGGGTGGGAGAGCTCCATTCCGGTGCCATCATCTCACCTTCTCTGAGCTTCTAGGATCGAAAACTCCCATCTAAAAACACACAGGAGGCCGGGTGCGGTGGCTCATACCTGTAATCTCAGAACTTTGGGAAGCCGAGGCAGGCAGATCACCTGAGGTCAGGAGTTCGAGACCAGCCTGGCCAACATGGTGAAACCCTGTCTCTATTAAAAATACAAAAATTAGCTGAGAATGGCGCAGGCGCCTGTAATCCCAGCTACTCAGGACACTGAGGCAGGAGAATTGCTTGAACCCAGGAGGTAAAGGCTGCAGCAAGCTCAGGTCGCACCACTGCACTCCAGCCTGGGTGACAAGAGTGAAACTCCGTCTCAAAAAAAAACTGAAAAAACAACAACAAAAGCACAGTAAGCTGGGTGCAGTGGCTCACACATGTAATCCCAGAACTTTGGGAGGCCAAGGCTGGCAGATCACTTGAGCCCAGGAGGTCAAGACCAGCCTGGGCCACATAGTGAGACCCTACCTCTATTTTTTAAAAATTAAAAAAAAAAAACAAAAAAAAAAACGGCCAGGTACAGTGGCTCATGCCTGTAATCCCAGCACTTTGGGAGGCTGAAGTGGGTGGATCACCTGAGGTCGGGAATTCAAGACCAGCCTGACCAACATGGAGAAACCCTGTCTACTAAAAATACAAAATTAGCTGGGTGGGGTGGCGCATGCCTGTAATCCCAGCTACTCAGGAGGCTGAGGCAGGAGAATTGCTTGAACCCGGGAGGCGGAGGTTGCGGTGAGCCAAGATCATGCCATTGCACTCCAGCCTGGGCAACAAGATTGAAACTCCATCTCAAAAAATAAAATAAAATAAAATAATAAAATAAGTTCACACTTTCTGACCTTTAGACCCTTAACTGTGCAAAGTGTAGTCTTTCTCTAACAGTGTTAGCATCAGCTGGGAGTTGACAAAGATGTAGAATCTCAGGTCCCACTGAGACCTACTCATCAGAATCTGCATTTTAAACAAGATCCCCAGGCAATCCAAATACAGGTTATATTCGAGAAGCCCTGCTTTAAAGCAGCAAGCAGGTTCAATAGAACATGGGCCTGCATTCTTAAACACAGTCAATTAGCAGGATATATACTTGATTTGCTTCTGCAGATCTATTTTGATGATATGCTTTTTTTCTCTGAACCATTCGCCTGGCATGAGCCACCACGTCTGCAGTCGCAGAAGTTTGGGAGGCGAGGTAGGAGGATCACTTGAGGCCATGAGTTCAAGACTAACCTGGGCAACATATTGAGATGCCTTCCCAATAAAAAGAAAAAATGTGGCTGGCACTGTGGCTCACGCCTGTAATCCCAGCACATTTGCAGCCAAAAAACAAGAAGTGAGTAATACAATCGCAAAAGAGGAAAGGAAAATGAATGCGTTCCAAGATTTAGAACTCAACTTCAGAACTATACTCACTGTCCTGCAAATCACTTAAGAGAAGAATGTATTTGACCTTAAAAACAAATACAAATAACTGGTACAAGTTGATCACAGAGACGTTCTCCAAGACCCTATCAAGGGGCCCGATACCCCTTGCAGGCCATTTGGGTACTGTTTACTACATAGTTCCTGGAAAGCGCGTGCCTTCTCTACACCTAAGGGACAACAGGACAGCCACAAGAATGTAAAAGAAAGGCTGCGTTAAGAGGGCATTTAATTGACCTATGTCCTTTGCCCCATCTCATTTCGGCAAGAGGACAAGGACAGCAGGGGGCAGCAATCAGCATAGAGCTATACAGGGTTAGGACATTACCCACACATCTTGGCTAAGACATTTTTCTGGATGAGATCGATGTTCCTCACAGACAGATCAATGTCTTACTAAATAATCTGTAGATAGCACATAACATTGCAATTCTGCTTATCATATTGTGAAACAAAATAGATAAGATCAAATGTTCTTTTCCCAAGCATTTCCCAAGAATAAATTTCCTTTAAAAAAATTTTTTTTTAAAGAATTTCTTGGCTGGATGCTGTGGCTCATGCCTGTAATCCCAGCACTTTGGGAGGCCGAGGTGGGCAGATCAAGAGGTCAAAAGACGGAGACCATCTTGTCCAACATGGTGAAACCCCACCGCTATTAAAAATACAAACATTAGCTGGGCGTGGTGGCAGGTGCCTGTAATCCCAGCTACTCGGGAGGCTGAGGCAGGAGAATTGCTTGAACCCAGGAGGAGGAGGTTGCAGTGAGCCAAGATCATGCCACTGCACTCCAGCCTGGCAATAGAGCAAGACTCTGCCTCAATAAATAAATAAATAAATAAATAAATAAATAAATAAATAAATTTAAAAAAGAAATTTCTTGCTACACTAACAAGAATGAAATGAAAACTTTCTAAATTTTATCTTTAACATGATATCCAACTAAAAAACAAGACACTTAAAAAATCCCAAATAGACCCAGTGCGGTGGCTCACGCCTGTAATCCCAGCACTTTGGGAGGCTGAGGTGAGTGGATCACCTGAGGTCAGGAGTTTGAGATCAGACTGGCCAACATGATGAAACCCTGTCTCTACTAAAAATACAAAAAAAAAAAAAAAAATGAAAACAAAAAACATTAGCCAGGAATGGTGGTGGGTGCTTGTAATCCCAGCTACTCAGGAGGCTGAGGCACGAGAATTGCTTGCAGCTGGGAGGCAGAGGTTGCAGTGAGGTGAGATCGTGCCACTGCACTCCATCCTGGGAGACAGAGCAAAACTCTGCCTCAAAAAAAAAAAAAAATTCTTAATTGTAAATAAGGTAAAAATATTTAAAAAAAAAAAAAAGAAAAAGGAAAAAAAATCCTAGATATTCTTTTCACTATTTGTTTTACATTTTGCCAGCCACTCACTGCTTTCTATATACTTATATATGTGTCTGTGTGTATAGGTTTAACTTAATAGACTTGTTTCTTTTTTTCTTTTTTTTGAGACGGAGTCTCACTCTTGCCTCTCAGGTTGGAGTGCAGTGGCGTGACATCGGCTCACCGAACATCCCCCTCTGGGCTTCAAGCTATTCTCCTGCCTCAGCCTCCCAAGTAGCTGTGATTACAGGCCCGCACCACTATGCCAGGCTAATTTTTTTATTTTTAGTAGAGATGGGGTTTCACCATGTTGTCCAGGCTGGTCTCGAACTCCTGACCTCAGGTGATCCTCCCACCTCGGCCTCCCAAAGTGCTGGGATTACAGGCATGAGCCACTGCACCCAACCAACTTTACTTTTTAGAGAGTTTTAGACTTACAGGAAAATTGAGCAGAAGACACAGAAAGATGCCATATATGCCCTTCCCTCCACACACAGTTTCCCTTATTATTAACATCTTGTATAGGTGTGATATGTTTGTTACAATTGATGAACCAATTTTAAAGTTCATAGTTTGGGCCGGGCACGGTGGCTCATGCCTGTAATTCCAGTACTTTGGGAGGCCGAGGTGGGAGGATCATCTGAGGTCAGGAGTTCGAAGCCAGCCTGGCCAACATGGTGAAACCCCATCTCTACTAAAAATACAAAAATTAGCTGGGTGTGGTGGTGTGCGCCTGTGATCCCCGATATTCAGGAGGCTAAGACAGGAGAATTACTTTAACCTGGGAAACAGAAGTTTCAGTGAGCCAAGACCAGGCCACTGCACTCCAGCCTGGATGACAGAGCGAGATAGTTCGCATTAGGGTTCATTTTTTGTGTTATACATCCTATGAGATTTGACAGATATATAATGTCATGTATTGATGCCCTAACTGTATTTTTAGTTCATTATTTCACTGAAGATAAGAGTTACAAAAAACAGGCCGAGGCCAGGCGCAGTGACTCACACCTGTAATCCCGGTACTTTTGAAGGCTGAGGTGGGTGGATCGCTTAAACCCAGGAGCTCAAGACCAGCCTTGGCAACATGGTGAAAAACCATGGTGCCTAGAAAAAATTTAAAAAATTAGCTGGGTGTGGTGGCACGCGCCTGTAGTCCCAGCTACTTGGGAGGACTGGGGTGGGGGGATTACTTGAGCTTGGAAGGTCGAGGCTACAGTGAGACAAGATTGTGCCACTCTACTCCAGCCTGGGTGACAGAGAGAGACCCTGACTCACAAAAAAAAAAGGTTTACAATAAACATGAACAGAAACTTGAAACAAAATTCCAAATGAACCACATTTTATGTCAAGAAGGTATTCCTCCACTTACCTGTTTTGTAAATCAAAATGTGGCTGGCAATTCAGGGAGCTGTGCTTAAAGACCCAGAGACAGGAAATGTTCCCTGGGGCGTCGACCAGCACTTGCAGTGTGATGGAAGCAGATACATCCACTTCCACAGCGGCAGCTTCGTACACTGTCCCTGAGCTCTGGGGTCTCAACGCACACCCGAGGTCTTCCGGGGATTCTGATACCTACGTTGCAGATAGAACAAAGTGAATTCATGAAAACTGCAGGTCTAAGGCCTCCCCTTCTTCACATCAAAACTTTATCAAACATATGCATGCTGACACACTGCACGCAACACCCACACAAGCTGGAACCCACTGAGAACACGTTGCCGACTGAAGGTCCTATTAATTATAATTCTCTAAAGAAAAGATAAATAACATTGGGCTGCATTTCTAAAATGTTGTACGGACTGTCATGGCGTGTGTCCCCCTACCTCTGCAAGTTCATATGTTGAAGTCCTAACCCTCAAATGCAACTTTATTTGGAGATGGTCTTTACAGTGGTAATCAAGTTAAAATGGGTCATTAGGGTGGGCCTAAATCCAGTATGACTCGTGTCCTTATAAGAAGAGGAGGCAGGGCACGGTGGCTCACACCTGCAATCCTAGCACTTTGGGACGCGGAGGCAGGCAGATCACTTGAAGTCAGGAATTCAAGACCAGCCTGGCCAACATGGTGAAACCCTATGTCTACTAAAAATACAAAAAATAAGCTGGAAGTGGTGGTTGGCACCTGTAATCCCAGCTCCACGGGAGGCTGAGGCAGGAGAATGGCTTGAACATGGGAGGCAGCGGTTGCAGCGAGCTGAGATCGCGCCACTGCACTCCAGACTGGGCAACAGAGTGAAACTCTGTCTCAAAAAAAAAAAAAAAAGAGGAGATTTGAAGGCAGATACACAGACAGTAAGAACACCATGTGAACAGAAAGACAGCCATCTTCCAACCAAGGAGAGAGGCCTGGAGCAGATTCTTGCTCACTGCCCTTAGAAGGAACCAACCCTGCTGACATCTTAATTTTGGACTTCTAGCTTCCAGAATTGTGAGATAATAAATTTCTGTTGGTTTCAGTTGCCCAGTCTGTGGTAGTTTGTTGTATCACCCCTAGCAAACTAATCAGACCGTAATTATAAAATCTATAATATATAGGTAAATATTTTTGTGATTGTTGGTATATAGATAAAAATTTATAAAGCAATGGTAAATTGGTATCTGTGTTAGAGGAAATTTAAAAACCAAATTTTCTGGGCAGATGTCCCCATAGCCACACTGCCACCACACTTCTTGCCTGCTTTAAATAATTGAGATATATGAGGCCAGGCGCTATGGCTCACGCCTGTAATTCCAGCACTTTGGGAGGCTGAAGTGGGCAGATCACTTGAGGTCAGGAGTTCGAGACCAGCCTGGCCAACATGGTGAAACCCCATCTCTACTGAAAATACAAAAAATTAGCTGGGTGTGGTGGTAGGCGCCTGTAATCCCAGCTACTCAGGAGGCTGAGGCAGGAGAATCACTTGAACCTGGGAGATGGAGGTTGCAATGAGCCTAGATCCCGCCAATGCACTCCAGCCTGGGGGACGGAGTCAGACTCTGTCTCAAAAAATTAATTAATTAATTAATTAAGATATATTGACAGCAGGGGTTGGAGCAGCTTCTGCTGTGGAGTCCCCCACCTCCTATCTCCTTTACATGGCTGAACACAGCATGCACACATGCACACACATGAGCACACACATATTTCTTCAGGTGAAGAGCAGGGTAGCTCTTCTGCTACCAGTCAAAAACCATATTTCTGGTCTTATTTGTTCACTTACTATGATAAGTGCAAGACCATCTGCTGAGTACTATGAGACTAGAAAAAAAAAAAAGACTAATCTTGCCCTTAAAGAGTTTGAGTCTCCTAGGAATAAATAAGTAAAACACAGGAGAAATACAAGTGTCCCATAAAAAGATACCAAATACTTTGAAATGTAAATTGTAAGTGCCCTGGAACTTCAAAGGAGGGAGAAGAGATTTCTAAGCCGGATGTTTAAGTTTTTCACCCAAGTCCAGTAATTGAGCTGGATCATAAAAGATGGGCACAAGATAAAGTAAAAAATAATAGACAAGTCAAGCATGGTGGTACATGCCTGTAGTTCCAGCTACTCAGGAGGCTGAGGTGGAAGGATCACTTGAGCCCAGGAGTTCAAGTCCAGCCTGGAGAACATAGCAAGACCCCGTCCCAAAACAAAAAAACCCAGCTGACATACTAGAAGAAAATATGCCAACATATATTACAAGTAAAGGGCGAATACCCCTAATATAAAAAGAACCTTTGAAAATTGAGGGACACAGAACCAAAACACAGTAGACAACTGGGAAAAAGAATTGAATACACAATTCAAGAAAAAAGATATAAAGAATGGCCCTCAGCCAGGGGCGATGGCTCACTCCTGAAATCCCAGCACTTTGGGAGGCCAAGGTGGGCGGATCACAAGGTCAGGAGTTCGAGACCAGCCTGGCCAAGATGGTGAGACCCTGTCTGTACTAAAAATATAAAAATTAGCCGAGTGTGGTGGCAGGCACCTGTAATCCCAGCTACTTGGGAGGCTGAGGCAGAGAACTGCTTGAACCTGGGAGGCGGAGGCTGCAGTAAGCCAAGATGGCACTACTGTACTCCAGCCTGGGCGACAGAGTGAGACTCCATCTCAAAAAAAGAAAAAAAAGAATGGCCCTCAAGCATATGAGAAAATATTAAACCTACTTATAATTAGAAATCCATAAGTTAAAACAAGACTAATATATCACTTCTCCTCTATCAGACTGGCAAAAAATTAAAAAATATGACAACACATTTTGTCGGTGAGGCCATGGGGAAACAGTTTTCTCCTGCATTGCTGGGGGAACACACCCTGCACAACCCTTCTGGAGAAGAATTTGGCAATACCTAATAAAACTTGCGATTCACTCACCATTTGAGCCAGCAATCTCACTTCTGGGAATAAGCACACCTCTAGCAATTAATTGCAGCACAATTCATAATTGCAAAATACTGAAAACAACCTAAATGCTCGTACATAGATGAGTGGTTGAACAAATTATGGTACATCCACACCAGGGGGTACTATGTAGCTATAAAAAAGAATGAAGACAACCTCTAAGAACTGATTTGCAATGATTTCCTGGATGTACTGTTAAGTGAAGAAAGCTAGGTGCAAAAAGTATCTACCTTCAAGTATGCTATGCTATGTAAGAAAGAGGAGAATATAAGGAAATATATATGTATCTGGTCACTTGTGCACAATAAATACTGGAATAATAGCAAAACATCTAAAGGGATTGGTTAATTACAGGGATATGTAGAAAGAGGGTGGAAACTTGTCAGTAGGAGTGAGGAGACAGTGATACTTCTCTGAGTATACTGTTTCACATTGTTTTGACTTTTAGGACAAGAGTCATGTCATGTCTCAAAAAACAAGTAATTAAACCAACCAGGAGGGTCAGGCACAGTGGCTCATGCCTGTAATCCCAGGACTTTGTGAGGCCAAGGCAAGAGGATCACTTGAGCCCAGGAGTTCAAGATCAGCCTGGGCAACAAAATGAGACCCCATCTCTACAAAAAATTAAAAAATTAGCCAGGCATGGTGGTGCATGCCTGTGGTCCTTGCTACCCGGGAGGCTGAGGCAGGAGGATTGCTTGAGCCTAGGAGGTTGAGGCTGAAGTGAGCTATGTTTGTGTCACTGCACTCCAGCCTGGACAACGGAGCGAGATCTTGTCTCAAAGTAATAATAATAATAATAATAATAATAATAATAATAATCCAGGTGTGGTGGCTCACGCCTGTAATCCCAGCACTTTGGGAGGCTGAGGCAGGAGGATTGCTTGAGCCTAGGAGGTTGAGGCTGAAGTGAGCTATGTTTGTGTCACTGCACTCCAGCCTGGACAACGGAGCGAGATCTTGTCTCAAAGTAATAATAATAATAATAATAATAATCCAGGTGTGGTGGCTCACACCTGTAATCCCAGCACTTTGGGAGGCCGAGGCAGGCAGATTGCTTGAGTCCAGGAGTTCGAGACCAGCCTTGGCAACATGGTGTAACCCTGTCTCTAGTAAAAGAATATATAATAAATAAAATAAATAAATAAACCAACTAGAATATGTGAAATGAGGGGGCTGGAAGAAATATCAAGACGGAATACGAACCAAATTAATTCAATTGTATCACAAATAAATAATAACACCATAGTGAAGGGATGGGAAAGAAAGGAACTAACCTAAGTAACTTCAGAAAATAATACTTTGGATCCCTTAAGGCTAAAGACAAAAAGCACTGTACACAAATACTGTCCTTTAGTTAGTAAATCTATTTCTCACCAGGGTATGGGTTAGTAATTCTAAAATTAGATTATCTATATATTGTATTTCCAGGCTCTGCCTGCCGAGAGGGCCTAGAAGCAATGATATCCCAGCAGCAATGGGCACACCCAACTCTCAGATCTTGGTTCCTAAATACTACCCCCCAGAGAAGCCAGTGCTCTTTGGAGAAGTGCTGAATTCCAGGGGTAAGGCAAGAAAAGAAAAATACAAGATGAACCTGAACTATCTGGTAGTGTGTCAAAAATTAAGGAAGGGCTTGGAAAAAGATGAGGAGATGTTGAAAGGACACAGGAGCAAAACTGAAGTAGTTCCTAATGGCCAAAGCTGGAAGAATTTGAGCAACAAAATAAATAATGATTGTATTGGGTTACAATCCAGAGGATAAAATAAATATTCATGGGCCTCTACTGATATAAATAAAAAATTGAATAAATACATAAATAAAATGAGGGGAAAGGGGCAGTGCTTCCTTACAAAGCATTCCAATTAACATAGAGGGAATGTAGGAAAAAGAAAAGCACCATTAGGCAAACACCACCATAATAATCGTAGGCAAGATCCACCAATGGGTGCTAAAATCAGTAGGTGAAAATTAAAGAAGGAACAGGATATTTGCATCCCCTCCAAGACACTTATTAATTATAAGTGAAGAAAATAGTAACTTTGCAGTGGGGATACCTGGCATGCACTGTCTAACTCTAATGATCAAGGTTCACATCTTCATAATGACACCAAATGACTTCCTGTCACTCTGAATATGATGCTCTGGGAAGGGCACGCTCCTGGGAAATTCTTGCCAGAAATCCATAATCTCGTTCTTGTTGCCAGGCTGGAGTGCAATGCATGATTTCAGCTCACCGCAACCTCCGCCTCTGGGGTTCAAGCGATTCTCCTGCCTCAGCCTCTTGAGTAGCTGGGATTACAGGCATGCGCCACCACGCCTGGTTTATTTTGTATTTTTTAGCAGAGACGGAATTTCTCCATGTTGGCCAGGCTGGTCTCGAACTCCCAACCTCAGGTGATCCACCTGCCTGGGCCTCCCAAAATGCTGGGATTACAGGCGTGAGCCACCGTGCCCAGCCCCTGTAAAAAGTTTTTAAAAATTAAAGCTGGGTACAATCCACAATCTGGATAGACAAATCTGCGGGCTTCAGAGGAGAGAGAATAGCATGATAAATGCACAGTACAGAGGCAGTGGGCTCCACCGCTGGCAGTCCGGGAATAGCTTGAGCCAGGCTGACCAGGAGCCAAGGGATGTTCTTGAAGGCCAGGCCACGTTCTTCACCACCTGGCAGAGCTGAGTCCCACAGAGCCATGAAGGCACTGGAATTTAAGAGACTGTGATATCTCAAAATCACAATGTTAAAAAAAAATACAACTTTTGTAATAACACTGAAATTCAGTCTGTTGATCTTCTTATAACAAGTATAGCTAACTAATGAGGACATGAAATCACTAACACAGTTGTTGTCTGCTTACGTAAGTAAAACAGCTGCACAAGCTGTGAAAAGTCCAGAGAAAGCACGTAAAATGATCCATCACACAAAGTCCACCATTCTTTCCCAAATCCTTGTTACAGAAAACCAACCAACAAACAAACAAATCAACAACTCATTCTCTAGAAGTACAGGGTGGGACATGGCAAATAAAGAAAATAAGCTGGCTTGTGCAGGCCACCTGCCTGAAATATGAGGTCATGATTGTCAAACACATTTGGTCAACTCCAGTAACTTCAGTTCTTCACAAAGAGAAAACCAGTCATTAAACCATAGTGGAGACTTTTTGTTTTTATTATTTTTGTTTTTATTATGTTTTGTTTTGTTTTGTTTAGACTGTGCCGCAATGGCACAAGATCTGTTCAGGAGGAATGTGACATTAAATGCAGCTTTGACTTTCTGGAGGAAGGGAGGTATAAATGAACCTATTTGGTAAGGAGAGATAATTTTAGAGTTATGGTGGATTGCCTGCCTATGCTCTCTAATCACTGACAGGAAAAAAAAAACAGTACATCTCACTCAGCTGCTGTGAATACTTGGTGCCTTAGTATAGTCATCTCTTAAAAGCAAATTTGAAGAATATGGAATAGTTGGTGATATGGTTTGGATGTGTGTCCCCTCCAAAGCTCATGTTGAAACGCGATTCCCAGCCAGGTGCAGTGAGTGGCTCATGCCTGTAATCCCAGCACTTTGGGAGGCCAAGGTGGGCGGATAACCTGAGGTCAGGAGTTCGAGACCCATCTGGCTAACATGGCAAAACCCGTCTCTACAAAAAAAAAATCTATGATATATATCATATATATATATGAGATATATATCAGCCAGTAGCAGTGGCTCATGCCTGTAATCCCAACACTTTGGGAGGCCAAGGCAGGCTGGAGGGCAGTGGCACAATCTTGGCTCACTGCAACCTCCACCTCCCTGGTTCAGATGATCCTCCGGCCTCAGCCTCACAAGTAGCTGGGACCACAGGCGCACACCACCATGGCTGGTTAATTTTTTTGTTGTTGTTGTATTTTTGATAGACACGGGGTTTCACCATGTTCCTCAGGCTGGTCTCAAACTCCTCAGCTCAAGCGATCCACCCACCTTGGCCTCCCAAAGTGCTGGGATTACAGGTGTGAGCTACTGTACCTGGCTGATTTCTACTATTTTCAGTTCTCCATCACTTAAGCTTCCCTTGAGTAAATTTACTAAATATATGTTTTTAAAATAGAGGGGTAGGAATAGCACAAGAGAGGGGGTAATGAAAAACAAGACGAACAGCGTAAAAGAGAGGAGTCATGAAAAACAAAGTCGGAACTTGAAGGAGCCAGAGCCAGATTACTGAGCAATCTTGGTATCAGTCTAAGTAATGGGAAATCATGGAGGGTTCAGAGCCAGGCAATGAAGGATGTGCCTGCTTCAGGGAGGCTAGCCCAGCAGCTACCTCTGAGATGAATTGTAGCAGGAAGAGGCCACTTAGGATATCACTGTGATTATGAGGGAGTTAACGAGGGCTTGACTTAGGGAAGTGGCAGTGAGACTAGAGAATATGAGATGATTATATGAGAACTCCTAAAGGGGATCGACAACACTTGGTAACTGACCAAATGTGAAAGTAATAGAAAGAAAGTAGTCCAAAATGATGCTGAGCTTTCAAGCCTGGGAACTAAACAGGGGTATAAACAGAAATCAATAAATACAAGAATAAGAGCAGGCTTGGGGAAATAGAAATGAAATAAAATAAATGACATAGGTGGATTTTGATGTGCAAATGGAAAATCTACCTATATACTGGGGGCAGCTGGAAGTGAGGGATTCAGGCTTGGAAGAAAAGCCAGGATTCTCTTTAAGGAGAAAAGGAAATACAGTAGGCCCTCTGTAACCATGGGTTCCGCATCCATGGATACAACCAACCACAGATTGAAAATATTCCGAAAAAAATGGGGTTGCATCTGTACTGAACATGTACCGACTTTTTTCCCTTGTCATCATTATTCCCTAAACAATAGGGTATAATAACTATTCACATAGTTGTTTAGGTATTATAAAGCATTTGCATCGTATTAGGTATTATAAGTAATCTAGAGATAATTTTAAAAGTATACAGGAGGGTCAAGCATGGTGGCTGAGGACTGTAATCCCAGCACTTTGGGAGGCTTAGGTGGTAGGATCAGTTGAGCCCAGGAGTTCAAGATCAGCCTGGGCAACAGAGTGGGACCCCATCTTTGCAAAAAATAAAAAAAATTAGCCAGGTGTGGTGGCATGTGCCTTTAGTCCCAGCTAGTTGGGAGGTTGAAGTGGGAGGATTGCTTGAGCCCGGGAGGGCGAGGCTGCAGTGAGCTATGATCATGCCACTATACTCCAGCCTGGTCAACAGAATGAGACTGTCTCAAAAATATACAGAATCTGCATAGGTTACATGCAAATACCAAGCCATTTTATATCAGGTACTTGAGTATCCATGGATTTTGGTATTAGTGAGAGTCTTGGAACCATCCCCGCTGTATACCAAGGGACGACTCTACTCATTACTTCATGCTAGTTATCAATCAGTGTCCTTCCTAAATCCTCATATGAAGAATACGGTTCTTGAAGGAATGGAGTGCCAGGGAGCTAGGAGTATAGATGCTCTGTTGGTACCAGATGTGAGGCCATAATATACTTAAATACATAAAGAGAAGCCCATTTAGCCATGGTAGGCTTCAATAACTTACAAATTACGTTCTCTAGAGAAAAACAGCTAAAGGTATAATTTTAATGTTACTTTACCATGGGATATGATGATGACTTCCCCACTGATGAATCATTGTTCTTATGATTGATTAAAACACACTTGATCACAGGCAGATCTTGATTTGTAATAGTCCCAAATATCATTGCAGAAAAAACAACTGTAAAACAAAATAAAAATGATAATGTTGATACATGCACACCTTAAAAAGAAAACATGCATTTATCTTGCAACCAAACAACAAAACAAAGTGTAATCAGAGGAAATTGGCCACTATGAAAGTATGTAGGAAATTTGATTTTATGCAAGTTTAGTCTAGTTTAAATCAGGAGCAGAGATACTTAGAGCAGGGCTGTCCAATAAAACAGTCTGCAGTGATGGACATGTTCTATGCCTGTGCTGTCTAATATGGTAGCGACTAGCTACATGTGGCTCTTAAGCTTTTGAAATGAGGCTAGTTTGACTGAGGAAATGATTATTTGTATACATGATTTGTGTGTGTGTGTGTGTGCACTTTTTATTGTATATAGATTTCTACCTTTTTTTTTTTTTTTTTTTTTGAGATGGAGTCTCGCTCTGTCGCCCAGGCTGGAGTGCAGTGGCGCGTTCTTGGCTCACTGCAAGCTCCGCCTCCCAGGCTCAAGTGATTCTCCTGTCTCAGCCTCCCGAGTGGCTGGGATTACAGGTGCCCGTCACCGTGCCTGGCTAATTTTCTTTCTTTTTTTTTTTGTATTTTTAGTAGAGACGGGGTATCGCCACGTTAGCCAGGCTGGTCTTGGACTCCTGACCTCAGGTGATCCACCCGCCTCTGCCTCCCAAAGTGCTGGGATTACAGGTGTAAGCCACTGTGCCCGGCCTGGTATATTCTTTTTTTCTCTATGGGTGCTTATAGAATCTTTTCTTTGAAACCACAGCACTAAAATTTTCAAAATTATGTGCCTTCCTGAGAGTCTATTTTCATCCATTGTGCTGGGTACTCAGTGGGCCTTTTCAATCTAGAAATTCATATCCCTCTGTTTGGCATTTTCTTGAATTATTTCTTTGATTCCTTCTCTCCTCTTTACTTTCTGTTTGCCCATGATTTAGATATTTTCCCCAAATGACTGACAATCTTTGACAGTCTCTTCACATATAAGAATGAAGTGCTGAGCGTCTATCCTAAGCTCTATGATGTGGCTTGTGGCTCAATCTCTGTAGGTGTATATTTAGGTCTTTTCTCACCGGTTGGTCCGACTCCCCAGAGAAGATTCTCTCTCTTGCTTGCTGCCTGTGTCCTGCGAGCTGGTCTTGGCAAGTTATACTATTGTGGGGTCCTGCAATGAAAAGCAGGCTGCTTCTCAGCTTTCTCAACCCCCAACTATAATTCAGCTTTCATCATCTGCTTCTTCTTTTTAATTTTTTTTTTAAGAGACAGGATCTCGCTATGTTGCACACAGTGACTTCAAACTCCTGGACTCAAGTGATCCCCCTGCCTTGGCCTCCCAAGTTGTTGGATGATAGGTGTGAGCCACTACACCCAGCTTTATCTGCTTTAAAGCTCTCAAAGTTTTACTTTCTCCTTCTCCACCCTCTTTGTCTTTCTATGTTTATATCTTTGTTTCTTTGGGGGTATTAGGTATAATTGGCAAATAAAAATTGCAGTGTACATCATATATTCACAGTGTACATCATGTAATTTTCATATATATATAAAAATATATGTGTATTTATATATAATGTGTGTATGTATATGTATATATTAAGTATATATACATATATATGGGCTTCTCTTTATGTATTTAAGTATATATGTACATATAAGTATATACACATATACATACACACATTGTGAAACGAATACCCCAAACAAGCTAACTAACCTATCCATCAGCTTGTATACTTATCTTTTTCTTTTTCTTTTTTGGTGATGAGAACATTTAAGATCTACTCTCTCTCGCTCTCTCTCTCTCTTTTTTTTAAATTGAGACAGAGTCTTGATCTGTTGCCGAGGCTGGAGTGCAGTGGCACGATCACTGCTCACTGCAACCTCTGTCTCCGGGGTTTGAGTGATTCTCCTGCCTCAGCCTCCCAAGTAGCTGGGATCACGGGTGTGCGCCATCATGCCCAGCTAATTTTCGTGTTTTTAGTAGAGACAGCATTCACCTTGCTGGCCAGGCTAGTCTCAAACTCCTGGCCTCAAGTGATTCAGCTGCCTTGGCCTCCCAAAGTGCTGGGATTACAGGCATGAACCACTGTGCCTGGCCAAGATCTATTCTCTTAACAAATATGCGGCCGGGCGTGGTGGCTCACACCTGTAATCCCAGCACTTTGGGAGGCCGAGGCGGGTGGATCACGAGGTCAGGAGCTCGAGACCATCCTGGCTAACGTGGTGAAACCCCGTCTCTACCTAAAAAAATACAAAAATTAGCCGGGCGTGGTGGCAGGCGCCTGCAGTCCCAGCTACTCGGGAGGCTGAGGCAGGAGAATAGCGTAAACCCGGGAGGCGGAGCTTGCAGTGAGCCAAGATCGTGCCACTGCACTCCAGCCTGGGCGACAGAGCGAGACTCCGTCTCTAAAAAAAAAAAACAACAACAACAAATATGCTTATCTCTTTAAAAGCATTTTTTGGCCGAGCCTGGTGGCTCATGTCTGTAATCCCAGCACTTTGGGAGGCTGAGGTGGGTGGATTGCTTGAGGCCAGGAGTTTGAGACCAGCCTGGGCAACCCAGTAAAAGCATATCTCTAAAAATTTTTTTTAAATTAACTGGGCATAGTGGTGTGCGCCTATAGTCCCAGCCCAGCTACTCAGAAGGCTGAGGTGGGAAAGGATCGCTCAGGCATGGGATGTTGAGGCTGCAGTGAGATGTGATTGCACCATTGCACTCCAGCCCCTGGGTGACACAGTGAGACCTCATCTCTGGAAAAAAAAAAAAAAAAAGCATTTTTTACTGTCACTTGAGTGGTCTGTAGATAGCGACAGGAGGTAATATATGTGTCCAGCCATCTTTGTAATCTCATAATCTGAGACAGTCTCAGAAAGTAAGAACTTTTCCTGCTCCACTCTGTAATGTTTTCTCTCTAGTCTTTAAAAAAATAGTAATTTAAAAAATATTTTATAAGTATAATTAACTTATAATAAATCGTGCACATTAAAAGTATACAATTTAGTAAATTCATACATATCTGCAAATCCATCACCACAATCAAAATGGTGAATTTAAGGCTGGGCATGATGCTCACACCTGTAATCCCAGCGCTTTGGGAGGCCAAGGTGGGAGGATCACTTGAGACCAGGAGTTAGAGACCAGGCTGAGAGATAGAGTGAAACCCCATCTCTACAAAAATTTGTTTTTAAAACATTAGCCAAGTGTGGTGGCACGAGCCTGAAGTCTCAGCTACTTGGGAGGCTGAAGTGGGAGGATAGCTTGAGGCCAGGAGTTTGAAGCTGCAATGAGCTATGATCACGCCTCTGCACTCCAGCCTGGGCAAAAGAGCCAGATCCTGCCTCTAAAAAAAAAAAAAAAAGAAAAGAAAAAAAAGAAAACAATTTTTTTTAAAAGATAGTAAAGTTACCTATCACTCTCAAAAGTTTCCTTATGAAGCTTTGATATCACGCCCTGCTACCAACCCCATTCCCCCACACCCAAGCCACCTCTGATCTATTTTCTGTAATTATAGACTGGTTTGAATTTTCTAAAATTTCATACAAATGGAATCACACAGTATGAACTGTTTTTTTATAGGGTGGGTGGTCTGGCCTCTTTCATTGTGCATTTTTTTGATATTTGTCCATACTGTAGTAGATATCAGTAGTTCATTCCTTTTAATTACCAAGTAGTAATCTGTTGTATAGATATATAACACAATTTGTTTTAATCTATTCACCTGTGGACACACATTTGGGCTGTTTCCACTTTTGCTGTTACTAATAAAGCTGCTATTTATATAAAAGTCTTAATATGGATATATACTTTCATTTCTCTTGGGTAAATACTAAGGAATTGAATGCCTAGGTTATATGGTCAGTGTATTTGTAACTTTTTAAGAAAGTGCCCAATTGTCTTCCAAAGAGGTTAGAGCTTTTATGTTCCCACTCGCAGTGTATGGAATTCCAGTTGTGTCACATCCTCGCTAACATTTGGTATGATGAGACTTTAAAATTTTGGCCTTTCTAATAAGTGTGTTGTATCTCATTGTGTTCTTATTTATTTTTATTTTTTATTTTTTGAGACAGGGTCTCACCCTGTCACTCAGGTTGGAGTATAGTGGCGTGATCACAGCTCACTGCGGCCTTGACCTCCTGGGCTCAAGCCATCCCCCCACCTTAGCTTCCCGAGTAGCTGGGACAACTGGTGCGCACCACCATACCTGGCTAATTTCTGTATTTTTGTAATTTTTGTATTTTTTGTCCAGGCTGGTCTCAAACTCCTAGGCTCAAGTTGTCTGCCCACCTTGGGCTCCTCAAGTGCTGGGATTACAGGTGTGAGCCACTGCGCTCAGCCCTCATTGTGGTTTTAATTTGCATTTTCCTCCTGACTAATGAACATTGAACATCCATTTAGATGATGCTATCACATTCCATAACTTCTCTGGTGGTGTATCTGTTCACATCTTTTGCCCACATCTAACCTTTTTTAATGAGATTGCTCATTTTAAAAAGTATTGAGTATTGTATAATTGACAAAAATATATACTCACGGAGTATAATGTGATGTTTTAATATATGCATACATTGTGGAATGATTAAATCAAGCTAATTAACATATACATCATTGTGGTTTTGATTTGCATTTCCCTGATGATTAGTGATGTTGAACATTTTTTCATATATTTCATATATTTCTTGGACTTGAAATGTTCCCAACACATAGAAATGATAAATATTCAACGTGATGATTACCTCAAATACTCTGAGTTGGTCATTACACATTCTATGGAGGTCACAAAATATCGTATGTACCCCATAAATATGTAAAATATTATGTATCAATAAAAAATAGATGCATCACAAGGCCGGGCATGGTGGCTCACATCTGTAATCCCAGCACTTTGGGAGGCCGAGGTGGGCAGATCACTTGAGGTCGGGAGTTCAAGACCAGCCTGGCCAACATGGTGAAACCCTGTCTCTACTAAAAATACAAAAATTAGCCGGGTGAAGTGGCGCATGCCTGTAGTCCCAGCTACTCAGGAGGCTGAGGCAGAAGAATCACTTCAACCTGGGAGGTAGAGGTTGCAGTGAGCAGGGATCACGCCATTGCACTCTAGCCTGGGCAACAGAGTGAGGCTCTGTCTAAAAAAAAAAAAATGGATGCATCACTTCATGTATTTATTTTTTCATGTTGAGACATCTAAAACCTACTCTCTTAGCAATTTTTTTTTTTTGAGACAGAGTCTGACTCTGTCACCCAAGCTGGAGTACAGTGGCACCATCTCGGCTCACTGCAAACTCCACCTCCCAGGTTCCAGTGATCCTCCTGCCTCAGCCTCCCAAGTAGCTGTGATTACAGGCATGCACCACCACACCCGGCTAATTTTTTGTATTTTTAGTAGAAGTGAGGGTCCCCCATGTTGGCCAGGCTGGTCTGGAACTCCTGACTTCAAGTGATCTGTCCGCCTCGGCCTCCCAAAGTGCTGGGATTATAGGCGTGAGCCACTGCACATGGCCCTTCATAGCAATTTTCTCATATACAATGCATTTTTAAAATATGAGCATTTTGACATTTATTTATTCATCCATCCATGCAATTAACAAATATTAAGTACCTACAATGGCCCCAAAAAGAGAAAATATATTACAAAACATAATCAAATGCTGACGTTTATTTTATTTCATTTTACACAATACATTTGTAGTAGCCTTCTCCAGAGGGACAAAACCAATAGGATATATATACATATATTTCATATATTTGTATATGAAAGGGAATTTTTTAGAGAGAATTGGCTCATGTGATTACAAAGGCGAAGTTCCAGGACAAGCGGTCTGCAAGCCAGAAAATGAGAAAGAAAAGCCAGTAACGTGTCCCAGTCCAAGACCAAAAGCCTCAAAACCAAGGAAGCCAACAATGCAACCCCAGTCTGAGGCCAAAGGCCTGAGAGCCCCCAGAAGGCTGCTGGTGCAAGTGTCAGAGTCCAAGAGCCAAAGAACCTGGAGTCTGATGTCCAAAGGCAGGAGGAGAAAAGGTGTTCTACTCCAGAAGGCAGAGAGAAGGCAGTGTTTGTAGCATGAGTGAGGACTGTAATCTCAGCACTTTGGGAGGCCAAGGTGGGAGGATTGCTTGAGCCCAGGAATTCGAGACCAGCCTGGGCAACACAGTGAAACTCTGTCTCTACAAAAAATACAAAATTAGCCAGGTGTGGTAGCATGTATCTGTAGTCCCAGCTACTCAGGAAACTGAGGCAGGAAGATCACCTCAACCCAGGGAGGTCAAGGCTGCAGTGAGCTGTGATCATGCCACTGCACTTCAGCTTGGATGACAGAGTGAGACCCTGTCTCTGGGTGACAGAGCAAGAGGGAAGGAAGGAAGGAAAGAAGGAAGGGAGGGAGGAAGGGAGGGAAGAGACAGACAGAAAGGAAGGAAGGAAGGAAGGAAAAGAAAGAGAGAGAGAGAGAGGAAGGAAGGAAGGGAAAGAAGAAAGAAAAGAAAGAAAGAAAGAAAAAGAGAAAAAGAAAGAGAGAGAGAAAGAAAGAGAAAAGAAAGAAAGAAAAAGAAAACAAAAGAAAAGAGAGTTTTATTTGGCTCACAGTTACATAGTGTGTGTGAGAAGCATGATGCTAGCATCTGCTTCTGGTGAGGAACTCAGGAAGCTTCATATATTAGTCCGTTTTCACACTGCTGATAAAAATATACCCAAGACTGGGAAGAAAAAGAGGTTTAATTGGATTTACAGCTCCACATGGCTGGGGAGGTTTCAGAATCATGGCAGGAGGCGAAAGGCACTTCTCACATGGTGGCAGCAAGAGAAAAATGAGGAAGCAGCAAAAGCAGAACCCCCTGATAAACCCATCAGATCTCGTGAGACTTATTCCCATCAAATCTCGTGAGACTTATTCACTATCATGAGAATAGCATGGGAAAGTCTGGCACCCATGATTCAATTACCTCCCCCTGGGTCCTTCCCACAACACGTGGGAATTCTGCGAGATACAATTCAAGTTGAGATTTGGGTGGTGACACAGTCAAACCATATCATTCTGCCCCGGCCCCTCCAAATCTCATGTCCTGACATTCCAAAATCAATCATGCCTTCCCAACAGTCCCCCGTAGTCTTAACTCATTTCAGCCTTAACCCAAATGTCCACAGTCCAAAGTCTCATCTGAGGCAAGGCAAGTCCCTTCCACCTATGAGCCTGTAAAATCAAAAGCAAGCTAGTTACTTCCTAGATACAATGGGGGTACAGGCATTGGGTAAATACAGCTGTTCCAAATGGGAGAAATTGGCCAAAACAAAGGGGTTACAGGGCCTATGCAAGTCTGAAATCCAGCAAGGCAGTCAAATTTTAAAGCTCCAAAATGATCTCTTTTGACTCCAGGTCTCACATCCAGGGCATGCTGATGCAAGAGGTGGATTCCTATGGTCTTGGGAAGCTCCGCCCCTGTGGCTTTGCAGGGTACAGCCTCCCTCCTGGCTGCTTTCATGGGCTGGCATTGTGTCTGCAGCTTTTCCAGGTACATGGTGCAAGCTGTCAATGGATCTACCATTCTAGGGTCTGGAGGGCAGTGGCCCTCTTCTCACAGCTCCAGTAGGCAGTGCTTCAGCAGGGACTCTGTGTGGGGGCTCCGACCCCACATTTCCCTTCCACACTACCCTAGCAGAGGTTCTCCATGAGGACCCTGCCCCTGCAGCAAACTTTTCTCAGGGCAACCAGGCTTTTCCATATATCTTCTGAAATCTAGGCAGAGGTTCCCAAATCTCAATTCTTGACTTCTGTGCACCCGCATGCTGAACACCACGTGGAAGCTGCCAAGGCTTGTAGCTTCCACCCTCTGAAGCCACAGCCTGAGCTGTACATTGGTCCCTTTCAGCCATGGATGGAGCTGCTGGGACACAGGGCACCAAGTCCTTGGCTGCATACAGCATGGGGATCCTGGGCTCAGCCCATGAAACCACTTTTTTCTCCTGGGCCTCTGGGCCTGTGATGGGATGGGCTGCTGTGAAGGTCTCCAACATGGCCTGGAGACATTTTCCCCATGGTCTTGGGGATTAACATTAGGCTCCTTGCAACTTATGCAAATTTCTGCAGCAGCTAGAATTTCTCCCCAGAAAATGGGTTTTTCTTTTCTTTTTTTTTTTTTTTTGAGATGCAGTCTCACTCTGTCACCCAGGCTGGAGTACAGTGGCACCACTTTGGCTCACCACAACCTCCGCCTCCCAGGTTCAAGCGATTCTCCTGCCTCAGCCTCCCAAGTAGCTGGGACTAAAGGTGCACGCCATCATGCCCAGATAATTTTTGTATTTTTAGTAGAGACAGGGTTTTACTGTGTTTGCTAGGCTGGTCTTGAACTCCCGACCTCGTGATCCCCCCGCCTTGGCCTCCCAAAGTGCTGGGGTTACAGGCGTGAGCCACCATGCCCGGCCTGGGTTTTTCTTTTCTATTGCATAATCCTGCTGCAAATTTTCCCAACTTTTATGCTCTGCTTCCCTTACAAAACTGAATGCCTTTACAAGTACTCAAGTCATCTCTTGAATGTGTTGCTGCTTAGAAATTTCTTCAGCCAGATACCCTAAATCATCTTTCTCAAGTTCAAAGTTCCACAAATCTCTAGGACAAGGGCAAAATGCCTCCAGTCTTTTTGCTAAAACATAACAAGAGTCATCACCTTTGCTCCAGTTCCCAACAAGTTCCTCATCTCCATCAGATAGACCACCTCGGCTTGGACCTTATTGTTCGTATCACTATCAGGATTTTTGTCAAAGCCATTCAACAAGTCTTTAGGAGGTTCCAAGCTTTCCCACATTTTCCTGACTTCTTCTGAGCCCTCCAAACTGTTCCAACTTCTGCCTGTTACCCAGTTCCAAAGACACTTCCACATTTTCAGGTATCTTTTCAGCAGCACCCCACTCTACTGGTACCAATTTACTGTATTAGTCTGTTTTCATGCTGCTGATAAAAACATACCTGAGACTGGGAAGAAAAAGGGGTTTAATTGGGCTTACAGTTCCACATGGCTGGGAGGCTTCAAAATCATGGTGGGAGGTGAAAGGCACTTCTTACATGGTGGCAGCAAGAGAAAAATGAGGAAGAAGCAAAAGCAAAAACACCTGATAAACCCATCAGATCTTGTGAGACTTATTCACTAGCACAAGGATAGCACGGGAAAGACCAGCCCCCACGATTCAATTACCTCACCCTAGGTCCCTCCCACAACATGTGGGAATTCTGGGAGATACAATTCAAGTTGAGATTTGGGTGGAGACACAGCCAAACCATATCACTTCCACTCATGACAGAAGGGGAAAGGGAGCAGCCATCACATAGTGAGAAAGGAAGGAAGAGAGAGGAGGGGGATGCCAGGCTCTTTTTCACAATCATGTCTTGTAGGAACTAGTAAAATGAGAACTCACTCATTCCCACAGGATGACATCAAGCCACTCACGAGGTATCCACCCCCAGGACCCAAACACCTCCCACTAGGCTCCATCTAAAACACTGGGGATCTGGCCGGGCACGGTGGCTCATGCCTGTAATCCCAGCACTTTGGGAGGCCAAGGTGGGTGGATCACCTGAGGTCAGGAGTTCGAGACCAGCCTGGCCAAAATGGTGAAACCCCGTCTCTACTAAAAATACAAAAATTAGCTGGGCGCCATGGCGCATTCCTGTAATCCCAGCTACTCAGGAGGCTGAGGCACCAGAATTGCTTGAACCCAGGAGGTGGAGATTGCAGTTGGTGGAGATCGCACCACTGCTCTCCAGCCTTGGTGACAGAGAGAGACTCCATCTCAAAAATAAATAAATAAATAAAACATTAGGGATCAAATTTCAACATGAGATTTAGAGCAAAAAATATCCAAACTATATCAACATTATTATCAGCTATAGTCATCATGCTGTACAATAGATATCCAGAACTTACCCTCCTAACTGAAACTTTGTATTATTGAGTTTTGAGAGGTTAAAATTATATATATTCTGGATACAAGTCCTTTATCACTTATGTAATTGGCAAATATTTTCTGCCAGTCTGTGGCTTGTTTTTAGAGGATCAGAAATTTTTAATCTTGAAGATGTCCAATTTATCAATTTTTCTTTTATGGATCATGCTTTTGGCTTTGTATCTAAAAAATCTTCACCTAATCTTAAATCAGAAAGGTTTTCTCCTAGAAGTCATATTTACATTTAATTTTATATTTAGGTCTATGATCCATTTTCAATTAACTTTTCATACATTATGACATATGGATCAAAGTTTTGCACATGAATATGCCATTGTTCCAGTACCATTTGTTGAAAGACTGATTTCTCCACTGAATTACCTTTACACCTTTATCAAAAATAAATTGACCATATATTTTTGGTCAGTTTCTAGGTCGCAAATCACTATACTGTTCCATTAATCTGTTTGTCTATCTGGATGCCAATTCCACATTGTCTTGGTTACTACTGCTTTATAATAAGCCTTGGAATCTACTACAAATTCTCTAACTTTGTTCTTTAGAGTTGTTTTGGATATTCTAGTTCTCTTGCATTTCCATATGAATTTTAGAATCAGCTTGTCAATTTCTGCAAAAAGATCTACAGGGATTTTAAAAGGAATTTCACTGAATCACTAGATCAATTTGGGCAAAACTGACATTATAACAATATTGAGTTTTCTAATACATAAATATGGCATATCACTCCTTTTAATTAGATCTTACTTAATTTCTCTTATCAATGTTTTATAGTTTTCATTATGGGTCTTGCCCATCTTTCTCCCTGTTTCATATTTTTGGATACTATTTTGGTATTCTTCCCTTCAATTTCTGATTGTTAGTTGCTAGGACATAGAAAGATAATTAATTTTTTTCCACACTGATAGTACATCCTGCAAACTTACAGAACTCACTTATTAGTTACAGTCACTTTTTGTAGGTTCTATAGAATTTTCTACATAGGTTATCATGTTGTCTGTAAATAAAGAGTTTTACATCTTCCTTTTCAATCTGGATGCTTTTCATTTCTTTTTCACGTCTTAATACGTTGGCTAAAATCTGCAGTATAAAGTTGAATAAAAGAAGTGAAGAGTGGATATCCTCGCCTTGTTTCTGATCTTAGGGAAAAGATTTATTAATTTACTATGAAGTATAATATTAGCTATTGGTTTTTCATAGATACCCTTAATTAGCTTGAGGAAGATAAGTTCTTTTCTCTTCTGTAATATTTTTATTATAATTTTTACTTTGATTTACTTTGATTTTTTTACTTTGATTCTTTTTTTTTTTTTTTTTTTTTTTTTTTTGTGAGACACAGTCTTGCTCTGTCGCCCAGGCTGGAGTACAATGGTGCGATCTTGGCTCACTGCAACCTCCATCTCCCGGGTTCAAGCAATTTTTGTCCCTTAGCTTCTGAGTAGCTGGGATTACAGGTGCCCACCATCATGCCCGGCTAATTTTTATATTTTTAGTAAAGACAGGGTTTCGCCATGTTGCCCAGGTTGGTCTCGAATTCCTGACGTCAGGTGATCTGCCTGCCTCACCCTCCCAAAGTGCTGGGATTATAGGCGTGAGCCACTGCACCGGCCTACTTTGATTCTTATAGGCAGGATCTTGCTCTGTCGCCCAGGCTGGAGTGTAGAGGCATTATCATAGCTCACTCCAACACTGAACTCCTGGGCTCAAACAGTTTTCCCACCTCAGCTGCCCAAGTACCTAGGACTACATGCACATACCACCACACTCAGCTAATTTTTAAAAAATTGTTTAACTTTTTGTAGAGATGGGGTCTTGCTATGTTGCCAAGGCTGGTCTCAAACTCCTAGCCTCAAGCAACCCCCCTTGCCTCGTCCTGCCAAATCACTGGGATTACAGGCATGAGCCACTGTGCCTAGTCTTTTATTTTTTGTTTTTTCTGCTGCTCACTCCAGGAGGAATTTTTTTTTTTGAGACATGATCTCACTGTGTCACCTAGGATGGAGTCCAGTGGTGCGATCTCAGCTCACTGCAACCTCCACCTCCCATGCTCAAGGGATCCTCCAACCTTGGAAGGGACGCTTCCAAGTAGCTGGGACTACAGTCAGGAGCCACGACGCCCAGCTAATTTTTGTTTTGTTTTGTTTTGTTTTGTTTTGTTTTGTTTTGTTTTGTTTTTTGAGACGGAGTCTTGCTCTGTCGCCCAGGCTGGAGTGCAGTGGCGCGATCTCAGCTCACTGCAAGCTTTGCCTCCTGGGTTCACGCCAGTCTCCTGCCTCAGCCTCCCGAGTAGCTGGGACTACAGGCACCCACCACCATGCCCAGCTACTTTTTTTTTGTATTTTTAGTAGAGACGGGGTTTCACTGTGTTAGCCAGGATGGTCTTGATCTCCTGACTTCATGATCTGCCCACTTTGGCCTCCCAAAGTGCTGGGATTACAGGCATGAGCCACCGCGCCTGGCCAATTTTTGTATTTTTTGTAGAGATGAAGTTTCACCATGTTGCCCAGTCTGGTGTTGGTCTCTTGAGCTCAGGCAATCCTTACACCTTGTCCTCCCAAAGTGCTGGGATTACAGGCATGATCCACCACGTGCCCAGCCGAATCACTTCTATGCCTAGTTTGCTAAGAGGTTTTTGTCAGTAATGGATATTGAACTTTGTCAAATGCTTTGTCTGTATCTATTGAGATAATCAGATAGACTTGGTTTTGTTCTTTTTTTTTAGTAATAATTTTCTTTTTAGTCTGTAAATATAGTGATTGATTTTCAAATGTTAACCAACCTTGCATTCCTGGAATAAACATCAGCGGGACATCACCTGTTATCTTTTTTATATATCATTGAATTCAATTTGTTAAAATATTACTAAGGATTGTTACATTTACACTCATGGAAGTTATTGATCTATACCCTTCTTTTAACCTTTGTCTGGTTTTGGTATTAGAGTAATGCTGGCTTCATAGAATGAGTTGAGAAGTGTCGCCTTCTCTTCAGTTTTCTGGAGGAGTCTGTATAGAATTGGTTTTATTTCCTCTTTAAATGTTTGGTGGATTTCCCAGTGAGAGCCATCTGCTCTAATAATTTTCCTTGTGGGAATATTTTTAACTACAGATTAAATTGCTTTAGTAGAGCATTATTTAGCTTATCAATTTTTCTTGAACAAGCATTGATAGTATGTGTCTTTTATTTTTTTTCTGTTAATCAAAGTTGTCAAAGTATAGGTATAAAGTTGTTAGTAATATTTCCATATTAACCGTTTAATATCTGTAGATTATGTAGTGATACTACTTCTCTCATTCCTGATATTGGCAATTCACGTCTTCACTCTTTTTTTCTAATCAGTTTGGCTAGAGGTTTACTGATTTTATTGATCTTTTACTGTTCTTAGTTTTATTGTTTTAATTTCTAATTTTTTTGTTTTCTTTTTCTTTGATTTTTCACCCTGATGATTATTACTGTGTTTCCTTTCTTTTGCTTACTTTTTTTCTTTTTTTTAAAAGAAATGGTGTTTTGCTGTGTTGCCTTGGCTGGACTTGAACTCTTAGGCTCAAATGATCATCCCACATCAGCCTCCCAACTAGTGAGGACTACAGACATAGGCCACCACGTCTCCCTAATTTTTTTTTATTTTTTGGGAGACGAGGTCTTGCTATGTTACCCAGGCTGGTCTTGAACTCCTGGCCTCAAGTGATCTTGCCACCTCAGCCTCCAAAAATGCTGGGATTACATGCGCAAGCTACTGTACTGGCCTCTTTCTGTTATTAATTTTAATTAATTAATTTTTTATTTTTTTACAAAAATGTCCTGCAGTTATTAATTTTGTTTGTTTTTTGTTTTGAGTCTCACTCGTCACCCAGGGTGGACTGCAGTGGTGTGATCACGGTGTACTGCAGCCTTAACTTCCCTGGGCTCAGGTGATTCTCCCACCTCAGCCTCCTGTGTAGCTGGGAGTACAGGCAAATGCCACCAACCTGGCTAATTATTTTTTTCTAATTTTTGTAGAGATGGGGATTTGCCACCAACCTGGCTAATTATTTTTTTCTAATTTTTGTAGAGATGGGGTTTTGCCATCTTGCCCAGGCTGAAATTTTAATTTAATGCTATTGTAGTCAGAAGATATACTTTGTATGTATTGAATCTTTTAAAATTTACAGCCGGGCGCAGTGGCTCATGCCTGTAATCCCAGCACTTTGGGAGGCCGAGGAGGGCGGATCACGAGGTCAGGAGATTGAGACCATCCTGGCTAACACGGTGAAACCCCGTCTATACTAAAAATACAAAAAATTAGCCGGGCGTGGTGGCGGGCGCCTGTAGTCCCAGCTACTCGGGAGGCTGAGGCAGGAGAATGGCGTGAACCCGGGAGGCGGAGCTTGCAGTGAGCCGAGATCGCACCACTGCACTCCAGCCTGGGCGACAGAGCGAGCCTTCCTCTAAAAAAAAAAAAAAAAAAAATTCACTGACACTTGTTTTATGGTTCAGAATATGCTTTACCTTGGTAAGTGTGCACCTGAAAAGATGTGCAAGCCGGGGCGGTGGCTCACGCCTGTGACACCTCACTTTGGGAGGCCGACACGAGCGGATCACCTGAGAAAGGAGTTCAAGACCAGCCTGGCCAACGTGGTGAAACCCTGTTTCTACTAAAAATACAAAAAATTAGCTGGGCCTGGTGGCGCACGCCTATAGTTCCAGCTACTCGGGAGGCTGAGGCAGGAGAACTACTTGAGCCGGGGAGGCAGAGGTTGTAGTGAGCCAAGATTGTGCCACTGCACTCCAGCCTGGGCAACAGAGCCAGACTCCATCTCAAAAAAAAAAAAAAAAAAAAAAAAAGAAAAGAAAAAAGAGGTGCATTTGACTACTGTGACTATTGTTAGGTGGAATGTTCCATAAATGTGATGTGGTCAAGTTGCTTGACAATGCTGTTCAAGTCTTCTATATCCTACTTATTTATTTGTCCTTGTTCTATCAATTATTGAAGGAGAAGGAGTGTCATACACTTTGAATATAATTGTGTATTTGTTTATTTCTCCTTGCAGTTCAGTCAGATTTTGCCCCATGTATTTTCAAGTTCTGTTATTAGGTGCATACGTTTAGGATTGTTATGTCCTTTTGATGAATCAAGCCTTATAACATTATGAAATGGCTCTCTTTGTTTCTAGCAATATTCTTTTCTCTGAAATGTACTTTGTCTAACATCATTACCTCTGGCTCTCTTTTGATTAGTGTTAGAATGGGATTTTTTTCCCCATCCATTTACTTTTAACCTATTTGTGTCTTCATATGCAGGACTAGGGCTGGGCATGGTGGCTCACACCTGCAATCCCAGCACCTCGGGAGGCCAATGTGGGCAGATCATTTGAGCCCAGGAGTTTGAGACCAGTCTGGGTAACATGACAAGACCCCTTCTTTAAATAAAAAATTACATTAAAAAAATATCCAGGACTGGTTTCATTTATGATGCATATAGTTGGGTCTTACTTTTCTTTAGCCAAATCTGAAACTTCTGCTTTTTAATTATGATATTTAGATCATTTTAACTTACAGAAAGTATTGACATGATCAGATTTAAATCTACTATATTGTTCTTTGTTTTCCATTTGTCCCTTCTGTTTTTTATTCTTTCTTCTCTTTTTTCTGCCTCCTTTGGGAATAACTGAGCTTTTAAAAAAATGATTCCACTTTATTTCCTTTTGTGGATTATTAGCTATAATGCTTTGTTTTGTTTTAGTAGTCGATTTAAGGTTCATAGTATTACATGTTTACCATAACACAGTCTACCTTTAGGTGATGTTACATTACTTCGTATCTAATACTAGGACCTTACACTGGCATATTTCCGTTTCATTTCTTTCAGGCTTTGTGGTATTGCTGACATACACTGTACTTCTACGTAAGCTATAAACCCCACAAGACATTATTATTATTATTGCTTTAAACAGTGAATTGTCTTTTAAAGAGATTTAAACAATAAGAAAAAAAGGCTATACTTACTCAAATAGTTTCCATTCCCACTATTTTGTATTCCTTTGTGTAAATCCAGATTTTCATTTTGTATTATTTTTCCTTCTGTCTGAAGAACTCGTGTGTGTGTGTGTGTGTGTGTGTGTGTGTGTGTGTGTGTGTGTTTGAGATGGAGTTTGCTCTGTCACTCACACTGGAGTGCAGTGGTGAAATCTCTGCTCACTTCAACCTCCGCCTCCCAGGTTCAAGCAATACTTCTGCCTCAGCCTCCCGAGTAGCTGGAATTACAAACTTGCACAATCAAACCCAGCTAATTTTTGTATTTTTAGTACAGATGGGGTTCCACCATGCTGGCCAGGCTGGTCTTGAACTCCTGACCTCAAGGGATCTGCCCACCTTGGCCTCCCAAAGTGCTAGGATTGCAGGCATGAACCACCATGCCCACCTGTCTGAAGAACTTTCTTTAACAGTTCCTATTGTGCCAGTCTGGTAGTGATTGTTTCTTTCAGTTTTTGTACATCTGAAAAACTATTTGTTTCTCTTCATTTTTGAAAGTGTTTTATTTTTGGATATAGAACTACACATTTATATTATTAGTTTTGCTCTGTTGTCCAGGATGAAGTACAGTGGCATGATCATAGCTCACTACAGCCTTGAACTCCTGGGCTCTAGCAATCCTCCTACCTCAGCCTCTGAAGTAGCTTTGACTACAAGGACACACCATCATGCCTGGCCAATTCTTTTATTTTTCGTAGAGACAGTGGATTGCTATGTTGCCCAGGCTGGTCTTGAACTCCTTGCTTCAAGCAATCCTCCTGCCTCAGCCTCCCAAAGCGTCCTTCAGTTCTTTAAAGATGTTGCAATGTTTCTTCACTGTCTTTTGACTTACATAGTTCATGACAAGAAGTCTGCCAAATGAATGTATCTTTTTTTCTCTGGATGCTTTTAAGATTTTCTCTTAGTCTCTGGCTTTAACCAATTTGATGATAATTAGCCTTTTGTAGTTGTCATAAGTCATGTGTTTGAGTTTCACTGGGCTTCTTGAACCCATAGGTTTATCATTTTTATCCGATTTTGACAATTTTCCTCCCTTATTTTTGACATATCTTTACTGTCATCTTCCTTTCCTCCATTCTCTCCTTTAGGGACTCTAATTACATGTATATCTGACGACCTGAAGTTCTGTACCTCCCTAATTCTCTGTTTACGTTATTTGGTCTTTTTTGCTCTGTTCATTTTGGATAGTTTCTGTTGCTATGCCGCCAAGTCCACTAATCTTTTCTCCTACAATGTTTAATCTGGTACTAATTCTCTCCAGTGTAATTGAGTTTTCATCCTTAGTAGTTCAATTTGAGTAATTTGTTATATTTGCTATGTCTCTTCTTAACATGTACAATCTTTCCTCATTCAGAAAGATTTGGAATATTGTTATAATAACCGTTTTAATTTTCTTGCCCACTAATTCCACATTTGATGTCATTTCTGGGTCCCTTTTGGGTGACTGATTTTTCTCCTTAAGTTAAATATTTCTTGTTCCTTGTTTGTCTAGTAAATTTATAACTGGGTGTCAGACATTGTGAATTTTACCTGGTGCTGGATGTTTTTGTCTTCTGTTAAATATTCTTGAACTTTTTTCTGGGATGCAATTAAATTTATGGTGAGCACTTTGTTCTTTCATGTCTTGCATTTAAGCTGGGTTAGGTGGGATCAAAGCAGTGTTCAGTTTAGAGTTAATTTTCTTTTACTAGTGGACTTCACCAAAATGAAAAACTTTTGCTCCTCAGAAAACATTCTTTTTTTTTTTTTAAGACGGAGTCTCACTCTGTTGCCCAGGCTGGAGTGCAGTGGCACAATCTCAGCTCACTGCAACCTCCACCTCCCAGGTTCAGGTGATTCTCACACCTCAGCCTCCCAAGTAGCTGGAATTACAGGTGCACACCACCATGCCTGGCTAATTTTTGTATTTTTACTAGAGACAGGGTTTTGCCATGTTGGCCAGGCTGGTCTTGAACTGCTGACCTCAGGTGATCCACCTGCCTTGGCCTCCCAAAGTGCTGGGATTACAGGTGTGAGCCATCCAAAACCTTTTTTTTTTTTTTTTTTTGAGACAGAGTCTCACACTGTCACCTGGGCTGGAGTGCAATGGTGCGATCTTGGCTCACTGCAACCTCCACCCCCGGGTTCAAGCGATTCTCCTGCCTCAGCCTCCCGAGTAGCTGGGATTACAGGCGCCCACCACCACGCCCAGCTAATTTTTTTGTTTTTTCGTAGAGACGGGGTTTCACTATGTTGGCCAGGCTGGTCTTGAACTCCTGACCTGGTGATCCGCCTGCCTCGGCCTCCCAAAGTGCTGGGATTACAAGCGTGAGCTGCCCACCCAGCCCAGAAAACATTCTTAAAAAATGAAGACAAGCCACAGACTGGAGAAAATAGTTTGATGATATACATGTGAAAAAGGACTTGTATCCATAATATGCAAAGAACCCTTAAAACCCAATAATAATAAAACAAACACTCCAGTTTTAAAAATGGGCAAAAGATTTTGGGAGACACTTCACCAAACAAAATATAGGATGACAATTAAACACATGAAAAGATGCTTAACATCATTAGTCATTAGGGAAATGCAAATTTAAGCCACAGTACACATTGCTACACTGCTATTAGAATGGTTAAAAACCCAAACCAAAAAACTGACAATACCACATGCTGACGATGACCTTGAGCAAATGCAATTCTCACACATTGTTGGGGAAAATGACAAATGGTACAATCACTTTGAAAAACAGTTTGGCAGTTTCTCATGAGGTTAAACATTCACTTAGCATCCAGTGCAGCAATACAATACCACTCTGAGGTATTTACCCAAAAGAAATGAAAACCTATGCTTACACAAAAACCTGTATTCAAATATTTATAGCTGTTTTATTCATCATTGCCAAAAACTGGAAGCAAACAAATGACCAGTCGCTGGTTAATGGATAAACAAACTGAGGCCTATCCATACAATAGGATACTACTCAGCACCAGAAAGAAAAAATTACTGATATACGTAACAATCACCTGATCAGATAAATCTGATAATTCTGCTATGTGAAATAAACACACTCAAAGGCTACGTATCATAAGATTCCACTTACATGACATTCTATAAAGGGAATGAAAACAGGAAAGAGAGTACTGGTTGTGAGGGGCTTGGGGTAGGGATCAGGGTTGACTACAGAAGGGCATGAGGGAACTTTTTTTTTTTTTTGAGATGGAGTCTTGCTGTGTTGCCCAGGCTGGAGTGCAGTGGAGTGATCTTGGCTCACTGCAACCTCCACCTCCTGGGTTCAAGCAATTCTCCTGCCTCAGCCTCCCGAGTAACTAGGATTAAAGGCGCCTGCCACCATGCCCGGCTAAGTTTTATATATATTTTTTTAGTAGAGATAAGGTTTCACCATGTTGGCCAGGCTGGTCTCAAACTCCTGACTTCAAATGATCCGCCCGCCTCGGCCTCCCCAAATGCTGAGATTACAGACGTGAGCTACTGCGCCCCGCCGTGAGGGAACTTTTTTTTTAGATGGAGTCTGTCTCTGTCACCCAGGGTGAAGTGTGGCGGCACAATCTCAGCTCACTGCAACCTCCGCCTCCCAGGTTCAAATGATTATCCTGCCTCAGCCTCCCGAGTAGCTGGGATTACAGGCGTGCATCACCATGCCCAATTTTTTGTATTTTTAGTAGAGACAGGGTTTCACCATGATGGCCAAGCTGGTCTTGAACTCCTGACCTCTTGATCCGCCTGCCTCAGCCTCCCAAAGTGCTGGGATTACAGGTTCGAGCCACTGTGCACCACCATGAGGGAACTTTTAAGGGGAATGGAAATGTCTATATCTTGGTAGTGGTGGCAGTTCCATGACTGTATTTGTTTCTTAAACTCATAGAACTGCATACTAAAGAGGATGAAATTTACTGTATGAAAATTGTACCTCAATAAACCTGACTTTTTAAAAAGCTGGCCAGATGCGGTGGCTCACACTTATAATCCCAGTACTTTGGGAGGCCGAGGCAGGAGGATCACTTGAGCTCAGGAGTTCGAGACCAGCCTGGCCAACATGGCAAAGCCCCATCTCTACCAAAAATACAAAAACTACCCTAGTGTGGTGGTGCACACCTGTGGTCTCAACTACTCAGGAGGCTGAGGTGGGAGGATCACTGAAGCCCGCAAAGTGAAGCCTGCAGTGAGCCAAGATCATGCCACTGCACTCCAGCCTGGGTGACAGAGTGAGACCTGTCCGCCCCTGCCCCCTCAACAAAAGAACAAAGCCAAAGGAAATTTGCCACCATCAATATTAAGGTTCTTTCCAAAAATTCATTCTAAAACCTTAATGGAAATTCCCAGAATCCAGTTCCAAACACATTCTGAGCGGTGAGGACAACTTTGGAATTGAAAAAGAGCTCTCAAAGTGGTACACTTTGAAGGGACAGTACTGGGATGGGGGTGGGGGTAAGTAAAACAAAAGTTGACATTAATCTAAAACTTTAAAGAGTTGTGGCTTTATTTTACACATCATGAAACAAACCAGAGGATGTCAAGACACTTCATTTTCAAGCTCTCTTCTGTGAGGCAAAGAGTTGGAGACCAGAGTTCCAAGTCCCTCTTCTGAAAGTTATCAGCTTTGAAAACTGAATTTGAGCAACTCATTTATCCTCTTTGGGCCCCATTTTCTTTTTTTTTTTTTTTTTTTTTTTTTTTTTTTTGAGACGGAGTCTCGCTCTGTCGCCCAGGCTGGAGTGCAGTGGCGCGATCTCGGCTCACTGCAAGCTCCGCCTCCCGGGTTCACGCCATTCTCCTGCCTCAGCCTCCCGAGTAGCTGGGACTACAGGCGCCCGCCACCACGCCCGGCTAATTTTTTGTATTTTTAGTAGAGACGGGGTTTCACCGTGTTAGCCAGGATGGTCTCGATCTCCTGACCTCGTGATCCGCCCGCCTCGGCCTCCCAAAGTGCTGGGATTACAGGCGTGAGCCACCGCGCCCGGCCCCCCATTTTCTTCCTGTGGTAAATGAGGGCAGTAGACTGGGTAACTCCAAGGTTTCATTCTCTGAACTCATTCATTCAATGTTCTTTCTCTATAAATTCTCATAATTTTAACTACTGTCTATCTGCTGGTGAGGCTGGGTGCAGTGGCTCACGCCTGTAATCTCAGCACTCTGGGAAGCCAAGGTGGGAGGGTCGCTTGAACTCAGGCATTCAAGACCAGCCTGGGTAACACAGCAAGACCTCATCTCTATAAAAATAAAAAATAGGCCAGGCGTGGCCAGGATTACGCCTGTAATCCCAGCACTTTGGGAGGCCAAGGCAGGTGGATCGCTTGACGTCAGGAGTTCGAAACCAGCCTGGCCAACATGGTGAAACCCCGTCTTTACTAAAAATACAAAAATTAGCCAGGCGTGGTGGACAGCACCTGCAGTCCCAGCTACTCGGGAGGCTGAGGCAGGAGAATCACTTGAACCCAGGAGGCAGAGGTTGCAGTGAGCCAAGATCGCGCCATTGCACTCCAGCCTGGGTGATGGAGCGAGACTCCGTCTCAAAAAATAAAAATAAAATAAAAAAGAATATATCTGCTCACAAGTTCCTAATTCATACCTTCTGTGTCTTTAACTATATATCTGGGTAACCCCCGCCAGGAACCTTAAACTCAAATGGAAATTTAACTCACCTTTCTCCTCCCTAAGCCCCACCTCTTCCTATCTCCCTCTCTCCTCCCTCTCCCCAAATCCTCCTCAGTGGCAAACCTCCAGTGTCACAGGATCCAGAAACCCAGAAGCCATTTTTGACTCCTCCCTCTCCCTCATTTCCCATTACCCAGGCAATTGCCAACCCTTATATTTTGACTGTTTTTTTTAGATAGGGTCTCGCTCTACCACCCAGGCTGGAGTGCAGTGGCAGGATCATAGCTCACTGCAGCCTCAATCTCCTGGGCTCAAGTGATCCTCCTGCCTCAGCCTCCAGAGTGGCTGGGCTTACAGGTGCACACCACCATGCTCAGCTAACATTTTGACTACTTGATAATTCTCAAAGCAATTCTCAGCTCCACATCTCTATCACCATTACCCTAATTCAAGCCCTCGTTATCATCTCTGGCCTGGACTACTGCCAACAACTTCCCTGCCATAGTTCTGTTGGCCCCATATTCATCCTCTACACAGACACCAGAAGTGTCTTTCTAAAATACAAATCAGAGCATGTCACACCTCTGCTTAAAGCCCTCCAGAACCAACAGCAATGATTACCCTTTCTTGAGTCACAAATCCCTTTGAAAATCTGAAGGTCGCAATTAACTCACTTTCCAAAAAAAAAAAAAGCATGCTCACACACACATACACACACAGAGGGAAGATATAACAACCCCCCTGAAATCCATCCAGAGACTACTTTTTTTTTTTTTTTTTTTTTTTTGAGACAGGGTCTCGCTCTGTCACCCAGGCTGGAGTACAGTGGTGTGATCTCGGCTCGCTGCAACCTCCACATCCCAGACTCAAGCAATTCTCTTGCCTCAGCCTCCCTAGTAGCTGGGACTACAGACATGTGCCAGCACATCTGGCTAACTTTTTTTGTATTTTTTTATAGAAATGGGGTTTTGCCATGTTGCCCAGGCTGGCCTCAAACTCCTGGGCTCAAGTGATCCACTCACCTTGGCCTCCCAAACTGCTGGGATTACAGGTGTTAGCCACCACACCTGGCCTCTTTTTTTTTTTTTAATTAGAGATGGGATCTTGCTATGTTGGCCAGGCTGGACTTGAACTCTTGGGCTCAAGCGAGCCTCCCATGTAGCTGGGACTACAGGCATGGATCCCCACGTCAGACCAACCATCCAGAGACTCTTGGTCTACATGATAAAGTCCAACCACTTAACATAACACATCACCAAAGTATCCCTTACACATTACATGTTATGCTCAGGCAACCCTGAATTTTCTTTTTTTAAAACCTATTCATTAGAAATCTTCAAATAATTTGCTGAATTACAACTTTATAAATGATAGTTACTCTAATCCTGGCGACCTTATACATTGTGTCACAACAACTCGGAATGAAATCATAGTTTTCCATCTGTGGAAAACTCCATTTGCTGTCCTATTTACCTGGAACATCCTCACCCTCTTCTTTCTCTGACAAGTCTTACTTCTCTTCCAGTATGACTCTGGCATCACCTTCTCTTGGAAGCTTTGCTTTACCTTCTCAGTCTGGGTTAGAGGTTCAGCCACTGTGCATATTTCTAAAACTCCACTGCAATTTTCTTTCTATATGTCTGACCTTCTCCCACCAACACCCCTAACATTATACTTTGAGGGCAGGAAACAGTACTGTGTAGCATTTAACACAGGTCCTAGACATAGACGGCGCTCAAAAACATCTGTGGAAGGAGGAAGGGTGGGAAGGAGGGAGGGAATTAAAAAAGAAGGGAGGGAAGGAGAGAGGCAGGCAAATCTTGTGACTCCAAATCCTAATGTCTTCAGACTTCATATATTTTTCTTTCTGCAAAACACGTGCCTAACAAGGAGTGCAGCTGTGCTTTACAAGTATTATCTGATGAAGGAGTAAGATACTGCTTATCTCCTTTTTACAAATGAGGAACTTAAGTGCAGAGACATTCTCTGCCACAGAAAACAGCACGTTTCTTAAATGTGTTTTTAGTCCTAATATATCTATGGGCATTACCTCCAAGAACATAATATCAAACATTAGGAAAAGCATAACTCAAATAACAAAATATTCCAAGACCGAATTCAGTGACTATCTTATACACTGTCTTATACACTAAAGCCTGCTTTAGCATAGACTGTAAATAATTGTATGGAAGATTCTTGGCTACCAATTGACCTTATAATGACAGCAGTAAAAAAATGTATATTTTTTTACTGTTTAACCTAAAAAAAAATGGTTCCTCTTTTAGGATCTTATGCAATTTCTGTGGCCACAAAAGAACACTGTGTGCACTTTATATATTTTTTTCCTTTCTTTTTTCTTTTTTTAGAGATAGCATCTTGCTCTGTCACCCACGTTAGAGTACAGTGGCATGGTCGTAGCTCACTGCAGCCTCAAATTCCTGGGCTCAAGCTATCCTCTTATCTCAGCCTCCTGAGTAGCTGAGGCTACAGGCATGTGCCTCTACGCTCAGTTAATTTTTAAATTTTTTTGTAGAGACTGGGTCTCGCTGTATTGCCCAGGCTGGTCTTGAACTCCTGGGCTCCAGTGATCCTCCCACCTAGGCCTCCCAAAGTGCTGGGGATACAGGTGTGAACCACTGCACTCTGCCTACTTTTATATTATTTTAAAATTTCCTTCACATGTGTTGGTACTCATAGAACAGAATTGCGTGAGTCAAATTAGTGACCAGTAGTGACTTCTACAAAAGCTTTCATTACTTCAAAACCACTGATAATGCAGCCATAGAAAGTATCAACCAAGAATAACTAAATCACTTAGGTATAAAACTCGCAGATTCCCCAAAGACAGAAAAATCTTCGACCCTATAACTGTGACTACCTGAGAAGTGGATACAGCTTTTCTGGAAGTCATAGAAAAACATCTTAAGATCACAAAGTCTCCTGATAAAAACCAAAAAGCTTGCAGGTGAGCAGTCTGGGTATATAAGAAAAAACAAAAAACCAAAAAGCTCTACTCAGACAAACCACCTACTGTGAAGTTCACAAGAATTTGCTATTTCAGAGGGAATAAAGGATACAGCACAGTGTCAAGACCAAGCTAAGCCAATTTCCAGCCCTTCAGTTTCCCCTCTCTTTTTTTTTTGAGAAGGAGTCTCGCTCTGTCTCCAGGCTGGAATGCAGTGGCATGATCTCGGCTCACTGCAACCTCCACCTCCCAGGTTCAAGTGATTCTCCTGCCTCAGCCTCCTGAGTAGCTGGAACTACAGGCGTGCGCCACCACACCCAGCTAATTTTTGTATTTTTAGTAGAGACAGGGTTTTATCACGTTGGCCAGGATGGTCTTGATCTCTTGACCTCGTGATCTGCCCACCTTGGCCTCCCAAAGTGCTGGGATTACAGGCATGAGCCACCTTGCCCGGCCCCCTCTCCAAATTCTTACTCCTGTTATCTACAAGATCCCTTTCAAAGTTAAGAAAAATGATAAAATACAATACTCTTGAGATTATTTGCTTTTTGTCAAATCAAAATCTTTGCCCAAAGATTAAGGCAATGTCTGGTAGGTATGTGGGGAGGCAGCAAGACTGTAATCTTGAACTTGAATGATAGGGGTTAGTTACTGTCACCCTGCTTGCCGAGTGTCATGCAAGGATGAGATGAGAGGAACACAAAGAACCGTGGATATGTTGTTGAAGCCGAGGCATTTTGTGGGCTTCTCAAATGAGCAGGAATACCCTCCCAGAGTAAAATGTGGTCAATACCTTTGCTTAAAGAATGATTTGGAAAAGTGCTTCTTCCCAAGACCTAAAAGATGACCATATTTAGCTTTGGAACAGTTTGTTCCTTTTACTTTAAATGGAAGAGCATTTTCTTTCCCATAAGCATTAAATACAGTACTATATCTCCATTTTTAAGTAGTTTTAGGCTGGGCGCACTGGCTCACATGTGTAATCCCAGCACTTTGGGAGGCTGAGGCAGGAGGATTGCTTGAGCTCAGGAGTTCAAGACCAGCCTAGACAATACAGTGAAACCCCATCTCTACAAAAAATACAAAAATTAGTCGGGTGTCATGGTGCATGCCTGTAGTCCCACAACTCAGGAGGTTGAGGTAGGAGGCTTGCTTGAGTCCGTAAGGCAGAGGTTGCAGTGAGCCGAGACTGTACCACTGCACTCCAGCCTGGGTGATAGGGCCAGGTCTTGTCTCAAAAAAAATTTAAAAAGTAGTTTTAGGGGGCAAAAAACTGGGATCCCTTTTCTGACCAGGCTAAAGCTTCCTTCATTGACGCATGCAATTTTTTTTTTTTTGAGATGGAGTCGCACTCTGTCACCAAGGGTATAGTGCAATGGCGCAATCTTGGCTCACTGCAACCTCTGCCTCCCAGGCTCAAGTGATTCTCCTGCTTCAGCCTCCCAAGTAGCTGGGATTACAAGCGTCTGCCACCACGCCTGGCTAACTTTTGTATTTTTAGTAGAAACAGGGTTTCACCATGTTGGCCAGGCTGGTCTCAAACTCCTCAAGTGATCTGCCTGCCTCAGCCTCCCAAAGTGCTGGGATTACAGGCATGAGCCATCGCACCCAGCCAGACTCATGCAATTTTTAATGTATATTTAGTAATCATAATAACTGTGTTGGAAGGTTTAATAAAAGAAAGCATACTGAAATACTTTTCCTGGGGAAAGGCAATGACCACACATTTCTTAAAAAAATAAAATTGGTTATTTATACACAAGTTCCCCTACCTCCATCTCTTTAATCTTTGTACTGCTTGTGCCTAGCAAGAAATAGGTATTCTGTCAGGCACGGTAGCTCACACCTGTAATCCTAGCACTTTGGGAGGATCACTTGAGCCCAGGAGTTCAAGATTAGCCTGAGCAATACAGTGAGATCTCATCTCTACCAAAAAATTTTTCAAAAAATTAATGAGGTGTGGTGGCACGTGCCTGTGGTCCCAGGTACTCAGGAGGCTGAGGTAGGAGGCTTGCTTGAGCCCAGGAGGTTGAAGCTGCAGTGAGCTGTGATCACACCACTGCACTCCAGCCTCAATGACAAAGGGAGACTGTCGAAAGAAAGAAAGAAAAAGAAAGAAAGAAAGGAAGGAAGGAAAGAAGGAAGGAAGGAAAAAAATGGGTATTCAATTAAAGTTTGTTAAATAAAAACAGATTTTTTCTTCCTAATGCATGTTTTCTCTTCATTTTTCTTATCTGAAGTCTTCCCTTGGAATATAAGTAAGTCTTCCTCCTTCCCATTTAATATCTCATTGCCTGATTGTTTTTCAGTTTAAACAACAGGAGAATCCAATAACAAATATTTACCAATAGCTAAGAGTTACTGAAAGTGCCTTCTTAGTTATAAAAAGTTAATCCATTTTTAATGTAAGGCAAGAAGTTCACAATTAAACCTAAGAGGATAATTTACTATAGATAGACGTGAAGTACCTAAAAAGAAATGAATATCCAATCTACACCTATATAATGGCAAAAATTAGAACTAGAGTTTCAGAGTCAGAGGGGACATTAATGTCAGGTCGGCAGGTCTGGGCTCACATCCAATCCAAACCAAGCTTTGCTGAGTGTCCCTTCCCTCCACTTTCTCCTGAATCATTCCCCCTTGGGCTAGGAGTTTCCAAGAAGGCAAATAAACTAAGATAAGCAACAAGAGCAAAGAATGGCAACTCAAATGTGCAGTTCAAGGCTTTGAATACGAATTTTTTTTAACACTAATGAAAAAGGTAGTATCATAGCTCTTAAAATATTGAAATACTTCTCTCTGTCCAGTATCAGCAGATAATGCAGAAAAGCCCATTGGGAACATGTTCCTCTCCTTCAAATGCCACTTAGAAAGCTTCATCATTATTCATAAATGATGAATAGAAGTCTGGGCATGGCCGGGTGTGGTGGCTCATACCTGTAATCCCAGCGCTTTGGGAGGCTGAGGTGGGTGGATCGCCTAAGGTCAGGAGTTCGAGACCAGCCTGGCCAACATGGTGAAACCTCGTCTCTACTAAAAATACAAAAATTAGCTGGGTGCGGTGGCACGCACCTGTAATCCCAGCTACTCAGGAGGCTGAGGCAGGAGAATCGCTTGAACCTGGGAGGCGGAGGTTGCAGTGAGCTGAGATCGCGCCACTACACTCCAGCCTGGGTGACAGAGCAAGACTCCGTCTCAAAAAAAAAAAAAAAAAAAAAAGTAGTGTTTACAATATAAGGGAAATTGGGATCCCATGTTCTAATTCAAAGAATTTAAGGCTATTAACCATTTTAAAGTTCTCATGTTTAAGCTTCTCACTTTATCCTTCTTTATTCAAGAAAATCCATAATACAAAGTATTGGCAAAGATGTGAGGAACTGGAACTGCCATACACTGCTAGTGGGAGTGGAAATTGGTGTAACCACTGTGGAAAACCGTTTGACGGTATCTACCAAACCTGAACATATCCCTTCCCTATGATCCAGGAATTCTACTTGTGGGCATAATCCTTTATACTGGTGTTTATGTCCACCATATATAAAACAATGTTCACAGCAGTGCTATGCATAATTACACAAAATTGGAACAACTTCCATGTGCTTCGTGAACATAATGGATAAAATAAATTATAAGATCTATTCATACCACGGAATGGTACCAGCAATTAAAAAAAAAAACACTGCTACAGAGAACAAGGTTGAATCTTATTATTATAATGTTGAGTAAAAGAAGGTGGACATAAAAGAGCACACGATGATGGTTTGGTTTACATGAAGTTCAAACATAGGCAAAAGCAATCCATGGCATCAGAAGTCAGAATAGTGGCTACCTGGGGAGGGGGTACTGACAGAGAGGGTGGAGCTAGAATTGCTCTATATCTCAGTCTGATCGTGGTTATTTGGGCACGTACATATGTGAAAACTAATGAAATTGTACTCTTAAGATGTGTGCATATTTACTGTGTGCCAATTATACTTCATTTAGAAATATCTGGAGAGAGAGACATAGAAATTTCTGAATTCTTTCCTAAATAGAAAAGAATTCCATGCAGCTTAAATATCGTTGCAAGTATTGATGCTTATACCTTTAGAAAGCCCATTATGCTTCTGAAAAATGCACTTACTACTTAATATCATACATAATAGAAAGCTAACATTTTGTATTAACGGAATCTGGAAAACATATTGTACTACACATTTGAAATTACAGATTTACTAACTAGTAAAGATAACTATTTAAGAACTAAAATGTCTTTGTTTTTCAACTCTTTTCCCCCGATTTCCATTTTTTACTTTTTATATTTCAGAATTATTTGTAACAAAAGCTATTGGATATAATTCCTGCACTTCTATATTGCAAGCATTTTCTCTATTTACCACAGAGACTTCAAGTCCTAGCATTTCAGAGCTGAAGGGGACTCGGACGGACTCCCTCACTGCACAGATGAGGACGCGGAGGCCGGGGGAGGTGAGTGTCAGTCCCAAGGTTGCAGACCTAGGACAGGGACCGGAGCTGCCGGGCACCCAGAACTCTGTCGCCTTCAACCCAAATTCGATTCAGTCCTCTCATCTTTCCAAATAGAAAGCTGACGCGAACCGATGGGAAGATTTTTTTTTTCAATAACAACTATGCTACCCAGCAGATTCTTTGGGGACAGTCCTCGGAGTCCTTGAAAACCCCTTTGGGGTTTATGCCAGGATAAGAAGAGACTAGAAGAAAGGGACAGCTAGTATTTTAATATGTAAATCTGTTTGCATAATATTTCCTAGGTAAACTATTCGTTGATCCAACCAAAATTCGGCGGGGCTGGGGGGTATCGTTATTGAGGATGACTCGCTCTAGGGGAGAACGCGGACGCATTTTCCCATCAGAGTTCCCTCCATAAATCAAAACCTCAAAAGAAGAGTTAAAGACGACACCCAGGTGTCTACAGTATCCAAGGGCCGGGCCAGGAGAGGTCCTTGGCCACCTGGCGCCGAGTTCGCGGCCGCAGACTCCCACGGACGGCCCAGCACCCGAGCGCGCGGGCCGAGCTGCCCCAGACCCGGCGCAGCGCCTCGGCGAGGCCGTCTGCGAAGTCCGGGCCGCCACTCGGGACCGCGGCCCGAGCCAGAGGAGAGACTTCGGAGAAGAGGGAAGAGGACGCGGGGTGGGAAACGCCGGGGCCGCAGGCAAGTAGTGGGCGAGTCCGGAGGGCGCGAAAGAGGGGAGGGGCGCGGGAGGCAATGGAAGGAGCGAGCGCGGGGAGGAGCGAGGCGGCTGGGCCGGAGGAGGCGCGCGCCCGGGTCCACACTGCGGGGTGGGGGCTGAGGGACCGCGAGGGGCTGCGAGCGAGCGAGCGGGGCCTTACCGAGCAGCGGCAGCTGGCCGCCGTCGCGCGCCAACGCCGGCATGGCCTCCGGAGCCCGGGGTCCCCAGGCCGCGCCGGCCCAGCCCTGCGATGCCGCCTGGAGCGGCGCGCCTCGCGCTGCAGGTGGCTCTCTTAAGGATGCGCGTCACCGACCGCAAATTCCCTCGGACTGGTGCAAAGTGGAAGGGGGGAGGAACCCTCTCCCCAGAGGCAGGGACCGAGGCGGGAGCGGAGAGGTTGGGCAGAGCCGAGCAGCCGGTGCCTGGCGCAGCGCTGCAGCCGAGCCCACGTGCCCGCCGCGGTCCGCAGCCTGTGCTCGGCGGCCCCCGGGGCTCCCCGACTGCGGCGGGGAAGATTGGGCGCGGTCCCGCCGGAGAAGTTGCACTGGCTCCGCGGCTCTGCCGCCTTGCTGCCCCTGTGAGTCCCCGAACTCTGTCGTTTGGATCCGGGGCGTGGGGACTGCAGGGAGCCACAAACCACCCTCCTAGTGCGCTGGGATCTTTGAGGCCCTGAGAAAGGCGCTGAATCCGCTCGGCACGCTGGCAACTCCCGCCAGCGCACAGGCGAGCATTCCATTAAGAACCATTCCATTCTTAATTGTGGACTGATTTCCTTTGTCTCTGCCTCCATCTCCTAGGATGCTCAGGACCCAGTCAGCGGCGGGATCAAGAAAAACAGGCAGGGTTTCAATGTCAACCAAGGCAATTAGGGAGGTTAACAAACAGCCTTCAAAACAAAACACACAGAAAATACATCCCAGAGGATGTTGCGAATCATCCGCTCAATAGTTCTTGTTCTTCATCGCATAATTTTTCGAGTTGAAAATTATTATTATTTTCTTTGCAATAAGTTGAGGATTGGAAAGCTCTGGATGCCAGTTCTGGTTCTTCCCTTACTTAACTAGCCGTTTGACCTCCACAAACCTCTGTTTACTCATCGTAAAGGAAAGGGATGGACCAAATGGTTCATAATGTCTCTCCCAATTCTAGGAATTCCACGCTCTTAATTATTTTAATTATTTTCTAATAAAGCATGAAAATTGACTGTTTACTCTTGGCCATACAGTTCTTTTCCTTAGATGTTGTCTACAGTACAATAATTCTTTCCCCTAGGGTATGGCAGAAACTTTAGAAGTGTCTACCATGGTGCAGCCACTATGGAAAACACTATAGAGGTTTCTCAAAAAATTAAAAAAAATACGGTCCAACAATTCCATTTCTGGCCATGTAGCCAAAAGAATTGAAAGCAGGGTCTTGAAGAGATGTCTGTACACCCGTGTTGAAAGCAGCATTATTCACAGTAGTCAAAAGGCAGAAGTAACCCATGTCCACAACAGATGAATGATAAACAAAAATGCAGTATATACATACGACTGAGTATTTTTCAGCTTTAAAGAGGAGGGAAATTCTGATACAGCTAAAATATGGATGAATCTTGACATTATGCTAAGTGAAATAAGCTAGTCCCAAAAAATACAATACTGTATCCCATTACAAATTCATAAAGACAGAAAGTTAAATGGTGGTTACCATGGGCTGGGGGCAGGGGGAAATGGGGAGCCAGTGTTTAATGGATACAGAGTTTCAGTTTTGCAAGATGAGCAGAGTTCTGGAGACTGGTTGCACAACAATGTGAATGTACTTAACGCTACTAAACTGTACACTTAAAAATGGCTAAGGCTGGGTGCGGTGGCTCATGCCTGTAATCCTAGCACTTTGGGAGGCCGAGGTGGGCAGATCACCTGAGGTCAGCAGTTCGAGACCAGCCTAGCCAACATGGTGAAACCCCATCTCTACAAAAATGCAACAATTAGCCAGGCGTAGTGGCGCATGCCTGTAATCCCAGCTACCTGGGAGGTTGAGGCAGGAGAATCACTGGAACCCGGGAGGCAGAGGCTGCAGTGAGCTGAGATCACACCACTGCACTCCAGCCTGGGTGACAGAGTGAGACTCTGTCTCAAAAACAAAAACAAAAACAAAAAGTTAAGATGGTAAATTTTATGTATGTGTATTTTACCTCAATTTTAAATTTTTTAAGTTTTTGTGTAGCTGCTGGGGGTTTAAAAATTTTTTTAAAGAGTGTTGTGTCTACCTTAGGTCAGAAACAGAAGTGAAGGAAGATGGCCTGAAATAAGTGAAACATGAGGAGATAAAGCAATGAAACAGGCTGGTTATGGGGAGAAAAGCGAGCTTCCAATGGCCAAGACCTAACACACTACCTTCTATTTAAAGCTCAATTACTGTCTTAAAGGAAACTGATTGGCTGGGCGCTGTGGCTCATGCCTGCAATCCCAGCGCTTTGGGAGGCCAAAGCGGGTGGATCATTTGAGGTCAGGAGTTGGAGACCAGCCTGACCAACATGGTGAAACCCCATCTCTAACAAAAATACAAAAATTAGCTGGGCATGGTGGCACTGTAGTCGTAGCTACTTGGGAGGCTGAGGCAGGGGAATTGCTTGAACCCAGGAAGCAGATGTTGCAGTGAACTGAGATCATGCCACTGCACTCCAGCCTGGGCAACAGAGCAAGACTTGGTCTTCGCCGGGCGTAGTGGCTCATGCCTGTAATCCCAGCACTTTGGGAAGCTAAGGCAGGTGGATCACGAGGTCAGGAGTTCAAGACCAGCCTGGCAAAGATGGTGAAACCTGTCTCTACTAAAAATACAAAAAATTAGCCAGGCGTGGTGGCATACGCCTGTAATCCCAGCTACTCAGGAGGCTGAGGCAGAGAATTGCTTAAACTTGGGGAGCGGAGGTTGCAGTGAGCCAAGATCGCGCCACTACACTCCAGCCTGGGCGACAGAGGGAGATTCCGTCTCAAAAAAATAAATAAATAAAATGAAAAACTAAAAAAAAAATGAAACTGATTATTACAAATTTGCAGAACATCAGCTTGAGTGCAGCAGTATTCAGGATACAAAATCATAAAGATACTGCTGCTTTGTCCAAGAATCTTGGACACAAGGCAGAGATCTTCATGAAAAAGGGGGTTGGTGAGAGAGGAGAAGTTAGGAATGGTTTCTTTTTTTGAGACAGAGTCTTGCTCTGTCGCCCAGGCTAGAGTGCAGTGGCACGATCTAGGCTCACTACAACCTCCGCCTCCCGGGTTCAAGCGATTCTCCAGCCTCAGCCACCTGAGTAGCTGGGATTACAGGCACCCGCCACTGCGCCCAGCTAATTTTGTATTTTTAGTAGAGAAGGGTTTCACCATCTTGGCCAGGCTGGTCTCAAACTCCTGACCTCGTGATCCACCCTCCTTGGACTCCCAAAGTGCTGGGATTACAGGTGTGAGTCACCGCGGCCAGCCAGGAATGGTTTCTAGGAACACTTGATTTTCCGTGGAAATTGGTGGAAAAAATAATTCTAGAAGGAGCAAATCTTATAGACTGAAATATTTTGGAGTATGAGGTATAGGCTAACAGAAGGTGAAGTAATGCCCATGTTTTTCTGTGATGTGCCAAGAGTCATATCTAATATGAGAACTAATTTCTTCCTCACAGCAACACTTAAGGAAAGTAGCCTGAAATTGTCTAGAGTCCTGGATTACACGCCCAGGTATGCATGCCCAAGTATGAAATTTTGGTGTCAGAGTTCATGATAGGAATTCTGTAATAAAGAAACTCTTAAAGGGTCAAAAGCAACTAGAAGAAATGAGCTGAAACGGGAAATCGGAAAAGAGAAGAGTAAGTTTGTTTCTGGGTTGAATGGAGTGTCTAGTGCTAACTCTACGAAAGGATGTATTTTATCTAGATTCTTAGCACCATGATGCTTAGCCATGAGTAAGTGGTCATCTATCTTACCAGCATCTTGATACCATGTTTCCACCCCTTAAGTCACACAAATATCTCCTCTCCCTTTCCTCTCTCTCTCCAAAAATTGTGACATAGTTTCGTAGCAGCTCACAGGTGAAATACTTTCATGTCATTTTTAACTTACAAAGCCTTATGTTTTCCTGAAAATCAGGGACAAACAAAAGGAATATTTGAATAGGGTTCATGTGAGTTCAGTTGAGATATCAACTTTATAGTATAATTTTACACATCTTTTATTAATAGGGGCTTTGAACTCACCAATTGGCAAAATCTGACAATACAAAGTGTTGACAAGAATTCAGAGCAATGGAGAACACCCACACACTGTTGGTGGACATCCCAATGGGTGTGAGCACTTTGAAAAATAATTTGGCATATCTTACTAAAGTTGAACATATCCTCCAGCCAGCAGTTTCACCCCCAGATATAAACCTCAAAGAAACACATATGTGCCAAGAGACAAGTATAAGAATGTTCATAGCATTATTGTTTATAATATCAAAAAATTGGGAACAATCTAAATGCCCACCAACAAAAGGATAAATTGCAGTACAGTCATAATAAAATACCTATATATTAAATAACAGTGTAAATGAATGAGCTACAGTTACCTGACACACCATGAATGAATCTCAAAAACATAATGTTGAGGGGGAAAAGCAAGTCATGGAATAATAGACATAAAGGCGGAAGCAAACAATATTCTCCTTAGGAATACATTCATAGGGGTATAAGGAAAGTAAAGGAATAATTACCACAAAAGTCAGGATTGTGGTTACGTCTGGTATGGGGTGGGAAGAGGAGGTTTAATTAGAGAAGACAAACTGGGGATTTCTGAGGTGCTAACATACCCTATTGTTGTTTTGCGATAGGGTCTTGCTACACTGCCCAAGCTGGAGTGTAATGGCTATTCACAGGCACGACCATAGCTCACTGCAGCCTTGAACTCCTGGGCTCAAGCCTCTGGGTAGCTGGGACTACAGGTGTGGACCACCATGTCCAACCACACCCTATTTTTTTTTAACCTCTGTGGTGGGTGCTGGATGTTCATTTTATTGTTATTCTTTAAACTATGTAATTATTTTTACACACTGCTGTGAATATGATGTATTTCACAACAAAAGAAAATTAAAGGCCGGGTGCGGTGGCTCATGCCTGTAATCACAGTATTTTGGGAGGCCGAGGCGGGCGGATCACAGGTCAGGAGTTTGAGACCAGCCTGGCCAACATGGTGAAACCCCGTCTCTACTAAAAGTACAAAAATTAGCCGGGCACAGTGGCACGCACCTGTAATCCCAGCTACTTGGGAGGGAGGCTGAGGCAGGAGAATCACTTGAACCCAGGAGGCGGAGGTTGCAGTGAGCCGAGATGGTGCCATTGCACTCTAGCCTGGGCGACAGAGCAAGACTCCAACTCAAAAAAAAAAAGGAAAATTAAAGAAGTTTGAGGCCAGTCACAGTGGCTCACACCTATAATCCCAGCACTTCGGGAGGCTGAGATAAGAGGATCACTGAGCCTAGAAGTTACAGACCACCCTGGGCAATAAAATGAGACCCCACTTCTAGAAAAAAAAAATTAAAATTAGCCGGGTATGTGGCTCACACCTGTAGTCCCAGCTATTCAGGAGGCTGAGTCAGGAGGATTGTTTGAACCCAGAAACTTGAGGCTGCAGTGAGCTGCGATTGTGTCACTGCACTTCAGCTTGAGCAACAGAGCAAGATCTTGTCTCTAAAAAATAATAATTAAAAATAAATAAATAAGTTTGACACATTTTCACCTACAAGTATTCTTATACAAACAAATGATATTTGAATCTGATTAAGATTCCAGGGCCTGGTGGCGCACACCTGAAGATCCCAGATCCAACTACCAATTTATAGGAAATACATGGGATAGTGGAATATGGGACAACACAGGGACATAATTTTAAAATTCCAAAGGCCAGGTGCAGTGGCTCACACCTGTAATCCCAGCACTTTGGGAGGCTGAGGGGGGCGGATCACTTGAGGTCAGGAGTTCAAGACCAGCCTGGCCAACATAGTGAAACCCTGTCTCTACTAAAAATACAAAAATAAGCTGGGCATGGTGGCGGCCGCCTGTAATCCCAGCTACTCAGGAGGCTGAGACAGGAGGATCGCTTGAACCCAGAAGGTGGAGGTTGCAGTGAGCCCAGATGGTACCATTGCACTCCAGCCTGGGTGACACAGCAAGACTCCATCTCAAAAAAATATAAATAAATAAATAAATAAATAATAAATAAAATAAAATTCCAGAACCTAGGAAACTGTATGGAACAAATATCTTGGTTTCTTCAACGAAAATTTGTAAGAAAATAAAAAAAGAGATGGAGCCTATAAATTAAAAGAAACCTAAGATATATTAAGGACATTACAATATCAAGCAATTGTAATGTGCAATGTAAAGATGTTATTTGGATGCTGATTCAAGTAACCCGAAAAATATACATAAAATAATTGGGAAAATGTGATCACTGGTTTTAATTTTGATATTATTTTATAAAAAATTATATGTGTGTGGGAGGCTGAGGTAGGAGAATTGCTTGAACCCCAGGAGGCGGAGGTTGCAGTGAGCCGAGATTGCGCCACTGCACTCCAGCCTGGGGGACAGAGAGAGACTCTGTCTCCATTAAAAAAAAAAAAAATTATGTGTGATGATAGCATTGTTATATATTTTAAAAATCATTCCTATCTTTGCAGAGGTACACATGAAATAGTTACAGAAAAAATGATATGAAATGGGAAGGTTGAGGGGGAATAAGGAGTGACAGTTAATGGGAACAGGGTTTCTTTTTTTCGGATGATGAAACTATTGTAAAATTAGATTATGGTGATGGTTGCTCAACTCTGTAAATACACTAAAAACCACTGAATTGTAGGCTAAATAGGTGAACTATAGACATGTAAATTGGATCTCAGTGAAGCTGTAAAAAATGACATAAAGCCAGAGATTTTCTTCAAAATCATCTGATGTGGAGGGTTTGAGTGGAGCAATCAAAATTAACCATGTGTCACCAGTAGTTGCACCTCAGCCACAGTCATATAAGTTCATTATACTTTTTATTAGACATTTTCTATAATAAAAGGTTTTGAATAAAAAAGATTTGAAGAAAAGGCCGAGCCGTTGCGTACCTAGGATGCCATGTGGAAGCTGAAGCTGCACCTCCCGCGTGACCCCTCTAGCCAGCTGGGCCCCTCAGATGAGAGTTGCATCCAGGCCAGCACTAGCCGCTCAGCCACCAGCAGCGGCACCCCCATCTGCAGTTGGCTCTCCTGCTGCTGTGCCCCGTCTGATGGCCCAAATGGCAACCACTGCAGCTGGCGCGGCTGTGGGCTCTGCCGTGGGGCACACACTGGGTCACGCCATTACTGGGGGGTTTAGTGGAGGAAGTAATGCTGAGCCTGCGAGGCCTGACATCACTTACCAGGAGCCTCAGGGAACCCAGCTGGCACAGCAGCAGCAGCCTTGCTTCTATGAGATCGAACAGTTTCTGGAGTGTGCCCAGAACCATGGTGACATCAAGCTCTGTGAGGGTTTCAATGAGGTGCTGAAACAGTGCCGACTGGCAAAACGATTGGCCTGATCAAGAAGTTCAACCTGGAGAAATGGAAAATCAGCTCTATAACCAAGTTAATTTAGTATAAAAATCAAATTGATAGTGAAGGTATAAAGTGTAACCATCAGTTAAACCTCTTGTGTCATTCCTAGCTTCCTTGCTTCTGAATTGAAATGGAAGGGGGTGTTCCTACTCTGTAGAATTTGGGGCTGGGCAAATGTTTGTGTGGCCTCCTTAAAAGAGCTGTTATGATTTTATTCTTTGTGAGTTAATTAGAATAAAGTCATTTTCTTCCAAGGGAAAAAAAAAGATTTGAAATATTGGACAAGTTAACTTATCCTGAATGTGTGGAAGATGACTACCCCTGCTTAGAACTCATGAGCTGCTCTTTACTGTGTTTTTATTAACCCATCTAAATGGGATGAACAATAACAGGACCCTGGAATCTGTTTCCATTATGCAATTGGTGGCACACAGGTAAACTGCAAAATTCCAACTGCAGAATTTCATAATTGATAGTTCTTCCTTTATGTCTAAGATGATTTCAAAATAATCATCTCCTTAGAATTATTCGCAACAGATAATGTATTAGTTTGCTGGAGCTGCCATAACAAAGTACCACAGACACAGTTCTGGAGGCCAGAAGTCCAAGATCAAGGTGTTGGCAGGGTTGGTTCTAAGGGCTGTCATGGAGAATCTGTTCCAAGCCTTGTACTGGCTTCTGGTGGTTTGCAGGCAATATTTGGTGCTCCTTGGCTTCTGCTACATCACCCCGACCTCTGCCTTCATGTTCACGTGGCAGTCTCCCTGTGTGTGTGTCTGTCTAGCGCTGCATTTGAATTTCCCCTTTTCATAAGGATACCGGTCATATTGGATTAGGACCCACCCAATGACCTCAGTGTAACTTGATTACCTCTGTAAAAAGCCTATCTCCAAATAAGGTCACATTCTGAGGAATATGGGGTTAGGACCTCAAAAATACGTTTTTTAGGACCACAAAAAAATTGTGTCCTGTTAAGGGACACAATTCAGCCCTTAACGGATAGATTTCAAAATCAATAGAAATTAATTCATTTGCTTCACCTATAGATTGCTTGTTAATTGATATATTAAGTAGATTTCAATTTGATATTTTACTTTTACAAAAAATATTGAGCATGGGTAACTTTTAGAAGTCAACACAAAAATGGGAGCTGTTGAAAATTTTGCTTTCAAAGAGTTTAAGGTTAAAAAAGGGTACAAACTACATGACATGACAGTCATTAAATTTTCAGAAATTATGTATATGCCTACTCAAATAACTAGAAGATAATACACTAAAATGCAAACTGATTATCTCTGACTCATGGCCTTATTAGTGAGATGGAACTGATTTCTCCATCAGAAATCTAAGGCTCAGAGCTGTTAGGTGACCTACCTAAAGTCTCACAGCCAGTAAGAGGCTGAATGTGATTAGAATTCAAATTGGCTCATATCCAAAACCCCTGCTTTCAGCCATTATGGCTTAGAATAATAATTGCCACCATTTGAGTTCCTAAAATGTGCCAAACATTATACCAATCACTTTACAATCTTTGCTTCACTTAATACTAATAACAATCCCATAGGTTAGGTATTTTTCCCATTCCAAAGAAGTCTAATAGCAGCCTAAACTTTGAAGCAGGAGAGATGGATGATCCAGAAAGCCAAAAGAGGGAGTTCATGGAAAGAAGACAAGTTACAAAGATGGAGGTATCTGTGGTAAGGCGAGTTGGCCCATTTTACACTGTCAAAAATAACTAAGGACATAAGGGGTTTGAACAAAGTAATTAACAAGGAAAGAGTGAACACATTTATGTAGAATTTATATCCTACAAGCAGACAAAACATCTTCTTTTTGGACTTACATGGCATTTTATAAATATAGTTGTGTGTCACTTAATAGGACAGGTTCTGAGAAATGGATTGCTAGGCAATTTCATTGTTGCATAAACATCAGAGTGTACTTACACAAACCTAGATATTAGCCTACTGCATACCCAGGCTATGTGGTATAGCCTGTTGCTTCTAGGCTACAAACTTATATGGCATGTATTATACTGAATACTGTAGGCAGTTGTAACACAATAGTAAGTATTTGTATATCTGAACATATTGAAATATAGAAAAAGTACAGTAGAAAACCAGAACTATAATCTTTTGGATCATTGTCCATCTTGACCAAAATGTTGTTATGCAGCACATGACTGTACTACACTCTCTGATCACACTAGGCTTTTTCCAAATATGCTTTTTCTTCCCTTGAGCTGGCACATGGATGTCACAGTAATCCCATTTTGACAATACGTACATGAACAACAGCCTAGGGTATGGTGGAACAACAATATAGAAGGCATTAGATTTGCATGAGCAACTCCAAAACCTGTACTACCTACATCCCTCTAGACTGCTGCTTAAGAGAAATAAACTTCGGTCTCATTTAATCCATGGTGCTTGGGGGCTGTCTGTAACAATAGCTTACTTTGTACCCTGTTTGCATAGCCACCACTCCTCCACATAAACCCAAGTTAGAGTCACAGTGAACCAGAACTCCAAATTCATTATGTTCTTCTTGTTTCCATGTCTTGATACCTGTGTTGGTATCTGCAATGACCCATGCCCCTTTCTCACTATTTCCCTTGCCCCTTCCAGTCTATGTGACCAACTCTGATTCACCTTCTAGATTCATTCCTGACTACTCTATCGCTATCCCCCCAGCCACATGTGACTCAGGTACATCCTCTTGTTTCTCTCCTCTGTCTGTCCCACTGTACTACAGTTCTTAGCCTCTATGTTTGTCCAACTGTTGCCTGAACCTCATCCCCCAACTGTTACTCACACTTGCATTCCTAGACCTTAACACAACGACTAGTACCCAGCATGCTCTCATAAATCAATGAATATTCATTGCATGACTGGTGAATTTATTGACGAGTTTCTTCTTTTAATTTTATCTTATTTATTTTATTTTTGTTTTGTTGTTGTTGTTGGTTTTTCCACCAGAGGATATTGACAAGTTTCTAAAAAAAAATTTTGTTTTTTTGAGATAGGGTCTCGCATTATCCAACATGCCGAAGTGGAGAGGTATGATCATAGCTCACTGCAGCCTTGAACTCCCGGGCTCAAGCGATCCTCCTGCCTCAGCCTCCTGAGTAGCTGGGATGACAAACCCACACCACCACACCTGGCATATTTATTTATTTATTTTTATTTTTATTTTTTTGAGACAGAATTTCACTCTTATTGCCCAGGCTGGAATGCAATGGCATGATCTCGGTTAATGGCAACCTCTACCTCCCGGATTCAAGTGATTCTTCTGCCTCAGCCTCCCTAGTAGCTGGGACTAAAGGCATGCACCACCACACCCGGCTAATTTTGTATTTTTAGTAGAGACAGGGTTTCTCCATCTTGGTCAGGCTAGTCTCGAACTCCTGACCTCAGGTGATCCTCCCACATAGGCCTCCCAAAGTGCTGGGATTACAGGCGTGAGCCACTGCGCCTGGCCCCTATTTATTTATGTGTTTTGTAGAGATGAAGTCTCACTGTGTTGTCCAGGCTGATCTCAAACTCCCAGCCTCAAGTGGTCCTCCCACCTTGACCTCCCAAAGTGCAGAGATTACAGGCATGAGCCACTGTGCTTGACCAAAAAAAAAAAAAAAAAAAAAAAACTGTTTAATATGGAAATTTTCAAACATACACAAAAGTTGAAAGAATAATATAATGATACATGTATCCATCACTCTGTTTCAACAATGACCATCATTTTGTCATTCCTGAGAATGAGTAGAGCTCCAGAGTGCAGTTTTTGGAGACAACGTTTTAACTAAAAAGGACTACTTCAATTGGGAATTTTTTTTTTTGAGACGGAGTCTTGCTCTGTTGCCCAGGCTGGAGTGCAGTGGTGCGATCTCGGCTCACTTCAAGCTCTGTCTCCTGGGTTCACGCCATTCTGCTGGCTTAGCCTCCTGAGCAGCTGGGACCACAGGCGCCCACCACCATGCCTGGCTAATTTTTTGTATTTTTGTAGAGACGGGGTTTCACCACGCTAGCCAGGATGATCTTGATCTCCTGACCTCATGATCCGCGCCCCTCAGCCTCCCAAAGTGCTGGGATTACAGGCGTGAGCCACCGCGCCCAGCCTCAATTGGGATATTTTTAATCACTGTGGCAATCTGGTAAGGAGGTATTTTCAGGATTTTTATTTTAGGGGATAAGGGTCTTCAAATCAGGATCTGCACTTTAAAAAAACAGTGTAGGCCGGGCGTGGTGACTCACACCTGTAATCCCAGCACTTTGGGAGGCCGAGGCAGGCGGATCACAAGGTCAGGAGTTCAAGACCAGCCTGGCCAAAATGGTGAGACCCCATCTCTATTAAAAATACAAAAATTAGCTGGATGTGGTGGCATGTGCCTGTAACCTCAGCTACTTGGAGGGCTGAGACAGGAGAATCACTTGAACCCGGGAGGCAGAGGTTGCAGTGAGCCGAGATAGCGCCATTGTACTCCAGCATGGCAACAGAGCGAGACTCCGTCTCTAAATAAATAAGTAAAAAATAACAGTGTAGAGGCAATAAGAGAAATAGTTATTCTTTATTCCCAAAGGTATATAATATAATATTGCTTGACAGTCACATAAACAAATATTTGCACCAAAGTGTTACAGAGGTTTTGATAAAAGCATGTGCCAGGCATACTAGGGTCACAGTGAAAAATGTGCTCCATAAAACATTCCCTTCACTATGGCCCTTAGAAACCTTGGTTTAACCCAAGGAAACTGCTTCCTTTGTAGCTCTTTCAAATGCTACAGAGGAAGCAGTTGGGGAAAATTCTTGTTTCCCCCTGTTCCATATATGATGAAGCCTGGAATATTGGCATTCTTTTAGTTCTCCATTGCTACTTACAGATCATTACCTATTTTTTTTCTATTAAAAATAATACTCTTGGCGGGGCATGGTGGCTCATGCCTGTAATCTTTGGGAAGTCCAGGCGGACAGATCACTTGAGGTCAGGAGTTCAAGACTAGCCTGGCCAACATAGTGAAACCCCCTCTCTATTACAAATACAAAAATGGGCCAGGCGTGGTGGCTCATGCCTGTAATCCCAGCACTTTGGGAGGCCGAGGTGGGCAGATCACCTGAGGTTGGGAGTTTGAGACCACCCTGACCAACATAGTCAAACCCTGTCTCTACTAAAAATACAAAATTAGCCAGATGTGGTGGCAGGCACCTGTAATCCCAGCTACTTGGGAGGCTGAGGCAGGAGAATCACTTGAACCCGGGAGACGGAGGTTGCAGTGAGCTGAGATCACACGATTGCACTCCAGCCTGGCCGACAACAGTGAAACTACGTCTCAAAAAAAAAAAAAAAAAAGGTGGTGCACATCTGTAGTCCCAGCTACTTGGGAGGCTGAGGCATGAGAGTCGCTTGAACCTGGGAGCCCGAGGCTGCAGTAAGCCAAGATGGCGCCACTGCACTCCAGCCTGGGTGACAGAGTGAGACTCTGTCTCAAAAAAAAAAAAAAAAAAGAAAAGGGAGTATTCTTTTTCTAGCATAAGTGTACATGTTAAATGCAAAAAAGGAAAAAAGTTGGAAAGTATCCATACGCACACTCACACTACCTGTACCAACTGATAACCATTTACACTTCGATGCCAGTCTATCCAGTTTTTTCTCTATGAGTATATTTATACATAGATCTAAACATATATTTTATGAATAGGATTATCATACACATGCTCCTTCTTTGCTTACTTAAAAAAAAAATTGGGCTGGGCGCGGTGACTCACGCCTGTAATCCCAGCACTTTGGGAGGCTGAGGCAGGCGGATCACGAGGTCAGGAGATCGAGACCATCCTGGCTAGCACAGTGAAACCCCGTCACTACTAAATATACAAAAAAAAAAAAAAAAAAAATTAGCCGGGTATGGTGGCGGACGCCTGTAGTCCCAGCTACTCCAGAGGCTGAGGCAGGAGAATGGCGTGAACCCGGGAGGCAGAGCTTGCAGTGAGCCAAGATTGCGCCACTGCACTCCAGCCTGGGGAACAGAGCGAGATTCTGTCTCAAAAAAAATAAATAAATAAAGTAAAATAAAATAAAATCGGCCGGGCGTGATGGCTTATGCCTGTAATCCCAGCACTTTGGGAGGCCGAGGTGGACAGATCACTTGAGGTGAGGAGTTCGAGACCAGCCTGGCTAACATGGTGAAACCCTGTCTCTACAAAAAATACAAAAATTAGCCGGGCGTGCTAGCACGTGCCTGTAATCCCAGCTACTTGGGAGGCTGAGGCAGGAGAATTGCTTGAACCTGGGAGGCAGAGGTTGCAGTGAGCTGAGATCGTGCCATTGTGCTCCAGCCTGGCCAAAAAATCAAGACTTCGTCTCAAAAAAAAAAAAAAATCAAATATTGTCCATGTTGATTATGCCACAACATTACTGTTAAGTTACTCATTCCATGATATGGATGAATCATAATTTATGGAACCAATACATGCTTTTGGACATTTTATAGATATGTTTGATTTTGTTTTTTGTTTTGTTTTTTGCGACAGAGTTGTTGCCCAGACTGGAGTGCAATGGCGCGATCTCAGCTCACCACAACCTCTGCCTCCCGGGTTCAAGAGATTCTCCTGTCTCAGCCTCCCAAGTAGCTGGGACTACGGGCATGTGCCACCACATGTGGCTAATTTTGTATTTTTAGTACAGACGGGGTTTCTCCATGTCGGTAAGGCTGGTCTCGAACTCCCGACCTCTGGTGATCCACCCGCCTAGGCCTCCCAAAGTGCTGGGATTGCAGGCACAAGCTACCGTGCCTGGCATTTTGTTTTTGAGACGGGGTCTCACTCTGTAACCCAGGCTGGAGTGCAGTGGCACGATATCGGCTCACTGCAACCTCCACCTCCCAGGTTCAAGCAATTCTCCTGCCTCAGCCTCCCGAGCAGCTGGGACTATAGGCACATGCCACCACGCCTGGCTAATTTTTGTATTTTTAGTAGAGACGGGGTTTCACCATATTGGCCAGGCTAGTCTCAAACTCCTGACCTCATGATCCACCTGTGTTGGCCTCCCAAAGTGCTGGGATTACAGGTGTGAGCCACGGTGCCTGGCCAGGTATCTTTGTTTTAATATTCAGTTATTATGGCTACACATTTTATTTATTTAATTGTTTTTTATTTTTTATTTTTACAGATTGAGGCTCGCTGTGTTGCCCAGGCTTGTTCAAACACCTGGGCTTAAGGAATCCTCGCACCTCAGCCTCCCAAAGTACTGAGATTACAGGTGAGAGCCACTGCACCTGGCCAAGGCTGCACATTTTAGAACTTAGTTTTTTGAAGCTTTTGAGCTCAACTTACAAGTATTGTCATTTAATTTATAAATCGAATATAGTTTTGAAATTTAAAATACTCATCTTACTTGTACTTTGATAATCATCTTATAAATTTAAATTATTGAATTGTATTAAATCTTCCTAAACATTCAACACCTTTATGAAATTCTCTTAGAAGTTTCAAACTAGTCACACATTTAGTAAATTTATTCCTCTGTAGTGCTTCAAACACTTAATAAAAGTCTAATTAAACTTTCTCAGCATTTAAGAAGCATTTACATGCATAATAATACAAAATTTGCAGATATACTAATTAGATTCCTTCACATGTTTACACAGTCATTACAAACTTAATTAGCTACATTTTTCTAAGGATTTCACCTAAAAACATAAATCTGTCAGATTCTCTTAAAACACATGAAACACCTCAAATCATGAACAAAACACAGAAACTATAACAGATTGCAAACTTATTACACCTGCACAAAAATGTTAAGATTGTAATTTGCATCAATTTTTTTTATAATTTAAAAACTTCCCAGAGTTGCAAGTTTACTCACCTGCCTAAGAGGAGCTCAGGATGGCTGTGATTTGTGCTTATGATTATTGGTTGTAGATCTGGCATCAGGAGTTGGAAGCTGGGTGCACCTTTCAGGATAATTCACACAGGCCAGTCTCTTTTGGCTAGTTCACATCACGTTTTTCAAAATTAAAAAATCTGGCTTCTCATGTATTCCTCTTAGCCACTGCTACCTTTTCTTTTTTTTTTTTTTTTTTTTTTTTTTTTGACAGGGTCTCACTCCGTCGCCCAGGCTGGAGTGCAATGGTGCAATCTTAGCTGACTGCAACCTCTGCCTCCCAGGCTCAAGAGATCCTCCCACCTCAGCCTCCCAACTAAATGGGACTACAGGCATGCACCACCATGCCTGGCTGTTATTTGTATTTTTTGTAGACACTGGGTCTTGCCATGTTGCCCAGGCTGGTCTGGCACTCCTGAGCACAAGCACTCTCTGCCCACCTCTGCCTCCTCCCAAAGTGCTGGGATTACAGGTGTGAGCCGCTGTGTCTGGCCACCACCACCTTTTTGAACTGTAATCTCTTACACAACTTTTCACTTCCTGAACTGAGTGGAAGGAATGTTGCACTCCCAGCTAGTTACTCTCATTCATTTGCACCTCTCCACTCCAGCACTTTTCATGATGACAAATACCCGTCCAATCGTCTACCCTTAAAGAACATAGACACCCTTGCTGCCAACAACTTTGACTACAATTTATCAGTCCTTTTCTATTGTTACACCTTGAAATCTTCTACCTTTGAAATCTTAAATTTCAATACACCAATCTAATAGCAACTCCCAATCCCCTCCCTGGTCTGCATCTTAATTCAAGTCTAATTAGGTTTGCATGATTAAAAATCTGCTAGAATTAGTCTGGAAGGTGACTTTTAAAAGAAGGAAAGGGAATAACATGGCTTGATAGTGCCAATATAAAGAATCTATTATCAATTCGAGTGATTGCTAGGTGATGGACCTGTAGGGAGAGATCACTAGATGAGTTCAGGTGGTAAATAGAAAACTCCTGTTGGGGTGCAGTGAGAGATGAAGGTAGTGAAATGAAAGGATGGGGATCAATTTTATATGAGGGCTTTAATTTGAAATGGGAATTTGGTGATATTCTCAGAGCAGCACAAGTTTTCATGCCATGGAAAAGCAGCAGGAAAAATGTAAACCTTGCCAATAACACGGGAAAGTCTCCAAGGGTGCCCAGTGACTTACTTGCCTATAAACAAAGCCATTCCTGAGCACTTCTGGCTATGAAATTTCAAAATACATGTTTTAGAGAATTTTACTGACACTTTTATGATTTTAGAGGATAATTTAGATTTCATAAATTTTGTTTCCTTCCCTTTGCCCCTAAAAATCATGAACATAATCCTGAAAATCTCAGCATTCCAACAAACAATAACCAAATGTCTTCAGTCAGTTAGGATTGCTATGAGTATATATACCAACAACATTTGAACATTTCTAGATTTATGGTTAACAAAAAAGAATCATATTAACTAAAGACTTTCTCTGCTTGAATCGGTTTCAAGTATTCAAGGGATTATTAATGGATTTTAGTTAAAGTTAAAATGGTTCACAACTAGCAACCTTTACGCTGATCCTAAGAATTTCCACCTCCTGTCATTCATGCTTTTGGGTAATGCCCTCCCCTGAGTGTAAGAGCTAATGACTCCCTTCTGACACAAAGAACATGGCAAAATTGACAGGACATCATTTTCACAGTTTGGTTACAAAAAAAAAAAAACTGTGGCTTCCAGCCTGAGCAGCAAACTCAGACCTTGTCTCTACAAAAAAAATTTTAAATTAGCCAGACATGGTAGTGTGAGCCCAGCTGCTCGGGAGGCTGAGGCAGGAGGATCTCTTGAGCCCCAGGAATTCAAGGCTGCAGTGAGCCATAATTGCATCACTGCACTCCAGCCTGGGCAACAGTGAGAACTTGTCTTAAAGAAACAAAGCAGGTTCTTTCCTCTCAGAAGCCCCTCTCTCTTACTAGAGAGAGAGCTGTTCTCCTCTCTCTTTCTTCTATTAAACCTCCGCTCCTAAAAACACAAAAACAAAACAAAACAAAACCAAAGCAAAACAAAACCCCTAAAAAACTAGCCTGGGCAACATGGTAAAACCCTGTCTCTACAAAAAACACAAATAAACTAGCCAGGCCTGGTGGTATGTGCCTGTAGTCCCAACTATTCAGGGAAGCTGAGGTGGGAGGTTTGCTTGAGACCGGGAAGTCCAGGCTGCAGTGAGCCGAGATGGCGCCACTGCACTCTAGCCTCGGCGACAGAGTGAGACTCTGTCGAAAAAAATAAAAATAAGACTGTTGCTTCCATCTTGTTTGCCCTCTCTCCTTCTGAGAGAAGTCAGCTACCATATCTTGAGCTTCCCCATAAAAGGTTCATGAGGCAACGAGCCAATGTCCCTGGCCAACAGCCAGGGAGGACATGAGGCCTGACAATAGGCACATATTGAGCTTAGAAGGCAATGCTCCCTCCCTCAGTCAAGCCTTGAGATGACTGCAGCCCTGGCTTTGATTACAGCTTGTGGGCGAACCTGGGACAGAGGAACCCACCTAAGCCACACCCAGATTCCTGACCCATAGAAACTGTGAGATAATAAATGTTCATTTGTTTGTTTGTGATGGAGTCTTACTCTCTTGCCCAGGCTGGAGTGCAGTGGCACAATCTTGGCTCACTGCAACCTCCACCTCCCGGGTTCAAGCGATTCTCCTGCCTCAGCCTCCCGAGTAGCTGGGATTACAGACATCCGCCATCATGCCCAGCTAATTTTTGTATTTTTAGAAGAGACGGGGTTTCACCATGTTGGCCAGGCTGGTCTCAAACTCCTGACCTCAAGTGACCCACCCACCTCGGCCTCCCAAAGTGCTGGGATTACAGGCATAAGCCACCACACCTGGCCAAATGTTTATTATTTTAAGATGCTAAGCTTTGAATTAATCTGTTAAGCTGCAACAGATAGCTATACGCTTTTTTTTAGCCCTTTCTTTCTCTCTCTCTTCCTTCCTTCCTTCCTTTCTTTTTTTTGACAGTCTCACTCTGTTGCCAGGCTGGAGTGCAGTGGCGTGATCTCTGGGTTCAAGCGATTCTCCTGCCTCAGCCTCCCAAGTAGCTGGGACTACAGGCGCACACCACCACGCCTGGCTAGTTTTTTGGATTTTAGTAGAGATGGGGTTTCACCATGTTGGCCAGGATGGTCTCGAACTCTGACCTCAAGTGATCCACTCGCCTCGGCCTCCCAAAATGCTGGGATTACAGGCATAAGCCACCACACCTGGCCAAATGTTTGTTATTTTAAGATGCTAAGCTTTGAATTAAAATGTTAAGCTGCAACAGATAACTATACGCTTTTTTTTTAGCCTAATTTCTTTCTTTCTTTCTTTCTTTCTTTTTTGAGACAGAGTCTCGCTCTGTTGCCAGGCTGGAGTTCAGTGGTGCAGTCTCTGGATTCAAGCAATTCCCCTGCCTCAGCCTCCCAAGTAGCTGGGACTACAGGCACATGCCACCACACCGGGCTAGTTTTTTGTATTTTAGTAGAGACAGGGTTTCACCATGTTGGCCAGGATGGTCTCCATCTCCTGACCTCGTGATCCACCCGCCTTGGCCTCCCAAAGTGCTGGGTAGCCTACTTTCAAACCTTAATAAATGAATTGAGAAATGTATAAAACTTTGGTCAGTGCAGGAAATCATTAAATTTGATGAAAGGAGAAAAAGTTAAAATGCATTGAAAAGAAAGAGGAGCAATGAGAATTTACTACTAATCATATATAAAACTGTATTTTTATTCTACCATTAATATAAATGTTTTGGCCGGGCGTGGTGGCTCACGCCTGTAATCCAGCACTTTGGGAGGCTGAGGCAGGCGGATCACGAGATAAGGAGATGGAGACCATCCTGGCCAAGATGGTGAAACCCTGTTTCTATTAAAATACAAAAAATTAGCTAGGTGTGGTGGCGCACACCTATAGTCCCAGCTACTTGGGAGGCTGAGGGAGGGGAATCACTTGAACCCAGGAGGCGGAGGTTGCAGTGAGCTGAGATCGCACCACTGCACTCCAGCCTGGCAACAGAGCAAGACTCTGTCTCAAAAAAAAAACAAAGTTTCTTTGGGTTGACCTCCCAAGGTGCTGGGATTATAGGCGTGAGCCACCATGCCAGGGTCATATTTGTTTACTCATTCATTTAATAAATATTTGTGGAAATCTTTCTGTGCACCAAGTGCTGAGTTAAATAGAAACAGTCCTTGCTCTCATGGAGCCCATAGCTCAGGAGGACAGTCAAATATGAAACAAATAATCTATAATTACAAATTGTGATAAATGCTACAAGGGGGAAGTGCAGGGTGCTGGGAGAGACTATATAAGAGAGACCTAATTTAAATTGGATGATAAGGAAAAGGCTCTCTAAGGAGATTTAAACTGAGACCCGCATCAGGATGTGTTCAAGTCAGTCAGGCAAAGCATATATGGTCGGGGAGAAGGGGCTGCATTCCAGGCAGAGGAAATGGTATGTATAAGGACCTTGAAGTAGAAACGTTTCTTGTGTGGAGGAACTGAAATAAGGCCTGAGGGGACCTACTGATAGGAGATGAGCTGGAGAGATATACCATATCACATAGGGCTCTGAAGGTCATGCTAAGGAGTCTGGATTTATATTGAATTCAATGGGACATGAAGGTTGTAACTGGGGGTGGCAAGGGTGTGATCATCCAGTTTACCTTGTAAAATGCTGATTGACTGCTCTGTAGAGAATAGATTATACAAGATAAAGTAGGAGGCTGATGCAATAGTATAGTAGAGAGATGATGATTTAAACAAGGCTCTGGGCAGTGGAGGGGAAGAGAAGACAATGGATGGATGTTGAAGGCTGAAGGGAGTTAGGTGATCAGGATGACTCTCAGGTTTCTTTTCTTTTTCTTATTATTTATTTATTTTATTTTGAGACAGGGTCTCACTCTGTGGCCCAGGCTAGAGTGCAGTGGCGCAATCATGGCTCACTGCAGTCTCAACTTCCGAGGCTCAAGTGATTCTCCCACCTCTGCCTCCCAAGTAGCTGGGACTACAGGCTCATGCCACCATGCCTGGCTAATTTTTTGTATTTTATTGGAGACGGGGTTTCACTGTGTTGCCCAGGCTGCATTAAACTCCTGGGTTCAAGCGATCCACCTGCCTTGGCCTTCCAAAGTACTGGACTCTCAGGTGTCTGCTTTAAGACAAACTGGGTGTTCGGAAATGCCCTTTATTTTATTTATTTATTTCTTTTTTGAGACAGAGTCGCTCTGTCGCCCAGGCTGGAGTGCAGTGGCAGGATCTCGGCTCACTGCAAGCTCCGCCTCCCGGGTTCACGACATTCTCCTGCCTCACCCTCCAGAGTAGCTGGGACTACAGGCGCCCGCCATCACCACCTAGCTAATTTTTTGTATTTTTAGTAGAGACAGGTTTCACTGTGTTAGCCAGGATGGTCTCGATCTCCTGACCTCGTGATTTGCCCGCCTAGGCCTCCCAAAGTGCTGGGATTACAGGCGCGAGCCACTGCGACCCGCCGGAAATGCCCTTTATTAAGATGGGAATGACTGGCAGAGAAAAAAGCTTGGAGAAATAGTGCAATTTTGACAAGCTAAGGTTGAAAATTCAAACAATAATGTCAGGTAAGCATTTTGACATACAAGTCTGGAGTTCAGAAGAGATGTCTGAGGTAGGGATAGAAATTTGGGTGTCACCAGCCTATGGGTAGTATTTAAGCCATGAGACTGAAATCTGGGAAGAGGTGAGATCATCTAGGAAAATAGTTCAGAAGGAGGAGAGAAGAGCCCAGAAACACAATATCCAAGTGAAAGTGTATATTCTGCAAGAAACTAGGCTTCTGAGTGTTGGGCTGCAGCAGCCAGCAGGCTTCCCTTTTCATTGGGAAATGAAATTATTCTGTTCATTGATCCATCCTGTTTTGTATATCTATATCGACTTTCTAAGTGAGTCCTCATCTAAAGGTCCTAGAGCAGTTTTTTTTTTCCTTGCTATCAGAGCCAAAGGAAGGATCCAGGTTTTTGGGATACCTGAATCATACAATTTTGGGAAACTTATTAAGGAAAAAGAATACAAAATTCTAAGTATAAAATTAGGCGCAAAAGTAAATATTTATTTAGAATTGAATCACAACAAATTACAGATTTTCAAAAGCTGACAAATATCACAGATTTCACAAAATCAAGACAAATAACTTAATTTTTATTAAATTATTTTAATTAATGAATTATTCATTAACCACATGACACAACTTTTTTCTTTTTCTTTTTCTTTTTTCTTTTTTTTTTTTTTTTGAGACAGGGTCTCGCTCTGTCACCCAGGCTGGAGAACAGTGGTGCAGTCTTGGCTCACTGCAGCCTCTTGTTTCCTGGGCTCAAGCAATCCTCCCACCTCAGCCTCTGGAGTAGCTGGGACTACAGGTGTGAACCACCATGCCCGGCTAATTTTTGTATTTTTAGTGGAGATGGGGTTTCACCATATTAGCCAGGATGGTCTTGATCTCCAGACTTCGTGATCTGCCCTCCTCGGCCTCCCAAAGTGCTGGGATTACAGGCGTGAGCCACCGCGCCCGGCAACAGCAGTGTTAACTACCCACAACTAGATCTCTTTTTCATTCCCTCTTTGACAGAGAACTGTTATTTCACTCTCATCATAAACTCTTGTGAGTTAGTCCCGGGGAAATCTCAAAGTGATGATTTAAGGACTGCTCTGGAAACCCCAAAGGCTAGTATTTTAGTTTCAGTTTTGCAAGATGAAAAGAGTTGTGGAGATTGGTTGCACAACAAAGTGAATATACTTAACACTACTGAACTGTACACTTAAAAATGGTTAAGGCAGGCCGGGTATGGTGGCTCACACCTGTGATCCCAGCACTTTGGGAGGCTGAGGCAGGTGGATCATGAGGTCAGGAGATCAAGACCATCCTGGCCAGCATGCTGAAACCCCATCTCTACTAAAAATACACACACACACACACAAAATTAGCTAGGCGTGGTGGTGTGTGCCTGTATTCCAGGTACTTAGGAGGCTGAGGCAGGAGAATTGATTGAACCCGGGAGGCGGAGGTTGCAGTGGGCCAAGATAGTGCCACTGCATTCCAGCCTGGCAACAAAGAGATACTCTGTCTCAAAGAAAAAAAAAAAAAAAAAGGTTAAGGCAGGGGCTGGGTGGGGTGGCTTACGCCTGTAATCCCAGCACTTTGGGAGGCTGAGGCAGGTGGATCACCTGAGGTCAGGAGTTTGAGACCAGTTGGCCAACATGGTGAAACCCTGTCTCTACCAAAAATACAAAAATTAGCTGGGCGTGGTGACAGGCACCTGTAATCCCAGCTACTTGGGAGGCTGAGGCAGGAGAATTGCTTGAACCCAGGAGGTGGAGGTTGCAGTGAGCCGAGATTGTGCCACTGCACTCCAGCCTAGGCGACAAGAGTGAAGCTCCATCTCAAAAAAAAAATGGTTAGGCATTATAAAGATACATGCATGCGTATGTTCATTGCAACACTATTGACAATAGCAAAGATATGGAATCAACTTAATGCCCATGAATAATAGACTGAATAAAGAAAATGTGGTACATAGGCTGGGCGCAGTGGCTCATGCCTGTAATCCCAGCACTTTGGGAGGCCGAGGTGGGCAGATCATGAGGTCAGGAGACAGAGACCATCCTGGCTAACATGGTGAAACCCCATCTCTACTAAAAATACAAAAATTAGCCGGGCATGGTAGTGTGAGTGCCTATAATCCCAGCTACTTGGGAGGCTAAGGCACGAGAATCACTTGAACCCAGGAGGCAGAGGTTGCAGTGAGCCAAGATTGCGCCACTGCACTCCAGCCTGGGCAATAGAGTGAGAGTCCATATCAAAAGAAAGAAAGAAAGAAAGAAAGAAAATGTGGTACATATACACCATGAAATACCATGCAGCCATAAAAAGGAACGAGATCATGTCTTTTGCAGGGACATGGATGGACCTGGAAGCCGTTATCCTCAGCAAACTAACACAGGAACAGAAAACCAAACACCACATGTTCTCATTTATAAGTGGGAGCTGCCGGGCGCTGTGGCTCATGCCTGTAATCCCAGCACTTTGGGAGGCCGAAGCAGGTGGGATCACCTGAGGTTGGGAGTTCGAGACCACCGTGACCAACACGGAGAAACCCCGTCTCTACTAAAAATACAAAATTAGCCGGGTGTGGTGGCACATGCCTGTAATCCCAGCTGCTCGGTAGGCTGAGGCAGGAGAATTGCTTGAATCCAGGAGGCGGAGGTTGCGGTGAGCCGGAGATCATGCCATTTGCACTCCAGCCTGGGCAACAAGAGGGAAACTCCATCTCAAAAAAAAAAAAAAAAAAAAAGTGGGAGCTGAATGATGAGAACACATGGACACGAAGAAGGGAACAACACATGCTGGGGCCTGTGGGGTGGGGGCTGGGGGAGGGAAAGCATCAGGAAGAATAGCTAATGGATGCTGGGCTTAATATCCAGGTGATGGGTTGATCTGTGCAGCAAACCAGCAGGGCACATGTTTACCTATGTAACAAACCTGCACATCCTGCACATGTACCCCTGGAATAAAAGTTGAAAATATAAATAAATAATACAAAAAAAAAAAAAGAGGAGTGCTAAGGCCGGGCGCGGTGGCTCACGACTGTAATCCCAGCACTCTGGAAGGCAGAGACGGGCGGATCACGAGGTCAGGAGATAGAGAGCATCCTGGCTAACACGGTGAAACCCCGTCTCTACTAAAAATACAAAAAAAAAAAAAAAAAAAAAAAATTAGCCGGGCGTGATGGTGGGTGCCTGTAGTCCCACCTACTCGGGAGGCTGAGGAAGGAGAATGGCGTGAACCCGGGAGGCGGAGCTTGCAGTTAGCCGAGATCGTGCCACTGCTCTCCAGCCTGGGCGACAGAGCGAGACTCGGTCTCAAAAAAAAAAAAAAAAAAAGGTTAAGGCTGTCATTAAAAAAAAAAAAAAAAAAAAAAACAAGGTCGGCCGGGCACGGTGGCTCACGCTTGTAATCCCAGCACTCTGGGAGGCTTTGCGGATTGCCTGAGCTCAGGAGTTCGAGAACAGCCTGGGCAACACGGTGAAACCCCGTCTCCAATAAAATACAAAAAAAATGGCTGGGCGCGGTGGCTCACGCCTGTAATCCCAGCACTTTGGGAAGCCAAGGCTGGTGGATCACGAAGTCAGGAATTCAAGACCAGCCTAGCTAAGATGGTGAAACCCTGTCTCTACTAAAAATACAAAAATTAGCTGGGCGTGGTGGCACGCGCCTGTAATCCCAGCTATTCCGGAGGCCGCGGCAGAGAATTGCTTGAACCCGGGAGGCGGAGGTTGCAGTGAGCCGAGATCGCGCCACTGCACTCCAGCCTGGGTTACAGAGCAAGACTCTGTCTCAAAAAAAAAAAAAAAAAAAAAAAAAAAAAAAAAAAAAACCCAAAAAACAAAGTCATGTCCTTTGCAGCAACTTGGATGTAGCTGGAGGCCACTACTCTAGGCGAATTAATGCAGAGATGGAAAACCCAGTACCTCACGTTCTCACTTAAAAGTGGAGGCTAGGCCAGGCGCGGTGGCTCACGCCTGTAATTCCAGCACTTTGGGAGCCCGAGGTGGGCGGATCACCTGAGGTCGGGAGTTCGAGACCAGCCTGACCAACATGGAGAAACCCCGTCTCTACTAAAAATACAAAATTAGCCGGGCGTGGTGGCGCATGCCTGTAATCCCAGCTACTCGGGAGGCTGAGGCAGGAGAATTGCTGGAACCTGGGAGGCAGAGGTTGCAGTGGGCTGAGATGGCGCCACTGCATTCCAGCCTGGGCAGCAGAACTAGACTCTCAAAAAAAAAAAAAAATACATAAAAGGCAGATTGGAGAAAGGCATACAAATTTATATAATGTATACATGGGGAGAATCACGGAGTGATTATCCATTCCCAAAGGAGTTCAGAAGCTTATACATCATCCTGGCAAAACGGGTTATGGGGGATGAGAAGAGGAATTGTGTTGAGGGGATTACTAGGTAGAATGAATGGATCAGGAAACAGCGATTAATCTGTACATAAGCTTGTGAAAGGGTCTGTTCAGGTGTACATTCTTGGCCTTACAGGGTGTGAAAGAAAAAAACAATTGTTCTCCTTGGCGGGTCTGGATCTCAGGCAGAAAAAGGAACTTCAGAAAATTTCTTTCTTATTTGGGAAAGTCTAGGGGAGGGTGGAGGGTGAGAATGTCAGAGAGACCTTGAGGTATTGGTTTCCGAGTCCCAGTGGTAGTATTCATTTTTGTTTTAATTTTCATTTCCTTGATTATTAATGATATTGAATACCTTTTCACATGCTTATGGGCTATTTGCGTATCTCTTTTTTTTTTTTTTTTTTTTTTTTTTTTGAGATAGGGTCTCGCTGTTGCCCAGGTTGGAGTACAGTGGCACAATCATGGGGCTCACTGCAGACTTGACTTCCGGGGCTCAAGTGATCCTCCCACCTCAGCCTTCAGGGTAGCTGAGACTACAGGTGCACGTCACCATATCCAGATAGTTTTTTCAATATTTTGTAGAGATAGGGTCTCACAATGTTGCCTGGTCTGGTCTCAAGGGATCCTCCTGCCTCAGCTTCCCAAAGTGCTGTATTGCAGGCATGAGCCACCATACCCAGCCCTTTCATATCATCTTTTGAGAAATGCCTTTTCAAATCTCTTACTAATTTTTATTGGGGTGCTTATTATTTTCTTATTGATTTGTAGGAGTTCTTTACATGTTGTCTGGTTATATGTGTTGTTCATAACCCACTCCCACTCTTCACTATTTTAGAAGTGGCTTTAAAGATTAAATTCTTGATTGCACAACTGCACTCCAGCCTGGGAGACAGAGTGAGACTGTCACACACACACACACACCACGCAAGAAAGAAAGAAAAGAAAAAAAAGGCCAGGCACGGTAGCTCACGCCTGTAATCCCAGCACTTTGGGAGGCTGAGGCCAGCAGATCACCTGAGGTTGGGAGTTCGAGACCAGCCTGGCCAACATGGCGAAACCCCGTTTCTACTAAAAATACAAAAATTAGCCGGGCATGGTAGAGGGCGCCTGTAATCCCAGCTACCCAGGAGGCTGAGGCAGAAGAATCGCTGGAACCTGGGAGGCAGAGGCTGCAGTGAGCTGAGATTATGCCACTGCACTCCAGCCTGGGTAACAGAGCAAGACTCTGTCTCAAAAAAAAAAAAAAAAAAAAAAAAAAAGATTAAATTCATAGCAAGATCTCCTCTCTGCTGAAAAAAAAAATAGTTGGGTGTGGTAGCGTGTGCCTGTAGTCTCAGCTACTCAGGAGGTTGAGGTGGGAGGATCATTTGAGCCTGGGAGATGAAGTCTGCAGTGAGTTATTATCTTGCCACTGTACTGCAGCCTGGGCAACTGGGGAAAATCCTGTCTCAAAATAAATAAGCAAATATGCACTTTTTTTTTTCCCCCTGAGACCAGGTCTCATTCTGTTGCCCAGGCTGGAATGCAGTGGCACAATCACGGCTCACTGCAACTTCAACCTCCTGGGCTCAATCAGCCCACCTCAGCCTCCTGAGTAGCTGGGACTACAGGTGCACACCACCATGCCTGGCTAATATTTGTATTTTTTGTAGACAGGGTTTTGTCATGTTGTCCCGGCTGGTCTCCAAATCCTGGGCTCAAGCAATCCTTCTGCCTTGGCCTCCTAAAGTGCTGGGATTACAGTCGTGAGCCACCATGCCTGGCCTGGAACTGTTAAAATCTTATTGGTGAATTTAACTTATCAATATAAAATGTCCCTCTTGGCCGGGCGCAGTGACTCACAGGCCTGGCACTTTGGGAGGCTGAGGTGGGCGGATCACGAGGTCAAGAGATCAATACCACCCTGGACAACATGGTAAAACCCCATCTCTACTAAAAATACAAAAATTAGCTGGGCGTGGTGGCACGCGCCTGTAGTCCTAGCTACGTGGGATGCTAAGGCACGAGAATCACTTGAACCCGGGAGGCAGAGATTGCAGTGAGCTGAGATACTGCACTCCAGCCTGGCGACAGAGCGAGACTCCGTCTCAAAAATAAAGAAAACAAAAGTCCTTCTTTATCTCTAGGAGTATTTCTTGCTGTTAGTGCTCATATTATACATTTTTACCAGCTTTTTCCTTTGTTTTCTTGATTCCTTATTTTTAAGGTAGCATACTGTGGTAGATTTTATTTTCCAAAGGTGGCCTCAACAGTATGTCCCCATCCCACATGCTCTTCTAGAAACTACATCTTCATCAAAAGATAGAGTTAAACTCCCTATTCCTTGAGTCTGGGTAGGTAGGTGCCTGCTTCCATGAATAGCCTATAGTGGAGTTGACCCTGTGTAACTTCTCAGGCTCAGTTAGAAAAGGCCATGCAGTTTCTGCATGATTCTCTTCAGACACTCTTGGAACCCAGCCACAGTGCTGTGAGGGAGCACAAGCAGTCCATATTGAAGACCAGGTGGAGCAGAATTGAGGCCTTGGCCCACAGCCCTGGGTGATCTAGCATATGACAACTAGCACCAACTTGTCAACCATATGCCTGAGATATCTTGAAAGTGGCTTCCCATTCAGGTGAGATGTGGCAAAATAAAAAAGAGAAAAAAAAAAAAGAAAGAAAGTGGATTCTCAGCTCCCAGACAAGCTGCCCTGGGTGACACTGCATGGGGCAGATATAAGCCATTGCTGCCAAATACTACCAAAATTGAAGACTTGTAAGCAGAAATAAATAATCTGTAAGCAGAAATAAATGATTGTTTTCAGCCACTATGTTTCGAGGTGGGTTGTTATTCAGCAGTGGATAGCCAGAAGTGGAATAGAACCTTACAGATGGATTGTCTGTATTATTTCTGGATTCTCTGGAATTAGTTCTCTAATCTAATTAGGTTTAAAGGTATTGATTACCTTGCTTCCACTAGTAAAGGGGGCACATGTTAATTGAGCCACTGAATTAGGAGTTGAAACTGCACTTAGCCATATTTAGCTTTCTGAAACAGTAAATAAAAGAAGGAAATTATTGTAGTAGCTGGGGTGACTAATCCTATCAAGAAGAAACTGGACAGTCTGGACAACATAGTGAGACCCTGTCTTTACAAAAAAAAAAAAAAATCAGCCAGGTGAGGTGGTATACACCTGTAGTCCCAGATGTTTGGGAGGCTGAGGCAGGAAGATCACTTGGGCCCAGGAGGTCAAGGCTGTAGTGAGCCATGATTTGTGCCACTTCACTCCAGCCTGGGTGACAGACTGAGACCCTGTCTCAAAAAAGAAGAAGCAATCAGATCACTATTACACAATTAGGTAAGCAGTATGTCTGGAATGTATGAGGTCCCCTGGGGCATCTCACAGTACTCCCTTGCCCAGTGATTAAAGTCAAACTATAACTATCCCCTACAGACAGGACTGCTAACAACCCAGACCCTTAAAAATGAAGATGTGGGTCACCTCACCAGATAGGAATCATGAAAGCCTGGGTGGCTGCTGAAGGCAAAGGAAACATGGCATAGATAGTGGAAGAAGGAAGTACAGTAAGTCCTAACTTAAGGTTGTCAACAGGTTCTTGGAAACTACACCTTTCAGTGAAATGATGTATGAAGAAAACAATTTTACCAGAGGCTGATATAAACAAGAGTTAAATCCCTTAATCAGACTCTATTTATGGTCATGAAAACATCAACAAAGTTCTAAATAAAGACCAAAGCACTTCTAATATTAAACATTGAAAAAAATGTGGGCTATACATACATTTAAGAAATATTAATAAAAATAAGTAAGATAATTATTTACCCAAATATTCTAGCTCAGGGCCATGGGTGGCTGAAGCCCATCCCAGTAGCTCAGAGCTCTAGGCGGGAATCGCCTAGACAGGTGGCCATTCTATGATAGGGCATGCTCACATGACACCTATATTCACTCAGACTGGGAAAATGTAGCTGCAACAATTCTCCTCCTGTACACCGCTTTGGGATGTGGGAGGAAACTGGAGTACCTGGAGAAAACCCACATAAACATGGGGAGAACATGAAAACTCCACATCGACAGTGGCACCAGCTGGAAAGAGAATTTTTCTCATTAATGTTATAACTAAACATTATTGAAGGACCTGTTGTAATAAACAGCTTTGACCATGTGAATAAGGGGCAGAAATGAGGGTTGGAATAGTTATTTCTTCTTTTGAATATGTTTTTGTATATTAAACATCTTTTTTCTCTCCCTCCCCACTCCTCTACCATCGAATATACTTTGTGCCAATGGTAATTAACCTTATAGGATTTACATTACAGGATCATTATAGTGTGATTCAGCTAGGAGTGACTTTATATCCTCCTGTCCTGCAAGGGTTGCTTAAGTTTATGAAGGAAACTGATCATCTTAGCTGGAAACATGACTTTGTTATTGTCAGTTAAGAATGTTTACAGAAAAAGTGTGTATAGATGCCAAGATGTAGACTGTGGTGGCTTTGTACTATGTGAAATTAGCTAAACTGTAACTGTATTTACCAGAATTTCTTTCCTAGTACAGTTCTTCATCACTGTTGAAGACAAGAAGACTTTGTATGCAATTTGGAAGGCAGAAGTGAAGCAGTAGCCAGTGCAGCGTACCAGGCACTATTGCAACTTGCACAGGTTGTCACTGATCTGATAGTGGAGTGAGGAGGCAACGGGCCTGAGGATCTTTCCTTCAGTTTTTATAATTCATGGGCCAAGAGTATGTGCAATGCCATGGCAACTGCTGATGTCAGTGAGAAATAGACGTGTGTTCTAGTTTGTCCTCAGGAATTCCAGTTGTCCTTTTTAGATTCCCCTTTGCCCATGTTCTTGTTCATATCCAGTACTCCTTCCACACTACTGGTTAGGCTGACCCATAGCGGCTTCAGCTCTGCACTAGATGCTGACAATAACACAGCATAGACTCCTCCACCAGTTACTATTATGGTGTCAAATCTAATCCTACAATAAACCCCTCATTCTTTGTTTTTCATAGTGGTTGTGCTTCTCCGATTGAACCCTAATACACAGTTTTCTTATTCTATTACCCCAACCTGAAAGTCTTTGCCTTTTAACTGAAGCTTGATTGTTTACATTTAGTGTATTCAGACTTTAATCTAATTGTTTTCTATTTGTTCCCCCTGTTCTGTTTTCTGTCCTCTCATTTTCGATTAAGTACTTCATTGTTCCATTCCCTTCTATGAGGTTATTTATTATTTTACTTTGCTATTATATTAGTAGCCCTGGAAATTATAACATGTATCTCTGATTTACTTTAGTCTAAGATAAATAACCATTTTTATTACTTTTTTAAAATACAAAGACTTTGCGGTCCTTGATTTATACCTGATGGTTTATATGTTGATGTTTTTGTGTGCTTTAATTCTACATCTATTTAAAACTCCACAAGACACTGTTGTCTTATAGTCAATATTAATTTTTTACCCACATATTTCACTCAATTGCTCTTGATTCCTTCCATCTGGAATAGTGTACATCTGCTAGTGACAAATTATCTCACTTTTTCTGAAAGTCCTTATTTCATCTTCCATTTTATTTTTATTTATTTTTATTTTCTTGGGGGGACAGAGTCTCGCTCTGTTGCCCAGGCTGGAGTGCAGTGGTGTGATCTTGGCTCACTGCAACCTCTGCCCCCCTGGGTTCAAGTGATTTTCCCACCTCAGCCTCCTGGTAGCTGGGATTACAGGTGTGTGCCACCAGGTCCGGCTAATTTTTTTGTGTGTTTTTAATAGAGACGGAGTTTCACCATGTTGTCCAGGCTGGTCTTAAACTCCTTGCCTCAGGTGATCCACACGCCTTAGCCTCCCAAACTGCTGGGATTACAGGCGTGAGCCACTGTGCCTGGCCTTCCATTTTATTTTTATTATTAATCACTTTATTTTAGAGACAGGTTCTCGCTCTGTCGCCCCCACTAAAGTGCAATGGCATAATCGTAGTTCACTATACCCTCGAACTCCTGAGCTCAAGTGATCTTCCTGCTTCAGCCTCTCCAGTAGCTGGGACTATAACTGAACATCACCACGCCCAGCTAATTTTCCTTTTTTTAGACAGAGCCTCCCTCTGTTGCCCAGGCTGGAATGCAGTGGTGCGATCTCGGTTCACTGCAACCTCCGCCTCCTGAGTTCAAGTGATTCACCTGCCTCAGCCTACAGAGTAGCTGGGACTACAGGCGCGTGCCACCACGCCCAGATAATTTTTTGTAGTTTTAGTTGAGATGGTGGTCTTGCTGTGTTGGCCAGGCTGGTCTTGAACTCCTGACCTCAGGTGATCCACCCACCTTGGCCTCCCGAAGTGCTAGGATTATAGGCGTGAGCCACCATGCCCGGCCTATTTTTTCCTTTTTTTGTAAAGATGGGGTCACACTTTGCTGTCCAGGCTGATCTGAAACTCCTGGCTTCAAGTGATCCTCCCATCTCAGCCTCCCAAAGTTCTGGGATGATAGGCGTGAGCTACCACTCCTGGCCTCATCTTACATTTTAAAGGATATTTTCATTAGACATTGAATGCTAGACTGGCAGTTAGTTATTTTCTATAAGTGTACTGAAGATACTAATGATGTGTATTTTTCTTTCTTTTTACCATTCTTAGACTTGTCAAGAGTGTATCTATTTTTATTGTTATTTAAAAATAACGAAAGTTTGGTTTAAGATTTTTAATGTTTTCCATTTTATTAATTTCAGCCTTTGCTTTATGACACATTCCCTTTTCCTCCTTGCTCTTGATTCATTTTTGTCCTTGTGTTAAAGTCTGTTATTATTAATTCTTTTTTAATAATAAAAATAGTTAAGACTGTAGTCTGGCTATTTAAGTGCCTGTAGTCCCAGCTACTTGGGAGGCTGAAGCAGGAGGATCCTTTAAGCCCAGGAGTTTGAGGCCAGCATGGACAACATAGTAAGACCCTGTCTCTTAAATAAATAGAAATATAAATGAAAAATAAGGCCGGTTGCGATGGCTCACACTCGTAATCCCAGCTTTTGGGAGGCTGAGGTGGGAGGATTGCTTGAGCTCAGGAGTTCAAGACCAGCCTGGGTAACACAGTGAGACCCTGTCTCTTCAAAAAATAAAAAATTTGCCAGGACTGGCGGCACATGCCTGTAGTCCCAGCTACTTTGAGGTGGGAGGATCACTTGAGCCTAAGAGGTTGAGGCTGCAGTGAGCCATGATCATGCGACTGCAGTCCAGCCTAGATGACAGACCATGACTCTGTCTCAAAATAAAATAAAATAAAATAAAAAACCTTGTGAATAAATTTTAGCACTTATATTATTGCTCTATAATAGGTCATGTGAAAGGGTTAACAGACAGTAAAAGACAAAGTTTTTTTTTTTTTTTTTCGGGAGCTTCATTTTATTAATAGTATATCTTATTAAGATTCTTGCTTTTTACAGAAAAGTTGTAAAGATTAAGAAAAAAAATTCTGGCCGGGAGCGGTGGCTCATGCCTGTAATCCCAGCACTTTGGGAGGCCAAGGCGGGTGGATCACCTGAGGTCAGGAGTTTGAGACCAGCCTGGCCAACATGGAGAAACCCCGTCTCTACTAAAAATACAAAATTAGCTGGGGGTGGTGGCGCATGCCTGTAATCCCAGCTACTCAGGAGGCTGAGGCAGGAGAATGGCGTGAACCCGGGAGGTGGAGCTTGCAGTGAGCCGAGATTGCGCCACTGCACTCTAGCCTGGGCGACAGAGTGAGACTCCGTCTCAAAAAAAAGAAAAAAAAAATTCTTGCTTTAATACATATCTTTTTCAGCAAGTCTCCTGATTTAAAGTTTTTCATCCAAGTATAAATTAGAAAATCTAAACTGAAATAAACATAGTCTTTGAAATAGTAAAATCAATTATTAATAGAGAATTATCCGATTTAAGATTATAATGGTCATATTTCACATACAAATATTAGTTTCTGGAGTAGGGGGTGCTTAACCAACAGAAGTGGTAATAGTGAGTTTTGCTAAGTTAAAGGTACTTCTATATGGCTGGTGGTAGTTGTATGGGATGATACCAATGATATACTAGATTGTCAGGGCCATTTCCAAGATATAATTAATTTCAAAATCATATTTGCCTTTAATGTATTTCACAAGAATATAATAAATATGAGCATCTTGAAATCCTTTGAAAACTTGTATAGAAAGGTAACAAATTGCTTTTACTGCCATAAACACTAAAAAAACCTATGTAGTATATATCAGTACATAAGTATGATGATAATGATGAAAGACTATGTCTTCTATAAAGGGTCATAGATACATTAAAAAATCTTTTTTTTGAGACGTAGTCTTGCTCTGTCACCCAGGCTGGAGTGCAGTAGCACGATCTTGGCTCACTGCAACCTCTGCCTCCCAGGTTCAAGTGATTCTCGTGCCTCAGCCTCCCGAGTAGCTGGGATTATAGGCACTTGCACCAGGCACTTGCACCACCACGTCTGGCTAACTTTTGTATTTTTAGTAGAGATGGGGTTTCACCATGTTGGCCTGGCTGTTCTGGAACCCTGGCCTCAAGTGATTCGCCTACCTTGGACTCCCAAAATGCTGGGATTACAGGCGTGGGTCACTGCGCCTGGCCAAAAAATCTGTCATGTATCAGTTATTTATCACTGCCACAAATAGGAAGGTTTTTGCTTCTAGTGCACCCAAAATTTGTCAACAAGATTAAATTAAGCAGTTGCTAGTAACTTTGTATAAAATTATAGAGCTTAGTGCATAAGGAACATACTTTACAAATATGTAAGAAATGTATTTATACATATGCAGCAAATTTCATTTCTAGGACTCAAAAACAGTCAACTCTCATTTATCCACATGCAGTTTCCACTCTATCTTAAGGGATAATTTTTATTTTTTTTTGAGACAGGGTCACCTTTTTTTCACCAGGTGACACCAGGGTTGCTGTCACCTAGGCTGTCACTGCAGCCTCGACCTCCTGGCCCAAGCAATCCTCCCACCTAAGCCTCCCAAGTAGCTGTGACCACAGAATGCCACCATGCCCAGCTAAATTTTTTTGTAGAGACAGTGTTTCCCTATGTTGCCTAGGCTGGTCTCAGAACTTCTGAGCCAAGTGATTCTCCTGCCTTGACCTCCTAAAGTGTTAGGATTATAAGTGTGAGCCACATGCTTGTCCTTAAGGGAGAATTTTTAAGACTCAGGCTGCTATCACTAATATAATAATTAACCATTCAGAAAATGTGACGTTTTCCTCTCAATCTTTATTATTATTAATTTTGAGATGAAGTCTCGCTCTGTTGCCCAGGCTGGAATGCAATGGCGCAATCTCGGCTCACTGTAACCTCCGCCTCCCAGGTTCAAGCAATTCTCCTGCCTCAGCCTCCCGAGAAGCTGGGATTACAGGTGCCTGCCACCATGCCTAGCTAATTTTCTGTATTTTTGGTAGAGACGGGGTTTCACCACGTTGGTCAGGCTGGTCTCAAACTCCTTACCTCAAGTGATCCACCCACTTCCGCCTCCCAAAGTGCTAGGATTACAGGTGTGAGCCAATGCGCTTGGCCTCAATTATTAGCATTTAATAGAAATTAACATTACCCTTTAGCAATGTAGTCTCTGTTGCTGGGGAAATGCTGTTGGAGGTCAAGTATACATTTTATGAATAATTTATGGATTATTTGCAGTTTTGGATGTAATCTTCATTAACATGAAAATAACTTAGAGTTGACTACATATTTATTTTTAGTAAAGGAATACTCAACAATGAACCCTGCTTAAAAAGACAACCCTACTATAGGAATAAGTAGTTGTCTCCTAAAAAAGTGTGGAGATATGAAATGTGTGGCAAATAAGTTTATTTTTTATTTATTGACCGAGAGGGTCTCACTGCTGTGCAGGTTGGCATAAAATGGCGCCTTCAAAGCTCACTGCATCCTGGAACTCCTGAGCCCAAATGATCCTCTGCCTCAGCCTCCCCAGTAGCTAGGACTATAGGCAAGTGCCTCTACACCTGGCTAATTTTTAAATTGTTTTGTATAGACAGGGTCTTGCTAGTTTTCCCAAGAGGGTCTTGAACTCCCGGCCTCAAGTGATCCTCTTGCCTTGGCTTCCTTCCAAAGCAGTGAGGTTAGAGGTGTGAGCCACTGTGCCCTGCCATGTTGACTTTTAAAAACCCTGTAATAACTTCCAATTGTCCTCAAGAAAAAGTTCAATTCTTTTTTTTTTTTTTGAGATGGAGCCTTGCTCTGTCGCCCAGGCTAGAGTGCAGTGGTGCGATCTCACTGCAACCTCTGCCTCCCGGGTTCAAGCAATTCTTCTGTCTCAGCCTCCCGAGTAGGTGAGATTACAGGTGCCTGCTACCACACCCAGCTAATTTTTGTATTTTTAGCAGAGACGGGGGTTTCACCATGTTGGCCAGGCTGGTCTTGAACTCCTGACCTCGTGATCTGCTCGCCTCAGCCTCCCAAAGTGCTGGGATTACAGGCGTGAGCCACTGCGCCTGGCCAAAAGTTCAATTCTTTAACATGGCCCTACAAGGACTTTTGTGGACTCTGCTCCATTTTCCACTATCACTGTATTCTAACAATAAAAGCTGTTTGCCTAGAATGCTCTTTGACTATACACTGACTACCACTAGCAGCAATACTACTTTTTTTTCGAGATGGAGTCTCGCTCTGTCGCCCAGGCTGGCGTGCAATGACGAGATCTCGGCTCACTGCAACCTCTGCTTCCCAGGTTCAAGTGATTCTTATGTCTCAGCCTCCCCAGTAGCTGGGATCACAGGCGCTCGCCACCACGCCCAGTAATTTTTTTGTATTTTTGTAGAGACGGTGTTTTACCAGGTTGGCCAGACTGGTCTCGAACTCCTGATCTCAGGTGATCCACCCGCCTTGGCCTCCCAAAGTGCTGGGATTACAGGCGTGAGCCACTGCGCCTGGCCAATACTATTAATAATAGTTACAACCTACCGAATTCTTATTAGGCATGGGACAGTTTATATACATTATTAGTTATACTTTATGAAGTAGGTACTATTCTTAATCCAGGTGTACAGACAAGGCACAGAGAAATGAAGCAATTAACTGAGAGGAACACAGCTATTAAAGTGTAGGCACTTTAATCTGTTTCAATCCAGATCTGTCTGAATTCAATGATGTTCCCAAACTTGGAACATGAAAATATCAACTTTCTCCAAGAAGTCTGACATGTTTAATATCCTCTAATAGCAAATGTGATAAGGTTAGCACTTAAGACACTGGTTTACAACGGACCTGTGTACTTGATGCCTCCCCAACCGGAAGATAAGCCATCTGAACTCACTTAAGGCGGCATGTTCACTTTTGCTTCCCCAGCTCCACAGTTAAGTGTACCACAGTTTCTGGTACACGTAATGCGTGTTAATAAAGATTTGTTGAATAATCAAATAAGCGAAACTGCTTTTAAACAGAAAGCCATAATACAATGTTATTACCTTCGAATTTGGCTAGAGAACATCACCAAGCTTACCAGTTTGTGATCTAGACTCCACTTTTCCCCATTTTTTTCAGTGTGCTACTTTTGCTTATATCCATTCTTCTGTGACTTTGTTTGCCACAATTCCTTAAATACTTCCACCCCTCCTTTTCATAACAGCGATCTGCCGTTTGTGAACCTCTTTTACAGAGAAAAACTAGAATGTTACTTTTCCTTTCATAGCAATTCTTTAAAATTTCTGAAAGCCTTTAAAAGGGTATTAGCGCAAACATCAGAGATCGCTGAGGTTAAAACTATCTTTTAAAAATGAATTTCACCGTCTCAAAAAAAATAAAAATGAATTTCAAATCAAGGCTAGGCTGATTGGAGAAAAGCAACCTAGTATATTTATAAAGGTCTTCCAGTGCTGTCTAAGCAGTGTTGTCCCAGGTGGCATCCTATTTTTCATAATTTACCGAAGGCCCTTGGTAATATAAATACAGAGAATAACAGGTGCTGCACTGAGCAGGGGGTCTGTCTAAATCAACCTTTTTGGCTCCATTTTTTGACAAAGGGCCAAGAGGTTAGCGTAATCGGTCCAGTAGTTCTCATTACCTTCGAGGGGAAGGGGAAAGAGGAGAGGGGCGAAGAAAGGAAACGGGGAGAGGAAGTGTGGCAAATAGAAGATATTCTTCAGGTAGAGCCAGGGCTCGGGCCGCGTCCCCAGGTGGCCCCTCCAAACGACCGTTTACCTTGTCAATTTTCTCTTTTCAATGAAAAAAAAAAAAAAGACATCTGGCTTTTTAAGTAAGAGAATATACAAATAAGGAAGGTATCAGGTCTCGTGAGAATTCGGCGCCAGATCCGCGTCCGGAACCCCACCGAGAGCCGCCGGTCCAACCGCCGATAGCTCGCGGATGCCCCCGGGGGCCCGACGCCGGCCAGGCTTCCCCTAGCGCTCCCGCTACCCATAAGCCCTCGCGTCTCAGCGCGCACGCGCAGCGGCGACGGCCGTCTCAGGAAGAGGAAAATGGAATAAACAACTCGGAGGAACCAGAGCGCGAGAGAGCGAGTGGAGGCAGAATTTAAAAATAAACCGGCCCCTCCGCCTTCCCCACCCGCTTGCCGCTGCCGCTCCCTCTTCCCCTGCCCGCGCCCTCGAAGTCCCCGTCTGGGCCCGCGCGCTCACCCCGTCGTCCCGCGCGGCCCCTTTAAGAAAAGAGAACGAGAGAGTGAGTGAGAGAATCCCAACTCTCCCCCTACCCTCCCTCCTTCTACCCCCTCCTCCCTCCCCTCTCCCCTCCCCCTTCTCCCCGGGCGGCTCCGGCTCCCGCAGCGGGACAGACCCACCCGCCCAGGCTTTTATCCGGCACCGGCAGCGTCTTCCTTTCCTCCCCCGTCTATGGTGGTGGCGGCGGCGGCTCCTCGGGCGGCGGCGGAAGACGAGGCTGCGGCGTTGCCATGAACAGTGGCGGCGGCCTCCCGCCCCCCTCGGCCGCCGCCTCCCCTTCCTCCTCCTCGCTGGCGGCGGCGGTGGCGGTGGTGGCCCCGCCGGGGGTCGGGGGTGTCCCCGGCGGGGCGGCGGTAGGAGTGAAGCTGAAGTACTGCCGCTACTACGCTAAGGATAAGACTTGCTTCTACGGGGAGGAGTGTCAGTTCCTGCATGAGGACCCTGCCGCCGGGGCTGCCCCGGGCCTCGGCCTCCATAGCAACAGCGTCCCCCTGGCTCTGGCTGGTGCACCCGTGGCCGGCTTTCCGCCGGGAGCCGTCGCGGGCGGGGGAGCTGGGCCGCCCCCCGGGCCCAAGAAGCCGGACCTGGGGGACCCGGGGACCGGAGCCGCAGCCGGCGGAGGAGGCAGTAGCGGGGGACTCGATGGACCGCGGCTGGCAAGTGAGTGTTTTTCGGGCGGGGCGGGCCGCGGCGGCGGAGGGCAGGCCTGGGCCGGATGAGGCCCTGCTGCCGACGGGAGCTGAGCACGGCCCGCGGGCTCCCCCCCTCACCTCCCAAGGCGGTCTGAGAGGCCTAGGCCGGGCCTGAGCCCTCCTTCCTTCTTCCTGCTTCCCCTCCCCACTGCCTTCGGCAAGTCGGAGAGCGCGGGGAGGTTGGGTTCCCGGGAACGTGGGTGGGAGGACTGGGGTGATGTGAAGGGGGGGCGGGGAGGAAGGGGGATGGGCTGTGGCGTGCGGAGTGTGAGAAAGGGGGTGTCGTTTCCGGGGGGTGTGGAAAGGGGCTGGGTTTGCAGGCACATGTGTTTTGCGTGTCCTTGTGGAGTGGCGTCTGCAGAGTGTTGAGGTTCCCTAGTGGGGAGGGGTGTGTTTGTGTGTGTGTGTGTGTGTGTGTGTGTGTGTGTGTGTAGGGGGCGGGAGGTGAGGGGCGGGCTTAAGGCTTCGTGGAGTAGGTTGAAAGAACGGAAAAAGTTTGTAGAAGGCTTGCGGGAGAAAGGTTTTGCAGGCAGGAAATGCTTTCTAAGGATTAGGAGGGAGCGGACTGTCGCGTTCAAAGTGTGCTCAGGTTTAATCGAGAGTTTAGAGTAGGGATTTCACAAAGACGCATTTCATCTGAGTTTCCCTGAAAGCTAGAATAAGTTTGCTGGTGTCAGCTGGGATCCTGTCTTCTATAGCTTTGTATCAAGCAAACTCAGCATTGTGTCTTGAATGCATGTCATGTGCAGCCTGCGTTTATGTGCGACTGAGCACTTGGGTGGGGACATCTTAAGGCTGTTTATATTTCTTTTTCATGTGTTGTTGTTGTTGTTGTTGTTGTTGTTTTGGAGAGAGTCTCGCCCTGTCGCTCAGGCTGGAGTGCAGTTGCGCGATCTCAGCTCACTGCAACCTCCGCCTCCCGAGTTCAAGCGATTCTGTTGCCTCTGCCTACGGAGTAGCTGGGACTACAGGCGCGCGCCACCACGGCCAGATAATTTTTTGTAGTTTTAGTTGAGATAGTAGTCTCGTTGTGTTGGCCAGGCTGGTCTCAAACTGCTGGCCTCAAGTGATCTGTCCTCCTCAGCCTCTCAGTGTGTTGTTATCTATTGACCTGAAGCTTGTTAGTTGTTAGTGGAGTTTACAATTGAATGTGAGCGTAATCTGTTAGAGAATGTTGCCTTTACGAATAGAGCCGGTGCCAGATGTCCCTGTTTTGTTTCTTAGTATATTGAGCGTTTCTAAACCAAATAGGAGTCCTACTTTCTTGGGAATTCTGGAGAACTAGATCTTAAAATAATCTGATAGGCAGTTCAATTTGTACATGAGAACATTTTGTCTTTTTCTTAAACACTGTTAATGAACCTGATAGGAAGTTTTAGCATTTAATTGGTCTATGAGGATTATTTAATATCTTCCCCGGGGTTTTGCTTTCTTGCTTTTTCTTTCGAGACGGGATCTTCCTATGTTGCCCAAGCTGGCCTGGAACTCCTGGGCTCAAGCGATCTTCCTGCCTGGGCCTCCCAAAGTGCTGGGATTACAGGAGTGAGGCACCATGCTGGGCCAAGTGTTGTTCTGTTCTGTTCTTTTCTCCTTTCTCTCTTCTTTCTTTTTCTTTTATAGAAGTGTTTCATTTGTTGTGATGGGCTTGACTTTAATGAAGATATATTTGCTAAGGCTGATAATGCTAAGAAAATTAATTTTGTAAATTCAGATGTTTTGTAAAACAAATGGTTACTTATGGGTGGAATTTTATCACTTTCGAGCATCAACTTTGCATTTTCAGGTTAAAGTTTTGCTGGATGTGTGAGTCGTGACTCAGTAGTAATGTTTGATTAGTAACCAATGACACTGAACAATAGTTTTCTTACTGACAGAAAGAGACACTTTTTTTTTTTTTTTTTTTGAGACGGAGGCTTGCTTGTCGTCCAGGCTGAAGTGCAGTGGTGCGATCTCGGCTCACAGCAACCTCCACCTCCCAGGTTCAAGCAATTCTCCTGCCTCAGCCTCCCAAGTAGCTGGGTTTTACAGGCATGCGCCACCACGACCGGCTTATTTTTGTATTTTTAGTAGAGACGGGGTTTCGCCATGTTGGCCAGGTGGGTCTCGAACTCCTGACCTCAGGTGATCGTCCCGCCTCGGCCTCCCAAAGTGCTGGGATTACAGGTGTGAGCCACTGTGCTGGCCAGAAAGAGGCACTTTTTAAAATGCTGGTGTTAGACTTCATAGGTGATCTTTCTAGGATTCTCTTTTTAAAAAAAACTTTTAAAGTTTTATTTATCTATTAATCTTATTCCTGACAGACAGCTCTGACGATCATTCTAGGATTTTCTTTTTCTTTTTTTCTTTTTTTTTTTTTTTTTTTTTTGAGACGGAGTTTCACTCTTGTTTACGAGGCTGGAGTGCAATCTAGTGATCTCGGCTCACCGCAACCTCTGCCTCCCGGGTTCAAGAGATTCTCCTGCCTCAGACTCCCTAGTAGCTGGGATTACAGGCAGGCACCACCACGCTCAGCTAATATTGTAGTTTTAGTAGACACGGGGTTTCTCCATGTTGGTCAGGCTGGTCTCAAACTCCTGATCTCAGGTGATCCGCCTGCCTCGGCCTCCTAGGGATTACTGGCGGGAGCCACCGCACCTGGCCGAGGATTTTCTAATTAACACACAATAGGTAGAAGGGCTGAGACTTGAAAGAGGACAGGATGTAAGCAGATGAAGATGGGAGGGGAAGGTAAGTACCCTTAAGGTGGAGGAAAAAATATTAGCAGTGGCTCAAAGGTGGGACATCTTAGGAAAATAACTGAGATATAGGGACTCGAGAGGACAGGCAGTTAATGCTGAAAAGGTATTTTAAAATTAATACTTTGTCACTTGTTAGTAAAAGTTGTCTGATTAAATAGTTGATTTATGTATTTAGATTCTGTGGTGTTTGCTTTAGCTTGTCTGGCTGAAGCCTAAGGCTCCTCTTTTCTGTGATAGGCTTCTTGGTATCTCTCAGTAATTCCTTATGGATGGAGATTTCTTCATAAGGAATCACAACCTAGGTATTACTGAGAGATACCAAGGAGTGGGAAATAATGTTGCTCAGGAATCAGGAAAAAAGGTTGTGTTGGTAATTGTATGGCTTTTTTGAGTTTTTACACTTATTGTTCATTTTTTAGACTGCTTTCTACCTTTTACTGTATTCTCATTCAGTGTGTTTTGAGACAGTATTGATCCGTTTATTTTATTTTGAAGAGATGATGTCTTGCTGTGTTGTCCAGGCTGGTTTCGAACTCCTGGGCTCTAGCAATCTCCTGCCTTGACTTCTCAAAGTACTGGGATTATAGGTGTGAGCTACCACATCTGGCCTTCATTGGTTAATTATGTGTGTGAGGCAGTTAAAATAGATGGCAATTTTTTTTTTTTTTTTTTTGAGACAGGGACCACAGGCACTGGCTACCAAGCACCTCTAATTATTTTGTATTTTTGGTAGAGATGAGGTTTCCCCATGTTGCCCAGGCCGGTCTCAAACTTCTGGGCTCAAAGCGATCTGCCTACCCTGTGAGCCACCATATATACCATAATTTAGTGTTTTTAATTTCTATGTTTGTGGGTTTTGATTGAATCATTTGACAACAAAAGAAACAAAAGATTTAATATAGAAGTACAAATTTCTGGTTTCCCTTTAAGGATGTCTCTTACCTGTGTTGGAATTAGAGCTGTTGATAGAGCATAATTCTCTCCATTTTGACTCATTCCCTAACTGGATGACTTTTATATCTAGGCATTTGAGGTTTTGACTCTAACTTTAGCACTTCACATTTGCAGAATTGTTTTTGTTTTGTTGGTGTTTCAGATAGTGTTAAAACCTTGGAGGTGGGTGCATGAGAAAACTTTATCTTTATTTTGCAGCCATTGGAAAACTGAAGCACAAAGGCTTTTTCTTAATACACTTAGTTGCAATGATGTTTCAACCTTATAAGGAAACTGCAATTTGATTTTTTGTTTTTGTTTTTGTTTTTGTTTTTTTTGAGGAGGGGGTTGGGAGTTCTTGCTGTGTTGTCTAGGTTGGACTCCAACTCCTGGGCTCAAGTGATCCTAGCACCTCAGCCTCCTGAGTAGCTGGGACTACAGGTATGCCGTACCATGTAGCTTACGTAACATTTCGTATTTCTGTTAGTCTTGGGATTTTTCTAAGGCTTAAGAGTGATTTGATTTGTATTCAACTGCATTATCGATTCTTGACATTTAATGATGTAATTCTAATATTTTCAACTGGCTAGATTTTCAAAATGGCTTTAATCTTCAAAGTGTACAATTTTTAACAGGTAAAATATGCCAATATTTGTATTTTATGTACATTATTTGAAACCCAGTAGTTTTAATTTACCAAAATACACTTTTCAATTCTCCTAATGTAGTTACTAGTGAATAAGACATGTTTCAGATAGAATCCTGGCTCTTTGACTAGCTTTGTGACTGAACGAATTTTTAACCTTTAAGCCTCAGTTTTTCTCATCTGGAAAATGGAGATGTTATGAAAATTGCATGGCATTGCCTGCACATATTGAGGTTTCAGTCTTAGTTATTGCTATTATTAAATATTAATAATCTATAGTTAACCTCTGTATTTCCTTCTTCAAATTTTTGAGGGCATACATTGAAGACTAGTAAAATAGCTACAGATTATTGAATTGTGATTGTCCAAATGGAGGAGAGCAGTGCCATGGATAACTTGAAGTTCAAATGTTAGCTTTGGAATATGTAATGTGTAGCGTGTGGCAAAGCTGTTTTTGTTTAAGCCAAGACTAGCCTTTTCATCCCACAAACCTATACTAAGTGACAGAGAAGTGAGTACTGGCGATTTGCTGTTAGGATAGCTGGCATAAGTTTAAACATTTTTATTGGAATAATATACTTAGTATATCATGAAGGCTTTATAATACTGTTCATTTCACTCATTTAATATCCTGCTTCCAAGGTGGTAAGCTCTGATTAAGGTGATAGGAACAACAACAGCAACAAAAAAACATAATTCAGCCCTAATGGAGTTTACATTCTAGTGGGGCTATAAATATCTATAAGGTAATACTTGGTTTCGATAAGTTTTTTTGTTTTTTTTTTTTTTTTTTTTTTTGATATGGAGTCTCGCTCTGTCTCCCAGGCTGGAGTGCAGTGGCGCAGTCTCGGCTCACTGCGAGCTCCGCCTCCTGGGTTCACGCCATTCCTGCCTCAGCCTCCTGAGTAGCTGGGACTACAGGCGCCCGCCACCACGCCCAGATAATTTTTTTGTATTTTTAGTAGAGACGGGGTTTCACCGTGTTAGCCAGGATGGTCTCAATCTCCTGACCTCATGATCCACCTGCCTCGGCCTCCCAAAGTGCTGGGATTACAGGCGTGAGCCACTGGGCCCGGCCGGTTTCGATAAGTTTTATGAGGAAAACTCGAGGGATAACGTAACTCCAGGTGAGATTGAGTTAACAAATAAAGCACTTTTTCCTGTAAAAGTGCATTTGATGAGATCGGGCGTGTTCAGAGTGGTATGATCATAGACTGAAAGTGCATTTGAAATGACCCTTTAAGAAGATAAATGATTATCAAAAGCAAACCAAAACATCATCTTTTTTTTTTTTTTTTTTTTTCCTCAGAGCCTCACTCTGTAGCCCAGGATGGAGTGCACTGGCGCCATCTTGGCTCACTGCAACCTCTGCTGCCCAGGTTCAAGCGGTTCTCCTGCCTCAGCTCCCAAGTAGCTGGGATTACAGGAGCCTGCCACCGCGACTGGCTAATTCTCGTATTTTTAGTAGAGATGGGGTTTCACCATCTTGGCCAGGCTGGTCTTGAACTCCTGACCTCGTGATCCACCTGCCTCAGCCTCCGAAAGCGCTGGGACTACAGGCGTGAGCCACCGCGCCTGGCCCAATATCATCCTTTTATATGCCATTTTGAGGAATTTTTCCCCCAATTTTAAATGAACTTTTTATTTTGAGATAATTATAGAATCACCCGAAATTGTAAGATACAATACGGATATCTCATGTACTCTTCTTTTATAAAGGATAGTAACATCTTTTGTAGCTGTAGTACAGTATCATGGCCAGTATTGATTGCTGTAGTCTACTTGTTTACATTTCCACGGTCTTATTTGCACTTGCGTGTGTGTGTGTATGTGTGTACATATTACAGATCGTGCCTAACTTAATGGTTTGGCTTTCAATTTTTTGACTTTTTTTTGACAATTTTTTGAGACAGAGTCTCACTCTATCACCCATGCTGGAGTGCAGTGGTGTGATCTCTGCTAACTGCAACCTCCGCCTCCTGGGTTCAAGCAATTCTCATGCCATAGACTCATGAGTAGCTGGACTTACAGGCACATGCCACCGTGCCTGGCTAATTTCTTTGCCTTTTTAGTAGAGACAGGGTTTCACCATGTTGGCCAGGCGGGTCTCAAACTCTTGACCTCAAGCAATCTGCTCACCTTGACCTCCCAAAGTGCTAGGATTATAGGCGTGACCCACTGTGCCTAGCCTAATTTGTTTTTAACTTTTAATTTTTTTTTAAGGAGACGAGCTGGCCTTGAACTTCTGGCCTCAAGCAATACTCCTGCCTTGGTCTCTGAAGTAGCTGGGGTGACAGGTGGAAGCCACCGTGCCAAGCTAATTTTTTTTTTTTTTTTTTTTTTGAGACAGTTTCCCTCTGTCACCCAGGCTGGAGTGCAGTGGCGCAATTTTGGCACACTGCAGCCTCCACCTCCCAGGTTCAAGTGATTCTCAATTCTCATGTCTCGGCCTCCTGAGTAGCTAGGATTACAGGCTTGCGCCACCACGCCCAGCTAATTTTTATATTTTTAGTAGAGATGAGGGTTTCACCATGTTGGCCAGGCTGGTCTCGAACCCCTAACTTCAAGGCTGCCTCAGCCTCCCAAAGTGCTGGGATTGCAGGTGTGAGTCACCATGCTTGGCCCTCAGTTTTTACATGATGAAAGGTACACTTTTTTGGTAAAAATTTACATTGGAATAGAAGTGTATAAAGTCAAAATAAATCAGTCTCCTCATCTTATTGTCCAGGGTTAATCATTATTAATAGTCTGTGTGTTTAGATCTTTTCTACACATTGTATGGTATAGACATATATCTAGTATATATATTAAAATATATGTATACCATATATACCTAAATATATATATTTTTTCCTCTTTCTCTGTCTCTCTCTCTCTCTCTCTCTCTCTCATATTAGCTTGGGTTGCCAAAAGAAAATATTATAGGCTGGGTAGTTAACTTCCCCCTGCCCCTCCTCCCCCCATAGATCCAGGAACTTGAGTGGCTAGGTGGTTTAAATAACAGAAAAGTATTTTCTCAGACTTTCAGAGGTTGGAAGTCCCAGATGAGGAGTTGGGTTCCTGGTGAGGGCTCTCTCCTGGCTATATTATCTAGGTATGTGAGCACCCAAACCTAGATGGTATAGCCTACTGCATGCTAGGTGATATGGTCTATAACCTGTTGCTTCTAGGCCACAAATTTGTACAGCCTGTTACTGTACTGAATACTTTAGGCAGTGGTATACAAAGGTAAGTATTTGTGTATTAAAACATTTAAACAGGCCAGGCGCAGTGGCTCACACCTGTAATCCTGATACTTTGGGAGGCCAAGGCAGGCGGATCATGAGGTCAAGAGATACAGACCATCCTGGCCAACATGGAGAAAGCCTGTCTCCTAAAAATACAAAAACTTAGCTGGGCGTGGTGGAGCACACCTGTAGTCCCAGTTACTAGGGAGGCTGAGGCAGGAGAATTGCTTGAACCCGGGAGGCAGAGGTTGCAGGGTTGCAGCGACCTGAGATCGTGCCACTGCATTCCAGCCTGGTGACAAAGCAAGACTCCGTCTCAAAAAAAAAAGGAAAAGAAAAAAATAGAAAAGGTACAGTAAAAATATAGTGTTACAGTTTTATGTGATCACCGTCATACATTTGGTTTGTTATCGACCAAAACATTGTTACCAACAAATCAATATATGTTTGTGTCTCATTTCAGTACTTAGTAATTAGTACTGGACCGAAATTTTAATTTTATTGCGGTTTCTTACAAAATAAAACTAGCCTTTGGCTAGTCATTCGGTCTGTGTGAAAATACATTTCTTTGCAGATGGTCCCCACATTTTGAATTTACAATTCATTTATCAGAATGTAGCCCCATCCATAAGTCTAAGGAATATCTAGATTTACGATGATTCGACTTCCAGTTTTTGACTTTAGGATGAGTTTATTCAGGCATTAAACGCATTTTTGACATAACAGTACTGACTTAAAATAGTTACATCCCAATAAAACCCTTGTTAAGTAGAAACTATTGTTAAGTTGAAAATGCGTTTAATTCACCTAACCCATCAAACATCATAGCTTAGCCTAGCCTACCTTAAATAGGCCCAGAATGCTTACATTAGCTACAGTTGGGCAAAATTACCTGACAGCACAGTATACTGTATCAGTTGTTTACCCTCCTAATTGAGTGGTTCACTGGGAGCTGTAGCCTGCTGCCATTGTGCAACTTTGTGACATAGTATGATACCACGAATCACTAACCTGGGAAAAGATTAAACCTCAAAATCTGAAATATGGTTTCTACTGAACTCATATCATTTTTCACATCATCATAAAGTCAAACCATCATAGTCAGTTGGGAATTGTCTAAGTAAGGGTATGCAGATCTCACTAATCCTGGCTGAGTCAGTTGGCATGTAGGTAATAGCCCTCTTCCCTGAAAAAAGCTTTGTCTTTTCTGATACCTCTTTTGGCATTCTCTCTCTTGCTTTTTCTGTAAAAAATAAAGATACTGTTCCTATTTTTCTAAAGCTAGTTTGATTTTTTTTTCTTTTCTTTTTGAGACAAAGTCTTGCTCTGTTTCCCATGCTGGAGTGCAGTGGTGTGATCACAGCTCTTTGCAGTCTCGACTTGCTGGGCTCAAGCGATTCTTCTGCCTCAGCCTCCCAAGTAGCTGAGACTACAGGCATAAGCCACCATGTCCAGCTCCTTTTTGAATTTTTTGTGGAGATGGGGTCTCCCTGTGTTTCCCAGGCTGTTCTCTAACTCCTGGGCTCAAGTGATCCTCCTGTCTTGGCCTCCGAGAATGTTGGAATTAAAGACCACCACACCCTGCCTAAAGCTAGTTTTAAATTATAGCGTGTGTGTTTGTATATATATATTTTTTAGAGATGGGGTCTTGCTCATTTGCCCAGGCTGGAGTACTGTGGTACAATCATAGCTCGCTGCAGCGTTGAACTCCTGGGCTCTAGCAAATCTCTCTCCTCAGTCCACTGAGTAGCTGGGACTACAGGCATGTACCACCATGCCTGGTTATATATTTTTAATATTTAAAAAAATGCCAGTGTCAGAAAAATAAGAACAATATCTTGTTTTTGGAATTAGAAATGTAATACATGCACAGGTTAAAAATTTAAATAGTGCAAAAGAGTACATAGTGAAAAATAGCCTCCTTCCCTCCCTAGTTACCTGATCCCTGTCTCCCAGAGACACTCTTTCTAGCTTATTTGGGGTAGCCACTGACAAATATTCTTTGCCTATACTATTATTCATATGTTTATATTTCTCTATGTCTAACACATTAACACACATATATACACATATGCATGAGTGCACACATGGAAGCCTAATGTACTCTGAATTTTCTTACCTAATGGCTTATCTTGTAGTTTGTTCCACATTCGCACATAGAAATCTACTTTATTCTTTCTCGTGGCTGTGTAAATATTCCATTATATGTTTATATTATTAGATTCTTTATAATGGATATTTTAGTGGTTTATAGTCTTGCTATTACAAATGTTGGCACAAAGTTATGTTTTAATGTACTATGTATATTTATTTACATATATATTTACACAATTATGTGATATATACTTAAGGAGCATATAGAGTCTTCAGTAATCTGGTTCACAGTTGATACATTAAAAAAAAACACTGTGTGGGGTGTGGCGACTCATACCTGTAATCCTAGTACTTTGGAAGGCCGAGACAGGAAGATTACTTGAGCTCAGAAGTTTGAGTCCAGCCTGGGCAATGTAGTGAGACTCTGTTTCTACTAAAAATAAAAAAAATTAGCTAGGCTTGGTGGTGCACCTGTAGTCCCAGCTACTCAGGAGGCTGATGTGAGAGGATTGCTTGAACCCAGGAGACCTAGGAGGTAGAGGATGCAGTGAGCCGTGATCATGCCACTGCCCTCCAGCAAGACCCTGTCTCCACAAAAAAGAAAAAAGAAACTCACTGTATTTATATACCATTGGTTGAAAATAAGATACTTGAAATATTCATTCATATCTGCCCCGGTAAAATTTTTCTCCCCAATGGCTCACATATCTAGAAATAGTTACATAAATCGCGTCTTTGGTAACTTAATAAGTTCATATTTGTAAGTAGCCTAGTAGTCGCTAGAAAGTTTCATTTGGGTATGTAATAAAATTATATTGTTATTGATTATTTACTAGTCGATCTACATTCATGTTTTGTTTGTTTTGCTTTGTTTTTAGAGGTCTTGCTCTGTCACCCAGGCTATAGTGCAGTGGCACACTTGTAGCTCACTGCATGCACCCTTGAACTCCTGGGCTCAAGTTACCCTCTTGCCTCAGCCTCCTTAGTAGTTAGGTCTACAGGGACAGGCAACCACACCTGACTAATTTTTTAAATTTTTTGTAGAGATAGGGTCTTGCTGTGTTGCCCAGGATGGTCTTGAACTCCTGGCCTCAAGTGAACCTCTCACCTTAGTTGGCCAAAGTGTTGTGCTGGGATTACAGGCATAAGCCACCATGCCAAGCCTACATTCTTTATATAGATATCTTACGCTGCTTTTAGAGATATCAAATACAGCAGTTATATAGTTGGAAAAAGCTGGAAAGGACTTTATATATCTTTATTTTAACTTTCTTATTTTGCTCCTCTAAGTTTACTCTGCTGTAATACTGATGTTCCTGAATTTGATGGTATACTTGATTGAGAGATGAGATCACGGTGAAGAAGGACAAAATGGAATGAGGGCTTTTAAATTCCATAAGTCAGTTTTTATGGTTCATAGATGCTGTGACAATATGTCAGCTATCTCTGAAGCCTCCTTGATACATGATGGGACAGGGAATCTTCTGCCTACTCCCAAAACTTTGGAAAATTAGTAAGGCAGCATTTAAAGAAAATTTTTAGCGAGGTCCTCAGATATGATATATATTATAAAAAGATTTAATGTGGGCCAGGCACTGTGGCTCATGCCTGTAATCCCAGCACTTTGGGAGGCCGAGGCGGGCAGATCATGAGGTCAGGAGATCGAGACCATCCTGGCTAACATGGTGAAACCCCGTCTCTACTAAAAATACAAAAAATTAGCCAGGCGTGGTGGCGGGCGCGGTGACGGGCACCTGTAGTACCAGCTACTCGGGAGGCTGAGGCAGGAGAATGGCATGAACCCGGGAGGCAGAACTTGCAGTGAGCCGAGATCACGCCACTGCCCTCCAGCCTAGGCGACAGAGCGAGACTCTGTCTCCAAAAAAAAAAAAAAAAAGATTTAATGTATATATAGGTAATATCTTTGAAAAACTTAGATTATGACAAGCATTCAGCTTAGTGTAATTTGGGCTAATAATAAATGGAGATTAATTCATTTAATTGGTTAATAAACATTTATTGAGTGTTTACTCTGTTAGGTACTGTTTTAGGTTCTTAGGATATCTTAGTGAACCAAATAGATTAAAGAAAAATCCCTTCTTTTGTGGACCTTACCTCTTAATGGGTAAAGCAGACAGTATTTATAAATATAACCCCAGTAATTGTATAGTATGTTAAAAGATGGCAAGTCCTACTAAAAACAAAAAGGTAATAGAGTAAGAGGCAATGGGAGTGTAGGAATAGGGTTGTTATAGAATGAAATAGGGATATCAAGGTAAACCTCACTGGGGTTGAAATTTGAGTGTAGACTGGAGAATGATAGCCAAGCCAGTCATCAGGAGAAAGAGTATCTCAGGCAGAGGGATAGAAGGCTAATAGGTTGGTGTGGAGTGAGGAACAGGGAAGAATTAGGATTTTTGCTTTTATTTTGTGTCAAAAGGAGTGATAGAATCTAAGGTTTTAAAAGAGTTCTGTGGGCCAGGTGTTGTGGCTCATGCCTGTAATCCCAGCACTTTGGGAGGCCGAGGTGGGCAGATCACCAGGTCAGGAGATCAAGACCATCCTGGCTAACACGGTGAAACCCCATCTCTACTAAAAATACAAAAAATTAGCCGGGCATGGTGGTGGGCACCTGTAGTCCCAGCTACTCGGCAGGCTGAGGCAGGAGAATCACATGAACCTGGGAGTCGGAGCTTGCAGTGAGCCAGGATTGTGCCACTGCACTCCAGCCTAGGTGACAGAGCCAGACTCTGTCTCAAAAAAAAAAAAGTTCTGTGGCAAGAGGGCAAGAGAGAATTTAGGAGATTATTTGCAGTAATCCAGCAAGAGATGATGAGATGATGGTGGTTTAGGCAGGTTACAGCATTGAAAATGGCAAGAACTAGTCAGATTTCAGACATGTTTTCCAGGTAGAGCCAATATAATTTCACTTGGAATGTAGGGCATTGGAGAGAGGAGTCAAGGGTTTGTTTCAAGAGTGTGGAAGGTTATGGATGGACTTGATGCCAGCTGAGATGAGGAAGGCTGCAGACAGAGCAAATATGGGAGAGCAGATCAGGAGTTTGGTTTTGAACATGTTACTTTGAGAGATATATTAGCCATTCAAGTGGAGATTTTGAGGAGTTAGGTAGATACAAGTCTGGAGTTCTTGAGAGAGATTAGGACTGGAGATGATAAACTTCAAGTCTTCAGTGTATACTTGGCATTTAAAATCATGGAACTGTATGAGTTCACCAAGGAATATGGCTTCTATAAGAACTTGGGAAACACAAATCTATTGATAAATCAGTAGGCTATTTTCTTTTTCTTAGGAGAAAGAAAGAATAGGTAAGTAACATTTGGGTTCTACATATGTGCCAGTCATGCCATATATATATTTGCATACACTATCCCATCACATTTAATAACTATTTCATGAGATAGATACTGTTTTCATTTGACAGGTTAAAACTAGCCCTTAAAAAAAAGGCTAGTTTTAATAAGCAAACAATTACAAATCCTCTCTCTATCCCCTGCTATATGACCTTAAGAAATTGAAGTCAGAGGCTGGGCCCTGTGGCTCATGCCTGTAATCCCACTACTTTGGGAAGGTGAGGGGGGTGGATCGCCTTAGGTCAGGAGTTTGAGACCAGCCTGGCCAACCTGGTGAAACCGTGTCTCTACTAAAAACACAAAAATTAGCTGGGCGTGATGGTGGGCGCCTGTAATCCCAGCTACTCAGGAGGCTGAGGCAAGAGAATCGCTTGAACCCAGGAGGCGGAGGTTGGAGTGAGCCGAGATGGCGCTATTGCACTCCAGCTTGGGCAACAAGAGTGAAACTCCATGAAAAAAAAACCAAAAAACAAAAAAAAATGTGTATCTTATTACAGTTGAGTCCTTTTGTGAGACGAACATTCAGTGTTTGCTAGATTATTCTAATTAGCTACCTTTGTATGGTTAGGTTAGCATGGAGCTGAAGATAAATGTCCCGTTTGAAAAAATGACAGCCCTTCAGAAAACTCTGGCAGTTTACAGAAGAAATACAAATGGCCAATAGGTATATAAAAGTTCCTAACAAGTGAATAAAAGCAAATTAAAACAGGCATTCACTTATTTATGTTTTACCTTTCAAGTTGATAAGAGCACAAAGATTGTTGATACCTAGTGTTTGTGTGGGTATGGGGGGGAAAAGACACTCTGGTATGACGCTTTTCGAGGTCAGTATTCATTAAAATTTAAGATGTCCACATCCTTTGGCACAATAGTTTATTGTTAGACTCATTCTATGGAAACACAGGATATATGTACAGAGTTATTCAACGCAGCTGATCTGACGTAGGGAAAAGTTGAAAATAGTGAAATTCCCGTTAGTAAGGGTGTTATCCATATAGCAGGATATCATACAGCAGTAAAAACAAGAGTTTTATATACAGACAAGATGCTTAAAATATATTACTAAATAGGAAGAAGAAGTTACAAAACTATGTATAATACGCTTTTTTTTTTTTTTTTTTTTTTGAGACCGAGTCTCGCTCTGTTGCCAGCCTGGAGTGCAATGGCGCGATCTCGGCTCACTGTAACCTCAGCATCCTGGGTTCAAGCGATTCTCCTGCCTCAGCCTCCCGAGTAGCTGGGATTATAGGCACCCACCACCATGCCTGGCTAATTTTTGTATTTTTTTTAGTAGAGATGGGATTTCACCATGTTGGCCAGGATGGTCTCAATCTCTTGACCTTGTTGTCCTCCTGCCTTGGCCTCCAGAAGTGCTGAAATTACAGGTGTGAGCCACCATCCCCAGTCGTAATACACTTTTAAAAGATATGTAAGAAGAAAAGATCTAGAGACAGCACTGAGTTGTTAATGTTAGTATTTCTGTGGTGGCATGATGGGAAACTTCGATTTCTGTATTTCTGAATATTTTTTCCTCAAGTCTCTTATAATCAGAAAAAGAATCAGTAAAGATAACTAACATACACACGTACAAAAGACGAACCCAAACCCAACCCTCCAGATGCTAGCTTACTACAAGATTTAGCAAAATAATTGGAAATGCATGTGGTTTGCTAGTTTCTCCAAAATTCAGCATTAGCCTTCTGAGCTCATCCATGGGTTTGGATGATCTTAAGCTGATACTTTATGTGACAAGTAAGCTGGTTTTAGAAATAAAATTTTCTCTCTGTTATTAAATTTCTAGCCGCATTACTAGAAAACAATAATGGAAAACTTTTTAGGCCATTTATTGCTTTATTGGCAGCTTTCGATTATGTAGAAAATAGTAATTATCTTGGCATAGATCTCAAACTAAAACTGCTTTATTGGAGGATATTTTTCGGTGAGTATTCAGATTGATGATACTAAATAGCTTCACCCAAGAACCCAATTTATTTAGTTGTTGATATTCAAGTTTGTAGTAAGTTCATCTTGGAATGTGTATGGTATTGCAGCACTCCCCAGAATCAGCTGTTTTTACCAGAGTCTTACTGCACTGCAGTTCTTTTCTGATTGAAGAGGCTAGGTAATAATGCATATCATAAACATGTTCAGGTCAAAATAGTGTACTGTATACACTCCAGTGAAACAGTGGGATCTCAGCTGGGTACCTGTCGTTAAGCCACTTGATTCATCTAAAATTTCTGTTTCGGGATTTTTTGGTTTTTTTTTTCTTACTATAGGCCTTGCTGTGGCTATCTTGGTGCATAGATATGACAACTTCCTTAAGAGCCAGTTTGCCAGATAGACCTTGCAGTTTGTATTTTTTATATATTTATTTATTTTGAGACAGAGTTTCACTCTTGTCGCCCAGGGTGGAGTACAATGGCACGATTTTGGCTCACTGCAACCTCTGCCTCTAGGGTTCAAGTGAGTCTCCCGCCTCAGCCTCCCAAGTAGCTGGGATTACAGGTGCCCTCCACTACGCCCAGCTAATTTTTTGTATTTTTAGTAGAGACAGGGTTTCGTCATGTTAGCCAGGCTGGTCTCGAACTCCTGACCTCAGGCAATCCACCCACTTTAGCCTCCCAAAGTGCTAGGATTACAGGTGTGAGCCACCACACTCGGCCTGACTTTGCAGGTTTTTTTTTTTTTTTCTTTTCTTTTTTTTTTGAGACGGAGTCTCGCTCTGTCATCCAGGCTGTAGTGCAGTGGCGCGATCTCGGCTCACTGCAAGCTCCACCTCCCGGGTTCACGCCATTCTCCTGCCTCAGCCTCCCGAGTAGCTGGGAGTACAGTCGCCCACCACCATGCCCGGCTAATTTTTTGTATTTTTTTTTTTTTAGTAGAGACGGGGTTTCACCGTGGTCTCGATCTCCTGACCTCGTGATCCACCCGCCTTGGCCTCCCAAAGTGCTGGGACTACAGGCGTGAGCCACCGCGCACGGCGACTTTGCGGTTTTTAAAACAATGTTAACTTTCCTCCCTGGAGGTCTGATACCTCTGCAGGTAACTCACTGTTTACTAAATGACGTAGTATATGTGTTCTCTAGGCACTGACTAGAGAATGTAATTTAATTATTAAACATATATTTAACATTTTTGTGCTAGGTATCATATAGATGTTGGGGAATACAAAGACATATCAGGCCGGACACAGTGGCCTGTAATCCCAGCACTTCGGGAGGCCGAGGCGGGTGAATCACTTGAGGTCAGGAGTTTGAGACCAGCCTGGCCAACATGGTGAAACCCGTCTCTACCAAAAATACAAAAATTTAGCCAGGTGTGGTTGCATGTGTCTGTATTCTCAGCCACTGGGAGGCTGAGGAAGGAGATTTGCATGACCCCGGGAGGTGGAGGCTGCAATGAGCTGAGATGGCACCAGTGCGCTCCAGCCTGGGCAACAGAGTGAGACTCCATCTCGAAAAAAAATAAAAATTAAAAAACAAAGATGTATCGGACATGGCCCTGGTCATTTGTGAGTGCATAGATTAATAAAGGAGTTTGACATTATAAATTATGACATAGTATGATATATATATATACACATCTCATATATACACACACATATACATAAAATGTATAACAAACTCTATTCAGGGATATTTTGAGAGGTGATATTTGAAATATTTTTCGAAAGATGTATGAGGCATACATACCTGGTAGAAAAGGGCATTCTAGGTAGATGAGAAAAGACACAGATTTTGAGAGGAAGCTCTATTCATAGTTTTGTAGTCATCTGATGTGGTTAGAGAATAGGCCAATTATGGAGAGTGGTACCAGATAATAAGCTGTGGCCACGTTGTGAAGGCCCTTCTAGGATATGCTAGTAAGTGATATGATAAGATCTGTGTTTTACCACCCCCAAAGCTGGCAGAAGACAAGAAATAACCAAAATCAGAGCTGAACTGAATAAAGTTGAGGTGCAAGAAACCATACAAAAGATCAGTGAAAAGAGAAGTTGGTTATTTAATATAATAAATAAGATTGCTAGACTGCTAACTAGACTAATACAGAAAAAAGAAGATCCAAATAAACACAGTCAGAAATGACAAAGGGGACATTACCACCTACCCCACAGAAATACAAAAAACCCTCAGAGACTATTATGAACACCTCTATGCATGTAGGGTAGAAAACCTACAATAAATGGATATATTCCTGGAAATATACCTCCTAAGATTGAACTAGAGAAAAATTGAAACCCTGAACAGAGCAATAATGAATTCTGAAATTGAATCAGTAATAAAAAACCTACCAACCAGAAAAAGCCCAGGACCAAATGGATTCAAAGCTGAATTCTACCAGACATATTAATATAAAGAGCTGGTACAATTGCTACTGAAACTATTCAAAAAAATGGAAGAGGAGGGGATTCCTCCTTATCTCATTCAATGACCAGCATCATCCTGATACCAAAACCTGGCAGAGACTCAACAAAAAACGAAAACTTCAGGCCAATATCCTTGATAAACATAGATGCAAAAATCTTCAACAAAATACTAGCAAACTGAATCCAGCAGCATAACAAAAAGCTAGTCCACCAGGCCAGGAGCAGTAGCTTAGGCCTGTAGTCTCAGCACTTTGGTAGCCAAGGCAGGTAGATGGCTTGAGGCCAGGAGTTCAAGACCAGCCTGTGTAACATGGTGAGTACCTATGTCTACCAAAAAATTTAAAAAATTAGCTGGGTGTGGTGGCACACACCTGTAGTTCCAGCTACTTGAGAAGCTGAGGTGGAAGGATGGCTTGGGCCTGGGAGGCAGAGGTTGCAGTGAGCTGAGATTGGGCCATGGTACTCCAACCTGGGCAACAGAGTGAGACCCTGTCAAAAAAAAAAAAAAAAAAAAAAAAAAAGCTAAATCACCATGAACAAGTAGGCTTTACCCCTGAGTTGCAAGACTGGTCGGGCATACACAAATCAATAAATGTTACCCGTCACATAAACAGAGCTAAAAACAACCATATTATCATCTCAATAGATGTAGAAAAGGTTTTCAGTAAAATTCAACATCCCTTCATGTTAAAAACCCTCAATAAACTAGGCATTGAAGGAACACACTTCAAAATAATGAGAGCCATGTATGACAAACCCACAGCAGCATCATAACTGAATGGGCAAAAGCTTGAGAACTGGAACAAGACAAGGATGCCTACTCTCAACACTGCTATTCGACATAGTACTAGAAGTCCTAGCCAGAGCAATCAGGCAAGAGAAAGAAATAAAAGGTATCCAAATAAGAAGAGAGGAAGTCAAACTATCTCTGTATATGATATGATTTTATACCTAGAAAACCTCGTCGTCTCTGCCCAGAAGCTCCTAAATCTGACAAACAACTTCAGCAAAGTTTCAGGATACAAAATTGATGTACAAAAATCCGTAGCATATCTATACACCAACAGCATCCAAGCTGAGTGCCAAATCAAGAATGCAATCCTATTCACAATAGCCGTGAAAAATAAAATACCTAGGAATACAGCTAACCAGGGAGGTGAAAGAGCTCTACAATGATAATTAGGAAACACTGCTAAAATAAATCAGAGATGACACAAATGCAAAAACATTCGATGCTCATGGATAGGAAGAATCAATATTGTTAAAATGGCCATACTGCCCAAAACAAAATAAATATTCAATGCTTTTCCTATCAACCTGCCAATGACACTCTTCACAGAATTAGAAAAGACTGTTCTGAAATTCATATGGAACCAAAAAAACAGCCTGAATAGCCAAAGCAATCCTACACAAAAAGAGCAAAGCATCACATTACCTGATTTCAAACTATACTTCAAGGCTGTAGTAATCAAAACAGCGTGGTACAGGTACAAAAACAGTGACATAGACCAATAGAACAGAATAGAGAGCCCAGAAATAAAGCCTCACACCTACAACCATCTGATCTTCCACGGAGTTGACAAAAACGAGCAATGGGGAAAGGAGTTCCTGTTCAGTAAATGGTGCTGAGATAACTGGCTAGCCATATTCAAAAGATTGAAACTGGACACCTTTGTTACACCATATACAAAAAATTAACTCATGGTGGATTAAAGACTTAAATGTAAAACCTAAAACTATAAAAACCCTTGAAAACCTAGGAAATACCATTCTGGACATACGCCCCAGCAAAGATTTCATGAGGAAGATGCCAAAAGCAATGGCGACAACAACAAAAAATTGACAAATGAGACCTAATTAAAGAGCTTCTGCACAGCAAAAGAAACTATCAATAGAGTAAGCAGACAACCCACAGAGTAGGACAAAATATTTGTAAATGGTGCATCTGACAAAGGTCTGATACCCAGAATCTATAAGGAACTTAAATTAACAAGCAAAAAACAACTCCATTAAAAACTGGGCAGAGGACATGAACAGACGCTTTTCAGAAGAAGACATATACTCAGCCAATGAGCATATGAAAAAATGCTCAACATTGGCTGGGCGTGGTGGCTCACGCCTGTAATCCCAGCACTTTGGGAGGCTGGAGGCAGGTGGATCACGAGGTCAGGAGATCAAGACCATCCTGGCTAACACAGTGAAACCCCGTCTCTACTAAATATACAAAAAATTAGTTGGGTGTGGTGGTGGGCGCCTGTAGTCCCAGCTACTCAGGAGGCTGAGGCAGGAGAATGGCGTGAACCCGGGAGGCGGAGCTCACAGTGAGTGGATATCGCGCCACTGCACTCCAGCCTGGGTGACAGAGCAAGACTCCATCTCAGAAAAAAAAAAAAAAGCTCAACGTCACTAATCATTAGAGAAATGCAAATCAAAACCACATTGAGATACCATCTCATACCAGTCAGAATGATTATTATTAAAAAATAACAGATGCAGGTGAGGTTGCAGAGAAAAGGGAACACTTCTACACTGCTAGTGGGGAAAGCAGTTTCATGATTTCTCAAAGAACTTAGAATTACCATTTGACCCAGCAATTTCATTTTTAGGTGTATACCCAAAGGCATATACGTTGTTCTGTCATAAAGACGCATGAATATGTTCATTGCAGCACTCTTCACAATAGCAAAGACATGGAAGTGACCTAGATGCCCATCAATGGTAGACCAGATAAAGAAAATTTGGGGCATGTACACCATGGACTACTACACAGCCATGAAAAAGAACAGGATAATGTCCTTTGCAGCAACATGGTTGGAGCTGGAGGTCATTATCCTAGATGAACTAACGCAGTAGCAGAAAACCAAATACCACATGTTCTCACTTATAAGTGGGAACTAAATATTGAGTATACATAGACATAAAGAAGGGAACAATAGACACCGGAGCCTTCTGTTTTTATTTTTTTTGAGATGGAGTTTCGCTCTTGTTTCCCAGGCTGGAGTGCAATGGCACAAATCTTGGCTCACTGCAACCTCCGCCTCCCTGGTTCAAACGATTCTCCTGCCTCAGTCCTCTTAGTAGCTGGGATTACAGGCATGCACCACCATGCCCGGCTAATTTTGTATTTTTAGTAGAGATGGGGTTTCACCATGTTGGTCAGGCTGGTCTTGAACTCCCGACCTCAGGTGATCCTCCCACCTTGGCCTCCCAAGGTGCTGGGATTATAGGTGTGAGTCACCACACCTGGCCAATACTGGAGACTTATTGAGCAGGGAGAGTAGGAGGAGGGTGAGGAAGGGAAAAGTACCCATTGGGTACCGTGCATATTATCTGGGTGACAAAATAATCTGTACACCAAACCCCTGCCATATGTAATTTACCCATGTAGCAAACCTGCATGTATACCCCTGAAACTGAAATAAAAGGTTTTTTTTTTTTAATATTTATTTTTTATTTTTGAGACAGAGTCTCGCTCTATCACCCAGCTAGAGTGCAGTAGTGTGATCTTGGCTCACTGCAACCTCTGCCTCCTGGGTTCACGTGATTCTCCTGCCTCACTCAGCCTCCCAAGTAGCTGGGGTTACAGGTGTACGCCACCACGCCTGGCCAATTTTTGTATTTTTGGTAGAGATGGGATTTCACTATGTTGGCCAGGCTGGTCTCAAACTCCTGACCTTGGGTGTTCCACCTGCGTCCCCCTCCCAAAGTGTTGGGATTACAGGCATGAGCCACTGTGCCCGGCTTTACTCTTTATTTTGAAAAGATAACTATAGTAGGCTTTTTTGACTTCTAAGGATGGAAATGGGGAAATCATTTGGAACAGTCTTTATGATAGTTAAAGGGAGTAACGCTAAGGACATGGTTTAGGGCAGTGGAAATGAATTAGAGGGGGCACATTTTAGAGAGATTTGGTGAAGCAGCTACTTGGGATGCATAAGGGAGAGAAGGGAGGCAAGGATAACTAAGTTTTTAGTTTTAAAGTACTTGTCACATGTCTTAGAGACTTTTAGTAATAGGCAGTTGGAAATGTGAGTTAGGAGATTAGGATTGAGTGAGATGAATATAGTGATTTTTGAAATGTTTGAAATAAGGCTTTAAATCTCAACTCTGACACTCACTAAAATGAGAAATAACCATATATATCTTAAAGAACTGTTGGGATTGTGCATATAAACCTGTCAATAAGTAACACTTGGTATTATTTTATCTAATTTATCAGAACTAGGGTTGAATGTTTCACAGTAAATGGATGAGAGTTTAAGAGGGAGAGATTGATCTATTTAGATTGCTGGAAAGTTAAGTACTTGAACTATATCGTTAGTTCTTTATGGAATTACCTCACTTTAGTTGTGGCATAATATTCTTTTCTGTACTTCTATTGAGAATAAATATAAAAAGTGTTTCAAGAAATCTTTCAGTTGTCTTGAAGATGTCATGGTGTTCAATGTTCTTTATGGAAAAATCCTTGTAATAATTTCTTCGAATAGTTTAGTACTAGGAAAAATGGTTTTTGCTCAAACAAATTGGTATTTGTTATTTTACTAAGCAAGCAATTTTTAAACTTCCATTTTCCCTTTTTTTATCTTGTCTGTTTCAAAATGTCTGAGCTTAATGTTTGACTGAAATATTTTTATTAACCTGTATTTTTAGTTTAATCTATATTTAATCTTTTATTATGTGGCTCTATTGTATGTTTTCGGGGGCGGGGAGCTTACACAACAGAAATTTATTGTCTCAGGTTTGGAGGCTGAAAGTCTAAGATCAAGGTGTTGGCTGGATTGCCTTCTTCTGAGGGCTGTGGAGGATAATCTGTTCCATGTCTTTCCCCTTAGCTTTTGGTTTGCTGACAATCTTGGACATTTCTTGGCTTGTAGAAACATCTTCCCAATCACTCCTGTCATCTTTACTTGATGTTTTCCCTTTGTGTGCATCTGTGTTCAAATTTCCCTTTTTTATAATGTCACCAGTCATACTGGATTAGGACTGCCCTAATGACCTCATCTTTAATTATATCTGCAGTGACTCTATATTCAAATGAGGTCACATTCCAAGGTACAGGGGATTAAGACTTCAGCATAGGAATGTGGTGGGGGTTGGGAGGGACAGTTGAACTTCTAACAGTTGTGTGGTTAAACAAATGAGATAATAACCTGAAATGCCTTATGGAGCTTCGGAGTTAGGTAGAGAATTGAGAATTTGAACTTGTTCTCTTCATGACTGTCTCCACAGAAGCTTTATCATAAGGGCAGGAAGCACAGTGTTTATAGTCATTAATTGCTGTTTTCTGACAGTTTGACTTTTTCCTTGGTTTGTGAACTTTCGAGGGAGTTCCAGCTCTTCAAACAGACAGTATGTCTTGTCCACCTGCTTTGGATTTGAGTCTTGTTTTACAGACAGCTTCTGTGGGTTTTATAACAGATGTGTAAAATATTCCAGCCTACCTTTTTATCATTTATTTTAAAATTAAAAAGAGAAAAACCTACATGGAAAGTTTTTCCTAACACACTCTATTACAAAGAGCATATTAGTGTTTCATCAGAAAAAGCAGGCTACTTTTTGCAAATAAATAAGTAGATTTGGCACCTAATATCAACTGGGCATGCCAGTATACTGAATTAACACAACAACCTTGGAAAGTAGATGCTACTGTTTTAGTGTTACAGAGGAAGAAACTGAGACTTAAGTATACTGTTGAAGGTTAGTAGTTGGCAACTGGCTGAAACAGACCTCATGGTCAGTATTTGTTAAAAGTCTATGCTCATTCCACAATCCGATAAAGAAAAGGATGGTGTGAGTATCTGCTGAGGGGGTAGAGGAGCCCCTGTTTCTTGGGCCTGCACTCACTGTACTGTCATCTGGCATCTCTGAGGTCTCAGTTTCCTCATTGGAAAAGTGGAGGCAATCAGCCGGGTGCCGTGGCTCATGCCTGTAATCCCAGCACTTTGGGAGGCCGAGGCGGGTGGATTGCATGAGCTCACGAGTTTGAGACCAGCCTGGGCAACATGGCGAAACCCCACCTCTACTAAAAATACAAAAAATTATATGGGCGTGGTGGCGCACACCTGTAGAACCCAGGAGGTGGAGGTTGCAGTGAGCTGAGATCACGCCACTGCACTCCAACCTGGGCAACAGAGTGAGACTCTGCCTTAAAAAAAAAAAAGCATTTAATTGAAAATAAAAGTTTGTACAAATGTGCTAGGCTGGGCTCAGTAACTCATGCCTGTAGTCCCAGTACTTTGAGGGGCCAAGGAGGGAGGATTGCTTGAATTCAGGAGTTTGAGGCTGCAGTGAGCTGATTATGCCACTGCACTCCAGCCTGGGTGACAGAGGGAGACTTTTTCTCAAAAATAACAACTTGCCACCAAGCTTAAAAAAAAAAAAACCTAACAAAAATGTGCTATTAGATTAAGGAGTACCAAAAAGTGAAAGGTGTGCATAATTACAGATACATACAGTGTAGTTACAGATAATTTAAGGCCGAATGCAGTGGCTTACACCTGTAAACTCAGCACTGTGGGAGGCCAATGCAGGAGGATCACTTGAGCCCAGGAAGTTTTTTTTTTGAGACAGCATCTTGCTCTGTCACCCAGGCTGTAGTGCAGTGGTATGATGACAGCTCACTGCAGCCTCAATTTCCTAAGCCCAGGAGTTCGAGACCAGCAACATAATGAGACCCTGTCTCTACAAAAAATAATAAAAAATAAATTCAAAACAAAACAAAGATAAGATAATTTACATTAGTAGATAGTACAGAAATACCTGAAAATGTAAAGGCTTAAATACTGTAGTTGAAGACAGCAATAAAAAGTCAAAAGGAAGTTTTTTTTTCTCAAATGAGTGATATAAATAGTATCTTAAGAGGTAAAGGTTTTAACAGCTTGGAATAATTGGGGAATACTTTCTAGAGAAGGGCAAATTAAAAAATAATGTTTATGATGACCTGTTAGAAAACATACTAGGCACTTTACATAGATTATTTCATTTGATTCCACACCACAACCCTATGAGTGAGATGGTATTTAACCTCTTTTTTCAGATGAAGAAATGAAATTTACAGTTACTTGCTCATGCTCATATAGTATGTAAATGGCACAAGTAGGACCCAAACTCAATGTGTAACTCCAAGTATTTTTTCTTTCTCATCATACCTGAGTCTTGAGTATGTATATTAGAAATTGATTATACTCCAGATGGTAAAGTGTGGGAGATTTTAAGCATATAATGAGTATATCATTGTAACTGGAGGAGAAAGTTCAATCGTTATATGATTCTTGTAAAGATCTTACAGTAGATGTATACTTTTATTACTTTACGCCATGATCTTTAATCTTTTGTAAATATTGGTGTAAGGTATTCAGTTTTTTCCCTAGATGGATACTCAGTTGTCTTAAGTCCATTTACTGAATAATCCCCCTTTTCCTCTACTAATTAAACGAAAAGTTTTATTGGCCAGGCATAGTGGTGTGCGCCTGTAGTCCCAGCTACTTGGGAGGCTGAGGTGGGAGGATTTCCTCAGCCTGGGAGGCAGAGATTGCAGTGAGTTGAGATTGTGGCACTGCACTCCAGCCTGGGCAACAGAGCTGTCTCAAAAACAAAACCAAACCAAAACCTTTATTGAAATGTAATTTACATGCTATTAAATTCACCTATTATAAGTACAATTCAGTTATTTTTAATAACTGTATAGAGTTATACAGTTTTTTAAAATAACTTTAAGATATTGTTTTTCATAACTCTTAATTGAAGTTTTCTTGGTAGATGGTATGATTTTCATTTTATAATTCATGGCATAATCTGCATCTTATAAGCATTTTGCCCAAGACTTTGTGGCCAGTAAATGGCAGAACCAAGACTCAAACTCAGCACCTTTTAGAAGTATTAGCATGATAGTTGAGAACAAATTGTTGAGGATATGCTAATGTCAAACTAAGAAGTTTGGATTTCATCCTTTAGCGTGAGCATCGCCAGCATCTTCTCTGTAATGCCCTACTTGGCACTTGTAGCTGGGTACTTTTTGGAAAATGTCTTCTATGATGGAACTCTAGTCTCTGAAGATGTTCCATGTAGAAAGGGTTCCCTACTCAAGTAAATTTGGGAAGTACTCTGACTTCTTTTTGGATGATCACAGTTCACATTGTATACACACATCCTGGGAAGTTGTACAGTAAAGAAATGGGTTTACTTGTTTTTACTCATTTTCCCCCAGAATTTTCCAAGTTTCTTGACCATAGATGACCTTTTGAGTAACACTGCTCTAGTATGATGTTTTTGGAGAATTAGACTCAATTCATTAAGAGGGGTTAAGTCTGAAGAAGAAAATTAAGCTGCAGGATTGGATTTTTTTAAAAAGTAGGTTATAATTGTGTACATTTATCTGTTAATAGTCATGGGGTAACTGCTGACAGATGGAGAAGTTCTTATTTTTTTTTAGACCGAATCTCACTCTGTTGCCAGGCTGGAGCGCAGTGGCGCGATCTCAGCTCACTGCAACCTCTGCCTCTCAGGTTCAAGTGATTCTCCTGCCTCAGCCTCCCGAGTAGCTGGGACTACAGGCATGTATCACCACGTCTGGCTAATTTTTGTATTTTTAGTAGAGACGGGGTTTCACCATGTTGGTCAGGCTGGTCTCGAACTCCTGACCTTGTGATCCTCCTGCCTTGGCCTCCCAAAGTGCTGGGATTACAGGCGTGAGCTAATGTGCCCAGCCGAAGTTCTGATTCATTAGGTATAGGATCCTTTGGTCCAAAGTTTGAAATTTTGTCTCTTGATTTATACTTATATATCCTTTTTTTTTTTTTTTTTGTAGAGATGGGGGTCTTGCTATGTTGCTCAGGGTGGTCCTGGATTCCTGGGCTCAAGTGATAATACCACCTTAGCCTCCCCCAAAGTGCTGGGATTACAGACATGAGCCACCATGCCTGGCCCCATTTCTTTTAAAAATTTGAAAGACTGTTTAGTATAGTAGCAAGATCACTTTTATGTCCCACGTGTACCATTTACTAGTGTTGTGACTTTGGGCAAGCTATAATCTCTGAATCAGTTTGCTTAACCATAAAATAAAAAGAATATCAACCTTGCCACAGTTGTTATTCAGATGTAGATTCATATCTATAATGATTGTTCAATTTCTTATTATTCTATAGTGTCTTAGTTCATTTCTGCAGCTCTTAACAAAATATTGGAGACTGGGTAATTTTTATAGAACAGAAATTTATTTCTCAGAGTTCTGGAGGCTGGGAAGTCCAAGATCAAGTCCAACCAAGGTGGGTTGGTTTGGTGTCTGATGAGGGCTGCTGTCTATGCTTCAAGATGGTGCCTTGTTGCCACCTGCTCACATGGTGGAAGGGTCTAACAGTTTCCTTGTGCTTCATAAGGGTGCTAATTCCATTAGCATCATGGCATGGTCCACCCTCATGACTTAATCACCATCTAAAGGCCCCAATTCTCAATACTATCACATTGATAAGTTTCAACACATGAATTTTGCAGGGGGTCGGGGGGACATTCAGACCATTGCATTCTGCCCCGATCCCTTAAATCCTTGTCTTTGTCACATGCAAAAAACATTAATTCTATCCCAGTAGTCTCAAAAGTCTTCCAGCACCAATTCAAAAGTCCAAAGTCCAGAGTCTCATCTAAATTAGGTATGGATGAGACTCAAGGTATTCATCCTAAGGCAAATTGCTCTCCAGCTATGAGCCTGTGAAATCAGACAAGTTACGCTTTTCTAAAATACGATGGTAGGACAGACACAGGATAGATACTTCCATTCAGAAAGGGAGAAATTGGAAAGAAGAAAGGGATAGCAGATCCCAAGAAAGCCCAAAACCCAGCAAGGCAAACAACATTAAATCTGGATGCCTGAGAATAATCTTGTTTAACTCCTTTTCTTGCCTTCTGGACACACTGGGACTGGGGGTGGGTCCTGAAGGCTTCAGGGAACCACGCCCTTATGGCTTTATCTGGGGCAACCCTTAATGCAACTCTCACAGGTTGGAGTCTGGTGCCTCTGGCTCTCCTAGGCTGGTGTTGGATGCTGGTGGCTGCACAGTTCTGAGGTCTCTGGGGGCAGTCTTGCCTTCACAACTTCACTAGACATAACCCTGGTAAAAGCTCTCTGCTGCAGCCTGCCCCTTTGGCAGTTCTCTGTCTAGCCCCTGAGGCTTTCTGAGGAATCCTTTGAAATCTAGGTGGGGATAGCCATGCCTCTGAGTGTACTGCACTCCTGAAGAGTTAGCACCATGTAGGCATCACCAAGGTTTACCCCTTGTGCCCACTTTTGCCCTCCAGAGTGGAGGCCTGAGCTGCACCTGGCTGCACTTGAGCCACAGTGGGGGTAGTCAGGGAGTCTTGCTTGGGAATAAAGGGAGCAGAGATGTGAGGCAACCCTGGGCAACTGGGCCTCTCCCTAGAAAACAGTTTTGTGCTCAAGGCTCTGCCATTGTGGGCCTGTGGTAGGGAGTAGCAGCCTTGAAGCAATCTGAAATGTCTTTGGGTTCATTCTTCCATTGTCTTGATGAATATCAGTTGCTTCCTTTTATCTATATGAATCTCTTTACCTTTTTATTTTATTTTTTATCTTAATTTTTTTTTTTTTTTTTTTTTTAGAGATGAGGCCTCGCTATGTTGCCCAGGCTGGTCAATCTCCTTATCAAAAGGTCGCTTGATCATGCTTGTGGTACTCTCTTCCAATACCACACCCCCGTTTTTTATTTTGAGACAGAGTCTCTGTTGCCCAGGCTAGAGTGCAGTGGCACAATCTCAGCTAGCTGCAACCTCCACCTCCTGGGTTCAAGTGATTCTCCTGCCTCAGCCTCTGCCTGGCTGATGTTTGTATTTTTAGTAGAGATGGGGTTTCAACCATGTTGGCCGGGTTGGTCTCAAACTCCTGACCTCAGGTGATCTGCCCACGTCGGCCTCCTAAAGTGTTGGGATTATAGGTGTGAGCCATTGCGCCCGGCCCAATACCCATTTTTAATCTTTACAACCTAGCCAGGCTGAGAATTTCCCAAATTTTTAAGTCCTGCTTCCCTTTTGATTGTAAATTTGATCTTTAGGCCAGGTGAGGTGGCTCATGCCTGTAATCCTAGCACTTTGGGAGGCTGAAGCAGGTGGATCACTCGGGCTCCAGAGTTCAAGACCAGGCTGGGCAATATGGTGAAACCCTGTCTCTACAAAAAAAAAAAAAAAAAAAAATTAGCTGGGTGTGGTGGCTCATTCCTGTAGTCCCACCTATTTGGGGGCCTGAGGTGAGAGGATTCCTTGAACCCGGGAGTCCGAGGTTGCAGTGAGCTTAGATTGCGCCACCGCACTCCAGCCTGGGTGACTGAGACCCTGCTTCAAAAAACAAAACAAACAAACAAATCTTTAATTCATTTCTCACATATTACTATAAGCAATTAAGAGAAGCAATATAGCATCCTCAACACTTTGCTTAGTGATTTATCCTGTCAAATATCCTAGTTTATCCCTTGAAAGTTTGCCTCACCTTACACCTCTTTTCTACATACAGGCACTAATGCCATTCATGAGGACTCTGTCCTTGTGACTTAATCACCTTCTAAAGGTCCCACTTCAGTAATATCACATTGTGGATTAAGTTTCAATATATCAATTTTGGGAGACACATTGAGACCATAGCACACAGAGATGTAATAGTTCTACAGGTTGAGTATACCTTATTTGAAATACCTGGGGCAAGAAGTGTTTTGGATTTCAAATATTTTTGGATTTGGGAATTATTTGCATTATACCTACTCGCTGAGCATCCCTAACCTGAAAATCAAAAATTGAAAATCTTCCAGTGAGCATTTCCTTTGAGCATCATTGGCACTCAAAAAGTTTCAGATTCTGGAGCGTTTTTGGTTCCAGATTAGGGAAGTAATAATAAACCTTTAATACAGATGGCAATAGAGCTTTTATGGAAAAGGGAATTGCAGCCTGGGCACAGTGGCTCATGCCTATAATCCCAGCAGTTTGGAAGGCTGAGGCGAGTGGATCACTTGAGGCCAGGAGTTTGAGACCAGCCTGGCCAACATGGTGAAACTTTGTCTATACTAAAAATACAAAAATTAGCCAGGCATGGTGGCACATGCCTGTAATCCCAGTTACTTGGGAGGCTGAGGCAGGAGAATTGCTTGAACCCGGGAGGCGGAGGTTGCAGTGAGCTGAGATCGTGCCACTGCATTCCAGCCTGGGCAACAGAGCGAGACTCTCTTAAAAAAAAGAAGTGTATTGTGGCTGGATGTGGTGGCTCACGCCTGTAATCCCACCACTTTGGGAGGCTGAGGCGGGCAGATCATGAGGTCAGGAGATGGAGACCATCCTGGCTAACATGGTGAAACCCCGTCTCTATTAAAAATACAAAAAATTACTTGGGTGTGGTGGCAGGCACCTGTAGTCTCAGCTACTCTGGAGGCTGAGGCAGGAGAATGGCATGAACCCGGGAGGTTGAACTTGCAGTGAGCCGAGATCACGCCACTACTCCAGCCTGGGCGACAGAGCGAGACTCCGTCTCAAAAAAAAAAAAAGTGAATTGCAAACTATTAGTCCATGGAAACAGTGTAGGATTTACTTAAAGTAGCTTGCAAAAATAAAGGATTGAAGGACTGAAAAATTCTTGATGATATATTCTTGGTAATTAAGGTCACTCACATATCTTACACTTAAGTAATTTAAATTTAAAAGTATTCTACATGCATTTTCTCATTTTTTTTTTGTTTGCTTTTTTTTTTTTTTTTTTTTTTTTGAGATGGAGTCTCGCTCTTGTTGCCCAGGCTGAAGTGCAGTGGCGCAATCTTGGCTCACTGCAACCTCTGCCTCCCGGGTTCAAGTGATTCTCTTGCCTCAGCCTCCCAAGTAGCTGGTCTTACAGGTGCCCACCACCACGCCTGGCTAATGCTTGTATTTTTAGTAGAGACAGGGTTTCACCATGTTGGCCAGGCTGGTCTCAGATGAACTGAGCTCAGGTAATCTGCCCACCTCGGCCTCCCAAAGTGTTGGGATTACAGGCATGAGCCACCGCGCCCGGCTGTATTTTTCTCTTTGAACACCTGGTGAAGTAGGTTGGATATGTGCCTGTTCTTGGTAATTAAAAAAAATTAATATATTTATGATCTGTATAGGATGGAATAACGTATCATTGGTTAGTGATTTTTTCCTAACTGCACTCCAAGTATCTATTCCTCTTTTCTCCCTTCCAAAACAAGAAAAGTCAAACGTAAGTATATGCGTGTGTGGAATGTTTACTTTAAAAAATAATAATTTTAGGCCGGGCACAGTGGCTCACGCCTGTAATCCCAGCACTTTGGGAGGCTGAGGCGGGTGGATCATGAGGTCAGGAGTTTGAGACCAGCCTGGCCAAGATGGTGAAACCCCATCTTTACTAAAAATACAAAAATTAGCTGGGCGTGGTGACGGGCAGCTGTAATCCCAGCTACTTGGGAGGCTGAGGCTGGAGAGTCACATGAACCTGGGAGGCAGAGTTTGCAGTGAGCTGAGATCACACCACTGCACTCTAGCCTGGGCGACAGAGCAAAACTCCATCTCAAAATAATAATAATACAATAATAATAATAATAATTTTAACCATTGATTACTGGCTATATCAGCACTCCCTTGCCACCTACCCTTGTTTTGGTTAAGTCCAGTCAGGTGTTTCCTCTGCTAGGGAGCATAAGTCGTCTTCTATCAAAGTTGTGTATCTGAAAGGAATATATATACCAGTGTTAATATAGTGAAAATAACTACCAGAAATTTGTGTGTTTATTGGGACAAATTCTATTTCTTAATGATAAGGTGTTATTAAAAGGTGGGAACTTTATAAGATGGTTTTATTGTCCTCTGACAATAGTTTAATATTCATTAATTTTACCAGTATTTCATTTTGCTTATGTGCAGTGGACCTTGCTTTCGAGGAACTTAAAAATTCTATTAAGACAAGACATTGACCATAGATATTTGAATTCTTGGCATGTTCAATAATTGTTCTATTGGCTTGTACAAAATGTGAAAAGAGAAAATTGGATTTGAAATTAATAAACATAATAAAAGCCTTTGAAGTGAAAAGCATTTAAAATCAAAATGCTATATTAGAAAACAATTTTACTCTAGAATTGTACTCTATTTTGGAGTAACCATTCTATTTTATTAGGAAAATGTGAAGAGTAGATGCCTTAAGGAATGGAGGAACCTCTCCCCTTATGGATTGCTCTGTCATCATCATCATCATCATCATTACTGTGAAAATAACTACATTGTAAAGAAAGTCATAAGATAAATGACGAATGTCTTTATTTATTTTTTCATTTTTTTTTGAAATGGAGTTTTGCTCTTGTTGCCCAGGCTGGAGTGTAATGGTGCGATCTTGGCTCACCACAACCTCTGCCTCCCAGGTTCAAGTGATTCTCCTGCCTCAGCCTCCCGAGTAGCTGGGACTACAGGCATGCGCCACCATGCCTGGCTAATTTTGTATTTTTAGCAGAGATGAGGTTTTTCCATGTTGGTCAGGCTGGTCTCAAACTCCCTACCTCAGGCGATCCGCCCGCCTTGGCCTCCCAAAGTGCTGGGATTACAGGTGTGAGCCACCATGCCTGGCCAAACATCTTCCTTTTAACCAACCACATGACCCAAAATTGTTAACATTTTGACATATTTAGTCATTTTTTTCTGTGTATGTGTAAGCACACATCATTACCCTCAAATAAAAATGTGTTCCCCTTTCACTTCACATTGTAAATGGTTATTACACTAGAAAGGAACAAAACTTGCTCCTGTTTTCTACTACACTCTCACACAACACTTTTGACACCAGAAGTGTGGAGTTTTTTTCCCACACCAGCCAATTCTCCAATTCTCTGGTTACCACATGGGTGTCCTACAATTCAATTATGACACTACTTGGAGTTAGTGCGGACTCCAGAGGTTAAGAGCTCAGTCACGCAAGACTGCTCTCCACTTCAGATACCAGTGACATGTAGCGGGTCCTCAGATTATCCACACTTCTATCCGACTTGGCTACAAATTGGGAGTTCCCACGACCCCTCCTCAGGTTTGATAATTTGCCATGATGGCTCATGGAACTCAGGGAAACACTTGCTTGACTGGTTTATTACAAAGGATACAGATGAACAGTCAGATGAAAAGGTAGAACAAGGATCTTTTTTCTCTGTGGAGTTGGGGTGTGCCACCCTCCTGGCTCATAAATGTGTTCACCGGCCCACAAACTCCTTGAACCCCACAGTTAAGGGATTTTTATGGACGCTTCATCTCGCAGGCAAGGGAAATTATTAACTCAGCCTGTAGCCCCTCTCTCCTCACTGGAAGATGGTTGGGTAGGGCTGAAAGTTCCAAACTGGTAATCAGGGCTTGGTCTTTCTGGTGAACGGCTCCCATCTAGGTACCTAACAAAAGTCACCTCATTAGAACAAACGCTACTCCTATCACCCTGGAAATTCCGAGGGATTTAGGAGGTCTGTGTTAGGAACCGAGGTCAGAGACCAAATATTTGAACCAAAGATGCTCCCAGCACCAAATATTTGAACAAAAGATGCTCCTAGTGCCTATCACTTAGGAAACAAGTTTTTTTAGGAGCTCTGTGCCAGGAACTATAGATGAAGACAAAAGAAATATGTATTTCTTTCGCAGTGTCACAGACACATACAATTATTTAGTCTTGGCTGGGCACGGTGGCTCACGCCTGTAATCCCAACACTTTGGGAGGCCGAGGCGGGTGGATCACGAGGTCAGGAGATTGAGACCATCCTGGCTAACAATGGTGAAACCCTGACTCTACTAAATATACAAAAAATTAGCCGGGCGTAGTGGTGGGCGCCTGTATTCCAAGCTATTCGGGAGGCTGAGGCAAGAGAATGGTGTGAACCCAGGGGGCGAAGCTTGCAGTGAGCCGAGATCACGCCACTGCATTCCAGCCTGGGTGACAGAGCGAGACTCTGTCTCAAAAAAAAAATTATTTAGTCTTTATTATCATTTTCTATAACAGTTTATTATGGAAAATTTTAAACTTTGATAAAAGTAGAGAGGATAGTGTCATCCCTGTCACCCAGCTTCAACAATGATTGATTTTTCCCAGTCTTATTTTGTCTGTCCTCCAATTTTAGTTCTGTTTTGCTGAAATATTTTAAACATATCCTGGACATTAGTTACCATGACTTTGAATTATTTCATAGTAGTTTTTCTATGGATTTACTTAATCATTCTTCTGTCGTTAGACACGTTAACCTACAAGGAAGAAGCTGAGGCAAAATTAATATAAACAGAGTCAGCCAGGCATAGTGGCCCTGTAATCCCAACACTTATAGAGGCTGAGATGAGAGGATCACTTGAGGGCAGGAGTTCGAGACCAGCCTGAGGATCATAACAAAATCGTCTCTACAAAAACAAAAGAAGAGAGTTTATTTGGGCCAGACTTGAGGGTTGCAACCCAGGAGCATAGATTCAAGTTGCCCTCAATATATCCTCTGATTAGCAGTAGTGGATTTTTAAAGGTAAAATGGGGGGACAGGGAGTGAAAGTGTGTCAGGAATTCTCATTGGCTTACAGAAATAACATTGATTCAGCTATACATTGTTAAGCTGTAGGGTGATGGTTACAGTGTCCAATGTGGCATTATTAGGTTAATTTATAGCTACTTACGGCAATAGCAGGCAGTTTCAAGAGATGAGCACATAGCTCAAAGTGGGGAGTAGGCTGTGACTGCTGTCTCATTTTAATACCTCTCTGGGCCTGATATTAAAAGGGTTTGCATTCTTCGGATAATAAATAGTTCTTTTTTTTCCCATTTCACATTGTTTCAAATTTCTTGTTAAAGATGAACTTTTTATATGTAAATATTTAGGTGTTTCTGATGATACTATTCAGCCATATCCTGAAGTTGTAATCACCAAAAGATATGAACCATTAAAATAAACTTTTTGTAATTATAAATGCAGTACATTTTCGTTATGGATGTTTTGGGAAATAAATTTTAAAAACTAAGAAGAAAATAAAAATTACCTCAGATTGTTTTCCAAAGAGACCCAACATCCCTTCTATCCACATTTTTGTAGTTTGCTTCTTACTGGGGTTGAAGGGGGTTTCTCAATGACTGCCTGGAGAAGAGCAAGCCTACTTGCGGCCCATCTTATTGTTAAACTAGCAGATTAGAAAATAGCTGTATGCTAAGCACTTACTAGGAAGTAGCATCTAAGACACAGTGTCCCGTTGATTGCCCTAATAGTTCTACAGTCCTTCAGTATCATCCTACCCTAAACTCTAAAGAGAACTATCAGTATTCCTGAATGCCATCCTATTGCTACCTCTGCAGATTTTTTTCCCCCTGAATTTTGAGTTAGTGTGAGTCTGCTGGTTTGTTTCAAAAGATGTGTTTTGAGAAACAGTCTTGAGAAAATTGCTTCTGTTTACCATCCAGTGATTCACAGGAGAAATTGTTGTCCTTTTACTGAGTTGAAGAAAGAAAACTTGATGAAGAAACTGGAAATGCAAGTGGTAGAAACTTAATCATATTGTGCCTGGGGGCTATTTGGTGACTCAGAAAATAAATTATTTCTGTGGGAAATAATTAGTCAGCTTGAGCACTGTTTAACATATTTCTGGAGCCAACCCAATTTTATTTGATCTTACCTGTTATGAACTGGTAAATAAAAATAAGTGTGACAGATTTGAGACTTTACAACTTATTTAGGAACACAGAAGTGAAATCAATGTTTCATCCTCTGAAATAATTTTAAATACTTGAATTTTCCTTCTCTTTCAGTTCCAGGAATGGATGGAGGTGCTTTAACTGATACAAGTCTCACAGATTCCTATTTTAGCACCAGCTTTATTGGAGTCAATGGATTTGGAAGCCCTGTAGAAACAAAATATCCCCTGATGCAGGTATCCTTAGTATAAATTCATATTGCACTATGAAGTTTATTCTAGGGCCAGAGGACATATAGAGTCTTCATTTATTCCTACATTTGTTGAGTGGGAGGTGAGATTTTAGGAGGCAGTGAGATGGGTGAGATGTAGGTAAACTATCTCCCATGGGGTTGGAGTTAATGAGAGCTTTTGTAAGTGGGGGTTTGGTAGGGTTAGGGGCAAGAGTGACGGGAGTATGTAGAGGGTAGTTAGAGACTAATTTCACTTGTGTATTTTGTATGTATGTTAGTTAAACTTGGTAGTGATTGCAATTTTAAAATTATGTTTTAAGCAGGTTATACATGTATTATAAAAGTTAAGTTACAAAAGGGCCTCCCTCTCGTCACTACTCATCACTTTTCCAGTTAACCTTCCTAGAGTTAGCTATCATTACTGGTTACAAGTTTCCTGTGTATCCTCTCAGGAATATTCTTTGCATATAGAAGCATAGTGCTAGTTTTATTTTGTTTAATGCTTAAAATGTTGAATTTAAAGTCATAGTACTTGGAGCATTTTACATTAAAAATGTCTTTGAATTTTTTTTAACCCCACTTTGTTCTTTTTGGCTCTTTTTTTCCCCTTTATCATATGACTGCATGCAATGCTTAGGAGATTTGTGTTTAGATGAGTTTTTGTTGATTTGTATTGCACAATTTTGTAGAATTGGAATAAAATTGGAAAGTATTCTAGTGTTTTTAATTGGAAAACTGCCATAATAGTAAAGGCAATGTATTGTCCTTTCTAGTTTCTGTGATGTACTACTGGATGGTTTTCTCCATTATTACAATAGGATATTTAAACACAAGAGAAATTCATCTTTACGTTTCTCTCCCTCTCTCTCTCTGGAGACAGGGTCTTGCTGTGTCACCCAGGCTGAAGTACAGTGGCGCAATCATGGCCCACTGCAGCTTCAACCTTCTAGGCACAAGCAATACTCCTCTCTTGCCTCAGCCTCCTGAGTAGGTAGGACTACAGGTGTGTGCCACCATGCCTGGCTAATAAAAATAATTTTAGCAGAGATGAGGTCTGTGTTGCCCAGGCTAGTCTCAAACTCCTGGTCTCAAGTGATCCTCCTGCCGTGGCCTCCCAAAGGAGGTATTACACGTTGGGATTACAGGCATGAGCCACCACTCCTGGCCTAGTGTTTATACTTCAAGTTGGACTGATTTTAAGGGTTTGTATGAAACCAATGCTTTTTTGAATTATTTTAACTTATTTCGTGTAGATATGCACTCTAAGGGTTGTTTATAAAGAAACATGCACAGCCATATATAGAAATGGTTATGTTTTATGAACAATATAACTAGTTTAATGCATAGTTATACCTTATTTTAACTGCCTGTGAGCCACAATTTCAGGTACTTTTTAATATATATTTTTGTATTAAAATTACCTCAGGAGCTTAGCTTTTTTCTTCTCTTTTAAAATTATGCAGACATTAAATAAGAAGTTGAGTAAACAGATTCAGGACTCTAGAATTAAAGCCAGAGCTAGAAATTCTTAACTTATAATTTTTAAGGCATTGAGTTAGAAGTTACATATGAGACAAGGATTTGTGGGCATGGGATGAAGGGCCTTACAGGATGGAGAGACCATACAGGCTATGGAGTGAGTCTAGAAAGCATAGAACGTGTTTAGAGAACAGAAAATACCTAATTTTATAAGCTCTATAAGGTGTATGAATGGTAGTACAAATGGAGAAAGGGTATTAGAGCATTTACTCATTTTATTCATAGTCAACGGGTACCCTCTTCAGTGGATATTGGAATTTATGTTTTACAGACAAGGAAACTTAGTTATGTGTTTTGCCCAGGCTAATAAGTTATGGAAGCACAATTCAAAATAGGTCTGTAGCTTTGGCTTTGAATACCTGGGTAGTGAGTAAAATTTTCATTTCATGTGGTGGTTTTTACATAGTTGTAATCCAAGCAGTAACACTTACAGGAAGATTAGATTGTCAGTAATGTGAACAGTAGATTGGAGGGGAAGAAGCAAAGAGAGCCAGTCTTAATTGGTTGGATACTTTTATTTCTGTATTCCTCAGTGATGTTATAAATAAATATTTTGTTTTTCAGAGAATGACTAATAGTAGCAGCTCCCCAAGCCTTCTAAATGACAGTGCCAAGCCATATTCAGCCCATGGTAAGACCTGATCCCTTTTGCTTATGTGTGTCTGTGTATATATTTCTTACTCTAAAAGTAATATACAACCATTGTAGAAATTTTGAAAATTGTAAACGGGCATAAAGAAGAAAATAAAAATTATTATCTTCCCACTCAGATCTAACTATTGAGATTTAGATTCCAGGCCAGGTGTGGTGGCTCATGCCTGTAATCCCAGCACTTTGGGAGGCTCAGGTGGGAGGAATGATTGAGCCCAGGAGTTTGAAACCAACTTGGGCAATATAACAAGACCATGTCTCTATTATTAAAAAAAAAAAGAAAAGTGTATAAGTTATATACAAAAATTTCAACATGCTATTTTATTAACATCTTGCTCTTTGCACTATTAGTTATTTAATATTAAATTCATGTTAATTTTAATGAAGGTAAGTCTGAAAAACCAGGAAGAAGAAGGCAGAGAAATGAAGCAGCAGTCTATATGTACTACATTGTGAAGAGATTTAAGGTTCCTTTACGTAAGGGCATTTAATATATTTTTTAGGATTTAGCAGAACATGTAATGAGATTAATAAATAAAAAATTAAAGCTCAGAAATGAAGATAAATATTTAAGTATATCTCACACATGCCTTTTCAGAGACTCTTCTCATTTGTAAAGTGAGAAATAATTAAGATATATAATTTTATTTGTAACTTCTTTCTACAGAGTAGTGGAATTTTGAACCTACAAAATCTTTGGATTTCATGTTTGAAATAAATTTTGAAAAACTTTATTATTTCTGTCTTAACTTAATATTTTACTTTATCTTTTTAGTAATAATATCAAACATCTGGTGATAGACTTTAAAATATGGAATAGTTTGCAGAGTAAATGGTTTTAAAGCCTTGCTGATGTGTTGAAATCCAAGACAGGATCTCTCAGAGTCTATGGTTGACACTGCCCCCACCCCTCACCCTCCTTTTTATCCTTCCCAAGATATGGTCTCAAGATTATAAACCTTTATTTACTTTAGGTCAACTTACTGCCTTCATAAACACACTCACAATAGTATGGTTAAGAGGTTTTTTTCTCTTATTTGATTTTTCTTTTGGTTCTAGTCAAATAGATCTATCCTGATCCATATAGCTTTTGAATATTTGAGCAAATTGGTTCACCAGTTTGTGTTTTATTTGCTCAGAAAATATTTGAACATAACTGTGTGTTAGGTACTAAGTTTAATTATTGTGTCATTTGATTTTTATAGGCATTGTCAAATTAAACAGTTATTAGATTTGCGGGTTACCCAAGTTTTATGTGTGGAAACTTACGTAACTTACCTTTCAGATCCTCTAACATCACCTGCTTCATCCTTGTTTAATGACTTTGGTGCCCTCAACATCTCTCAGAGACGAAAGGTAGGTGAAATTGAAACTTGAATTAAACTAAATGGAATTTAGAAGTGATGTTGGCATTGTTACCTATGTAGTGTCAATGTTTTTGTAAGTGGAGGGAGAGCTTTTTATGGGCTTTAGTGTTTTTCCTGCCTTTTGTTTATCCTTTTTCTTTATCTTTTTATATGTGGAAATTTATTTGATCTCTGCATGGAATAGAGATTTTGTGTGAAGGGATGAAATCCTGCTTATTTTTGTTCAGTTTATTTATCTCAATGTATTCTGTTCTTAAGATAACATCTAATTTAATGTTAAGTTGCTGTTAATGTGACCCATTGTAAGCATGTTAATCATGTTTAAACTTTATTTTTTGATGGCTTTATCTAAATTTCAAAAATTCTTCCCTAATTTACTCCTGATTACAAGGCAAACTTAAAATTTTCAACATTTCATAATGGGCCCAACAATTTAAAAAGTTGAAAATCTCTTCACATTAGAAATTTAATTTTATTTGGAATTTAGATTGATAGACCATGTATGGATTTTTGAAGTATTTTATAAGGACTGATGTTGTGACAAGTTGAATAATTTGATGCCTTTGAGTCTTAATGAGAATCTTGTTAATACTAATAATCATCTAGAGAAGATAGTCTTTTTTGGTTAGGATCAGCAACAGCTAAAGATGTTAAAGAGGTTCTAAATCTTGGTGGAAGTTATTATAAAGTTATAACATTGTTTCCTAAGTAATGGAAGAAAGACCCAAAATTTAATGAGAGTAATAAATGTAAAATTAACTAAAGCTCAGAAATGAAGATAAAATATTTCAACATATCTCATTAATATTAATTTTAGAATAACTGATATGAACTTAAGATACTTTTAAGAAGGATCTGATCAGCAGATAGTATAAAATGAAATTCAAGAAGACTGTGGTGGTGTTGGCTTCACGGTGTATAGTTATCCCCAAACTCGTTGAGTTGTATACATTAAATATGTATAGCGTTTTACATGTCAATCAGACCTCAATAAAGTGGTTTAAAAAATTCAGAAAGACTAGATTTTCTTAAGAGAAAAAAAAGTTATGAAGACTGATATAAATTATGTTAAAACCTCATGTACCTAATGTTATTTCCATTTTGAGACATGGATGAGAATAAGAAGGTAATTACAAAATGCTTTTTAGCAACTAGAATTGATAGACTAAAATCTGTGGGTTTAATGGATTTCCTTATAGGCTCTTATCATGGATAAATTTACCCTGCTTTACATACTTCTCTTATAAACTGGAATACTTGGTTTCTAAATCCGTATGTTAGCAGTGTAATAATAGAGTTGGACAGAAACAGACCCAGGACAATAGACAAAGCCTAACAATGTGGAAGCAAGCAGTAAAATGCTGAAAAGCGAATACAACCTGGAAATCAAGTTATCTGGAGCTTTTTATGGGAAAACAGAAAGTCTTTAAATTTTCTTAGGTATTCCCTAATCACTTTTTCTCATTTATAAAATAATCAGTTAACTTGGCTGGGCAAGGGGCTCAGGCCTATAATGCCAACACTTTGGGAGGCCAAGGCGGGAGAATTGCATGAGCCCAGGAGTTTGAGACCAGTATGTATAACATACCAAGACCCCATCTCTTATAAAAATAAAAAAAATTAGTCAGGTGTGGTGGTACACACCTGCAGTCGCAGCTGAGGTGGGAGAGTCGTTTGAGCCTGGGCGGTTGAGGCTGCAGTGAGCCAAGATCATGCCACTGCACTCCAGTCTGGACAACAGAGTGAGACCCTGTCTCAGACAAAAAAAAAAAAAAATCAGTTAATAACTAGCATTTCAGACATACGAGTAGAAAGTAAAACTAGAATGACAAATTAATGTTTAAAAGTATTTCTAATATAAGAGGTTAGTGGGATGTGTCTTAAAGTGGAAATATATGATTTAGAGCTCCTGACATTTACTTTTGAGAAAATAATAAAAATTATTAGAAATTGAGAATATATAGTACCTATTCTTTTTATAATTTATTTTAATACAATAAAATGTTACTAGAAATGTTACTAGAAATTTGAAAATAATGTTAGTAGAAATGTGACCTAAATATTTGGAGAGATATTAGAATATATCCAATGGAAGCAGACTAATATAGAAAAATGAGCACTCTACTGTGATATTTGAGGCCCTGGATCTCCCATTTTGTGACCTATGGCCAACTTTCTAGGCTGTAATCATCCCATCTGTGAAATGAAGAGCATGACCTCATCATTACCATAGTTGCTGTGGTGTCCTTCATCTCTAAAACTTAATGTCTGTCTAAATTGAAAGCATCCATATGTCAGTTTCTACCTAGAAATTTGTGGTTCATATATTCATATAGCTTGAAGGACTATATTTTCTTGCCATTTATATTTAAAATGATGTGTAATCTACAGACACAGAGTTTTTCCAGTAGTGAGCAATATAGTTAGAATCTTTGTGGGTACAGGTTGCATATATTTTAAAATTGTTAATGGTTGAGTTGAGAAGGTTTCAAATCTCAAAATCTCTTTACATTAGAAATACTCTTGGCATAGGAGTATGACATATTACACATAGTGAATTAAAGGCATATGAAAAAATGTCTGTTTAACGAAGTAATTTTAGTGGAAGTAACTCAAAATTATATGAATATTGTAATTCCAAATTTATCTCAGCAGGCTAGCATGATTACTTAGTGGTATTTTGTTTTACAGTGATATAGGAGAACAAATAATTAAACTATGCTTACCACTATTTCATAGCTAGTGAGGTAAATTATTTTCTGAAAATCTCAGTTGGGCCAGTCTCTGAGCCAGATATGCTAACTTTTGCCTGTGGGATTATGTGATTTACTGGGGTCAGAATAGTCAGGTATTTTTATAGTAGGCAGTTTTACTATATGCTATGTGGACAAATTGAAAATGAAGGACTGAGTTTTTTTTTTTCCCTTAAATCTAATTGGAGATGCAATACATGAACCTACAAGGGAACATTTACTCAGCAGCATATTAATTAGTGCCAATTTAAATATTTGATGATTGCTAGGTAGCAAAGAATTCTCTAGATCCTGAAGAATTTATGGAGAAAAGATGTTTTGAATTGGGTTTTTTGTGGATGAGGAATGTATAGAGGCAAAGATACCTAGGCAAAAGGTATGCTTGCTTACAGGTGATAGAGGTAGGAGCTTTAGTAAACTCTAATTCTTCTTCATTCTGAGAATCATAGATAAACTAAGAAATACGGCTGAGGCCCCTTAGTATCTTTAGGAACTTCAAGGGAAATGTGGGATGTGAAAAATAGTACAGTCTGTTACAATGGCTCATGCCTGTAATCCCAGCACTTTGGGAGGCTGAGGCTCGAGAATCACTTGAGGTCAGGAGTTCAAGACTAGCCTGGACAATGTAGTGAGACCTGGTCTCTACTAAAAGCCAAAAACATTAGCCAGGAGTGGTGGTGAACGCCTGTAGTCACAGCTACTCGGGAGGATGAGAGGTGGGAGGATGACTTGAGCCCAGGAGGTGGAGGCTGCAGTGAGCCGTGATCACTCTAATGCACTGTGTGACAGAGCAAAACCCTGTCTCAAAAAAAAAAAAAAAAAAAAAAAAGGCCCAAAACAAAACAAAGTACAGAAGGGTCACAGCCATATATCTAGGCTGTATAATTGTTGTTAACTATGTGAGAAACTTCCTGAAGAGTTGTGTGGTGAGAATGTATGCCTTAGGGCAGTACTACTCATAATGTGTCATGGGACCAGTGCTAGTCTGTGAATTGTCTGTTAGGAGATAAACACTGAAAATAAATGTCTAGAGACTTCTATAACAATTTGATAATACTGTGACATTCGAATATGGAATCATTTTTCTAATTATCTTTATTTTACAAAATTATAGGACCATGATTTATAGGAGATTTTTTAAAAAGTGATCTTTTTTGATGTTTGAGAAGCACTGATTTTCTTTTATTTGTCACATTAGGAATGCCTAATTTTATAGAGAGAAAAAGTAACCATTATTTGAGGTTTGTTAAAAATAGGAGTTAATATACAAGAGATTATTACATGAGTAAACCTTAATAGCAAGATAGATAAAATTAAATTTGACCACTGTTATGAAAAGAAGTAGTTTTGAGAGTCACTGAATCACAAATGTGATCTAGACAAGCATTAAAATTTCCAATGAGAAATTATTTGGGAACAAAATATCTTTACAACAGAGTTAGATATTGGAATACAGATATTCATAAATGAAGTGATTCAGTGCTATGATATCTTGCTGATGATTCTTGCTAAGATAGAAGTGTTTATGTAGGGCAACCATGTATGATTGAGGCAAATCCCAGGCAAAATGAGAAATCTTTCAAATTTGTGTCAGCTTGGCTTTCTCCTTTTATATCTTTCTGGGCTATTGCCCTTCTTCATCTTCTTTTTTTATTCACCTAGTCACATTTTTATTCAGCTTCCCCCTACTTCTTCCATTTCTTTGGTTTATACCCATCGTTTATATTTCTTTGGTTTACTTTAGTATGTTGTTTCAGTCAATATGCGGTTTTATGTGGATATTTGTATTATATTTTTAATACGGAGATAACAGATTTTCACTTCTGTAAATTTTTTTAAGTTTTAATAACAAGTTAAATTCTTTGGGGTTAGGAGGCAAAGACTTTTGAAGTATCATGTTTATCTCTTCTGTTCTTGCTTTTAAAGCTTTTTGTTAGGACTAGGGAAGTGGGACCAAAGGGAGCTGGCTGGTTCGTCTGCTGATAGCTTATTTTTGAGGAGATGTGGTTGCTAGAGGTACAGTTCTGGATTATTCTGCTTGAGAGAAAAATTCACCAGCAGTACTTTTCTCCGCTTTCTTCTTTGTTTGAACCTAGCTTGGGTCTCCCTTTTGCACTGTTGTTTATCTTAAGAGCACCCATCTCTCTCTGTTACAAAACTTACTGATGATAAATATTTTATGTTTTCTGATTAACTTGACATTTAAAAGTTTTCTTATAGCATTTTTATTCTAAAGTCTTCCTTTGAAAAATGATTTTTACATTATTTCTATTCTAGGCAAGCAAATATGGAATAACAAAGACTAGAGCATATTTACGGTAGAGTTCTTCTATGGAAAAAGATAAAGTAAATTTGGAGAAATTAATCTGAGTATAGCATAGACAATTTGGAATGTAAATCTTAATCCTTCTGATGGTTAAGCTAGGCCTTTTTTGCATATTGAATCAAGTATTGATGTCAGAAAAAATAAAGGAGAAAATGGAGAAGACATTGAAAAATAACTAAAATTTTAAAGGAGATTGTAATCTAAATTTAATCTGTAAAATGACTGTTTTTAGGTTCTTTATGTATGTTCTCAAAGAAATAATGTTTTACTTGGTATTTAGATTTCCAGTAAGCCACATCATTATCTTTTACCCATTGAGTATTGTTCACTAATGTTTCTGGAAAATTGTGGCGAGAATTCCAAATTAATGCCCTCAGAACTATTATGCTCTGAAATCACTAAACATTCATTCACCTCCGCTTGTCAAGATGGAGGAGGGAATGTGTGCCATCTCAGCCTAAGCCAAGTTTAGGAGAGCTTTTAGGCTTAGAGATATGTTTTCCTTTGGAAACTGACACAGTTATTGGAGTCCAAGTTCGGGGTATGGGGAAGACACCCATGTGTGGTTCCTGTTTATAGCTTACTCAGAGCCTCTTGGAGAATTTTAATTTTTCAAAGAACAAACAGCAGGAATGATAATAACACGGCAGTGTTGGATAGTGGTTAAGGCTTTAGGGTTTAGAGTTAGATGCGAGGCAGTCAGGATTGAATTAGTGTTGCTTCACTGATTATCTTTGTGTCTTCAACTTAGTAAACCTTTTTGTTTCTTCATTTGCAAAATGAGAATGTGGTACCTAGTAAGTAAGGTTGTTTTCAGGACTAAATGGGACATGTTGCCTGGCACAGAAGTGTTGACTATTATTGGTAGTAGGTAGTAAGTGGTGTTGGTCAAATTTTGAACTTTGCTTGGAAATTGTTAACTGTTGTTAATTAAGTATCCCTGGCTACTCACTCTGTATCAGGCTGTACTAAAATTGTCCTCTGGAAACGTGGTTCTGTAGCTGCTCTGAGGATGTCTACCTTTTCTTTGAGATGTTCAGGCCTCCTCCTCCCCCAGTATTAATTTTTTGCCTTCTTCCTCACAGAAACTTCTTCCTGTTAGCTTCTCAAACATGTCCTCCAGATCATGTGAAAATCCATTGGGGGTTTCTTGCAACATAATTGCAGACAGATAGAAACTTGATTTTATTTATATGAATGATGATTTTCCGTATTTGTTCCAGATAATATGGTAAACCTAAATAATTATTTTATAAATTAAATGTTTTATATTTTATCATATCATTTAGTTACATCAACAGTTCTTTGGGAGAGATTATTTTTTCTGTTTTGGGAAATAGAAGTTTGAGAGATCAAGTAATTTGCATAGAATAATATAAATTACATAGGGCAATATGAGAAGGGTAAGTTGACTGAGTTTACTCTAGGGTGAAAAATAGGCCACTGGTAATATGGAGAGGAGGAGATAAAACATCGTTTAACCTTATGCCTGCTTCTTTTTCCACTTAAGTGATTTTTTTCAATGTAAATTTCTGTCAAAATGGTTTCTGGGGCAAGAATAGACAATTGAATTTTTTATAATTGACAGACAACTTTTCAGAAATGTAGCACAAATTATATTCCAACTAATAGGGGCTGGTTTTTCTACAGTCTTGAAAACACTGGGCTATAAAAATCTTTAATATTTTTGTAATTTCACAGGCAAAAAACTTCATTTAAATTTGATGGTGTTGTAGACTTCTCTTTTATGTTTATTGGTCATTAGTGTTATTTTATGTCCTTTTCTCATTTCCTATTGGGCTATTTTTTAAATTCATTGTAAGAGGTCTTTGTACATTAGAGATGTAAATCTCTTCTGTCACATGTTACAGTTTCCCTCCATTTTGTTATTGGTCTTGAATTTCACAAGTAATTTATGCTGTCAGTTTTGAAATGTCATGCTTACTCTGTTTCTCTCATACTATGTTTAAAATAGCAAAATATTAAGCCAATTTTTGTTAAAATAACATGGAAATCTCTGCTCTAATGAGTTAGTAATTCGAATATAAAGGGCCGTCCTTGTTTTTATATAATTAATTTGAATACACTGTGATTTTTATTGTGAATGATCTCTAGTAATCAGTTTCCCTTAGTAAATGGCTATGTGTTCTCTCTTTTCTCTGCTTTTTAACTGGTAGGCTTGAATGTTCTTCCTGTTGGTTATCTCCAGTCTCAGTCTATTCTTTTCTTAAAATATACAAGTAACATTAGATTGAAACTTGCTAAAAATATGGTAGTTCTTATAGAGAAAGACTTTGAGAGTTGACTTTTCTTTCCTGCTAAGTAAAGAGTATTCGTGGTTGAGTTTCCAGGATTGGGTTGAGATAAAGATGTACTTTGGAAAGAACAGATTAAATTTTGTTTTAACAAGTGTGAGGTTCAACCATGTACTTCCTGTACTTTATTTTAATTGGCACTTTGTGTGCAGCGACCATTTGTTTTTGTTTAATCCAGAAAACTTCCTCCAAATTCATGATTGTAGGAGAATTTTGTTCTGTTGATTGATTTTTAAAAAGAGCTCTCATGAGTTTGTTTTGGAAGCCTTTTTTTTTAAAGGTGTGTGTGGTAGTATGGTGTTTGATGCTTTATCATATTTAAACGTGAACTGAAATTTTTTTATGCCTTTTATATACAGTTTGTAATACTGTTGGCTGTACTCATCATCTAATTTTATAGCTTTGAAGATTTTGAGTTCTTATACACAGTAATGGTAGTTTAAGTAAAACCATGGTGCATTTATCTCTTGAACCTACAAACTAGTAGATCATTCTAAGGTTAGCTGGTTGGCTTCTTTACACTCTGGTCATTCTATTTGCGAAGTGTAGTAGCTGATATTTAGGGGCCTAGCATTATTGATAGCTCATCCCTATTTTCCTAGGAGGTAGGTATGGGGAATGAATTAGTAAAGGTGAACTTAAAATTCTCATCCACAAACATGCTAGCCTAAGCTCCAAATTAAATGTAACCAAAACCGTGTGGTTTTCCCCAACTCTGTTTTATTCCCAAGATTTGTTGTCCTTGTATTTTGAAAACGGGGAAGGAGAACTTTTAAATTCTAGTTATTTGAATGAAGTCTTTATCAGTTCTCATTGATTCCATCCATGCTAATTAAATACAAAAATATTTCTTCATTTGGGTATATGTATTTTGTTATCTTAGGTTTAGCTAGAATGACATTAAGATTGTAATGTGTTAAGGAGTATTACAGAATGTGGAATTGATTTCTTTGAGTTGGATATGAGATGTTATAGTTAAGAGTACAATTGTTGGAACCTGACCCTATGTTAATTTTGAGATAATAGGCAAGTTATTTTAACCTTCTCTCAGACTTACTTTTATCATCTGTAAAGTTGGTATAAAATAGGCGCTATGTCCCAGAATTATGTGAATTAAATACATTAATGGATATAGTGTTTATAATGCCTTGTACTTGTCAAATGGTAGTTATTGTTATAGTCTCCTATTTATGATCTGCAATTTAAAAGTTTGTTTATCTAATTATGTACAAGACGACTTTTCATTATTTACCATCTTTGTTTAAATTCAATTATAATAAAACTCATTTCTGAAAAAGTGTACACATACAAGTTAAATAAAATGGAAACCTTTTGCTAAGAAGCCAGTAGACATTCTGGCAGCTACATAGTGACAGCTACATGGGAGACTGAGGTGGGAGGTTTGAGTTCAGGGGTTTGAAGCTGCAATGAGCTGTGATCGGGCCACTGTGTTCCAGCCTGGACAACAGAACAAGACTGTTAATATAATGAATGCATTTGGTAAGGGACTGAAATTGATAGAAAACTTTAATGATCATTACAATTGATAGATTATCATGGAAATAACTTTCTTGTTTAAAAAAATAAAACTGGCCTGGCATGGTGGCTCATGCCTGTACTATCACCACTTTGGGAAGATGAGGCAAGAGGATTGCTTGAGACTAGCCTGGGCAACATGGTAAGACCCGTCTTTAAAAAGAAAAAGCCCTCGTGAGATGACTCACACCTTTAATTCCAGCACTTTGGGAGGCTGAGGTGGGTGGATAACTCGAGTCCAGGAGTTTGAGACCAGCCTGGGCAACATGGCGAAACACTGTCTCTACAAAAAATACAAAAATGAGCTTGACTTGGTGGTGCACGCCTGTAGTCCCAGCTACTTGGGAGACTGAGGTGGGAGGATCACCTAAGCCCAGGAGGTTGAGGTTGCAGCGAGCCGTGTTTGCACCACTTCACTCCAGCCTGGGAAACAGAGCAAGAACCTGTCTCAAAAAAATACAACAATTTTTTTCACTCAAAATATTTTATTAACTTTGGCATGCTATTTTATTTCTTTATATCTGGTACGTATTGTGGTTCCAGTCTAAAGCACAAGGATATAAGAAGTTGCAGTTGGTGTTCCAGTTCTTTAGAAATTGAATGTGCCCTTGCATAGCAAGGTCTTCCAACTGATTTTATTTTTGGTAGCATAAAATCCCTTTGTAACACTGAGATTTTAAGAACATAAGTAAAGACTGCTTTGTAGACTTCCTTAAATTACTATGTAGATAATGTTTGTCCCCCTCAATGACCTGACTCATAGCAGAAGCTACAAATACGTGTATATGTGTTTATACATGTAAATTATGTTCTGCTGTGTTTGATATAATTTATTTTTCTCATTTTTTACGTATTTTTGTTTTTTGAGGGGCAGTGTCTTGCCCTGTTTCCCAGGCTGGTTCAAACTCCGACTTCAAGTGATCCTCCTGTCTCATCTACCCAACTTAGCTGGGACTACAGGCACATGCCACCATGCCCAGCTAATTTTTTAAATTCTTGTGGAGACTGGGTCTCACTCTGTTGCCCAGGCTGGTCTTGAACTCCTGGTCTCAAGTGATCCTCCTGTGTCAGCCTCCCAAAGTGCTGAGATTACAGGCATGAGCCACCTCACCTGGCCCAATGAATGATTTAAATGACACTTTAAAATGATCTATGTTTTATTAATCAGAACATCTTTACAAACTTGAAAAATAGTAGTATACAAATGTGAAATATCTCTTTTCAGACACTGCTTAAACGAGTATATGAATTTATTTTCTTTTACAGCATCAACTCAGCAGCCTATCTCCTGACACTCCTAAGGGTCTTAGGTACATCAATTGAGAAATCTCTGGCCTAGGATTTATTATATATTTATTTCAAAATAAGCCTGCATTTTTTTTGCAACCTCCTCTGACTCCTAATGAGCTTCTTTCTGTTCATTAAATATCCTGATACTTTAGCATATCTGCAATTATAAGAATTAAATATCAAATTATACCATTAATGATTAGTGGTTAATCACTTGAGGCCAGGTGTTTGAGACCAGCCTAGGCAATATAGCAAGACCTGGTCTCCACAAAAAATTTTAAACAGTTAATGGAGCATGGTGGTGTGCACGCATAGTGCCAGCTATGTGGGAGACTGAGGTGGGAGGATCGTTTGAGCTCAGGGGTTTGAAGCTGCAATTAGCTATAGTTGGGCCACTGCACTGCAGCCTGGGCAACAGAAGACTGTCTAGAAAAAAAAAGAAAAAGAAAAAAATTACATTGTTTCAGAGTGTAAATAGTGAAATGATTACACAGTGATTATGTTTTTGATGTTCAAAGGAGGTTTTTATAATTCACGGCATTGGAAACTTTTTGTCCTGAAGCAACAGTTTTCTCTAGTTTATTATTAATGAGTAGACCATGATATGTAATAACATGTGACTGATAATGTGAGGCATTTTGGAGATGGTGCTGTTTTGCAATTACCAAAAGAATTAAATGCTCTGAGAATTGGTCTGTTACTTAGTAGCTTTAACTACATTTTTTATACAAGTGCTGGTATTTATAGATTGTTCTTCTAGCTGCACTCTGAACTTTTTGGGAGAAGAGAATAGATCTTCTTGATCATTTTATTTTTAAGAATGATAGAGAAGTTTATACTGAAATGTTGAGTAAATCAAGGAATGAAAAAATATACATGTGTGTCCTAAAATTACCTTCTGTTCTTTCCTTTGACATAGTGAGTCTAGAGGCTTACCTCCCTTGTAATGAGAGTGGACTTCCCTTAGCCCTAAACCACTGGAACTGGCTTTTATGAAGTGGGGCAAAGGTTTTTGGAAAAGCTAGGGCTTTGAGGGCTACAAATAGTGATCTTAAAAGCTCTCAGTGTTAGCCAGGCGTGGTGGCTCACGCCTGTAATCCCAGCACTTTGGGAGGCCACGCCGGGTGGATCATGAAGTCAGGAGTTCAAGACCAGCCTGGCCAACATGGTGAAACCTCATCTCTACTCAAAATACAAAAATTAGCCAGATGTGGTGGTGGGTGCCTGTAATCCCAGCTACTTGGGTGGCTGAGCCAGGAGAATGGCTTGAACCCAGGAAGCAGAGGTTGCAGTGAGCCGAGATCATGCCACTGCACTCCAGCCTGGGGCAACAGAGTGAGACCCCGTCTCAAAACAAAAAAACAAAACAAAACAAAAAAACTCTCAGTGTTAAGATCAAGCTCCAAGGGGGCAAGGAGCTACAAGGACTTGCGATGCTGAATTTTTAAACCCCTACCCCTTTTCATTTTGAGGAGTGACTCCAATTTCTGTTTGTATCACTAGTTATTTCTTCTCCAGATCTCTCTGACGTTATTGAGAACTTTAGTACTCAAAGTGCGATCACCAGACCAGGAGCATCTGCAGTCTTGGGAGCGTCTTTAGAAACACAGATTCTTAGACCTCGCTCTAAGGCCTACCGAATCATAATCTTTTATTTTAGCAAGATCCCTGGAAGATTTCTGTGTTCACTATTGTTTGAGAAGTGCTACTCTAGAATATATTTTCAAACCTTTTCTTCTTGAAAACTTTTATTCAAGCCTTGAGCTTTTTTGTTTGTTTTGATATTTTACTTTTGAGACAGAGTCTTGCTCTTATCACCCAGGCTGGAGTCCAATGACACAATCTTGACTCACTGCAAACTCTGCCCCCCGGGTTCAAGTGATTCCCCTGCCTCAGCCTCCAGAGTAGCTGGGATTATAGGCGCGTACCACCACGCCTGGCTAATTTTTGTATTTTTTGGTAAAGATGAGGTTTCACCATGTTGGCCAGGCTGGTCTGGAACTCCTGACCTCAGGTGATCCGCCCGCGTCGGCCTCCCAAAGTGCTGGGATTACAGACGTGAGCCACCTCACCTGGCCAATTTGTTTGTTTTTTGAGATAGAGCCTCACTCTGTTGGCCAGGTTAGAGTGCAGTGGCACAGTCATAGCCCACTGCAGCTTTGAATTCCTGGGTTAAAGTGATCCTCTCACTTCAGCCTCCTGAATAGCTGGAATTATAGGCACACCACCACACCTGGCTTATTAAAAAAATTTTTTGGCGGGGGTGGGGGTAGAGATTGGGGGGTTCTCACTATGTTGCCCAGGTTGGTCCTTGAACTCCTGGCCTTAAGCAGTCCTCCTGCCTTGGCCTTCCAGAGTGCTAGGATTACAGGTGTGAGCTGCTGTGCCTGGCCTCTGCTGGATGTTTTACCACGGGAAAAGGGGTGTATTAGTCCATTTTGACACTGCTATAAAGAAATACCCGAGACTGGGTAATTTATAAAGGTAAGAGGTTTAATTGACTCACAGTTACACATGGCTGAGAGGCCTCAGGAAACTTAGAATCATGGTAAGTGATAAAACCATCAGATCTCGTGAGAATTCACTCACTATCACGAGAATAGCACGGGGGAAACCACTCCCATGATTCAGTCACTCCCTTAACACATGGGCATTATTAATATAATTTGAGATGAGATTTGGGTGGGGACACACAGCCAAACTATATCAAGGGGATTGGGAATTTTGTTATACAATGTTAACTTACACGTGTGGAGCACAAAAGCTGGTTATCAATAGGATGTGGCATTTTCAAATGCTTTTATTTCATAATAACCAGCAAGATGGGACTGGTCAGGCTATCAAGAATAGAGGATCAATAAGGGAATTTACCTTTTTTGGGGGACCACTGTGTTCATAAGGTTGGTCTAGGTAAGGATTTCTAGAAGCTCGGAAGGGAAGAGGAGTTGGTGCTTTTGTTTGCTCTGAAGGAGGGGCTTGGATCTTAAAGAACTGAAAAAACTTTAGTAAATAAATATTTCCCTTAAAATTGTGTTTGCCCTGTTTATTTTCTGATCTTCTCTTTAACCTCTTCCTTTCCCTTAGCACCTGCTTCCAGTTAATCACCAATAGTGGTTTTTAACCTACCAGATGTTGCCACAAGTAAGCTTTCACTAGTTCTCTATTTCTGTTATTATTGCCTCAAGTTCATATCCTTCTTTCTCGACTAGTGATTCGTAGCCAGGGCAGTTGTGTCTTTTTACCCCCAGAGAACATTTGGTAATATCTGGAGACATTTTTGGTTGTTACAACTGGGTACTTGGTGCTTAGTGGTATTTAGTGGGAGGATAGAGATGCTGCTAAACATCCTACAATGCACAAGACAGCCCCCCACAAGAAAGAATTATCCAAAGTCAGTAGTACTGAAGTTGAGAAACCCTAACCTAGACTACTGCCAGAGTCCACTAATTTGTCGACCTATTTCCACTTTTACTCCCTCTTCCCCAATTCTTCCTCCACACTGCCACAGACCTTCCTTTCTAAAATACAAATCTGATTTTGTCATTTATTCTTTACCATGGAATGATCCTCAGATTCCTTAGCTTAGGAAACAATATGTTTATATTTACTTATTTATTTTAATTTTTTTTTGAGAGATGAGACATGTCACTGCAGCCTTGACCTCCTGGGCTCAAGCGATGCTCCCACCTCAGGCTCCAGAGTAGGTGGGACTATAGGCATGGGCCACCATACCCGGCTCCTTTTTTCATTTTTTGTAAAGATGGGGTCCCACTGTGTTGCCCAGGCTGATCTTGAAGTCGGCTCAAACAGTGCTCTCATCTCTGCCTCCCAAAGTGCTGGGATTACAGGCATGAGCCACTGTGCTTGGCACTAAAACAATACTTTTTTTTTTTTTTTTTTTGAGACTGAGTCTCTGTCACCCAGGCTGGAGTGCAGTGGCACCATCTCAGCTCACTGCAGCGGCACCATCTCAGCTCACTGCAGCCTCCGCCTCCTGGGTTCAAGAGATTCTCCTGCCTCAGCCTCCTGAGTCGCTGGGATTACAGGCGCCTGCCACCACACCCAGCTAATTTTTGTATTTTTAGTAGAGACAGGGTTTCACCATGTTGGCCAGGCTGGTCTCGAATTTCTGACCTCATGATCCGTTCGCCTCAGCCTCCCAAAGTGCTGGGATTATAGGCGTGAGCCACCGTGCCTGGCCAATACTTTTTAAAAATTGCATTCAAGCTTCATCTTTTGTTCTCAAACTTCACCTTCTGCTAATGGTGAACTGCATACTTGTGGTTTCCTCTAAACACCATCATGTCTGTATACATAGTTTTCCCCTAACCTATACTACATACTTCCATCTCATATTTTCCTATCTAGGCACATTTATTCTTCCTTCAGAACTTTACTCAGGCATTCACTTTTCTCTGTGAAGCTACCTTTGTTTCTGCTCTATTCATACATGATTACTTATGCATTGTTATATCACAGTGGGTTGTGGTTTGTTTACATTTCTGTTACCTCCTAGCCTTTAATCTGTCTTCGAGCGTAAGGTGTGTGTTGTGTTCCAAATACTTAGAACAGTTCCTGATACAAAGTAGATTCTCAGATGTTTAGTTGAAAGTACATTTTTTTCTTCAGGGATTAATTAGTAATTTGGAAATTAGCTTATAGATGAGATATTGTTATAATTTACATTCTATGCAATAAAACTTTTCTATGTAATCTTTCGCCTCACCATCATGTTTTACATTGCTACCATCTCTTTTCAGATGTTATTTTGTATTTTGTCGCTTATAATGGTACCTTAAATAGTATTGATACCTTAGGGCAGGAGTGTCCAATTTTTTGGCTTCCTTGGGCCACATTGGAAGAATTGTCTTGGGTCACACATAAAATACACCAACACTAATGATAGCTGATGAGCTTTAAAAAAATGGCAAAATAATCTCAATGTTTTAAGAAGTTTACGAATTCTTGTTGGGCCACATTCAGAGTCATCCTGGGCCTCTGGTTGGAGAAGCTTGCTTTAGGATATTTTCATTTAGTTACACAGAGAAGATTTTACTTTTGGATTAGAGTTTAATCTCTGGCTATTTATTGAAAAAATTTAGGGTTTATAATGGCACATGTTTAGAGATCTCTTCTACCTATTGAGGAGAGGCTTTAGGCTAGTTAAGGGTTTTAGGGCATGGAGTGGAAGGAGAGGAATGATGAATTCCCTTTTTGAAATGAAGAAACGTAATTTAATGAGTGCAGTTAAAGAGGGAGGATGATACGTTGGATGTATTTAAAACCATTTTTGGGGACGGGCACGTGGTTCACGCCTGTAATCCCAGCACTTTGGGAGGCCAAGACAGGCAGATCACTGGAGCCCAGGAGTTTGAGACCAGCTTGGGCAACATGGAGAGACTCCCATCTCCACAAAAAGTATAGAAATTAGCTGGGCGTGGTGGTACACACCTGTAGTCCCAGCTCCTACGGAGGCTGAGGTGGGAGGATCTCTTGAGCCTGGGAGGCAGAGATTGCAGTGAGCTGAGATTGCACCACTGCACTCCAGCCTGGGAGTGAGACCCTGACTTAAAAAAAAAAAAAAAAAAAACCCAAGAAACAAAAACTAACCAAAGAGCAACAACCTTTTTTTTCAATGTTGTTTACTGTACTACTACATAGAAAGTGAATTGTATTGACTGTAATAACTGTGTCAAAAGTACATTTGAGGCCCAGTGCGGTGGCTCATGCCTGTAATCCCAGCACTTTGGGAGGCCGAGGCAGGTGGATCACCTGAGGTCAGGAGTTTGAGACCAGCCTGGCCAAAATGATGAAACCCCGTCTCTAATAAAAATAGAAAAATTAGCCAGGTGTGGTGGCAGGCGTCTGTAATCCCAGCTACTTGGGAGACTGAGGCAGGAGAATCACCTGAACTAGGGAGGCGGAGGTTGCAGTGAGCTGAGATGATACCACTGCGCTCCAGCCTGGGCGATGGAGTCTCAAAAAAAAAAATAAAAAGAGACACTGTCTCAAAAAAAAAAAAGTACATCTGAATTTGTGAAGGATCTGAATTACGGAAGACCTTTTAAAATAATTTTCATGCATTCAGATATATGACCTGGAATTTAGGTGTCCATGTATAAATCATTTGACAACCTGAGATTTTGATTAAGTAAACGTTCTTTGATATGTTGAACTTTCCTGATAGAACAAGGTTAATTTTAGCTCAGAAATTTTCTTAAATTTACATATATGTGTGTGTATATATATACGTGTGTGTGTGTATATATACATATATATGTATGTATATATATATATATATTTTTTTTTTTTTTTTTTTGTAGAGACGGAGTCTTGCTTTGTCACCCAGGCTGGAGTGCAGTGGCGTGATCTCGGCTCAATGCAACCTCTGCCTCCCAGGTTCAAGCAATTCTGCCTCAGCCTCCCAAGTAGCTGGGACTACAGATGCACACTGCTACACACGGCTAATTTCTTTTGTATTTTAGTAGAGATGGTGTTTCACCTTGTTGCTCAGTCTGGTCTTGAACTCCTGAGCTCAGGCAATCTGCCCATCTCCGCCTCCCAATGTGCTAGGATTACAGGCATGAGCCACCGTTCCCGGCCAAATATAAATTTTAAATTAGTAAGTGTCTAATTAGGGTTATATTACTGTATGTCAGAGCCTTGTAGTTTTCTATTTGAACACAAAAATGTACAATTTAATTCTTATACTCTTTCCAAGGAATTAAGTTACTAGAAATAACTTGCTTTAAAATTCTTTCACTTATAACGTGGTTCCATGGCATGAATCACTAAGGGTACATACTTATTCTTATTCACAAAATTTCCCTCTATGGCTTTTCTAAAGTATGATAGCAAATAAAAAAAAATGTTCCCTATGCTATAGACATAGAGAGTAACTAGATTGGTTCAAGATTGCATAAAGGTGGAGGTATGTTAGTCTCATAAAACTCTGTTCGTTAGGCTGATGTGGTGGCTCATGTCTGTAATCCCAGCACTTTGGGAGGTGGTGGATGGCTTGAGTCCAGGAGTTCCAGACCAGCCTGGGTGACATAATGAAACCCCATCTCTACTAAAAATACAAAAATTAGCCTGGCGTGGTGGCACATGCCTGTAGTCCCAGCTACTTGGGAGGCTGAGGTGGGAGGGTCGTTTGAGCCCCTGAAGCAGAGGTTGCCACTGAGCTGTGATTGTACCACTGCATTCCAGCCTGGGCGACAGAATGAGACACTGTCTCAAAAAGAAAAAAGAAACAAAACTCTGTCCACTGCCATAATTATTGAGTAAGTAGGCATTCTAGTTACCTTTCTCAATGCAAGTTTAGTTATTTTTGTCCTTGTTTTTTTTTGTTATTGTTGTTTTTTATTGTTTGTTTGTTTTTAAATTTGGGATGGAGTCTCACTCTGTGGCCCAGGCTGGAGTGCAGTGTCATGATCTCGGCTCACTGCAGTCTTTGCCTTCCAGGCTCAAGTGATTTTTCTGCCTCAGTCTCCCAAGTAGCTGGGATTACAGACATGTGCCACCATGCTTGGCTAATTTTTGTACTTTTGGTAGAGATGGGCTTTCACCATGTTGGCTAGGGCTGGTCTCGAACTCCTGACCTCAAGTGACCCACCACCTCGGCTTCCCAAAGTGCTGGGATTAAGGCATGAGCCACTGCACCCAGCCTTGTCCTCTTTAAATCAAAGACAGTATAGCAGATGCACACTTGTGGAGTGGAGAATCTAATTTGCATGGAATAATTTACATAGGCATTATTTGCAAGATTTTGAAATTTGGAAATTATGTCTTTTTTAAATTGGTTCTCTTTATACTAGAAAACATTATTAATATATTTGACTGGCTATAGGTTTTTTTTTGTTTTTTTTTTTTTAATAGAGACAGGGTCTTGCAATGTTGCCCAGGCTGTTCTGGAGCTCCTGGGCTCAAGTGATCCTCCTGCATCAACCTCCAAAGTGCTGGGATTACAGGCATGAGCCACCATGCCTGGCCAGCATCTTTTTTTGAAGAAACTTAATTTTAACTCTTTGTTTCAGCAGTCTTATACCTCATGACAGAACAATGAGTAAACATATATTTTCTTATTTCAGAGTTTAAATTAATTACCTTCCTAAGCATGAATTAGTGTTTTCTGAAGGGAAAAAATACATACAAGTTTTCCTTAAGATGCAGTCTAGTGCAAATTTGCTGTAATTAAGAGAAGTGAGATAGTGGAAACAAGCACTAATTTTCATGAATAAAAGTCCTGCTAACCACTATTAAGATAGCTTATTAATTTTCTTATAATGTTAGGCAAATAATTTATGATTTTATTGAATAATTTATTCATTATCAATCTGTTCATATTATTGAGATTTAAAAGACCAATTTGTGTTACTGTTTTGTTGTTGTTTTTTAGTCTGAGGTTTTTTTTTTTCATTGAATACTTTAGGGTGAATGCCTATTTAAGATAGAGTGAGTTGTACTCAAGTCTAACGTGCATAGAATTAAAATTTTTTAAAAATCAATTTATTAGGAAACAACTGCGTTTTTAAAAGTGGGTTAGTTCTCAGTAGGAAATAAAGTAACAAGATGGTGAGCTGAAAAAGTTGTAGTTTGGCGAACTTTATAAAAAAGAAAAATCTGTATTCTGTGTCCTTGAAACCATTTCTTCATATTGCAGTGAGAATAGGTAAGTGACAGTAGAAAAAATTTTGCAAAGCATTTTTCTTTGCTGATAAGTTAAATTTCTATTCATTAAGTAAAGTCGTATAAAATCAGATTAAATGTATTTTTCTAAAAACATCTGTTGCTTTATATAATATTCTTTAGCCCATTAGGAGTGTGGGTTATTTTGGAGGTGTGGGTTTGGTGCAGGGGTGGGAGGTGGTGGGTGGTGGTAAGGATATTAGAAGGAGTGTTTTAGAAACTTGTTTCCTATCCCACCGTTCCCAGTATCCTGTATATGTTAGTTATGTTAGTTTAGATTAGTGTGGGGGATGTTAGGAGTGGCCTGGTTTCTTTCCTTCTTTTTCCTAGCCAAGGAAGTATCGCCTGGGGATGCTGGAGGAGAGGCTAGTTCCGATGGGATCAAAGGCACGAAAAGCAAAGAACCCTATTGGCTGCCTTGCTGACAGGTGTAAATCAGGAGTACCCATCAATATGGTTTGGTGGAACAGAGTCACAGAAAACAATTTACAGGTAAAAATAATTTTTATTAGACATTTCTTGAAAGTGAATGTCTTGGCTGCTTTCTGTGTCTGTTTGGGGTGGTGGTTGTGAAAGGATTGGATGACTTAGCTGGTATACTTAGGTAATTAAAAAAATTTTTAATCAGAATAAAGTTAGTGACCCTTAACCAACTAAATGATTTTTTCTTGGTGGCTTTTTGAGCTTTTCCTCTTTGTAGAATATTTTACTTTTGTTTGTTTGTTTTTTGTTTTTTCAGACAGAGTCTCACTCTGTCCCCCAGGCTGGAGTGCAGTGGCACCATCTTACCTCACTGTAACCTCCACCTCCCAGATTCAAGATACCATGCCTCAGCCTCTCAAGTAGCTGGGACTGCAGGTGCACACCACCATGCCTGGCTAATTTTTTGTATTTTTAGTAGAGATGGGGTCTCGCCATGTTGGCCAGGCTGGTCTCGAACTCCTACCTCAGGTGATCTCTGCCTTGGCCTCACAAAATGCTGGGATTGCAGGCATGAGCCACCTCTCCTGGCCGAATATTTTACTATATTTAGTTAAATTTAGTTTTTCTGTTTTCAATTTTGTTAATACTTGAGTTCAATTATTTTTACTACCCAAGAGTTATTCAGGATAGGACTACATTGAAGAGTCATATAAGGCCGGGCATGGTGGTGCACGCCTGTAATCCCAGCACTCTGGGAGGCCGAGGAAGGCGTATCACCTGAGGTCAGAAGTTTAAGACCAGCCTGGCCAACATGGTGAAACCCCGTCTCTACAAATATACAGAAAAGAAAAGAAAAATTTTAGCCAGGTGTGGTGGGGAGCACCTGCAATCCCAGCTACTCGAGAGGCTGAGGCAGAAGAATGGCTTGAACCTGGGAGGCGGAGGTTGCAGCAAGCCGAGACTGCACCACTGCACCCACTCCAGCCTGGGCAACAGAGCGAGATTCTGTCTCAAAAAAAAAAAAAGAGTCGTATAAAATTTATTACACAAAGTCACATTTATTTGGAAATCTGAAGAACAAGATGCTTCATATGTTGTCTTTTTAACATTTTTACTAGGAAACAAAAATTATATGTAAACAAACTTGTCAAGAGTTGCTCTAAAACTAACTTCAATAGTATGTTGTCATAGAGTCATTACAAATACATTCCATCTTTGACTGTACCTTTTTTGTCAATACTGAATAATGCAAATGAAAATTTATGTCAGGTAGTTTCTATATAATATTTTGAAGTACCAACAAAAAAATTTATATGCCATTTTAATCTGGATTATAATTTTATTTCCATTTTTAAAAAATTGATAATTATTCTGTAATATTGTTTTATTAACCAAATTTCAATTTAGCCAGAGGTAGAATGTCTTTACTCCCAAACTTGCATTTAAAATATATCCCAAGGCAAAGCCTATAATCCCACATGTACATACCACACACAGAAAAGATATAACAAAGGTAACAAATTGGTTTTATTTCTGTTTCCAACCTTATGTTATAAATAGGTTCCACAGTATTTTGTTCTGTTTATTACTGATACATGAGTAGTATCTGTATTGCCTTGGGCATAGGAATAAATAAATTATTCCAAAAGTAAATATTGCAAAATGTAGTATTTGCTCCAGCTGATATTTTGGTAATATTTTCTAAAGATAAGAAAAGACAGGGGTTTCATATAACCATATGCTTCAAATTTCATTGGAAAGTTTTGGCTATGTCAATTATGAATAACAGTATAGTTTTTTTAACTGAATTTGCTTGTCTTTTATATCAGTAGTGGAGAGGTTTTTGATACGGGTTGTTACAATTAGTTTTTAGTTTAAAAAAGAAGGTCTGAAGAAAAAAATTGGACCACAGCTATTTAAGAGCAGATACAAGTGAAATTGGAATTACTTGTAGGTTGTGGGGGTGAAACACTTACCAATGCAGAGGTGTAGCCACTCGACCTCTCCACGACTGCCCCCATTATCCTGGTGGCAGTTCTGAGGTACTTTTTTTTTTAGAATAGCTTGAAAAATCTTTAGGTTGATTATAGTTATGTTTTATTTATAATTAAAATAGTAATAGATTTGCATTAATGTGTGAAATATTGAATTGGTGTTATCTGAATCTAATGTTTCCAATACTGTTATTTTATACTTCAGGTAGTTCTTTTCCTTTAAGGACATAAGGAATGCTGTACCCAAATTTAGAGCTTTATAATCTCTAAAATGTTTCACTTTACCAGGCACATGTTGAAGTACTGAAAAATACTCATCTCGTCTCTATTACTGTCTGTGTAGATTCCAAACTGGGGGTCTGGAATAGTTTATACAAAGCAAATAGTATGTCAATATATATTTTTGTATTGGAGTTTTTATCTTTTTCTTGTGAGAGAAAAGTAACTTACCAATTCCATACCATTTTTTTTTCCTTTTGTGTGATTAGAAAGTATTTTTAATATCGTTTTGTGTTTTCGACATATACTAGTTAAAAGAATTGTGTCAGGAGCATATTCATCTTTCCTGTTCCATTTGTTTCCTTAAATCTTAGGTCCTCTCAATCCTAGGGTCAGAAAAATGTTTTAAAATATTTTATGTTAATAATTATGGCTATGTTTCTTTAATGGTTGTCTTGTGCCAGGCACTGTGCTAAGCTCTTTACGCGTATTGTCTTTTGGTATTGCTAATAGCTTATGGGATAGATGTTACTGCTAGATGAAGAAACATCTTCAGAGAAGCTAAGTAGCTCTAAGGTTAAACAGTTAGTAGAGGAACAGATATTTGAGTCCACTTTTGTCAGACTCAAAATCTCTTTACTTCTATGTGCTGTAGCTCTAGTAACTACAGTTGGTTTAATTATCTAACTGGTTAACTGAATTTCTGCAGGACAGCTTTTGAGGATGAGGATGCATCCATAGTTGTATAGACACGGGCTGTAACTTACGTATGACTCTGCAGCATGTAAGCTCTGTCATTTTTCCTTGTGCTTCATCTTTTTCCTCTGTGCCATTTAACTACTTTTCTTTCTGGAACTTTAAACATTCCTTTACGTTCATTTCTTAATCTTGACCTAACATCTTGGTCTTTTTCTACTTCTGAAAACAAAGGAAAACCAACAAACCAACTAACAAGAAACTTAACAAAACCTTGGTCCAAGTTTCCGAGCTCTGATGGAATGCAGTCATTCATACTGCATTTATTCTCTTCAGTGCTGGATTTCTTTCAAGAGGCTTATGATTCCCTACCCTTTATTACTTAGTAATCTTTTAACTGATTTTTTAACCAAATACTTTATGATACGAAGGAGCCTGTCTGCCAAACATGGCATTTATTAAACAGTGATACATTTGAAAAATACATATGTGGAGCTGCTAATTAGAGAAACAGAGAAGCTTAAAATTTTTCTTAATCTTTTGTACGTTTGTAGAGGGTAAATTTATTCTTCATATGGCTGTTTGAGATATTGATAAGACCCATCTGATCTCCATTAATATGTTTGTAAAGTCCGCAGTCGGGAACCTTTGGAATGGTTTCCACTCTTTTCTCTAAATTTCCTTACCATCCATTTACTCCTTAAATGTCTGCAAACTGGTGTTACCAAAATTTTATTGAAATTGCTCTCAGAGTTTTCCAGGGATCTCCATAATTGCCAAATCCAGCAGTTTTATTGAGCACTTAATATTGCTGGCTACTTTTTTATTGTGAAACTCTCTCTGTCTCTCTCTCTCTTTTTTTTTTTTCGAGACAGGGTCTCTGTTACCCAGGCTGGAATGCAGTAATGCAATCATGGCTCACCTCATAGTCTCGACCTCCTGTGCTCAAGCGATCCTCCTGTCTCAGTCTCCCGAGTAGCTGGGACTGCAGGCACATATCACTGCACCCACCTAATTTTTTTTTTTTTTTCACTTTTTGTAAAGATGGGGTCTTGCCGTGTTGCTCAGGCTGATCTTGAACTCCTGGGCTCAAGCTATCCTCCTGCCTTGGCACGCCAAAGTGTTGGGATTACAGGTGTGAGCCACTGTACTGGCCATGAAATTTCTTTCTTTGCATTTTTTAATAAAAAAATTTTTATAATACAAAAAATTAGCCGGGCATGGTGGCGGGTGCCTGTAGTCCCAGCTACTTGGGAGGCTGAGGCAGGAGAATGGTGTGAACCTGGGAGGTGGAGCTTGCAGTGAGCAGAGATTGTGTCGCTGCACTCCAGCCTGGGCAACAGAGCAAGACTCCATCTCAAAATAGTAATAATAATTTTTTTTTTTAAGAGACGGGGGAGTGGGGGTCTCACTCTGTTGCCTAGGCTGATTTTGAACTCCTGGCCTCAAGTGATCCTTCCACCTTAGCCTCCCAAAATACTGGGATTATAGGCATAAACGACCACAACTGCCTGTCTTTGTACTTTTAACTCTTTGTTTCGTCCCTGGCTCCATGTGAGCTCCTGTTCTTGGTTCACTTGTTCTTTGCTTTTTCTTGTATGTCATTGATTCTGAAATGTTACTTTTAGAATTGTCTTCTGAGTTCAAGGCTCAGATTTTCTGTGCCTCTGATACCTTTGCATGTGGGTAAATATGCCACTCTCCCTACAAATCTGGAAAGTCTAGAAATACGGTTTAATTTTTGGTTTTCCAGATTTACTGCTTCGCATATATTCTCCTATACTCCTTCTTCAGTTTATGGCATTATCTTCCCTATCTCTGAGACTAAATATTCCTTCCTTGCCTTCTCTTTCATTCTACCTCTTATTTTTTTTTTCCCCCCTGGATTACTTTTTTAATCTAACACTTATTATAAGAAGGAAACTACTGTGCTTTGACAGATCATTAATTAAAATAGAATATATTGGACAGTGTACATTATAACAATAATCACATATTATCCCCATTTGACAACAGAATTGGGCCTTAGGAAAGCTTAATGCTGGTTAGTGGTAGAGCTGCAATTCTAGCCAAGATCTGTTCTAAATCTTGAGATTTTCCTGCTATATTATCTGTCTCTAATTCTTACTTTTTTAAAGTCTACAGTATCTTACCCCTCTTCCCTTTTTTATAAATAGTGAGATTGTTTATTCCTTACGCATATACAGCTTCTGAATAATTTTTGTCAATTTTTTTTAGGATTTATTCTACCTATCTGAGTTTATCTCTTCATATCCATCCATATATACTACATCCTAACCATATGAGGTCTTTTATGTTACATAAAATATAAAATACATTGTCAGTTCTCTGAACCATTGTTAACTGAGCCTGAAAAATCTTCCTTCTTTTTCCTTTAAGAGATGGCTCAAATACTACTTTCTCTGGGATTACTTGTATACACAGCAGGCAGGATAGAATATATATATGTATACACACACACACACACACACAATTTGTTTAACTTACTTTACTATTCCTAGTGTATTTGGTGTTTTACAGTTACTTCATTCTGTTTTGTATTAAATTTGTTTGCCTGTTTGTCTTTTTCTACTGGATTGTAAATACTTGAGGTTAAGCATGTGTTTATTTCTGTATCCTGAAGGTATTAGGTTGGTGAAAAAGTAATTGCGGTTTTGCCATTACTTTTAATGCAAAAACTGCAATTACTTTTGCACCAACCCAGTATTTTACTTGTTTTTAAATGCTACTGTTTAATTTTTTTCTTTCTTTCTTTCTTAATTTTTTTTCCCCCCAGACAGGGTCTCACTCTGTTGCCCAGGCTGGAGTGCAGTGGTGCAGTCTTGGCTCACTGCAACCTCTGCCTCCCAGGCTCAAGCGATGCTCCCTCTTCAGCCTCCCAAGTAGCTGGGACCACAGGTGTGTGCCACCATGCCTGGCTAATTTTTTTTTTTGGTAGAAACAGGGTTTCACCGTGTTGCCCAGGCTGTTCTTGAACTCCTGGCCTCCCAAAGTGCTGGGATTACAGGTGTGAGCTGCCATGCCTGACCTTAATTTTCTTTTATTGGGTAATATATGTAATTTTGTGGTAATTTATTTTAAGACTTTTCTATATTATTTATTTATTTACTTATTGAGACAGGGCCTCACTCTGTTGCCCAGGCAGGCATGCAGTGGTATCGTCATGGCCCACTGCAGCGTCTACCTCCTGGGCTTAAGCAGTTCTCCCACTTTAGCCTCCCAAGTAGCTGGGACTACAGGTATGTGCAACTGTGCCCAGCTAGGTTTTCTTTGTATTTTTTTGTAGAGACAGGGTTTCTCCATATTGCTCAGGCCGGTCTTGAACTACTGGACTCAAGTGACCCACTTGCCTCAGCCTCCCAAAGTGCTGGGATTACAGGTGTGAGCCACCACACTGGGTCTGGCTTTTCTGTATTTAAAAAAATTAATCATAGACTTTTTGGGGCTTATTTTGAAATGTTAGAGATCTTCCATCTTAAAGTTTAACATTATCCAAGTATTCTTGCTATTTTTTAATCTTTTAAGCCTTGTAATAGACTTAATTACCTCTTGACAGTGTTGTTTAGTGAGAAAGCGTCTCTGCTTTTCTTTTTTCTTTTCTTTTTTTTTTTTTTTGAGACGGAGTCTTGCTCTGTTGCCAGGCTGTAGTGCAGTGGTGTGATCTCGGCTCACTGCATCCTCCACCTTCCAGCTTCAAGCGATTCTCCTGTTTCAGCCTCCCGAGTAGCTGGGATACAGGCACACTCCACCACGCCCAGCTAATTTTTGTATTTTTAATAGAAATGGGGTTTCACCGTGTTGGCCAGGATGGTCTTGATCTCTCTATCTCTTGACCTCGTGATCTGCCCACCTTGGCCTCCCAAAGTGCTGGGATTACAGGCGTGAGCGACCACGCCCGACCAGCTTCTCTGTTTTATATTTTTTTCATCATCTCAGCCCAGACACCAAGCAGGTGGTGAATGGAAGATCACCTGAGACACCACATCAAAAACACTTCATTTCACCTAAGTGCAAATTCACTTTGATCTTTCCTTTAGTCTTTGCCCAGGATGTTTACCTATCACTGGATGGTTACCTGTCACTTTGCCTGACCAATCTGTATGTGAATTCAACATTTTCTATTTGTTCTATGACTACATAGTTCAAATTGCCATTGCTTGGGCTTGAAATATTTTATCACCTGTCCTACAGAGTTGTTGTGAGGATTCAAATTTCCAAGCACATAATAGATATTAAATAAATGTCCATTGTCCAGTTTTACCTTATCACCTTATCTCCTAAAGTTGATGTTTGTTTATATTTATTTAGAGTACAGCCTGCAGTTATATTCATATGTGCTTAAATCATGATATGTGTATAATGGGGCAGTGACACTTGGTCTCTTTTAAGGGCTCACATTTAAATGCTAACTCACTTGAATATTTTGAAAAATAAATGCTTTTTTTGAAAGGACAACTTAATGTGTTTTTTCCTGTGATTTTACATTTCATTTTGAATGAAAGGTTCTGGGAAATGTATGATTTTGTAAATTTCTCATAATATTGCAGGTTAAGATTTACCTAAAAGTAGTGATACATTAAATAAAATCACGCTAATTTTGTCTCAGACTTTTGAAAATTGTGTGGTTGTGAATCATAAGTTATAATATTACTATTGTTTTAGTGAAGTGATACAATTAAATAAGAACTGTTGGACTGTGCATGTGTTAGGGGATCCATTTGATTTCATTGTCTCCTTGTCAGCATCTCTTTTGATGCTACTTTTTTCCCCTTGTCTGATTAAATGGCATTTTTTGTAAGAGGTATTTAATTATAAGAATGCTTACATTAAAATCTCTTGGCCTATAAATTCTCATGTGAGTTCTAGTTGCTTGTTACTGCTTCCTTTAAGATCTCGGGGGCGGTGGGTGGTTGGAAACTCACTAGATTTACTTCCGTCTTTACTCACTGGGTTTTGGTATTACTTCAGGTGATTTGTAATCTCTAGGCCACAGGAAATGGGATAATGTAGGCTTTTGATGCAATGGATTGGACTTTGTAAAGGTGAAGCTTCAAGCTATCTACTTAGGGTGCCTGGGGACTTTGAAGAGTTATAGAACTATGATGCAGCTGCAGTGGCCTTTCTGTAAATGTACTACTTTCTGTTCACACATCTCACCCTGGACCTCCTCTTCTCTCTAGCTGATACTCGAAATCTTTAATGTTCTCAGACCTACTCAACCCTTACTCTATCACTTTAGAGTAATGACCTTGTGTTCTTCATGGAAGGGAGAAAAAAGGTCATTAAGAATTCATTGTGGTTCTGTCTACTGTGACAAAGTTTAAAAATTTTAGAAAGAATAAAGTGTGGGCTGGGTGTGATAACTCATTCTTGTAATCCCAGCACTTTGGGAGGCTGAGGCGGGAGGATTCACTTGAGCCCAGGAGTTCGAGACCAGCCTGGGCAACATAGTGAGACCCCTGTCTCTACAAAAGAAAAAATAATAATTAGCTGGGTGTGGTGACATGTGCTTGTAGTCTCAGCTATTCAGGAGGCAGAGGCAAGAGAATCCCATGAGTTCGAGGCTGCAGTGAGCTGTGATTGCACTGTTGCACTCCAGTCTGCGTGACAGAGCAAGACCCTCTTAAAAAACGAAAACAAAAAAACTGTTTCTTAAAAAAAAAAAAAAAAGAAAAGAAATGCCTCATGTATCAGCTTTCTACCTATCTATATTTTCATTAATATTCTTATTTTTCCTCCTGTCTCAGACAAATAGGTGTTTGTTATATACTGAAGGCCATCTTGATTTTTTTCCAGCAACTTATTCCTTCATGTGTCTCTTCAATATTACTCTTATTTCTCTATGTTGGTTACATCCTCTTAACTTATAAGCATTCCATGTTTAAATCTTTTCTGATACTTTATGAACCCCACAACAAAGCATGCTACATGAGGAAAAGGTTCTTTGGTCAGTACATTTGGAAAACTCTGCGATACAATTTGGGAAATGGTTCCTACTTATTATGGTGACTACTTTTTCACCTTTTGTTCATCCCTTAATTCCCAATATTTTCCCTTTCCTTTTCACCATTCTATTGAAACTGTTTTTGATAAGATCGTCTAACTGACTTTTTTTTTTTTTTTTTTTTTTTTGAGACAGAGTTTCGCACTGATTCACCCAGGCTGGAGTGCAGTGGTGCGATCTCGGCTTACTATAGTGTCTGCCTCCCAGGTTCAAGCAATTCTCCTATCTCAGCCTCCCAAGTAGCTGGGACTACAGGCTGCACCACCACACCCGGCTAATTTTGTATATTTAGTAGATATAGGGTTTTGCCATGTTGTCCAGGCTGGTCTCGAACTCCTGACCTCAGGTGATCCAGCTGCCTCAGCCACCCAAAGTACTGGGATTACAGGCGTGAGCCACCACACGCGGCCCCTAACTGACAAAATCAACGGCATTCCTCTTACTTGCCCTCTGCTACAATTGACAGTTGACCATTCTTCTTTTTTTGAAACTTTTATTTTCTTAGCTCTTAGATTGTTATTAGTGGGTTTTTTTTTTTTGTAAGACTTCTTGGCCTTTGTACTGCCCTCAAGAACTCTGCCAAGCTCTGTCATTGACTGTTTTTTCTTTCACTCTTTCTTCATAGTGCTCTTCTGTAATCTCACATGTCTTCAATACTTCAGCTCCTTCCTAGTCACATTTGACTCCTGGATACTTTTTTCCCCTCCTAGTCCTCTGCACTCATTCTATTATATTTCTGGTTTCTTCTGAACATCTTCATCTCCATGACATAGGACTTAAAACTCAACCTGTCTAAAATGAACACCAAGTTAGGGATCCTCCCCCTCTCACAGAGGCAGGGCGGGTTCCTGTAAAAAATAAAAATAAATGAATAAAAAATAAAATGAACGCTGTATATTTTTCTTCAAACCTGTTTTTCATTTACACACATCTGTAGACACTTATTCACAACTATATGCCACCATATATCTTGGTTATTGATATCATTTGGTGTCTAACTTGTGAGCTCTTTTTGACCCCTCACTTCCTTACCTGCCATATCCTTCAGCAACTAAGATCTGTTGCTGGTTTGAAATTATTTTTACTCTGTTAGTTATAATGTAGATCCACCTTTAATTCTTGCTTGGATTATTATATTGTGGTGTCTTAGCTGGTTTCCTGCTTCTAGTCTTCTTTTTCAAACAACTACCTGATTGTCTGATCTTGCCTCTCATCTTTGTCATTGGGGGAAAAAAGGTCAAAATCCCTTATGAAGGCATCCAAGCTGCTCCTTGCTCTTGTTCCTATTGAACTATTTGTGGTACCATGTAGCTACCATGAAGAGTTCCATGTTCTTGCTTCTCCTTTGGCTATTCTTTTTGAACATTCACCTTGGTTGATGTACCCTTCCTTCTGTCTTGATTTAGCAAACTTGTCTTTTAAGATTGAATTCATACATACGGTCTTATGGCCTAATTAAACAGCATTAGATGTTTGCTCACATTGTCCTAGCACTTACCAGATTCTAATTATTCATTTATAGAACTTATCACATAAACTAATATCAATATACTGATCATGGCACATTGTAGATAATATATGTCTTTTGATACATGGATGTTCTGAGTTCTTGAGAGTGTGGAATTGGGTTCAGGATACATTGTATACCTGTGAAATGTCAGCCTGTGAACTTGTAGAACACAGTGTCTATGTTTTATGTCTTTCTTCCTCACAGCGCCTAGTACACTGCCTTGCACAGTGTCTTTTATATATTAGGTATTCAAATAATTAAATGGATGGACCTGGATTATTGATTAGCTGGATGAATATTTGACCTAATGTGTTCCTGAAATTTAATGCTTTACATATTTTTGTAAATTTTCCCTTGGTACAGTTTCATTAAATAAAATATCAACGTGGAAAATATTTGAAAATCTTAATATATGTTAAAATTTATGATTAATATGGTAGGATTCTTTGTTAGAAAGAATACATCTAAGTATTATAAATTACTGTGGAATATGACAAATAGGTTTTACTGTTATATGGCTATGGATAGAAGATATGCATAAGTAGCAATAATCGTAGCTGTGTAAAGTAGTTCTTGCCTCTTTGGAATGTTGTGATAGTCTCACTTTCCTGTACTACTTATTCACTGACCTAAGTAAACATTTTTCCTCCTTTTAGGGACAGTGATAGAATAAACTAGGTGGTATGCCCTGTGATTATGAATTATTACTGTTATTGGAGCACTTTTACATGTAAATAACTTCAGATTCTTTTAAGTACAGGTTCAGTATACCTTATCCAAGATACTTGAGACTATAAGTGTTTCAGATTTTTTTTTTGGGGGGTATGTTTGAATCCATTTAGTGGTTGAGCATCTTAAACCTGAGAAGACCTGGCCCGAAATACTGCATTGAACATTGACTTTGAGCATCATGTTTGAGCTCAAAAAGTTTCAGATTTTGGAGCATTTCAGATTTCAGATTTTCTGATTAGGGATACCTAGTTTGTAGCAGATGCACACATCCGGTTTTATTTTTAAGTGTCTTCTATTCTTTGGATACAGATTATCTTTTTATATGCATTGATTTTTTTGGTCTGAATTTAAATGTACAATCCATGTGAATTCTTACGATAATTCCATTCAGCGATGATATGCAAATGAAAAAGGGAATGGTGTAAGTGGTTTTATGATTTAGAAATCTTGAACTTTCTTAGAAGTTTTTTGTAAAAATTATACAGTGGTCCTTCTGTATTCTGTGGGATTGGTTCTAGCAACAACCTCCTCACCACCCGCAGATACCAAAATACTGGGGTGCTTAAGGCATAATATTTGCATATAACCTATGTGCATCCTCCAGAATAGCTATTACAATGTAAATGTTTTGTAAATAGTTGCTATACTGTATTGTTTTTGTTTGTATTTTTAAAATTGTTGTTGGTTTTTTTTACCCCAAATATTTTTTATCTGTGGTTGGTGGAATCTGCAGATTCAGAACCCATGAATACGGAGTGCTGACTGTATATACTATTGAAAAAAATCAGATACTATAGAAGAGTACGAAGAAGAAGGCAAAAATGTCCCTAGCCAGGTTACCACCCACAGATAACTTGTCTGATATATTTTAGTGACCATCTTTAGCATGTTTTTACACACCTGCGTGCATACGCATTCCCCCATTCCCTCTCAGGCATAAGGAAACTATTTTACATAAATAGCAATTTAGTTTCATTGCTGTTCTCTAGCTTATCTTTTATTTTTACTGAATCAGTAGTATAGGTGTCTCTTTTCATGTTTAATAAAAATATATCAACTCATAATTTTTAATAGTTATACATTATGATATGTTCCACAGTCCACATGACCAAATCCCTACTGGTAGATATTTTACTTATTTCTTTTTTTAAAATACTATAATAAAAAAGTGCTGTGCTAACCTTATCTACTTGTGTCATTTTTCTTCTTAGCTTTAATTCCTAGATGTGAGTTTGCTAGATCAAGGGCATGCTTATTCTTTGCTTATTCTTCTCCCGTCTCCTCCCGTTTTTCTCCTTCCTGCCTGCCTGCCTGCCTGCCTTTCTTTTTCTTTTCCCCTTCTCCTTCCCTTTTTCCTTTCTCCTTTTACCACTCTGGAGTGCGGTGGCATGATCACAGCTCACTGTAGCCTTGATCTTCTGGGCTCAAGTCATCCTCCTATTTCAGCCTCCAGAGTAGCTGGGACTACAGGTGTGTGCTATCATGCATGGCTAATTGTTTTTAATTTTTAGTAGAGATGGGGGTCTTGCTTTGTTGCCCAGGCTGGTCTTGAACTCCTGAGCTCAAGTGATCCTCCACCCTTGGCCTCCTAAAGTAGTAGAATGACAAGTGTGAGCCACTGCACGGCCTTATTTTTCGTTTTGATAATATTATCAAACTGTTCTCATAAAAGGTACACCAGGAGATTGTTAGAGATGTTTATAGTATTATCCATTTCTGGCAAACTTTGTAAAGGATGAGCTAACAACTGTCTTTGGAAATTTACATGTCTATAATGTCAAGCTGTTATGTACAGAGAATTGCTTTATGCTGAGATCATAAAAATTTTTGTTTTCCTCCATTCTAATGTAAAGCTTGTTACTAATTGATCTTCATTTGCCGGGTTCCAACATACACATGCTACTTTCCTCTTAAGATTGTCAAGTTATAAATAGGAGAACTTTTATTTAGAAGAATGCTAATATGAATCTTTTGGAAATACTAGTAATTAGCTTTCTTCTGCTGTCTCCACCAATTTTATCTGATTTAGAAAATTATATTTCCTTTATTGAGATGCTTAAATCGGAGGGCTTAGTTTGCTTCAGAAAGTTTATAAACTATATTATTAGACTAATTTTACAATAGTCATTGTATTTAGGTGTCACTTTTAACTTTTTTTTTTAATTAAACTTTGCAGGTTTTAAATAGGTCAGTTTCTGACTAACCCAGAAGTTGAGTATATTTTGATAATACATTTTAAATTGGCCATATTTGTATGTGCTTGAAATAAGTGGAAATAACAATTCATTAAATAACAACAACAAAAAAAACCTTATGTGAACCTGGGGATTCTTGTTACCATCTGACTACTCCTTTCCATCTCCCTCTGTTCCTCTTTATCCTGTGTTGCTTGTTAACACTGGAGACTAGTAAAATTAGGTCTGAATTGGGCTGCTCTTTAGGTCCATGGATCTCATCTTTATTTTTTTTGAGACAGGGTCTTGCTCTGTCATCCAGGCTGGAGGGTACTGGTGTAGAGATGGCTCACTGCAGCCTTCACCTCCTGGGCTCAAGCAGTTCTCCTGAATAGCTGGGACCACAGGTGCGTACCACCACACCTGGCTAATTTAAAAAAATTTTTTTTTTTTTGTAGAGAGAGTGTCTCTTCTTGTTGCCCAGGCTGATCTCAGACTCTTGGCCTTGAGCAGTCCTCCCACCTTGGCCTACCAAAGTTGTAGGATTACAGGTGTGAGCGGCCATGCCTGGCTGGGTCTCATCTTTTTATGTCTTTTTAGATCACTTTAACAAGGCAAAAAAAATTCCTCCACCCTGTCTTTCTTTCTCATTATTAGTACCCTCTCTTCTGCTTTTCCAGATAATTCACTGCTCATTGCTGTTGCCTAGTCACTCCCAGTGGCATGGATAGAAATAATTGTATTGGAGAAATATTTATGTAAAATAGACTGTGACTTGGTGCTTCAAAGATGTGGGCATTATCAAAAGGACAGTTAGTTGAACTGTGCGTGTGACATGATTTATCTTTTTAGGAAAGAGATTGTAAGGAAAGCACAACAAAACTTGAAAAACCGACTTTATAAGAAAGTAGATTGAATTGCTCACAAGTTATTTGAAATGGTATTTGTAGATCGCCTCTCTCCTAGTGGGTGTTTAATCTAACCAAAAAGAGTTGGCTAAACTTTATATATTGATAAAGTCAAAAAATTCCTTAATATTTTCAAAACATTACCACTAAATTTGTCTTCTGGCCAAGGTGAAAGAACAGAGATTAGACTTACCTCTCTTCAGAAACAGCTAAAAAACTGAACAAAAACATATGTAACAGCAGTTTTCAAGACATGAGATATCAGACAGTGAAGGACAGTGATCCCTGAGAGATGGAAAACAAATGAGGTGAACCTTGTGATTAACCCAGCTTACTACCTTGGGAGAGTTTCCCAACCTTGTATAGAAAGGGGGACATCAGGTGGAGCCTGCTGATCTGTCTGAATTGAGGAGACCAAACTGGAAGTCCACAGTGGCTAAGGTGGCAATACTATACAAGAAAACATACTGAAGAAGAGAGAGCTCACATACAGAGAGAACTCTGGCAATTTACCAAGGGATCCCTCTTGAATCTTTAGCTGATGTGAATTCAGGATGTGAATGAAGAGGCTACCAGAGCTGGAAAAAGCAGTTGCCAAGAAGATCACAGTCAACAATTCTCAGATCTATACATGGCCAGGAGTAGTTCCTGTTCTCACTGGCCAACGTGGAAAACTTCGTAACTCGTGAAGCACCAAGTAAGGCTAATTGGAAGCCATTTCCCTCAGTAGTGGGGCCAAATTAGCCTTAGAATAAATTCTTCCCTGGTTCCTCCTGACAAAACTTAAAAGCAAGACCTGGTAGAATGAAACTAATTTGTAAGCAGTTTAGCTACAACAGAGAGCAAAGGTCAAGAAGATTTATAGGAATATGAAAATATCCAGCACCCAGCAGATAAAAGTCACATTATTTACCATGTAATTAAAAGTACCAGACAGGCAAAGGAGGAGGAAAGTAAGACCCATAAAGAAAAGAAAATGTAATCATTCAAAACTGATCCAGAAATAGTTACGTGAAAACATCAACAATAATTATTATAACTGTATTTCATATGTTGAGGAAGCTTAGAGGAAAGATTAAACATGTTAGTACAGGAGTGAAACATATATACATAGATAAGAAATCCAAATCAGACTTTGAAAGTTGAAAGCTATAGTGTCTGAAATGAATAATATGTTTGATGGGATTAATGGCAATAGACATTGAAGAACAGTTTAGTGAACTTGAAGGCATAGCAATAGAAACTGCCCCAGAAAACCACACGCAGAGAAAATGTGAGCCATGGGATAACATCAGGTGACCTAATATCCTTATAATTGGAGTTCCTGATGGGGCTGATGGGATGTGCAGAAAAAGTATTTTAAGAAATAATGGGCAACATTTTCCAAACTTGATGAAGCTGTAAACCCACAGACTCAAGGTGTCCAGTGAACCACAGGCAAAATAAACATGAAGAAAATTACATCAAGGCACATCAAAGAAGCAGCCATACCAAAAAACAAAACAAAACCATTTTTGAGGAATAACAATACCATTGGCTTTCCGTATCCATGGGTTCTGCATTCTTGGATTCAACCAATCATGGACCGGGGGAAGAAAAAAAACCCAAACACCAAAAAAATCATACTACAATAAAAATAATACAAATAAAGAATGCCATATAACATTTATATTTCATTAGGTATAAGTAATCTAGAGATGATTTAAGGTATACAGGAGTATGCACCTATATGCATAGACTACATACAACTACTAGGCATTTAATATGAGGGACTTAATTACCTGTGGATTTTGGTATCTGCAGAGGAGCTGGAGGATACTGAAAAACCACCGTAGTGATAGCTGATTTCTCACTGGAAATAATACAAATTGTAGACAGTATAACAGTATCTTTAAAATACAGGAAGGAAAAAAAAGTGTCACCCTAGAATTCCATACTTGGAAAAAATATCCTGCAAAAATGCAGTCAAATTGAGTGCATTTATGCACTCAGAAACTGGTAAAATTCAAACGAGGTGGGCAGTTTAGCTAAAATTATTGCACCAGTGTTTACTGTTTTGAAACGTACTATGGTTATGTAAGATGTTACCTGCCATCAAAGAAGGTAAAAGGTACCATTTCTTGTGAGTCTCACATTATGTCAAAAGAAATGTTTTTGAAAAAACAGCAAAAAAAAAAAAAAAAAAGGTTGGGGGATACTTCAGACTATTTGGTGAACTCTCACAACTTCGTAATAGAAAATTTAAAAATGCATTAAAAGTAGTCAAAAAATGTGGACACTTCAAAGAAGATATAAAATGGCAAATAAGTTATTTGGGAAATGCTAATTAAAACCACAATGAGATACCACTACACACCTATTAGAATGTCTAAAATGAAAAAGACCAACCAAAGTATGTATTCCTGAGTACATAGAGCAACTTGATCTCTTATACAGTGCTGGTGGATGTAGTAAAATAGTACAGCTAGGCTGGAGTATCGCTTGAGTGGCTGTAGTGAGCAATGATCTCTCCAGTGCACTCCAGCCTGGGTGACAAAGCAATACCCTGTCTCCAAAAGAAAAAAAAATAAAAAATCACAACTACTTTGGAAAACAGTTTACTAACTTAAAAAGGTTATATATACGTACGTATTATATGCCCAAATCATTCACTGCTACGTTTTTAACCAAGAATAATGAAATGTGTATTTGTTTACAAATGAAACGTGTATTTGTGTACAAAGACTTGTGTACAAATCTTCACAGCAGCTTTATTTGTAATAGCCAAAACTTGGAAACAATCTAAATATCTAATGGATGAAAGGATAAACAAATTATAGTATATTGATAATGTCGAATACTAATAAGCAATACAAATGAAGTATTGATAGGTGCAGTGAAGTGGATCAATCTTCATGCTGAGTGAAAGAACCCAATCAACTTTTTTGCAACGAGTTTGCCACCAGAACACAGGTGTCATGAAAACTACCCCTAACAGCCAAAATGGGAAGAGACTTTTATCAACATTGTCTTCATTGGACACATAGATTCAAGGCAAGTCCACCACTACTGGCCATCTGATCTACAAATGTGGTGGAATCAACAAAAGAATCATTGAAAAATTGGAAAAGGAGGCTGCTGAGATGGGAAAGGGCTCCTTCAAGTATTCCTGGGTCTTGGATAAACTGAAAGCTGAGCATGAATGTGGTCTCACTATTGATATCTCCCTGTAGAAACTTGAGACCAACAAGTACTACATGACTTAGCATTGATGCCCCAGGACACAGAGACTTCATCAAAAACATGATTACTGGGACATCTCAGGCTGACTGTGCTGTACTGATTATTGCTGCTGGTGTTGGTGAAATTGAAGCTAGTAGCTCCAAGAATGGGCAGGCTGGCGACCATGCCCTTCTGGCTTACACACTGGGTGTGAAACAACTAATTGTTGGTGTTAACAAAATGGATTCCACTGAGCCAACTTACAGCCAGAAGAGATATGAGGAAATCATTAAGGAAGTCAGCACTTATATTAATAAAATTGGCTACAATCCTGACACAGTAGCATTTGTGCCATTTGCTGGTTGGAATTGTGACAACATGCTGGAGCCAAGTGCTAACATGCCTTGGTTCAAGGGATGGAAAGTCACCCATAAAGATGGCAGCACCAGTGGAACCACACTGCTTGAGGCTCTGGACTGCATCCTCCCACTAGCTTGTCCAACTGACAAGTCCTTGCACCAGCCTCTCCAGGGTGTCTACAAAATTGGTGGTATTGGTACTGTGTCTGTGGACCGAGTGGAGACTGGTGTTCTCAAACCCGTTATGGTGGTCACCTTTGCTCCAGTCAACGTTACAACTGAAGTCTATTGAAATGCACCATGGAGCTTTGAGTGAAGCTCTTCTTGGAGACATTATGGGCTTCAATGTTATGAATGTGTCTGTCAAAGATGTTCGTTGGGGGAGTGTTGCTGTTGACAGCAAAAATGACCCACGAATGAAGGCAGTTGGCCTCACTGCTCAGTGATTATTCTGAACCATTCAGGCTAAATCAGTGCTGTCTATGCCCTTGTACTGAATTGCCACACAGCCCATGTTGCATCCAGGTTTGCTGAGCTGAAGGTAAAGATTTATTGCCATTTTGGTAATAAGCTGGAAGATGGCCCTAAATTCTTGAAGTCTGGTGATGCCGCCATTGTTGATATAGTTCCTGGCAAGCCCATGTGTGCTGAGAGCTTCTCAGACCATCCTCTTCTGAGTTGTTTTGCTGTTGGTGATGTGAGACAGACAGTTGCTGTGGGTGTCATCAAAGCAGTGGACAAGAAGGCTGCTGGAGCTGGCAAGGTCACCAGGTTTGCCCAGAAATCTCAGAAGGCTAAATGAATATTATCCCTAATACCTGCCACTCTAGTCTTAATCAGTGGTGGAAGAATGGTCTCAGGACTGTTAGTTTCAGTTGGCCATTTAAGTTAATAGTAAAAGACTGGTTAAAGATAACAATGCATCTTAAAACCTTCAGAAGGAAAGGAGAATGTTTTGTGAACTACTTCATTTTTGTTTTTTTTCTTTTTTCTTTTGCATGTGGTAGTTTTACTAGTTTTTTAAATCAGTACGTTTTAATGGAAACAACTTGACCGAAATTCTGTCGCAGAATTTTGAGACCCATTAAAACAAAGTTTAGTGAGAAAAAAAAAAAAGCCAGGTAAAAAATACATATATGTGTATGACCCATTTATGTGAAATTTTTAAAAATGCAGACTAATTCATAGTGACAGAAAGTCTCAGTGGTTTCCTGGAGACTTGGGGGCAGAGAGCAGAGAGGGGTGGAAAGGAGAGAGGGGTTTATAAGAGGCCTGTGCAGACTTTAGTATGATGTTTATGGTCATTATATTGATTTGGGTAATGGTTTCCAGGTTGTATATCTGTGTCAAGAGTTACCAAAGTTTTAAGTATGTGCAGTGTATTACATGTTAATTGTATCTTAAATAAAGTTGTTAACAAAAAGTCACCAGGTTAGGTTTTCATTCAGAGGATGGAAAGATTACTGATACCAATTTACAGAGCCCTTAAGATAGCTAAAGCAGGCCGAGCTCTTTAAAGAGCTGTCCAATAGTTTTATGAGTTTACTATGTGATTAAAATAACCCTGACCAGTATTCAGGAATATTAGTTTCTCATTCATCCCATCATTGTATGATAACAATTTTTTTCTTATAGGCCTTTTTGGGCCATATATGCAATGAAATGTTACATATCTTACGTTCCGTTATCATTCAACAGAAACTTCTTGTCTTTCCATCTAATTAAAAAAAAAAAATTAGGCCAGGTGTGGTGGCTCACGCCTGTAATCCCAGCACTTTGGGAGGCCAAGGTGGGCAGATCTCTTGAGGTCAGGAGTTCGAGACCAGCCCAGCCAACATGGTGAAACCCCATCTCCACTAAAAACAAAAATTAGCCGGGTGCGGTGGCGGGCGCCTGTAATCCCAGCTACTCTGGAGGCTGAGGCAGGAGAATCACTTGAACCCGGGGGGCAGAAGTTGCAGTGAGCCGAGATCACGCCACTGTACTCCAGCCTGGGTGACAGAGTAAAACTCTGTCTCAAAAAAAAAAAAAATGATAATAATTACAACAACATTTAAGCTAACGGTCAGGATTCTTGATTTATTATATTTGGGTCTAGAAGGTAGCAGTAGGGATCATTTTTGAAAGTTGGGGGATGATGTCATTTTGGAGAACTCACTATATAAGAAGCACTTGGTTGTTTTGGACATGAAAATTGGGGGGCAGGCTGGGCACAGTGGCTCACGCCTGTAATCTCAGCACTTTGGGAGGCTGAGGTGGGCAGATCACTTGAGGCCAGGAGTTTGAGACCAACTTGGCCAACATGATGAAACATTGCCTCTACCAAAAATATAAAAATTAGCCAGGCTTGGTGACACACACCTGTAATCCCTGCTACTAGGGTGACTGAGGCAGGACAATCACTTGAACCTGCGAGGCGGAAGTTGCAGTGAGTGAAGGTTGTGCCACTGCACTCCAGCCTGGCAACAGAGTGAGATTCTGTCTCAAAAAACAAAAAAAAAACAAAAAAAAAATTGTGGGGTAAATTTGAGTGTATGAGAATCTTAGACTATTGAATGAACATTAATTTTTTTAAAATGTCCACTTAGAACTATTTAAAATATAAACGTAAATTAGGGTTTTAATTATGAATATAAATGAGTGCATATCTGTATATTTTACAGAAACCAAAAATTTAATATTATAGAGAAATATCTGTCTTTAGGAAAGGATTATTCAAACATAGGTCAGGGATAGTAAAACTTTAGTTTTTTTTATTTCTATTTTTCTTATTTATCCCAAACTCCTTATTGTTGTTGAAGTTATAATTTATATAACTCAAGTTCTTATGTCATCTAATCCTAGATAAAACCTTTGCCTCCTACACCTGAAAGAAATAGGTTCTTTTCTCAACAGGTATTTCATTTTAATGTGATACTTGTTCTAGTTACCAGTTTAGCCTTATCTTTCAAAAAATTATTCTTAACATGTTAAAAATATATACCTATGCTATTTTTAATAGATTTTATAGTTTTAAAAAAAGATTTATATTTTAAACCAGTAGAAGTTTTAAGAATGCATCTTTATTGTTACATGTTATTTTAAAGATTTTTATCATGAAAAAGTATTCTAGGTAAGGTCTTAATTTCTGATTTTTAATTTAAATGTATCTGATCATTTTCTGATCTGGCTACAATTAATTTATATTATCTATTAAAGATCTTTTTTGTGTGCTGTTGTACCTGAATCTTACATAATTATTTTTTCTGCCATTTAAATTATTTTATCTTTAATCTCAAGTGCTCACAGTTGAACAAAACAAACTCTCAAATCACCAAATCAAGGAATACTAAATCAAGAAAGGAAGGAGAGTTTTAGGTCATCATTTTCAGTTCTTAATTCAGATTCATTGTTGAGTAGGTTTTGGCATCCGTGGTTATTGAATCTGTAGAAGTTACAGTGTTGTATGTAACTCTTAATAGTTAGGTTAATTTTAATAACTTCCACTCGTACATATTTGGAGGTCCTTTATAATTTGTTATGAAAGGTAGAATGGACCTTCCCCTCTTTTTTCCCCTTTACAGGGTCTCAAAAATAATAAAAATACTCTTTCAAAATAATAAGGTTAGAGAAACTCATTTTTGAAATTAGTCTGTTATTTACTGTAATTATAGGATATATGTGAAATAGAAACTGGGTAATACCTGTTTCTCAGGAACACACTAAAAGTATTCATATTGTGTATTATTTTCCTTATGTAATTTTGCTGTCTCCTGGTAATCTTGCGTAATCCTGAAGTCCACGTCTCTAGGCATTTTGGACTATTTTATCAAGATATCAATGGCTTTTATCTTGACCCTCAACTTCTAAGATTTAGGTTTAACTGGGACATACCGGCCCTGACATACTTTTCATTCTGTTGGTAGCCATTTGTTCCCTTATAACTAGGAAGGTACTACGTTAGTAAAATGCAGTGGCTGGTTTTCTTCTCCAGAAATCAAGGAATTGGCCATCTGTTTAGAGAACATGCCACTGTTTTCGGGAATGTTATAGTTGGAAATTTTTTAAAAACACATTTAAGTCACAAAAGAGGATTTTTTTCCCCTTTGGAAAATATAGCCTCAGACCTGATTATACTTTTTCAGAAATTCATGCCTTAGATGTGGCAGTAAAAGATTGATTCTGTAGTTCTAGTGTATTTTAATTAAGCCCAGATTTAGCATTTGTTCTATATTTTATCACTTTTTATTTAACTTTAGCTGGCACATAACTGATAATACTCGTTTTGGAGTTTACATTTGGGTTAGCCTGGTGACTTGTTACCTTCCAGATCTAGTATTTTGAACTCTTAACTCATTCAAATTAAATAGGGAAGTTGTTCTTTCTGCCTCCTGTGGAAATTTAATGTGGGCAATATTATATAGACTTTTTATGAATCTTATGTATAGTCTCATATGTTCTAGTATTTCTTAAAGCTAAAAATAGCATGCCACTTGAATATATAAAGAGTTGTAGCATAGTACCACTGTGAAAAAGGTGTTTTCCGTGTAATCTCATAGCCAAATATTTTTCAGTGTAACAAGTCACGCATGGTACTGCATGGGCATTAGGATCGCTTTAGTTTTTCTTATATCTTGATTCCTCCCATATTTGCCGTGTTTTTAAATGTTTCTCTAACCTTTACTTTGTTACTTAAATACATGATACCATATTATTAGGGAAATGTTTGAAGTACCTACAAAAAAGAAAGTGATTAATTTTGGAAGAAAGGCAGTTTTGACCTTTATCTTGGTAGAAGTGGTTTAAAGATACTAAACTTGAAATTTGTTGCTCAGTTTTGAGGTAATCTCAACCTCCCAGTTCTCTAAAACTTAGTAGTTTGGTAATGATGCATGCTTGATAATAAAGACAAATTTTACACATTACTGAGGTTAAAATTCTGCAAATGAAATGATTAAAGTCTTCAAATTTGATGATCAGATTTCCTTTAAGAAATATAATTATGACACACCAAAATATGGAACCGAAAACACTTGTTAATCCTTTCAATAATATATTTTACTTAGTAAATAAAGCACTGTGGAATATGCCTAGTAGATTCAATGTCTTTTTTCGGCTTAAAGTGTGTTAACTTACTATATTTGATTTTTAAATAGACACCAAATCCTACTGCAAGCGAGTTTATTCCTAAAGGAGGATCAACCTCCAGGCTGAGTAACGTGTCCCAGTCAAATATGTCTGCCTTCTCTCAAGTTTTCTCTCACCCATCCATGGGAAGCCCTGCTACTGCTGGATTAGCGCCAGGTAAGTTGAGTAACTATTTCCAGTGAGTTCCAGATACCATGTCTGTAAGCACCATTTACTATTAATTTATCAGAACTGAAATTGTATACTTGAATGATTCACATTTGAACATTAAGAGCTTTATGTTCTAGTTTTTGGTACCATAGGCCAAATGTGTAGTTGAGAATTTTAAAGCAAAATTTAAATATGAATGAAATTACATATAAGAATTTTTATATATAAAACTCACAAAAAAATTTAAAGGGGAAATGGTTATTTAGGAAAAAATCTATCTTTTTGTATTTCTCTATTTTTAAAACTTTGTGCTGTTTCACTCAAACTTACAAAGGCATCAGAAAGAACGTGAATATTTATGTACATATGCCTCAGAGTCCTCCTTTTACATTAAATTTCTAAAAAATAATTTAATCATTCTACATCTTTAGATGGTATTCCCTTTCAGATATTTGATTATAAATGCTATAGTAGTAATTTTAAATTGGGTAAAGTATTATAAACAGTAGTAGGAAAAAAATATACTACATGAGGGATCATTGCAGTAGAGAAAAACACTTTTTAGTTATCTTCTGCCCATAATGTACCCATAAAGTGTACCCATAATGACAGAACAATTTGGGCAAATGTGCTTGTACTCCAGGAGTCCTGAAGGCATAGTTCAATGTGACCCTTTGAGAAATCTATGATTCTTTGCAGTCTTCATTTTTATCTTAAGAATTCATGCAGATTTTGCATCTGCTACTCCATAATGTTTATTTTAGTATAAAAATATTTAAATTTTTAAAATTAACATCACTTATCCCCACTGCTGTATACCTTGATTTGGAAAGTAAGGTGGTATGCACAATCACATTGAATTCATAGTAAGTGCTGAGCAGATTGGTATCTTATGTTTGTCGAATGTTTGAGTTGCACACACAAATTAGGCTTCTAGAACCTATACAGGAAAATCATCACTTGGTCTTGGACATTAAAAAAAAAAACAGAAATAAAATGAAATATATACACACACTAAAACAAAGCCAAAGGATATATCTAGATCAGCCAGGAACTGGTACTGTCTCCAGGGCTTAATCTAATTAGTAAGTAAATCGTTGATTTAAATACTCATATATCTAATTCAAGGACCTCTTTGGGAAGAAAAATGGGAGAAGATAAAGATAACACAGTGGCGCAGAGCATCTGTTTTAGCATTAAAGTATCAGAGTACTCAGAGCTTAATAACCTTGTGTTGCTAAGGATTTTGTCAGCGCCTCATTTCCCCACCATTCTTTCTCTTACTACCTGTCTCCCTTCCAACTCCCCTCCCACCACTTGTTCCCTTACCTTTTCTTCTACTTTGGTTTTTTTCCAGGTTCAGTTAAATTTGTAAGCATTTTCCTTTCTTCCCTAGAGAGCAGTGTCAGAATTGAATATCTCTGGTAGCCTTAAAGTTTTATTGTAAGTAATATACTACTATGATTTTTCTCTTGTTGAGGTGTGTTCACATTGTTTACATGAGCATAATCTGCAAATGAGCTACACATCTTAAAATTTCTTAGGCATTGTCTAGACTTCTGAGCAGTGTTGTAATTCAACTTTATATGTCTCTTTCCAAAGCATCCGCAATAATGGGATCCATATAGCAATCAGAAAACTTTGGCCTTAATTACATGCCAGTTTATTTTGCCCTAACAATACTTCCTTCCTCGTATCAGAAATAAACATTTTGTTAACTTATTTCATGAAACTAATTTAGACATGCCATTCAAAAAAAATTAGCCTTTTCAATTGGAGGAGTTAAAAATATTAAAGGGAATTTTAAATTTAAAAACATTCAGTTTAAGAAAATCCATTAATGCTTATGGTATAGGTATAAGCTTATTTGGAGGTAGGTATATTCATTGGTCCCAATTGGACCTCACAATAGAAACTTAGGGTGAAATTAATTAATTTAAAAATTAAATTAGCTGAAAATCTATTCTTCTACATAGCCCTAGCATTAAATGGTTATTCTAGCTCCTCTTAACAATGAAAGTGATCACTCTCTGGAACCATTGGAAATAGGTCATTATATCATATGAAATGTATTCTTGAATTCTAATGACTATTATTTTAAAAGTGCTCTTCATTCAGATGACAACTCAGTTAAAATATTTTTCAACAATGATGAATTATTTTGCATTAATTATTTTTTCTGTTTGGTTATTGGTTTAACACTCTGGAGATGAGCAAAGAAAAAATATTTAAGTCTGCCTTTCGGAAAAACCATTGTACTCTCAGTGTCTTCCATCATTTCTTACCTACAAATGTTGTTTTGTTTAAGGAAGGGTTCTTGACATTTGCCGTGTAAGGTTATAGAATAAATAAAGAGTTTATTTACCTACGGTAGTGGTGATTTAGTTTATTTTTAATTCTTACTGTCTATTATAGGTGTAACTCATTGATTTTAGTTACAAGTTTTTAATTTAAAGTTTCTATCCCCAAAACTATTGCCCTCGAAAGTATCAAATTACTATAAAATATGAAACCTTAAATACTTTGACACTTATGTAAACTAGGGTAACATCATTTTCATTACGTATGGGAAAGTACATATCTAAATATATTTTTGACCAAATATATTTGTCAAAATTTTTAGGCCAGTTTATTTTGTCCCAATATTTGAGCAAAGTTGAGTGGATATTAAGAGTGGGTTTCCTCAAATTATGAGGAACAAAGGCATAATGCCTGGCACAAAGGAGACCCTGAGTGAATCACATTGCTTTTTAAAAATTTGTTTTGATCACTTAAGAAAAAATAAGTCATGTTTTTGGTATATGTCTCAATGTAAGAAATAAAACTTTATACAAATATTTGAATTTACTCACAGCTAATTAGGTTTTTAAAAAGCGTTAAAATTTGTGACATGTATTTCTATCAAATTGTATACACACTCATTTTTTAATTTAAGGAATCAAGGATTTATAGATACAGTTTTGTTATGCATATTGAACCTATGAACAATAGCTACATTTCTAAGTATCTTTTGTGAAGTTAGTTGTTTTAATGATACTAAAGATATGGCACTTGGGCTTGTCTTTAAGAATCCCTCCAGTTATGCATATTTTTATTTATAAATAGACATTTTTCTCTGGCAACAGCTTTTATTATTCTCTCAGAGGTTCACAGCCTTCCAAAATTTAAGAACCACTGTTTTTTTTTTTGTTTTTTGTTTTTTGTTTTTGAGACGGAGTTTTGCTCTTGTTGCCCAGGCTGGAGTGCAGTGGCGCGATCTCTGCTCACTGCAACCTCCACCTCCTGGAGAACCACTGATTTAACACAACTTAAGACTAATTTCCAGAGTGTTATACAGTAAGAATACTTTTAAGTAACACATAGCCTAAAGATACATTTTTCTAGTAGCTCTGGCTTAGGCAGAGGGTTTTTTTGACTAGATCTCTGGAAACGAAGTTATGAATGTGCTTAATATATGAAATAATAGTTTATACTTTAATTTTTGTGCCATGAAAAGTGATTTTTTTTTTTTTTTTTTTTTTTTTTTGAGACAGAGTCTCTCTCTGTCTCCCAGGCTGGAGTGCGTGGCTCATTCCAAGCTCGGCCTGCCAGGTTCACGCCATTCTCCTGCCTCAGCCTCGCGAGTAGCTGGGACTACAGGCGCCCGCCACCGCGCCCGGCTAATTTTTTTTTGTATTTTTAGTAGAGACAGGGTTTCACCATGTTAGCCAGGATGGTCTCGATCTCCTGACTTCGTGGTCTGCCCGCCTCGGCCTCCCAAAGTGCTGGGATTACAGGCGTGAGCAACCGCGCCCGGCCAAAAAGTAATTTTATCGTGAGAACTAATTGCTGAATGTCCTTTTTCATCAGAATTTTCCCGAGTATTTTTAATAGTAGACATAGTTAACTAAGTCTTCGTGTACTTTAGGTTTAATTACCTCAGTGTTAACAAATTTACAGTGTCACAGTGTGTTTGAAAGTGACTGTAAGTGCAGCAGGAGCAGCACACATTTCTGCATGGTGTTCTTGTGTATCATTTGGTGGTTTAGTGCACAGTTGTGTCTCAGGAATTGAGCATCTCTCCTTCTGCTTAATTATCATGTGTGGGCCCTTAGGAGGGGCAGAGATGAGTTCTTATATTTGCAAATGTCATCATTAATTTATAAATGAGAAAATGAGTCACAGTGATTTTCAGCATTTGTCAATATTCATTCCTTCAAGATGAAAATAGTGCAGTTTTTTTTTAATCATTAGATATGTTTTCTTGTAAATTATTATTACTTTAGAGAGAGTGTCTCACTCTGTCGTCCATCCTGGAATGCAGTGGCATGACCGTAGCTCACTGCAGCCTCCAGTTCCAGCTCCGGCGCAAGCAATTCTCCCACCTCAAACTCCTGAGTAGCTGGGACTACAGATACATGCCAAGTTAAAAAATTCTTTTTAAATTTTTTTTGTAGAGACGAGTTCTCACTATATTTTCCAGGCTGGTCTCAAACTAGCCTCAAGTGATCCTTTCTCCTCAGTCTTTCAAAGTGCTAGAATTATAGGGGTGAGCCACCTCACTCAGCCTTTGTTGCATATTATTAAGGCAAACTCATATGATTGATATGGGGAGAATCATCTAATTATTATACCAAAATTAGCATTATTAAATAATTGTATTCATTTATTACCAAGTTTATTTATTGTAGGCTTTTGGGAAAATAAATCCAAAGAAAATTATGTTCTTACATCCAGTTTTTTAAAAATACGGAAAAGTCATTTCTTATATATTCCTGAGGTTATGGTGCCAAATTGGTGGGTAAAATTGGCTAATACCCTTTTTTTAAATAAACATTTTTAGCTTGAGAAATATGTGAGGGAAAAAGGGAAGGGAAAGAAAAAGGGGAAATTAATATTTGTCGTTCTTGTTCAGAAATATCAAAACTTTTTATGAACGTTGTAGACTAAAAATAGTTATTTACTCTTATAATGTTGAAGGGTTGGGATAAGCAGATCGTTTTCAGTTTAAAGTTCTGTGCCAAAAAACAAAATTCCGTGATTGATTATCTCTATGGCATTTCATATCATAGATGAGCAAATGGAGGTATTAGGTATTTAAATTACATAGTAGTTGGATTAGGCAATAACATGATATTGGTTATTGATTTAAGTGGAACCTTTGGGATTTACATAGTCCAGCCTTGCGCCAATCTAGAGGTGGCATTTCTGACAGATTGTCATCTAGTCTCTGCTTAGTCATTTACAGTAATATAAGGAATTCATTAACTAACCAAGGCAGCCAGCCCAGTGTACATTTTAACAATTTGAATACAAAAGAAAACTCAGTCTTCTGCTAAACCAAAGTCTTGTCTCTCTTCCATCCACTTGTCCTAGTCCTCTCCTTTTTTGCTGAATGGGAAAAAAAAACTTTCCTATATGATAGTTCTTTTAGTTATTTTATTCTTCAGACTAGTTCTGTGTGTGTCCATATAACTGATTTATTTGTAAGACAGACAAGGTGGCGTCAGGCAACCGGGGAGAAGTATTATTCAGTTCAACGAATTGTATAGGTCCAAAATTGTGAACTCTTGTAAGTCATAAGGAATAGAACACTAGTGTGGGTAAAATTAAATCCACAGATATGTCTACCTAGCTATATTACTACTTTGGTATCCAGCTAAGGAGTGTACCATTGGGAAAACAGGAAACTCTTTGGAAACTGTTCTTTTTTTGGGGAAACAGGATGAATCTATGGTCTTGAAGATGGTGAATATCTAAGCTCAGACTTTAAATTTCATTGTGCGTTTTAGGGCTCTACGTTAAGTCTTTCAAGGCACAAAAACTCCATAAGCGATTGCTTTAGATTATTTTGTGTTTACTAAGTGATATAATTATTAAAAATAAAAATTGTAACCATATTTATATGGTTCTTAAATATCACCAGTTTTAATAAACATAACAGATTTTCCTTGTAATTGTTTCTCAGAAGTCTACTGTTAAATGGATTCTGTGGGATAGTCAAATAATTACAGCTCAAATTAATTTGATTTCTGTCTAAATTGAATTCTTCAAATTAGTTTTGTACTTAATATCAATAATGGTAGTTTGGCATTAAAGTATCCTTCTAATTAATTAATTAGATTTCCTAAACATCTCACAAATTGCTTAAGAAGAAGGGACCATGCCATTTCTCATCTAGTACAAATTTAGGTATAAATGGTGTTTAATAAATGCTTACTCAATAGATAAGGCTTAATTTTTGTCTTGGAAAATAATTTTGTAATTGTTAGGTATCTCTTAAGTACAGTGAATTTTAATTAATAAACATCTTTGAAGAACTTCTAAAAACTGCAAATGTTCAAGAATATGCAGGTGAATAGTCAAATGAGGAACAGAAATGTGCCTGGTGAAAAAGTTTAACAGCATCAAAACTAGACACTGTGTTTTGAGATGCTGAAGCACTCTTATAACCAATTAAAGTATTTGTATTTTTAAATTGCATGTTTCCATTCTTTGTAACTACTTTGTTTTTCAGGTATATTCAGCAGATTCATTCAAATCTTTCCAAGTTATTTAGTTTGGAGATTGCTTTCTTCATTAAAAAACAAGTAAATTAACAACTATTTTATGATTAAGATGAGGGATCTCAAGGTTTTTGTGAAGTGGACCTTTTAATTGCCCTGTAATGAGGAGCTCATCCTAGAAGGAAGCTCCTCTGTGTATGCATGTGTAAGGACACAGATTGTGATGCCCCTGGGAAATTTACTAACAGTAGAACTGTAGAATCATAACAGGGTTGGGAGTGCCTGCTGGCTATATTCCCTTCTCAGTTGGGAATTTCAGGAAACTGAGGCGAGACGTTTATGGCGCAGAGAGGGATGTGGCTGCTGCAGCTGGCTTGGAGACCTGTCAGGTAAGGCTTAAATAGCTACCAGTAGATAATATTCTACTGGTTGTGGAATCCCTGGTTAATGGGTCCTCATAGGTATAAGAGTTCCTCTTGTGAACTTCCTGTTTAAATCTCATTGAATTGGCTATTTTGTCCCATAATTAGGGGGTAGGGGCTGGATGGGAGTGGGTAGGGATTTCCTTTAACTACGAGTTACCGATCCAGTGATCTACAGCTGCAGCAAAGTCTCTTGCTGCTCTTGGACTGCTTTCAGTGTATTATGACTCGATTGCCTTTAGAACATGGTACCAGTTCTACTGAAGCAGCTATGTGATTTTCAGCATACCGCTTGGTTTCTGTGTTTTAGAGTCTTCAGTTCTATAAGAAGGTAATAGTAGATGATTTTAAGTCTTTCTAATCTAAAATTCTGTGTTTTTGAGACATGGAAATCTGTAGAAGCATAGAGGACAGTAAAGAGACAGAAATGAAGACAGTGGTGCGAAGTAGTAAAAAGGGAAGGATAACATTTGTACTAGACTTAAGAAAGATTTTAGAAGGCATATGGACTTCTTGACTTATTCTGTGTAAATAGAAAATCTTCCCATGGCTCCCTTTGTTTCATAGGTGGAGATGAGGGGAGTTTTGTTTCAGCAAATGTAAGATTAGAGTCTGGGGTGAATCAGAGTATTGTATTTGTTCTGGATGAACTGAGAAGCAGAGAGAACAGGTGTAAATGAATGCCCGAGAATGTTTCCGATCTGTTTCATAGCTGAACGTGGAGAGTTAGATGTCGATCTTCCTTCCACCTTCTTCTTTAGTCAAGTAGGTTGAGAGCACCAGGGATCATTTTTTCTTCAACCTTTTAGCTCAGTGATACCCAGAGCAATGTGCCTACTCAGTGGAGAAGATAGTATTTGTGTGAATAAATTTACTGTTCTGTGTGTTACATGTCTAGTTAGGAGTGGTCCTCTAATTCTGTAGGAATGAATCAGATGGTTGTAGCCCCTTCTGTTTCTTGAATTATCCTTTGATTCTTCTCAGCTTGACCATGAAATTCATCTTTTTCTTATTCTTACTGCCTTTCAGATGTAGTTACTCTAGAGTAGGGCATGTAGGTAGGGTCTTAGTAAAAGGAGAGGAATTATAGATGTGGCCTTTTTCAAACCCCCAATGCATATAGGCATGTAAATCCTACTCATAAATGCCTGCAACAACCTAGATGTGGATTGCATATTTATTATGGTAATAATGTTTAGTTCTAAATTTTTCAGTCACGAATCTCTTACATATTGATATGTCTGAAATAAGATGTTTTCTTAGGATTTCATAAGCACTTTTCTATATTTTACATGTGGTTGTCTAGATTTTAGCATGGTATCCCTATACATAGTAACTAATAACTAGTAGTCATTTGGTGGGGGTACCTTTGAGAAAACAGTAAAATTAACAGTAAACAATAACATTAAGATTAAATATATTAACATCCTATTGATGTTAATTAGTATTGGTGTAAAGGGTGTCAGTGTATTCATCAGCTGCTCTCTCCGCCATAGTTAATATGCTGCTCTCTCAGCCATAGTTAATATAGGTCATAATCTTATTGCTCACTGTGTGCGAGGTGGTGTAAGTTAAACTGCCCAAACAAATAGATCCAAAATGTAATGACATGGCTTAATATGACAAAAATGTATTTCTTGCTTTTGTAACACTCCAAGGCAGGTGTTCAGGTTGGCTAGGATGCTCTTCACATAGCTTATAAGGGACACAGGGGAAGAGCTTCTCAGCATCTCTCAAGTGAGCTAGAAAGGAAGGGGAAGAGCATGAAGGAGCAAGAATGGGAAGATGGGATGACCCAAGCCTGGAAGTTTCTCCTATGATGACTTTTGACTAAAATCTGGACTTAAACTATTTTAAGCAGCTTGGCTACATTTCCCAGCCTCCTTTAGAAGCAAAAGTTTTTAACAGTTGATCCTGGTTATCTCATGAATATACATTTGAGATATTTTCTCATTTGCATCTTTTGTAATGACTTTAAAAATATCACCAAAGCAGCTGCAATAACTGATTTATCTAGCGTCAGGGGAAATGAATCTTTCCAGCATACTTGAATTTTTTGGGTATCAGAAGCTTACAGTTTTAATTGTCAGAACTTTATATTTTCCAAAATTTTTCCATAGTACTCTCTGGCTTAAAACAAAATATAATCTTATTTATTGATGACTCTTGTTCAACTATATGTGCCTCAGTAATTGTATTGAACCAGAATACACTGACTCTTTACATATCCAAGTTTGTAGAGGAGTTTATTTCAAGTTATGTGATTACTTAGATTTGTTATTCTTTCCACTGGTCTTCTGCTCCAATGAATTAGTTATAACTTTTTGAAGGTAAGGTCTTTCTCTTGCTTCTGAGTCTCTTAAAGTGCCTGAAAGTAGTGCCTTGAATGGCCATAATCTGGCAAGCTTACTTTGATCATTTTTTTTGTTTTTATTGGCTTTTTTATTGGTAATTCTGTTGTGCTGTTTGTGACAGTGATTCTCAAATTTCAGTCTACCAGAATCACCTAGAGGCTTGTTAAACTCCAGCATTTGCGTGGTTCCATCCCCAGAGTTTCTGATTTAGTAGCTCTGGGTGAACCAGGGAAGATTTGCTTTTCTGATGTGTTCCCAGGTGTTGCTGATGCTGCTGCTTGTCCTGGGACTTCATTTTGAGAATGACTGCTCGATTTAGAACTTTTGTCATTCTTATCTCCTCTTTCCTCTTAATCTCCCTTTCTCATCCTCCTCCTAATCTGCTGAGAGCTAAGAACACAAAGATATCTTTTAGTACCTCTTTTTTTTTTTCTTTTTTTTTAAATGAGAAAAAGGCTTTGAGTCAAGGACTTGAATTGTTTCCTGTGAATAAGGTACATGAGCTTTATATTATCCTTTGGCTGAGGCTAGTATCACTTCATTTCTGGTTAATGTCTGTGTTCTGAATAACTAGAGTTATTGTTGAATTCATGAATATAGGAGTTGCCGATGCTTAGTCATGAATAAATCTGGGAAACGGATTCCTTCCACCTTGGTAATGTTAGTGAGACAAAATATAAATTAGTTACTATAACTTTTAGTTTTTCAAAATACTTAGGAAATGAGTAGCATAAGTACTGTGGCTGTTTAAAATATAAAACCCTCAAGCAGAGTTCCATGGATGGAAAAAAAAAACAACCCTATGGTTCTGGAACTAGTAATCAGATATCTTTTATTTACATGTTACACTTTAATATGTATGTTTTTAAATTGTTACAAAAAAATCAACTAAATTGTTCACATGAGAACATGTCCTGGCAAAAAAAGAAAGAGAAAATAAGAGAAAACAACTAAATTGTTGTTAATGTTAGATAAATAAGAGGCACTTATTGATTCAACCACAGTTTTCTGGAGATCAACTTTAATTTTTGTTTGTACTTTGGTGGTAGCTTTTTTCATTGGAAAGAAATCCAAAATTAAAATTACATTGTTAACTAAATCTTACTTTTTTGTGTGAATTTTTGTAATTAATTTTCATAAGACACTCTTGTCTTTAAGTTTCTTGTTTGTAAACAACACAACACAATTTATCACTATGAATGAAGGACACCATTTACTCAAACAGTCACTACCACTCAAGAAGAAAAAAATGGTTCTTTTCAACCAAAACAGTTATATTTAGTAGCTAACACCTTTCTTCCCTCTGTTTTGATGCTTCGTTTAAGTAAGTGTTATTATTTAAAAGATTGCCACCATTGTAGAGTCTAGGGAGATCCCATCATTTTAGATCATTTGGCCAAGTTTGGGGACAAGCAGGTAGGTTACTGTTTTGTTTCTTCAAACATAGAGACCGAAGTAAGTAACCTACTATTATAGGCCAGTGGGTAAGATTCCTACTAGTATAGTTAAAACCCTGATGCTGGTTTTTTAAAATATGTTGAATTATTCATGTTTTTGGGATTTAGGCACTGCACTTTATACAATCAATAGTCTAATGATATTTGTTAAATTAATTAATGACAGTTCATCTAGAAATGACACCATTAATACAGGCAAGACTGAAGTTATGTCAAAGGGAAGATTACTATGTGTAGACCAGGAAAACAAAGTAGTTGTGCAGGCTGTGATCTCTATCAAATATTGAGGACTGTGTGTTTGATAAAGCTCAGGTTAAATTCATCATATAAATTGACATTATGTGCCTGAGTTTGGTCAATAAGATTAAATACATTTTATGAGAAAGCTTTAAGGTACTTAATTATTTTGTTAATGCTTACAGTATTTCTAATACCAGATAGTCTTAAGTATCTATCATAGATAGATATTCAGCCAAAATGAAGTAGGATTATATAAATTAGTTGATGAAATTCTGTAGTTATTAAGGGGAAAATCAGAGATGGAAATTAAGTTGCAATTATTTGGGTTAGATCCACATGGCCTCTATTAAAGGTGATTTACATGTAAAAATAAGTCTAGGCAACACAGCATGACCTGGTCTCAAAACAAATAAACAACAACCATAGGCAGGTATGGTGGCACACACCTGTAGTCCCAGCTACTTGGGAGCTTGAGGCGGGAGGATTGATTGAGCTCAGGAGTTCAAGGCTGGAGTGAGCTATGATCACACAATTGATCTCCAGCCTGGGCAGCACAGTGAGACCCTGTCTCTGAAAATGAAAATAAATAAATAAATAAATCTTTTTAGAGTACTTTGAAATTTGTCGTTTTATTGCATAATATAAAGAGATTTTGTACTTTTAATCAGTTCATGGTGTTATAATTGAAATGTCACTGTTACGCAGTCATAAGGTAAACATTTAGCACTTTTCCTTTATATTTACCCAAAAGTGAAAACCAGTTCTTGTTTACTTCTCAAAAAAATGAAAAAGAATACTTTATTTGTAATATCTTTGTAGTCTCATTCACAGAATTCCTAATCCCCCGCAACCCGGAGGCTGTAAAAATGAGGATAAGGGGTTAGAAATTTCCAAGAAGTGACTGTTGTTAAGATAGACATTGAAGGACAGCAAAATAAGAGTAGAATTAGGTATCATAAAGAGCATAGTCTTTGAATCCAAGGTTCAGTTTACCCCGAATCTAGATGTTGGATACTTCAAGAGTAGAAAATTGTTCTATCACATCCTAAAAAACTGTTGTTTTAATGGTAACTATTGATTTGACCCACTTTAAATGGGATATATTATATTTGCATATAGAAGATGAAGCTCTAGTAGCTTCAACGTAAAAAAAAAAAATCTTTGAAATGTATGCTCACTTTGGCAGCACATACGCTAAAATTAGAACAGTACAGAGAAAACTAGCATGGTCCCTGTGCAAAGATGACATCCAAATTCATGAAGTGTTCTGCATTATAATATATTTTTAAAAAATTTATAAAGATTAAAAAATAAAAAATTTATAAAATACTGTATTGAGAATTTAATTTCCATTGGCATAAACACAAATGATATGCACAGAATTACATATACATGTATTAGGAATCACATTAAGTGTTTAGATAAGGGATCTGTTAATTTGAGTTCGAGGGTGAGCAACCCTTATCCAAAAACTTTTTTTTAAAGACTCCCTTTTATTATGTTAGGCTAAAATTGTAACCTGTTGACAGAAAATAACATAACTGTGATCTATGGGGAAATCAGGCCTCTATGAAAATAATGATTTGTGAGTGTACATATTCCTCATCAATTTTACAGAACAAGTTTTTAGGTTAGATTCATTATAAAACATCTGAATTTACAGATTAGAATACTATTATCTTTTTTTTTCTTGAGTAGCTTAATAGATATCCAGCATGCAGATTGTTAAACTAGAATACGAAAATTTTAAATCAGTAATTCTGAAAGGCAAATGTATTGGTATAGTTAGGAAAATCATGGGTAGTAACTTCAGATGGTTGCTTTTAGTAATTCTTTAAAAAGTGGAAAAAAATTATGTTAAAAACCTCATATAGAGGAGAAGGGATTTTTGTGATTTGCTTAGGTGCATTTTTTCCTAATATTTGGAAATTATGACACTTTTTTTTTTTTTTTTCAGGCGGAGTCTCACTCTATTGCCCAGGCTGGAGTGCAGTGGCATGATCTCGGCTCACTGCAACCTTGGCCTCCTGGGCTCAAGCGATTCTCCTGCCTCAGCCTCCTGAGTAGCCGGGATTACAGGCGTGTACCACCACACCCGGCTAACTTTTGTATTTTTAGTAGAGATGGGGTTTCACCATGTTGGCCAGGCTGGTCTCAGACTCCTGACCCCAAGTGATCTGCCCACCTCGGCCTCCCAAAGTGTTGGGATTACAGGCATGAGCCACCATGACCGGCCTGGAAATTAAGACATTCTTATTAGAATTGTGGCTTATTTTGTTTGGAGGAAAAGTATATTGTGTAGCTGTGTGCATTTTTTTATGTTGCAAATTAATTTTGTGTTTGAACATTTATTCCTTGAGGAAGCTTTAGAGGTACCTCAGGATGTCATAAAATCAGTGTAGAAATTAAAAAGGCTTTTATAATTTCACTGGCAAATATCAGGTTTATAGTCTTTCTAAAATCTAATCTCCCTGATGTTTTCCCTTTGTATTTCTGTAAAAAGAATATAGTTCCATTTATTTCATCAGAAATTCTGTTTTATTGCATTAACATTGATTTCATGTTAATCTTTTAAAAATTAACCAAAGATGTGTATCAGCATTTCCCAAGGTGCTTTTAAAATATACATTGCTGGCCAGGACCCCTAAACCTACCAATCCAGTTTCTCATCCAGACCTCCATTTTTCTTTTCTTTCAGTTCTATAAATGTCTTTTTTTAGAAAGCCTTTCAGGTATTGTGATGTCAATCCTATTTAAGAACCAGTGCCTTAAGAGAGTTGAGGCAGTTAAGAAGCACTAGTGTGGTCTGGTACAGTCAGGGAGAACAGGCTTCCCCCTTCCTCTTACTTTCAGTTCCATGTGGGTTTTGTTGTTGTTATTTTAAGAGGCAGGGTCTTGCTCTCTTTTCCAGGTTGGAATGCAGTGGAGTGATCATAATTCATTGCGGCCTTGAATTCCTGGGATCAGGCAGTCCTCCCACCTTGGCCCCCAAAGTGCTGAGATTACTGGCCTCCATATGTTAATAATTAGAAGAAAACTTTAATATATTGTTTATTATGAAAAATTAAAATTTTTCATGTTTTGGAGTTTTGTATGATTATGAAGATACTATTGGTGTGCATGTGAATGTATAATTTCTATATGCTGTAAAAATTATAGGTAACAAGGGTTTTAAACTGATTAATTCATTTTCCCATCTTCAGTTTTCTCTGTAGCTACTACCTAAGCTATGTGAAAATCTCTTAATTGCCTTAGGAAAGTATGTCCTAACTTGTCTTCATACCTCAATTCATTTTAGAATTTATTAACTCTTATCCTACATTCTGTTTGCTGAGTTAAGGCTTTTTCTTCTCTAGGCTTTTATGAAGTTGAGTAAACTGATCATCTTCCTCTTGAGTATTCTTTATTTTTCTTTCTTTTTTGTTTTTAATTTCAAAACCTTCATTTTAAGAAAGATTCTTGAACAGGAAACCTAAGGTTTATTTTTGTGATCTTCATTTTCCATATCTACTTGGCTTTCATATTATATCTATGAACTGTCTTCTATTTTCCTTTTTTTACTCTTGCCATCATAGCCGCTTCCATGCACTATTTAGGCTAATTGGTCTACCCTTGCATTTCTTTTTTGTATAATAACAAAAGTAATCTTAAATATAGACCAAATCATGACTAAATTGTCATTAGAATAATTTCCAAGCCCCTTACCATGGCCTGCATAATCTGTTTTATATACCTATAATCTCACCTGTCATTCTTTCCCTTGTGTACTCCGTTCTGGCCTTTTACTGACATTCCCCAAATAATGTAAAGCTCCTTTTGATTCATGTTCTCTGCATGTGTCATTCCTCCCATTCCTTCCATGGCTGGTTCCTTCTCTTCTTCTTAGGTCCCTGCTAAAGTGTCACTTATAAAAAAAGGCCTTTGACAATGTAAAGGAAGTTTCCCACCATTATTTTCCATCCTCTTCCCCTGTTTACTTCCTTTAAATAATTGAAGGTTCTATTAAAATACTGCCATCTTTCTTTTCTGATTAAATGGACCTAGTCCCTTTGACTCTACTTCATATAGGACCTCACTCTTTTATGAAGTACATCTCCTGTTCTTTAAGAATATGTATTTGAACATGGTCAGCCTTTTCCCCATCATCTCTGTGCCTTTGCTTGGGCCTTATGTTGCCTGGAAGGCTCTCCTATTTATTGAGATCTTTGCCTGCTTTTTATTGATTAGGTCAAATGTCATTTTCTTGGAAGTCATAGCTACTTCTCTGGTCATTATAGTATCTCCCATTTCTTTGCTTTTATAGTGTGTTGAGTATCTCATAATTTTTTAGTATTTTTGTCTTTCTCTAATATACACACACACACATACACACACACACACACACACACACACATATATATATATATGTATTTATTTTAGAGATAGGCTGTAGCCCAGGCTGGAGAGCAGTGGCTCGATTGTAGCTCACTGCACCCTCAAACTCCTGGGCTCCTGTCTCACCCTGTGGAGTAGCTAGGACTAGAGGCACTCACCACCATGCCCAGCTGATTTTTAAATTTTTTTTTTTTTTTTTATGGAGTTGTGGTTGCTACAGGCTGGTGAAAGTTGCTCCAGGCTGGTCAAACTTCTGGCCTCAAATGATCCTCCTGCTTCCACCTCCCAGAGTATTGGGATTACATACGTGAACCCCGTGCATGGCCTTCATGTTAGTTTTATACGTATTTATTTCCTCCACTAAAGTTAAATGCTCCTGTGGTATTTTATCCTTTATTGTGCTCACATATGAAGAGCTACAGTTAAGTATTAAGATTGAACATTTTTAAGCATTTTAATGAGCTTTATGGTAGAATGTGAACTGTGTGAGTTTAGACCTAGGTTTTATTTCTCGATATCTTCAATTTTTAGAATCTTGCTCAGCGTTTGATCTCATGCTGGTTCCAGTGAGCTTTCATATATAGGTACAGATCAGAATCACATACGGTGCTTTGAAAATATAAATTCTCTAGTCCCCATCTAGGACCTATTAAATCAAAAACACAGATTTGGAGCATCAGCCTTTATCTATATTTTTAAAAAATTCACAGGAGATTCTAACATATACCCCTTTACATCTAGAGTAAAAAATGTTCAAAATGCCAGAAAATTTGAAGGAAGGTAAATTTTATCTGATTTGAATGAGGATGTAAAGGAAAAAACTTTCATGGAAGAAGAACTGAGATGGTTTTTAAAGGAAGGATAAGATTTTTTTATCTGTTTTAAAAATGGGCAGTTGAGAGTCAGTGAAGTTTGTTATTTTTTCTATTTGTTTTAACCAGTTTAGCATAAAGACAATGTTCTCAGTGAATGTTTAAAAATTAATTCAGTCTGAATTAGGTGAAGACTGAATGAACATCTGTGAAGAAAATCTCAGGCATGGTTCCAAGCCATAGGCTTAGAGCAGGGTTCTTTTTATTTTTGTAGAGATGGGGTCTCCCTTTGTTGCCCAGCCTGGTCTTGAACTCCTGGACTCAAGCGATCCTCCTGCCTTGGCTTCCCAAAGCGTTTTGTTTTGTTTTGTTTGTTTTTCTTAAAAGCAAACAGTACCTTGGTATCAGTGCATATTGGTTAAATATCAGCTCTCTAAAAGTGATGATTTTGCATGACTATTTAGAATATTGAAATCATATGGATTCTTTTGTTTTACAGAGCTCTGTCTTAGGCTCTTAGTCCCTGCTTTTGTTATGTGGAGTTTCTTTTTATCTTTTCAAATATTTATATCCAAAGAGTAGAATTTTGTTTTAAAATTAGCATTGTTAGGCCAGTGAAAACATTAGATTGGGCTGGAACATGGAAAAATTAATGGAAAATGGCCTAGAGGTAGACAGATTTTTTTTTTTTACATGTTAAGTACCTGATGCTCCTCTTTTAAAATCTTTTTAACAGTTTTATTTGCCATCAGCTTCACAGAGTTTGGCACATTGTTTCTTGAGGGTTGTCAGAATGTGGGGAGAAGAGACTAGTAGGTAATAAGACTGGAAAAGATGGGTTGGAACCTAACTATATCACTGGAACTCAGAAATGAACAGGCAACCAAACCTTAAGACTTAATTATCATTTCTGCCCCTAGAGAACCTGTGAACCAGAAGCACCAAAACTTAATTAGAGCTTAGAACATTAGTTTTCATACATTTTTAAAAAATAGCAGCAGTACTCTTGTGAAGTCCTGTGTGAACCCCCAAACCTAAAGTTACATAAAGCAGATAAAGCTGGAATTTACCGGTTCGGGTTTATTACATTAACTCATAAAGTTATTCAGTGAGAATAACAAGGCTATGTAGTATTTTATTGAATATAATAGCTTGAAATTGGTGGGTGAAGAATAATAATTAACTTTGTATCCCTCAAGTCTCCTTTTTTATATTTTTAATCATATAGTAACATGAAAATCATGAATTCCATGGGTAAGTTGTGTACTCATGTGTTCAAGTTTCTCTGAGTACATGTGCATTTAAACAAAGATTATTGCAGAGTCACTACCTTCCTAATAAAAAACATCTGTATGTATGCACAATGGTGACAAGAGAGAGGCTTTACCTTGAGGTCTGCATGAAAATATCCTAACCCAACACAAAATTAAGTATATTGGTGTTGGTATGTTAAAACATGAATGCATGTTAATTTGACCTGCATTTGTGTGTTTTTATTTATTTAATAAACAGTGGAAAAACAGATAAAAAGAAATTCAAATCAGGCATTTACAAAACCCCGAGGCACTGCTGGAAGCCTAAGGTGTAGTTAAAACTGTTTTAAAACCACTGCCATAGGTGGCCTGTTTCTCAGTAGGAGGGAATTTACCAGTACATAGGTTAAGGAGGCTGGAAGGCTGCAGCACTTTTCTTAGCTGAGATTCCTCATTTGAACCAAAGAGTACAGAAAAGTGATATAAGCGATTATTTTGTCATTCTGCAAAGGGTAATGTCTATCAGGTGGCATTATACAATGGGTGTTTAGCTCATTGGTGCTTAATCCCCCTGAAACCCCTTTTGAAAGGTTGGGAAAGTGAGGAATCAATAAGGCATTAAAAACCAAGGAACCAAACAAAAAAGACACTTAACCAAAATGTCAGATGCCTATATTCAAATGAGTACAATTTTCAAGACAATGCATGGTCACTACTATATTGTATTTCACAAGTCTGAGCTCTTAGGCACTGAGTTTATGGCTGAGAATCAAGATTTGTTCATGTTAAAACTTGGAAATGAGAAAGATATATTTTAATTAGGATAGATTTTCATTTGATTAATTAATAGCATTGATACTTTTTTTAATGAAAAGTTGTATTGGCCACCTTCATGATTCTGTCTGGATGCAGGCTTGAGTAACGTTTGTAAACAAAAAAACTTTCAGTCTAATTCATACAAAAGGAAAAATGATGTTTCAGTGTTATGAAATTAGCTTGAGCTCTTTAGTTCCTTTTCTTATTTTTTCCCCTTTTTTTTCATAATAGTGTATTATAGATAAAACCACTAACTCATAAAATGGGAATGTTCCCTTGTTTTGTTATGGCATATCTTGAAGCTCAAAGGCTATGCATGTTGATTTTTTTTTGGGTTTAGACATAATAAGGAAGGCAAGCCACTATTTGAGGTCTTGAAACAGAACATGTTACTCTTTTCAATCTTTTGATTCAGAATATTTTATTTAACAAGTGAATCAGAACCTTGAATTTAAGGAATTATGTAACATTTCACTAGTTCATTATGTATGGCGTTAAGCAGAGTTACTCTAGATATCCAAACTGCTTTTCTGGTGGAGACTTTTAATCCCACCCCCCCCACCCCCCACCCCCGCCAACACACACACACACACACACACACACGCATGCACACACGCACACACACACACACACACACGGAAAGTAACCAACTTGTCAAAGAAAAAATACAACAAAATGAAAATAGCTTTGGCCCTTATAATACTTTCCATTTATGTTCCCTTCATATTTTTTCCCAGTGAGAAACCATATGGTTTGTGCTATAGCTTCTCTTGAAAACTTTGTTAGCTATTTAACAATCTCACTGTAACTGAGTGAAAGCTTTAATCAAGAACTGCCCATGACATATAGATGCCTTTGGTTCATTGGCTACTTCTGTAGTTGAAAGGAAGTTGAACTATTTTTTTGGACCCAGTAAGTTTGTCCTTTCCACTTGGGTGTTGAAAGAGCTTATGAGCAGTAGCTGTTCTGATTTTTGTTGGTTGTTTTCTCTAGGGAACAAGCTACCCTCTGAGTCAGCACTGGACTTGAAGATAAATCCTACAATTCATGAAACTGACTGATTCGACTAAAGGATGGATAGTTTGGGCAGCGTTGGACAGCTCTATGAGGGGTCTGTTTGTTTAACTGAAGGGATTGTTGAGTTCAGCAACTTTTAATTCCCCTAATCATAAGGGGTTGCTGTTGTGAAAACAGGGTTTGTGAAGGAATCAGTTCTGGCAATTAACATCAGTATTCTTACTGACTTCGTTTTTATTTTATTGTCAAACTTCTTTAAAGTGGATAAATTTTACTGCTTTTTTTGCCAGCAAGAATTTGTATGCACTGAGAGGTCAGCATAGAAGCTTTGCAGTCTACTTATGAATCCAAGTTTCTTTTTTTAAAATATATGAGGTTATAAACATTTCTCTCAAGTAAACTTTTTGACACTTGGATTATTTCATCTTTACAAAGGTAGTATGCATTTGTGGCTTAGAATTTTTAAGATTTAATGGAACTTAATTTGAGTAGTAAATATTTTGCTAGTTTAGTGAGTATATTTTGGCTTATGGCTAACATGCTTTTTAGATAACTTTTATTAATAAGATATAATGAATTTTTACCCTAAAACTTTACAGGCTTTTAAAAATCAATCTTTGAGGAAATGAGATTAATTATAATGTTTAATTATATGGATTTTTAATCTGAAACATGAGGGATTTAAGCTACAGAATAAAAAGCTTCATACCCTAATTTTCTGGGCCATAATTATACAGGGATACAGTGGATTGTCTTTTTGAAGATAAAACATGCTGTGGGATGACATAGAAAATCCCAAAGCTGTGTCTGTGTGATAACGCATATAATTTTGTTATTTAAGAATTAAAAGATTATAAATGTATAAATTTTATTTTAATCATTTGAAAGTTGGGATGGTTGAAAATATATAGGAGTAATGATAGTATTACCTAGCCAGTATTTGAGTAGATTCTTTAAATATCTTTGATTGATTAGGCTAGAAGTACAAATAGTCATCCATCATGGCAGAGTTTAGAAAATTGGGCTTTAGACAAATGAGTTTGCAGAAAATTCAACTTTCGCTCCATAGCTGCATGATTCTTATTACCTTGTTAAGCTTGATACTTTTGATTAAGAACATTTTTTGCCAGATTTGATTTTCTCTGCAAAGGTTAATTTGATTGAAAAAATGAAATTATTTTGAGGAAAGAAGTAAAGGCTAGTATTATTTTAGTGTCTACTTTCTGATTCTGTTGATTTTTGGATGGTGAAGTGGTTGGTTTTATATTGTACACTCTATTCTGGGATGAGATCCATGTTTAAAACATACATATGCCTATGTCTTGTTTGTCCCAGTCATATCTTTATTTGTGTCCACTTTTAAATTTTCCTTTTCGGCCGGATGTGGTGGCCCATGCCTGTTATCCCAACACTTTGCTGGGAACCGAGGTGGCAAGGTTGCTTGAGTCCAGAGTTCAAGACCAGCCTGGGCAACATGTTGAGACCCTGTCTCTACAAAAAATACACAAATGAGCCAGGGGTGGTGGCATGTGCTGGTGATCCAAGCTACTAGGGAGGCTGAGGCAGTATATGATTGCTTGAGCCTGGGAAGTTGAGGCTTCAGTGAACCATGTTGGCGCCACTGCACTCCAGCCTGGGCAACAGAGTGAAACGCTGTTTCAAAAAAAGGACAAAAGAAAGAAAAAAGAAAGTTCTCTTCAACAGAAGGCTGTACTTGCATATAGTATATAGTCATCTGGAGCTTGGGAATTTTTTTGACTAGGTTGCATCAATTGCAAATAATGCTGTGACATTCAAACTTTAATTGCAATAGTAATTATGCTGAAATACCTTCCTTAAACTCAGTTTCTTCTTCTATTAAGAAGAGCCAGTGATAGAAATGGTCTGAGGAATAAAGCTTGTCTCTGAAGCACTGAAATAACAAGTGGTGGTGGCAGGGGTGGGGTTGTGAGGGAGGCTTCGTTGAACTCAACTTTGGATAGTTTATTTATTTCTACTCTTTGAATCATAAGGAAAATCAAAGAAGAGACTTTATTAATTCTTAACATGTTTAGGACTCTTAGAATTTGGGGATATAAACACAGTGTCTGTGTTTTGGGCTATAAGTGTGTATTCTTTAATTTTGGGTGATTTGGGGAATTTGGTTAAAAATGAATAAGTATTTGTAGTAGTAGCGCATTTTTTGTATTTTGATTATGATTACATAAGTTCCTTAGTATGATTTTTCTCATGGCAAAAGCCCCAGATATTGGCCTTGTTATTAAGAAGATAATGCTTCACATGTTCTCAAGTCATCTGTTCAAGATGACATATGTTTTATTAATTTCTAATCTAAATCATTATCTTCAATGTAGTTAGACATGACAATTTATTATTGAGGATTTAGTTTGGTTATTGGAACTTCATTAAAACTATTTGTATAACCCATGTTTACCCAGATTGCATTGACCTAGAAAAAGTAACACATACTAGAGTAATGAGACTTTGTCAGAAGAATGTCCTTCATCCCAGCTTCCTTCACATTCCTCTATTTCTCTCGTAGTGTCTAGTGGGTTGTTTCATGTTTGCTTTTAAATAGTATTGACTGACATATGTGCTGCTTGATAGCATGATCATTTACTTTTCCTCTGCCCCCAGATTTTTGTTATACTTAGTACTTCTTCCGTGATGGCCTTTGTCAGTGCAGGCAATTTGATGATGATAGCTATTGCTGTATTTAGCATCTTGGTTGTTGGTACCAAGAAAAGAGGAGATCTTCACCTCTAATCCATTTTTTTTCAACAAAATTATTTTTTTGAATAATTTCCCATCTACACAGTGTGCCATTTACATGTGTAGATGGGAATACAGAGAGGATTAAGGCACAGTTCTTCCCCATAGAACAATTGAATCACATGTGGTATTTGCAGCAAAAAGAAGAACAAAGTGATGGGAATAATTTTTAGATATGGGTGTCAAGAAAATCTTCATCAAGAAGGTATTTCAGAAGGATGAACTAGAATTTACTGTGAGGTTGAGGTTTAGAGTATTTGGTGTTGGCAAGTACGGCTGTTGATGTATGAGAGGAAGGAGAAGCTTTTTTGATGTGTGGGTACATGAAGCATCATGGTGTCTTCAGAGAAGCTGTATCAATCTTTAGAGAATTTGAAAAGAATCTTCATTACAGTATTGTCTTCCAATCTGTGAACATGGATGGGTTCTCCCTCTCCAGTTGTTCCCAGGTTGTCTTTAATGTCTTTCCACAAAGTTTTGTAATTATTCATGTTTAGGTCTTATACATATTTCGTTAGGTTTATTTTGTATCTTTATACAGGATGCTTTGTAGTACTCACTGGTATCATAATTGGTGTCTTTAAAAAAATCTTTTAAATGGATTATTTCTGATGTTTAGATATATGGTAAACTTTTGTATTTGGTCACCCTGATAAACTCTTATTTCAAATATTTTGTAGATTCTTGTATTTGGATGATGGCAAACAATGATAGCTTTATTTCTTCCCTTCCAGTTTTTTTTCCTGCCATCTTGTGCTGGCTAGGGCCTTTAGTACAATGTTATAGAGAAGTGCTCATAGTTGATATTTTTGTCTTGTTACTGATTTTAAAAAGAATGTTTTTGATATTTCCCTATTTAGGATGATCTTCACTCTGGAATCTCAGATGCACTTGATTTGGATACCCTTTTTAACTTTTCTGGTTGAAGCAAATATTCCAGATTTTACTGGAATGGATTTAAAACCTTGACACTAATTCATGAGGCATTTATTCAGTGACTTTTATGGGCCAAAAACATAAGCAAAACAAAAATTTTCACTTTTATGGAATTCACAGCTTTTATTTTTCATTTGTGTCTGTCTTCATTTGAATTACTTACACTTTGAATTACTTGCCATTATCATAATGAAAATGTTTTAATTGGTAGGTGTTGCTACATTGACTTAAAAAGATACCAGAAGTCTACGGCAGTGTTTATATTCCACACAGCCTTTTAATAATGGTCTGATTAAACTTTTTTTTTTAATCTATGCCAATCTGAGAAGAGGCTAACAGTGAGCCACTTTTAATTTCTATCTCTTTAGGTTTTGTTTTTGTTTTTGTTTCTGTTGTGAGAGGGAGTGTTGCTCTGTCATCCAGGCTGGAGTGTAGTGGCATGATCTCGGCTCCCTGTGAAGCCCGCCTCCCAGATTACAGTGATTCTCCTGCCTCAGCCTCCTGAGTAGCTGGGATTACAGGTGTGCGCCACCACGCCCAACTAACTTTTGTATTTTTAGTAGAGCGGTATTTCACCATGTTGGTCAGGCTGGTCTCGAACTCCTGACCTCGTGATCCACCTTCCTCGGCCTCCCAAAGTGCTGGGATTGCAGGCAGGAGCCACCGCACCTGGCCTAGTTCTTTTTTTAAAACATAAACTCTTTCAGAAAAGATGCATCTTTTTAATTAGCACCAGATGTGAGCATCTTTTTATGTTCGAGGCATTTTTCTTTTCTGCAAACTGGCTAGTTGTATAATTTGTTCATTTTCCACTGCTTGCTTTCTGTTTTCTTTATGATTTTAAGAACTGTAGGTTAAGCAGACTAGCCCTTTATTAAGTGTTGCAGGTATCTTTTTTTGTTCTGTAGCAATTTTTGTCTCTTGAAGAAGTTAAATTGATGAACATTTTATTTTTTGACCTTCGGATTTTGTTTCTTCATAACAGCATATTTTAAAAAGTAGTCTGAGAGTTATTTTATTTTAAACTCTTAAATATTTAGTCTGAATATTCATGTGAAATTTATGTGGGTGTAATGAATGAAAGGGAGATTCACTTTTTTTATTTTATCTATATAACCATCTGTTTGTTTATTCACTTTATTGTTTAGTAATGGCTAGCAAGTTGTCACATCTGATTATTGAGCAGGTCATCTCCTCCCTTGAAGTCTGAATATAACATAAAGTATAACCTTTATGTTTTACTGACTTTATATATACATATTTGAGATCGGTTTTGGTGTCCTATTCTTTTGCACTATTCATATGAGCCTCTATCAAACATCTATCTTCATTACTGTAGGTTTGATCATTTTTCAGTGTCTAATGGTGTTATGGCCCACTTTTATCTTGTTTTTGTTTTTTTCTTTTAAATTTTCTGCAATTTCATCCTTAATTGTTTTTCTTTTCTTCAGTAGTAGTTTTTTTCTGGCTATTCTTGATGCTTTTTTTCCCCCACATAGATATAATTAGCTTGGTTAATATTTTTATTTTGTTTTATTTTATTTTATTTTATTTTTGAGATGGAGTCTTGCTGTGTCGCCCAGGCTGGAGTGCAGTGGCGCGATCTTGGCTCACTGCAACCTCCGCCTCCCGGGTTCTAGCAATTCTCCTGCCTCAGCCTCCTGAGTAGCTGGGATTACAGGCATGCGTCACCACGCCCGGCTTATTTTTGTATTTTTAGTAGAGACAGGGTTTCACCATGTTGCTCAGACTAGTCTTGAACTCCTGACCTCATGATCCACCCACCTCGGCCTCCCAAAGCGCCGGGATTATAGGCATGAGCCAATGTGGCCAGCCAGCTTGGCTAATATTTTTAAATTTTGTTGGTATTTTTATTGAGCTAGCATCATAATTTTAGATTATTTTAGGGTAGAATTGACATCTTTATAACAAATGAGTGTTTATTCCCCTTTGTTTAAGTAATCTGTTATTTCTGTCAGTAGGTTTTTATGTTTTCTTCATACAGGTCTTATACAGTTCTAGTTGTTTATATCTACAGATTTTATCTTTTTTGTTGCTGCTAGTAAATGTAAGTGGGTTCCTTTTTTTTTTTACATTGTATTTCATTGTCCCCCCAACACCCCTCCCACATTTGATTGATAGTCTTCTTGATCCCTTTTGATTCCTCTTCCCTACCCCCAAGCAGTGATTTGAATATTAATTTTTTCATTGAGATATAATTCACATACCATAAAATCAATCCTTTTAAAGTATGTAATTCAGTAGGTTTTAATATATCAAAAGATCATGGAACCATTACCATTCAAATTCCACAGCATTTTCATCACCCCAAAAGGAAACTGTATCTGTTAACCAACACTTCCCGTTTTTCTCTCTCTCCATTCCCTGAAAACCACTAATCTATTTTCTGACTTTTTATAGATTTGCCTGTGCTGCACATTTCATATAAATAGAATCATATAATATGTGGCTTTTTTATGTCTAGCCTCTTTCAGCTAATGTTTTCAAGGTTCATCCGTGTTGTAGTGTATGTCAGTATTTCCTTCCTTTTATGGGTGAATAATATTCCATTATGTGGATATATCATATTTTGTTTACCTGCTTATCAGTTGATAGACATTTGGATTATTTCCACTTTTTGGTAATTATGCATAATGCTACTATGAGCATTCATGTACATGTTTTTGTGCGAACCTATGTTTTTAGTGCTCTTCGGTAATATGCCTAGTAGTGGAATCACAATTCCACTGTTAGGGTCATAGCAATTGATTATAGCCATCCTAGTGTGTATGAAACAGTATATTATTGTGGTTTTGATTTCTGTGTCCCTAATGACTAAAGATTTTGAGGAGTTTTCCATGTGCTTATTGGCCATTTGTATGTGTTCTTTGGAAAAAAATGTCCATTCAAATCCTTTGCCCAGTTTTAAATTTACTTGTTTGATTTTTTTAAATCATTGTGTGGTTTTTATATTCTTATTCATACTAGACCTGTTTTTTTTAAATTGATACATAATAACTGTACATAATTTGCTGGTATGTGTGTTGTTTTGATACATGCATACAATGTGTAATGATCAAATTAGAGAAATTGGGATAGCCATTCCCTCAAACATTTGTGTTGGGAATATTTCACTTCTTCTCTTCTAGCTATTTTGAATTACACAATAAATTGTTAACTGTAGTCACCTCCTATACTATTGAACCCTAAGTCTTATTCCTTCTAACTGTATTTTTGTACCCGTTAACCAACCTCTTCAGTCCCCCACCCACCAACACTTCTCAACTTCTGGTAACCACCAGTCTTCTTTCTATCTCTATGAGATCTACTTTCTAAGCTTCTGCATATGAGTGAGAACATGCAGTGTTTATTTTTCTGTTCCTGGCCTTATTTCACTTAACATAATGACCTTCAGTACCATCTTGTATTGCTGAAAATGACAGGATGTCATTTTTTTTATGACTGAAGAATATTCTATTGTATGTATGTACCACATTTTCTTCATTCATCCATTAATGGACACTTCAGTTGACTCTGTATCTCGGCTATTGTGAATAGTCCTGCAATAAACGTGGGAATGTAGATGTCTCTTCTACATACTGATTTCTTTTCTTTGTATAAACCCAGCAGTGGGATTGCTGGATCATATGGCAGTTCTGTTTTTAGTTTTTTTGAGGAACCTCCATACTGTTTTCCATAGTGGCTGTACTCGTTTTCATTCCCATCAACAGCATACCAATGTTCTCCTTTTTCCATATCCTCACCAGTATTCATTATTTTTGTCTTTTTGATAAAAGCCACTTTAACTGGGGTAATATGATCTCATTGTGGTTTTGATTTGCATTTCCCTGGTGATTAATAATGCTGGACTTTTTTCATATAACTTGGTCATTTGTATGTCTTCTTTTGGGAAATGTCGGTCCTGATCTTTTGCCTATTTTAAAATCAGACTATTTGGATTTATTTTTTTATTTTTATTTTTATTTTTTCTATTGAGGTGTTTGAGTTCTTTATACTAATCATCAATTTCCCGATGAAGGGATAGTGTGCATATATATTCTCTCTTTCTGCAGATTGTCTTCACTTTGTTGATTGTTTCTTTTGCGGTGCAGATACTTTTTAGTCTAATATAGTCCCATTTGTCTATTTTTGCTTTTGTTGCCTATGCTTTTGAGATCTTACGCAAAATATCTTTGCCCAGACTGATGTCCTGAGGGCTTTCCCAATGTTTTTTTCCTAATAGTTTCAAGTCTTAAATTTAAGTCTTTAATCCACTTTGATTTGATCTTTGCATATGGTAAGAGAAAGGAATATAGCTTCATTCTCTGCATGTAGTTATCCAGTTTCCCAAACACCATTTATTGAAGAGGCCATCTTTTCCCCAATAGGTGTTCTTGGCACCGTTATGGAAAATTAGTTGCCTATAAATATGTGTATTTATTTCAAGTTCTGTGTTCTGTTCCATTGGTCTGTGTGTCTGTTTTTATGCAGGTACCATACTGTTTCGGTTACTGTGACTTTGTAATATATTTTGAAGCAAGTAGTAGATGTCTCGTGCTTTGTTATTTTTGGTCAGAATGCTTTGGCTATTCAGGTTTTTTTAGTTTCATATGAATTTTGTATTGTTTTTTCTGTTTATGTAAAGAATGTCCTTGATATTTTGATAGACTGTGTTGAATCTGTAGATTGCTTTGGGTAGTATTAACATTTTAACAATATTAATTCTTCCAATTCATGAGCATGGGATATGTTTCACTCTTTTTGTGTCCTCTTCAGTTTCTTTCATCAGTGTTTTATAGTTTTGCTTGTAGAGATCTTTCACTTCTTTGGTTAAATTTATTCCTAGATATTCTATATTTTTTGTAGCTATTGCAAATGGGATTGCTTTCTTGATTTCTTCTTCAGGTTGTTCACTGTTGGCATATATAAATGTTACTGGTTTTTTTAAGTTGGTTTCATATCCTGAAACTTTTACTAAGTTTGTTTATCACTTCTGACAGTTTTTGGGTGGAGTCTTTTGGTGTTTCTAAATATAATATCACGTTGCCTACAAACAAGGATGATTAGATTTAGATTTTTCCTTTCCAAACTGTTTGCCTTTGTTTTTTCCTCTTGCCTAATTGCTGGGGCTAGGACTTCCAGTACTATATTGAATAAAAGTGATGAAAATGGGCATCTTTGTCTTGTTCCAGATCTTAGAGGAAAGGCTCTTTTTTTTTTCTTTTTAAATTTAAGACAGGGACTCGCTCTGTCACTCAGACCGGAGTTCAGTGGTGCAATGTTGGCTCACTGCAACCTCCGCCTCCTGGGCTCAAGCAGTCCTCCCACCTCAGCCTCCTGAGTAGCTGGGACTACAGGCGCATACCACCATACCCTAATTTTTTGAATTTTTAGTAGAGATGGGGTTTCACCATGTTGTTTAGGCTGGTTTAAAATTCCTGAGCTCAAACCATCTTCCTGTCTTGGCCTCTCAAAGTGCTGGGCCAGAGGAAAGGCTTTTAACTTTTCTCATTCGATATGGTGTTAGCTGTGGGTTTGTCATATATAGCTTTTATTGTTTTGGTGTAAGTTTCTTTTTTACCCAGTTTGTTGTTTTTATCATAAAGGGATGTTAAATATTGGCAAATATTTTTTTCAACATCTGTTGAACTGACCATTGCATGTTAGACCTTTATTAAATATATGATTTGCAAATATTTTCTCCTATTTTGTGAGTTGCCTATTCACTTTCTTGATAGTTTCCTATGAGTTACAAAAAGTTTTAAATTTTGATGAAGCCTGATTAAAAAAATGTTTTTGGTTGCTTGTGCTTTACTTGTCCTATCTTTTATTTATTTATTTGTTTGTTTGTTATTTATTTCTTGCATCTGCTCCACTGGCAATACTTGTCTTAGCATAAGAAGCCATTGCTCGACTAAAAGTCACAATGGTTTATACCTATGTTTTCTTTGTTGTATTTTGTGCATTTAGGTTTTTGATTCATTTTGAAGTAATTTTTGTATATGGTATGAAGTAGGTGTTGGATGTTATATATTATGTTTCTGTTTCACGTGGTCACCACTAGATTTTTACCATTCATGCTTTAACTAAGTATGGAATTGTTGAAGAGATGGGCAGTAAAAATATTAACGCAAGATTTTTATTATTTTTTTTTTTGAGGTGGAGTCTCACTCTGTTGCCCAGGCTGGAGTACAGTGGCGTGACCTCGGCTCACCACAGCCTCCACCTCCTGGGTTCAAGTGATTCTTCTGCCTCAGCCTCCCGAGTAGCTGGGACTACAGGTGCCTGCCACCACACCTGGCTAATTTTTTGTATTTTTAGTAGAGACGGGGTTTCACCATGTTGACCAGGCTGGTCTCGAACTCCTGACCTCAAGGGATCTACCCGTCTCAGCCTCCCAAAGTGTAGGGATTACAGGCGTGAGCCACCGCGCCCGGCCAATAAGAATTTTTAATGACTTTGAGCCTTCCTGTCCCCCTTCAGTGTTTTAGTTATCTAGAATTTTAGTTACACTTTGACTTTTATTCTTTTACTGTCAGTGCTTATTCAAATTTTCTCACATATTCTTACATTCCATGCCTTTTAAGAGGGGAGTTTCCTTTTTAGTGAAGTTGATCTTTTAATAGTTCTTTCACCATGGAGATGCTAGTGACAAACCTTAAACATGTCTCTCTTTCTTCATTTGTAGATTGTATATAAATTTCAAGTAGACAGTTATCTTTTCTCCTTTGAAAATTTCATTGTTTAGTGTTGCTGATACAGTTAGCATAATTATTTTTCTTTTGTTAGATCATTTGTCTCTTTTCTGGTAGCTCTTAAGATTTTCTCTTTGTCTTTCGCATGCTGCATTTTTGCATAATTGGTAGAAAGGACTTATTTTGCTCAGAACTCTTTTTTTTTTTTTTAAACAGCATCTCTCTGTCACCCAGGCCTGAGTGCAGTGGCACGATCATAGCTCGCTTTACCATTTTCCTCCCTGGGCTCCAGCAATCCTTCCACCTCAGCCTCTTGAGTAGCTGGGACTACAGGTGCATACCATGTCTGGTTTATTTTAATTTAATTTAATTTTTTTTTGAGACGGAGTTTCACTCTTATCACCCAGGCTGGAACAGTGGTGCAACCTCTGCTCACTGCAACCTCTGCCTCCCTGGTTCAAGTGATTCTTCTGCCTCAGCCTCCCAAGTAGCTGAAATTACAGGCATGTTGCCACCATGCCTGACTAATTTTTGTATTTTTAGTAGACACGGGGTTTCAGCATGTTGGCCAGGCTGGTCTCAGACTCCTGACCTCAGGTGACCCACCCGCCTCGGCCTCCCAAAGTGCTGGAATTACAAACATGAGCCACCGCACCCGGCCTAATTTTTTATATTTTTTGTAGAGACGGGGTTTCACCATGTTGCCCAGACTGGCCTCTAACGCCTGGCCTCAAGCAGTCCGCCTGCGTCAGCCTCCCAAAATGCTGGGATTACAGGTCTGAGCTACCACATTCAGCCTCTGCTGAGAACTCTTAACTTAGAACTTCTTGAGTGAGGAGTTGTGTGCTGAGTTCTTGAAAATCACAATTCTTTTTTTTCGAATGTTGCTTCTCCAGTATTCTTTTCTTCTTTTCCTGGATATTTACATTTTCATTATTTTGTATCTCTTAACTGCTCTTTTAAATTTTCCAGGTTTTATTTCTGGTTAATTTCCTCAGATCTTTATTTATTTATTTATTGTTTCCCTCTTTGATTTATCTAATTTATTGTTTCACTCTTTGATTTATCTACTTTGCTATTTAATGCATCTTTTGATGTTTTTTCCCTTTAATTTTAATGCTTATGTTTTCACTCTTAAAGAGCCAGTGCACTCTGTTTTAGAATTACAGACACCTTATTCTTTTGTGATGTTTGTCACTTCTTTCATATTCTTAATCACCTCCGTAGTAATTATATTTTATAATCTGTTTTATATGGTTCTGTTACCTGGACTCTTTGTTCTTGTGTTGCTAATTCTCAAGTATGTTGTACATGCTCGTTCTTATGAGTTCTTTTAAGTGCGATTATTTTCTGTGGAAGGTTCTTGTATGTTGTCATTTTTGTGGAAGTGTTCATCAAAATAGTTTGGTGTTTGCTTCAGCAAGGTGTCTGAAGAGTTTTTCCAAAGCAGGTCGAGTATTGTGTTGATTTCTTGTCGGGATTCCTGTAACATGGAATCTCATGAGGATTTTCTCTCTTATACTTATGCATGGAACAGGCATGTGGTTTCCATTTCTCTTAAGACGTCACCCCAGTCCTCCAACCTTCCTCCTTTTTCTCCATTGCTCTTCGACAGACAGGCTTCCCTTTTTGTTCTATGAGCTGATAGAAATGTCCTGTATTTACTGCTTTTCCAGAGTCCTGGTTTTACACAGCGGTTTTAGTTTCATTTTCTGTATTCTGTGGGCTCATGGCCACATTTCGTGTACCCTTGTGGGCCTTAGAAACTCAACTTGTAGAGACTGTATCTGACCTAGCTTATAATTCCCCAAACTCCACGACATAACCTCCTGGCTTCAGATTCTGCTTTAGTTTCTTGCTCTTGGGGTTGGTTTGTTTGTTTGTTTGTTTGTTTGGTTTTGAGACAGAGTTTTATTCTGTTGCCCAGGCTGGAGTACAATGGTGTGATCTCGGCTCACGGCAACCTCCACCTCCCAGGGTCAAATGATTCTCCTGCCTCAGCCTCCTGAGCAGCTGGGATTACAGGTGCGCACCACCACACCCAGCTAAATTTTGTATTTTTAGTAGAGATGGGGTTTTGCTGTGTTGGCCAGGCTGGTTTTGAACTCCTGACCTCAGGTGGCCTGCCTGCCTCAGCCTCCCAAAGTGCTGGGATTATATGTGTGAGCCACTGCGACGGGCCCTTTTTTTTTTTTTTTTTTTTTTAAGATCAGGTATATTTTAAATGTTGGGATGTTGTGTTTTATCTCACAGTTCTGTGTGTTCATAACATTGGTAGGGGTTGAGGGAGGGTGTCCATGTTAGTTTAGTCTCTCATTTTCCAGAAATAATATTGTCCTAACTGGTTGGTTGTATTTAGGAAGGGTGCTGATTTGGTATATATTAATTTTCTAATCATTAATGAATTCTGTAATTATTTTCCAGGAGTTTTTTATGTTGTTTCTCTTAGGTTTTCCAGAAATAGAATTGTGTTATCCAAAAAAACAGTGATGCTTTGCCTTTATAGATTAGCCTTGAAGTTTTTAAAATCTCATTTCTTTCTTTTGTTAGTTCCAGTTAATTTCTCCAGTAGACATTCCTGTGTTGTTCCTTACTTTTATTTGAATTGGGTACTTTTGAGAATCATTTTTCAAATGCCCTAAAGCAGTTAATTTATCATATATTACTTTTAAATATCTCAGTTTGCATGTTCACTTTAGAAGTTACAGTGTAATTATTGTATACTGATGTCATCAGAATGTCATTTCAAGAGTAAATGACAAAAAAAAATACAAAAAATGAAATACGAAAGTGAAATATTCTTAATTTAGAATATTTAAAATACAAATTTTCATCCTTCTAGATTGTTGTTATGCTGATCTTCTATGTATTACTATATTTGCTGTAGTGCTCTGTTGATTGAGTGTCAGTTAATATCAGGGTGTTCCAGTAACCATTGGTAGCCCTTTCCCTGCTGTATATGGAAAGATTGAAATTATACAAGAATATTTATGTGTGAAACATGAAATTTCTAATGAAGAAGAAGAAACTTCTATTACAGTGTATCTGATGTACCTCATTATTAAAAGAAGACCTTTAGTTTTATTATATCAAATGGTTTCCTGAAACCCTTTTAGCGTAAGATTCCTGTGGTTAAACATTAAATAATATGCAATGGAAGATGTCATTTTAAATTAAGAATTCTTAACTTTCAATCAGATTTTCTTAATTTGAGCAGAATCTGCTCATTTTAATTCAGCATCCTATTTTAAACTACTTGTTCCTGTAGTGTGGTTCTATTCTTTCTTGCTGTTTATAATTTAGTACTGTATGTAGGCACTTAAGAATGGGCATCTTGTTAGTATTGTCTTCATAATACTAAATACAGAATACCTCTCTCCAAGTGGATGTGTAGATATTTTACTCAGTTCTTTAACACACTTATAAAATATACAGATGACACAAAGCTGTGTCTTTTGTGATTAGATTAGGTATTTCAGTAATTTAGTTTTTAATTTCCTATGCAATTTAAGTATCCTATTATCCTTATTGGCGGGGGTGGTGATGCTTACTGTTGTACATGTTTTATTTTGAATGTTCTTTCTTTGCTTTCCTTTTTTTTTTTTTCCTTAGAGAGACAGGGTCTCGCTATGTTACCCAGACTGGAGCACAGTGGCTGTTCATGGGCGCTTTGTGGCTCATGCAGCCTCAAACCCCTGGGCTCAAGCGATCCTCCTGCCTCAGTCCCCCAGGTAGCTGGGACTACAGGCTCACACCACTGCACTCAGCTTACATTTGAATGTATTTAAGTAACTCCAGTCAGCCTCAGCTCAGATGAACTCAAATTTTATTTCTGCAACTTTATATTAAAATAACCTCACAAAATTTAGAATTCTTAAGAGAACTCTTGATACCCTATAGTAAATTCTACTATAGGTGAATTTCTATCTTAACTCACCTTAGATTGTTTTTATGGTAATCTCTTTCCACGTACTCAGCCTTGAAGAGAGATTCTACTTTTTGTCTCACTTACATACCTACTTTGATGTCAGAATCTTTCCCTTCAGCCAATGCTACACATAGCCCCATCCCCACGTAGCTTTAGTAGTCACACTAAAGCTAGTAAAACATGTAATTGATTTCCTGTTTTCGTATGTGTGTAAGACTTAGGAATTGGTCAACTATATAGCATGTTGGCTGAGAGCACTGACTTTGGAATTAAATCAACCTGAGTTTGAGTCTTGATTATGTTGCTGAATTACCTATATTTGTCCTTACAGTAATTATTTTGATCTTTTAAGTTAGTTTCTCCTCTGAAATAAATATGCTATACCTACCTCACAGGGTGGTTGTGAGGATTAAGTAGATTGATGGATGTGGAGCACTTAGATTAGTGCCTGAAACATTGAAAGGGCTCAAGAATTGTAGTTCTGTTGTATTACTTAATGTCATAATAGTAAACAAATTTACTCATCTTTGGTTACTTGGCCAGTTTATTTTGGAAAGTCTTAGAGACTAGCTTTAGGAAAATCTGTCTAAATGCATTTCATTTTAGACAAGTAGGGAGTTTTTATCCATTGATAATAGTCTAATATAATTTTTGCTGTATGGATTAACCTTTAATTAACTGTACAATATAGAGTTAGATTAAAAACAGCTCTGGAATAGTTTTTAAAAAATAAAATAAAAGGTTTATATAAATATAGTAATTTGGCTTCATATTTTTTTTAAGGAGTTTGGGTTTTTTTAAAGTTTCTTTTATACACATTTAAGACATAACTCGAGAATTCCTATCCTATTTTAATCTCAATGCAGTAGACATTGTGTTATAGTAAGTAGGAGTACTAGATTGGGAATTTGGAGAGTTGAGTTTGAGTCTTGGCTTTGCTGTTGACTTTGCATGTATGTCCTGTGGTGTTTATAGCCTGATTTACCTCACCTACCTACTTTAGTTGCTCAGAAAACCAGAAATAATTATGTTGAGGCTCTTCAGAAAGTACAGAGGGCTATCCAAAGAAAAGAAAAGTATTACCTCAGTTCTCTGCTTATTTTTGTTCACCTACATGTTTTCAGAAAACATGTTGGTATCTTATGAATTATTAGAAATTGAAACTCATATCCCTGTTAATCATAATTTTGTGACTAGGGCATTTTTGGTAGCCCTTTTCTTATATTGTGAGGTGGCATATTATTTCAGTGGTGAAGGTTTTTAGGCATTCACCAAATAGCCAGAAAACAGTTCCTGGATAAGCTTATTTTTTTCAGGAAGGGTAACTGTTGCTCTAAATACCCTTTTCAGTCTGCTCAGAACTGATCACCTCCATTAAGCCTTTGATTAACGCTACCTGGTTTTAATTAATTTGCATTTCATCAGCATTTATGCATGTAGTTTGTAGTGTATTAGTTTATATTTGGGTTTTTTTAAGTTATTTTATGTCTTTTACATGTGACCTGGTCTTTTTTTCTCAGCTAGCTTGGAATCTCCTGAAGGGTAAAGACAATTGTCCTTTCCCTTTCTTCACAATAAACTCATAATAGAGGGCGCTTTGCACATAATGTTTCTTACTGGTTGTGGTTGTTCCACTGGAACATAGTGGTTGTTCCACTAGAACATAATGGTATCAATTGGCCTAATTCTAAATAGTATGCATCTGTAGAAATTTTCAGAGTATGCCTGTTTAGAGTTAATGACAAAAAGGCATCAAAACAACAGACTGCTTGATACTAAAAATATGGCACTTAAGCTGCTATGTATTTCAACTTTTTTTTTTTTGCTTTTTCAAACAATTTTGTTAATTATATTTGGCTGAATGAAATCTAGTAGCTCTTCATTAGATAATTTGAATTTTTAATACTGTAATATATTTGGGGAATGTGCTATTTGTATTGTTAATGATTCTTAATAAAAAAGGAATTATGCCTTTTATAAAAGAAAAACTTTTATAAAAGGCATAATTTTATAAAGAGCCACAATTCTGTTACTTCCCACTCTTCCATTAATTTATTAAATTTTTGGTCACTCTTGCTATTAAATTTCCTGATGTAAACCTTGATATGGAGGAGACTATTCTTGCAGTAAATCTGCTAACATATTTGGAAATAAGTACATTTGAAAAAAGAAACTTTACATTTGCTTTAATCAGAGCTTTTTCTACAACAAAACAAGATAAAATTATTTCCTTCATCTTTGCACTTACGATCCCAAAGATGATGTTTCTTCCAAATGAATGTTTGCATTTTATTTTCCAGACTTGTTCTCTAAAACCAATTATTGCTCCATTAAGAAACATTTTTACATCTTCTTCAGGAATGTCGTTGTCTGCTGGGTCTTCCCCTCTTCATTCCCCCAAGATTACTCCACATACTTCTCCTGCTCCCAGAAGAAGAAGTCACACTCCAAATCCAGCAAGTTACATGGTGCCTTCTAGTGCCTCTACATCTGTTAATAATCCTGTTTCTCAGACTCCGTCTTCTGGTCAGGTGATCCAAAAGGAAACTGTTGGTGGGACGACTTACTTCTATACAGACACAACTCCAGCACCTTTGACTGGAATGGTATGTCTACATTAAAGAGGAAATTTTAGTACTCTCTTGTAACAGGACCTTCTTAGTTGTGAGGCGGTCTACCCCCTCCTGCAGCTTTTTATTGTGATGCAAAAAAGTATTTCATTTTCTAACTTAGATGAGAAGTCTAGTCTCTTCTTCTCAACTCTTCAAATTAATCTAGTTCTGCCTTACTAATAATTCTAGTTTTGGACTAAACTGGTTTAATCAGAAATTAGATTATATCCATGCTCTTATTTTAGTCTTTATGGCATGTTTTGCTTATGGGTTTACCTTGTACTAGCTGGAATTGATGCCTGCTGACATTTGTTTATAGGTATAGATAGTTTAACCTCAGTAAGAAGCTAGAAAAAGTAGATGGTATGTCCTCAGTAGTTACTGGAAGCAAATCAATGATAAACCCTTATTTCAGATGAGGTAGTTATTTAACAGCTAGATCTGTGGATGGTGGAGTGACACATAATGATAAGGGGCCTGCAGTATGGCTCTTATGCTCAGGAGATAGAGTAGTCAGACCCAAGAGAGCCATGATTGTAGATGACGAAAGAGCTACCAAAGGACTGGCGATGAAGTGAGGGAAGAATCGTGAAACAAATGGGAAGAGGTGGCCCCAGAGGAAACATGAATATTAAGACCAAAAGAGGAAGAACATGGCCAGAAAGAAAGATTTCTTATCAGAGTCAATTAGTAATGTTCCAGGAGAGGGAGAAGGAACAGGAGTCAGGGGGCGAGAATGAATGGGGAAGGAGAGGGAAGGATTCCATGTTACGTAAATTGTACCTTTTTTAGCTTCATTACTTCATCCATATTCAAAAATTATTTTATTTACCCTAGAAAAATAAGTAGTAGATGAAGTGAGTGAGAAAGTCAGAGTCCACTAAAACAGGGGTCCTCAATCCTTGGACCAGAGACCAGTGTTAGGAACCAGGCCGCACAGCAGGAGGTGAGCAGTGGGCGAGTAAGTGAAGTTTCATCCGTATTTACACCCACTCCCCATTGCTCTCATTACCATCTGAGCTCCTCCTCCTGTCAGATCAGCAGAGGCATTAGATTCCATAGGAACATGAACCCTATTGTAAACTATAAATATATTGTAAAATACATATATATTTTATATATATGTAAAGTTATTAAATTATATAAATATATATTATATATATTATATATAATTAATATATATTATATATAAATTATATATAATATATAATTAATTATATATTATATATAAATTATATATAATATATAATTAATATATAAAATTATATAAATATATATATTTTTTGAGATGGATGTTCGCTATTTCACCCAGGCTGGAGGGCAGTGGTTCAGTCTTTGTTCACTGCAGCCTCCGCCTCCTGGGTTCAAGCATTCCTCTCACCTCAGCCTCTAGTAGCTGGGACTACAGACGCACACCACCATGCCTGGCTAACTTTTGTATCTTTAATAGAGATGAGGTTTCACCCAGTTGATCAGTTGGCCAGGCTGATCTCAAATTCTTGACCTCAAATGATCCGCCCACCTTGGCCTCTGAAGTGCCGGGATTACAGGCGTGAGCCACCATGCCCAGCCTAAACTATGCTATCTTATGTAAGGAAACCAACACAAGAAAAAAGAGATATTATTCTCCCTGCAGACACAGGCTAAAGGAAACCTTACAAGTATCACAAAACTGCTTCCTAGTTGAGATGCAGAGCAGAGCAGTCATGTTAGGGCAGCGCAAATCAGCTGAATTCGTTTTTAAAAGAGAAAAAAGGTTTCATTGTTTAAAATGAAAGAATGAAAAAATAGAAAAGATATTTAAAACTGAACTTTGATTTTGTATCATGGACCAGTGAAGGAGAGGCAGAGAAAAGAGTGATAAAGAGAACAAAGGGTGGTGGGATGAGTCCAGTTGAAAGAATGAAAGACAAGAAGCTGGAAGCTGATTTAGTAACTTTATTGTAGTTTGCTTGGAAGGTAAATGTATTATTGTATCCTTCTGTTCACTTAAACTGCTGACCTAGAGTAGGTTTGAATAACACTTTGTTTAGTTTGGCCACAAAATGCCTGTGAAAGGGGAAATTCTTTGGGCAGCCAGGGCAATATCACTTCCTTATCTCCCAGTACCCAAACACCTTTAGTTTCTCCTTCCTTCCTTCCAGTTGCTTTCAAAAAGTGGCGATGAACTGCTTGTATAGTTGCCATTTAGTATCCAAGGGGGATTGATTCCCGGACGCCCACAGATAGCAAAATTCCTGGGTGCTCAAGTCCCTGATATAGAATGACATAGTATTTGCATAGATCTTATACACATCCTCCTGTATACTTTAAATTATCTCTAGATTACTTATAATACCTAATGCAGTATAAGTGCTTTGTGAATAGTTGTTATAATGTATTTTTAATTTGTATTACTTCTCATTTGTTGTATTGTCATTTTTTTCCCCTGAATATTTCCTACCCATGGTTGGTCGAATCCTTGAATACAGAACCCAGGGATACAGAAGGCTGACTATGTGACATTTCTTCCAAAGAGCTACTTTTATCTTCTCAATGGAGCTTAAATTTTACTGTATCTGAAGAAATGTTTTCTTTCTCATTAGATTTTTTTTTTTTTTGAGACAGAGTCTTCCCCTGTCCCCCAGGCTGGAGTGCAGTGGCACGATCTCGGCTCACTGCAGCCTCCACTTCCCAGTTTCAAGCGATTCTCCTGCCTCAGTCTCCTGAGTAGCTGGGATTATAGGTGCCTGCCACCAAGCCTGGCTAATTTGTGTTTTTTTTGTTGTTTTTTTTTTTGAGATGGAGTCTCGGCTCTGTCACCCCAGCTGGAATGCGTTAGTTCAATCTTGGTGCACTGCAACCTCCACCTCCGGGTTCAAATGATTCTCCTGCCTCAACCTCCCGAGTAACTGGGAGTACAGGTGCATGCCACCACACCCGGCTAATTTTTTGTATTTTTAGTAGAGACAGGTTTCACCATGTTAGCCAGGATAATTTTTGTATTTTTAGTAGAGATGGAGTTTTACCATGTTGGCCAGGCTGGCTCATTAGATTTTTAATTGATTACTGAAATATTATGTTTATTTTTATTTTTTTAATTTTTTATTTTATTTATTTATTTATTTATTGAGACGGGGTTTCATTCTTGTTGCCTAGGCTGGAGTACAATGGCACAATCTCCACTCACCACAACCTCTGCCTCCCTGGTTCAAGTGATTCTCCTGCCTCAGCCTCCTGAGTAGCTGGGATTACAGGCTTGCGCCACCATGCCCCACTAATTTTGTATTTTCAGTAGAGACCAGGTTTCTCCATTTTGGTCAGGCTGGTCTCGAACTCCCAACCTCAGGTGATCTGCCCACCTCAGCCTCCCAGAGTGCTGGGATTACAGTTGTGAGCCACTGCGCCTGGCCGAAATATTATTTTTAATATGAATTCTTTCAGAAAGTATTCTCTAACAGCTATTCTCTGAGGTTTTTACTTCAATATTATTTAAAGATTTAAAATGTATTAAAATTTATTGCTATCATGTAAAGATTAAAATTTTATCAAAACAATAATAAAGCTTATTGATTATGAAAAATTAGTCAGGCTGGGTGTGGTGGCTCACACCTGTAATCCCAGCACTTTGGGAGGCCGAGGCAGGTGGATCACCTGAGGTCAGGAGTTCAAGACCAGCCTGGCCAACATGGTGAAACCCTGTCTCTACAAAAATACAAAAATTAGCTGGGCATGATGGTGGGTACCTGTAATCCCAGCTACGTGAGGCTGAGGCAGGAGAATCACTTGAACCCGGGAGGCAGAGCTTGTAGTGAGCCGAGATTGCGCCACTGAACTCCAGCCTGGGCAACAGAGCAAGACTCCATCTGAAAAAAAGAAAGAAAAATGAGTGATTACATTTACCCCCTTCCTACCTTTTTAGGTGTTTCCAAACTATCATATTTATCCTCCAACTGCACCTCACGTTGCTTATATGCAACCGAAAGCAAACGCACCTTCCTTCTTCATGGCTGATGAACTCCGACAGGTATGCTTTCAGAATTCATAGTAGGAATACTTAATGTCTCCTGTGCTTTAGTGAACAGGGGAAAGAACAGAGCTCTTTTCAAATCATATTATTTAATCAAATATGCTCTAGTAAAGCACATCGAATTTAGAAGTTTTAATTGGTATTTTTTTTAAGGAAACCTGTCTTTTAAAAAAATTTCAAATAAATTATGTGGCAGGATATAAAACATAGAATAGCTATTTAAATGGTTCACTGTTCTGTACTTCATTTTATTTCTATGAAAAGGCTCTTTGAAGTATATAAATAATTTAAATGGTTTCTAACAGTATTTTTCTAATAGATGTAGGTTAAAAATAAGTAGTTTGGCTCAGGAAATAACTTTAAGAGAGCTCAATATTTTTTTAAAAGAATGTTTTTTAAAAGTTTTTTTGTTTTGTTTAATTTTTGGTAAACAGCTAGTTATTTGGTATGTAGAATTTCACTTTACACTCAGATTCTCAGAAATATTTTTGTTTCATAGAAGTGAGTTCTACCAGTATAGTGTTTTTTAAATTAATTATTACCAGTTTACTAGTAGACCTTGAATTTTCAGCCACAGCGTTAGTCACGTGTTTTGGGTAGCCCAGCTACCCGTGTTTAAGGGGCACATCTACTTAAACCCAATCTTAATTATGGCATGTCTAAGTCTGTCTGGGCCTGGAGTTCAGACATTTTACCATGTTTAGAAATGTTTTAATATTTAAATGATTTTAATATTTAAAAAGTGCATATGCCAAAAATATTAATACTTAGGTTATTTAATTATAATAGGAATTCCAGGTTTCAGAATCTGTGTTTAAATAAAAATATACTTATTTTGTTTCATAGGAGCTGATCAACAGACATTTAATAACAATGGCTCAAATTGATCAAGCAGATATGCCAGGTAAAAAGCAAGTTGATCCTTCCTTTCTTTTAAAGGCTGTTATAATTCTTACGTGGTAGTACATGTTTTATGCATTATTAAGAAGAGTTCCAGGCTGGGCCTGGTGGCTCATACCTGTAATCCCAGCAGTTTGGGAGGCTGAGGCAGGAGGATTGCTTGAGCCCAGAAGTTTGAGACTAGCCTGAGCGAAATAGTGGGAACCTGTCTCTACAAAAAATAAATTAGCTGGGAGTGGTGGTGCATATTTGTAGTCCCAGCTACTCAGGAGGCTGAGGCAGGAGGATCACTTGAGCCTTGAAGGTTAAGACTGCAGTGAGCTGGCTATAATCGCCCCACTGCACTCCAGCCGGGGTGACAGAGTGAGACCCTGTCTCAAAAAAAAAAAAAAAAAAAGGACAGTCCCAAGGTACTACTGATCATCTAGTTTATTTCTGTTAATTCTACATATGACAGTATTCTAGTTCACAAAAAAAGTATATAATTTTAGAATTCATGGTGATTTACTTTACTGTGCACCAGAATATTTTTATCTCCTGAAACTTAATGAAGTATGGGTTCTTAAGCAGGAGAGGATGGTAATTATTAGGCCTATTTGTGAGACTACTGTGTGCCAGACAGTATACTAATTAAATACTTTACATGTCTTACTTTATTTCTCACAAACATCCTGTGACATATTATTTTCATTTCCATTTTACATATGAGGAATACTGAAGTTGACAGGTTAAGTAACTTAACCTTCAGGACCAATGGCTGGTAAACAGCTGACTGATTCCAGACTTAAAACTAGGTTGTTCTAACTGTACCACAATATTTCTTAAAGCGTATTAAAGTATCTTTCCTTAGCTTACTCTGTATAAATGAAATATGATATAATTTAGTAAAATTTCATAAATAATACAGTAGGAATACATTTGCCATAAAGATCTCAAAATGCCTGCTTGTAATCAGAAATTCAGCATCGTCTAGTGAGTGTTGTCTCTTGATTGCTAAAGAATTAAAAGAAATATGTCTGGCTGTTACACCTTAAGATGGATCTTTCCAGGTAAGGTGGGAAGGAACTTACTTGTCATAACCTTTGAAATATTCATCTTGGAATTTTTCTTAACTGTTTAATATTGTATTTGAGGCTTTAGCCAGGTTTTGCAAAAGTTTAAAAAGAAAAAAAAATGGAAGGCACAAAGACCGGAAAGGAGAAAATAAACCTACCATCTATAAATCATGTGACTGCAGATTAGACATTATTTGAAATAACAAACTGTAGAAAATGGCTGGATGTAAGATTAATACATCAGTTGCATTTCTGTAGGCCAGTACCCAGTTAACTTCAAAATATAATTAAAAGCAAATGCTACTTAAAATGGTTTTGCAATATCAGTATGTAGGAATAAATAACAACAAAAGATAGGTAAGATTTCAGCAGGGGAGATTTATTTATTACGCAGTATTAAATAATATAAATGAAATACTGTAGATTAGTAGAGGTTACTCATGATTAGGAAGACAGAACAAGTAAGATGTCAATTTTTCTGAACTGACATGTAGATCCAGTAGAATTCCAGTCAAAGCATAACTTCCAGTCAAATCTTTTCATGGAGTATGATAAAATGTATCAAAGAATAAAGGGCCACGACCATCCAAGGTACTTTGAAGAGTATGGTTATTATTTATGTTCATATGAAGAATTTGTTTGTGTATTAGGGAAGGAGAGGTTTGATTTGAGTCTGCAGTAACTAAATCAATGTGGTGATAGCACAGGGTTAAACAGATTGATTAACGGAACAGATTAGAGAGAGCCAGACACGTTCTGTGATAAAGTTGGCAAATAAGTGGGGGAAAAGAAAGCATTGGAAAAATGTTTTTGGTTTTTTAATTAAAAAAATAAACTTTTATTGAGACAGCATCTTGCTGTCACCCAGGCTGGAGTACAGTGGCGTGATCGCAGCTCACTGCAACCTCCGCCTCCTGGGCTCAAGCAGTCCTCCTACTTCAGCCTCCCAAGTAGCTGGGACTACAGGTGTACACCACCACACTTGGCTAATTTTTGTATATTTTGTAGAGAGGGTTTCACCATGTTGCTGAGGCTGGTCTTGAACTTCTGGACTCAAGTGATCCACCTGCCTCAGCCTTCCAGAGTGCTGGGATTACAGGCATGAGCCACTGTGCTTCAGGCCACAAAAAATGGTTTTCTATATTGACAAGATAAAATTGGGTCATTATCTCAAGCCACATTAAAAAGTCAACTTCAAATAGATTAAGAACTTACATGTCTAAAACAGAACTCTAAAACTCTTTCTGTAAAATATAAATGAGTGTATTTTATCTACTTTTAAAATACTTTAAAAAATAAAAATTAATTTTATCTACATTTGTAGCGATGATAAAATATTTAAAATTTTTTTGTCACGTTCTCTTTCAAATATCCATGAGTACTTTACATGATTCATCAGTATGCACACAATTTTCAACTTAGACATTTTCAAACAAACACCGCCCTATGTTTCTGACTATCCCTTCCCGCGTAACATTTGTTTGCATTATAGTTCACCCATTTGACACTTGATAATATAGTTTTTGGCATCCTGAATTACAGTGCAGTGAACATATTCATCTACTTAATTTTTTTCTTCTGTAGGAAATATTTTTTTCCTTAGAAGAAATACTTCAAGTATTTCTAAACTGATCTATAGATTCAGTAGTTCAGAAATACTTTTATAATTATTTATACTTTTAAGTATAAAAAATGTAAATAATTGATAAATTGATGCTCTTTTAAAAAGATATAAAAAAGAAAAACGCGCCGGGCGCAGTGGCTCACACCTGTAATCCCAGCACTTTGGGAGGCCAAGGTGAGTGGATCACTTGAGGTCAGAAGTTTGAGACCAGCCTGGCCAACATGGCAAAACCCTGTCTCTACTAAAAATACAAAAATTAGCCAGGCGTGGTGGTGCCCAACTGTAACTCCAGCTACTCGGGAGGCTGAGGCACAAGACTCGCTTGAACCTGGGAGGTGGAGGTTGCAGTGAGATTGTGCCATTGCGCTCCATCCTGGGAGACTCTGTCTCCAAAAAAAAAGAAAAAAGTAAAGTAGAAGTGGTTTTAAAGCTTATTACATAGAACCAAATTGCTTTCCAAGGGATATCAATTAAACACCATTGATTTGTAAGTTGTAATAATTTACTAGCAACCCCATAGCAAACGAGTGCCTACTATCCTTGGGAATTGCTCTGTTCTTTGTATTTTCATAGTGTATTAGCTCTCAAAGTATGATTCCTTAACCAGAGGCTCATTTTCATTGACTTTTAGGAACTTGTTAGAATTGTGAGTTCTTGGATCCCACTTCAGATTGTATCAGAAACTCGGGGAATGGGGCCCAGCAAACTATATTTTAACAAGGCTTTAGGTGATTGTGACAGGTGGTGACGTTTAAGAACCAGTGCCATAGCGAATTGTACTTCTTAAATGGCGACTTTACCTCTTACATGTTTTGTATAAATTTGTGTTCTTTATTTTTCTCTAGGCCTCTTGAGGGTAAGAACGTAATATTTCTTTAGGTTCATTAGTACATAGTAGATGCTCAGTATATTTTGCTGATTTGAAATTAATCCTGTATTAAGTGCTCCTTAATAAATGAAATAGCTGGAAAACAAAATTTACCATTTTAACTTCCTTATGGACATTATACCAATCATTCAAATACAAACTAGGTAAATGCGCAAAAGTAAAAGTTACAGCTATTTCACTTGTGTGTATTCTTCCGTTGTACTGCTTTTATTTTATTTATTTATTTAAGAGATGAGGTCTTAAATGTTGCCCAGGCTGAATTCAGCTCCTGGGTTTAAGTGATTCTGCTGCCTCAGCCTCCCAAGTAGCTAGGACTATAGTCACATGCAATGACACTTGGCAGTATACTGCCTTTATTTAAGTAGAACATGCCACTTGGTGACATTTAATCATTCTACATTTGTTTTTCATTATGGCCATGCCATGTAGAGATTATGATTATAGAATCAAAAAGTCCTGGGTTTGCATCCTACCTTTCTCTCTCAGCTATGCAATCCTTATTATCCTCATTTATGAAATAGGGAATTCTACCTCATGGAATTGTTGTGAGAATTAAGAGATAATGGGCATAAAGTATTTGGCAAATGCAGAGGAAGGATCATTTTGAACCTGTCTTCTGGAATTAGTTTTCTTAATAGGGTTTCATCTGTGTTTCTTACCAGAGGTCAAAAATTATCAGTTGTTTTTGTTTATAGGGTTTTTTTTTTTTTTTTTTTTTTTTTGAGACGGAGTCTCGCTCTGTCGCCCAGGTGGGACTGCGGACTGCAGTGGCGCAATCTCGGCTCACTGCAAGCTCCGCTTCCCGGGTTCACGCCATTCTCCTGCCTCAGCCTCCCGAGTAGCTGGGACTACAGGCGCCCGCCACCGCGCCCGGCTAATTTTTTTTGTATTTTTAGTAGAGACGGGGTTTCACCTTGTTAGCCAGGATGGTCTCGATCTCCTGACCTCATGATCCACCCGCCTCGGCCTCCCAAAGTGCTGGGATTACAGGCGTGAGCCACCGCGCCCGGCCGGTTTTTTTTTTTTTTTTTTAACAGACATAATGCCATGTTTTAAAAATAGTGTTAAACATGTATATTATAAAACATTTGGCAAATACAAAATAGTGTATAGAAAAGAATAATAATCCTCCCTTTAAAAGGTTACCATTGTTACCATCTGCTATATTTTCTTCTAGTTGGTTTACTATGGCTGTACTACATGTTGGGTTATCTTCCGTTCACTTAAAATATCATGAGCATTCCGAAGTCATTCGAGACAGTTAACAGAATGAAAGTATAGGTTGGTGTTCAATTGGAAAACATGATGGTATTTGAAGCATTAAAAAATACATGTTTTTTTATTATAAACCTGATAAAATGTTTGCTCCAGAAAAATTTATCTCAGTGATAACTCAAATTATTTATAAAAATTATTTCTGAGGAACAAATTTGTATTGTGCTATAAAAGGAAATGTTTTTGAATGTATGAACTTTAGTTATTCTTTGGTTATTTTATTATATAATGCCTATTTTTATTGATACTGAAGCTAGTTTGTCTTATGGAATTGTAATAAATGTTTACACTATTCTAAAATACAAGAGCACATTGTGATACACAAGGGGTTTATAGTAAATATCATGTCTTCTGTATTTTTGAGAAAGATTTATGAATGCCTGTATTTTCAAGTCATCTTCTTATGAATTACTCTAGCAGTTCCTACAGAGGTTGACAGCTACCATAGCCTATTCCCTCTAGAACCACTGCCACCTCCCAACCGGATACAGAAATCAAGTAATTTTGGATATATTACATCTTGCTACAAAGCTGTAAACAGCAAAGATGATCTGCCATATTGCCTTCGGAGGATACATGGTAAGGAAGATAAGTTATCTTCTTTTATAATCGTATCATTGAGGCTAAGATTATTCAAACCTTCTTGAATATATTATTTAATATATGAATTAAAAATTTTTATTTGGAAATTAGTACCTCATGAGCAATGTATAAATATGGCAATTTTTTTCCATTTCTGATGGAATATGAAGGAGACGTCAATTAGAGTTTACTGGAGTAGAAAAATTGTCTTCCAGGTTTTCGTCTTGTTAACACAAAGTGCATGGTGTTGGTCGACATGTGGAAGAAAATTCAACACTCAAATATCGTAACTTTGCGTGAAGTATTTACCACTAAAGCATTTGCTGAGCCCTGTGAGTAACTTGTAATTTGTCTTTCTGCTGGTGAGCTTCATTATTTGAAGCCAGCTTTCAGTAATGAGTGTTTGTGTTTTATTTTAAGCTCTTGTGTTTGCATATGATTTCCATGCTGGAGGAGAAACTATGATGAGCAGACACTTTAATGACCCTAATGCTGATGCCTACTTCACCAAGAGAAAGTGGGGTAAGAAAAAGATGCAGGCAAACTATATTTTGACTAATGCTTTTGCTCTGTGGAAGAGTAGTTTTCTATTTTAAAATACGTATAATTTTTCCCTGTAATCATTTAGTTTAAAGACTCTATTACATTTTGTACTAGTTGTTTTCATGTTCCTGATAAAGACATACCCGAGACTGGGCAATTTACAAAAGAGAGAGGTTTAATGAACTTACAGTTCCATGTGGCTTGGGAGGTCTCACAATCATGGCAGAAGGTGAAAGGCATGTCTCACATGGCGGCAGACAAGAGAAGTGAATGAGAGCCAAGTAAAAGGGGTTTCCCCCTGTAAAACTGTCAGATCTCATGAGACCTATTCACTACCACGAGAACAGTATGGGGGAAATTACCCCCATGATTCAGTTATCTCCCACCAGCTCCCTCCCACAACACTGTGGGAATTATGGGAGTTACAATTCAAAATGAGATTTGGGTGGGGACGCAGCCAAACCATATCACATTTTAAAAAGAAATATGTCAAAGAAATGGAGATGATGGTCAAGAAGTTAGGAAATAATGTCTTTTGCATATTTACTAAGATAAGATAGATTTTTGAAGACTCACATAGATATCAGATATTTAACTGGAAATGTGTTAAAATTGTTTTTCTCTTTAAAATGTTTTTCTTTTAAAAATATGATGCTTTCTTAATAAAGGTGACTTGGAAAATTCAATAGCTTAGAAATAGTCTCTCTGGCTTCCCTGCCTAAGTACAACCATTGTGAATCTTTTAGTACATTTCTTTTCAATCTTGCTTTGTTTTGTTTTTGTCTCCTTTTGCATTGTTTTTTGTTTTAACCTTTTATATCATATTACATCTTTTCTTTATTATAGGTATTTTCCCCATAGTTTTTATATTCTCTGAATATAATTTAATGATTCCTATTATGACTATATTGTTCTTTATGTAATTATTTCCCTAAACAAATGCTTTTGTTTGAAGGTTGGATTCCATGTTACTTAATCTAAGGTTTCAAAATAGAATTTTAAGTAACTTTTCCTTAAACATGAAATATTTTCTTCTTTGTCCCTTTCTAATATATACTTAAAGAATTGTTTTATCATTGAGATTTTGCAAACAACCAGAATACTTGAATTCTAACAAATGTGTGTTAAAGGGTAAATGATTTCAGAGAAAAGTAAATCCATTTTGAGATGTCTATTCATTAATTTATGTATTTAGGGAAGGTCTCAGTCTATGGGGGCAAGAAAGCAGCATCACGTTATTATGCTTTTTAATCTTAAGATTTTCTTGACTTGAAAATTAAAGAGGAGGGGAGAAAGATTTGAGTCCATATTCTAGTATCTTTCAGATTACAACTCCTTTCAAGACTCTAATTATAGACAAAAATATATTACTTCTGTTTACTTGTTACTTCTTTTTTTTTGCATCCTGACAGTTGAAAAAAGAAAGTTGTGGTTACATGGCTGTTTCACATTTAAAATCTGGTCATAGAATGTGGTCATTTTTTTCCTTTTGCTATGTCATCTGTAGACACATGCATAATTTTGTGGAAGGGGATGTGGTACAACTATTCTTATAGATGACTATAGTTGTTGCTCAAATTTATTTTGGTAGTAACACCTGTGAAATGACTGTTGGCTTTAATTTATAACTGTGTTTCTCAACTGCTTAAGTTTTTGTGGGGGCTGTCTTATGCATTTCAGAATGTTTATAGTGGCCTCTTCTGACTGAAGGGCCTGGCTTCTGCCTACTGAATGCCAGTAGCAATCCCCCTCTACCCCTATTGTAATGCCAGAAATATCTCCAGATGTTGCCAAATGCTGGAGTGGTTTCTTTTGAGAACCACTCTTTTATAGCATTCTTTTCCAGTAATTTTTTAATCATAATTATTCTGTTTTTGGTGTTCACTGATTAATATATTAATGTTTATATTTTCATAGGAAGTAGTCCTTTTTTCTAATAGTTTAAAATATTGTTTGAGTAGTCGTAACTTCCCTAACCATACCATACATGCATAAAAGCCTACCATTTTCTTACACTATGTAATTTATTATCTTAGCACAAGTGAAAAAAAAAAGCAAAGTATAAGAAATATATTGATTTAGAAAATGAGAAGAATAGCATACCATGTGGAGTTGATACGAGATTCAGAATGAGTCTATATCAGTAAAACAACTAGAACAGAGTCTGGCACACAGTAAGCACTATATGTTTGCTGCAAAAACTCTTGTTTCCTTATTACTACATTAATTAAATAGTTTCATTTAAACAGTTCATAGTCATTTTTCACATTGTCTTGGCATTTGTTACCGGTCCCATTTTTTTGAGCCTTCTTACACATATTTCCAGAGTATATTATCTTCTGTTCTGTCCAAATTGAGAGATAATTATTTTTAATTTTGTATGTGCTGCTTACCAGAAATTTTATTCCAAGCCATAAGTACATATTTGCTATTTATTATAAGTACATAATTAACCATTTAATTATGTTGCTTTTTATAACTGATTCACAAAAGGTTGTTTTACAACAATATGAATATAAGATCAGCAGGGTGTAGGGACTCATGCTTGCAATCTCAGCACTTAGGGAGGCTGAGGCAGGTAGATCATTTGAGCCCAGGAGTTGGAGATCAGCCTGGGCAATGTAGCAAAAGTGTCTCTACAAAGAAAAGAATATAAGGTCATATTCCTTGGAATAATTACAAAATCTTGATTAAATTTATATGTCTCCTTTTCTACTGATTTACAACATATTAACAATGACCTAGAAAATATTATCAAAAACCACTTAATGAGTTGATAGAATCCACCTTTGTGGTAGAGGGGCCTGAGTGATATAAGGAAAACAAACATTCAACATAAGTGATGGTAGAGACTTTTATTTCCATCAAGCCACACAATGAACAGCTCTCACATGCCTAAACAATAATACAGGGTAGGATTAGCCAGCCACATTTTAAGTAGAAAAACCTCTACGGTTTCTGTTTTTATATTTATTTGGTTAACAATTACATATAAATTCTTACTTTAAGTAATTTTTATTCAATAATTAAGTGGTTACAGAAAAGAGCATTTCAGTGAGAGCCCTATTGCTGGTATCAATATAAAAGGCATAATCTCGGACAGGAATCTTTGGGCAATAGACTAAACTTAAATTACACACATACATACACACACATATATAAATTGACATGTTGTGCCATGAGTGTACATGAATTGTCTTTGCTAATTTTGATGTTAATGCTTTAGTCTTTTAGTTGATTACTTAAGATGTCATTTTTTGGATTTCTTTGCTGTATAGGTCAGCACGAGGGACCATTGCCCAGGCAGCATGCTGGATTATTGCCAGAATCTCTTATTTGGGCATATATTGTCCAACTAAGTTCTGCATTGCGTACCATTCATACAGCAGGTTTGGCATGTCGAGTTATGGATCCAACAAAGATTCTGATAACTGGCAAAACAAGGTACTAGCATTTTGAGTTTTGGTTTCTTTTATTGAGCGTCTTACCTTTGACAGCTTAGTAAACAAAACATGATTGTTTTAATTCTGCCTTTTCATATATTCCATCCAGAAGAACTTCTGTAACTTTGAATTCATTTGTAAGCTTTTTAAAGAAAAAAAAAAAGTTGAACTCTGAATAAAATGCCTGGTTATTAACCAAAAATCTTGGGAAAGGTTAGGGAAGTATATGTGGTTAGGGTTAGGGGAATATAAAAATAATATCAATACAACTTTTCTATGTAGCACCATGGTTCACAAATTCTAGCATGAATCAGAATCACCTGGAGGACTTACAAAACACAGCTTGCTGGGCCCTACCCCCAGAGATTTTCATTCATAAGTCTGCATTGGGGCCTAAGTATTTGCATATTTAACAAGTTTCTAGGTGTTGCCATTGCTGCTGTTGAGTCACATGCTTTGAGAACAACTGGTACAGTTATCAGTCTTGTCTTCACCTGAGTTTTGAGTTGCTGTAATTTTGTGATTGTCTTGGGCTGCATAACATAAAGAGCTGAAGATCTGGTACCAAGTTATTTAAGTTCATATCCTGGCTTTGATAGTTTACTGTCGATATGCCGTTGAACAAGTTACTTCTTCAAATTGTGTTTTGACAACCTTATTAGACAAGTGTACTACTAACTCCATTCTGCTTATTTATGAGGTACCCCTCATAAAGTTATTGAGGGATTTGAATGAGTCATGTAAAATGCTTAGAACAGTGTCTGGTACATCTTTTGCAAGTGTTAGAAAGCTAACTAGTTCTCTTTTATGAATGACTAATAAACAGCTTGGAATGGTGAAAAGGACACTGACCTGTTAGTCAAGAGATGTGAGTTATAGTTCTGGCTTTCTCAGTTTCTGACTTTTACAGCTGTAGGTATATCACTTGATATCTCTGAGCCTTAATTTTACCATTTCTAAAATGGTGGTTGGTGGAGGTGGTGTGGGGTAGGATGGAAGTTAAACTCAATTCTGAGATCCTTCCTAATATTTTGGGAAATGTTACTTTTCCATGAGTATGCAATTTTTTAAAAACTTATTTTAATTATTTTCTTTAAATTATCTGGTCCTTAAAGGTTGCGAGTAAATTGTGTTGGAGTTTTTGATGTTTTAACATTTGATAACAGTCAAAATAATAATCCATTGGCATTAATGGCCCAGTACCAGGTGAGTAAGAATTAACATGGATATTTACTTGTTTTCCTTTATTAAAGACAAATTTTGTTCATTTTAAAGTATTTCAGTGTTTTAAGCCTAGATTTTAATTTATTTTGGGGTGGTGTCTATGCAGACTTTGAACATGTATCTCCCCCTCCCCTCCCTCTCTTTTCTTCCTTTCCTTTCCCCTCTCTATTTCTTTCTCTCTCTTTTCCTTTCTATTCTTTTGCTTCTGTCTTGCTCTGTCACCTGGGCTAGAGTGCAGTGGTGCTGTCAGCTCACTGCAGCTTTTGAACTGGGCCCAAGCAATCGTCTCGCCTCAGCCTCCCATGTAGCTGGGACTACAGATGTGCACTACTGTGTCTGGCTAAAATTTTTTTTATTTTTATTTTTTGTAGAGATAGAGGCTCACGATGTTGCCCAGGCTGTATTTCTTAACCATTATGATGTACTTAGTGTAGAGCCCTTGTGGGTTGGAATAAAGAGAATTCATGACAATGTCAGAGACTCTTTTTTTTTTTTTTGAGGCAGAGTTTCACTCTTGTTGCCCAGACTGGAGTGCAATGGCGCGATCTCAACTCACCACAACCTCTGCCTCCCAGGTTCAAGCGATTCTCCTGCCTCAGCCTCCCGAGTAGCTGGGATTACAGGCATGCACCACCATGCCTGGCTGATTTTGTATTTTTAGTAAAGACAGGGTTTCTCCATGTTGGTCAGGCTGGTCTTGAACTCCTGACCTCAGGTGATCCGCCTGCCTCGGCCTCCCAAAGTGCTGGGATTACAGGCATGAGCCACTGTGCCCGGCCTCCTGATAACGTCAGAGACTCTTAACTGTTCAAAATGAAAATGTATTTATGTGATTTAGGAAACGTGTCCTAAGCATAGATAGATTAAAACAAGACTAATCAGATGAATGGATTATATTAAATGACACCCTTCTTTTTCACTCCTTTAATTACACCTATTATTTTTACTTTTAGAACACTTGTCTGACTACCAGTCATGAAATTTTAGAAATGTTTTCATAGGTTTGTTATTGGATTGCCATTTTCTAAGTAATTTTTTTATTTAGTCAGAACATACCACTCACTTCTTATACTTTATTAGTATTTGATTATTGTCTGACTTCATTTTATTAGTGTTGATTTAGGCCTCGTGATGCTTCTTAGCTATTTTGCTGTTTCTTATTTCCTGATTTAAATGATAAAGTATCGAAGAATAAGAACGTATCTTCAAGCATTAAGAACAGTTGCTTTAGGCCAGGTGTGGTGGCTCACACCTGTAATCCCAGCACTTTGAGAGGCTGAGGTGGGCAGATCACTTGAGCTCAGGAGCTGGAGACCAGCCTGGCCAACATGGTGAAACCCCACCTCTCCTAAAAATACAAAGATTAGCCAGGTGTGGTGGCACACACCTGTAGTCCAGCTACTCAGGAGGCTAAGGCAGGAGAATCGCTTGAACCTGGGAGGCGGAGGTTGCAGTGAGCTGAGATCGCACCACTGCACTCCTGCCTGGGTAACAGAGCTAGACTCCATCTCAAAAAAAAAAAAGAGAATAGTTGTTTTTGCCTTGATTACTCTGCAAGTAACAAAACTAAAGTAAATAGGTCATTCAGTTTGTATTGGAATGCTTCACATTAGGATAGGCAGCTATGATTTTAAGACAATTTTAGTTCTTTGTGTATAAGAAGTTTTTGGGTTTTTTGAACATTTATTAACTTACAAAGGTTTGCTCTAAGGCAGAATTTCTTAATTACATGGAGAAACACCTTATTCTTCTCTTTTCAACTTATTTTGTTTAAAGTTTTGGAAGAAGATTTTAGTTCACTGATAGAATTTCAGAACAAAAAGAGAACAAAAAGGATAAAATGAGAAGTAGAGTCTAATCAGTGTTTAGTATTTCAGTTCATGCATAAATCTGTTTTGCTCGTAAACCACAGAGAATACAGTCCCAAAGACTTGCAGGCACTCATTGCATTCAGTTGTTTGCAGACGTTTCACACCCTTCTTTCCCTCTGCTTGTGCCCACCTAACCTCAGCAGCAGCCAAGCTGTTCTGGTTGATAGCAACATCTAGTGGGCAACACAGGGAGGAATATGATTAGTTCTGTTTTTCCCCCAGCAGCATCATTCTGTTCTTCTGCCTGAGGGCATTTGCCCCCTCTTTCTTATCTGGAGACATTGTTTCTTAGCTACTTTCATTCTTATCTTCTCTCTTATACTTAGTGCCTAGGTAGTTGGCTCCGATTAATTTTTCTTTATGACCTTTATGCTTCCAAAAGTGACAGATTATTGACTGTTAAAATATTAGTGAATATATACACTTGGATATACATCCAAGCAGATAATATTAAATTTTTGAAGGAAAATTACACATTTTTAGAGCCAGTACCATCATCTTCTAATGTAAGTATCTAGAAACCCGTGTCTGCATTAAAAAAAAAAAAAACTGCACACGCTCCTCATTCTTTTCTCAGTAGGGTTCCTTTTCAAGTATGTTATGAGTCGTGTAGTTACCTTGAAAAACAAAACTTTTCATAAGAAAAAAATCCCTGAGTTCAGACAACCAACTTTAAGCATTTAGGGCACCTTATTAATATTTGTAAGTCAGGATATGCCTTCATTCATAAAATCAGGCAACCTTCAATTAATTATCACCTGTTTATTTTTTTCAGCATTAAAGGATATATATCAGGCTTTCTTTTTTTGGGTATATATGTGTAGCTGATTTTTTATATTGCTTATTATAGTAAGGTATAGGAAAGAATTAAAGATAGTCCCAAAGGGGGAGTGTGATTTTACAGAGAAGAGGATACATGAGGAGTGCATTGTTTCTTGTAGTCTATTTTTCATAGTTTGTTTCAGACACGTGAATAGAGACTGACTTTGAGTAAAATGGACATAAGTAGAGCCATAGATAGAATCAGAAAAAGAAATCAAGAAGTCAAGAATCAGGAAGAAACTGAAAATCAGTTGGGGGGCAAATCTCCTGAATTCAACAAATGGGGGGAAACCAGATGGAGGTAAGAAGCAAAATAACAAATGGAAAATTATTTAGCTGAGAAATAAGGAAAGGAGAGTTACTGGGTTTTACGGTGTGAAACTCTCTTAAGATTTTATTAACTTCTTTTGTTTAAAAAAACAACTCTAATTTAATCTGGACTGTGTCATACATGTACTTTATTTCAAAAAGTGGATGTTCTTACCTTGAGTCCGCTTTAGAGAGGTGATGGGATGTACTAAAAATCAGATGTTATTTTTTAAACCCATCTGGTTCTTCAGCTCTCTTGGACCATTTTGGTTTTCTGTCTCATAATAGAGAATAATGGAATATTCTGGGAGGGAGGCTTAATACAGCATCAGTTCAGGGTGGAACCAAACTGAAAATTCTGCTGCTTGAAGAGTTGGAAGACTGTGTGTTGGTACCTGCTGCTCAAACACGTGATAAATAACAACAATCTTTGGTATGCTTTGCTGGATACTTTGGATTGAATCGCCCATAGAAATTTATAGTTGGCATTTATATGCACTGATTTCTTTTGGCTGAGATTTCTGTAATTTCATGAATATAACTTGGAATGTTTTACTTGATCTAAAGTGTGATTGAGAGGAATTCTTTTTGGAGTTCATCACAGTGTCCTCCAGCAAACAGAAATGATGGCAACAGTAATAGTTCTCCTTCCCATGCCAGCTTCCCTCCTGCCATTCTGGGCTCCTGACTCTATCACCAGTGAAGTTTTAAAAGTTTTCTGGGATGAATCTTTGAATCTTTTCTAATAGATTCAAAGTAGTTTGTCTACCTAATCAGTCTGTCTCCTTATCTCATGTTCAGTGTCAGATTCACAAATGCTAGTTTTGGATAAATTTTTTAGTATGAACTTTTAAATGTTATTTTAGTAATGGAGTTTAACGTCTTTTTACTCATTATTTGGGTAGGCTGTTGTTAAGTATAACCATATAATGCTAGAATTTCACTAATGATTGCCTTAAAGTTACAAATATTCCAACAAACCAGTGGTTCTCAATCCTGGCTGCATATTACCATCATTTGTGGAAGCTTAGAAAAATACCAATACCTAGATTTTTATCCCAGACTAATTATACCAAAATTGGGACGAGGGGATGGCTACTGCTGATTTTGGTTTTGTTTTTAAGCTTCTCAAGTGATGGTAATATACAGCTATGCTTGAAAATTCCTTATAATAAACGAATGTTCAGTAAATGAACGTGTGTCTAATAATTTAGATGAGTTCTCAGATTTTAAAGATCTGCAAATGTCTGTTGTAGAAATTGCTTCAGGTGGTTTCATGTTAACTCTGAAGTACTCCATTCTTGAAGGCATGTGGTTGTTAATAGCTTCCTACCAATCAGGGCCACTTGGGATGACCATACTGTTTCCTGGAGTTATAATAGGTGATAAAGGACTTAATTCAGCCAGCTGTCTTTTGAAAATCCTTTTAGAAGGAAAGCCTCAGAATGGTAAATCTTGAGTGGGAGAGGTTTTAGGAAAGCAGGTGGTGGTTCCAGAGCTCAAAGATCTGTTAGAGTGTGAGGAAAAATAGTCTATTTGGAAACAAAGATAGATGGGATGTCATTCATTGAGGTTTGCAGCATTTTTGATGTTCTAGAGAATTTGCTCTAAAATCTGGTTAATGCTAATGTTTGTAATAGGATAACTTTTCTTCAGATAATCCTTCACATTCCCACTATATTCTGGGAGTTACAGAAAATGAGCAAAGTATGTATGTTAAGTTATAGTGGTCATAGCAAAGCAAATGTATAGTAACCTTAAATTTGTTGTAATAGAGAAGAATATTACCTCTATTTAAATAAGAAAAAATTAGAAAAACTTTTTAAAAGTGGCAATTTGTAGTTGGCATGGGAATTGCTTAAAGTCTCTTAAGGCGTGGACCTAGAACTACCTTCATCAGAATTACCTGGGTGCTTTAAAAATGTTGAGCCATTTTCTGGACCCACCCAATGAGAATCTCTGGTAGAGAGGCTCGAAGTCGTCTTTTTAATAAGCTCCAGGTTATTCTGAGAATCACCAGTATTTGAGGACCCTGCCTGCAGCTTATTTATAATGATGCTTTTTCCATTTAGGCAGTAGTGTCAGTGTATTAAATGAGTACCTGTGAAATGAAAATTAAAAGTTATATTTATTCTTTCATGTCAGCAAGCAGATCTGATATCATTAGGAAAAGTTGTGTTGGCTTTGGCTTGCAACTCTTTGGCAGGAATTCAGCGAGAGAATTTACAGAAAGCCATGGAACTGGTGACAATCAACTATTCCTCTGACCTGAAGAATCTGATTTTGTAAGTTTTAATATATGATAAATTGTACAGAATGATTATTTGCGATAAGACAGAGCTTTTTTTGTTTTAAGTGATTGTTTTGGTTCCCACTATTTAAAATCAAGCAAAACAGAAACTTTATGTCTTTATTTTTATTGCAAAGTAAATATTTCTTAGATAAATTGATAAACCAGTGTGTTTAAATTAGTTATTGATGTTTTAAACATTTGGTTAAAGGGCACCCAGTAGAAGTTTGTTGGTATCCACTAGCTACATGTGACCTTTTACATTGATATTAATTGAAATTTAAAGCTTACTTCTTCAATTACACTAGTCACATTTCAAGAGCTCAGCAGCCACATGTAATTACTGGCTAATATAATTGGACAGCACAGACATAGAATATTTCCCTCATCTTGGAGTTCTGTTGGATAGTGCTGCTCTAGAGAGTGTGAAAGCCATCATGAGTAAGCCTCAGGTGCAATCCAGTCATGTACTCTGGCCAAAATACCCATTCTGGAAAGCATTTGTGTGGAGACCCCCATGCTTACACTCCAGTATCTTAACGCTCCAGAGAATCCTTGAGTATCGATTTGAGATGAATTTGGCTTAAGAGAAACCCATTGTGTGGACTACTGTCACAACAGAAGGACTTCTCCGTAAGATATAGCTACTATTGGGAGATCCCAGAGGGTGGGCAACCACGACCTTTATTACAGTTATGAGCTATATTAGAGAAGAGGTGCTAATCAACAGTCTCTTTTAGCTTACAGCTGCCCATTCTGATCTTTCTGTGTAGCCCTGGATGATCCAGTTTCTTTTTGGACCAGCCCTGGGGTATGAATTGGGGGATGGAGGGTGGGATTGCCCACCTGTTCTTTGTTACACTGGCATAAATGTCCTACTTGTGACAGCACTAGAAGCCAGTGGTTGTCTGGATCCTATTCATAATCAAATTCAAATAAGATGATTTATCTTCTGAATAAAAATACTTGTTTTATATATGATCACAACAGTGATTCCTAGCCTTAGTTTGCAAATACCTAGGATGCCTCAAATAATTTCAGGTTATAATCTCTAAATTTTCCTTTTTAAAAAAGTGGGGATAGAGGACAAAAATAATCAGCCATATGTTAATAATTATTGAAACTGGGTGATGATACATGGGGATTCATTATATTACTATTCTATTATAAATGTTTGAAATTTTCTTTATTAAAAAAATGAATAAACAAAAAAGCCATACTTTAATAATAAACACAAACTAAAGTTTATGGAGTAATTAAACCATGTATCGGGCCCTTTCAAACTGCTTGATGTGAATTAATTTTTTTAATTCTCCCAATAACTCTATAAATTAGATACCATTATTAGTCCCATTTTAGAGTTACAAAACTGAGCCACAGAGATAAAATAACTTGCCAAAGTCACATAGCCTGTAATAACATTAAATATGATTAGCAGGGTACACATATGTCCATACTTACGGATGAATTGCTAAGATATAGTTTATTCACATGGGTATAGCTATTCATTTATCCACAAAAATGATGACTACTATATGCCAAATGCAGGATACTTTGAATGAGGTGAACAAAATTCCCATCTTCTGGAGCTTACACCCTAATGGGAAGAAAGAGTAAATAAACATAAAAACCAGTGAGATATTTTCAGGTAGTGATAAGACCTATGAAGAAAATAAGAGAATTACAAGCAGAAGAGTGAAGGAGTGAGTAGGAGGCTGCTTTCATGAGAAAGGGCAGAGAATGGCTTTACGTATAGAATAAGCGGCAGTAGATGATTGAGAATCTTTGTGTTCTAACAGGTAGCCCTTGAAATGTGTAGTATTTTCTGCCACTGTTCTAATGATAGAAGAAATTTAACTGGTTCCTTCTGCTGCGTGTTACTGCATTTCTCAGAAATGAATATGTCATGATACCTTGTAAATTAAGTTTTAGAGCAGAGGACAGCTTCTTAAAAAGGCTCATTCAGTTTAGCAAAATTGAAAACCCAGTTTTAGTTCTGAAAATTAATCTTTGCAAAACAACAGGAAAAGCTCCCCACCCCACACCTACCCCCTTTTAGTCCTCTCAAAAAAGTTTCTAAAAACCTTTTCTTTTTTGGCCGGGTGCAGTGGCTCACACCTGTAATCCCAGTGCTTTGGGAGGCCAAGGCAGGTGGATCACAAGGTCAAGAGATTGAGACCATCCTGGCCAACATGGTGAAACCCTGTCTCTATTAAAAATAGAAAAAAATTATCTGGGCTTGGTGGCGCACGCCTGTAGTCCCAGTTATTCACGAGGCTAAGGCAGGAGAATTGCTTGAACCCAGGAGGCAGAGGTTGCAGTGAGCCGAGATCACGCCACTGCACTCCAGCCTGGCAATAGAACGAGACTCTGTCACCAAAAAAAAAAATTCTTTCTATTAATTTATTTTTGTTTTTTGTTTGTTTCCTTTTTTTTGAGATGGAGTTTCACTTTGTTGCCCAGGCTGGAGTGCAGTGGTGCCATCTCAGCTCACTGCAGCCTCTGTCTCCTGGGTTCAAGCTATTCTCCTGCCTCAGCCTCCTGAGTAGCTGGGACTACAGGTGCCCGCCACCATGCCCAGCTAATTTTGTATTTTTAGTAGAGACGGGGTTTCACCGTGTTGGCCAGGCTGGTCTTAAAGTGATCCACCTGCCTCGGCCTCCCAAAGTGCTGGGATTACAAGTGTGAACCACTGCACCTGGCCTGTAACAATCTTTTCATCTAGCACTATTGTAAAGAAGGGTTTGAGAATGGAAATGGGTAAGTGCAGTCCTACTTCACTTTTCTTTCTCATTTCCATAGTAGTGAAAATGTAGAGAAGAGACATGTTTACTGTTTCTCCATTGGCTGTTACAGTTTTCCAGAGGAATGAAATGTAATATTTAAGAATGAACTTGACTTGCATGAATTAAAATGTTTTCAAAATTTTGTGTGCTAAGATGACGGCAGCCAAAACAGCTATGTTTGGGTTATCTTGTTTTTTAAATTGCATGTTGGACATCCAAGTAATTCCTCTTTTATCTTGGGTAGGTATTTGTTGACTGACCAAAACAGGATGCGAAGTGTAAATGACATCATGCCCATGATTGGTGCTCGATTTTATACTCAATTGGATGCTGCTCAAATGAGAAATGATGTCATAGAGGAAGACCTTGCAAAGGTAAAGAGTGTAAATTTTTTTTTTTTTTTTTTTTTTTTGAGACAGAGTCTTGCTTTGTCACCCAGGCTGGAGTGCAGTGGTGCTATCTCGGCTTACTGTAACCTCTGCCTCCTGGGTTCAAGCGAGTCTCCTGCCTCAGCCTCCCAAGTAGCTGGGATTACAGGTGTACGCCACCACACCCCGCTATTTTTGTATTGTTAGTAGAGACGGGGTTTCACCATGTTGGCCAGGCTGGTCTTGAGCTCCTGAGCTCAAGTGATCCGCCCGCCTCAGCCTCCCAAAGTGCTGGGATTACAGGCGTGAGCCATTGCACCTGGCCAGTAAAGAGTGTAATTAAAAGAATGTACACACAACTTGCATCTGTGTATATAAATAGACACAAAATAATCATTGTACTAAATATAATGCCTTATTTGCTAAGATTTCAGATATTTTTGTCGGCACTGAATGTTTGGTATTTTAATTTCTTATGTCCTCTGGACAACACTGTTCTTTTCATTCATGGCTTTGCTACAGTCATGTGACAAAAATCTTGGTTTTTCATGTGAGTTACTTTTCCAATTCCTATGGACAGCTCCATAATCTTCTTGAGTACCATTATGAAATGAAATGGACATATTGTGTTTGTTTAAAAGTATAACCAAAAGGTGGGGATGTTAGGATTTATTGTTTAAAGGTAATATTGGTACAGGTTACCAGTTTTTGTAAATTTTGGCTTTTATGTTCAGTTATCTGGAACATTAACATTTTTCTCTTTTTAAAATGTTTTATAGGAGGTTCAAAATGGAAGACTGTTTAGGCTCCTAGCAAAATTGGGAACAATCAATGAGAGGCCGGAGTAAGGATTTACAGTATTTTACAATATATTTTTAATCGAGAGCACTATTTTGCATAATAAGAATAAGTATGCCTGGCTTTATTTGGAAAAAGAGAAAAATTCTCATGTGAAGTGACCTTAAGATTGTGTTAGCTGTTAAGGTGCTATTTTTAACAACAGCCTAGGTGTGGCTGTCCTTACGAATTTTACACACATGTATACACACAGAAAATATGGTGTGTTAGAAATCTCTTGTGGTTTGCACATGAGGGCACATTTTATGACTAATACTACCTCTACCCTATCTTCTTTTTGAGGAAGAAGTTTCATGTAAGTTTACCCTGGTCAGTTTAGAGACTTGAGAAATCTCTAATTTTTGCATGCCTCTTACCTTCTATTAAAGCACACTTTTTTTTTTTTTTTTTTTTCTTGAGACGGAGTCTCCCTCTGTCGCCAGGCTGGAGTGCAGTGGCACAATCTCGGCTGACTGCAACCTCTGCCTCCCAGGTTCAAGCGATTCTCCTGCTTCAGCCTCCCAAGTAGCTGGGACTACAGGTGTGCACCACCATACCCAGCTAATTTTTGTATTTTTAGTGGAGATAGGGTTTCACCATGTTGGCCAGGGTGGTCTGGTCTTGAACTCCTGACTTCAGGTGATCCACCTGCCTTGGCCTCCCAAAGTGCTGGGATTACAGGCATGAGCCACCACGCCTGGCCTAAAGTATACTTTTTATAGCCATCATATAAGTGACATTGGAAAGGCATTACCTTTTACACTATTTGTCACTTAGTTCCACCTCATTTGTAAGTTAATGTTAACCATATATACATAAGCAGAGTCGATGTTTGTACTACATAACTGTCAAAGACAGGTAGAACAGAATTTGCAATTACTATGACTATATACGTAAGTTACATTTCAGGAATGTTTGATTTGTTAATAGAGATAGGTGAGAGATAAATACTATTACTTGAGGGGTTGTTTTTTTTTTTTACCATGGAATTCAAGTCCACTTGCTTTTCTTCAAAGTCGAAAGACTCATTTAGTGTCTTCCCTAATAATTTTTCTAAGTGAAGAGAACATAACAATATATGTTAAACCATTTTTAATAAACTTTTAGCTGTTTCTTCTAGCATTTATCTCTTTACTTTAAAATGTCTGCTTATAGTTCTATTCTTGATTCCCCCAATATATAATTCAGCTAATGACTCATCCTCTTCCCTACACACGTGCACGCACGTGCACACACACATGCACACATGAGTTGAATCTGTATTTAGTGTTACAAAACACCTCTCCCATGCGGTCAAAAATAGGTAACCTATCAGTTCCTTTTTTTCCCTCCCACCTAGAGAATTGGCTCTGGATCCTCTGCACTTCCTGTTCCTATCTGGGCTGGTTATGCTTTAAGCCTGCACGTGCTTACACTTTAGAACTGGAACTTCCCTTCAGTATTATCTGGGAATTCTCATTATCTCTCTGTGTTGGATACCCTGTTTTCTTGCTTTATTCCTTGGTTTGTTTATTTATTTATTTATTTATTTATTTTGACTTAATGGAGCATGTCCTTGTAGCTTCCTGAAAAAGGTGAGTTTTTTTAGTCTTGCAAGTTTGAAAATGGCATTATTCTACTTTCACACATTATTGATACTGTGAATGCATACTAAATTCTAGATTGTCCTCAGAAAATTTTTCCTTTTTTTTTTTGAGAGGGAATCTCGCTCTATCCCCCAGGCTGGAGTGCAATGGCGCATTCTTGGCTCTCTGCAACCCTCGCCTCCCAGGATCAAGCGATTCTCCTGCCTCAGCTTCCAGTGTAGCTGGGATTACAGGCGCATGCCACCATGCCCAGCTAATTTTTGTATTTTTGGTAGAGACAGGGTTTCACCATGTTGTCCAAGCTGGTCTCGAACTCCTGACCTCAGGTGATCCACCTGCCTCAGCCTTCCAAAGTGCTAGGATTACAGGCATGAGTCACTGTGCCCAGCCAGGAAATTATTCTTATTAATTAAATTTTTTAAATAGGTTGTCTATGAATAAAGTAAAAAGTAGGAAAAGTTTGCAGTGAAAACTGTAAAAGTCTCTCTTTCATACCTGACATCCCCAATATCTATTCCCAGTTTCCCCCATCAGTCTATATTTTTAGTTTCTTCTGTATTATTCCAGAGTTACAAATACAACTATATATTCTTATCCCCTCCCCCTTTAAATATATAAAAATTGTAAACCATACACAGTATATTTTATCATAACAGCGTGTTTTAGAAATCTTTCTATTTAGATATGTTTAGTATATGCCAAGCACTATTCAAAATAGTTTACAAATATGACCTGACTTATTCCTCATAACAACCCTATGATGGAGTTACCATTGTTATTCCTATTTAACAGAGTAATTGCAGCATAGAGAGGTTAAATAACTTGAACAAAGGTTGCGTAATTAATAAGTATATGATCCAGGACTCCAGTCTAGACAGTATGGTTCCAGAGTGTGTGCTCCTAACCACTATGCTATGTGTCTCCTCATACTTTAATGGCCTGGTAGTAGTTTATCCTATGGATGTGTTATAGTTTATTCCCCAGTTCCCTATAGGTGGGCATTTGGGCTGTTTTCAGTCCTTTGCTAGGGTGGGCGGTACTGTAGGGACTAACTTGTGCATACTTAATCTTATATATATGTAAATATAGGCCAATTGTGATTGCTAGGTCAGTAGGTGTGCCACTATAATTTCATAGCTATTGGAGAATAGTTTACCCATGTGTGTAATTCGTGAGACTGCCTCACCAAAATACTTTTTTCAAACTCTTAGATTTTTGTCAACCTTGTAGGTGAAAAATTGAATTTAAATGCAGTTTTATGTTCTATGTACTCTTAACAAGCATGTTTGAGGGTCTGTTTTATGCTATTGATCCATTCTTATGTCCTGTTCAATTCATATCCTTTGCCCATTTTTATTTTCAATTGGATTGCTTGTCTTTCTTATTGATATATAAGAGCTAAAGAGATTCACTCTTTTTGTGATTTTTTTTTTTTTTTTGACTGCTCATTCCCCACCCTTGGAGACATTTGTATATGTCTGTAACTGACCAAATTTCTTCTTTGCTTCTGGATTTTGAATCATAGTTAGAAAGCCTCTTTCTACTCCAAGATTATGAAGGAACTATTTCATGGTTTTTTCCAGAACATTTGTGGTTTCATTTCTTCATATTAAAAATGTTTTATGTGGTTAGAAATTGTATAGGGTGTAAGGTGTAAGTCCATCTCCCCTTGTCCCCAAGACTACCTAGTAGTCCAAAAGCTGTTTATTGAATAGTCGAACAATCTAGCTTTTCCCCACTGGTTTTTGAAGCCACACCTCTTCCATACTATTTTAATTCAATCATGAAATTGAATTTTGAAATCTAGCAGTATTCTTTCCCATCTCCATTTCATTGGGCACCACTTTGTTGTTTTCCTAATACTATTAAATTTTCTGTACAAATTCTAGAATCAGCTTCTTTAGTTAAAAAAAAATCAATAAACCTGATGGTTTCTTCATAGGGAAGATAGCATATTTATCGTGTTTAAACTCTGGGAACATTTGTGATTTTAGATGTTGAGTCATCGTAACCAAGATCATGGTATGTCATTCTATTTGTTGATGTCTACTTTTGTATTCTTCAGTAGTATTTAAGTTGTTCTTTATATAGTTATAGCAATACTGAGTGTATTCTTAGGTATTTCATCTTGTTGCTATTATAAGTGGGAAAATTTCCCCCATTCTGTCTTCTTGTTACTGGTATATATGAGAATTCTTGATTTCTTTAAATTTTATGCTCTGGTACCTTATTGTTTGGGTCGTTTTCAGTAAATTCTCTTTGAGTTTCCCAGGTGTTATCTGCAAATAATGATAGTTTCCTTCCCAGTTTCTATACTTTTAATTTCTCTTGAGTGGTTGTGTTAGCGGGTACTTTCAGTACATAGGTAAGTACTAGTGATGATAGTTCAGAATTTGAAGCATTGTTCCTTTTAACTTCCAGGCAGATTCAAAGGCATTTTCTTTATAAATCCTTTCCTTCCTCCAAGCTTTTGGGTTTTGTTTGTTTGTTTGTTTGTTTGTTTAGTCACTGATGTTCAGAAATTCACAGTGATGTTCCTTGGTGTAGGTTTTGAGTCATAATGATGGATTAACAGGTGAACCCCTTTAATCTTGGAAACTTAACGTCCTTCAGTTCTGGGACATGGTCTTCATTGTTTCTTTAATAACTTCTTGTCCTGGAATTCTCATCGCTCAGATGTTAGACCTTTGCAATTGATTTTCAAATATTCTCTTCTATTTTCTATCTCTAATTTTTTTTGTTCTACTTTCTGGGCAGTTATCTCAACTGCATTTTTCTAAAATTAAAGTTTTTTTTCTAATTCTTTGAATTTTTAAATTTCTGCTATCATATTTTTATTTTCCAAGAACAATTCTGTTTTCTGAATGTTTGTCTTGTACCATCTAATTCTTGTTTCTCTGAGGCCGTCAGTTAATAGATTTTTGCTGGTGGTTGGTTTTTGTTTGTCTTAGTTTTAAGTTTTGTTCCATTCCCTGCAGTATCTCATAGGAAACAAGAGTTTGCTTTATTTTGTTTTGTTTTGTAACAAAAGATTTCTGATACTTAGCTGTCCATTTGTATTAAAAATAAGGTCCTAAAAAGCCAATGGGAAGCCTTTGTGAGGGCAGGGATTATAGAATGTTGAACCTTTCTCTGTGATAAAGCAGTGTGATGTTGTTATACATGATTTTTGTTTGTTTTTGATAGACTGTCAAGGATTATCATTTGTCTTGGACAGGTCAGCATCCCCTGAAAAGAATCTTCCAACCTCTACTGTCTGTGGTATAAGCCTGACAGCCAGGGTTTGGGAACCACACAGAGGGAAAGCATTTGTTGAATAGGGTGTCATCCAGCACTCCTCAGCTCTTCATCTTCTGGTTTGCTTGGCATCCCTGAGGCTCAAGCTTCTCTCTTTCACCCTTTTTAGAAAGTAAAACCTCCAGATTTTTGCCAGACAGGTGGCAGTGGGGTTGAGAGATGGGTTATCTGTTTGCTGTTTATAGAACCTTTTCTCAGTTCTCCTGTTTTCAGCCTCAGTCCAAACTTGCACTTTTAGTAGTCCTTTGTGGCTTCAGTTTCTGAGCTACGCCAGTGTGGGTTGCTTGATTCCTGTGGGCACCCTCTTCCCACATCCCTTGTAGAATTAGGGTTCAGTTTTGTCAGGTCTACTAAGTCATCCCACTTACCTATCTGCCTCTGCATTCCAGATGTTCATGATTATCTCTTGTTCACTATTGTTGCTTTTTCTGATCCCTTTGTCCTTGTGTTTATACCCTTTTTTAGGTATTTACTGTCAATTTGATGGGCTGTTGAAAGGGAGCAGAGATAAATGGGTGTTTAATCTTCATTTTAATTGGAAGTCCTTGGAGTGACCTTTGCAAACATACATATATGATTGTGCTAAAACCATATGGTGAACTTCTCCTCTGGTTCTTAGAATAAAGACCCAGTTTTAAAACATGTCCTAAGCTGTGTAGTCTGATCCCTACCTACTTCTCATCCTGGCGTCAAATCTGCCTTTTATTTAATTTTCTTCCCCCCATCCCCCATTCTTTGTTCTTGTCTTCACTCTGTTCCTTTTCCTTGCCCTTACCCTCCCTCTCCGTGTATTCTGTCGTCTTTTCTTCTCTTTTCTCCCCCAACCCATTCAGACACATGACCTTCCTTAAGTTTCTTCAATGTCCATGCAAATACCGATCTCTGACGAAGGAGCATCCTTCTTCTGGGAAGAGCAGCCACTACTTCCTCTGGAAAACCTTCCTTAATTGCTTTATATACTTATATTCACACATAATTTTACATAAATTTAATGTTATACATTTTCTGTAATCATTGTTTTTACCTATTTTTTCTTAATGGGAATTGTATCACAGTTTGATCTGGGAAGCAGAACGACTTTAAATGATACAGAAAAGGGATTATCAGCCAGGCGCGGCCCTAGATAAATTCATCTTCGTTTTATATCATATTCCTTTTAGGAGCATTATGTAAATATGCAGTTACAGCTTTCTTTGATTATTTGAATAACGTCTGTTTCCTACTAGACTGTAAGTTCCTAAGGTCACTGAAAACTCACAGTGGTCATCTGGTTCTTCACAGCTTGTTTTCACATGGAATGGTAGGAAACCGATATTTACTTCCTTTTTGTTTCCTAAACATTTTTCTATTTTATGCTTATTGGTGAAGTAGAAGATGTACCTGACCTTTCTCTATTCTGTAACCTACAGAGTGGGAGGAAGAGAAGAGAAGATATTTAAAGATATTTTTACCTTTTCCATTTTATCTAATGGTAGGGGCTGAAATAAGGAGGTAATGTAAAATAGGAATGCATAAGGGATGATTTCCCCCTGACATTTGCTAACTGAAAACTGGAATTCATAGACTTACTAGTTCAGTTAGATTATTTTTTAAAAACACTGTACCAGACTCCCTCCCAATTTTTTGTTTATTGGGAAAAAGTAAAACTAGTTTGGAGTCTAAAAAATAGACATATGGCCACAGACCATACAGCATGAGTTACTGAGGTAAAATGTTCATTTCCCCCAGGTTTCAGAAGGATCCCACTTGGTCAGAGACTGGAGACCGTTATCTGTTGAAACTCTTTAGGGATCATCTTTTTCATCAGGTGACAGAAGCAGGTGCTCCCTGGATTGACCTCAGTCATATAATTTCTTGTCTTAACAAGGTAATTTGTATCTAGATTTTTTAAGATCATAATTCTGCCTATAATTTGTATAGAGTTGTATCTTCTACAAATACTAGGAAACTTAAGAAATCAGGATGTACTCTTAAAGTAGCCTGTAAGACGTTTTATTAATAACATTTTCTACAATGGGAGGATTTTTACAATACTTGCATGAATAATTTTTTGGGGCAGTGGAGGACAGAGTCTTGCTCTGTTGCCCAGGCTGGAGTGCAGTGGCCTGATTTTGGCTCACTGCAACCTCTGCCTCCCGGGTTCAAGTGATTCTCCTGCCTGAGCCTCCCGAGTAGCTAGGATTACAGGCACCCATCACCATGCGCAGCTAATCTTTAGTAGCGACAAGGTTTCACCATGTTGGCCAGGCTGGTCTCGAACTCCTCACTTCAAGTGATTCGCCTGCCTCAGCCTCCCAAAGTGGTAGGATTATAGGCGTGAGCCACTGCGCCTGGCCTTCATGAATAATTTTAGAATGTTTTATTGTGGATCTTTTTATTATGATAAAGTATCACAAAATGACTGCTTCCCTCCTTTATGCAATGTTTTATTTACATGTGGTTTTGTTATGCCGCTTAAAACAGTGAATGGTAAAAAGCAAAAAAATAATTTTGTGTTTATTTTTTAAAAATTGAACCCCTTCCGAATCATTGTGAGTTATGTTGGGTGTTATCAAATCATTATTAACTATAGATTTTTTTTTTTTTTTTTTTTGAGACGGAGTCTCTGTCACCCAGGCTGGAGTGCAGTGGCGCCATCTAGGCTCACTGCAAGCTCCGCCTCCCGGGTTCACGCCATTCTCCTGCCTCAGCCTCCCAAGTAGCTGGGACTACAGGCACCCACCACCATGCCCGGCTAATTTTTTGTATTTTTAGTAGAGACAGGATTTCACCATGTTAGCCAGGATGGTCTCGATCTCCTGACCTCGTGATCCACCCGCCTCAGCCTCCCAAAGTGCTGGGATTACAGGCATGAGCCACCGCACCCGGCCTAACTCTAGGTTTTATAATCAAGTAGTAAATAATAAAAGCACAATACTAGTGACATCAGTTACTAGCAGGTCCAGCTGTTATAAATGGTGAATTTGATGATTAGATGAATTAAGTAGATAAAAAATAGATCATAAATTTATTTGAGAGGTGAGGTGAGCTTTTTTTTGGAACGGGGTTTTGATCTGTCACCCAGGCTATAGTGCAGTCGCACTTATGGCTCACTGCAGCCTTGACTCCCCAGGGCTGCAGTGGTCCTCCTTCCCACCTCAGTCTCCTGAATAGCTGGGACCACAGGCACACGCCACCACACCCAGCTAATTTTTGTCCTTTTGGTCGATACGGGATTTCACCATGTTGCTCAGGCTGGTCCCAAACTCCTGAGATTAAGCAGTCCACCCACCCCCAAAGTGTTGGGATAATAGCCGTGAGCCACCACGCCCAGCAGCATTATGTTTTAGAAAAGGTTGGGAAAAGGCTAGGCGCAGTAGCTCGCGCCTGTAATCCCAGCACTTTGGGAGGCCACGGCGGGCGGATCACGAGGTCAGGAGATCGAGACCATCCTGGCTAACACGGTGAAACCCCGTCCCTACTAAAAAATTAAAAAAGTTAGCCGGGCATGGTGACAGGCACCAGTAGTCCCAGCTACTCGGGAGGCTGAGACAGGAGAATGGCGTGAACCCGGGAGGCGGAGTTTGCAGTGAGCCGAGATTGGGCCACTGCACTCCAGTCTGGCCGATAGAGCGAGACTCCGTCTCAAAAAAAAAAGAAAGAAAAGATTGGGAAAGACAAAATTTACAGAGAAAAGAAAGAAGACAGTTCCCTTATGAATTACTTGGCATTATGAAGTTTAGAACTGGTCTCCAGGAGTAAATGTAGTCTCTGTATAGGTTTATGTATAAACCAGGAGCTGGTAAGCCATGGCCTGCAGGCCAAATCCGTTCTATGGCCTATTTTTTTAAAGCGTGAGAGCCTCGAATAGTTTTACATTTTTAAAGAGTTGTAAAATAAACAATAAGCCAAACCTAAAACATTTACCGTCTGACCCTTTATAGAAAACATTTACTGACTCTTGGTCTAAACTTTCCTAAATTATAAGTACTAGAGGAAAAAATATCTACTGTAGCACATGATTTAGAACTATTAATGTACAGTGTGGTAACCTTTCAGGGAAAATGTTACGGTTTGTTTTTAAGCACTACTTTGCCTTCCTTTAACTTCCTTAAAACTCTATAAGGAGTATTGTCAATAACCTACATTAAGACTGCACAAAACTGGCCAGGCTCGGTGTCTCACGCCTGTAATCCCAGCACTTTGGGAGGCCCAGGTGCACGGATCACCTGAGGTCGGGAGTTTGAGACCAGCCTGGCCAATGTGGAGAAACCCCATCTCTACTAAAAATACAAAATTAGCCGGGCGTGGTGGTACATGCCTGTAATCCCAGCTACTTCGGAGGCTGAGGCAGGAGAATCATTTGAACCCCAGGAGGCAGAGGTTGCAGTGAGCCGAGATTGTGCCATTGTACTCCAGCCTGGGCAACAAGAGCAAAACTCTGTATCAAAAAAAGAAAAAAGACTGCACAAGACTATATGTATCATTGAACTAATTCAGTATGAGTTATATATTTATTTTCCCTTTATTTATGTTAGGGGAAAAACCTTTTCTTGAGAGCAATATGTAGAAAATAATTCTGTCAGATTTTAGAGCATAGTATCAGAGTACCAGTAGTTAAAAATACGTAGAACCAGAACAAACATTGACAAGTAGGTAATATGGAATAAGCCATGGACAGTTGCCTTAAGCAAAGATCATTTAATGAATATTAGGATAATATTAAATTCATCAAAGATCATTTAATGAATATTAGGATAATTGAAAATTTGAAGAAAATTCTGTTTCACATCATGAACTAGCTAGTAGTAAATAATACCCCAAATCTGAAGTGTGACAATATTCTAAGTTTGAAAAGAGTGTGATAAATTAAAAGGGAAGGATGGCCAGATTGATTATACAAAATTAAGATTTTATATAAGCTTATTTTGGTAGAAATAATGACAGAAATTGTCTGGTAAATGATTTGAATGTTTGAGCCTTCAGTGAGTTGTAAACATATTTTAATGAATTATGTATCAATTAATGAAATAAAGTACATTGAAAATAACAAAAATAAAGTGAAAACCATAACAAGACAAGTTGATAGACTAAGGATCAGTATTTATGCTTTACAAAGACCTCACTAAAATATTACTGCCAAATTCCATTAGGGTCATGAGTAAAGATCATATACTAGCATTTACACAAGCAGAAATACCAAAAGTAAATGTATGAAAAAACTTTGATAATAGTAGTTAAAATCTAAATTTAAATAGCAAGGTGCTCATTTGCTGTGGGGTTGCTGGAAAAGTATTAAAATCTTATAAATTAGGCTGGGCACGGTGGCTCACACCTGTAATCCCAGTACTTTGGGAGGCCGAGGCGGGTGGATCGCCTGAGGTCAGGAGTTCGAGACCAGCCTGGCCAACATGGCGAAACCCCGTCTCTACTTAAAATACAAAATATTAGCTGGGCGTGGTGGCAGGTGCCTATAATCCCAGCTACTCGGGAGGTTGAGGCAGGAGAATTGCTTGAACCCGGGAGGCAGAGGTTGCAGTGAGCCAAGATTGCGCCATTGCACTCCACCCTGGGCAACGAGCGAAACTCCATCCCCAAAAATTAAATAAATAAAAATAAAAACTTATAAATTCATGGTGTCTGATTGGAAAACAATTTGGTTCTATGTACTAAGCTATAAAACCACTTCTACTTTACTTTTTTGTGTTTTTTTAAAATTTTTTAAAAACCAATTTCTTAATACTTTACATTTTATTATTAATATTTATACTTCTAAGTATTTTTCCTAAGGAAAAAGTACTTCCCACAGAAGAAAAAAATTAAGTAGATGAGTATGTTCATTGCACTGTAATTTATTATGCCAAAAATGGAAGATACTGGGAGAAAAATTATGGAGCATCAACTGGGTAAACTATAATACAAACAAACGTTAAGCGTGAAGGGATAGAAACATAGGGCAGTGTTTGTGTAAAAATGTCTGAGTCGAAAATTATGTGCATACTGATGAATGATATAAATGTACTCATGGATATCTGAAAGGGAATGTGACAAAAAAAATTTAGATATTTTATTTATTTTTGCTGCAAACGTAGATAAATTCTTTTCTGCATGTTATGAATTTCATATTTTGTGTATATATTGTTTCAGCTAGATGCTGGTGTGCCAGAAAAAATAAGCCTGATTTCCAGAGATGAGAAGAGTGTACTTGTGGTGACCTACAGTGACTTAAAGCGCTGCTTTGAAAATACTTTTCAAGAACTGATTGCAGCTGCAAATGGTCAGTTGTAGTATTTGCTAAAAAAGCACGCAGGACATGGCTAAAGACCTTAACCAATAGCAAATTGCACTACAGCTGAACTTTTCATCATCTCATTCACATTTGGGAAACGAACAGGAGATGAGCAAAGCTGCTTGCACTTCAGTCAGGTACACTGTTACTTGAAAGGAAGAATGTTTCACTTACCCAAGAGCTATGGCTGCCATTGGAGGCTGTTATCTGTGAAGAATTTATTTTAGATTTAGGAGCACCATCAGGTGAATGATGTTCCTGCTTTTGTTTTTTCCACTTGTATATGCACTAATTTTAATTTTTTAAAGACTTTTTCTGATCTTTGAACTTTTGCCACATTGTATACTTATAATGGGAAACTTTGCAAGGACATTTTTGGGAAGCAATGCTGGGCAGCGTTTTTGCCATTGAGGGTTGCAGAATTTGCTCTTTTTGGGATGGGTTGCCCTGAATAACATTACGGACCAGGTAAATAATTTCATAGAAGTTCAGTATAGTACGTAATTCTTGTAAGAGTATCGTATGCAAGCTCTCTGTATGCCACCCACTGTTAGTTCAAATTGAGATTTTTGTTTTGTTTTGTTCTTAAGAACATACCAAGAAAATACCAGTGAATTGTTGGATATGAATTCCCTGTTAGTTGATTTAAATCCTTTCTGAATAAAGATCAGATAAACAGTAACTGAAGGAGCATGTATAGCTCTTTCCTTCAAATTCAACTAGAGCCTTTTTAAAAAGACATTTGCCTGCTAGTCAGATACATTTACATTTATGCAAATTTTTTAAATAGGAGAAAATTAAGAAATTGTGTTAAAGGCCTAAAGTTCAGGAGTGTATTACTTTAGGTTCTTTCCAGTTTGCTGGTTTTTTTTTTTTTTTTTTTTTTTTTTTTTGGGCGGGGGGGAGGTTTATGAAGTTTTGCTCTTTGAACCACAGCTTTATTATGGTCCTTTACACTGGAGACAGACACAGAGACACTGTTCAGAAGATGAACTAAACTCAGCAGTGGTCTGGTATCAAGAGCTTTCTGATGTTTTACAGCCTGAATTTGGAGGGATAACGATCTGCTGTGCCTTTGCAGTCACTGCTTAGCCCAAAGTAATAGTACTTTTGATAATAACTCACTCTGTGCGATATTCCTGAATAAGTCCATCTCAAAAGTTTGGGATTTTCCTCCTCTTAACTTTCTTAATATTTGGACATGCAGTTGTCGCCAAACTTGGGTATTCATGGAATTTCTAGTAAATGAAATACCTATACTTTGATACTGAAGACTGCCAAATACATAGGAATTTTCTTTCTTAAAAAACAGTAATGAAGACTATATCTCCTTTCCCAGCACTGAATGTTTTACTAGCACTGGGTGCTCACCATGCAACTGAAGAAAATGTGGAAACTCAAAAGGTCAGGACAGACTTCCAAGCACTTGCAACTGATGTTACTGTCTTCAATTTTAATAATTACACATATTTGTATATTTCAGAGAAGTTTTTAATATTTCTCTGTCCACTTTTTATAAGCTTTAAAATGATTTTCTCTGCCTTGAGATTTGCATCAAGAAAAAGCACCTCTCTTCACCTGAAAGCTTTGAAGACTAGAGACACGCTTTACACGTTTTAACAAGTATATTGAGTCCACGTTTGGTAGCATCAGTTGTTGAGTTAAAAAGAAAATTATTGCATTTGATCTGGATGGATTTTAAAAGAATATAATGTTCAATATTAAAAGGATAATTCACATTTGCCACCATAATGTTCTTTTTTATGTAAAAAGAAGAACTTGGAGACATTAACATGAAAAAGTCTTTTATCATTAGCTCATGTATTTGAGGAAGAGCAGCTGTCTTTTTATATGTTTTTTGACAAATCATATTGTATTCTTTTGTACAAAAAAGAACTACTTGTATTCTAGAAGAAATATGAAATGCTTAATTTATAAGCGGGCTGGAGATTTTTTCCAATATTGTTTTCTTTGAAAATGAAAGGGGATCATCTATTTTAGTTTTGGGGTCTGGGAACTTTTTGAAAATTTAATTTGTGGACCAATGTTTTGTGAAAGCTAAAGAGGGCAGGGGTTAAAATAGGGCTTGAATTTCTCATTCTGTATAGACCAGCAAACTTCCCTGTGCAAGGCAAGTTTACATCACAAATCCAAGAATGTTTGCATCCTAAATGCTAGTTTGCTTCAGCCCCTAGTTAACCTCAGGACTTGGTTTGCATATAAAAGGTAGACAGCTGATATGTTTTCATGAATAAATATTGTCAGCCAGAAAAGGTTGGTGTCAGGTAATGCATATTTTTTTAAGCTTTGTTTTATATTTATTTTTCATTTAGTTTTTATTGGGAATGGTTTTCAAAGAACTCTCAGTTCTGCCTAGGTGTTTTTGGGGGAGCCCTGTTTTCCATAGTGTAATTCCATTTAAGAGGTTGTCTAAAAGTCTTTTTAATTAATAGAAAGATTTTAATATCCAAGAGTAGTCAAATTAAGGATATAAACTTTCCACACCTTCCTGTCGTGACAGATAAAAGCACAGAAAGGACAACCCTTGAAATCATGTAACGTTGGTCATTTCAATATTTTGTACCTGTTTTAAATTCTGTTAGTGTATTTACTTCATTGTAAATATTTTTGAGGGTACCTTTGTATTTTGCTTTTGACCTTGGTTCTGTGATTTGGATGTCAACAACTTCCCTAAAAAGCACCAGTGTGTTAGGTTCTAATGTCATGACCCAATTTGTGTTATTCATCTTTAATCCTGTTTTCAGTCTCTATGTGTACAGCAGTATTTTTAATAAAGAATTACAGAGATAAATTTGTCCTTTTCTTGCACGTGTTCATATAACAAGATGATGATTATCTTATGATTGGATTTTAAAAGATTGGTTATTTCCTCTGTATTTTGGAGGAATTTTTGTATTTGGATGAAATGGCAGCAGATTTATTCATTAATTTATCAGGTAGTCCTTAAGTCTTATCTACTGTGTCCTTGGATCTGTTCTAGGCACTAAGACAGATACAGGGACTTGGTATTTACAGAATGTATAGTTATACCCAAACATCTTAATACAATACATGACTAACAATGTAGTTTAGGAGAGAAGACTACTCACGAGAAAGCATAAGGGGTCTGCCATGTGTATGTCTGGTGGTAAAGTATTCCAGGTAAGGGAATGTTTCAGAGCCTTTGCGGAACAGCAGGGGAGCGAATGTGGCTAGAGCCAAGTTAAGTAGGAAGTGACGTCAGAAAGGTCTATAGGGAAGGGGTGTGTCCTGTGGACCATTTTAAGTATTTTGGCTTTTACCCTCAAAAGAGGAAGCCGTGCCGGGCGCAGTGGCTCACGCCTGTAATCCCAGCACTTTGGGAGGCTGAGGTGGGCAGATCACGAGGTCAGGAGATCGAGACCATCCTGGCTAACATGTTGAAACCCCCTCTCTATCAAAAATAAAAAAATTATCCAGGCGTGGTGGCAGGCGCCTGTAGTCCCAGCTACTCGGGAGGCTGAGGAAGGAGAATGGCGTGAACCCAGGAGGCAGAGCTTGCAGTGAGCCTAGATCGCACCACTGTACTCCAGCCTGAGCATCAGAGCAAGACTCTGTCTCAAAAGAAAAAGGAAGCTGCAGGAGGATTTTCAGCAGAAGAGTAACATGATAAGACATTTAAAAAGGATCACTCTGGCTACGACGTGAACAGACTGAGGGAGGAAGTGAGCTGTTGACATGGTGGGAAACTGACAGCATCCCAAGTGAAGGATGTTGGATTTTAAAACCCATGTCTTTTGAGTTTTGTTGGGTTTTTTTGTTTTGTTTGAGACGGAGTCTCACTCCATCGTCCAGGCTGGAGTGCAGTGGCACGATCTTGGCTCACTGCAACCTCTGCCTCCTGGGTTCAAGCGATTCTCCTGCCTCAGCCTCCCGAGTAGCTGGGATTACAGGCATCCGTCACCATACCTGGCTAATTTTTATATTTTTTGTAGATACGGGGTTTCACCATGTTGGCCAGGCTGGTCTCAAACTCCTGACCTCAGGTGATCTGCCTGTCTTGGCCTCTGAAAGTGCTGGGATTACAGGCATGAGCCAAAGCGCCCAGCCATCTTTGAGTTTTAAAACCCACCTGCGACTGAGCACGGTGTCTCACAGCTGTAACCCCGGCACTTTGGGAGGCCGAGGCAAGTGGATCACCTGAAGTCAGGAGTTCCAAGACCAGCCTGGCCAACAGAGCTGGTCTGACAAGAGCGAGACTGTCAAAAAAAAAAAAAAAAAAAAAACACCTGGACTAGGGTGGTAGCAGTAGAGGTGGTGCAGAGTGGCTGGACTTCAAATAAGGTTTTAAAGGTAGAGCCATCAGGGATGTCCTGATTCACTGGATGCGGACAAAGAAGAGAGAAGTCAGGAATGACTCTTAAGATTTTGGCTTGCTGGCCAGGTGCAGTGGTTCATGCCTGTAATCCCGACACTTGGGAGGCCAAGGTGCGCAGATCACCGGAGCCCAGAGTTTTGAGACAGGCCTGGGCAACATAGTGAGACCTTGTCTCTACAAAAAGTAAAATCAGCCAGGCATGGTGTCACGCACCTGTAGCCCCAGCTACTCAGGGGGCTGAGGTGGGAGGATTGATTGAGCCCAGGAGGTCAAGGCTGCAGTGCACCGAGATGGAGCCATTGCACTCCAGCCTGAGCGACAAAGTAAGACCCTGTCTCAAAAAATATTTCCTTTGGCTTGATGCTCACAGGATAGAGGATTCTGCTGAATTGGAAGAGACTGTTGTAAGAACAAAGAGTCTACAGGGCAGGGGAGGATGGAGAAACAGGAAAAGACAATTTGGGAGTTTGGTCTAAGGCCCATTAAGTTTGAGATGTTTAGTACACATTTGTTCTGGTTATTTGCTTTGTAACAACTCCACCCTTAATGGCATAAAACAAGCATTTTATTACATTCAAGGATTCTGTGGGTCAGGAATCTGGGCAAGACACAGCAGGGAGGCTTGTCTCTATGCCATTGTGATTGGGCCTCCGCTGGGAAATTCCAATGGATGGGGGCTGGAGTGACTTGCGGGCTGGACTCAGCTGGCTGCTGTCTATGGGAGCACCTTCACATGGCCTCCATGTGGCTTAGGTTTCTCCAAGTATGGCTGCTGGGTCCCTGGCGGGAACTGTTGAAGAGTGAGTGTACCAAGACTCAGGAAGTGCATGATCTTTTCTGACCTGGCCTCCAAGCCATGCAGTGTCCCTTCTTTCACATTGCATTGATCACAAGTGAGTCCTAAAGCTAGCTCTGATTCTAGGGGAGGGGACATTGCCAAAGGTCGTGTGCCAAAGGTCGTGTGAGATGGGAGATAATCTTGCAGCTGTCTTTGAAAAATAGAATATTTTTGAAAAATACAGTACAATATCTTTGAAAAATACACCTGTATTTGAAAAAAATACAGTCTGCTAGAGCATCAAGGGGAGATGTCAGGTTAGCACTTGTGTATATATGAGTTTAGAGTGTTGCAGCGGGCAGGAAGAATCTCTTCTGTCCATGAAAGTCATCATATGGGTGTCATTGAAAGCCCTGAGATTGGTTGAGATCATGAAGGAAGTTGGTATAGACTGAGAAAAGAAAGCTTCAAGGGCAAGCCCTGGGGTAACTAGAGCAATGTTCAAAAGTCAGGGAAAAGAGGTAAAACCAGCAAAAGAGACAGGTAGCCTATGAGATGGGAAGAAGAAAGTATCATGTCCTGGAACCAAACTGAAGTTGTTTTTGCGAATAAGTGTCAAGCTGCTGAAGTGTCAAATAAGAATGGGACTGAGAGTTAGCCATTGGATTTATCAATATGGAGTCACTGGTGACCTTAGCAAAAGCAGTTTCAGTGAGTGATCGTGAAAGCTAGGCTTGAGTGGGTTTAAGAGTGAGTGGGAGGAGAGGAGTTGGAAACAAGTAATAATAACTAATAACCAACTCGCTCATGGGATTTTGCTGTAAAGGGAAATAGAGAAATTGGGTGGTAGCTGGAGGAGAAAGTACAGATGAAAATTTTGTAAGATGGGAGAAATAACATGTATGTTCCAGTGGAAAAGGGGAAAATTGATGGTGGGGGGCGGTGGAGAATTGCTAAAGCAATTCAAGTCTCAGAGGGACACCAGTGTGTTTTGGGTTGGCTGTCTAGAAGGGCAAGCACAGTATATGGGGACATAAGCTTGGAGGTGGGGAGATGTGACAAGTGGGGTCTTGGAGTTCTTTAATTTTCCCATTGAAGTAAAGGATATACTAATAGTACCTATCATGTTAGATTGCCTTGAAAATAAGTGTGTTCCTTTAAAGCACTTTAAATAGTTGCTGGCACATATTGGGTACTCAAATGATAGCAATGATAGCAATTACTAGCTATCACTGCTTCCCAAATACCAATCTGTGGAACAACATGTGTTCATTAGTTTATTCTAGTACAAATGAAAATGGGAAAAAGAAGGATAATATAGGTATGTTTCAAAACAAATATATTTTAGTCTGAGATTAAGCCCTTCCACCTTTTAAAATGGGTTTTCTCCTATGAAAAGTAGTGGTACTAAATGGCAGGGGTTTTTTTCTTCTTTTAGTAATATTGCATTGAAGAATTGTGTACATACATTCATATATATACACACACATTCACAAGTAAGTGTGCAGCTCAGTGACTCATCATAAGGTGAGCATACCTATGCACTACCACCCGGATCAGGAAATAGAACATTAGTAGCATCTGGTTGGATTTTGGGTTTTTTTTTTCCCCCTCCCTCAAGTGTTCTTAGCTCGCAGAATAGAAGAATGGCCATCCCTGTGTTGGGATCAAGGATTTTTTTTTTTAATTTCCTGGCCTGTGAAACCCAAAAGTCTGGTAATATGTTTAACACTGAGGAGTCCAATAAACCTTACTAGGCCATACTTCTGCTGGAGGAAAGAATAAAAATTAATTCCCAAATGTACTATAAGTTTCCAGAGCCATGAGAACATTTCTAAACTGACGTGACATTGATTCCTCAAGCATTCTTCAAGTCATTTGCCTGAATGAATGATTTTATTCTTATGTTATGAAACCCATAATACTTTTTAAAGGATTTCAGATTCTTGAAGACAAAATGCCTCTTGCCCTCTTGAGTTAACTAAAAGTGTACTGAGATTTGTCATTTATCCATTTTTATTGTCTTTGTCCCAAAGAAAGTAGGCCTATTTTTTCCCCTTAAAATATCTTTCCAATCTAGTTTCCTTATGATGATATTAGGCGGGTAATACTATGACCAATTTCTAAGACAAAGTGTTGGTCACTTATTCAATTTCTAGTACTTAGTGACCTGAGTTGTTTTCCTAGGACATAATCCACAAAACAAGATTGAAGAATACAGAGCTGGCATGTGTACTTTTACATTCTTGGGTTTCAAGCTTTTGCCTATTATTTTGTGTGGTTTTCTGCAGCATGTGTACACACCCTCTGTGATTATGCTAATTATTTATCAGCTGAAAATTAGTGTTTGGGGACAACTGCCTCTTTTTAATTGAGGGCACTTTTCTCTGCGGCTGGCACTCACACCCAGCATATGCTTTACTTGTTTCATGATCCTGTTGATGTTAGGGTTTAGTTTTCTGGGCAATCTGCCTAGTTTGATTTTGTTTTTTACTTACTGGTTGCAGTGTTCTGATTGTTTAGCACAGCCATTTTCTAGGACCGATAGAAACCTCTTTGCCCTCTCTTCAGCAGCATTTGCTTTATCTTTCTTGTGCTGTGTTTAATAAAGAGCACTAGTCCTCCACCCCCAGGGACACCTGTGACCTCTTTTTTACACTTAACAAGCAAATCAGGGAGAAAATATATGTGTTTTTGGAAGTTTATTATATGAAGATGGTATACAAAATACATTCATCATGACTAGAAATATAGGACCAAACCATGTCTGTCTTATATCTGTAGCATATATTCTTGGTTTGTATAAAAGTAACTTTAAAATTCCAGTTTCCTTAAATAGTTATGCACAAAACACACATACACCCACACACACACACACACACACACACACACACACACATACAGTTACACCACTGTCGGCCAAAGATGCACTCCTCCTTTAATCAATTTAAATGAGGCTAGCGAGTATCTGTTTGATGTTTGCATTCTTGTGGGCTAGGAAACAAGGCACGGGTCCCTAAAATTAACATCTCGGTGTCACTTCTTGGACTGACAAGACACAGACTTGCACATGGTTTCAGCCCCATTCCACCCAGACTGTTCCACGTACATTATCTCAGAAACTCTGAAAGGAAGTGCTCGTTCTTTGTTAGTGCCAACCATTTTTGTCATAAATGGCAAATGATTGGAATATTATCAGTTAATTCATGTTTCAATTTTCAGTGCTATTTTAATGAACAAGCACTTTGTAACTAGCTCATTATTACAAGTCTCCATTTTTCTTTCTACATTAAGACTCCAGATGGAACCATTCTTTGACTGATGGATGGACTCATGTATGCTACAAACCTGAGTTTGAAGGAGCTGAGTAACAATTCTAATGGTTTTGCTTTTCTCTTGAAAAGGAGTATTTATTATGGTCTCTTAATGATTAAGAATTAATTATTGAAATCAAGACATGAATAGCTAAGGTTTTATTTGTTATCACTATTTGCTGGGCTATTATCTGATTTGGAAAAAAAAAAAAAAGTAGAGAATTGACTGAGGTCTTCTTTTTTCTGTGTTTAACCTCCTTCCAGTTACCTGATTTATAAAATTGCCAGCTGTCACAGGTGGTTTGCGTATGTAAAGAAGAGGAAGAACAAAGATTTGTCCTCTCTTCTGGCTCTAGCCTGCTTTTGTTTGGATTTAGATCTTGGTGGAGAGGACTGTCCCACTCCTCTCTTCTGGCTAGTGAGTCTTCCACAAAAGCCGCTGCCAGGAGCCAGTAGGCTCACTAGGGAATGTGCTGATGACGGTCCCATCTCTTCATACAGAGAGCCTTTAAACAAGGATGTGGCACATAAGAACAGAGGCATACATTCTTCGGTTACTTAGAGCTCAGGTTCTACAGTTAAATTACATGGATAAAAGGAAGCATACTCTTCTCCCCAAGAAGCAGCAATCCACTGTTGCCTCTCCAGCTTCTGACTGGCTGCAGAAGGTGCAGACATCATAAATACATAGACCCTAACTTGCATAAATAGCATCAAACAGAGCCAGCTTAGCGATCCAAGGCCCACTTGATCTTTAGACCCTGAAGAGTAGGCGCCCTTTCCTACCCTGTCTCCCTATTCCCATCATGCTCAGACCCCAGGCAAGTTTCAAAGCAGTTGAAAATGGGCTTTTCTTCTAGTGATGGCTCATTAACTAATATCCTGAGTCCCAACTGGAGAAATACCTTGCATAAATTACATACCACCTTTTTACTCAAGGAGCTTAAAGTGCTTAATATGCGCCAGCTAATGCTCTTCCACATCCTTTCAGATTAGTGTGAGATAGTGGAATCCCCATTAAATGAAAAGGAAACGTGACTGACTTCCTGTGTTTTGGGTCCCAACTGTGTTGGTGAATTGGTTTGGTTGGTATAGAGACGGGGTTTTCCCTTGACCTTATTGACCTTTTTCCTCCATCAGCCCTCGTTTTGATATGGAGAAAACTCCTCTCCTCAGGACTGCATTTTCATTCTTCTCAGCTTTCTTTCACAACTAACTGTGCAAAACAGAATAATACCAAGAAATTGAGTTAAGTGTCTGGACTATATATTAATACCCAAAATAGAATGTGACATTTTCAGTGTAAGGCCATCATGGCCTGGAGACAACCTAACTCTGGCTAAGTTTTCAGTGCATCTTACTAGAGGAGCCAAAAGTATGGGCTCAGAGTTGAGTGCCACCCTCAGTGCTACAAATCAAAACATGCCACGAATGAGAATGGACATAGAACCACTTCCATAGGTAAAGTTCTAAAATTTGCTTTAGTTCCAAAAAAGATATTTGTCCTTTTCTTGCCTCCCAGAATCCAGAAAATGTCCCCTCATCGCTGTCCATCTGCTCCTGGCTGGGCCCTCAAATGTAGAAGGGTCAGAGCTGGGAAGCCACTGAAATGGCATTGCTGAGCCCCGTCCCCCTCCGTGCCCACATGGTGCGTCTCAAATTCTTTCTCATGCCTTCTCCCGGTTTCTCTTTTCTCCCTTGCTTTTTGCTTTTTTTCCTTTTCCTCCTCACATGTCTTAGGCCTGCTAGAGGACTCCCGAGATGTTGCTCAGGCCAGCCAGTGATCCCTGGGGCTAACGGGCTTGTTGCCCTGGGTTTTGGGCTGCAGGGCTGGCCCAGTGGGGTACGTGATGCATTGGGTGATCAGTGCAGCTCCTCAATCAAACTGGTCCTGCGTGCCCTGAGGTGGCGGGGGTTGGAGCAGGGAAGTCATTGGGTTTAGGAAGGATTTCTCTAACACTGAGTAACATGAGGATTTAGCAGTAGTGTTCTTCACTTGTCACTATTTCTCTATCTGGAGTTACATTCTTGTTAGTCAAAAAAAAAAAAGCACTATTAAAAAAATCACAAAAAGCAGCTGGCTCCCATGGAAAGATAAAGGTGTAAACTTATATATGCATAATACTGGCAAAAGCTAGTTTCCTGGGGGTATAAATACACATGTGCTTCTAGAAATAAGGCTTCGTGTCAAACTCTAGATGGGTGGGGTGGAGTACAGGACCACCGAGTTGTAGTCTGGGGGCGGGGAGCAGCACGCGATTTTCCTTTCCAGCTCAGCGTGGTCGTAGGTGAACCTGCGCTTGCCTTCGCTGACGTGCCCACAGCTGGAATGGCAGAAACTGGGCCTGCTGACATCAGACAGCCCCGACTCCTTACTTTTACTGGTTACTCTCAAGCTAAAGAAAGAAAGGAAAGAAATCAAATATTCAAAATTGGTTTTTTAGAAAACAAAGACACTAAAATCTACTCTTTCTGAGTGGGTCATTTGTTCATACCTGTCTAGAGTTCATGGTTTTGGAACCCCCCCCCCCTCAATTGCTGTCAGATTTCCTCTGTTCTAAAGCTGCACACGGCCTCCCTCTTAACAGCTTGGTGTCATTGGGCAGAAAGACAGTGGCTGGGGGAGGGTATGAAATGTATGATAAGATAACGCAAATCCATAATCCAGGTGGAAAGTAACTCCAAGACTTGGGTGCAGCCCTCTCCTATTCTTGGGTCAAACAGCTTCTGTGGTAGGCTGAGAAATGCCTCCTACCCTCCAAAATATTCAAATTTTTCATATTTTATATCCCTTCTGGCCTCCAGAACTGCAAGAGAATAAATTTCTCTTGTAAGTTGCCAAGTTAGTGGTAACTTGTTACAACAGTCTCAAAAAACAATAAAGCTCCACACACACAAGTGAGTGCCTCTCTGCCTGTCGTGCCTGTGTTCTAGAAGAGGAAACGTTTTAGTCACGGTGCTGCTTATCACCAGCAAGGCTCAAGGGTGGAGAAACTTGCTTCTGGGTCCTCTGTGTTACATCCAGACTAGGACAGACACCTGAGGAAGAAGCGCTGCTCTTGCCCTTTAATATTCGTTCAAATTTTTTATTTTCAAAGGATCTGGGATGAGGCAGGGAACCCGTGAAGCTTGTTTTAGACCGGTCTGGACTAACGTGTCCATGTTCTATATTTTCAGTCTCAGAGTAGAGGATACAATTTATGGTCTTCTTTAACAAATATCTAGATAAAATTAGTCACCACCCATTTTCTGAAGTGTTCCAAAGTAGGAAACAAAAGAGCAAGTATCCTACCTTCCCCTTTGATCCATTCATTCCTCATTGGTGCCTCTGATCTACTGTAACTCAATTCTAATACCACTGTGCTCATGTGAAAAGGAAACACACACGCAGATGTTTGCCTGGAAATGCCCCTGTCTTTCCCATTTACTTGTGGCCGATGAGTTGTGCTAACTACATCACTTGGAGGCACTTGTTGCCATCCTTTGATTTAGATCAGGGTTCAAAAACTATAACCCATATCTGCCCACCTGTCTGGTGTTTTTTTTTTTAATGAGAGCTTTATGGAGATATAATTTACATAGTGCATAATTCGCCTATTTAAAATGTGTAAGCCAATGGTTTTTTGTATAGACACAAATTGTGCAACCATCACCATAATCAACTTTAGAGCGTTGTCATCATCCCCCAAAACGCACACCTGTTAGCAGTCTTTCTTCCTCACGCCCTCCAGCCCCAGCCCAAGGAAACTACTGGTCTACTTTCTGTCTCTAGATTTACCAATTCTGGGCATTTCATGTAAAAGGAATCATGCAATAGGAAATATTTTATGACTGGCTTCTTTTACTTAGCATAATATTTTCAAGGTTCATCCATATTGTAGCATGCATGCATACTTCACACTTTTTATTGACAATATTATATTGTGTGGATATACCATACTTTATTCATTGAGTCATCAACTGATGGATATTTAGGTTGTTTCTACTTTTGGCTATCATGAATAATGCTGCTATGAACATCTGTGTGCAAGTTTTGCTGTGGACATCAGTTTTCATTTCTCTTGAGTATATGCCTAGGAGTTGAATTGCTGAGTCTCGGGATAACTGTTTAACCTTATGGGCAACAGCTAAACTGTTTTCCAAAGTGACTGCCCCATTTTACATTTCCACCAGCAGTGTATGAGGGTTCCAATTTCTCCATATCCTCGCCACACTGACTTCATCTAGCTATCCTCATGGGCGTAAAGTGGTATCTTATGGTAATTTCTTTCCCTTTTTTCTCCCTCTGTCACCCAGGCTAGAGTGTAGTGGTGCAATTGTGGCTCACTGCAGCCTCAACCTCCCAAGCTCAAGTGATCCTCCCACCCCAGCCTCCCAAGTAGCTGGGACTACAGGCACATGCCAGCACACCCCGGCTAATTTCTGTAGTTTTAGTAGAGAAAGGGTTTTGCCATGTTGCTCCCGGGCTCAAGTGATCCACCCACCTCAGCCTCCCAAAGTGTTGAGACTACTGCATGAGCCACCACACCCAGCCCCTCATGGTAGTCTTGATTTGTATTTCCCTAATGACTGATGATGTTGAGCATCTTTTCGTGTACTCACTGGCCATGCCCACCTGTTTCTGTAAATACAGTGTGTGGGAACAGAGCCATGCCTACTTGATGATGTATTGTCTACGGTTGCTTTTTATACTATAATGCAAGCTTGCCCAACTTGTGGCCCACGGGCTGCATGAATCCCAGGATGGCTTTGAGTGCAGCCCAACACAAACTCGTAAACTTTCTTAAAACATTCTGAGATTTTTTTGCAACTTTTTTAGCTTACCAGCGATTGTCAGTGTCCGTGTATTTCATGTGTGACCCAAGATAATTATTCTTCCATTGTGGCCCAGGGAAGTCAAAAGATTGGACACCCCTGCTAATGGCAGTAGGGAGCATTTGCTGACTATCTAGCCCTTTAAAAAAATGGCTGCCTACCCCGGATTTAGGTGAAAGAGGAAAAGGTTCTGCCTTCGGGTGAGACAGGGACAGGCATTTGAATGAGGAAAGGAAGGAACATCCGACAGGTGCAGCTTTTCCCAGTCCAGCACCATTGCAAGGTAGAGACTCGCACAGAGAAGCTGCAGTGGCATTCGGTGGTGCATAAGGCAAGGACTCCCCAGTGGTGGCCACGGCGTGGAGGGAGGAGCTGGTGGACTACAAGCCAGGGCTTTGTGGAGAAATTGTCAAGTGAGAAAAGGGTGCCAGGATGAAATGGGAAAGTCATTCATCTGTAGGGGCTGAGCTCTCAGGGTACAGGTCTTAGCCCCGGAAAACAGTACTGTGTCTCCTCGTGTATGAACCCTGCCGGCATAGGGAGTGACAGCGGGGGCATCCTCTCCCACCGCCGGGAGCGTGTCTCTGTCTGCACCACGCATAGGTGGGCACATCAGGCTTCTTTCACCTGAGGCACTGTGCTGGCCACATCTGGACTGCCTGTCTTTGCAAGATTTTCTGCATGTTTTCCCCAGAGCTTGCTGCTCATATGTCCCGTTTGATGTTCCCCTTTTTTTGCCCTCTGGGGGGAAATGGTTTTCTGCAACTCCCGGATACCACAGTTCAGGAGGGCAAGTAGTCCTCAAACATCCCTCATTATACCACCTTCCCCCAGCATCTCCCCTCGTACCCCTCCATCAACTGATCACAGAAAAGATACCCAATTCTTACTCAATCTTGAGCGAGGCCTTGGGTTTGCTGTCAGTCCAGGTGAAGCGCTTCAGCATGGGAGAGGCCAACAGAGTGCTGCTGTCGCCCTGGTAGTCCTAGGGGGAGAAGGAGAAAGGTTATACTCTTGCCTGGCCCAGCGGGGGTCCATGCTGAGCCTGAGGGATGATCCTGGGATACATCTGTTGATCCAGGCTCTGCCTCACCCTCCACAATCCCAGCCTATTGAGACAAAGCATTTCTCTAAGTTGGCCACTACAAACTTGACCCGCTGCAAATCATGTCTGATCCCCAGTGACTTTGAGGCCCTTCCTGAACATGAAGTAAATACATTTAGGCAAAAGGGGAAATGGCAAGTAACAGGTTAGCATTTTCCATAGTAAACTGTGATGCAATTTATTGCAACAAAGATACTAAAACTAATTTGGCAGATCACGATTGACTATGAGTATGCTATGGTAGTGGTGGCCATCATAGACACAAATTCTAAGAAATCGTAAAGACATCATTCGATTTTTTTTCTTGAACTCAATGGAATTCTCAGCCCCCAGCCCTTGGTCATGGTCTCCAGCAATTAGACTTCCTTGTTGGTTTCTTTTGGCAGTGAGTTGCCTGCAGACTCTTCACTACTTTGTTAATACGGCATGTTCCACTAAGTGGATCCCACGCTTTGTTCCTGCCACCCTTTAAGGCTCTTACAGGGCAGTGTTCCTGTCCTTAATTACGAGTAAACACCTAAGCAAATAAAGAAGCTGTCATCATTCACCACTGATTTAGGGTGGGGAGGGTGAAGGTTGAGAATTCTTTCACGTTTTGCTCAGTATTTTTCCCTTGGCCTTGAAAAAAATGTGCCAAGCAGTCAAACAAGATATCCATATACTTCACCTTTATATTCTTCAGCTTATTTTTGATGCTTAAAATATTTAAAATAATATTTCCCTTTATCTGGTGTGTCTGACAAGGTTGTGGTTTTTCGTTTTTGATTTTTTTTTTTTTAAGGGTGACTGTGCTTGCTTCAAGGCCACACTGATTGTGGTGATCACCTTCACACTGTCATTGGCCTTCCAGGCCCTTTATGGGACAAGGTCATTGCCAGCACTCCTTTTTTTTTTGAGACGGAGTCCAGCTCTGTCGCCCAGGCTGCTAGAGTGCAGTGGCGCGATCTCGGCTCACTGCAACCTCCGCCTCCCGGGTTCACGCCATTCTCCTGCCTCAGCCTTCCTAGTAGCTGGGACTACAGGAGCCCACCACCACGCCCAGCTAATTTTTTTGTGTTTTTAGTAGAGACTGGGTTTCACCATGTTAGCCAGGATGGTCTCAATCTCCTGACCTCGTGATCCGCCTGCCTTGGCCTCCCAAAGTGCTGGGATTACAGGCTTGAGCCACTGCGCCCGGCCTCACCAGCACTTCTTAAACATTAATGTGTGCAGGAATCCCCTAGGGATCTTGCCAAGGTGCAGCCTGACTCAGTGGGTGTGGGCAGGTCCCGAGAGCTGGCATTTCTAGCCAGTTCCTAGGTCGTAGGAACCTGCCTATCTGGAGATCACAGTGAGTCCCAGAGTCTGCAACATCAGAACTGCAGTATCGCTCCTGCCCATGCTCCTCTCCTCCCCTTAGCCCCTCAACCCCACATCACAGGGCTTTAGAGAGAAGAGCTGGGAGACCTCTTGTTTGCCAGGCTATACTGGTTAGCTTCTCCCATTGTGATTGGGTAGGAACACAGCTGTTCAATCTGTAGAACCTCAGGGGAAAGGAGCATAAGGCTTAGGTGGACCCCTCCCAGCCTCAAGGCTGCTTGCAGGAACGCGCTCTCTGTTACATCACAAAGCCCATCACCCACACAGCTGGGAGTTCCTCTGTTACTCTGAAAGCAAAGCTGCATCACTGACAGCTAAGCAGCTTAGAAACACACAATGGAGTTTCCTCAGGGTCTAAATTCCTACCACGCAGGGACTTGGGTCCTGGAGTGAGTGCATGGAACTCTACTTTCAAATTAGTTCTGCACAGCTAGGTCTAGTTGTCAGTCCTCCCCACACTGTCATTTCAGCCACTCCTGAATCCAGACCCTCACTGACCAAGAACTACTACATTACTGGCGTTGGTGTTTGGAAGGGATCTGAAGAAGGGGTCTATCGGGGTGCACTAGGTACCTTAACTTCACGACTTACATCAAACATGGAGGTGGCATTCGGTAAAAGTTCTTCAAAGGTTTTGATTCTTTCCAGGCTCATGAACTTGAAAGCATTTACGTATCTAATGAAGAAACAGAAAGAATTATCAAGACAGGAAAAGGCATCCAGCTCTAATGAGTCAGGAGACCACAGGCACCATATCCCAGCTAAGATGAACCAACACACCAACAGGAATCACCTAACTCCTGAGGCCCCGATCTCCCCGCCGTGACCCCTGGGAATCCTGACAGCATTGCCACTGCCTCCCGTGGTTGTCAATTCACATTCTGTAGGGTTGAGGAAACTCCCAGAGGGACCTACTCTGGTCCGTTGTGAAATCAGAGAATGCCAGACATAGGAGAGACTGGAGGCATCATCTCGTCTGAGTGCCCAATGGCACAGGAGAGAAATGATGTGCAGGGAAGTGGTATGACTTTATCAGGTGCTCTGAAAAGGATGTGAGGTGGCAAAGTGACCTGGCATGGCTACACGGCTAAATATTATTTAATGGCATAATCGAGTGCTAGCGCCAGGCTTGTATTTTGTGTGTGTGTGTGATTACAGATTGGGAGAATTGGGTAGTGTTGTATGATGTCTCTATAACTACCTACTGACTTTTGTTGATGATGTATTAGGAAAGACTATTGGAGACATCCACTCTGTGGTTACTCACAAGGCAAGTTCACCTACTGACTGAATTTCTCAGTCCCATACTCTGTCACTCTCTGCCAGTCCCAGTGTCTTGGGCAAGCTCCCTACTGGCTTAAGGCTAAGCAGCCTTAGAAGGGTCCACATATAACTTTGCCATGCCACCCACCCCCCCTCCCTCTCTCTAACCCAGCCAGACCTTGCCAATTTATTTAATCCGAACTAGTTTTCCCAGCTTTACAAAATGATGACACATCTGCTTCAGCCTCTTGGGCTGGTTGTGAGGCCTGAACAGTGAGGCTGACCTGTAATCCATCACCACAAGTCTGGATTTGCCCACTGGGTTTCTTTGAGGCCTGTCACAGGTGGGTAGCAGTATTTTCTTTTTTCCTTTTTTTTTTTTTTTTTTTTTTGGAGACAGAGCCTTGCTCTGTCACCCAGGCTGGAGTGCAGTGGCACGATCTCGGCTCACTGAAACCTCCGCCTCCCTGGTTCAAGTGATTCTCCCACCTCAGCCTCCTGAGTAGCTGGGACTACAGGTACGTGCCACCACACCCAGCTAATTTTTGTATTTTTAGTAGAGATGGGATTTCACCATGTTGGCCAGGCTGGTCTTGAACTCCTGACCTCAGGTGATCCACCCATCTCGGCCTCCCAGAGTGCTGGGATTACAGGCGTGAGCCACTGTGCCCGGCCGCAAGCAGTATTTTCTGACTGCTGCAGCTTCTTCCCATATCTTCCCTGGTGGCTGAACTGAGGTTAGAGCCAGAGAGCTGTGCCTACTGCAAAGAGAGATGCTAGAGGCCCATAGTACAGTCTGGAGGCCCTAAAAGGAGTCCTGACTGCATCGGGTACAGGGAGGGAGGGTCAGAACTCCTGGGTTAGAAAATTATTCTGCCACTTTCTAGCCACACAGTTTCGGCAAGCCTTCCTTCTGGGAGCCTTAAGGTCCCCATTTGTGTAACGGGAATGATATGTTCTTCCCAAGACTGCTCTGGGCGTAAGAGGAGTTGATACATGGAAAAAGCCTAGCACCTTGCCAGACCCAGCACTTGTCTGTGTAACCGTCATCCCTGCCCAGGTTTCGTGCACGCCTAACTATCAGTCCTGAAGTGCAGTCCCCGGGCCAGCAGTGGCCACAGTACATATTTGTTCCCTTGCCTTGCCCCTTCTCCAATTCCCTCTGCAGTAATACGGGATAGATGCGTTTGTTAGGTCAAAACAAAGCAAAACAAATGAAAACACAGCTCGCTTTGTTTGTTTAGTTTTATCTAAGGTTTCACCAAAAAATTCAATGTAATGGGGAAAAGAAAAGATGGGGGAAGGTTCTAGAATAAGATAGACAAGAAACTTAAGAAAATGTAATCTGTTATTCTTAATTGGATCCTGCTTTTAAAAAAAACATGTAAAGACACTTGGGTGGAATTATGGAAATCTGACTATTAGATGGCATTAAGGAATTTATTTGGTGCGATAATTTTGGTGTGGTTTACACAGGAGAATGTCCTTCTTTGAGTGCAGTCACATAATCATAGCCCACTGCAGCCTCCATCTCCTGGGCTCAAGTGATCCTCCAACCTCAGCCTCCTGAGTAGCTGGGACTACAGGTGCCCACCACCACACCCGGCTAATTTTTAAATTTTTAGTAAGATGAGGTCTCTCTATGTTGCCGAGGCAGATTTTGAACTCCTAGGCTCAAGTGATCCTCCCACCTCAGTCTCCCAAAGTGCTGCGATTACAGGCACGAGCCACTGTGCCCAGCAACAATAGCCTTCTTCCAAAATGTATACTAAAGTATTTAGGAGTAAAGTGCTATTATGCCTTAAGCCTCCTTTTAAATGGTTTGGCAAAAAGAAAAATCCGTAACAAACACAATCATAGAGAGTATAATAGACAAAATAGGGCAAAATGTTAACAGTTGAATTTAGGGGATGGGCATATGGGTGGTGATCAACATAATCTTTCTTTCTTTCTTTCTCTCTTTCTTTCTTTCTCTCTTTCTTTCTCTCTTTCGTCTTTCTTTCTCTTTCGTCTTTCTTTCCTTCTTTTTTTTGTTGGAAAATTCTGTGATATAAAGTTTGAGAAAGAAATCTTACCTGACATCATCAGAGCTTCCTGAATTAAACTTCGGAGCTGAAATACTTTCCTTGAAGAAGTCCTCAGAGAAGGCAGGAGTTGAGTATGTAAACCCACTATTTCCTGTCAGTATGGCATTGATTGGGATGTAGTCTTTACCATCCTAAAATACCAAAGGTAGAGCTCTCGTTGCACCAATTCTGACTTCAACAATTTCTATGAACCATTATGTCAACTTTGACTATGTCATTTGCACAATCTTGGTTGTGTTTTGAGAAGATAATTCTGTATACACACACACACACCCTTTTTTTAAACTTCTGATCTCAGCTATTATATTAATAGCTCTTAAAAAAAAAACAAATAAAATGCCCCCCTGACGTACATTCAAAGGCATTTTGATGTAAATAAATTTAGTTTTACCTGTTGTACATTTGCTTGAAGCAAATCACCTAGTTTTTCCACAAGTTCTGCAAATCTTGGCCTTTCTTTTGGGTCTCTGTGCCAGCAGTCCAGCATGATCTGATAGCTGGTGGGGAAAACAGCAACAGAAATAGTTGGAGAGCAGTGATCATCCTATGCATTGCCTTACGTACTACAAAGGGAGGGCTGTCATCATCCGCATAAAGCCCAAGCTTTCTGTACTATGTGACCCTGCTTCATTTTTAGGTTTGGGTTTATAGCACCAGCACTTAAAAGGCTGTCTGGGCCAGGTCCTGTGGTCAGTGGAAAACACGTCTACCAAGGCAGACTAACCAACCCACCAGAGCTCATGGATACCCAGGTTCTTTGTTGTGCCTGTGGCCTCTGCAGATGGAAGGTCTGAGTTCTGTGAATGAAACACAGCAATTCGGAAAGGAAACCCCACCGCTCACTGCAGTTCAATGTGAAGTGGAGTACTCCTCCCCACACTTACAGAAGTAGGACGATGTCCTTAAAGTTAAAAAAAAAAAAAGTCATACAGCCATAAATATCAATGGCTGAATAGTTTGTAGTACTTATTTCATTCTCGAGTTGTAACAAAGGTTGGTTTGAGCTGGCTTCTTAAAAAGCATGTGGCATTTCCAAGTCCTCACACCTCCCTTTATGGGCTCAGCAGTGGAGACTGGTGGGGAAGGTCCTGCGTACATGACTTTGTCACTTCCAGAAGGTGAAGCCCACAGTGTGGAGTTTCCGGGGCTGTGAGCAAGGTTCCTGTGTGTAGCTGATCATTCTCCCCCAGCACTGCAAAGCCGCTGTTACAAACTGGCCTCCCACCACTCAAGGCACACAGCACAGGTTGGGCTCCTGGATAATGAAAACATTTGTCTTAATAGCACAGAGGTCAAATCTTGTCCTGGGATTCCAATGTCAACAGACTCCTCTGTGATTCTTCTCTTACATTTTATTTTTATTTTTATTTTTATTTTTATTTTTATTTTTATTTTGATGCAGAGTCTCACTCTGTCATCCAGGCTGGAGTGCAGTGCCATGATCTCAGCTTACTGCAACCTCCGGCTCCCAGGTTCAAGCGATCCTCCTGCCTTAGCCTCCTGAGTAGCTGGGATCACAGGCACCCACCACCACACCTGGTTAATTTTTGTATTTTTAGTAGAGATGGGGTTTTATCATGTTTTCCAGGCTGGTCTCGAACTCCTGGCCTCAATTGATTCACCAGCCTCGGCCTCCCAAAGTTCTGGGATTACAGGCGTGAGCCACTGCGCCCGGCCTCTTCTTTACATTTTAGATGTAAAGGTATCAGGCTCCTCTCTTGGTCATGTCTGCACGGAATCGAGGTCTGTACCTACCGCCCTCTCTGAAAAACACAGGCCAGAGGTCCATACACACACTGCATTAAGAATTGATTCTTCTTGAACCTTGTGCTCTTCAAGGGATGTTTATTATATGTTAACTCTTCTCTCAGAAGATGGTCTGGATGAGAAGGGACTCTGACTTACACTCAAACCTGAATGGGCTCCGAATTTGGCTCTGGGTGGGAATTGGGCTGTAAGCACTATGTGGGCTGGGCCTCATTTCCACACCTCTCGCCTACCACAGGGCAATAAATATCTGCTAAAAGAAGTCAGACTGGTCTCCGGGAAGAGATAACTCTGCTCCTTCTGTGAATTCTTCAGCTGTACTGCAGACATTACTTGTGCTGGGAGATGGCGGTTGCTGGGGAAAAAACCTGAGAAACCCTAGTTCATATCCTCCCTCTGACACTTCTTAGAGGTATGCCTTTAGGGGGCGCCAATGGCTCCAGATATCTCTTAAGTATATTTCTATTTTGTTTCAAAGTATATGAGGTGGCTGCCAAAGGCAGTAAGAATACAGGGAGGTAAAAAAAAAAAAAAAAAAAAAGAAGAATCCGGGTGTGGTGGCTCACACCTGTAGTCCCAATGCTTTGGGAGGCCATGGTGGGACAATCGTTTGAGGTCAGGAGTTCAAGATCGTCCTGGACAACATAGTGAGACTTTATCTCCACAAAAAAATACAAGAATTAGTCAAGCATGGTGATGCATGCCTGTAGTCCCTGTAGTACAGGAGGCTGAGGCGGGAGGATCACTTGAGCCTGGGAGGTTGAGGCTGGGCTCCAAAGAGAGGCCTTCAGGCAGAGGCTCTGGGCTCGTCTCCTCCTGCACCATCGTCTCCCCACAGGATCAAGCTGCTGTCTGGGAGATGCACCATCCTGAGCAGGACACTCCCTAGTTTCCCTGCTGACACTCGTAAACGGAACCATCTACAACCACTTGCTGTTTGTTACTTTTGACTCTTGGATTCCGATTTCTAGTTTCCACTCTTCTTGCCTAAAATCCAATGCAAATCATCTCAGCAAACATCAAATGAAAAGAAAAAAAAAATAAAAAAATTCATTGCTTATTCCCTTATTGAAAGACATCTGATTCAACAGTATCTGGGCCAGGAACCAACAACTCAATGTTACAAGATTTTGTACCACTAAGTAAATGGGTTTAGTAAAGTTATGAGACATTAGCTTGCATCCAAGCTGGGGATGAGGGGCCCCCAGAAAGTTTTCTTTCCAAGCTATCACCCAAGTTCCCAAATACACACCGCTTTAGGCCAAGTTCAGATCACAGAATCCCAGTTCTGAGAAGCTGCACTTGGTCCTCACCCAGCCCTTCCTACTGTTAGAACAAACAAGAAGGAAATTACTCCATCAGCTTTCACATGCTGGAGAAAATGGCTGAAGGTTTGAAGTCTGGCCTTCTGAGGAAATATTTCACAGAGCTTCTTACTTTTTAAAATTTCTAAAATCTCTCCCTCCTCAGAATTAAGGAACCATACCACTCTCTCTAGGTCACCTGAGGCACGGGAGCTACCTGAGCGAGGTTTATGTAAAGACTTGAAGGTTTGAGAAAGTCCAAAGCAGTTTTTGGTCCAAAGCTGATGTGACTTTGTACCTCTGAGTTATTTGCGACCACAGCCTGGGTATGAATGGGAAACACACTCTGCAGCAGTGTAGGATGGTGCTGTGGACTCTGGACTCAAGCTGAATTCGCTTATTACCAACGCAGGCTTGAGCAAATCACTTACATGTGCGGTGCCTGTTTTCTCATCTGTGAAATGGGGATCATGGTAGTCCTACTTTATAGGACTGTTATGAGCATTAAATAAATTAATGCTTAAAATAGTGGCACTTATAAGCACCAAATAACTATTTAATCAGTACTATTCAATACTGTTATAATAAAAACTAATTTCAGGCCAGGCATGGAGGCTCACGCCTGTAATCCCAACACTTTGGGAGGCCAAGGCCAGTGGATCACTTGAGCTCAGGAGTTCGAGACCAGCCTGGCCAACATGGAGAAACCCCATCTCTACAAAAAAATATAAAAATTAGCCAGGCGTGGTGGCACATGCCTGTAGTCCCAGCAACTCAGTAGGCTGAGGAAAAAGAATGACTTGAACTCAGGAGGTGGAGGTTGCAGTGAGCTGAGATCACGCCACTGCACTCTAGCCTGGACAACAGAGCGAGACACTATCTCAAAAAAACAAACAAAAAAACCCAACTAAACTAATTTCATACTATTTAGAATTTATATGGAAGTAAAAATAAAACTTAATTTCATACTGTTTTGCATTTATTTTGATGTAAAAATATTGTTATTTAATAATAACAACTATTAGTGTAATTGAGAACTTTCTCGAGATTTTCAGACTATATGAAGATTGGAAGGACATATTTAATTCAAAGCATGAGTGGCCATATCAGAGAAGCATTTCTACTGAGGAACGTGGGGTCTGTTCCTAATTCATCAGCCGTGGTCTAGGGACATCAGTCCAGAGGCTTGGGTTCTAAATGTCTCCTTTGCTTCTCAGCTGACAGACGGCACATTGCTTCAGTTCTCGGCATCTCAGTTTCATTACTTGCTAAATTCAGATTACAATAGCTGCCCTGACCACCCCTCAAGGTCTCTGGGAACTTCAAATGAGACTATGTGTGGGAAAACACTTAGAAAATCATAAAGTTAATCATCTAGCTCTATCCCCAGCTCTCAGAAACAGGCCTTGCCTCAGCTCCCTGTACTTTTCTGATGAGGACACCACGCACCAGTGACAAGAACAGGTCCCCTCCCGCTTCCCTACGCTCAGGCAGAGCTCCCCAGCCCTGCTGTTGGGCCTGAGTCTCCTGTCCACCTCGTCCAGTTCCCCATCCTGGGTCTGACCTACCCTTACCCCGAGATGATGAAGGAAAGAGACAGTGACTTTGCCCTTTGGCCAAGCCCACACTTCCTGCATTCCCTCTGATTCCTTCTGAAAGGCCAGCCAGGGCTTCTGACAGGACCCCATTGTGTGGGTGGAATGGGAGGGCCCCTGCCAGTTCAGGAAAGGTGGTGCCGCCTCAGGGAGGCCCAAGTCCTTGTCAGCAGCTCCACAAAAGTGCAAGTGTCATCACATTCCTGCTCAGGCCTCAAAGTGCAAAACATCCACAAAGCCCCAGGAAAAAAAGTGTCCAAGACAGGCAAGCAAGTGCAATTTGCACAGTGGAGAAAGCCTCACATGGACACCCGAAAAGCCATCTGACCAGGCAGCTTCAGACAGCTGCTGGGCCTATTCCTAAAAGGTTCTTTTTTTTTTTTTTTTTTGAGACATAATCTCACTCTGTCACCCAGGTTGGAGTGCAGTGGCGTGATCTTGGCTCACTGCAATCTCCGCTTCATAGGCTCAAGTGATTCTCATGCCTCAGCCTCCCAAGTAGCTGCCACCAGGCCCGGCTAACTTTTGTATTTTTAGTAGAGACGGGGTTTCACCATGTCGGCCAGGCTAGTCTCGAACTCCTGACCTCAAGTGATCCGCCCGCCTCTGCCTCCCAAAGTGCTGGGATTACACATGTGAGCCACTGCGCCCGGCCCCTATTCCTCCCAAAGGATTCTAAAGAAGTTGTATTGCCCACAAAGCCTTCTGTGAAGCATAATCATGACATCAGGAAGTTCCCCTTTTCCTCTCCAAGACCTGTTCTGCAGACCACATCAACCCCCTCACGGGTGTTCTGTGCAGACACAGGACTGGTCACAAGACCAAGGTCTAGCCCTCCATCCCTGGGGCTGCTAGGCCTGTTTGGCTCCCACTCCGTGAGTGAGGCCAAGGTCTTGCATTCAGTTCCTGGGTGGTCTGTTTGTTTTGCCTGGATTCATACCTAGAAACTGAATTTCTAACTTCAGTTCCCAGCTAGAGCCCTTGAAAAGTCATGTCAGTGGTCAGGACAGGAAATAGGTAGGGATGGGTCAAGGGCCACGTGCCCCACTGCAAGAAAACACTCCCAGCATATCTGGGCCTGATGGGCTGAGGGGAGCATCTCTAAAGGAAAGAAGAACCTTGGCATCTTCCAAGACTGGGACTCTAAGAATCCATAAAACATCCCCTCTCAGGAATGCCCTGGTGAAAAGCGAGCTGTCAGATGGGGAGCAGAGGGCACCAAGGGCTCACATTTCAGGAGTAGAGTACTCAGGAGCTCTCATCCTCATGCCTTCCCTCAGGCGACTGCAAAAGTCCTCATCCATTTGTACTCCTGGGTATGGAGACCCACCTGCGGGAGACAATGTGGAAAACACAGGGCCTGTTATGGCTTAAGGGTACAAAAGACCAAGAGGGGACAATTCAGTGTTTCTTTCCTCCCTTTAAAGCTACGTTTTAGTAATAAATTCCCAGGGATTACAACAGATCTCAACATACCGTACAACACACAGAGAAGCTCAGCAAATCCTTGCTAAGGACACCCGCTTGGTTGGGTGGTCACATGGTGCGGGGCACCTGGTGCTCACAGGCTATTCCTATGGCTACTTCTGCCTGTGTGGTCAGAGGAAGGGGTGTCGTCTGAAGGGTCCTTGCCTTCTCCCCACAAGTAACTAAAGAAGTCCCATCATTAGAGACTCATCCTTTGGGTTAGTGAGCTTTTGTTTTTTTTGAAGAGACGGGTCTCCCTCTGTCACCAGGCTGGAGTGTGGTGGCATGATCTTAGCTCACTGCAGCCTCGAACTCCTGGGCTCAAGCAATCCTCCCACCTCAGCCTCCCGAGCAGCTGGGACTCCAGGTGCTCACCATCACCACACTTGGCTTGGGCTTCTTTTTAAAAAGCCAATAGACTTGGGATAGGCTACATAGGAATCATTCACACTTGAGTGGGAATGACTTTAATTCACTTTCTTGCAACCTTCCTATAGTACCAGGGCTCTAGGAGTTGTGACAGGCCTGAGGGAAGGGGGGCTTTGCGCTCCAGGGCTGGGCTGAATGGAGTGGAATGGGGTGGGGGCTGCCCGTGGCCAGGAGTCTGCAGACCTAAGGGCGCCAGAGAGGCCTAGGCTTTGCCTTCTGCCAGCTTTACTGCCCAGGATTCCCCTGCAACCTTTCCTTTTGGGGGGATTCTTGCCAGGGCTGGGGGTGGCAAGGCCTTCTAATGCACTCTTGCTCTAGCCCTGCAGCCTCATCTACCTCAGCATTTGTTTGTGTGCATTTTCTAGTGATTACTGCTGGTAGGAAGCAGCTGGGAGGCGTGCAGTGCTGGCACCGTGTCATCGCAGGACCACTGCAGCCGCCAAGCTGCTTTCAAAGACTGGAAGCAACAGGTGCCTGTCATCGAAAGCAGGGGAATGATTTTCACACATTACAGGAAACCAGGGATGTTACTGGGTGACTTTTATTTGCTGTGAAAGGCAAATTTTTGGCAAAGCCCAAAAGACTCTTGGCGAGAACTTGAGTTTTAGAGGCCTCAGATCATCACTGTGTGTCTGCAAGCAGATGTGGGCTCTGCACGCATCTGTGTGCTTTGAACAGGACTTCCAGCCACCCATAGTGGATGTTATTGCAAGCAGAATAAATACAACCAGTGTTGTTTATTGCTTATCCTGTATAAACCAGTGTCCAGAGCCATATCATGTGTTCATATCAGAGGCACTGGAAAGGTCTCCTGTTTCTAACAACACCTTCCTCGCTGGGGCAGCTGAGCTTGTTATGGCCTTTCCTAGGAAGAAATTCTGAGGTGGTGGGAGACGCGGGGAGGGAAGCGGTAAGGGCATTAGAGGTGTGGGTGTTGAGGAATTGGAAAAGGACAGAATTGGGCAAAGTACAGAAAAAGTACTTTGCTTCAGACTTTATACCCTTGTTCATGATCGTATAAAGCCCTTTTACATGACCTTGTTCTGACCTTGTTCATGATCATATAAAGCCCTTTTACAGTAGAGGGCAGACATGCGTACGCCATTACTCATCTGAGAGTCTACATGGGCCCATTACACTTTAAGAGTTTTTTGTTACAGTAGGTTCTAATCTAAAGGCTGTCTAACCAAAGGACATTCAGCAGAAGATGCAGACATTTATTTCTGGGCTGTTTGATTTCTTCCTTCTCCCAAATTTACCTAAGGAGAAGATTTCCCACAGCAATACTCCGTAAGACCACACGTCGCTCTTGGTGCTGTAGATTTTGTCAAAGATAGATTCAGGAGCCATCCATTTCAGAGGAAGTCGAGTCTAGAAGAGGGCAAGGGGGCCTTGAGCAGAAGGGCATGAAAACAAAGCACATTCAACCCGAGTGTCCATGGGGTCACCTCCCAGATAACATACGGCCTATAAATCATTTCCGAGAGCAGCTCTGGTTTCCTAACATAGAGAACACCATAGTATGCAGTGTTACGCTAAAAGAGGGAGCTAGAGTGCTATACTGAGTCCCATGAAGGCAGTATATGTTCAGTAAGCCCCTCTGATGTGTTCAGCATGTCCTTATCTGCATAGCTCTGTGAGAAATCCTCCCCCACAAAGAAAGCCTGCACTCCACAGGGACACACTCAGGGCTTGGAAAAGGAAAAGAGTGATCTGAATTTGAAGATATCCTGAAAACTGGTGGTGGTTTCCAAAAATTTTTCCAAAGGAGGATTTTGAAAGCATTCCTATGCAAAAAGACAAGATTTCCAAAGTCACTGAATAGGGAGAGTGTGCAAAAGCATCAGAAAGAAGAGAAGAAGGAAAGAAGTCAGTGTTGAAAGAGAATATACAGTTAGTTTTCAAACATGTAGACAAATCTTCCTCTCTTTCAGATAGCAGGAATCCCAGTGAGTTAGGCCTCACCACTTTAGATGATGGGGATTGATGGGAGGTATGGGATAAAGGAGAGACAAGGAGAAAGGAAGTGGGAGGGGCAGGGAGGCTGACTCAGATACAGACGAACAGAAAGGAGGGGAGGACTAACATGAAGGTTGGTGCCATCTCTCCAGACCAGGGCCCCAAGGAAAGTCTGTTTTCCTTTATTTTTATTTTTTTATTTTTACAAAGGATCAATGTGAAGTCATATGTTTTCCTTCTATACAACAGATTCTGGTGCAGTGGCTCTCGAAGTATGGTCCTGGGACATGCTGTGTCAGCACCTTCTAGAACAAACATGTCCAATTCCTGGCCCGCGGGCCACATGTGGCCCAGGACAGCTTTGAATGCAGCCCGACACAAATTCGTAAACTTTCTTAAAACATGATGAGATTTGTTTGCATTTTTTTTTTTTTTTAGCTCATCAGCTATTGTTAGTGTTAGTGTATTTTATGTGTGGCCCAAGATAATTCTTCTTCTTCCAATGTGGCCCAGGAAAGCCAAAAGATTGGACACCCCTGGTCTAGAAACTGGTTAGAAATGCAAATTCTCAGGCTCCACCCAAGAGTTACTGACTCAGAAACTCTGGGGGGTGGAAGGCTTGTTAGGCCAGCACACTGTAGCGTAACAAGCCTTCTAGGTGATATGTATGTTCAATTAAGCTGGGAACCACTACTGTAACTCATTGGCGCCCAGACATAAGCTTAACCCTCAGGGTATATAGGCTGAGGGTTAAGGAGAAGGGAGGACATGGGAGGTCATCCACAAAAGTGAAAAATAACACTATGTCTAAAAACAAGCAGGGAAGAGAAGCCAGTACGAGCCAGCGGGGAGATGCTAGGCATGGAAGGCCATGGGAGGTAAACAGTCTCCTCCATAGTCAGCTACTGCTGACGGTCTTCCCCGCCCTTTCCTGAGACAGATACACCTGCTGAATCAATCATCTGGGTTTATTTGAGGGAAAGAGTCCAGGCTGTTCTTTTCAGTGGTACAAGGAATTCCCTCAGGATTCAAAGGAAGGTAATGCTAAGGTCTCACCCAGGCCCCACCAAACACTTCTCAGGTTAGCAAGTCTCACGCAGCGCTGCCCAAAGGACAGGTGGGAGGCCAGGCATTAGGGAAGAGCAGAAGCAGGAGACAGTGGCCTTTCTGAGCCTTACACAAGGGCTCTCTGGGATGCCGCTCATCTGGACTGTTTGTCTTCACAGAAAGCCAATGATGGTTTTCAGGGACTACAGCTGAGGAAGTGTAAATATTTACCAAGTCTGTGGTTTAAAAGTGATAGGACACACATGAGTCAAATAAACATCAAACTGACTTACATCTCCTTTTCTCACATAATCGGGGTTCTTATAAATATCCCGGGCAAGGCCAAAATCACAAATCTTCACCACGTTGTTCTCAGATAAAAGAATGTTTCTCGCTGCCAGGTCCCGATGAATGCACTATAATAAAACAGTTGCATAATCAATGCATTTCCTTAACCTAACCAACTAATTTCCTACACCTGTCAGTGTCATTATCTTAATTTGGGAATCCATTTCACATGCTGTGAAGGGAGCACCTCTCGGTGCACACAGAGTTACCATAAACATGAAGAGCCTCTCTACAAATACAGGTCCCCAAGCCCTCAAAGTCAAGAAATGGTCTGAATCCACTGGGCTACTATTTGATCAGCGAAGCTGGTTATCTAAGATTTACCAGTGGGCAAACTTTCCCCACAGTCTTTTATCCTGAGCTGCCAAGATGAGATCTTTCTCCAGCTGCAGTTTTGTGGGAGGGCCCTATATGGCTATATTAATAGTAGCTCTCCTATGAAGTCATGTCTTCTGAGATTTGGGCCAGATTTGAAAATATGCCAGAGGATACTGTGGAGAGCCGATGCCAGGTTTGTCTAGTCTGAAACCTGTGAGTTTTCCCCAGAATTAAGTTCTATCCACTGGTATCCATGACTCCTCATTCTCAAAACTCCTCATATCAAGGCAAATTAAGGCACTTGCAGTGGTGTTTGTTCTACATTTAAGAACATAGGTATCAGCAAATACTAGGAAAAATGAATTTATAGCAAAGGTGTGTGTCCAGCCCTGGCAGAGAAGAAAAACAGTAAACAGCAAGACTGACCTTTCTGGAAGACAGGAACTCCATGCCTCTGGCCACTTGAAAACTGTAAGAAATCAGATCTTCCATAGTGATGGGCTCCTTGTAGAAACCGTCAGAATCTGGAAAGCATTAGAACCGTAACTGTTTGTAATGGCTCTTGTTATCCCACCAAATCCCAGTTTATTGGAACAATGTTAGCAAAACATAAAACAAACCAACAAGTAGATCAGAGTTCATTTTTAAGAGTATTTGAGTTTCAACATGAACACCAGAGATTTTTCCAGGCCTCCAGCCCACTTTATCCAAGCATGGGGGCAGGGGGATGATCCATTAAGATGAAAATCCCTGAGGGGAGAAAACGGTACAGTTCCCTGTCAAAATTAGTAACTCTGTAAATTATCTTAATTCAAATCTTATCTCCTCAGGACATTACCATTCGAGTCTCCCACGGATGTTTATTAGAGTGATAAATAAGAAAAAAATTTCAGAGATGCATAGTATGTTGTAAAAATATCTCAGCGCGTAGGACAGGAAGGAATTAATACCTACCCTCCTCTTCCTCAACATCACTCAGACTTTTATCTTCCTGAAAGCCGGAGCTCGCAAAGCTTTCGCTGCTGGTGACGCTATCTAGTCTTGGTTTCTTGCCTTGTTCCAGGCCTGGCTCCATTTTTTCTTTCTTAGGCTCCATGTGTAGTGCTGCATCCTTTGAAGAGACCGAAAAGGACCCAGGTGAAAAGGAGCTCCAGCACAGCAGTGGGAAACCAGTCCCTCAACTGGCAATCGCCTGATGAGAAATGAGAGCGTTTCACTTCTCAAAATGGATCGTGAACTAGCACAGGGGCCCTACGGTGTCCAGGAGCCTGACTACCTCTGGAGTTGCAGAGTCTATTGTGCTCTTGCCTGGGCTTCTAGACAGCATCTTAGATCAGATAAAAAAAAAAAATTAAGAGTGGTGGGTATTTACTGAATGCTTACTCTGTGTGAGCTGGTATATTAAAAGCTTTAGGTACATTTCTTGTTTAGTGTTTCCAACAATTTTACGAAGTAGTTCTTATTTATACATGGAGAAACAGGTTCAGAGAAGTAAAGTAATCAAATTCACATGCAGCTAATAAATAGCAAAGCTGGCCGGGCACAGTGGCTCACGCCTGTAATCCCAGCACTTTGGGAGGCCGAGCCAGGTGAATCACGTGAGGTCGGGAGTTTGAGATCAGCCTGACCAATATGGAGAAACCCCGTCTCTACTGAAAATACAAAATTAGCCGGGCATGGTGGTGCATGCCTGTAATCCCAGCTACTCAGGAGGCTGAGGCAGGAGAATTGCTTGAACCCAGGAGGTGGAGGTTGCAGTGAGCCGAGATCACGCCATTGCACTCTAGCCTGGCCAACGAGAGCAAAACTCCATCTCAAAAAAAAAAAAAAAAGCAAAGCTTGAACCCAGGATTGGTCGATGCCCACATCTGTGCCCTTAACCACTTTTCCATGCCACACGCCATCTTGTGAAGGATGACATCACTGAGAGGAAAGGATCCTCAGTGTGCTTGGTGCTTCACTCTGTAATCCCTAGGAGGAGTTATAAGAGAAGGCTATAGTTACCAATTTCTCAGGTTTCTTTGGGGAAGGAGGGAACATGGACATTGCTTTTTTTCTCTTCCATTTAAACAAAGATACAGTTTGATCCTAACAAGGGTAGCAATGGCCTTTCACCCTGGACTGCACATCCAAGCCCTGGTTCATTTGGCTCTTCCATTAATCATGCGATCTTGGGCAAGTCACCTTACTTTTCTGAGTTTAATTATCCTCTTCTGAAAAGCTCTATTATACTATTATTTTATGATTCATAGGAAAGGAGTTGTCAGTTCTGGGTGTTCATGGGAAACCAGAAAAGATTTTTATTGCCTTTTGTAATTCATCTAGTAACTATGACACTCTAAAACCTAGCACTTTCAGTGGCTTTATAACAAGACCATGTTTGTAGCCTAGATTCTGCTAGACAGCAATACTGAGGCAGAAGCAGAGAGGGACTGGAGTTCAGTGGTGTCCCTTGATCCATTTGCATGGTGTGGCAGTTCTAGGATTAACCCGCGTACCCCATCCTTCCTGGGCTTTTCTAGAAATGTCACAAAGCAAGAGTGATCCCTCCACTAGAGGGCACAGTGGGAGCAAGCAGAGCACTGGGAGAAAGCTTCAGGAGGGACAGCCCTAACCTAGTCTAAAAGCCAAAAGGGCACCAAGGTTCCCAGCCCCTGAAAAGAGACCTTCCGGGGTTGCAGAGGGAGGCAGGCCTCAGAGTGAATACCCACTGCCATTGCAGGTAACCCACCTGAGGGCAGGTAAAGACTTTCACTATTTGTTATTGTGTTTCCACAATGCAGTTATATTGGATTCTGTTCAGTTGGGGACTGGAATTTTATTTTTCACAAGATCCTTTGTGGGACAGAAGGCATCAGAGAAAGCGCTGGCAATAGCATGGGGAGAAAAATGCTCCACAGGCTCACTCAGGGCTCTGCATGTGAAAACTCTCCCTGGACAGCCTTCTTCCCCACGGCACCCAAAAGTCACAGCCTAGGCATGTCTCCAAGGACCAAAACTCAGGCTCTCTCACTCCCTTCCTGACTCCCAATCAATTGTATATTCAGCTTTGCTTATCAGTACCACTTTTGTTAAATAAAGGTAATTTACTGAACTCTTGGGACTCTGGCAGAATATAGTGAATTTATTACAAACCATATTTAAGGATCCCAGTTAATTTATTTGGAAAATGAAGTATTCCATTTTCAATTTAGCCTTTTGGTTTTGCCTTTCCTTTACCTTTATCTTCCAAATATGAAAGACAGCCATGGATTTTCCACAAAAACACTAAGCTCCACCAAGTTGCACAGGGAGGCAAATCATTAAATATAGCCAGAGAAGGAAGCAAACTCTTCAAAACAAAGGACGCACAAACCCAAACGTTCCATCCTGCCCAGGTCCCTAGGGTATTCTGCTGGCTTAGCTCTTCCTGAAGCCAGTCCAAAATTTCAGTACTAAGGGGAATTTGTACTGCCCTCAGCCCAAGGCACCACTTTCCACTTTTTCTTATGCTTTTTTCACCTCATTTAGTGTGGTGCACAGAAAAGGCAGTGGAGGAGGAGTCAAGAGAGCTGAGTTCTTTCACCTTCTGACTTCACCTCATGGTAGGTGTGTGTCCTTAAGCGAATCACTTGACTTCTCTGAACGCATCTGCAGCCTGCGAGTGTGAACCAACTGATCACAAAGATCCCTTTCAGTTTCAAGATTCTAATTATTAGGCCGGGCACGGTGGCTCACACCTGTAATCCCAGCACTTTGTGAGGCCGAGGCAGGCGGATCACCTGAGGTCAGGAGTTTGACCAGCCTGGCCAACATGGTGAAACTCCGTCTCTACCAAAATATTCAAAAATTAGCTGGGCGTTGTGGCGGGCTCCTGTAATCCCAGCTACTTGGGAGGGTAGAGGCAGGAGGATCACTTGAACCCAGGAAACGGAGGTTGCAGTGAGCTGAGATCACACCACTGCACTCCAGCCTGACTGACAGAGAGAGAAACTCTGTCTCAAAAAAAAAAAAAAAAAAAAAAGGTTCTTATTATTAGAGGACCTGACTTAAACCTGGGGAAAATGATGTTCTTGCATATATTGCCGGTCCGGTAGAACATCTCTGTCTTTAATTAGATCAAAGTTTGAGGGATGAGAAAATTGGCCAGCTGTCCAGTGGTTCTTATTTGTGTGTGAAGATTCTTGCCCACATTATAAAGATGGGCATCATTCTTGGATTTCAGACATTTTATCCACCATGTAGATCAGTGGTACGAAGTTGGACTCACCCAATTTTTCTATCTTAGTAGGTCAATGATGTTGATGATGATGATGACAGTGGTGGTGACAGTGATGATTAACATTTATTGAATGTTTGACTGAGAGATTTTTATTCTCTCAACAATCCCATCAGCTGGATTCTATTATAAGCTTCATTTAATAAACGAGGGAACTGAAACAGACAGGTTGAGTAATTTGCATTCCCAGATTTCATGAGAAGTAGAGACAGGATTTGAATCCAGGAAGTCTGATTCCAGAGTCTCAATGTTTAACCACCACACTACATGGGTTCATCACCAGTGTTGCTGATTACTGGTTAATAATGTTGAATCACTGTCCCCTGGACTTCTTCAGCTCAGAGAAGGACACAGTATTGGTGCCATATGTCACACTGGCAAAGTTTTAGTAAATTATTTCTCCTCCATTCAATAATCTCTCTCTCTCTTTTTTTTTTTTTTTTTTTTTTTGAGACGGAGTCTCACTCTGTTGCCCAGGCTGGAGTGTAGTGGCTTGATCTCGGCTCACTGCAACCTCAGCCTCCCAGGCTCAAGCGATTCTCCTGCCTCAGCCTCCCTAGTAGCTGGGATTACAGGCGCGGGCCACCACGCCTGGCTAATTTTTGTATTTTTAGTAGAGACGGGTTTTCACCATGCTGGCCAGGCTGGTTTCGAACTCCTGACCTCACAAGATCCACCTGCCTCAGCCCCCAAAGTTCTGGGATTACAGGCGTAAGCCACCGTGCCTGGCCCAATAATCTCTTTTAAACCTTGTTTGCCCTTAGGTCTTGGGTCCACATGTTCCTTTTACTACACAGCTTTTATTTAATAAGGCTGGTTCAGAGTATATGTAGGGATGACATGGGTAGTGAGGGTGTCAGGAAGTAGGGGAAAGGGCAGTGGAAAAGAAAGATAATGATTTTTGGCCCTGGCCACATCATTGGTCTACTGCTGATTGTCAAGTCACTCAGTTGATTTAGCCTTAGTCAAAATCTAACCTAATAAATGGAGACAATTATATTAACTATTATCTTCCTTAAAGAAATAAGTGACTTGTGTATGTATGTTTGCGTGTATGTACACATGCACACATATATAGGGGGAGAAAGAGAGAAAGTTATTGTTAGATATTTAGATAAGTGGCTAGTAGATTTACTCTCCAATTATGGCTGCATACGCACACAGGGATCAAATGATTCTCTGTGCTATCCACACTAGAGTGTAACAGATTATCAGGGGAAAAAACATGAAAAAAGGAGAAGAAGCAGAGATTGAGTTTTAAGTTTAATCATTAACAACACAATACAGGTTTCTCTTGCTTTATGTTGTTACAGACTAAATGAAAACTCATTGCTATCTTTAAAAACCTCCAACTTTTGAAATCCTTACCTTGTTGAGAAAAAATAAGTCACGTTTGCTCTTGAGGTAGTTGGAGAGATTTCCATATTTGCAGTATTCAACAATCACCATCAGAGGCCCTGCAGCCAAAACAGCACATGCTCATGCTCAGCCACACCAAGCCAGTCAGCCATTTGCCAGCCTTCAGCCTGCCTGAGAAACCTCAAACCAACCAGCCTTTGTATTAGTGGGGCGAAGGGATGCGATTTAGGGATGAGAGGCCCATGAATACGGTGACTTTTTCAGTTTAACCTAAGAAGGGGTTTAAAGAATACAATTGAAATACAAAAAAAAAAAAAAAAAAAAGGAGGTGAGGGGCAGTGCAGAAGCATTAGAGAGAAAAGATTGGAAGAAGGACAGAAATACGTTTGAGGAGGGGAGAGGCAAAAGCCAGCCTCCCTGCCTCTTAACCAGACCCTTGCGAGTAGAGCGGCTTCTGGTTACTGTCACACCAGTCCTGGAACTATTAAGCAGCTCCTCCCTCCCTACCACGACAGAGACGGCTACCTGGCCGTCTCTCGCCAGCAGTGTCTGCGCGATTTGCCTTGGGGCTTGCCAGAGGATCTACAGTAGGAATCGGCAAACTCTTCTTGTAAAGGTCCAGCTAGTAAGCATTTTAGGCTTTGCAGATCAAGGAGCTACTACTCAATTCTGCCTTTGTAGCCTGGAAACAACCAAACAAGTATGACTGTGCTCCAAGAAAACTATGAACACAGAGATTGGAATTTCATACAATTTCATATCATGAAATATTATTTTTATTTTTTATTTTTTCCCCCAACTTTAAAAAGGTCAAACCATTTTAAGCTCACAGGCTGACCTTGGTTTGCCAACCCGACCCCGGTCTGAAGGAAGCAAGAGGGTTGGGAAGGAAGTCCAGCTGCACTCTGAAGGCCTCCTCTCTCCTGCCCTGCGTTTCCACTGCATGCCTGGGCTGGGCATGCAGCCCACAAAGCAAGGACCACTTCTGGGTCAAAGGGGAGTGACCCCGGAGCTGCTTCACCAGCCGCTGCCCAGGGCATGCCGGGAGCCCAGAAGCCACTAGTTCTTTTTTGTGCCTTGCAGAAGTTGGGCTGGTCCTGGTGGAGTGGTTTTCTCTTAGTACGAGGAACACGCTAGAAATCCTAACAGCATCTCATCTTCCCCCTAGGTTCCAGAACGGGAAGTTGCTTCCAGAGTTTTTTATGTCCCCTCTACGGCGGCAGATGCCGCAGAGTTCGGCTCCCGCATGGGGTCCAGCCACCGTCCTCAGAGGGGCTTCCATGCTGGCGCCCAGCTGCACGGAGCTGACGGCCGCACATGAGGGTAAGCTGTCTCATTATACCTGATCAGTTTTACAGATGCAAAGTTGAGGCAAACAGAATGAGGTTGCCACGACAGAGAACTTCATAAAACGTTATCCGGGGATGATGGAGAAGCAGGCGGGGCCGTGTCGAGGTCCCTCCGACTGTTTCTGGCCTCCCCAGCCTTTAGCTCCTCTCTAACCACCTCCGCCCCTAGCAGATTGTCTTCCCCAGCTACCCTTCATCTCTGCTACCTCTGTTGAGAGCTGGGGAAAACATTGGCTTGCACAGCTCTTTGCACCTTGCTGGCTCAAACAATGATCACACATCTACTCTGCCCTAACCCTGCCATACGGAAAGAAAGGTCTGCGACAACATGCTGGAGCTCTTAATCATAAAGCACAGCTCTGTCCCTACCCCCTTGGGTAAGGTCTATCTGCATGGTGGATCTGGAGGGAAGGGCCCCCACATCACCTCCTCCTGGGACCCTACCAGTAGTGATTCATTCATTCCTTTAGGTGAAGCCTCAAGGAATATGCAACCTTCTACCTTTTACCTTGGCTCTGGCCACACTCCTTCAGACCCATCCTGAGAGAAAAGTGCCCTCTGCTTAGCCTAGAGCCTGTGGAAGGAGATCAAAAAGGGAGTCCTCTTCAGAATCTTTAAATTAACGGCACAGGGAAGGGATTTATGGGAGCACCCTTCTGTAGATGCACAAGCTGTTTCTTCTAGAGCTATTAGGGAGGCCGTTTTCCTGGAGGCGAGGAAGCACAGTGCGGGGGAGAAGGAGCTGTAAGGCAGAGAACTGTTCTCCCAGCCTGTGCAGGGGGAGACGGAGCCGGCCCTCCCCTTCTCCATTACCTCCTTGCTTGGTGCAGGCTCCCAGCAGGTTAACCACGTTCAGATGGTGGCCAATGTGGGTCAAGATTTTTAGCTCAGTCATCAGAGCTTTGTACTCGCTGGCCGTGGCCCCCTCTGTGTGAGAAGCAAGGAAGAGTCAGGGCGACAGGACAATGGGGCTCCTTCCGCCGGAGGCGGCATTCTTGCCCTCCTTGTTTGTCAATGCTCAGCCGGTTGCTTCACTAACTTCCCCACATTCTGCAGAAAGGCCAAGTCTCCAGACTGTTTTCATTACTCCCACCCTCCTGAGCCAACATCCTTTTGATTACAGTAAGGCCCAGCACAGTAGTGGGGTTAGTCACTGGACATTTCCTCTTGGTGGACCTAGTTCTCTTCAGCAATGCGCTGACTCAGAGCTGGGCACCTCGTGAAAGTGCCTTCCAAAGGCTTCCCTTCTGTCAGAACCAGGTGCAGCAAGAACCCACCAGGCAGGGAGTACACCTCCACGTCCCCTCTTCTCACCTTCTCCCTTTGGGGAGTCACAGAGAAGGAGCACAAGGGGCCTGCCAGGGCAGAATGGCTACTGTTGTAAACATCTTTGCAATGTGTTATTTTCTCCCTGTAACCCTGTCCTCTCTGGAGTTCACAGGGTTATCTTGGGTTGTGAGGATCCATAGCATCTGACTTCAACTTCAGTCTCAGAGATAAGCATTATCAGTCCAAGAATTAGCAGAGTCTAAAGCCTAAATTGAGTTTGTTCTGTTTGTTCTTATTAGTTAATATGCAAGGCATTTAAAAATTTTAAATTATTTTTAGAAATATAAAAATCAAATAATCTTTCTGTAAAATATTTCAACAATATGAGTTGGAATAAAATGTTCTAGATAAAAAGCAAAAGCCACTCCGACCCACTTGCCTTCTTAGAAGCAGCCATGGTTAATAGTTTGGTGTTCAGACCTTTTTCTATGCATTTATAAATATTCAATCAGAGGTCCTATATATATATATATATATCATATATATATGATATATATGACTATATATAGTCTATTTAAAAAATCTATTTCCCCCCTTTTAATAAATCAGAGACTTTTTCTCTTCTTTTTATTTCTTTTTATTTTTTATTTTTATTTTTTTTGAGACAGAGTCTCCCTCTGTCGCCCAGGCTGGCGTGCATTGGTGCGATCTCGGCTCCCTGCAACCTCCACCTCCTGGGTTCAAGCGATTCTCATGCCTCAGCCTCCCGAGTAGCTGGGATTACAGGTGTGTGCCACAATGCTTGGCTAATTTTTGTATTTTTAGTAGAGACAGGGTTTCACCATGCTCCTGACTTGAGGTGATCCACCTGCCTTGGCCTCCCAAACTGCTGGGATTACAGGCGTGAGCCACCACACCCAGCAGGTTAACCACGTTAATGGTGGCCAGTGTGAGCCCATTCTTTTTAATTGATTAATGGTGTCCCTGACATTTAGAGTGTCTATAGTCTTTTTGCTATTACAAATAATACTGTGATAGTCTGTGTGTAATCTCTGTGCACACATGCAAGTGTTTCTGTAGGACAGTGTCCTGGAAGTGGGTTAGAGGTATGTGCATTTAACATTGTGGTAGATACCAACATGGTATTTCATAAGCACAAATCATTTTTAATAATAACTAGATAAACTCCAAATCCTGTGCATGGGGTTAGGGCTGGCTCACAGTAGATGCTCAACAAATATTTTGGAATAAATAAACACAATTACTCTTCTCATTTCAGGCATGGGTGTAAGGCCCAAAAAGATTAATATTTTTGCTCAAGGACACTTTGAAAGAGCTTTTGACTTATGGCCTTTGTTTCACTTTATGCTTTTGTTTTGAGACGGAGTCTCGCTCTGTCACCCAGGCTGGAGTGCAGTGGCGTGATCTTAGCTTACTGCAACCTCCAACTCCTGGGTTCAAGCGATTCTCCTGCCTCAGCCTCTCAAGTAGCTGGGACTACAGGTGCCCACCACCACGCCCGGCTAATTTTTGTATTTTTTATTAGAGATGGGATTTTGCCATATTGGCCAGGCCGGTCTCGAACGCCTGACCTCATGATCTGCCGGCCTCGGCCTCCCAAAGTGCTGGATTACAGGCATGAGCCATCACGCCGGGCCATGCCTTTTTTCTATCTCCCAGAATCAGATGGCCAATTAATTTAAGCAAGAAAGCTGAATGAAATTTTTTAAAGGAATTTTATAGAGTGGATGATTTGGCAGTCTTTTACAATCAATGCTGATGGCTAAAAAAAAAAAATAGGCATTTATGAAGACACTACACATGCAATCTGTATTACATAGAAGAGATTCTCTGAGCCTTTTAAAAAAATCTCAGCTGGGTGCAGTGGCTCACGCCTGTAATCCCAGCACTTTGGGAGGCTGAGACAGGAGGATTGCTTGAGCCCAGGAGTTTGAGACCAGCCTGGGCAAGATGGCGATACTGTCTCTACAAAAAAAAATTTTTTGAATTAGCTAGGTGTGATGGTGTGAGCCTCTAGTCCCAGCTATTTGAGAGGCTGAGGTGGAAGGACTGCTTGAGCCTGAGAGGCAGAGGCTGCAGTGAACTATGATCATGCTACTGCACTCCAGCCTGGGCGACAGAGTAAAACCCTGTCTCTTAGAAGAAAAAAAAATCTCAAGTCAGAATCTTCTTTCAAACTCATTCATCTCCCTATAACCCTTTCCTCTTTGGAGGAAAAAAACCAGGTGCTGGTTCAGCTTGCTGTATTTATAGGCAGGGCCACAGGTATTATCTTGGACCCACAACAGACTAGTGTGGATATCAGAGCTGCCTCTCCTAGAGGACAATGTGTGGCAGCAAGCAGAGAAACGGGACTAGCTGAGGAAACAGTTGCTTCCAGATTTAGTTTCCACCTATCTCTAGGTTGGATACTGGATTGCCTCCATAAACTAGGCCAGGATCATCTTCAGGGTTTTGGAGCAGTGTGCCAATTCCAGGAGGCCAGGTCTCTGCAGCCCCTCTTTTGTGGCACACTGGTATGGAGGAAAGAGCACTGCATTCAAAGCTGGAAGACTTTCGCACACAAACCCTTACTTACGCTGAGCAGCTGTGTGGCCTTGCAGAGGCTATTTAACCTTTCTTGGCCATGTTTCCTCATCTGCAAACTGAGGATAATAATGTCTACCTCACAAAGCTGTTGAGAGGAAATAAGAAAAATGGCTGTTTTGTGTGGTTCAGCCTAATAAGTGAAAGTATCTAGTCTGGTGCTTTCTTACATAGAAGACATGTTGATGCCTCTTCTCTTCAGAATCTGGGGTTCTTGCAGGGAGGGTGCTAGCATGCCTCTATTTTGACAGAAATACCTGCCTTCGTCTGGGAAGTCTACCCCAAACAAAAGTTCTGACTTGTGGATACCAAACTCCTTCCCAGACTACTTTCAGAGCAGAATTGGCAGGTTCTTTGCAGAGTTTTATTAGTTTTTTCTTGAGGAGTAAACCTTTTGAAGTTGAAAATATATTTACATGGGGCTTTTGAAATAATGGAGTTATTGCTAGAAGATTAAGAACTTTGACGTCTCCCTAAGCAAACAACCCTTTCTCCTGGAGCCTGTACTAGGTACCCGTGTAGTTGGACTCACAGCTTGCTGGGCTTCAAAATTTCCCAGCAGTATCCTGGAGACTTTGGAAAGTTAAAAGCTGCTTTTTGAGTTTTCAGTTCTGTTGAGTTGAAGCATCATAAAATTCCATTACAGATGAGGAAATGAAGTATTTTCTACACTGTAAAGGACCTGTGAGTCTTTGAGACATGTGGTTTACACAGCTTTCACTGATTTTCATTTTCAATCTGTCTTTGGTGTTGGGCATAAGTCACTGTGTGATTTGGTTCTACCTCCCAGTGCTTCACAGAGTAGTAGTATCTTTCAACACTAGAAAGATAATTCAGGTTTTTAAACTGCTAAAGAGGAAATGTTTTATGGCTGAGGTAGTTAGTATAAAATAGTTTAGAGTTCTGATCAACTCAATTGTTCTAGCTTTATAGTTTTACTTTATAGTCAGGTCAAGCCCAAGCAAAGCCATTGGGATTTAGAATGTGCTGCTAAGTTTCCATTACAACATCACAGTAGATCATGCCAAAATCTGAACCTGCAGTTACAATGGGCTTAAGTCCCTTGTTGTCTACAGTCTGTGATGTGAGATGAGAAAGACCTTTGAGGTGACAGAGATCATTTTCCTATGGACAGTGCTGGATTGTTCCATTTACAAGGTTTCTTCTGAGCTCGTGCTGGCCTAATCTAAAACTCGTGAGCAAAGAGGCCTCTAGCAGTAGAAGAAAATTATGTGTCCAGAGCAGAAAAGCTTGTGTCTGTTCCCAGGCTATATCTAACTTGTACCAACATTTAGGAAATGCAAAATGGTGATGGGTCAGTTGAAAGCCAAACTACAGCATACATACCTTTCAGCATTTTCACAGCCACAGTCCGGCACGTAGGTGATTTCTTAATGCCAAATGCTGATGCTTGAACCACTTTTCCAAAAGCCCCTCTTCCAAGTGATTTGCCTGTAATGAAGAGAAGACACTGGTTTGTTTGCCGAGGCAATAGGGTGAGTTTAAGTCTTTTTCAGGAAGGAAATGCCTTTTCCTATGTGTGCATGTGAGGCATGGAATCTCCAGTGAACTAACCCTAAAAGAGACAAAGTAAGGGACTTATTTCTGGAGTCTCTTCCTTTCAACTCTTAACTCTGTTCCTGAGGCCCCACATCCTTCAAAGATAGAGTAAGTCCCTAGAAGGCATTCAGTGAAGGTAGATGTCCAGTTTCCTTTCCACAGCGTTCTCCCGTAGGAGAGATGGGACCAAGTCCCGTGTAGTTTCTTCCATTGTTTAATAACATTATGACCAAGAAGACTTCCCTGTGTGGAACCTAAGCTCTTTTTCTTTTTCCATTTACAGTCATTTTTCTCTCATCTGTTTTCAGCAAAAAGGGAGAAATAGAAAATGGTGGTTACTACTGTGGATTATAATAATGCTCATAACTTTAAAATAATCACTAAGTCATTTATCCGACTTCCCTACCAGGCAAAATATTTCCAGTCTTTCTAATGTGTCTTAGGTGAAGATTACAAATCCTCGTGGTTCAGCACAGGAGCCTGGTCAACCACTGGTAGTGATTTGTTTCAACCCCAGAGAGGTAGTTGCTAAATGCAATAACTAAGCAAGGTTCCTTTCATGGTCCCCATAATGCTATGCTATAATGACTGTTAATATGTTTCTTTCCCTATCCTAGAATGACCCAGGGAGTCCTTGCCCCCCTTTACTCTGGGGGGCAAGGACCATGTCTGAATCTTCCCAGAACCTAACTTGGTGCCTGGTGCTATCTGTTATTACTGAATATTGCTGCAGAATGGAGAGTGGTGTTCAGGAATGTGTGGGTTGCCCAAAGCAAGTCTCCTAGTCATAGGTAACTAGAGGGGCCCATGGGATGGAGACCCTGAGATTGATGCCCTTTAGGGAGGGCACTCCCTGGAGTACCTAAGCTGCCTTTTATATCAGGGAACCTCCTTTTGCACATCAGGAAACAGCTCAATAGAACCCAGAGAAATGGTGCACCTCCAGCATGATATACCCAAAGAAGAGTAAGTGAAGTAAGTCAGTCTTTTTTTGGCTTTTCTTGGGGGAAGGGGAAATGACAGAATACCACTGGTTGGTTAAAACTATTATAAATCCTGGCAGTTAGAGTGTTAATTTAACACAACCCCTCCTTTCCCAACCAAGTGCTCTTTCTTAGACCCGTCTGATAATGTGCCTTCAGTTAATGAACCTTCTTTCCTCCCTTCCTTCCTCATTACTCCACTCCCTTTCCCCAAAGGGCATTTTTAAAAAATTTTCTTGTAGTTTGTAATGAAGCTTTGCTTCTTCCTCATCATATTAGAACCTTTCTACTTTTATGCCCAACTACTCAGTGACAAAAATGTCTTTACCTTGCTCTGCTTAATGTCTTCTACTACCCACCACCCCAGGTGTCCAGTTAGGATGTATGAAAATTTCACTTATACCAGTGTCATCATTAGGGCCTCTGTGTGGCTGTCTGCAGGGACATGCTCTGCATTCAGAGAGAACACTGGGGAGACGACACGTTTCTCTTTTTGTGAAACATGCTCCCGTAGTGATTACTAAATGACATTCCTCCCAGAGCATGCAACACGGGCAGAGCTACAGCCTCTGCTTCCTTCTTCGCATAAAATTGTTGAAGAAATAGACCAGGATGGGGACCCTCGATTTGAAATAAAAGAGCCTCCAGTGGATCCTGAAAGTGCTACATCTGAAAATCCGGTGTGGGAACAGCGCTGGCAGATGCCTTCTCTATACTAGTAAAAACTGGTGCATTTTGGTTGGAGGTTTATTCCTTGCTTTATTTGGGATAAAGTATCAATGTTTTTCTTCCACAATGCCTTCCACCATCTAAAAAGAAAAGTGTCCTGAGCCTGAGAAATATCCAGATCTTTTCTCCTTACACACCTAAGACCCTTGCATGTTTGGGGCAGGTGGCATCCTTTGCACTTTCCATAGTTTCAGCCCCCACATCCCGTCTTAGCCGTCACAACACACTTTGTTTTAACAAGTGTTTGGGACTTTGCTTCTTATCATTGAGAATAAACTGGCTCTCATTTGGCTTCCCTCAGCCTTTTCATTTATTCTCTTGGAAGCTGACTGCTGCCTCATAAAACAGCATGAAGCTGTTATGGGCTCCTTAATCATCTGATGTGTTGGAATCCTTCTGCAGACCCATGGTTCCAGTTTCAGGGGAGCCCAGTTGCATCAGACTTGACCTCACCTGATCTTTCTTTTCCCTTAAAATTCTCCTCAGTGTTTCCTGGAATGCCACTAACTAGCTCGGAAGTGTGCTAGGTCATTGCCATACAATGCAAGGATATTGGAATCTCCTCCAAGAATGTCCTGGACTGGCCAGGGGCCCTGGACACGCTGGGGAGAGTGCATGGCAGCATGGGTTGGGCCGTCTCTGGCATTCAGGGCTGGTCTTACAAGAGGCAGCACCAGCCCAGGCACCATTCACTTGCCAAACTCCTGACTCCCTGTATTGTTTGCTGTATTAGGTAATTCTGACTTTTGATTATTTTTCAATAGAAAGATGCAGTGTTGAACATTATTCTAACTTTTTTTTTTTTTTTTTTTTTTGGAGACGGAGTCTCACTCTGTTGCCCAGGCCGGAGTGCCGTGGCGTGATCTTGGCTCACGGCAACCTCCACCTCCTGGGTTCAAATGATTCTCCTGGCTCAGCCTCCTGAGTAGCTGGGACTACAGGCACGCGCCACTACAGCTGGCTCATTTTTGTATTTTTAGTAGAGACAGGGTTTCGCCATGTTGGCCAGGCTGGTCTCGAACTCCTGACCTCAGGTGACCCACCCACCTCAGCCTCCCAAAGCACTGAGATTACAAGCGTGAGCCACCACACCCAGCCTATTCTAACTTCTATAATAAATATATAGGAGCTGAATTATCTCCTAACTTCTGTGATAAATTTATAGAAGCTGAATTCCCTCCCATGGGTTAGTGAGGAATCTTTTTTTTTTTTTTAAGATTCTTTTTGTTCTTGGATTTCAGGAATTTTAATGGTAGCAACACCTTTGACCCAACCTCCAACTGCATCCATCTATCAGGTACTATAAATTCCAATCCCACTCACTAGGGCTGCTGATAGTAACCAACAAGTAGATACAGCTGAAACCAGATATAACCTTGTGTATTTCTCTACATTTACAACCCCAGTATAACTGCCAGTTAAAACAGCCTTTTCTCTCTATCTGGACATAATCTGGGTTATTTTCAGTTGCTAGACATTACTTCAAATTACTTTGTCATTTATTTGGCTTAAGAAATAAACAAGTCTTGGGCCTCCTTGCTCCCACGTTAATCAATCAGAGGAGTGTACCTCGGGGCCTTGCAGCCACACTCTGTATTGAAAGACAAAGTTAGCAGACTTGACACACTTTCTCTCACCCATCAGAGACACTCAAATGGACATCAGCCAAATTCTAGCATGTGGCAACTCTGGAAAGGAAAAGAGTGATAAGAATGATCTTCAACAAGGAGACTCTCCTGAAATGGGATTATTTAAACCCACAGAGCCCCAGGGGAATTCTGGTAGAAGGATTAGCAATCTGTGATGTGGTGTGGATCACAATGATACTAGGAAGGAATGAAGCGATGGGACAGAAAGCTCATGTGTCCTATACTGGAAGAAGCATGTTTGATTATGACTAATAACTCTGGAAAGCAATGTGAGCTGAGAATGGCTCGTGATTGTGGGAAAATTATCCCATATTTCCTGCCAAGGTCACTGAGGGGTTGGGCTAGCTGCCATATAATTTAGACTTGCAGAAGGAACTCTTCCAGTGTGCCACCTGCCCTTAACTACTCTAAATGTAGTTGATTTTTTCCTCCTGTCCACAGCCATTGCTGGCTTTCTCCTGTCTCTCCAGCTTTTAACTGATTTCCAAGTTTCCTCCCCAAGCCAAATAGAACATGCTCCTGAGGCCAGTCCTTCCTCAGTGTAAGCAGAATCATTTCAAGGCCCAAGAGAAAAACAAAAGCCATTTTCCTCTCTCTGCCCCCTAAATCCCTCACCCCAGTATCATTTGCATGTAAGGAGAGGGACGATACTGTTGAATTTGGAACAACAGGCTCTCCACACCGAGAGGGACAAGCTCCAAGAACACTGGATCCACAATCTGTTTTCTTAGTTCCAACTACTAATGACTCTGGCATACACAGGAGTGAGTGGAAAACTTTCAGAAGCCACAATCCAAACATTTTGGGTAGGAGTAATTGAGGTTCCAATTGTTTTGTAGCACCAGAGGCTGGAGATTAATGGGCTTTGTGACGTCTGAGCTGGAGGAACTGGAAGGTAGGCTGCGGGAAAGCACATTTGCCTGCTGTTTATAGCATCTGCCCTACCTGGAAAACAACAGTCTTTGCTTTTCAAAAGTGAAACTTAAATGATTCCCCTAGGGCTTTCTACTCGGTCTGGACATTCCCAGGAAAATCAAAGTATGTAATTTGTGGATTTGTGCAGAGGGTTTTTTTGATCCATGGCCTTGAAGAGCACCAACTCTTTCACCGAATGTTTGATTTCACTGTTCCTTGCCACCCTCAATTATGTTCTGGATCACATATTTCTAATCCCTCAACAGTTTCATTATGTAAGCGTGCGTGTACTTGTAATGCCTCTCTCTCCGCCGCCCTTCACTTACCACTTTTGCACCTATCTCCAGACTGAGCCCTTTGAGGGAAGAGATGCAAGCACCTTTGTGTCTCCAGGGCTTAGACCAGTGTCTGCTGCTCAGAGAAGGTGCCTAATAACTGTTGCAAGAACAAACAGGTGCTGCGTGTCACCTTGTACTGTTATCTGAGCATTGCATTGGAATTATTTACTTTTGTGTCCATCTCCCTTGCTAGTCTGTGAGCAGCTGGAGGGTAGAATCCCAGGTCTAGTTTACTTTCGCATCTCTCAAAGCACAGTGTTTTTCATGTAATATGTGCTCAGTATAGGTTTATGAATCTGTTGAACAAATATCTTACCCAGTTTAAGTCTCTCCCGGGCAAACTCCCACTTGCTGGCATCATAAGGGAGCCGCTCACACTGCTCATCCAAAGGAACTTCATCTGGGTCCATTATAATTGATAGGTAGTCAGTCTTTATTTCAGAAGAAGACTGAGAAATAAAGAGATCTCAAAGTCATCGAGAAGAAAACAACTTTACAAATCCTAGATATTCCGTTAACATCCACTGTTTTATTTGGGATCATTTGGTTGAAACTGTGTGGCCAGGTGCAGAAAGTACTTCTCCACATTCACATACACTCATCACACTTAGGTGTGCAATTTCTATTAAACGACTCCTTACTATTCCCACACTACATTTCTGTAATGTGAGCTCTACCATCCTATCTTGGATAACATGCACTCAAATTCTCCAGTGACCTTATGTGTTGTACTTGATCTTAAACAATTATATGATGGTCTTGCTAAAAAATGCAAAGCATTTTTATAAAGTCATTCCAAACAATGACTAAAAATAACTTCCCATGGCCATCTTGTATAAGCAGGAATATATATTACATATGGGCCAACAGTGGGGCGCACTGTGGCTTTTCTACATATATAGGAAAAGCAAGAAGTGGCAAAGTAAACCCAGGATCCCTGGGGCACTGAAAAGCACATTTCTTATGAAGTGTTTAAACTTTCAGAAGGCCTGACCTCTTAGTTGCTTCAGCTATCTGGAAAGGTTGTAGCTGAATCCTGAGTGAGACTGGAATAAGGTTTACCTTCTGTAAGAAATGGAAGTTGAGGCTGTCTATGTGGTGGCCTGTAATCCCAGCACTTTAAAAGGCTGAGGTGGGTGGATCACCTGAGGTTAGGAGTTCAAGACCAGGCTGGCCAACATGATGAATCCCTGACTCTACTAAAAATACAAAAATTAGCTAGGTGTGGTGGTACACACCTGTAGTCCCAGCTACTTGGGAGGCTGAGGCAGGAGAGCTGCTTGAACCCAGGAGGTGGAGGTTGCAGTGAGCCAAGATGGCACCACTGCACTCCAGCCTGGGCGACAGAGCGAGACTCTGTCTTAAAAAAAAAAAAAAAAGATTATTTCAAAGGCCAAGGAGTAAATATGGCATAAGACTTATACACAAGCCACATTCTGACTTCATTTGTCCATTGGTAGGATGTCAAGTGAGTAAGGCAGACATCTGCCTTGAAGTGCTTTTTTATCTTGGTAATGCAAATCAAGCCCAGAAAATACCCTTCATTTCAGATCATAGATAAGTGGATTTACATTTAATGTCTTAGATTCATATCAGTGGGTGTATTTCCTGTTAATGGGCAAATTTCTAGAATTGATGACTGCATGTCTGTGGGCAGACTCTTGGATAGGATGGAAAGGAAGCATGTTTTCCCATATAACTCTTGGCCAGAAGTTATGTAAACTTCATTTAAATGAGTTTTGGGGCCCTTCCTTTTGGTGCTTTTCCCTAAACGGGATCAGAGTTGGAATGGAGAAGACAACTTCTCCATACACACCATTTGACACCCACTCGCATTCTTCAGCCCTTACTCACTCTGTTCTGGGCTGTCACAGCTCACCTCATCCATCACTTGAAATCATTCTCCTTCTCACAAAAATTATCACTAAAATGTGTGACAAATAGCTCAAGGCAGAAAGGTTTGCTTGGCCTCCATAAAGGATGAGAAGCAAAAAACGATATGGAGCACGTTTGTCACAAACTGTGGTTGCCATTGGGTTAGACTATGAGGGCCCGGCCTGCCAGACACTCTGTGAAGAGTATGAATTCCTATAACAGGGTACTAGGTGCCCATTAGAGAAACTGCTGTAGTAGTAGGTTTTATGACTAAACTTTTCAATGTCCTGTATACCCGAGCCCTGAGAAACAATCTCCAATCCTCACAGAGCATAGGATAGCTGAAACCTCGCAAGGGACATCTTGGGCTCATGCAGGATGTGTGGGGAGGCTGGCAGTAGTGTTGACAGAGGCAGGGGAATAGGCGGTGGTAGGCAGTCTCCCACGTGGCACCTATGGAATTTTATGGTTTGTCTCAATAAGGCAGGTGAGAGGAGACACCAAACAAACCTTAAGTGAGGGCTTTGAGGAGACTGTGATAGTAAAATGTTAGTTGGCAAATATTTATTCTTTCAATTGACATTAACACTGAGCAGCTACTAGGTGCTTGGCATGGAGTCTGCACAGCTAAGTGCTTCAAAGCCCAGGCATGGGGGCTGAATACCTGGGTTTGAATCACAGGTCAACTTCTGCTCACCCACACACATAACTGTGGACAAACTGCCCTCTAACCTTAGTTTTCTTATCTGTAATAATGGTACTTATCTCATAGGGTTGTTGTGAATATCAAATGAAATAATCCATGGAAAGCTATTAAGAGCAGAGTCTGGTATGTAGTAAGCCTCCATAAATGTTGGCTATAATTATAACAATAAATGTTAGCTATAGTTATGCAGGGTGAGGATAAAATATAAAATGCCATCTTTATCAATGAGGAATTTACATTGTCGTTAGAGGAACCACATGGAAATATTTTGGGATGTCTTGTTCCTCTTTGCCTCCCCCAATCCCTTTCAAATTTTACAGGCATTCTGTTTTTGAGATAATGATCTCTTGCTCTCATTCTTTCTTATTAACATCAAAATTTCACAGAATTTTAGAAATAGAAGGCACCTCTTCAATCTAGTCCCAATGTACCTTTCCAGTTTTATTTTTGTTATTTTTTATATTTTTTAGATGGAGTCTCACTCTTGTCGCCTAGGCTGGAGTGCAGCGATATGATCTCAGCTCACTGCAACCTCTGCCTCCCGGGTTCATGCGATTCTCCTGCTTCAGCTTCCCGAGTAGCTAGGATCATAGGCGCCTGCCACCATGCCCAGCTAATTTTTGTATTCTTAGTAGAGACAGGGTTTCACCATGTTGGCCAGGCTGGTCTCAAACTCCTGACTTCAAATGATCTGCCCGCCTCGGCCTCCCAAAGTTCTGGGATTACAGGCATGAGCCACCGTGCCCGGCCCCTTTCCAGTTTTATTTCTACTGTGCTCCTCTATGCTAAGTAACCAGACTACTTCCCCGCTCTGGGGAGTAGGAAGGACTAGGGCGGGCTGTTTTTCTGCTTCTTTCCTTCCAGCTACAGCCTTCAAAGTCTGTCTCAAGCCTTGCTTTCTCGGAAGTTTTTTCTCCCCTTCTCCTCCTTTGAACTCCTATAGCCTTTGTACCTCCCTTGCAGATTTGGCAAGTTTTGCTTCTGTTAGATGTATTTCCCTATATGGTGTATCTCCCCTTTCAAAACTATTGTGTGACCTTTGTTTCCTTCTCAAGCAGTGGACTTAGTTGTCATGTCTCAAAATCAGTCACTCCAAATGGCAAAAGCCTGATGTTAAACATTTACCATAGAGGATGGCTGCTGGCCTTGTCTCTCATACCAGCACTATAAAGTATATCTTATTGGTTGTTAATATCAAATCTAAGGTCAAATAGCCTGGGTTCAAAACTAAGGTCCAACCATAGTGACTTTGGATCAGTTAACTTTGTCTTGCTGAGCCTCAGTTGCCCTCTCTATAAAATGGGAATAATAATATATTTACCTTTTCATATTTTTGGAATAATTTATTGACATACTACATAAAGAGCTTCCCATAAGACCTGGCATATTAATAAGGGCTAATCTCTAGAAATTGAGAAGGCCTTCTGATACTTCTCAAGTCCTACTGATTTTACTTCCCAAATATCCTTGACTCTAATCATTTAGCCAGAGGTACCATAATTTCTTTCTTTCTTTCTCTCTCTCTCTCTCTCTCTCTTTCTTTCTTTCTTTTTCTTTCTTTTTTGAGACAGAGTCTCACTGTGTCACCCAGGCTAGAATGCAGTGGCATGATCTCAACTCACTGCAACTTCTGCCTCCCGGGTTCAAGTGATTCTCCTGCTTCAGCCTCCCTAGTAGCTAGCTGAAACTACAGGCAAGTGCCATCACACCCGGCTTATTTTTGTATTTTTAGTAGAGACGGGGTTTCACCATGTTGGCCAGGCTGGTCTTGAACTCCTGACCTCAGGTGATCCACCCACCTCAGCCTCCCAAAGTGTTGGGATTACAGGCGTGAGCCACTGCGCCCGGCTGCCATTATAATTTCTTTCTTTTCTTTTTTTTTTTTGAGACGGAGTTTCACTCTTGTTGCCCAGACAGGAGTGCAATGGGGTGATCTCGGCTCACTGCAACCTCCGCCCCCGGGTCCAAACCATTCTCCTGCCTCAGTCTCCCCAGTAGCTGAGATTACAGGCGCCTGCCACCATGCCCAGCTAATTTTTTGTATTTTTAGTAGAGACGGGTTTTCACCATGTTGGCTAGGCTGGTCTTGAACTTCTGACCTCAGGTGATCCATCCACCCTGAGTGCCAGGCGTCCCAAAGTGCTCAGATTACAGGTGTGGGCCACCACGCGCGGCCTGCCACCAAAATTTCTCTTCTTTTCTTTTTTTCTTTCTTTTTTTTTTTTTCTGAGACAGAGTCTCGCTTTGTAGCCCAGGCTGGAGTGCAGTGGTGTGATCTTGGCTTACTGCAAGCTCCACCTCCCAGGTTCATGCCATTCTCCTGCCTCAGCCTCCCGAGTAGCTGGGACTACAGGCGCCCTCCACCACGCCCGGCTAATTTTTTGTATTTTTAGTAGAGACGGGGTTTCATCCTGTTAGCCACGATGGTCTCGATCTCCTGATCTCATGATCCACCTGCCTCAGCCTCCCAAAGTGCTGGGATTACAGGCGTGAGCCACCGCGCCCGGCAGCCACCATAATTTCTTACCTGGACTACCAAGAAGTCTTCTACCAGGTGCCTCTCTATTCACTCTTGCCCCCCACCACCCGGGTCCATTCTTCTCACAGTAGCCAAAATAATTTTTCCAGACATATATCTGTCACACTAGGTGCCCCACTCCCCCCATTCCTGCCTTAGTCTAACATAGCTTTCTTCCCCAAGGCTTCCCATTGCTTTTAGAATACGGACCAAATTCCTCACCATGGCCTACGAGACCCTGCCTGGCCAGGCCTTGCCGCTTTCCCTTCCCATTTCTTGGCAGCCTCACCTCATACCTTGTTCCTCCTGTTCTCCACGCTGTAGCCCTGGCCTTCTGTCAGTCTCTCACTGTGTTCCCCCTCCCCTGCCCAGCCTCCTAAATGCTCTTGCCTCTGCCTACAACACTCCTTCCTCTCTTCTTAACCTTGACACTCCTCCTACACATCTTTTAGGCAGCTACTCTTTCAGCTAACTCAGAGTTGCAGTTTGACATTTGTGTGGCTGATTAAAGCCAATCTCCCCTGACTGCTCCCTCCAGCATCTGCCCCACTGTCACCAGAGGGTCTTGCACAGGGCCTGGCATGCTGCACTGAGTGGGTATGCAGTAAATATTTGAAGCATGAATGAATGAATGAATAAATGTAAGCTCTTTTCCCACTGGATTTCAGAGAAGCAGATCATATTACAGACCTAAGTATAGAAATCTGATGTCCTGAATGCCAACCTGGACCTCACACTCTAAAGAACTTAATTTTGTGGTGTGACTCAGAAAGTATAGAAAAAGAGTCCACTTATTTTTACTTCCAATATGTTATGAGAGAAGTCAAAGGTGGGGCCTTTACTTTTTTTTTTTTTTTTTTTTTTTTTTTTTTTGAGACAGGGTCTCACTCTGTCGCTCAGGCTGAAGTGCAGTGGCATATGACTCACTTCTCACTTGACCTCCCAGGCTAAAGTGATTTTCCCACCTCAGCCTCCCGAGTAGCTGGGACTACAGGTGTGCACCACCATACCTGCCTAAGTTTTAAAATTTTTTGTAGAGTCAGGGTCTTACTATATCGGACAGGCTGGTCTTGAACTCTTGGCCTCAAGCGATCCTCCTGCCTTGGTCTCCCAAAGTGCTGGGATTACAGTCATGTACCACCGTGCCCAGTCTCCTTTTTATTTCTTAGCAGAGAGTGAGCGTTAGGAAATAAAGGTTTCACAGGTCCCACACTGACTTTAAAGACTCTATTAACATATTTTGTATCAAAAATACCTTCTGTCCCTGAGAAGTATTCATCAGTTCATTGTTACGGCTTTTCTTTTGAACACCCCCCCTTGTGGCTAGAGACATTTTGATGATTTATTTTCTTTCTGTGTTCACCAGGTCAGAGATAGGAATGAGAGGGAAGGGAAAGAAAGAGGGTCCAACATTTGTTTGCCTACTCTAGACATCAGATCGGGCTTTTTAGAATATATGTAAAAAGGAGCATAGAACATCACCTATGTTCTTACCCTTTTCATTTTTCGGATAAAGAGGGTTAATAGGAGCCAGAAGAGAGTCGCAGCCACACAGGTGCATGTTAGAGTGATCAGCTCCAGATTAGACTTGTCCGAGGTTCCTGGAGAGAAAAAAAATCACAATAGTGGTGCAACAAAGAAATTCCCAAACTCAGAATCTTTGTGGTTTTATAAAAGAGGCTCAGTTTCCCTAAATGGTTTATCATAGCGAACCCAATCTGCTGCCACAAAATCAGTCTCTGGGACAGATCTCTTACCTTCTAAGCCAGGCAGTATACATGAACTCACATAGAAAAGGCAGTATACATGAACTCACATAATGAACTCACATAGAAAAGGCTTTCCAGAAATTTTGCTGTCAAGTTTGCAAACTTTGTAATTCCAGAAACAGCTAAGTAAAAATCAGAGGAGAAATTAAAAATGGGAAAAAATTAAGGCAGGAACAAAAGCCCATTAAAATGCTAAATCTGGAATATGTTAAATCTCCCTAATGAGTTTTAGAGGAAATTCTAAAAAAAAAAAAAAAAGACAAAATAATGACATAAAAGGGCTACTTTGGGACTCACAAAATTCTTCAAAGTAGAATTTAAGAATAAAAATAAATCCAGGACTGTCACAGTTGCCTGTTTGCTCCCTTTGGAACTGCCAGCCCAAAGCGCCCACATCCCACTCCCTTTGTCTAGGGCTCTGTTTCTGGCTTCATCAGCCAGATTGGGGGGCCTGAGATAGAAGAGGCAATTGCTGGACCTGAATCCTTCCCAGTCACCTTCTCTATCAGAATCACAGAGATCAAAAGCTGAGCACTGTTCCTCCAAGACCAAAAGGAAAAGACTTAAAGTATTCAAGCCATGCCTCCAGAGAGGGAACTCTGGAATTTGTAAAGAAATGCCTCCATGGGCCAGAACAGTATTGATTCTTGTGAGCAATTTCCCAGGAATTCTAAAGTAATGCCTTTATCCTTTAACTTAACTACAATGAGACAGAAGTGGCTGGGCATGGTGGCTCGCATCTGTAATCCTAGCAGTTTGGGAGGCTAAGGAGGGAAGATTGCTGGAGCCCCGGAGTTTGAGACCAGCCTGGGCAACATAGCAAGATGCCTTCTCTTAAAAAAAAAAAAAATGTGGTAGCACACACTTGTAATCCCAGCTACTCTGGAGGCTGAGGCAGGAGGATCACTTGAGCCCAGGCGTTCCATGCTGTAGTGAGCTATGATTGTGCCACTGAACTCCCGCTTGGGCAACAGAGCAAGACCTGGTCTCAAAAGAGAGAGGGAGAGAAAGAGAGAGAGACAGACAGATAGATGTTTATATTAAGGTGGGCAAAGGACAAGTGAAATTTTCTTTTTAGAAATAATGATGTGGATGAGGATCTAATTTGCTGAGCACTTATTATATTCTAAGCATGCAAACTATGAAGTCAGGGGCAGTAATACTCCAGTTTCATACATGAGCACTTCATCTTGGGGGCTCTCTGTTTCAATGCAACAAAGATGTATTGAGTTGTACTAGAGGCAAGGTTAGGGGCCGGAGGAGATAGAAAGATTAATGAGGGACAGTTGCCACTCTCAAGGACCCCATTCAAACCTAACCAAGAGACTTAAGGCAAATACAAAGAAATTAGATTTTGAAAGATTCGGCTGCTGAGGGAATCTAATATATACTACTATCTAATAGTAATCTAATAATACTTTTTTGAAGAGGTGGCATTTGACATGAATTTTAATCTGCAGAGATGAAGGCAGGGGAGGGCATTATAGGCAGAGGAAACAGTATGAGTAAAGACCCAGACCTGGCCAAGTGCGATGGCACACGCCTGTAATCCTAGCGCTTTGGGAGGCCGAGACGGGCAGATCACCTGAGGTCAGGAGTTCAAAACCAGCCTGGCCAACATGGTAAAACCCTGTCTCTACTAAAAATACAAAAAAAAAATTAGCTGGGTGTGGTGGGGGGGCACCCAGCTCCTCGGTAGTCTGAAGCAGGAGAATAGCTTGAACCCAGGAGGCGGAGGTTGCAGTGAGCTGAGATCGCACCACTGCACTCCATCCTGGGTGACAGAGTGAGACTCCATCTCAAAACCAAAACAAGACACAAGACCCAGACCTGGGAAAAGATAGGGCAGTATAATACAAGATACAAGACAGGACCAGACCATAGAGGATTCTGAGCATCTGTGTGATGGGTTTGATCTAAAGGCTGCAGGCAGTTGGAGCCAAGGTTTCCTGCCCAAATCATAGCAAATGCACAAGCTGGAAACCTGAGATAACAATAACTCATTGGCCCTTATTGAGTGCTTTCTATTCTAGGGACTTTTCTAAGGACCAACATGTATTCATTCACCAAAGACTCACAAAAATACTACAAGCTAGATTATTCCCATTTTATGAATAAGGAAATTGAGACACAGAGAGATTAAGCCTCTTGCCCAAAGTCACACAGCCTGCAAGTGGTGGAGCTGTGATTTTAACCCAGATAATCTGACTGCACATGCTTAACCACGAAGCTTCCAAGAGTATGCCACTTCCTCCTCTCTGATCCTTCCAGCCTTTACAAGCGCAGATTAATCACTTCCTATTGGCCATAGTCCCCGCCACAAAGTTATCTTTTAGTCTGGAGTGGAAACTGATATTTTCTCTCCATCCAACCCATCACAAAGTCCTGCCCATTCTACTTCCTTGGATCATTAAATTATCAGCTCTCCTACCCAGCTGTGACTGCCTAAAATAAGGCCTTATCAGTTCTCACCAGGACTACCTCATTGGCCATGGCTCCCTCCAGTCTGTCCTCCACCTCTGCAGCCAGAGTGATCTTGCCAAATCACCAATTTAAAATCCTATTACTCTTCTGTCTAAATTCCGTCATCTGTTCCCTGTCACCATCAGGATAAAAGTCCAAATCCTTAAATCCTTTATGCCCAACCTTGCCTCTCTTTTCAGCTTCATCTCCTGCTGTCCTCCCACTTGCTTCAGTCACGCCACAGTTCTTATAGTTTCTTAAATACACCAACCCTTCAGAACATCCATGCTTTGGCTTTTGCTATTTCTCTGCCAAAATGTGTGCTTCCTGATGACTGAGTCCATAACTTATTCACCCTACTCATCAGCTTGGGCGAATGAATGTATATATATGTTTTGCTTTACCTACCTCTAAAGAGTTTCATGAGGGTTTTAAAGAGTTTAGGGGCCGGGCGCGGTGGCTCATGCCTGTAATCCCAGCACTTTGGGAGCCCGAGGTAGGCGGATCATGAGGTCAAGAGATCGAGACCATCCCGGCTAATACCGTGAAACCCCGTCTCTACTAAAAATACAAAAAATTAGCTGGGCATGGTGGCAGGCGCCTGTAGTCCCAGCTACTCAGGAGGCTGAGGCAGGGGAATTGCTTGAACGCGGGAGGCGGAGGTTGCAGTGAGCCGAGATGGTGCCACTGCGCCACTGCACTCCAGCCTGAGCTACAGAGCGAGACTCCGTCTCAAAAAAAAAAAAAAAGAGTTTAGGGTCACGTCTCTGTTCCTGTGTATTACTTCATAAAACATATAGACCACCACCTCTGTTGCAGATATGTTCTAGGTGCTGGTATACAGTTAGAAGAGAAAGGGCATGGTTGGAGCTCACAGTCTGGTATTCAACTATGAACTGATGAGTGTGTTATAAGTTCTGAGTGAAGCAGCAGAACGTAGGGCTATGGTCCTCTTCTTCACTGCTACATTTCCAGGGTTCAGAATAGTGCCTGGCATATAGTAGACATCCTGAAAATAGTGGTCAAATGAATGAATTGGCTTATTTGCTGCTTTGTCAGCTGGTCTTAAGTTTCCCTGAACCTCATGGGGTTGATTGAAAATAACTTCCTTAAAGAAATTTCTAAGTGTGATAACCTTTTCTCTCACTACACATCCTCACAATGGGAAGATTGTAAGCTCAAGTTCATATGAGTTTGGTTTCTTTCTCCACAGTGACAGTGAGGTTTAATGCGGCCTTGCTGTACACACACACACACACACACACACACACACACACATGCGCACACGCACACACACACACACGCACACATTCTTGCTTATGCTGCAAATAAATTTTGTGGAATTTGATTGGGATTGGGATCCTCTCAGGACACAGTGGCCTTTGGCTGTCGGAGATGCTGATAGCATCTTGAGACATTGCACTGTCTGCATAAAACCTCTGCAGATGCTTCCCGCATGGAATGCACTAAGAGAGGCCCCCTTGATTGTGGGAACTTTCCTGCTGCATTCTATGGGACAGGAAGCTGACCCCCAAAGTCTAATTCCACAGTCCTTACTCAAGCAAAATTCATTTCAGTGGACCAAATGTGTTTGTGTGCAAATACTTACACATTTAAGGAATCAGCCCATTAAAAAAATCTTCAAGATGACCATTTATCGGGAAGGAAAGATCTATTTAATATTAATAATGTTCAGTACTGCTTATTGAAAAATATTAGAATTTTACAGTATGTGCTGTAGTATCATTGCTCTATTGCATTTGATGGCTTAGTCTCTATCTCTGTTTGAAAAGCGACTGTTAGGACAGTCTTATGCTGGGTGACTGACTGAAGTGAACCCTTAGGTGTTTTCTCAGCAGTCAAACACACTGGCCTGACTAAACCCAGCTTCAATTTGCTGGTGACAGCTGATGAGCTAAGTGCATGAGATAACCCAGCAGCACACAGGAGTGGAAAGAGGCCAGGGAAATGTGGGTGGGATTTGACAGTAACTAGGAGTTAGCACTGGGTCTCAGGGACATGGCTCCCGCATGATGTGCGTGAAAGGCCAGCATCAGGACACGGTACAAGGTTATTTTTATTTGGGATACTGACAAGAATATAGCCAATTTGAAGAGTGTATGTTAACTGTATCTATGACAGACTGTTGACCTGGTTGCACAGAGCATTCCACGTCAAGTACTCTCCCAGGCTTTATACCATCCCTTTTGGAATAGGGAGGGGAGATGCCACACCAGGGATGGTCTGAGTTCTGAAGGGGTGTGTATCTTGCCTGACGTCTCTGCAGCTGCGCAGTGTCCTGAGCTTTCCTGATAGCAATAGTAGCTCTCTGTACACACAGCCTGGGCTGCATGGTCTGGCGGCATCACACCAGCCCTGATGTATGGCACTGTGTGGCATCAGACTGCATGAATGGGTAGGCAGCAGAGCCAGCCAACTCAGCTCATGCAATATAACCAGACAGAGTTTCCCAAGGAGTTAAGGAAACACCCCAAGCAAAAGACCAGAGCACCTTGTCCCAGGGCCTGCCTTGACTTAGGGACCGAACACAGGTTTCATCGGGAAAGGGCAGGTACTCTGTGCCCCAGTTTCCTCATCCTTACAAAGTGGAGATAACAGCCCCTTCCTCACACGTGAATTGTGTTAACTTAGTGTTAGCTATTATTTTGAAGCCTGCTTGCCTGCCTTCCTTCCTTCCCTCCTCCCTTTCTTCCTTCCTTCTTTCCTTCCTTCCCTCCTTCCTTCCTTCTTTCCTTTCTCTCTCTCTCCCTCTCTCCCTCCCTCTCCCACCGTCTCTCTGTTTCTCCATCTACACCCCTTACTCCAACCCTTTTCTTTTTTTTTTCCTTATCACTTTTTGGACCTCAAGTGCAGAGTAATTTTTTTTCATTGAAACACATTGCATGTATTATTTAATACAATTTGCCTTTTCTTTCTGAAACAAATCAGATTTGGACCTAAGTACTCATCAATTTCTGCAAACAACTGGTCCACTACCTCCCTGAGAAATTTGCCTGATCCTAAGGTTGGTTTAGGTGTTATTCTCTGGTTCTATTGTTATTATAATTTGAGTAACTACTTATGTGGGTTTATTGCCCATTAACCTGTTAGGACCTCAAGAGAAGGACATGTTTCTTGTTCGCTTTGAGTCTCCAGCATTGACTCAGAGGAAGTCTCAATAAAGATTTAGGTATGAACGAGAAGAAAATTACTCAGATGCACTTTGACCTGACTCTCAAGATCCCCGAGCAACATAAGCCACTCAACCAGTGCCATCTCCTTCTATGTAAAACCCAGTCAGCATAATCCAGGTAACCTTACTTACTATATGGTTTCTCTAGAGCCTATTGAAATGTTAAAATAGGCCTGCAGACCTTTATTACTGTCGATGAAGTTTTTTAGGAATCTATGTACACCAATTTGGAACCACTCCTAAGGACAGTGATGTATGGAAATGCTGTATTCCCATTATATTTTAAGTACATTTTCAAGAGTACTGTTAAGTAAGGATATTTAAATTGCTGTTACGTGACGTTAGTTCTGGAACACATTTCTTTTTTCACAAGTTAAATCCTTAAGTCAAACAGGAATTCTGTGGCTTAGAACACCTTTTAGGTGACCCACTGGTTAAGTCCAGGAAAAGTATAATACAGAAACTTTTGTTGAAATGGAATTTGGTATATCTTATTAACAAACGGTAATGTTAGCTAACACTTACAAAATTTTTATTATATGCCAGATGCTGTTTTAAATGTGTTAATCCTTACAACAAGCCTACAAAGATTGGTATACCATCATTAGCATGCCCATTTTACAATGAGAGACTGGAAGCACCAGGAAGGTAAGGAACTTGGCAAAAGTTATGCAGCCCATGAAGAGTGAGGCATCTGGCTTCAGAATGGGTCTTTTTAACCACCGTGCTGTGCTACCTTAGAGTTGAGGTATAGAGCATAAAACCTATAGAGCAACAGAGCAGGATGGTTGAACATGGCTACAATTCTCAGCTCTGCCATTTCCAAGCTGTGTAACCCTGGACAAGTCACTTAACCTTTTTGAGCCTAGATTCTCCCTTTTAACTAACTGTACTTCCTTGTACCTGTAGGATTATTGCAAAACTTGAGTAGGATTACGGATGTTATGTGCTTAAAATAGTGCACTGCATGTTCTATAAGCGCAAGATATTAATTACATGGTCCCAGGCCCTCGCAGAGCCCAGCACCAAGTTCCCTAGGCCTAACACCCACTTCTATGATACCCAATGCAGTTTTATGCCAGCCTAGTTTCTACGGAAGGAATTAAGATGAATATCTTTTGAGTTTGAATTATTTTGCCTCAAGAACTCTCTACAAACACCTCAAATCAGCCTAACTGAATTCCATCACCATTTTTTAAAATTCTTCTTGATCAAGGCCAGCTTTATGTCACTGGTTAGATTTGAAGTATAGGCATGTGTATCCCTGTCCCTCAGCCCTCCTATTGACATTAGTGCACAACTGGTTCATCTCTGTTTTGAGCACTGCTCTCTCCTCGGGAAACCTTTCTAAATAGCCAACACCCATGAGAGGTGTAACATCAATCCCCAACATATTCATGCGAATTAGTTTATCACATCCTTTCTCAGTGCCAGGATAGTCATAGGAGTGAATTTGGGGGCAGGATTCAGGAAGAGAGGAGCTAACGTGGAGGGAGGTCAGTCAGGGATCAGAGGAGGGTCAAAATGGAGAACTGAAAACTGATAGCTGGCCAAGGGCAATAGAAAGCAGTGACTGAAGACCCATGGCCATATTGTTTTCAGTTTTTTCTGTTATTGACTTCTGGGATTTAATTTATTAGGGAACATAGTGTCTACTTTCTACTGGATGAGTCCTTTCTCAAACAAGTGACAACGTGCAATCGTTTGCAAATCAGCCTCTAATGCCATGACCAGCATTTAGGCTGCAGGACCCTCATGTAGTCCTTTTGTGCCTTTGGGATTTTTGTATCTGTCAATCATCTTCGAAAAATGTTTAGAATGATAGTTATTCTTCTTCAAGTTGTCTTCTCCTATGTACTTATAAATAATACTGAAATATAGTAAGGCCTAAATCTGATATAAGAGTATCAGATTTGGCTGGGCGCGGTGGCTCATGCCTGTAATCCCAGCACTTTGGGAGGCCGAGGCGGGTGGATTACCTGAGGTCAGGAGTTCGAGACCAGCCTGGCCAACGTGGTGAGACCCCGTCTCTACTAAAAATACAAAAATTAGCCAGGCGTGGTGGCACACGCCTGTAATCCCAGCTACTCGGGAGGCTGAGGCAGAAGAATTGCTTGAGCTCAGGAGGCAGAGCTTGTAATGAGCCAAGATCATGCCACTGCACTCTAGCCTGGCTGACAGACCAAGACTGTGTCTCAAAAAAAAAAAAAAAAAGAATGTTTTTATATATATTGTGGTTATTTGCATTAATAATTATAAAGCATAGCTTAAGTCCTTGGATGAAATTGTAACAGCCCCATTGAGTTCCAGGGCTACTGAGCGCTATGTTAATTTCAGAAATGATTTTAGTTACTAACACTTCTGTTGTCGGTTTTGATATGGAATTTCCCCTTTGAGAGCTTCATGTGCCCTCGTGCTGGCACTAGGTCCAAACCAAACAAGACCTGTGATTATTTAAAGAAGGTACTTTGACTCCACAGTTCATTCATCCTTTACGGATACAAAAATAACACATTGTTTTATCTGTGAGTATAAGAATCCTTTTTCAAAGGAAATAAAAAGAGCAGACAGTTTCCTTCCTGGCTAATTCACCAACCTCTTTAAATCTGTTAAACATAGCCACAGACACAACTTGTTCACTTGGTTTCATTTCCTAAACTCAATTTGACAAGATAGGTCAGTGTGAGGGTCCATATGCATCTAACAGGAAATAAAGTCTAAATCTAGGGAATGTTTCATAGCTACCAGGGTGGTAAGAACAATGACTCTAGAAGAAGAGTCCCATTTCAATTATAAAATTAATGAGCAGGTACCGTATTCAGCTGTTGTGAACAGCATCCTAGGATCAAATTTTAATCCAGTGAATCCAAACTCCTTCCATTCAAGATACTGCATCTGACTCACACATGCAGGCCTTTCTAAGGTCCACATACTATTAACATTCAAAATTTCTTCCTGTGCAAAGTTATATTCTTATATAGACTTGAAACCTGCCTCTTGGAAATTTCACTACCATCTCCCTTCCTTGGTTCTAGTTATCTTTTCTGGTGTGTCAAAGAATGAGTTAAATGCCTCTTCTGTCAGAAAGCTCCTAAACTATTTCAAGAAAACAATCTTGTTACCCCCATGTTGTCTCTTTTTTGGACTAAGTATCCTCATTTTCTGGCACTATTCTATTCCTATCCAGGATATAGCGCTACTTATTTGTTTCTTTTATAAATGGGCACAATATTTCAGGTGTGGCTGGATGATTGCCAATCATGTAATCTATATTTTCAGCTAACTACTTTTTTTAAGCAAAAAAGGTTGGATATAGCCATCACTTTTATAAAAGAGAGCAAAGGAGAAGGCCAAAAAACTACAAAAAGCAGACACAAGAGTTCAAAAAGCATGGCAGTTGGGGGCAATAATGAACAAAATAATGGAATATATAAATATATATTCCATTATATATGCCATATATTATATATATGTGGCAACCCATATGGGCAATTCAAGTGAAAATAACCTCCACTTTTCACAAGAGTAAATGATATGGCTAACAGAAAGGTTTAGAAATTATCAGTAATGCAGTATTCTTAACATCTGACTTTTCAGAAAAGCATAACATTAATGGGAAAAGGAATCAGCATAGGAAGTCTAGAGGCATGTAAACATGAGAGAAATGGAGAAAATAAAAATAACAGGATCACTGAAAGAGTGCTTTTGCTCAATTTTATCCTAAGTCCTTGCAGACAACTTCCTAAGGCACCTCAGGAATGAGAAGAGCAGAGGAAGGGCGGAAATATTCTGAGGTATACGTGGACTCAAGTCTCAGCCTCACCACATAGTCATTGTGCGACTTTGGGCAAGTTGTTTAACTTGAGTTTCCATCTTCCCATCTGTAGATTGAAGATACTACTATTGACTTCTTTAGATTCTTACAAGGTTAATAGGATTAAGTATGTCACAAGTCCAGCACAGCGCCTGCACATAAAGGTCCTAAATAAATATTTCGTGCTAAGTGCTGGGCATGTGTACAGGATACAAAGATATGTCAGACAGTACTGTCTCAAAGTTTATAATTCGGTAGGGAAGAGAAGCATATCAACGCCAAAATAATAATAAAAGGCAGAATAAAATAAGTACTGACTAATGATTCCAGAAGCGGGGATTGAGAGAGCAGAGAATGAGTATCTGCCTCAGCTGTTCATCCCGGAGTACATTCCAGGGCAGAAAGCATTTCAGCTGGCCTGAGAGGATAAGAAGGATTTGGCTGGAATAGGGAATGGAGCCTACTCCAGGATGCACTAACATCACAAACAGAGGCCACGCTTGGCGTTATGTGGCAAGTCCGGCTCACTAATGGCCAAACGACTGACTCTAATCCAATCTGGAAGGCCCCACGGTGCTGCTGATCTGGCCTGGAGCAGTGAAAGAATAACAGCAGGCCTCCTGCAGAGCAGACTGCTGGCGAACAGAAGGGTGGTCGTTCTGAAGGTGGGGAGAAGAAACTCACAGATGTCGTAAATGCACAGTTTTAAGCACACTGGCTTCTGAGAAACCCACATCAACCTGGCAGAAAAAGGAAGGAAGTCAAGACTTTGGGGAGACCTACAAACACGCAAAAACGTCACTGCTTCATACCCAGGCTCCTCCCAGGCCATAAGAGTCCAGCCATTGCTGCCCCATATTCCCTGGTGGAGGGGTGGGGACAGGGGAATGCAGTCATGGGGTGAGGGGAGGGGAGTCTGAGAAAAGTTCAGTTTTCTCCTCTGGTCTGCCATGACTAGACTGTGTGAGTTGGGTGAGTCAGTTCAGACCTCTCTGGAGGTTTATCACTGCTCTGTGTTTCTCATGGGGTTGTTGGGAGGATATGGGGGAAATGACGTTTGCTCTGAGGATTAGTGAGGTCTCCTTGCTCTCTGTGTTCCCTGGCCCGGCACGGCCATTCCTGAGGGCTATATGTCTGGGGTGCCTGTTAAAAGACAGATTAGCAGCTATCTGGGGAAGAAGGTGTTAAACAGAGATGCTAATAAATTGTTTCTGTATGAGCGAGCAGAAAAGTGAACATAATATTTTAGAACAAGGATTATTTGGGAGACAAAACCATTACTAAAGGTATTTGGGGAATGCTACCCTCTCACTTTTTCTGAAAGTATAAATTTGTGGTAGAGTAGTTTCAGACTTTCAGGGGGCTCTTTAAAATCATCTCCTTGTGAAAGAATAAAGATGATGTTCTGTTTTAAAGGGGTTTGAATTCTCAGAGTTAAAATATTTAAGCAATGTAAGTTTCAGGGGGAAAAAAACTGAAGTACGTTGCCTTCTTCCTAGTTCCTCCCCGCAAAATACTTGCATATTCTGAAGTCGACTGGTTAGCATTTGGAAATAGGCTACTGAACAAATACCATCTTTTCACGTAAAACCTCAATATGCCATAGATATTTACATCTAAGAGGTGCCAATCTGATATTTTATGATGTTGTAAATTTTATGTTTTGGATGATTCTTAGCATTAGAGAATTGAAACTGAGGTCGAAACTGTTTTCCAAATGTAAGCCACATGGCCATAGCCAGGGTAGGATTAGGCCTCTTTGTATTTTGCTGCTGAGCAAACTGTCTGAGACCTATAAAGAGGAAGCACTTGGAATATTTTTCTTAAATGTCATCTGTTGATTACATGTTGCTTCTTTCTGATAATATATTACAGCCCACTTCATTTTAAAAGCCAGCTTATAAAAGCATTTGGAATAGCAGCATATGTCTAACTCCTGGGAATTAGAAAAGGAAAACAAATGAACAATTTTAAGTGTGCGAGTTCCCCCTCCTCACCTACCCCCCTCCCTTTTCTTCCATTTTGGACATCTCTCTCACAGGTGTGGACTACTCTGGCCACTCTCTGTGGCAGGGCGTAATAACACAGTCAGAACTGGGTTTCCTTTCTTCTGGGAACGACTTCTCCCGCAGACACTGTGTTCGGATTTTGGGCTCTCGAGGATGGCCAGCCAGTGTCTTCACCTTCTGCTTTGCCAGACAGAACCAGACAGTCCCTTCCCGGAGTGGCAGGGAGAGGGGAGAAGGAGGTCAGGGAAAGGAACAGACTGGAGCAGGCAGCAGGAGACTGGGAGGTGGAAAGTTAAACAAACAGGGAAATAGATGTCTGACCAATTTCTTGTTGCTTTCTTAAGCAGCTGTTTACCTTGAACAGTGAGGTATGCTGAACTTTCCACAGAGCCCTTCTGGTTGGTGGCTTTGCAGTGATAGACACCTTCATCCTCTTCTGTGACTCTTTCAATAAACAGCGTGCTGCTTCCTGGTCCTAAAATAATTCCTGAGGGGTGAGAGATGTTTAGATTAGTGGGCCTGGATGACAAACAAAAAACAGCTACTTCTGTAACACAGCCTTCTTCCTATCATTATGCATTCAGACAAGGAAATCCGAGCTCTAGTGAACCTGGGGCAGGGTTGCTTATTTGTTTTCTCTGGGTCCAGGCTTTCTTTTTCTTTTCTTTCCTTTTTTTTTTTTTTTTTTTTTCTGCAGGCTTTCTAATAGCACCTTCACCACCCAGCAGAGCTGTGATCCCCAGCTTCGGAGATGCAAATCCACCCACCCTGTAGAAAGAAATGTGAGGCAGCTGCCATGCCCAACTTGAAAGTTGAAGATATCAAGAAGGCAGCATATCTAATAATAACAACTATCATTGACTCAACGCCCTCTGTGTGCTCGGCACTATGTGACACACTTTCATACCTTGACATTTACAACCAGCCTGTCAGCTAATATTGTCTTCCTTTTACAAATGAGGAAACTGAGATTCTGTGAGATTAAGTAACTTCACCAAGAGCATGCAGTTTGACTGAAAGCACATTTGTGACATATGGGTCAAAGGAACTAATATTTCATTTGTCATAAGGCCTGGTGAGTCAATATAGCCTAGTGATGAAGAGTTTGCCTGGGCTGTGTTTTAATCCATGCCTTAGCGCTTCAAGCTTTGTCACTTAGGCAAGTTACTTGATCTTTCTAAGTTTCAGTTTCCTTAATCTTAAGATAAAAATGAAAGTAATTCTTACTCTATAGTAAATGGCAAGCCCATGGTACATAGTAAGTGCTCAGTAAATGTAAGCTTAAGGATTACTACAGAGCACAGTGTAGTGGAAGGAGTCCCAAGAATTTTCAGACCCCTGAAAGGCTTCAAGACCTTGAAGCTTCAATACCTTGTACTATCACCAAGGGTCTGTTGAGTATTTACTCTGCCATCAGTTCGTGTTACAAAACAAACAGCAGGCTAAGATGTGGGCAGGCTAAGACATGGTATCTGTTGAGAAGGAAAAATTAATTCCTACCAAACACACACATTTACATTCTCTCTCTCCCACACATGCTCAACACATACACTCACACACACAAGCCAACAAATAGAAAATGTTTAATGAATGAGAATGAGTGAATACAGCACAGTATACCTAATTAAGTGGAAGGTCTGGCACAGGGAAGGAGATCAGTAAGGAAGGGTGTACTTGGGGAAGGCTGCATAGAAGAGGTGGGCCTCGAGTTGAGGTCTGAAGGATTGTCAGAGGTGAAATGAGAAACGGAAGCATGAGAAATGGCATGATGTGGAAATAAACAGGAATTGAGTACTTGTTCCAGAATAGTGATAAAACAGGCCTGGCCAGACTATAGGCTGTATTTCATTAGTTTAAATAGTTTGTATTTCTCTTATGAAAGATGTACTCAATATAGAAAAGTTGAGAAATATTTGAAAGCTTAAAAAAAGAAAATGTAATATTATAAAGCTATGATAATCAAAACAGCATGGTACTGTTATAAAAACAGATCCATCAACCAATGGAATAGGCAAGGGCCCAGAAATCAACCCAAACATCTATGGTCAACTGATTTTTGACAAGGTGCCAAGAACACACAATGGGGAAAGGACAGTCTCCTTAATAAGTGGTGTTGGGAAAACTGGATATCTACATACAGAAAAATGAAAATGGACCCTTCTCTCATCCCTTATATAAAAATGAACTCAATATGGATTAAAAACTTAAATGTAAGACCAGAAACTATAAAACTACTAGAAGAAAATGTGGGGGAAAAACTCCACGATATTGGTCTGGGAAGAGATTTCTTGGATATGACCCCAAAAGCACAGGCAACGAAAGCAAAAATAGGCAAATGGGATTGCATCAAACTAAAAACCTTTTGCACAGCAAAGGAAACAATTAATAGAGTGAAGAGACAACCTACAGATTGGGAAAAAGTATTTGCAAATCATACATCAGATAAGGAGCCAATATCCAAAATATACAAGGAACTCAAACTACTCAATAACAAGGAAACCAATAATCCTATTTAAAAATGGGCAAAGAAATCAAATAGACATTTTTCAAAAGAAGACAGATGGCCAACAGTTATATGAAAAAAATACTCACCATCTCCAATCACAAAAATGTAAATCAAAACCAAATGAGGCCAGGTGCAGTGGCTCATGCCTGTAATCCCAGCACTTTGGGAGGCCGAGGTGGGCAGATCATCTGAGGTCAAGAGTTCAAGACCAGCCTCGCCAACATGATGAAACCCAGTCTCTACTAAAAATACAAAAATTAGCGGGGTGTGGTGGCGAATGCCTGTAATCCTAACTACTTGGGAGGCTGCAGCAGGAGAATCACTTGAACTGGGGAGGCAGAGGTTGCAGTGAGCGAGATCGTGCCACTGCACTCCGGCCTGGGTGACAGAGCGAGACTTTGTCTCAAAAAACAAGAAAAAAACCAAATGAGATAGCACCTCACACCTATTAGATTAGCTATTATTAAAAAGATAAAAGATCACAAGTGTTGATGAGGATGTGGAAAGAAGGGAACCCTTATACACGGTTGGTGGCATTATAAATTGTTACGGCCATTTTGGAAAACCATATGGAGCCTCTCAAACAACTAAAAAGAAAACTGCTATATGATCTAGCAATCCCACTACTGGGTATCTACCCAAAGAAATTGAAATCAAGGATGCTGAAGAGATGTCTGCATTCCCATGTTTATTGCAGCATTATTCACAATAGCCAAGATATGGAGGCAACCTATGTGTCCATCAATGGATGAATAGATTTTTAAAATTTGGTGTATATATACAATGGAATACTACAGCCTTAAAAAATAACAGGAAATTCTGTCATTTATGACAATATGGATGAACCTAGAGGACATTATGTTGAGCGAAATAAGCCAGGCACTGAGAGACAAATGCTGCATGATTTCACTTATATGTGGAATCTAAAAAAGTTGAACTCATAGATGTAGAGAGTAGAGTGATGGTTACCACAGGCTGGGGTGGGGAGAGTTGGATACGGACAGGGAAGATATTGGTCACTGGGTACAAAGTTACAGTTAGATAAGAGGAATATGTTCTGGCATTCTATTACACAGCAAAGTGACAACAGCTAAAAATAATGCACATTTCAAAATAGCTAAAAGAGGATTTTAAGTGTTCCCACCACAAAGAAATGATATTTGAGCTGATGGGTATGCTAATCAGGCTTATTTGATCCTTCCCATTGTATACATGTATTAATATTAAAACATCACACTGTACCCCATGCATATATATAATTATTATTATTTGCCAATTAAAGAAATGGAAAAGGCCGGGCACGGTGGCTCATGCCTGTAATCCCAGCACTTGTGGGAGGCCGAGGTGGGTGGATCATGAGGTCTAGGAATTCGAGACCAGCCTATCCAATATGGTGACACCCCGTCTCTACTAAAAATACAAAAATTAGCCGGGCGTGGTGGCTCATGCCGGTAGTCCCAGCTACTCGGGAGGCTGAGGCAGAAGAATTGCTTGAAGCCGGGAGGCAGAGCTTGGAGTGAGCCAAGATGGTGCCCCTGCACTCCAGCCTGGGTGACAGAGCAAGACTCCATCTCAAAAAACAAAAAAAAAAGAAATGTAAAAAACACACAAACTCCAAACACCTACAATCTCACCTCCCAGATGTTGTTTCTTTAGTCTTTCTAAAGTGTACTTTCTGAAAACACAGTTTGTTCATTTATATAACAAATATTTTTTGAGCTCCTACTACGTACTAGACACTATTCTAGATACTGGTGATACACTATCAAGCAGAAGAAATCCTTGCCTACAAATTCTAGTTTTGGAGAATTACAAAGTGAGTATCAACAGATTAAGGTATTAGAGAAACCAGAGGAGACAACAATGAATTAAGTATGAACAAAAGATCTGAGGGATGGAGACAAATTATAAGGGTAATAACTTGCTTATTTTTGTAAGAAAGGAAATAAATAGCAAGAGTGGAGGATGAGCAGTATCGTCTAAAAAATTAAAAACACAAAACTTTGCTGATTTGATAGATGAAAATGATTGTTTTAATTTGTATTTCTTTGAACATTTTTTCATGTGTGTATTAGCCATTTTTATTTCAAAAGACCTGTTTTGAGTAGGTGACTGGAAAAGGTGAATTCAGATTAAGGAGAGCTTTGAAATCTTGGTTGAGGAGTTTCAATTCCATGTAGAAGGAAAGAGAATCACAAAGATTTTTGAGCATAGTGAAAGCGACATTTAAGGACGTTCAGTCTAGAAGGAGAATACAGCTGGACTGGAATGAGGAAAGCATAGCATCTGCAAGTCCTGCTCATCAGTTGTAATTCAGGCAAGGAATGATGAGGTCTCAAATCTGGATGGTGGGAAAGGAAGTAGAGAGGAAGAAATGGAAACAGATACTTTGTAGAAACAACCTATAGGAATTGGTGCTTTACTGGATACAGCAATAGAAAAAGAGAGAGATGAGTCCAAGGTGATTCCAATATTTTAAACCCAGATAACAGGGAAAAAATGACAGCTCTTCCCCATAACCTTGGCTAAGTCACTTAATCTTTTTGGGGCAAGTTCCTTACCTGTAAAATGAGAATAATACCTGCTCCACCTATTTCATGATCAATTGAGATAGCTTAAATGGAAGCATTGAAGCTTTGAGAAGTATAAGATATAGTACAAGTGGCAATCACAGAAAATAAAAGTGTGGCTGTACAGTTGCTCCGGGTCAATGAACATTTATAAGAGCAGCTATCTTGCTACCTACAATCATTACAATAATCTCCATTGCAGCAGATCTGAAACTCAGCCAATTTTCTATCACTCAAATCCCAACTCAAGGATAGCATCATGGGCTGGGCACAGTGGCTCATGCCTATAATCCCAGCACTTTTGGAGGCCGAGGTGGGCAGATCGCTTGAGCCTAGGAGTTCGAGACCAGCCTGGGCAACATAATGAGACTCCATCTCCACTAAAACTTGGAAAAAACAACAACAACAAAAAACAGGCTGGCACCATGAGTAAATAAAGTTAAAGGACTTGGATTTCACTCAAGGAGAGTGTGTAATTATGAAAGGTGAGAGATGGTAGCCAGGATGCTCATGAGCTAACATCATCTGGCACAGATTCCTCTTTCTAGCCCAAGGAGGAGAGGAGATGGGGTGAGAAGGTGTCCAAATTCAACAGGCAAAGCTCTTCTTTCTGATATGCCCTCTATTGTACTATAACAAATGACACAGAGACATTGATGCTTCCCCATCAGATAGGCCACTCAGACGCTCAGAACTGTCATCAGGCCCTTGCTCATCCTCCACTCTTGCATTTATTTCCCTTCTTACGAAAATAAGCATGTTATTACCCCTATAATTTGTCTCCATTCTTCAGATCTTTTGTTCATACTTAATTCATTGTTGTCTCCCCAGGTTTCTCTAATACCTTAATCTGTTGATACTCACTTTATATGACCCAAATCGTAGGATACAGGCTCTGTTCTGCTGAGGAAAATACATTTTTAAAGTGGTTCTATTTTTAGTTTAATTTTAATTTTTTTGACTGTGAGCACTTTCAAAAATGTTAAAGTGCAGAAAAAGTATAACTCATGTATCTACCATTAAGATGATCAGAGGTCAACATCTTGCCATATTTGCTTTAGGCAGACCCATTTCTGTCTTTAATATGAAATGAGATTTATAGATACTTTATCCCTTCCTTTACCCTCTCTCTCCAGAGGTACCTGAAATTGTACTTTTTCTACATAGTACATGTTTTTGTACTTTTTCCACATGCATGTTTTTGTACTTTTTCTACATAGGTATATATCTGTACAGAATACAGAATATTATTTTGTGTGCTTAAAAATTCTAAATAACAGGTATTATAGATTATATATCCTTTTCAACTTGATTGTTTTCCCATTCAGCAATGCTTTTATATTTATCCTTTTTTTTTTTGAGACGGAGTGTTGCTGTCGCCCAGGCTGGAGTGCAGTGGTGCAATCTCGGTTCACTGCAACCTTTGCCTCCTGGGTTCAAGTGATTCTCCTCTCTCAGCCTCCCAAGTAGCTGGGATTATAGGCGCCCACCACTGCATCTGGCTAATTTTTGTATTTTTGTAGAGACAGGGTTTCACCATGTTGGCTGGTCTTGAACTCCTGACCTCAAGCGATCTGCTGGCCTTGGTCTCCCAAAGTGCTGGGATTACAGGGGTGAACCACTGCTCCCAGCTCATGCTTTTTAATTGATGGCAAAATGATTGATGTGAAATGGTATCTTGCTGTGGTTTTAATCTACATTTCCCTGATTACTAGCTAGGTGAAATATTTTTATTGGCCATTCAGGTTTCTCTTTGTGTGAACTGCCTGTTTCTATCCTTTGCCCATTTTTCTGTTGTCCTATTTGTCTTTTTGTCAACGATTTTAGGGTTCTTTATATGTTTGGGATGCTAATTCTTTGTTGGCTTAATACGTTTCAAGTCTTCCTTCATTGTATGAACAGTCTTTTAAATTTCACTTATGGTAAATTTTTATTTTATTTATTTACTTATTTATTGAGATGAGGTCTCTTTCTATTGCCCAGGCTGGACTGCAGTGGCAAGATCATAGCTCACTGCAGCCTTGAACTCTTGGGCTCAAGTGATCCTCCAGCCTCAGCCTCCTGAGTAGTTGGGATTATAGGCGTAAGCCACAGTCCCTGCCATGGTGAATTTTTAATACAAAGCTTTAAATTTTTTAACATAATCAAATTTGTCAGTATTTTTTATTAACTTTTTGTGCTTTTTGTTATTTAAGAACTCTTTTCCTACCCTGATATCATAAAGAAAGTATACTTTCTTCATAAAATCTGTTTAAGAGATTCATTTACTATTTTGTGTTTTCTTATTTAGGTTTTTAATTGACCTAGATTTTCTTTTGGGGAGGGGTATGTGTATGGTGTGAAGTAAGGACCTAATTTTTACCATATAAATAGCCAATGATCCCAGCATCATTTATTGAATAAGATCTTCTTTTACCACTAAGTCGTTGTGCCAGCTCTGTTCAGATACTATCTGAATTTTTTATGTTGAAGCTCCCATGTATTTGTGTATTTGTGGTTCTGTTTCTAGGCTCTTTATTTATTCACAGTGACCTATTTATCTATCCCTGTACCACATAAGTTAAATTATGATTGCTTGATAACACATCTTGATATCTGGTATGGCCTCACCAGATAGTTTTCAAAATGGTCTTGACTATTCTTGGCCCTTTATACTTCAATACTTTATACTTCAGATTTTGCTTGTCAAATTCTGTAAAAAGCACAATTGGAATGTTTATTGGAATTCCACTGAGTTCATATTATATTATAATTTGGGGGAAATGGTCATATTTATTTTTAGGTGGAACCATATGGAATTGCCAATACTTTGACGTACAAAAATGGCAATATGGTTCTACCAATAAGTGTTTTTATAGAAGAATATTGAGTATCTTTGAGTTATTTAGGTTTTCTTTTATGTCATTTAATAGTTTTATGATTTTCTCTTTAAATATCATGCTTTTCTTTAGTTATATTTATTCCTAGATAGATTTTAATTTTGTTGTTATGCAAAATAGTATTGAGGTCTTTGAGAGGTCACTGTATTTGAATTTTCTCTTTCCTTTTTGGGTATTAGTCTTTAGAACTAACATGTAGAACTCCCTTTTTTTTTTTGAGGCGGAGTCTTGCTCTGTCGCCCAGGCTAGAGTGAAGTGGTGCAATCTCGGCTCACTGCAACCTCTGCTCCCGGACTCAAGGGATTCTCCTGCCTCAGCCTCCCTAGTAGCTGGGATTACAGGTGTGCACCACCAAGCCTGGCTAATTTTTGTATTTTTAGTAGAGATGGGGTTCCACCATGTTGGCCAGGCTGGTCTCGAACTCCTGACCTCAAGTGATTCGCCAACCTTGGCCTCCCAAAATGCTGGGATTACAGGCGTGAGCCACCGTGCTCAGCCAGAACTCACTTATAAACATGATACTCTGCTTTGTGTTTCTGAGATAGTTTAATTGTAGGCCTGCTTGCTTGCTTCTAAAGGATAGCCTAAGTCATTACCATGTGCTTGTTTGTGTATTTCCTTGGCTTCTGACACTAAATACAGATTCTTTAACCACTGAAGCCATAACAATTCCCATGGAAATTCATTATTTATTTCTCTTTACTCTAAGAAGCTGTATCAGATGGACCAACAGGGCATAGAGTAGCATTTGCAAACATAGATGTCTTCAGGAGCCAGGCACGTAATATAAATGAGTTGGGGATAAAATAATGGAAGGGGGACTATGTCTCTGGAGAATAGAAAGCCTGTCTCCCACCTAAAAGCAGAAGCCTTTGCTTAGCTCCAACCTATTGAGAATTTGGGGATTTGAGTCTGGTGTTGTCTTCTGAGTTTTAGAAAGAAGGCAGAAATTTGAATTTTTTTTTTAATGTTAAAGCTCATGATTCTTAAATGTTGGCAACCAGATCAACTTATATAGATCTACTGTGAAGGCCAATAAAAACATGGATGCAAGATATATTTGATGTAACTTAGAGTATGTACATGGGGATAAGCTTTTATGTTGTTACTAAGCAAGGACCTTCATGATCTGGCCCCTTCCTATCTTCCCAGCTTTGCTGCCTGCTGCATCCCTACATGTGTCTTTGGTATGAGCCATGCTAATCTATTTGCAGTTTGTTCTAAGCCTCAGTGACTCTGCACACGTGGTTCCCTTGATGCCTGGTTAACATTTGCTTGTTCTTTAATATTCAGCTCAGGATTAGCTACTCTGGAAAGCATTTTTTTTTTTTTCGAGATGGAGTTTTGCTCTTGTTATCCAGGCTGGAGTGAAATGGCACGATCTCGGCTCACTGCAACCTCCGCCTCCTGGGTTCAAGAGATTCTCTTGCCTCAGCCTCCTGAGTAGCTGGGATTACAGGCGCCTGCCACCACGCCCGGCTAATTTTTTGTATTTTTAGTAGTGGTGGGGTTTCAACATGTTGGCCATGCAGGTCTTGAACTCCTGACCTCAGGTAATCCACCTGCCTGGGCCTCCTAAAGTGCTAGGATTACAGGCGTGAGCCACCACGCCCAGTGGAAAGCATCTTCTGATGCTCTTGGACCCCATCTCTGTTACTCCTGCATCACCCTGTGAATGCCCCTACTCTGGCACTTACCTTTTTGTCATAAAATTGCTGACTTTCTTATCTGCCCACTCCACTGTGGGCTCCTGGAGAATGGTAACTCTAACTTATTCATTCTTGAGTCCCCAGTGTCTAGTGCAGGCCGATAGACAGCTGACCTTCAGTAACTGAGGAAAATGACCACATAAATGAAGACAATGGAAAATGTCATGTAGAGGGTGGAGGAGGGGAGTGAGCTTTGCAATATTTGCGGAATATGATGAAGCTAAGCTAGTTATTAGTGCTAACTCCCTGGGTGGTAGCATAGACTGATGACCTGCAGCATGCCAAGCTCACCTCAGAATTTATAAAATTCTGTCAGTTAATTTTGTCATCTTAAGGTTCAAAAAGCCTCAGTTCCTGGAGCTTAGAATGCAAACTCTGGTGGTTTTATGCGTTTGCTAAAGCATTAGCCCCAAAAGGACAAGTAAAACTTTACACTGGGCTGTTTTTGTAGAAACGTGTGGTGTCCTCTAAAGTATCTGACGATGAAACTCAGTGTGAGGATTTGAATTACTTATTATGTTGGTTGCTAATGGAGGATGTGGATAAGTTTTTGACCATGATGGCCTAATTTATTCATGGGATGTGGTCTAAATTTTCAAGATGTCCAACTGTCAATTTTAAAGGTGTAATTTTCAAGGGACTCTGTAGATAGCTTTATTTCTTCCCATTATACCTTAAGGTGAAGGACAATCTTGGCATTTTATGTGTGAGCACCATATTGCCCAGGGAAGAGCATGGAATATAATTTTAATCCAATTCACCATTGAGTAAATAAATCTGTAGAGCTTTTGAATTCACCTATTTGATTACATAAATGCAGGCCATGTGTTTGCCTCCTGTTCCCCCCCACACACAAAAGTGGCTTGTTGCTCTCCTAAATGGGCCTACTAGTCTGACCAGCAACTTCTGTTTTGTTGCTCAGTTGACTATATGTATTGTTGACTTAGAGAACATTATATTCATCCACTTTGGCCAAACTAATATTCGTCATCAAAACTCTCTTTTTTATTCATCAAAGTCCAATTCAGATGACATCTCCTCCATGAAATCTCCCCTGATTAGTCATCAGAAGTGCTAATTTTTATCTGATGTTATTTTATACCACTCACATTGCACATTTATGAACTGACTTTGTACCTATTATGTTTGTTTTTCAAAGGTGAGGATTATGTGTTGCTTATTTTCATTTTCTCTAGAATATAATAAAGGATCAGGCTCAGAGTAGGCAATTAATGCATGTATGTTAAGTTTAATAGAATAAAAAGTGAATTTTGTCTGTTTATTTATTTATTTATTTATTTGTTTTTTGAGACGGAGTTTCGCTCTTGTTGCCCAGGCTGGAGTGCAGTACACGATCTCGGCTCCCTGCAACCTCTGCCTCCTGGGTTCAAGTGATTCTCCTGTCTCAGCCTCCCGAGTAGCTGGCATTACAGGCATGAGCCACCATGCCTGGCTAATTTTGTATTTTTAATAGAGACAGCATTTCACCATCTTGGTCAGGCTGGTCTTGAACTCCTGACCTCAAATGATCCACCTGCCTTGGCCTCCCAAAGTGCTGGGATTACAGGCGTGAGCCACCATGCCCGGCCATTTGTTATTGTTATGATTGTCTTGGCTCTCCAACTAAAGGATAAGTTCTTTGAAGTTGACACATAATAGTTTTCAATAAATGGTAGCTATGATGATGATGATGATGATGATGATAATGATGATAGCTATGATGATGATGATGATGACGATGATGATGATGATGACAATGGTGATGATGACGATGACGATGGTGACGTTGATGTATACAGTTCTAGGTACACAGTAAATAATCATATCTTTAGATTGGCAGCTTTTTTTTTTTTTTTTTTGAGACAGAGTTTTGCTCTTGTTGCCCAGGCTGGAGTGCAATGGTGCAATCTCTGCGCACTGCAATCTCCACCTTCCGGGTTCAAGCGATTCTTCTGCCTCAGCCTCCTGAGTAGCTGGGATTACAGGTGCCCACCACCATACCCGGCTAATTTTTGTGTTTTTAGTTGAGATGGGGTTTCACCACGTTGGCCAGGCTGGTCTCCAACTCCTGACCTCAGGTGATCCACCAGCCTCAGCCTCCCAAAGTGCTGGGATTACAGGTGTGAGCCACTGTGCCTGGCTAGATTGGCAGCCTTTAATTGATTAGCTAAGAGCAGTGTCCGAACTAAGAACCAGAAGAGCCAAAATATAGAAATGGCTAAAAGTGACCCAGGAAAGCTAGAGGCAAGATGTCAGATTGACTTTCCACAAAGGAGATTTTATATATCCAGTCAAACTTTGGATTTTTGGAAAACTATGTCTGAGGAACATAAATTCAAGTTGAGTAAAATGGCAAAGGCTGACAAAATTGGAAAATGAAGGCCAGGCACGGTGGCTCACGCTTATAGTTCCAACACTTTGGGAGGCCAAGGGGGTCGGATCACCTGAGGTCAGGAATTCAAGACCAGCCTGGCCAACATGGTGAAACTCTGTCTCTACTAAAACTACAAAAATTAGCCAGGCGTGGTGGTGGGCACCTGTAATCCCAGCTACTCACGAGGCTGAGGCAGGAGAATTGCTTGAACCCAGGAGATGGAGGTCGCAGTGAGCCAAGATCATGCCACTGTACTCCAGCATGGATGACAGAACGAGACTCCATCTCCAAAAAAGAAAAGGAAAATGAAAAACGATTAATCCATAAATGACACTAAAAAGATGAGTGATTTCAGTGCTTCTGAATGGTGACCATGTGGTTTCTTCTTTATTGAGAATTTCACCCTAAGATCAAGCCTCATGGCAAAGCCTTTGTGAATGTAAAAAAGAAAAAAAGTTGACGTATGGGATAATTTGAGACACAGTGAAAAGCAGCCTTGCAATAATATGTTAAGCTGGAAGAGAATATGAGAATGTTGCAAAACATAGCGTCTAAAGGAGACTTGATGGCAGTGTAAGCCCTGATAAGACGATTTACGCTTTAGCCATGAAAAAGACAGAGAAAGAACAGGAACACTTAGAAAAGAATAAGACTGGGGACAGTGATGAAAAATGCCATATAGGCCGGGTGCAGTGGCTCATGCCTGTAATTCCAACACTTTGGGAGGTAGAGGCAGGAGGACAGCTTGAGCCCAGGAGTTCAGGACCAGCCTGGGCAACACAGTGAGACTACTGTCTCTATAAAAAATAAAAAAAATTAGCCCGGCATGGTGGCATGTGCCTGTAGTTCCAGCTACTTGGGGAGGTGGGAGAGTTGGGAGGAGGCTGCAGTGAGCCATGGTGACGCCACTGCCTTCCAGCCTGGGCCACAGAGCAAGACCCTGTCTCAAAAAGAAAAAAAAAAAAGCTGTATAATATTCTTCTCACTGTAACCTCTGAATAAGGGAAACACCATAGACAAAGGTCCTTTCATTTGGGATAATGTCTATTCCTTCACTACTTTAACTTACAAAATAGAGTTATGATGGGGGGAGAGGGGAAGGATAGCATTAGGAGATATACCTAATGTTAAATGACGAGTTAATGGGTGCAGCACACCAACATGGCACATGTATACATATGTAACAAACCTGCACGGTGTGCACATGTACCCTAAAACTTAAAGTATAATAAAAAAATGGAGTTATGATAGCAGAATAGTTTCTAAAAGCCTTGAAGAGGCTATAGTTAAAATGAATCCTTTGAAACGGTGCCAAAAACACACGTATTTCTAAATATTTAAAATGAAAGCATCTTTGTGCGCTTTCACTGTGAACTTTGCTCTTGTTCTAATAAAGCATTTCAGGATGATTCAGGCACTTAAAAATGTGTCAAATGGTCCTAACTCTATGGTTATTATCTATATAACCTTAGCTATCAGCTATGTTTATTTGTAAACTGTGAACACATGCATGTAAGTTTGTGCGCACACCCACACACTCCTGTCCCAATTAATCCTTGTGCTATGTTCAGATTGGCCATAGCCTATCCACAAGGTTGGATCCATTAGTCCCGAAGAAGATGGCCAGTCACCTACAGGGCTTTTTTTGTGTGTGATGAAGTAGCGACTCTAATGACCATTTTAAGACAGGAAAATCAGTACTATTGCACTCCATAAGAACTTAGTCAAGAAAGTGTTTTTCTCTCAATAGAGGAGTAGTTACATAAGTTATGGGAATACAAATCATATTACAGTGTATGCCTGCTAAAAAGAGTGGGGTAGAACAATACGTTTTGACATAGAAAGACCTCCAAGATATATCAAGTAATAAAAGCAAGTCTTAAAATGACATATGGTGTGACCTTAACTCAAATTTTATCTCGGAAATGCTGGGTTTCCCATATAAGCCCACTACCAGTCACTCACTGTAATCCATTATCTTATTTTATTTTCATCATAACAGTGATGACCATCAGAACTTATACCATATGCTTATATAGTAGTCCCCCTGTATCTGTGGTTTTAGTTTACCAACGTGCAAAAATATTAAATGGAAAATTCCATAAATAAACAATTTATAAGTTTTAAATTGTACACCATTCTGAGAAGCATGATGAAGTCTCTCGCTGTCTCACTCTGTCCCTCCCAGGATGTGAACCTTCCCTTTGTCCCGCACGCATCTCCACGCTGTAGCTGCTACCCATCTATGAATCCCTTAGGAGCTGGCTGGCCTACCAGATAGATGGTCCCAGTATCACAGTGCTTGTGTTCACAGAACACTTATTTTCCTCAATAATGTGCTCCAAAGCACACGAATAGTGATGAAGCTGTGAAGTACTTCCTTTTAGTTAAAAGGTGAAAGTTCTCAACTTAATAAGAAAACAAAAAAATCATATGCTGAGGTTGGCTAAGATCTATGGTAAGAATGAACCTTCTATCCATGAAATTGGAAAGAAGGAAAAAGAAACCTGAAAAGGCATTTAAGTTTGTGGGTAGAAGGCATGAACAGAGCGTGTTCTGATGGACAGCAATTGGTATAATCTGAGGTGTCAGGCATCCTCTTGGGGTCTTGGAACAGGTCCCCTGTGGATAAGGGGACATGACAGTAGTTTTGTTTGTTAAATTTGTTGCCTGTATTTTCCCATTAGAATGTAAATTCAAGGTCCCTGTTTTGTTCCCAGCACCTAATATGCCTGTCACAAGGTTGACTGTCAGTGAATATCTATTGAATGAATAAATCATTGGTGTGTGTGTGTGTGTGTGTGTGTGTGTGTATATATATATATATATATATATATATATTTTTTTTTTTTTTTTTTTTTTTGAGACAGAGTCTCGCTCTCTTTCCCAAGCTGAACTGCAGTGGAGCCATCTTGGCTCACTGCAACCTCTGCCTCCTGGGTTCAAGCAATCCTCCTAGCTCAGTCTCCTGAGTAGCTGAGACTACAGGCACTTGACACCATGCCTGGCTAATTTTTGTATTTTTAGTAGAGATAGAGTTTCACTATGTTGGCCAAGCTGGTCTTGAACTCCTGACCTCAGGCAATCTGCCTGCCTCAGCCTCCCAAAGTGCTGGGGGATTACAGGCATGAGCCACTGCATCCGGCCATATATTTTTAAAGCCCACATTTGTACATATGCACACGTATAGGTTAAAAAATGGAAAAAACATTGACAAGATACATATCAAACAGTTAATATGTATTACCTCTCCATAAGGGAAATTTGTATAGCTTACTCTATTTCTGTACAGTGGAAATGTATTCATATATTCCTCGTTTAAATAAAATGTATATATATATATATATATATATATATATATATATAGCTGGGTGCAGTGGCTCATGCCTGTAATCCCAGCACTTTGGGAGGCCAAGGTGGGCAGATCACGAGGTCAAGAGATTGAGACCATCCTGGCCAACATGGTGAAACCCCGTCTCTACTAAAAATACAAAAGTTAGCTGGGCATGGTGGTGCGGGCCTGTAGTCTCAGCTACTTGGAAGGCTGAGGCAGGAGAATCGCTTGAACCCAGGAGGCGGAGCTTGCAGTGAGCAGAGATCATGCCACTGCACTCCAGCTTGGCAACAGAGTGAGACTCTGTCTCAAAAATAAATAAATAAATAAAATAAAAATGAAACATTAAGACATGAAACTGTAGCCCTTTTTACCTCTTTCTCAGTGGCAAAGAGCCATTAAATGAAAAGTTTAAAAGCTATATGAGTTCAAATACTTAAACATTGCAAAACTTTGTAATATTGACTATGTTAGAATGAGTGAGTGAATGTTTTTGAGGCAAGAAAAGTCGATTTATATTTTATGACAATTTACAATTTTAGATTAAGGCAATAAAAGGACAAATCAAAACCCATTCAGTCAGAAGACTGTCCCACCGTGTGGAGGTGGGGGAGGGAACGTGATATAGAGTATGTTTTCTGCACTTCATTTTGTTTCTCAGTGATGCTCAGTTTAATTATGACTGAGTTGTATGAGATGGCTACTTAAACTAATATACAGTCTTGATTGTTTAAGTCTCCTTGGTAGCAGGAGATTATATAAAAATCAGGTTTATCATTTGAATGGGGAGGTGAACTTTCTTGACTTTGATTTTTTTCAGCAGCAATTTAGAGTCGTGGACTGAGTTCACTGACTAGTTATCTGAGAGTATATTTGTTTGCATATTTTCCTTAATTGAATTGGGCATAGTGGTGACCCCAGTTGCATTGCTGTGTATGTGCCACTTTAGGTCCTGATTAAACTGTCTGAAGTTTATGCTTGAGGGGAGGAGAGATTTCCATGCAGATTCTAGACATGTAAAATGGAAAAAGTCCATCTAATTATTTTGCAAAAACATGAAAGCATGAAAGCATGTTTAAGGGAGTGTATGAGTTTTCCTTCTGTAGTCATCCAATCTTTAGTGTAGGGAGGAATTTGTTGATTAGGGATTGAGATCCCTCTCACTCTAAGAGCCCAGGCACTGGCTCTTAGTTTTGGGGTTAGTGTCTTTGGACAGAGTACAGCCTCTGAGAGATCTCTGGGATGACTGCTGGGAGAGTTTACCACCCCCACTAACCCCTCGATGTCCCCAAATCTCTTTGTATCTCTTCTCTTTGTTTTTCTTCATGCCCCATTTCTTTTTCCCAGCCATTGACTGCTCTTCAGACAAAATTTGCTGCTGATCTTGGCCATGTTCAAAGTACATTTCCGTGTGTTGCAAGAGGTCACAGAGAGAATCAAAAGAGGAGGTTAATTCATAGTCAAAAAAGGAGAAGCTTTAATGGGCATGGGATTTCCGATTGGGGTTATGAAAAAGTTCTGTAACTAGATAGTGGTGATGGTTTTGCAACATTGTAAATGTACTTAGTGCCACTTAATTGTACACTTTAAAATGGTTAAAATGATAAAATTTATGTTATGTGCATTTTGCCACAATTTAAAAAAATGAGGCCTGGGCAACATAGAAAGACCACCATCTCTACAAAAGAAAAAAAAATAGCTGGGTATGGTGGCATGTGACTATAGTCCCAGCTATGCAGGAGGCTGAGGTGAGAGGATCACCTGAGCCCGGGAGGTTGAGGCTGCAGTGAGCCACGATCATGTCACTGCACTCCAGCCTGGGAAACAGAGCAAGACCATGTCTCAAAAAACAAACAAAAAACAAAACAAAATATAAAGAAAAAACCCAAAAAAACCCTTTTTCTAAAGTGATGCCCACATTTACAAGTTCTCTCCTATTTCTTTTCTTTTTTTTTTATTGAGATGGAGTCTCGCTCTGTCGCCCAGGCTGGAGTACAGTGGCGCGATCTTGGCTCACTGCAACCTCCACCTCCCAGGTTCATGCCATTCTCCTGCCTCAGCCTCCCGAGTAGCTGCGACTACAGGCGCCCACTACCATGCCCAGCTAATTTTTTCTGTATTTTTAGTAGAGACAGGGTTTCACCGTGTTAGCCAGGATGGTCTCGATCTCCTGACCTTGTGATCCGCCCACCTCGGCCTCCCAAAGTGCTGAGATTACAGTTGTGAGCCACCGTGCCCGGCCCTCCTATTTCTTATGTCCTAAATTTTTCATTTAAAAATTTAATAGGACCTAACACACACAAACAAACACACACACACCCCACCACCACTACCACCACCACTAAACTTAAACAACTAGCAGGGGGCCCTGCTATTCATACGAATAGATGTTTGTGTTGACCAATGCATGATCCCTCAGTTGGACCTTACTGTGGCCAGCAGCTTTCAGGAGGCTTTTCTGGGCTGAATAGAGATGAGGATGTTATGCTGTAAAATGCATCCAGGAAATTTTCTTTAGGCAAAGCTTTAGGATAGGATATATTGCTATGTATGTGTGTGTATACCTATGCATGTAGGTGCAAGACCTAAATCACCTGAATCTTGCCAATAAAAAGAGATACTTTGGGGCTGACTGATTCTTCATAAATAGCTTCTATTGCTTTCCAATTCAAAATGGAACTTTACTCATGGATTACTTTACTTTTCTGAATATAAATTATAGAACTCTACCACTGTACTTTTCAATCTCATTGAACTAGCCAAACATTAACAAGTAATTGCAGAATTGCAGAAAGCGCATAAAGCAACATTTTCAATTTTTTTTTTTTTGCCATGATAGGGCTGTGTTAAAGTCAGGTTCCCTCTGTTGGCTGAGATGAGTGTTGTAGGTCTGAACTTTGGCAATGTCAACAGGTTAGTTTTCGCATGCTGTTACCCCACTACCTCTCTTACTTCATTACTCTCCTTTCTTCTACCTCCTAAAAGAACTTTATCCTTGGAAAAGAACTGAGCCTTGATTCTGCAACATAGTCCTGGCAGGGAAGAAGAGCTACTTGCATATCAGCAGTGAAGCTTGGTTTTCCTTGATCTGGATGTAGAGAGCCCCTGACCTTAATGACACATATTGAAGAGACAGGGCTAGCGAGAACAGCTGCTTAGCTAATCACACCAGCAGATCAGCTCTGGTCTCAGGGGTGCTAAGTAGAGCAGCCAGCTCACCCTCACAGGCACTGCTCTGCGCACACCCTGGATATCTTGTTCACATTTCTTTTCTGCAATAATAGTTCTTCATTCATTGTGTACCGTAAGGATAGATTTCATGAGAAGGAAAAGGCAACTACAACTCAAGTTTTGCAAAAGATATTTGACATTTCTGAATTTCATTAAGGAATTTGATTAAGGAATCAAGCAAAACTGCTGATTCTAGTAGCCTGAGCGTGACAGATGGTCAGTTTTTCATCCCTGGGTATTAACAGCCTCATTCCTCTCTCTCTTCTAAGGTTCCTTAAGATCTTTCCTGGATCTAGTCAAATCACTTGATAATTCAGAGGTGATTCTGTCCTCTTAGGTACTAGGATCTGAATATGGTGCCTACAGATGCAGACATTTGGTGTCAGTGATATAGTGTGACAGGAAAGATGTCCTCTAACAGTTAGATAAACACTTAGTCCTAGTGATCAAGAAGATTTCATTTAAGAAGGAGTATTAATCATTGGGTTAGAGTGATTCTCTCCTGCTCCACCCTCAGTCTGTTTAAGACAGAATTTACTCTTTCTGAACTCTTTGTTGTTCTAATACTACTGCTTTAACCTTAAAATATTCTAAAAATGTTTTGCTATCATAAAAATTTAGCTTAAATAATAGTTTGATGATGGTTTATTGGTTCAGGCAGGCTTTACTAAGAACATCTAAGATCAAGATTGCCTTCTGTTTTCTCAAATATTTCCAGAGAGGGAGGGTTTGTTACTTTTTTCAGCCTTTTAATGACTCTTTCAGAGCACAATCACTTGTGAGATGGTTTGTGCCTGTGTCAGTGCAAACCTAAACTAGATAGGCCTTCTGCCATATATTCTTGGCCAACTTATGTTACTTCCTTACAGTGCCACTGTGAAGAGGGTTGCCAGTAGCCCCTCTTGCAGCACCTGCTCAGCAATGTCATAACTTGAAATATTTTACGACCTCATTGGAGAACCTGGGAAGAGGGTAAGGTAGAAAGGAGACTTTTTGATTATTTTGGAGAGCTGCCAGTCCTTTAGGCGGGTGGCCTGAAGAGGGAGTAAAGACACTCAGGGTCAAGGGTTCTCCAAGGTGACACTGTACCATTGTTCCAAGTCTGGTTTGCAAACCTTAAATATTTTTAGCCCAACAGAAAGAAATGTTTCTAAAAGGAGCTTTGCTGTCCATGTACCCCTAGGAATCAGACCATACTCAAAGCAACTACTGTCAAACAGGATTCATCTCTGACTTTGAACTCTTGTGTGGTGCTTCTTGGTATTAGTCCCTTCACACTGCATTTTCCTCTCTTATCTCTGGCTCTCTGTATTATATTCACTTCAGCTTGTCTACTCTCTTTTCACCTGCCTCTTCAAAGTAAATAGGTCTTAAATTACCTTCATCTTTCAACACTTTGCACCACATCAGTCCCTTCTAAGAGTTCCCAGTTGCTTCTTTACTCAGTTCTAATTTGGAGCCCCTACTAATTTCCCCTTATCTCTTCCTCCTTTCTGTATATACAGCTAACAACAATTGAGAACTTATTGTATGCACAGCATGAACATAGGAAAATTAAAGCACAAAGGGTGTATCTTTTCAGCTATCCAATGTATTAAAGATATTTTGATACCATGATTGAGCCATAGAATTTTTCTGATTGCCCATTTATTAATTTGCCTTATTCCATTTTTAGACCAATTGACACGATAATAGCGAATAAGGCAGGACACACAGGGTTGTTGCTTGAAGAAGCGTATTTCAGGTAAATACATGCATCACTTAATTACTCTAGATTTTTGGTTCTTCAGATTTCAGTTTTCTTGTTCACTGCTGTATTTGCAGAGCCTAGCGCAGTGCCAGACACAAAGCAGTGACTTATAAATATTTGTTAAATAAGTAAATATATGAGTATTAGGCTGATAGGACATGCATTCTGGACCTTTACAACTTAAAAGTAACACCCAATCTGAGTTCAAAATAATTTTAAACTTTATACATGTCTAGTTTTTTAAAAATGCTTTATGTGTTTTTAATATGCTTTAAAAATGTTTCAAAACATGCTTTAAAGAAACCAAAGTCTTCAAGAGACTTAATCTTTAATTTACCTTATATCTTAAAAGTAACCCCCAATCTGGGTTCAGAATAATGTTTACCTTTATACATGGCATGTCTAGTTTTTAAAAAAAATGCTTTATGTGATTTTAATATGCTTTTAAAATGTTTCAAAACATGCTTTAAATAAACTGAAGTCTTCAAGAGACTTAATCTTTTTTTTTTTTTTTTTGAGTTGGAGTCTTGCTCTGTTGCCAGGCTGGAGTGCAGTGGCGTGATCTCGGCTCACTGCAACCTTCGCCTCCCGGGTTCAAGAGATTCTCCTGCCTCAGGCTCCTGAGTAGCTGGGGCTATCAGCATGCGCCACCATGCCCAACTAATTTTTGTATTTTTAGTAGAGACGAGGTTTCACCATGTTGGCCAGGATGGTCTCGATCTCTTGACCTCATGATCAGCCTGCCTCAGCCTCCCAAAGTGCTGGGATTACAGGCATGAGCCAGCGTGCCTGACCGAGACTTAATCTTTAAGGGCTGAGAATGAGCAGATATTCATTGTTTTAAATACATGTTTATTGGTGCCCACTATATCATTTAAAACTGATGCTCATTTGTTCTCTTGTGAGTGAGGTGAGCTAACATTTAGTTATGCTCAATGCTAAATGCCCATATGTTCAGTGTGCAGAGTGCAGGCTTCAGAGTCAAATTCTTCTGGTCTGAACCTTGGAGGGCTACTCACTAACTCTATGACCTGGGACCAGTTATTTTTCCTCTCTATGTCTCAGCTTCCTCATCCATTAGTCTGTAAAACGGTCAGAATCATTCAGCAAACCTCACAGAATTGTAATGAAAAGCAAACAAATTAGCATTAGGTAAGTTCTAAAGCAGCAGCAGAAACCTCGCAGGTGCTTGTTAAGTAAAACAGATCTGTGGAATGTATCTAATAATGTCCCTACCTCAAAGGATAGTTGTGAAAATTAAATGAGTTATCTCCAAAACACTTAACACGGTGCCTTGGTACCTGGTAAACGCTCAATAAATCTTATATTGCTATGTTTAATAGAGAAGACATATTAAGATATTATAAAATAAACACATGTAACACCAGAGAACAATGAAGTGATGTGCTCAATGACATGAGTTGTAAATAAACCTAGACATCAGAAAAAAGGAAGAATCACTTCCCTGGAAGGTGAGAGAAGATCTTTCACGACATCAAGAATTAGTGGGGCTGGGCGTGTTGGCTCTCACCTGTAATCCCAGCACTTTGGGAGGCTGAGGCAGGCAGATCACTTGAGGTCAGGAGTTCAAGACCAGCCTGGCCAACATGGTGAAACCCTGTTTCTACTAAAAATGCAAAAATTAGCCTGGCGTTGTGGCATGCACCTGCAATCCCAGCTATTCAGGAGGCTGAAGCACCAGAACCTGGGAGGCGGAGTTTGCAGTGAGCCAAGATTGTGCCACTGCACTCCAGCTTGAGCGACAGCGCAAGACTCCATCTCAAAAAAAACAAAACAAAACAAAAAAGCATTAGTGGGAGGAGAATAACGTAGTGAGAGGAAAGAGAATTTTTCAGGCAAGAACTGAAGGCAGCCCATGGCCCAGAGGACCGAAGGGAGAAGAGGAGAAAGGAAAAAGTGAGGAAGAGTGGTGTCAGGGCGCAGCAGGAAGTTAGTGCTAACGAGCTGGATGGGGCCAAGCAATCGAAGCCCTGAGAAGCCTGACAGCGGTGCTGGGAGTTGGGCACGCGCAGCAGACAGCATGCCAACCCCGAGGTACTCAGGCAGTGTGGTGTGCAAGGCCCTGTCTCTTCTTGTTTGGGTTGCCCTGGCCAAGATTGTCTCTTGCAATCCGTTCACATGCGTTCCAGGGCCTGCATGCTTAAGATCCCTTTTATTCCTGCTTGATGCCCTTTGGCTCAAGAATTTACTACTCAGCTTTTATAACACTTTCTTAAAACTGCCTTTCTTCTGGTGAATGGCTGTGCCCCACTGACAGTTTTTTCCTGAAAGGAAATGATAAGGGAGGAAAAAGCTCCAACTACCCCAAGTAGGCATTTTATAGGCGCTTGTACAAAGCTTGAGCCCTTGTGTGTGCCTCACTTCCTCTCTAATATTTTCTTTGGAATGGGAGCAAGTCATCATTTAAAAAATAACAATGATAATGGACTGGATCCTATCAATGATCCAAGGTCACTAAAATTCTCTTGCTATATCAATCCTTTTTGAGCTGCCAGGCTTCATCTAAAAGGTGCACCTCAAGTATCTAAAGGACACACAGTTTATTTTCAGGGTTTTAAAACTCAGTCAAGCTGGCTAAAGGCTGAGTATATAACAAACTACTTTTCAGTCTTTGCAGGCCATGATCTTAATACTCTTCCATTTCAGTTTTGCAACAATTGGCGAATCAGGGATTATCACTTTGGTTACCTTTATTCATAGGTTTACAAAAAGAAATAGTCATAAAAGAGTTGGCAGTTTTGAAGATACTCATATATACAAACATAAGGGTCATCGTCATGGAGCATATTGCATTGGCTATTGCATTTGCTCCTGAAATGGGAATATTACGTATGGAACTTTACAGAAACTATATACATGGGGAAGATTATCTCCAGAAAATTAAGAAAGCCCTTTCCTAAAGGCTATAGTGGTTTTACAGAGTGAATAAAAGGAAGCGAGAGAAAGAAAATTGCTGACTTGGTATAGCTGAACTTAATAAGTGCTAAATTGCTAAATAGTAGCATCCTAGAATGATATTTATAGAATATTTTGTGTAAGACTTTATATGACCTGTTTTTAGATATTATTCTTTTGGTTTGGCCCTCAGAAGATCAGAGAAAGCTGGGTGGTGGAGGGGTGGTGGGGGGAGAATCTGTATTATTTTGTTTTAGGGTTGTTTGACATTTGAGCTTATTAATTAACTCTGATGCCTTCCAGTGAATTCTGCCAACTCACTGGACAATTTCTGTATAAATGAGGTGGGTCAGAAGGCAGCATTGAACAAGCCAAGACTATGGGCCAGCTTACGTTAACTCATTTAAACCTTACCATATCCCTGTGTGGTCAGAATTATCCCAATTTTATAAATAGGGGAAAAAGGGCTCCGAGAGTAAGGAATAATGAGTTGCCCAAATTCTTATATGACTCATGAGGGCCATGCTAGGACTCAAGCCCTGATCTCCCCAGCACACTGGACTCTTTTTTTGCATGTGGTAGCTGCTGAGACACATTCTCTTGCCTTGTCTCTCCTCTAGTCTCATAATGGTTCTAAGCTTCCCAAATCATTTTAACTCTGATTCTTTAACCCACTTCCAAATTATAAAAACTGAACTTATTTCACATTTACTTCTTTCAAAGAATCACTCAACATCCTACACTAATCTTTCATAAAATGGATTTTGTGATCAAGTAAGTTTGAGGAATACAGAACTTAGCACAGTTGGCCCTGTGCGGTGGGTCACACCTGTAATCCCAGCAATTTGGGAGGTCAAGGTGGGTGGATCACTTGAGGTCAGGAGTTTGAGACCAGCTTGGCCAACATGGTGAAACCCCCATCTCTACTAAAAATACAAAAAATTAACCAGGCATGGTGGCAGATGTCTGTAATCCCAGCTACTCAGAAGGCTGAGTCAGGAGAATCACTTGAACACAGGAGATGGAGGTTGCAGTGAGCCAAGATCATGCCACTGCACTCCAGCCTGGGCGACAGAGCAAGACTCCATCTCAAAAACAAACAAACAAACAAAACAAAAACAAAAAAACTTAGTACAGTTTACCAATTTCTTTCACAAGCTATTTATTCATGTATTTATTCATCCTTTTATTCTGGGAGAACCTCTCAAGGGACTAGCTTTCCACAAAACTACCCATCTTGGTAGTGTGTCATCTTAGGCAAATCACTTTACCTCTTTGAGCCTAAGTTTTCCATTCTACATGTTAGACTAAAGATACTCTAAAGGTCCCTTGAGCTTTAAAACTTCCATGATATGGGCCCCACCCCCATGCCAAATCGAGGCTTTTGTGCTACCACTATGAGTTTGCTAAGGATAGCCTAAGATTTTCTGAAAACCATTTATTCATTCATTCATGGAACATTTATTTATTAATTGTCAAGTACTGTGTTAGGTTCTGAAGATGAAAAGACAAGACATAAATAAGACAAATAAGATAAACTATCTATCTGCCCTCTGGAGGGGAGACATATATGAACTGGTGATTTAAAAAAATACATAAGAGAGGAGTAGAAATATGCATAGGTAATACTGACACACATGAACTGATGATTTTTAAAAGTCTCAGCAAGAGAGAAGTAGAAACAGTTATAAGTAATAAAGACTCACGGAGGATCTGCCTCCTATTTGTGGGAGTTGTGTAAGGCCTAGTTGGAGAGAGAACACCCAATCTGGGTCTTAAGGGATGCGACAAAGGAAGGGAAGGTACTCCAGGCGGAGAGTAAACAGGAACCAAAGAAAGCATAGGGAGTTTAAACAGCATAATGTCTGCAGTGATCTACCAGAGTTTGGCACTGCTGGAATATAAAGTTATAAAATTCAAGTCAGGCGACTCTGAGCATAACGTCGTAGGAGTAGGCAGGGGCTAGATATTGAGGGCATTCTCTGTCAGATTCTTGAACTTCATCGAAGTGTGTTAGGGTTGAAGAGTTGGAGCCGGTGGAAGACTTGAAGCAGGGAAGTGACATGTTCACAGCTGCATTTTATACTGTTGTGTTGAAAGTAGATGCAAAGAGAGATAGGGAGACAAGTTTGGAGACCACTGAAGGTGTTCAGAGGCTAGGTAATGAGTGTCTGGACCGAGAGAATAATGGGGAAGCAGAGAAAGGAATGGATTTGAGAAATATTTAGTATTTAGTAGGTGTAATCTGCTCAGTCTGGTGATTGATTAGATGAAGAGGGCAAAGGAGAGACCATCACCTTCTAGTTTGGATGATTAAATATTTGATGTCAGTATAAGAGGAGGTGCTACTTTATGGAGAAAAATGAAGTGATGTGATTGGTTTTGAACCTGCTGAGTGTAAGGTCTCTCTAAGACATTTGCAGATATCTTAAAATTTGGAGTTGTTATACCACAACCCCATTCTGTGCATCAAACTCAAATGGAGGTTTCATTTTGTGTAGAGGACTTACATTTAAGGACTACTCCATATTGCTGTTTATTTGATTTAGATTGTTGGAATATTGGAAATAAATGGCAATTTTATTTTTAATAAAATATGAATATCAATTAAAATCATAAATAATTTCATTGTACTCTTATTTAACCACAGATTTATGAAGCAGGCAATAGACAGTGTTTATACTTATTGGTTTAAGTCTCGTTGTTTTTAAGAGTACAGTCAGCCCACAGCGAGACTCCATCTCAAAAAAAAAAAGTACAGTCAGCCTTCTGTATATGTGGATCTGCATCTGTGAATTCAACAAAAAAATTCCACAAGTTCCAAAAACCAAAGAACTTTTCACGCACCAAGTACTACATTGAGTTCACATGAAATGATGTGTAGGTATTGTATCAGGTATTAAAAGTAACCTAGAGCCGGGTGTGGTGGCTCATGCCTGTAATCCCAGCACTTTGGGAGGCTGAGGCAGGCGGATCACAAGGTCAGGAGATCAAGACCATCCTGGCCAACATGATGAAACCCCATCTCTACTAAAAATACAAAAAATTAGCCAGGCGTGGTGGCGGGCACCTGTAGTCCCAGCTACTCGGGAGGCTGAGTCAGGAGAATGGCGTGACCTGGGTGGTAGAGCTTGCAGTGAGCTGAGAGCGCACCACTGCACTCCAGCCTGGGCGACAGAGCGAGACTCTGTCTCAATTTAAAAAAAAAAAAATTAGCTGGGTGTGGCGGCGGGCACCTGTAATCCCAGCCACTTGAGAGGCCGAGGCATGACAATCGCTTGAACCCAGGAGGTGGAGGCTGCAGTGAGCTGAGTGAGATCGTGCCACTGCACTCCAGCCTGGTGACAGAGTGAGACTGTCTCAAAAAACAAACAAACAAACAAAAAAAGTAACCTAGAGATGATTAAAGTATGCAGGAAGGTATGTGTAGGTTATATGCAAATACCATGTCATACCATTTTATATAAGGAACTTGAGCATCAGTGCATTTTGGAATCTGCAGAAGGTGCTGGAACCAATTTCCCACGGATCCCATGGCACTATATGTATTGTTGAAAGAAAATAAACCTATACCCACTGGTGTAGATTTATGTTTTTTACTAGTATGATCAAACACAATTTAAAAAGTTTTCTTTTTACCAAATCCTTAACATCTGCGTAGATGAATTTAAAAGATTATAAACTGGCCAGACGCAGTGGCATGCGCCTATAATCCCAGCACTTTGGGAGGCCAAGGCAGGTGGATTACCTGAGGTCAGGAGTTTGAGACCAGCCTGGCCAACATGGTGAAACCTTGTCTCTATTAAAAATACAAAAATTAGCCTGGCATGGTGACAGCACATGCCTGTAGTCCCAACTACTTGCCCAGCTACTTGGATGGTTGAGGTAGGAGAATAGCTTGAACCCAGGAGGAGGAGGTTGCAGTGAGCCAAGATGGTGTCACTGTACTCCAGCCTGGTTGACAGAGTGAGACTCCATCTCAAAAAAAAAAAAAAAAAAAAGAAAGAAAGAAAACGAGATTATAAATCTACTTTTCTGAACTTCACATATGCCAGGTGTTCCAAGTTCTACAATACCTCAAAGCCAAGAAACTAACTGCTCACTTTCCCAGCCGTCATGGTGAACTGAATCATTTTCTACATGGCTCTTCTCATTTCTTTCTGAATGCACTATTTAAAGACTTCCAGCTGAATAGATTCTGCAGGATCTTTCTATGGGTTAGGAATATGGTCTGCATAGGAACTGGCCCAAATATTCCTCACTGGACATTGCTATCAGCATGAACCAGATCCCAGTGTTTGGGGCTCTATCAGCAAGTAGGTCTATACATACTGGAAGCAGGTGACGGGACTGTTAAGGGAAAGGGGGGCTGATGAAAGATGAGAAATAATAAATGGAAGAAAAAAAAGTCTCTTACCAGGCTCTTGTTGTATTTTGTGGTTGTTTTTAAACCAAGTGATCTGAGGCTCGGGGACACCATTAGCATGACAGTCTAAAGTGGTGGAACTGCTGATGGCCACTGTGTGATCACTGAGGTTTCGCAGGAGGTATGGTGCTTCCTGATCTAGTGAAGAAAGAAAGGGAGCTGTGATTACTCGTCAACTTTATTCTTGTATTGTCTATGCATATCAACATTTAAAATATACAGAGAAACAGCAAAACTCAACTATTAGGTTTCATTTTCATTTGTTCACTTTCTCTTCAATCATTAACCTGCTGCTTCTACTTTAATAAGATGCTACGATAAATTGAAATTTATTACAACACAGTGAAATCAAGGACTAGATTTTGTATTTTTAGATTTCAATACAAAGGCTTTTGCCTAGCTAGCTAGTTTCCTTCCTTTTTTTGAGAGGAGCTTTTCTAAAACTCAAGGATTTTGCATAATAGTTTAGAAGCTATAAATCAAAAACATGATTTTGTGTATAGTCTTGTAATGATTTTTATATAAATATATAGTGCTGTAGTGATAGGCTAATATAATTTTGTGTGAGTTTTGATTGATGTATTTGTGGGGGCGTGTTTGTGTTACTCAACTGTCAGTAACCTAAGTTGTAAGGCAGCAGACCAAACAGGAGAATTTCTTGAACTTTGAAAGCTTTATTGGTTCTTTCCTTTCTCCATTCCCTTCCCAAATGCAAGCAACCAAAGAATTAATTCAAGAGGCAGAGGCACAGATTTGTAGTTTTTGCACTATATAATAGTACAAATATTGTATTTTATATTATTTTCTCTTAAAACATACAAATATGATACAATACAATTTATTTTAATAAAATGCCAACCAATATAGTACAACAAAATGAATTCAATACATTAAGATGCAATACATTACAACATTAAAATCCCACATAAGAACAGCAGTACCCCCAAGGCCCCCAATGAGTACAGTATATCTCTAATGAAGTAGTCAGTCAGTCCTGCTGATGTGTATACATTCTAGTTAGGAGGGTACTGGATTGGTAGCTAAAGCTTCCAAGGTAAAAAATAAAAACAACTCCTAATGTCTTTCCCACCCTCCCAAGTCATTCCTTTCCCCTCTTGTTGGAAATCCTGGAACAGAAATCAAAAGAGTTTTGGCATAACTGACACGTTCTCTGTCACTGTCTTCAATTATACAGTATGAGCTTTCTCTGCCCATTTTCGATTTCCTCATCTTAGTGTACTAAAACTGTGAAGGCAGCTTAGGAGTGATGACAATGCTACAAAGATGATACATTGCAATGGCCTTAATTCCATGTCCCTGCAGGGTTCTGCCACGTCCCAAAACCTTTCCCTTTTGAGTCCTGCAGGGCAACTCTCAGGATTAGCATTTGTTAAAGCAATTTAGAAATCCCAGGTTAAAATGTATATTATCACATAAATTTTATAACATTGTTGAAGTAGTATATCATGGCAGGGTTACTATCTGTTAGGAGAAACAGATTTCTCAATAAATTTTGATTTCTACAGTTTATCATTAGTCTTCTCATTTTATAAAAAATGAAATCTGAAGGCAAAAAAGTGTGCTGAAGGAAGTGCTCTGATGTACAAAAACTTCTTCAAACTAGTGTAGAATGAATGATAGCAATGATTCTTTTGCCTCTTTGAGCATGTCTTTCCTATCTTATCTTGCCCACTAAGCAGAACGTTACGATATTTCTGTTTTTGCATTGGATGCTATCTGCCAAACAGCTTTTCCTAATTGAAAATGCAGTCCTGTTTAAAACCTTTGATTTACGACTACTTGTACATGCTTGCTCATTACAATTTTGACATTTTTTACATAGTGAAGACCCCAAACATATCAGTGAAACATGACAAGATCATAAAGAACAGTATCATATTATTATTTAGTCGCTTTTACAGTGGCAAGCCAATTTTGAAATATCTCATTTAAAACTCAGACCCAATTCACTGAGTTATACTTTTAATAGCTTCCTCAGCACACTATTTCCCATGCATTAAATATGATAAAATAATCTATCACTGCCCATCGGTCTTGTAAAAAGGAAGTCTGAATACAGAGCCCACAACACTAAAATTGTTTTTCTAGCTACAAAGTATAGCATCATCAACACAGACACGATTTGGACTCCCTGACAGGTGGATTGGAAAACGGTGTTTAAAGAGAAGAGAACATTTTAACATAAATGTCATTAAGAATCCCAAAGGCCTTATTTGTACTACACAAACTTCAGATGATAGAAGCAGCAAAAAGGCTGCAGAACGTACATGGGACTCTCAATTAAATACAAGGTTCACATAAACACTCTGAAATATACAGTAATATGCATTTTTCTTTGTACCCATTTCTGAAAAATGTTCTACATTAAAAGTCTCACTTTTGGCTAGTTTCTAAATGACCAATCAACCCAAGAATCATATTTTGTCAATTCTTACTTTATACATTATAATAATCTATTTTGACATTTTGAATAAGGGAGGTGCGTTGAACCCATATTTCGAAACCTAAGTTACTTGATGGAAGTAGGTAGTGGCTTTCCAAAATTTAACAGTGTAGCTGATCCCTTCAAATTGAGAAAATCAGAATTAACAGACATTTCTGCTGGTTATCAGTAGCCAAAGATAGCTGCCCACCAGGTTCTTTCACTTTTCAGTGTTATGGCCCCAGAGATCTGCCAGGTCACATAAATACACAGCTTCTATCCTCCGTTTGGAATGGGGACTGAGGAACCAGCCTCACACCCCCTGTTCCATTTCAATTATTCCCCATTTTAGGCTCCTTTTTTCTCCTTTTTTTTTTCTCCCCCCTCCGTTATCTTCACCTCCCTTCATACCCCAGGGTAACATACCCCTAGGGTAACTAATAAAAAACAAAACCCACCCAAAAGTTTCTTTAAAAAAAAAAAAAAAGACTCTCCGGAAGGATTAATTACACAGTGAACAACTAATACTCTATGGAATTCTTAAACTCATCTCTTGGAAGTTCTTAAAATCATCTTTTGTAAATACTAACATCCTCCCCTCCCCACAAAAATTGCAAACAGGGGAAGGAAATGGTAGGTTCTGCATGTCCAATTCACCATTTTGTTTTCATAAGGATCCCTCAATCATTCTGTTTGCTTTTTTAATGTTAGCAACTATTAAGGCCCCCATGTTCTATGGTATTAAGGCATTGTTTCCTGAAGGAACACACTAACTTATAATGAACAAAGAAGCCAGGCCAAAGAGCCATAGGTAAAATTTCAAGATACAATTGATTTTTCTTTCCTTTGGGCTGACAACTTCCAGGTTACTAATTGTTTTCAGAGCATTTGGGGCTCCATAAAACTGGCATTCTGGGGAAATGCTATTGTTTACTCTTTCACGTTTGACAAAAGCAATTCCCACGTGAAAGACAAGTTTAGCCGTGGGACAGAATCTGTTACCTAAAGGAGGAAACAGTCTGGTGAGTTCCCAAGCTTGAGAAGTTGTCATATTGTCACCTCCTATTGAACTGCCCAGCCACTGTGTTTCTCAGCCATGGCTATTTTGGTCATTATAGTTTTTTTTTTTAAATAGTTTATGCAAGTCACATATAATGATCAATCATAAATAAAAACAACAGAACAATGCATATTAAATTGGTGAAAAAGTCATTTTCCCTCAAACGCAAGCTTAAAACAAGAGATTACAACTTCTCTTGATTTAAAACTGGTGTGTATTTTTTAAATTACTTTGAATTCTGCTTCTGTAGTTTTGCCGCTTCTTAATCCCCATAAAAATCCTATTAACATTTGCATATGGGGAAAGTGGACTTTTTTAAAGGGCAAATTTTAAATTTACATTTAGAAGAATGCATTAAATCTCTGGTTACAATAGCCTTTATTTCCTTGATAAATTGATTGTGGTACACCTTTGAATGCTGTCATTTTAACATGATGAAGTTCCTTAAAATAATAACCAGAGGACAGGAATATTTAAAATTAAGGCATGATCCACTTTCTTTCAGCTGCCATCAATAGCTGTGTGGTGCAGTCAGAGACAGCAAGGAGCAAACCCTTTGCTAGGCTAGTCTACTGTGGCACTAACTGCATAATTACCTGGATCGCATGAGAGGAGGGAGGGGACGTTGATTTGGATGGACTCTTATAATTCACACTGCGATAAACCTTTACTATCTCTGAATTACACCAACATCTTGCACCCCTGGGGCCCATTTTAGAAGCTCCAGTTCAAGATAAATGTGCTTAACGTAAAAAAAAAAAAAGCATTTTCAAATAAATAAGCATTATAACTTGCTATCCAGGTGCTATTTACAAATCAAGAGCAGATGAAATAGTCCCAAATAAAACCAGGCAGAAGTCCGACAGAGTCTCAAATTCAACTGTACTCATTCTGAGCTGGAAAATTAACTTATTCGTGTCCATCTTTGGCAGAAACCAGCATTTGTTTAAATTATTCAGTTTGTGCAGCTTCAACACTTAAAAATAAAAAGAGGTTGGCATCAAAATGGAAGGAAAGGATCATCCCAAGTTGTTGTTTATCAGGCAGGAGAAAACAGCAAGAGCAACAAACACAGAGAAGGCAGTGCAGGGATCCTCCAAATCCAAACGTGCACCAAGTCGGCCCCCCGGAGCAGCCCCCTCGGCCTGAATGGGGGGCCCAGAGCTGGGGCCCGGGGGTCTCATTATTACTGCTATCATCTCCGAACTCATTTTGGGAGGAGCATCTCCTCCGAGCCTGAAAGTTAGCAACAGTGACAATAAATCAAGATGATATGAGACAACTGTTACTTTTTAATGAGTCCTTTAATGTTTTACATTACTTTGTGTGGTACAATCATTCCTTGTGCTTTTAAATTTGGAGATCCGAGAGAAAACAGCCTTTTTGTTGCAGTGCTCACCTCTGATTGTAATTTCTTTCTTCTGGAGGATTTCTTCCCCTGTGTATACATTCCTGGCTCTGCAGGCATAGGTGCCTGAATCTTGCAGGGAAACATTCATGATGGTAAGATTAAGAGTGATGGAGTGCTCCTTAGTGATGGCCATTTTTTGCTTGCTAATACTGTAGTGCATTGTTCTGTTATTAACTGTCCGCAGTAAAATCCAAGTAACGTCTCTGTATAAGAACTTGTTAACTGTGCAAGACAGTTTCAGGTCCTCTCCTTCCGTCGGCATTTTTTCCAAGTTAACATGAAACCCATTTGGCACATCTATAAAATAAGAATAAAGAACTTCAGTTCACAGAAAAATCAGTGTCTTTTAATGAGATATTCAAAGATCTTAAGAATTGTTCGTGCACAAATTATCTCAGTATCCACATTAAAAAGGATGAGTATTTGGGGTAAATGAGCAAACACAGCAGGTGGGAATCAACTAAGTTCATTCCATCAGAAGTGAGGTAGGAAATGCAAAACAGAATAGTTATTAGGATGGCATTTTCTCCTGATTCACGTGAAGTTGCTCTTCAAAGTGGCATATTTTCTCCAACTTGGTTGTTAACTTTATTTCCCTTTTTTTTTGAATCAGGGTCTTGCTATGTTGCCCAGGCTGGAGTGCTGTGGCATGATCTCAGCTCACTGCAACCTCCACCTCCAGGGTTCAAGCGATTCTCCTGCCTCAGCTTCTAGAGTAGCTGGAATTACAGGCGTGCATCACCACGCTGGGCTAATTTTTGTACTTTTTGGTGGGGGTGATATTTCACCATGTTGGCCAGGCTGATCTCGAATTACTGGCCTCAGGTGATCCATGCTCCTCGGCCTCCCAAAGTGCTGGGATTACAGGCATGAGCCACTGCACCTGGCCTCATTTCCTATTTTTAAAATCATGTACAGTATTCCTACTGGCAAGTGACACTGGCAAGTGGGCAAAATAGTGAAGTAACATAAGAGCAATTCATCCTAAAAACCAAAGGCACACTTACGGTCAAACTTATCCAAAATAGTTTGCGAACAAGTGAGAATAGGAAGTCCTAGGTAAAGTGCCAATCAATTCCACTTTAGTCCTAGACTTTTGCAGTGAGAAGCAACTGTTATTCACTATCCTCCTCCTGCTCCTGTCCCAGATTACTTGCCCTGGTCCAGCAAAGACCACAGTGGGCCAGTGGCACAGTGGGCCAGAGAGGAGCCCGCTGACTTACTCAGGACTTCTTTTATGGGGATGGTTCTATTCAGACCTGAGAGAGCAAAGATTTCTTCTGAAAATGCGGACAACTAATCTGGAAGAGTTGCCAGATTCTAAAATGGGGGTGATAGAGGGGTAAAGAGAATAATTTTAAAAATCAAATTTACTCTCTAACATATTTTAAACATGTTCTGAAGGTGGCTATGTCATTAAAAGCCATTTTCTCCAATGTCGATTCCCAGCTAATCTTTGTTATAAGAAAATAAGTCTTGGGACCCCAAAATCACTAAGCTAAAGGGAAAAGTCAAGTTGAGAACTGCTTACGACAAACCTGCCTCCCATTCTCTTCAAAGTCATCCCTCTGCTCTCTGAGACAAATGCATACCTTATTGCCTCCTTTGGAAAGGCTAATCAGAAACTCAAAAGAATGCAACCGTTTTTCTCTCACCTATCTATGACCTGGAAGCCCCCTCCCCACTTCGAGTTGTCCTGCCTTTCCAGGCGGAACCAGTGTACATCTTACATATATTGATTGATGTCTCATGTCTCCTTGAAATGTATAAAACCAAGCTGTACCTCAATCGCCACCTTGGGCACATGTTGTCAGGACCTCCTGAGGCTGTGTCACAGACATGTGTCCTTAACTTTGGCAAAATAAACTTCCTAAATTGACTGAGACCTGTCTCAGATATTTTGGGCACCTTCATCTCCATCTCCCAGGTGTCTCTGTCAACACCCCATGAGCTCTTCCCCTCCGCATGCCTAACCTGGGCCATCAGTTCACTTTGGGGCTGAGAATTTCTTAGTATCATTTTGGCCCAGTCTCACGGGAGGATTTTAAAAAGTCTGCCGGCCCTGAACTGACCCGCTCTCAAAACCTTCCCATTGCTTATTACTAGTGGTGTATCTGCATTTGAGCAAAGAATTTGGGCCAACATCTTACAAAGTGCTTTGAAGATGAAAAGCATTATGTTATGCTATTATTATTATTATACTTTGCACACAAAGCTATAAAGAAACCTTTAAACGTTAAGGGGACAATAGTCCAAAATTAGATATCATATCAACTCTTTCCTAAATCTCACTTTGCTTGTTTTTCTGATTTTTCTGAGCTTTGGCTTTATTATAAAGTGTCACGTCTGAAGAAATGCCAAAGTATTCATTTGGAACCTGGGAGCAGGGCGTAACAGTGGCTTACGAAGCCGTCAGTGGCTGAGGAGAGAGGATACCAGTGGAGGTTTTCCTGCTTTTAAAATGAAAATCTAAGAATGTGCCAGAAGATGCAGGAGGGGCAGCTGACAGTCACTTTTAAGATAACAATAAGGTGTCAGAAATAGTTGCTCTAATTCAGCATCTTTTTATATTTGGGCCATTTTCCAAGCATGAGGAGTAAAACATCAGCCATCAACTTTTACACAGATAGTAGAGCAGAGGTATTGTGCACTGGTTGCAATCAACTCTTACAAGACCACAGACTTTCCATTTATGAGCTCTCATCCTGGTAGTTAGAACCCAAGTGAGCCCAAGTAACACCATTGAGATCGTGTAGAGAGTTTCTATTTACTTTAGTGATTTGAAACTTCCTGTGGAAATAGCTCACAGGTTTCCTGATGGAAGATTTTGTTTATCTTTGCCAAGCACCACCAGGAATCTCAAAATAAAATGCATTTAGTGACATTGGGAAACCAGGGAGATAAGGCAGTGCTGTTCCTGTTTCACCCTCAGTAATTGCTAACACACCCATAGTCATGCTGAGTGCCAGCAAAACAGCAAAAACACACACATAGGAAAAGCAAAGAACCAAATTCGTTTTGAGGCCTGTTTCTTATATAGGGGACATGGTCACTGAAGCTAATTTGTTATGTTATCAGACAGCCTTTTAGAAATGACTATTTCTCAGTCTCACCCCTTTGGTATTCTCTTTTGATCCATGGAAGATGATAAATAAAAATCCCAGAGGGATTTTTCTCCTTAATTCATGTTGACTTTTTTTTTTAGTCTGAGTACAAAAACAGACCCAAGAAAGAATTGCCTTCTAACCCTCAAAGTGAAAACAAGAAATCTTCCCACACTTAAGTATCTGTGGCGAATTCAGCACAGTCATCATCATTACCAAATAATACTCATCCATCTAACATATTATCACATCCATGGCATCTTATGAGGTGTCATGGAGAAGAATCAACCCTTGCTCAGAAGAGGCATTCAACCCAGGGTTAGACGAAAGTGTCATCTATTTATAAAGGTGCATACTTGGGGGTAGATATTTCAACTCAATTGGATCAGGCATGTGCATTAAGTTCATGAAAGGGACAAGCATAGGAATTTAAAAGGACGCCAGGGATGTCATTTGTTGGGTAAAAATAAAGAAGGCTCTACTGCCACCGAAGAGTGGAAATATTACTTAAAAAGAGAGTGAATGGTTACCAGGAAGTTCTGCTTGTTTCAAGTGGATGCTATGTACAAGTGTGTGCCAAAGTTTGGAGTCGAAGCGGTCAAGGATTCTAATGGCCACAGTTTACCATTTTCATCAATTTGGAAGGCAACTCAAAAAAATTTTTGTGTTTGTTTTTGTTGTTGTTGTTGTTTTGAGGCAGGCTCTCGCTCTGACACTCAGGCTGGAGCATGGTGGTGCCATCATGGCTCACTGCAGCCTCGACCTCCTGGGCTCAAGTGATCTTCCCACCTCAGCCTCCCAAGTAGGTGGGAATACAGGCACGTGCCAGCAGGCCTAGCTAGTTTTTGTATTTTTTGTAGAGACAGGATTTTGCCATGTTTCCCAGGCTGGTCTCAAACTCTTGTGCTCAAGCAATCTTCCCATCTCAGCCTCCCAAAGTGCTGGGATGACAGGCGTGAGCCATTGTGCTTGGCCCCAAGTAACTGTATTTTAAAGAAGGGGCAACAGGATTGAAATGAGGACCAGTAAAGATCCAAATCTAGATAAGAAGAGCGTTAAAATTTTAGACAGGCACTTTTAAAGCATTACCCTCACTGAGTCAAGTATAAACACTGAACAAATATATGTTCATTTTTTTCAAAAAATAAACATATGAGGTACAACATTCATGAGTCTTTACTCTCATCTCTAGTGACAAAGATTTGAGTGAGAGAAAGATAATAATTATTTAAAAACTAATAATGAACGTAAGCAAGTTAACCTAATATCACAATCAAAACCAGAACTTTTCAGGACTGGTAGAAAAGGATTAAGGGAAAGTATATTCCAGGCAATGAGGGCTTGGTTGACTGGACTTGTGTCAGTTTTAAAGTTAAAGCTCTTGGATTTCTAGAGGAAAAGAACTGTGAGCTTCAAGTAGGTATGTCTGAATCGAATTCTCATTTTGTATGGATAAGCCTTGGGATCTAGAAGAGGTTTCCACCCCGCCATGGTTATACATTGTACAATATGGTGAGAGGTAGGAGGGAATTTCTGCCTGAATTCAGCAGGAGATCACCTTTATCAACTTGGGCCCTTTCAGCAACAACACCATGGGTAGAAATATGATGCAGCGATGAGACTCTGGGCTAGCCAGAGGTTGGTGCTGTGACTAATGCTAGGCATCAGTTAGCTTTCATTGGGAACAGTGATTAATAAGGAAGTGAGCATGATGTTCCCCTTTTCTCTTAGCACATCCTCTTCCAGTACTGCCCTCAGACCCAGGCAAGAAGGATCCCTGTCGCAGCTCTGTTCTGGTCGCAGCTCTTCCCACAATGTGAAGAGTTTATGGGGCCAAGTGAGCATGCCTACCGACAGCCTGTGTCACTCCATTCCTATATCATGATCCAGGTCCCTGGGATCTCAGAATTCCCTATAAGGCTGATTTAAATCTGCTTCTAGGTTGGCTCTTCCCTAGGTCTGGCCTCCTGAGATCAGACTGCTTGTCAGTATTCACACCTTTGGGTCTGTCCAGGCAGTGGCCAAAGGAGACTATCTGTGAGGGGCATGGGGAGAGCTTAGATGTGTGGGCTGGGAGACACCACACATGGTGCATGGCCCCTTGCAGTGTGGACAGGGTAAGGGGCGGAGAGGGGAGGTGGGTGATTTAGTTTTTCTGCACGGCCAGGTGCTGCCACAATCTGCTCTGGAATCTGAGTAGTCTCAGAGCTCTAAATTGATCCTGACCTCTCAGGTCATCATGAAAGTATATTTGTCCATAGGGGGCTAAAAGGTATTTAATGGCTTGTTTGCTTGATGTAGAACTTGTCAGTAGTTAGACGTATGGTTTGTGGGCCTCCACTGGTACTCTTGTCTTGGCTCTGAAAATGTCAGGGCAAGTCTGTTTTCTTCTCTCCACCTATTCAAATCCCACCTTCTCTCTTCCTGTTCAGGTCCTGCTTCCTTCTCAGAGGCTTACAGCTGCACTGTCCAATATGGTAACTGTGAGCCACATGTGGCTTTTGAGCACTTGAAATGTGGCTACTGTGTCAGAGGAACTGAAGCATATTCAGTTTATTTGATTTTATTTAAATTGATTTAAGTGTAAAAACTGAAGCAGTGTAATATTTTTAAAAAATACTGATTACATATTGAAATCACAATAGTTTGGATATATTGGGTTAAATAAAATTAATTTTACTTTTAAAAAAACGTGGTTACTAGAAAGTTTTAAATGGTATTTGTGGCTTATATTATATCTCTATTGGACAGTGGTGGCTTTAGAAAGCAAGCTCACCTGTCACATTACCTCTGCACATAAATTTTGATACTAGGATATATGTAATTTGACATTTCTTGTTTGTTTCCTTGGTGTTAGAAACCTGTTCCTAGAAAGACAGGACTTCATTGATGTTCCTCCAAGTGCTCAGTAGAGTTGAACTGTACCATTTAACAGTGCTGATTAAACTGTTACAAAGTTATTGAATGTTCAGAACAAAACAGGAATTTTTCAGTCTTTTGTATTCTAAATCAGACATACTACGACTATGGGTTGAGACAGTAACTTGTTTCCAACCAAATATAAAGGACAGTGCAAACCTTTGTATTTAATTAGTCCAAATCCCATTTGCTCATCTGGAAAATACAAGAGCTATGATGCAGAATAGCCTCTAGAATCCCTGACAGCCCTGACGTTCTATGAGAATCTACTCAGGGATATCTCCCATGGCACAGCTTCTCTGGGGCTTGGCTAACTTGCCAGAGGCCCCTGTGATCTGACAACACATATGTGTCATGGAATTGGACATGTCTATTTCTTTCTGGAGAACTTTTGGCAATTTCTGCAGCCTGCCCCGGGCAGTGAGAAGTTTCCAGAAAGTTGGCTTACTGCCCATGTTTCCTCAGAAATTGGGGGAGTGTGGAGCCAGGCAATTGTTTTTATACTTTGAGCTACTTACTTCCTTCCTGTACCCATTGAGGGACATAGGGAGTGCCATTTGTGTACCTTGGAGGTTTTTAAGATTTGCAGAGACCATCATATTTAAGGCTAAAAATTCTTAAATGCTATCAAAAAATAGCACATTAACTATTGTTAATAAAGCTCTGTTTCAGATTGCTACAGAGCCTCATTCCCCAAAAAGTCTAAATTACCTAAGTTGTAAAAAAATTAACCTTTTGGTTAAAACAAAAACAAAACCAAAAACGATGTCATCATATTATATGCATTATAATTGGTTTCCTTGATTGGTATTGAACTGCTATGTACCAGACCCTGTGCTAGGTACTGAAGGGAATGAAAAAATGAGCATACAAGATTCCCAATTCATAATCCAGTCTGGGAGGGAGACAAACACAAATAACTCTAAAAGAGAATACAGGGAAATAACTCCTTACGAGATCCGATGAGGTAGAATTCTATTCCTGAGAGCAAGGATGAAGGCACTCAAAGTTTGACAATTCTATGGAATTAAAAAAAAATCACTCAAGCTATAAATGCACTAAAAGCAAACAAGACTGAAGAGAGAATGAAGTCACCAGGCTGTCTCTGGTTATAGGATGTGTGGCTTACCTGTGATATAAAAGCTTATGTTTCTTCCCACAGTCCCAACTTTATTGGAAGCTATGCAAATGTAGATTCCAGAAATTCTAGAGTCAGCCACAACCAAGGTGCTAGCCATCTGCAAAAGAAAAGGAAACTTTAGCTAGCAACAGGACAAATAACTAATTGAACACCCCAAGCTACTTCTGAGGTTGAAATGATTCAGCTACTCCATTCATTCTGCAAAGAGAGTATTGCATAGGTGGTGGTTACCAGAAGGCTCTCCCCTTGCCGAGCCCCAACAAGAATGGAAAAATAACAGGAAAGCAGGTCCTCAGGAGACCGGGGCCTATGACATCCGACTCATATGAGGGTTTCAGGCTTATTTATCTCGTGCTGCTGGCGTAACAATTACAGACCTGAAGCTGAGATGTGGGACTGCACGTCCTACCCTATGAGGTGGTCAGTTCCACATCAATGAGAGGAACAGGTGAGGCTGAGGCCTTCCCTTTTGTTTGGGTGACCTGAGAGCATAGATGCCAGTTATAACAGGAGCCTTCTCTGCTGTTTGGTTCTATAACAGGCATGTTAAGTGAGCAAGGACAGAAGATAATGTTTGGCTGAAACTTTTTTTTTTTTAAGAAATGGGGTCTTGCTATGTTGCCCAGGCTGGCCTTGAACTTCTGGGCTCAAGCAGTTTTCCCGCTTTTGTCTCCCAAGTAGCTGGGACAACAGGCACATGCCACTGTACCTGGCTTGAAACTTTTTTTCTATGCTCAAATAATGTGGCATGCAGCACTGGATGGTCCTGAAGGAGACCGTGTGTGTGTGTGTGTGTGTGTGTGTGTGTGTGTGTGTGTGTGTAAATTACCTAATTTCTCTTAATAAATTAAGTATCTATTCCTAATCTAGAAGATGAAAATTTAAATTATGAATTAATGCAATTATATTGTTCCACTAGACTTTAGTGCTATTATTTGACAACTTAGTCCCTAAAGAAACATTAGCAGTCAAAATTGCATGAACTTGAAAGCACTTTCCAAATTCTGATGTCTAAAAAGTAATGAAACAAAATTTTAGACAACTTAAAGACTTGCATTCTTCCAAAGAAAAAAAATTGGCAATATGAAACAAATTGTTAAACATTCTTAAATTTAACCCAAGCTTGCATTAAAAAGTAGTGTATAATCTATATGAAAAAAATGAGAAAGCTAGTTTCTCATACTTAAAATTATGGAAAAGAAAAGTTAGTCCAGTTACTTATAAATCTTTGCAGCCTATGTCCTAGGACAAAAATAACTGGTTATGGGCTTTGAAATTGCAGAGGCTGTGCAAATGATTCCAGACTAATAGAGTGTCCTTGCTGAAGTATAATGACAAGTGACTTACAGGCTAAAGTAATGTAAGGCTGAAATGTGACAGCTGACTTTCCAAGGTGGTGGACATACTCTACAAGTGGTTTGGCTGTAGGAGAGAGTCCTAACATTTTCTTGAGTTTCTAAGTAATGTGCTAGGCACTTTAGTTGTGTTCTCTTATCCCATCTAATAAATTAAGGTATTTCTGTCTTTAATCTACAGATCAGGAAGACTTAAACACATGTTCCTCATGTTTTTAGCCAGCAAATTCATTGGTCCAAATTCTCTACAATTTTCACTGTGGTATAGTGAGTAGTACACAGTGCTTTCTCTTCTGTTTGTTGGAAGGATCTGCTTAATTACACCTACCCATATACTCCCTGTGTATTATTGAAATTATTGGTAATGAAAGTGTCTGCAATATGTGGCAGACAATTTAGCAGACATTTATTGAGTGATTATCAAGGCATTGCCCAGATGTTGTAAGAGAGACAGAGATGAATATGACACAATCCCTCCCTTAACATTATCATTCTTTAAGGTGATAGAGAAGAATTTCCCTCCTTGAAGATCATACAAAAATTATTCTCTCTTTTGCAAGGAAAGCGCATATGAAGGCAAATAATCCATGGGAAAGTGTACGAAAGAGAGCTCAGGTGTCCCTTTTCTTATTTTGATGATGAATCTTTTTAAGAGGTGGGACATAAAAAATTCTGAATAGCCATTTCCTTGTAATTGTTGTACCCACCCGTTTAGAGTCACGGAAGGAAATGGAAGTAGTTGGAAGAGAAGCTTGTAGGTGGCAACATGAAAGAACTGTTAGCTGGTGGAAGCTGGAAGACAGGAGAGATCGTCAAATACGACTCTGACTCCCTTACATTGTCTCAGGAAGCTTAGACCCTTCAAAGCAGTATGCAAAAAATTCAGAAACAAGGAGCTCAGATGAAGCCTTTTTAAGCTGGGGTGTCAGCTCCAGCACTGTTTTTTTTATGAAGTTAGTTCTCAAGTGTTTATCCTAATGGGCCTCAGGAGAAACTTACTTAGATTCTCAGATTAATTGTTGCTCAGTAAGTAAGTGAAAAACCCATTTCTGTTGGCTTGGGAGTGTTTGAAATTATGGACAGCATTTATCTGCATCTATGAGTCATGTTTGGGTTTTTATTTAAAAGATTTTGATTTCATTGAACTTAGAGCAACCGAGAACAAGAACTGGGTTTCGTGGCAAGGGAAAATCAAGTCAGATGTATACATTTGCCACATTTAAGACCTGTGTAGGTAACCTGGGAATGGCCGTGGCCATTTTACAAGTCCCCAACAAATAGTCAAATAGGTCCAAATTTATGTATAATCAGAGAATAAAACTGAGGTGCCCCGAAGTGAAATGAATCCGGGTCACAAGATGGAGACAGAAATGTATTGAATTTTTCTTCTTTTGTGTGAATGACACCTTCCAAACAAGACACATTACTCGTAGTCAAGCCTGCCCCAGAAATCATGTCTCCAAAGCTTCTATTAAAATAGAAGCAGAAAACAACGTTGATGGGAGTTTACATTATTTCTTTGTTTCTGCGAACCTTTATGTATGCCTTACAATGCACCAGGCAGCATGCAAGGCACTTTACAGGAATTGTCTCATTTAATCCTCCCCAAAACCCTGTGAGATGGGTATATTACCCTATTCTACAGGTAGGACAACTGAGGTTCCGAGAGATTAGATGATTCACCCAAAGATGCAAAGGACCACAGACAGGCCTGGGCAGAATTTATGCTCAGGTGTGTCTGCCTCCGCGCCTATGCTCCTAATCTCTACACCAGATTGCTTCTCGCCTTGAGACTCTTTAAGTTGAATAACACAGATCTATTGGCAAAATTCTGTCTACACCTTTAATTGAATTTTTCCTTGAGAATACTTCCTTTAATCCGCAGAGATGGGTAACATAAATTAAATACTACTACTATTTACAGAAATACTAGTTGGCTTCTCTGATGACATTTTACATAAGCTGCAAGCTGCTCTTCAACTGTTGTTATGTGGTTTGAAAATATATTTGATAAATACAATGGTTATCACTAAAGAAGAAAAGTTAAAAATAAGGTGAAACATATCCTATGATCAGTTTTATTAAAATTTATCTCATTTCTAGAGTACTTCTCTTTCAGGGGATATATTTTTAAATTATAAATTCAAACATTTTCTCATTAAAAATAAAATTATTTGACAATTAAAATTTAAACTTTATAGGGCCAGAGAAAGGAGCTCAGGTGCAAATTGTAGATCAGTGTAGTCTGGCTGGACTAGAAGGCAGCTTTGCATGAGACAGTGAGTTTCAATGTCTGAGTCTTCTGAATAAAGGAAAAAATCTGTTCCTCAGTCCTTATATCCAAATACTATGGTGTTAAGGGAAAAAAACGAAAATAGCATCACAGTTAGGGCATGCAATATCAACTAAATACTTTCAAAGAGAAAGTAACCAAGAATTTGAGTTGTGCGTTTGAAATTATAATCATTTATTCTATAAGGTATGCAAAAATAAATTCTTAAGGATATCTACTTGTATTAGTGCTATAATTAGTTTTCATTTTCCACAATTGAAAATAAATGAAAGAGGACTGAGGAAGAGAAAAAAGCAGAAGTGCTGAAATAAAATTAGACTATTAGGCCTGATGCGGCGGCTCAGGCCTGTAATCCCAGCACTTTGGAAGGCAGAGGTGAGTGGATCACCTGAGGTCAGGAGTTCAAGATCAGCCTGGCTAACAAGACGAAACCCTGTCTCTACTATAAATACAAAAATTAGCTGGGCATGGTGGCAGGCGCCTGTAGTCCCAGCTACTTGGGAGGTTGAGGCAGGAGAATCGCTTGAACATGAGAAGCAGAGGTTGCAGTGAGCCGAGATCATGCCAAAATACATAAATAAATAAATAAATAAATAAAATTAGACTATCAAATTTTATATTAGTCTTAAAGGACTCATGCTTTCTACTCTTCATTTTTACTGCTTTTGCTTTTTGTGGTGCTTCCAGTTGCCTGGCCTGGCCCTCAAGGATTTACATGTTAGAGACAGATCCTTCAAGCCCATTCTCTAGGCTCTTTGGTATGACCCAGGAATGCTCATAAAACTATCAGCAAGTACTGTAAGTTTGGAGTTTTTCATGTTCCTTCCTTCCTTCCCCTTCACTAAGCATTAGTAATTCGTTACTACAATGTTGTTTGAACCTCACTGAATAGAATGGATGGGCTGATGTGTCATTCAGCCTAATTCCAGCACTCGTTTTTTAAACATCTATATATGGAACACTGATTTTAATCTCGGGATGTTTCTAATATAGCTTCCTTTCAAGTGTTTCACTGAGAAATAAAAGTAGATGTGTAAAGGTCATGGAAGAATCTAAAATTAACACAGGGTGGCACATTTGAGCCAACTGATGGGAAAACAGAACGTGAGATTTAGAAAAAATTGGGGTGTGTGTGGGAACTGAAACACAAGCTGTAATTCTGTGGTTAGGATTCTTGCTCCTGTCATGGATTTGTCTCATACAGGACACATTTCTCAAGGTACACTCAGAAGGATTTCAATGGAAATATTGCTAACACATTAAAATGGTAATGATTCTCCAACCTTACAGAATTAATGCTGTGATAACGTATTTCCTGTGTGTTTTTTCTAACACGGGGTTCCTTCTACTTCCTACTCCATATCTACAAACCTAACAGTTTGGCAACACCACTTAGACAATACGAAAGTGCACATTTGCTACTAGCAACTCCAGTTGATGACTCACTTTTCACAAATCTGGGCCAAAACTCGCCAATAAGGAAACTAAATTTTATTGTCCTCTATACCCTTCCTTAAGTTAAACAAAAAAATACAACAAAACAAAGAAAAAAAATCCAAGGTGCTCCAGCGTGAGTGTGATCGCTGCCCCACTGATCTGTGGAGTAGCATTGCTGGGCAGGCTACCATGTGACGGTGGATAAAGGGATCACCGCAGTCTAAGCTGGGACTTTAATTTGCTTTCTAAAAATGTATAGAAAATAAAAACAGTTTTAATTGTGAAGGAAAAAGCACTGCATATAATTCAGAAACAGCAAAACTTCCATTTTGTCACCATCATATGACAGATACATTTTTTCACACCCACAAAAAGATATATTAGTAGATGCTAAAAGTAAAATTACTAAATTCTCCTAAATTCAAGATATGAACTCAATCATTTTATTTAAAGTCTAATATATTACAATTACAACTGCTAATGGGATATGTACCATATATATAGATATAAAATATATCTATATATATAGAGAGAGAGACTTTGTTTAGTGTGAGTATTAAAAGTTTTTTCAGTGCAAACAATTGTTTAACAAAGTCTTCATTGTATATGATCACAATCAGTTTAGGGAATTGCATAAGGGTACATATGACATTCACTTTACTAAAGTAGTACTTGTATAGGGCTTTCTCATTATGTTATGTTATGTTACTTTACGTTACGTTACGTTATGTTATTTATTTATTTACTTTTTGAGACAGAGTCTCACTCTGTCACCCAGGCTGGAGTGCAGTGGCACAGTGTTGGCTCACTGCAACCTCCACCTCCTGAGTTCAAGCGATTCTTGTGCCTCAGCCTTCCGAGTAGCTGGGATTACCACTACGCCCGGCTAATTTTTGTATTGCTAGTAGAGACGGGGTTTTGCCATATTGGCCAGGCTGGTATTGAACTCCTGACCTCAGGTGATCCGCCCGCCACTTTGGTAGGTGATCGGCTTACCAAAGTGTTGGGATTACAGGCATGAGGCACTGCGTCTGGCCTTCATTATGTTATTTCATTTCATCCTTGTAACAGGAAGTACTAGCTAAGGCAAGTATCATTAGTTCTGTTTTTTTTGGAGGAAAGAACTCAAGCTGAGAGAGGTGAGCTGGTTTGTATGTGGTTATACAGAGAGGAAGTGTCGTAGTTTGACTCCAGGGCTCCTGATGGCAGGTTGGGTAGCACAAGTGCAGAGGTCTATATTTAAAATCTTCTGCGTAACTGTAAAATTACCAGACAATAAATTTGTTTTAAACCTTCATGGAGAAAATCTTGGGACGTTCTTTTATCATGGGCATGTTTTGATACTCCACCTCCACTGATTTTTATAGGTTTTTACATTATATATGGAGTCAAGTTGCCACTTCATGGTTTGGGTTAGCCAGAAACTTCACCTAGCTTTCTCATTTTTCATTTCATTTCCTATTGTATATTTTTGTGGATAGGATACCAAAATAGCACTAGAAGTTACCACTGAAATTAAGCTTATAAATTCTTGTGTTAATATCCGGCAGTTAACAGTACATCCTCCTGACATGGTCAGGAAAAAGCAAAATGAATTGACACAACCAATGAATGGCATCTTGACATTTTTCTAGTACTTTGTGACAACTAATTTGCTGTTCACTGCTAATAAACTGAGGTAGTTTCCTTATTAAAAATATCTGAAGGCCGGGTGTGGTGGCTCATGCCTGTAATCCCAGAACTTTGGGAAGCCAAGGCAGGCGGATCACAGGGTCAGGAGTTCTAGATCAGCCTGGCCAACATGGTGAAACTCCGTCTCTACTAGAAATACAAAACTTAGCCAGGAGTGATGGCGTGTGCCTGTAATCCCAGCTACTTGGGAGGCTGAGGCACAGGAATCACTTGAACCCGGGAGGCAGACGTTGCCGTGAGCTGAGATTGGGCCACTGCACTCCAGCCTGAGCAACAGAGTGAGACTCTTTGTCTCAAAAAAAAAAAAAAGAAAGAAAGAAAGAAAGAACAAATTAAACTTTCAAGTTTATATAACTTCCTCTAAGTATTTCATTAAACTGCTCTCTTATCAATAGCTATACATCACGGACTGTTTTAAAGTACTGCTTATTTCTGTCAGAGAAAAAGAGTTGTAAACCACCTACAGCTACTGCTATAGTTATAAAAACTTCCTAAGTGTTTAATAAGAGACTATTGGTGTTATCATATAAGCTATTGCCACTCTGACTAATTTCTACAGTGGCTTACTTGGCTATAAGGGCATTAGGTTTTGCAAAGGAAAGACTTTGGTTTGAGTCTCTCATTTATACTTTTAAGCTGTCTTTGGGTTAATCATCTTATCTTCCCTGTTTTATCTTTAAAATAGAGATAACCACTCTCATCTGCCAAAGAATGATGGTGACATTAGCATATGTCAAAAAGTTTCACATAATGAAAATTATAGATGTTATTTGTTGTTACTGTTAAATCATACATGAGGAACGATGCCATCTACTTTGTCATCTTCAAGTGCAAAGTGTACGGCTGAATAGATGACATAAGCATACCCACACTCAAGCAGGCAGTGGAATCTGTATTAACAGTCTCTACTCCAAATCAAGAAATATATATGTAAACAGACATGTCAGCAAGGGGATACTTGATATGTTTTTTCTTTTTAAAAGAATCATGGCTGGGTGCAGTGACTCACGCCTGTAATCTCAGCACTTTGGGAGGCCGAGGCAGGTGGATCACCTGAGGTCAGGAGTTTGAGACCAACCTGGCCAATATGGTGAAACCCTGTCTCTACTAAAAATACAAAAATTAGCCAGGTGTGATGGCAGGTGCCTGTAATCCCAGCTACTTGGGAGGCTGAGACAGGAGAATCACTTGAATCCAGGAGGCAGAGGTTGCAGTGAGCCGAGATCACGCCATCGCACTCCAGCCTGGGTGACAGAGTGAGACTCCATCTCAAAAAAAAAAAAAAAAAGAAAAGAAAAGAATCACTATCCCTGTGCCAGACAATAGCAGATTTTTAAGTGTATTCTTTACTAATTCAACAGGAAAAAGCCACTAGGTCTGAGATCCACTGAGACTTGCCTAGCTGACAGGCTTGTTAGCTATTGCCAAGCTTCAGTGGGGGTTAGGGGAGTATAAAATGAATAGTGCGCTGATGAGGTCAAGGAATCTTGATAGATTGTGTGTGTTTGCATATCCCCCTCAACTCAGGCTTTGCTCTTGCAGACAGAGGGAAATACATGATATTTCACAAAATAGAAACATTCAGTTTTAGCTCTAAGTCTTGCACTAGCTTTTGCTTACTGGGATCCCACTTTATGTACATCAGTGATTCTCAATCCCCGTTAGGTACTGGAATCACCTGGGAAGATTTTACGAGCCCTAGGCTGCACTCCGGAGATTTGGATATAATAATAATTGGTAGAGTATTCTAATAGGCAGCCAGGACTGTGAACCACCAATGTGGACCAGTTTGATGTTCAAGTGGACAGTGCCATCTCTACCATTAGGAATGAGTACTCATTATGTTGGAACTGGTAGCTTGAGTAGTCTCTGTGTGTATCTCCATGAAGACATAGCTCAGATATTGTCTTTCTTCTCTCTGAATTTTTGTTTGAACATTTAAATTACTTCTGGTGCCAATAAACCTAGAATTGGGAGCTGAGAGTGTATTTGTGGAATAAATATCCCAGTGCGCATTTTTACAAACAATACCTTATTCTTTCCTTCTATTATTGCCATGCGCTGAGTGATGCTCTCAATTCTGTTTCCCATGTTGCTGTCAGCATCCAGGATAAAGGACTCTTCATTATTGGAACAAAAGTCACACCTATTAAAAAAAAAAGTTGTCACAATGTGGCTTTACAGCATGGTTCAGTCAATGGGGACAGGTGAAATGAAAACTTGGTGTAAGTCCTCAGATAACAAAGTCACAAATTTTATGTGTGATCTTCTTTTCCTTAGATTTTTTCCTATATTCATCCTCAAAACTTAAAAATAGCAAATATATTTGGCTGATACTTGAAAAAAGCCCCACACTAGTGTGTCACCATACATCCTTTTCGTTGTAAATGTTAATATTAAATAAAAATGCATAAATTAGAAAATTTAGTATCTAGATTTTAGTTTTTAGTGGAAGTAACATTCAAACACGGAAAAAATGAAGTTATGTTAATGAATAAAAAACTCAAGGAAATCATACCATTTTATATCTATAAAAGGCTGGCTTTTAATCAGAATATGCAGTTGGATGGCTAAGTTTTTCCAGGGCTAATTAAGTGCATATGGAAATCAACATCATGAAACAGTTATTAAATTCAGTCTCTCTCTGCTCAAGTTTTGGGGAACTGTTCAAGCTCTCAGGCCTCAAGTGTTTAATTATAAAATAAAGGTGTTGATGTTATTTATCTTTGAGGTCCATGAATTCTCTCTCTGTTTTAAACATTTCACCATTTTGCATTCTGACTTTCTGGACTAGAATTTTTTTGAGCAGAAAGCTTGCTGGTCTCTAATTTGCACATGTCTTGGGCAGATTCTACAGATTTTTTAAACCAAGAGGAATTTTATTATTATTATTATTATTATTATTATTAATATTAGAGACAGGGTCTCACTCTGTCACCTAGGCTAATGTGCAGTGGTGCAATCATAGGTCACTGCAGCCTCGAACCTCTGGGTTCAAGCAATCCTGCCGCTTCAGCCTGTAGCTGGGATTATAGGCTAAGTGAAATTTTCAAGCTTCATTTCCAGAAAAAAATGAGTGGTTCATCTTTAGCAGCCAAGAGCAGGAATGACTTATGTGAGAGGAAAATGAGAGGCTAAAGTCAGTGAGAAAAAGGGGAAGACAGAAGGGAATGTGGTCAGAAAAACGTTCCGTTACTATTCCTCCCTGGTCCTTGAGCTGAGAAGGAACTCCAGAGTGTTAAACTATCGCATCTGCAGGGGTACTGGCCCTGTAACGTCCTCCTGCAGAGTACTCACCACCTTTTAAGTGCTGACTTAATGGTTCTGAGTCCCCGCTGGGCCAACAGCTACAGGAGGACAGGGGACAAATCGACGTATTCACTCTGTCCCCATAGCTAAGCAGGGCCCGAGCATGCCGTCGGCGCCCCATAAACATTTGCACACATGCAGACAGGCACAAGGTACCCGAAGTTGTTTTTGCTAAGAGTTTCTACTTTCTTTAATTGTTTATTATTATCAAACACACCGATAAGTAGAGAGAATAGTGTGATACACCCCCATATACCCGCCACCCAGATTTCACAGTTATCAAGATTTTGTCACATTGGTTTCATCTACCCCTTTTTTTTCTTCTGTATTTTATTTATTTATTTATTTTAAAATTTTTCTAGCCTGGCCAAATGAAGGATTTCTGTGTTTTAAAACAAATCTCAGGCATCTTGTCATTTTAGCCCTATGTACTTCAGTGCATCTCTCTAAAAAATGAGCAAATTTTTCCAATATAACCACAACACTACTTTTATACCTAAGAGAATTAGCAATAATTCCGTGGTGGTGTTTGCACCTAAACCGTATATCAGATTTCCCCAAATGTTTTTAAAGATGTCTGTCTTACAGTTAGATTACAAGATTTAAAATTTAAAAAGAATGAATAAAAGGTGACCATTCCTCAAGGAATTTCTGCAGTTTTTACCAGGTATAACCTTATAATAATCATGAGGTAAAATAAATGAACATTTTAATGCTTATTGATAAGTAGAGTAAACTGAGCCAAAGAGAAATTATGTACTTTCTCCTTTATTAGAAACATCTTAATGACAAAGTTTAAAAGTCATTATATGAGAGTCACTTTGCCTTATTTTTTCATTATCATATTCTCCATTTTCTAGACTATAACATCCCCATGTTAATCTTGCGTTAGACTTGCTATCTTTCACACACTCGTATTACAGGTATGAGTGTATATAATGTGCACATATACACATGTGTATACCTAGATTAGACATTTGCATATGTACTTGGGATTGTGACATCAAACAGCTAAAGTTCTCTTGTATCTGGAAGACAAGCTTTTAGAT